>NC_000013.11:23408106-24658106 GCF_000001405.40 Homo sapiens
GTGTCAGAATATGATTTTGAGCAAGTCATGTGACTTCAGTTGTCACATTCATCAAATGAAGCCCCCGCCCCCCAACATAAGAGAGGATTCCTAGACATTTCCACTCGTCTGAATTAAGCCCAAGTATGCCCTGCTCTTACGCACACTGTAACTAGAGCTGTTTCCTCAGGACCCTTGGGGCAGTTTCCCCAAATCTGGCCCACCTCTGGAATCTGCCTTTTGCACTAACATATTCTGAGGCTCCAACATCTTCCTGAAAGCAATGGAGAAGGAGCCAGTCCCAAAGCAGCTTTCAACAAATGAGATTCGTTATGTTGCAACGTTTAGCTTGAAACTTCAGATGAATATATTTAATACTATATCTGCTTTCATTTCATTGTGTACATCACGTTCTACATGCCTTATTAGATAGATAATTTAACTGCTTTTCCCACAATATTTCCATAAAGCCAGGGCCTGAGAAGGCCCTGTGTGTTAATGCTGTGACTCTGAGCATGCCCCCACCACCCTCACACACAACTATGGACACCAGAGCTCCAGAAGCCTAGAGTGGATCCTCTTTAACAATTTTCTTTTTGGCCTGGCACAGTGGCTCACGCCTGGAATCCCAGCACTTCGGGAGGCCGAGGCGGGTGGATCACGAGGTCAGGAAATCGAGACCATCCTGGCTAACACGGTGAAACCCCATCTCTACTAAAAATACAAAAAATTAGCCGGGCGTGGTGGTGGGCACCTGTAGTCCCAGCTCGGGAGGCTGAGGCAGGAGAATGGCATGAACTCGGGAGGCGCAGCTTGCAGTGAGCCGAGATTGCGCCACTGCACTCCAGCCTGGGCGACAGAGCAAGACTCCGTCTCAAAAAAAATAAAAAAGAATTGTTTTTCCCCAGAATAATGAGACTAGGCATATTTATGGTCTTAATAAAACAAGTTTTACTTTTTTTTTTTTTTTTTTTTTTTTTTTTTTGAGACGGAGTCTTCCTGTGTGGCCCAGGCTGGAGTGCAGTGGTGCGATTTCGGCTCACTGATTGCAAGCTCCGCCTCCCAGCTTCACACCATTCTCCTGCCTCAGCCTCCCTAGTAGCTGGGACTACAGGTGCCCACCACCACGCCCAGCTAGTTTTTAGTATTTTAGTAGAGACAAGGTTTCACTGTGTTAGCCAGGATGGTTTCGATCTCCTGACCTCATGATCCGCCCGCCTCGGCCTCCCAAAGTGCTGGGATTACAGGGGTGAGCCACCGCGCTGGCCGTTTTTTTTTTTTTTTTTTTTAAACATGGTGTTTCACTCTTGTTGTCCAGGCTGGTGCAATGGCACGATCTTGGCTCACTGCAACCTCCGCCTCCTGGGTTCAAGCGATTCTACTGCCTCAGCCTCCCGAGTAGCTGGGATTGCTCCACCATGCCCAGCTAATTTTGCGTTTTTAGTAAAGACGGGGTTTTGCCATGTTGGTCAGGCTAGTCTGGAACTCCTGACCTCAGCCTCCCAAAGTGCTGGGATTACAGGTGTGAGCCACCGCACCTGGCTGGTTTTATATAAACCAGCCTGGTTTGATAAAAGTGTATTTTTTTAAAAAAGACTGATGTTTTGACTCTCAAAACATCTACTCTGTGTGTTCATAAATGTGGCTATATCTAGTCACTAACATTTTAGCTTTAAGTAATTTGGTACGTAAAGCCTATATAATGTAAATCTCTGCAAAAATACACGCAAAGTTAATTCATATTTTTTCTAGCTATGAATGGAATTTATTGCATTTTGAATACAAAGACAGCATAACCTGCTGGTTTTAGATGCATCAAATCAATCCTAATTATTAAACATTTATAGTTAGTGTCAGCGTCAATGATTCTACATAGTCACTGCTCTTTAAAATGGATGTATAGACGAAATTACCAATACAAAGAAGTCAGCTGGAAAGTTAAAGGAAAATGGGTTCACCTTTGATTTGAAAAAAAGTCTGGTTCCAAAACTAGGAGGGAATGCATTAATATGGAAGCATTTTAGAAGGTTTAAAAAAATGTACAGAAATACTGCAAGATAACATGTATGATGATAGGTAAGTAGACTTCTCTCATGTTTAAATAATTTAGCATCAGTAATGGTGTGGAAATTAATCTCACATGACTTCTCATAATACTAGAAATATGGAAAACAATGAAATATTTCAATCATTTAATAAAAATCAAACCCATAAAGTCGTCTCAATACTCTTGTCCATTCACACACTTAAATAACAACCAGTCACAAAATGAATCCTGAAACTAAGAGGCAACACTACTGAAAAAGTATCACTTAGTTCCACTGTCTAATGGGTAACAATTTTCAAAAGGTAAAGAGCAATACAGTGAGTTCTTTTCAATGTTTTGCTTTGGAAAGCCAAATATCAAGACGTTTTATTTGTTGATATCTTTAGGTTACAAGATGTGAAGAATTCCCTGATCTCTATGGCACTAAAATTTCAATTATTGAATGTAATATCGAAATACAGCATTCAGAATTAATGAAAGAGTATTTTGTTATGCTTAAGAAAAAAAGAAGCACATACAGAAATTTAAGGAATAATTATATAAATATACATACTTTTTTTTTGCACAAATCCTCAAGCTTGTAAAATAAGCATATATTCTTATAAGATAGCAACTAAATTTGAGAAAAAGAGCAAGCATTATATTTTGTCATAATTTATAAAGGGAAAAGTGGAGTTCTCTTTCTCTCTCCCCTCTCCCTCTCTCCTCAGGTTATTCAATACAATTCTAAGTATTTCACAGTTGTTTATTTTATATTTTCCAAACAATCATATGGCAGTGAGAGGCACTCATAGATACATTTTATGAAGGAGAAAATGGGCTACATCTAGTTAGCTCTCCATTGCAATAGCCTCACCAGTATAAACAAAATGCAAAACTATCTGGGCAAAGTCAAAGAAATTATTTTTAACCCTTGGCTTGAAAAATTACATATACAATTTCAGTTAGAACTGAGATATGGATGGTTAGTTCACTTTTACCTCTCGAGTGCTTTCATTTGTTTTTGCCTATGTTTCATTTGGGAAAATCCAACAAGTCTTAAAATCCCAATGCAAATTATTGTCATTTAAAACATTAACTCATTTACCTGTTCTCCTTGGTCTCCATGATCACTTCTCCTGGGATATTTGTTTGTGAAAACCATGAAAGTACGCTTCTTTCTTCTGTTTAAGTCTTCCCTCTGTGCTTCCTTTAAATGTGTACTCCAAGTTCAGCTCTTCCTGCCAGGTGGAAAAAAAGCCTGTTTTTCCCTTCAGTGTCCATTCATCATCTGATGTCAGGAAACATTGTCGTGTGTTGCATTTGTATTCCTTAAAGTATGACTCTCCAGTCTGATAATGGTTGCCTGCTGATCCAGCGACCCATGGAAGTTCTCAGGATAAAACAGTGTGGATTCGCTAAAGGTTTTTGGCTTTCCCCCAGAGCAAAATCAATTTATTTTCATCTGAGAATTTTCTGTATTTCTTTTTGAAGGTTCTTGGGGAAAACGTCGCAGAAATTCTTGGATTTTGTTTCTCACCCTCATCTCAGCAGATGTAAAATATTCTTTGGTAGGAGCCTTTCTTCTGGCTCTGGTGACATGGGCATCTTGGCCTCACTTCTGTGATCCTGGAAGAAAAATCAAGGAAGGGTAAAGAAAGGGTTAAGGAAAAGCACTTGAAGTCAATGCACTGAAAATGCAATTCCTCATTGAAGAGGGCCATGGTACTCAGCTCCAGTGACTTTCTAATTATACTCTGCTAGTGGCACTACAGCTCTGCCAAAGAGCATGGCATTCGTTTCTGGCCTCACAAGACAGGCAACCAACAAACGCACATGTGCAGCTACAGAAATTAAAAGTACATCGGCCGGGCGCGGTGGCTCACGCCTGTAATCCCAACACTTTGGGAGGCAGAGGCGCGCAGGTCACAAGGTCAGGAGATTGAGACCATCCTGGCTAATACGGTGAAACCCCGTCTCTACTAAAAATACAAAAAATTAGCCGGGCGTGGTGGCGGGCGCCTGTAGTCCCAGCTACTTGGGAGGCTGAGGCAGGAGAATGGCGTGAACCCGGGAGGTGGAGCTTGCAGTGAGCCAAGATCGCGCCACTGCACTCCCCGCGCCTGGGCAACAGAGCCAGATTCTGTCTCAAAAAAAATAAAATTAGAAGTACATCTACTTAACCACTTAGTTTCATGTTCCCTCTATTTCTCTGACTTCTTCCAAGTGGCAGTATGTGCTTCACTCACATGTGATGTGCCTTTTTTCAGGAACGACACCCTTTAAATCCAAACCCTTTTTTTTTTTTTTTTTTTTCTCTGAGACAGAGCCTCCCTCTATTGTCCAGGCTGGAGTGAAGTGGCATGATCTTGGCTCACTGCAACATCTACCTCCCGAGTTCAAGTGATTCTTCTGCCTCAGCCTCCTGAGTAGCTGGGATTACAGGCGCCTGCCCTCACACTCAGCTAGTTTTTGTATTTTTAGTGGAGATGGGGTTTTGCCCTGTTGGCCAGGCTGGTCTTGAACTTTTGACCTCAAGTGATCTCCCTGCCTCTCGAGCTCCCAAACTGCTGGGATTACAGGTGTGAGCCACTGCACCCGACCCAAACCTACAACTTTATGTGTACAATAATAACTCATGTTTGAAAGCAAAATATTTACCTTAGAAAAGGAAGGGTAAATGTGTTATCAGAAAGGCTTTATTTTACTAGTAATATTCCTTGTAACTATTGGTGCCTGTAATAGTCTAACATTTTAAGAAATAAATAGAAGAAAAAAATGACAAACTTTCTTTTTAATTTTTATTTTTTAGGGTGCTGGGCACAATCTGGGCTAACCCAAGGAAGCCTCAGTGAAAAATGAGAAACTTTTTTTTTGTTTTTTGAGAAGGAGTTTCGCTCTTTTTGCCTAGGCTGGAGTGCAATGGCACAATCTCAGCTAACTGCAACCTCTTCCTCCCGGGTTCAATCGATCCTCCAGCCTCAGCCTCCTGAGTAGCTGGGATTACAAGCAAGCACCACCACGCCCAGCTAATTTTGTATTTCTAGTAGAGGATGGGATTTCTCCACATTGGTCAGGCTGGTCTTGAACTCTCAATCTCAGGTGATGCGCCTGCCCTAGCCTCCCAAAGTGCTGGGATTACAGGCATGAGCCACTGCGCCCGGCCGGCAAACTTTATAAACAATGGTAAGTGGAGGGACACATGAGACTGCACTTTCTGCCCATTCATTGTTCTAAAATACTTCATAATTTTCAAGATGTTCTCTTAGACATTATCATACTAAATTTCAAGTAGACAGAACAAGAAAGGTAGAGATGCTGATATGTTAAACTTGATGCACAGGAAGGTCAGTTACTTGTTTCAGCCCATCCAACCAGGAGGGGATGGACTGGAAACAGAAAGACCAGCTCCGGACTTCTTATTCTGCGTTTGCTATGCAACAATGTTTCATTGTGGGGAAAAAAAGGAATGTAGGAATAACAACCTAAGCTATACTGATTACATTATCAGTTCTTGGATGTTCATGAAAACCCAGGAAAAGAGCTCCATATTCACTGTAAATGCTTTTCTGAAAACACTTTCCCAGTAACTTGCTATAATTAAAAATATTACTAGGCATCATGAGTGAGATTAATTCAAACATATCAATGCAAAATCTTATTATTCTTTCATGAATAATTCATGAAATTTTGATTGCCATGCTAAGAAGTAGAAAACTATATATGTAAATTTAGGATTTAAGAACTAAAATTAAATTAAGGAACTATATTAGCAAGAGGATGGAAACCTTTTGTATGATAATAGACTTAAAATTGGACTCCAGTTTGAAATGTTTAAAATTAAAAGAGGTCATGTATAATAAAGTAAAGGATTAGGATCAATTTCTTTATCTGTAAAATATAGGACTTGGGGCCGTGCACAGTGGCTCACGCCTGTAATCCCAGCACGTTGGGAGGCCGAGGCAGGAGGATCACGAGGTCAGGAGATCCAGACCATCCTGGCTAACACAGTGAAACCCCGTCTCTACTAAAAATACAAAAAGTTAGCCGGGCGTGGTGGCGGGCACCTGTAGTCCCAGCTACTCAGGAGGCTGAGGCAGGAGAATGGTGTGAACCCGGAAGGCGGAGCCTACAGTGAGCAGAGATCGCACCACTGCACTCTCGCCTGGGTGACAGAGCCAGACTCCGTCTCAAAAAGAAAAAAAAGTATGAATATAAACACGTTTATATGAATATAAAACATGCAGGTTTTATATGATAGATCAGAACTCAAGGGAAATCTGGAATTAGTTACACTGGAAGCAGGACCTCCAGGGCTATCTGCCACTAGTGCTCGGCCTCTGTAGGAACATCAGAAGGCAATCAGAGCAGTATTGATCTCAGTGGAACACTGCACATTCATGCTTGTCGACCTCACTGAATCTCTAATTCCAGTTTGTGGATATCTTTAAGAATACATGTTCTGTAATGTAGAATATTAATTAACTTCATATCACCAGGCGTGTTTGATAACACTGCTAAACAGCATAGAGCTCTGTGGCAAATTATTAAATTTTACTCCCCATGGGCAATGATACATTTATTACAAAAATCAATCTTTGGATAATATTTCCTCAGTAACTCTCTTAGCCATTATAAATATACTGTTATCAATCACATTTATTCCTGTCATTTCTAACAGAATAGGATGATTCTGCCCAATGTATTACTAATCCAAGCTGCAGTCTTCCTTCTGACTTACACTGCTTGGCCAGTCCGATAGTCTCATCCATTAATAAGGGGGAAGTGGGTTAAACATGACATGACTTGTCCTTGATACACACATGCTAGGTCTCAGAGATCACTGTGTCCTCATCTCACACCTTCTGAATGCAATCTCTTTCAAATAATCCAGTCTTTAATTTCATTTTTATTTTTCTTTTCTTTTTTTTATTTTTTGAGATGGAGTCTCGCTCTGTTGCCTAGGCTGGAGTGCAGTGGCACTATCTTGGCTCACTGCAACTTCCGCCTCCCAGGTTCAAGCAATTCTCCTACCTCAGCCTCCCGAGTAGCTGGGACTACAGGCATGCACCACTATGCCTGGCTAATTTTTGTATTTTTAGTAGAGACAGGGTTTCACTATGTTAGCCAGGCTGCTCTCGAACTTCTCACCTCAGGTGATCCACCCACCTCAGCCTTCCCAAAGTGCTGGGAGTACAGGTGTGAGCCACTGCACCCAGCCCAGTCTTTTAATTTTAATACTACTTCTGCCATTAACATCTAACTCACAATTTAGAATTCCAAACACTATTGTTCCTTTCCTGGAAACTTAGAACGTTTACACATGTTCATCTCCCTGGAAATTGCCATACTCTCCATAATTGTCAGAAATTACCTACCATGATTGAATCATTATGTATGCTGTGAGCCAATACATGTGAAGGTGATAAGGCAGCCGTTACCCAGATCATTCTTTTCTCAAAATACAGCCCTTGATGAATCACTCTCATAATTTGTTTTTCATTTTTGAGCTACAACATACTACTTTGGTGATCTTTGGCCTACTTGTGCACCATCTATTTATTCTTTACTTAATATTTATTTTTCCCAAAATATTTTAATTAAATAAATGTATTATGAAAAGAAACTTTCCATCTACTATAAATGGAAACCCAGTACCACAAATAGAGAATAACTTTAAAGATAAATAAAATGAATACAAAATGACTCATTAAATGCTGATCGAAGTGCCTGCTGAAAACACTAAGTCTTTAACCTGCTCTTTGTTATTAAAAATGGAGATCAGTAAATTTATGAGAAAATGTATATCCTTTAATGATTTCATCCAGAAGGAAGGAAAGCTAAAAATTAATGAGTTAAGTATCCATTTTAAGAATTTAGGAAAAAGGCCGGGCGTGGTGGCTCACGTCTGTAATCCTAGCACTCTGGGGGGCTGAGGCTGTTAGGTCACCTGAGGTCAGGAGTTCGTGACCAGCCTGGCAAACATGGTGAAACCCTGTCTCTACTAAAAAATACAAAAAATTAGCCGGGCATGGTGGTGTGTGCCTGTAATCCCAGCTACTTGGGAGGCTGAGGCAGGAGAATCACTTGAACCCACTAGGCGGAGGTTGCAGTGAGCCAAGATCACGCCACTGCACTCCAGCCTGGGGGACAGAGCCGACTCCATCTCAAAAAAGGAATTCATGAAAAAATGTCTTGGGGATAAACCCAAAGAAAATAGGAAATAAAGATGAGAGCAGAATTAATGAAAGAGAAAACAAAGATACAATGGGGACTATCAGCAAAAATAAAAGTTAATTCCTTAAAAACACTACTAAAATTGGCAAACTTGTGGAAGATTGATTAAGGTAAAAGAAAAAAAGTCAACCGGGCACCGTGGTTCACGCCTGTAATCCTAGCACTTTGGGAGGCCACAGAGGCCAGATCACTTAGGCCCAGGAGTTCGAGGCCAGCCTGACCAACTTGGTGAAACCCCGTCTCTACTAAAAATACAAAATTAGCTGGGCGTGGTGGCGCATGTCTGTAGTCCCAGCTACTCGGGAGGCTGAGGCAAGGGAATTGCTTGAGCCCGGGAGGCAGAGGTTGCAGTGAGCCAAGATCGCGCCATTGCACTCCAGCCTGGGCAACAAGAAACTCCATCTTAAAAAAAAAAAAAAAGTAGAAGGGAACTTTTTTAAAGGGCAAATTAAATGGCAAATCTCATGCTTAGCAGTGATAAGGATATTTCTTGATCTCTATTTTTACTCAGCATGTTTTGGAGGGGGCAGCCAGAACAAGACAGAAAAAACAAAGAGGAACAGGGAGGAGGGGAAGGAAGAGGGGAACAAAACCATCACTATTCATGGATAGAGTATTCAAAAAAATTCATACAAACTGACAATGTTAATAATAGATTTTTTCAAGATTACTGATATAAGTTAAATTGCATTTCTACATACCAGCAAGAGTTTAAGAGAAAAGTATGTGTTAATGATAGACATTTATCAAGCAAGAAAAAAATGTTACCTTGGAATAATTATAATGAAAGAACTTACATAGGAATTTTAAGAAGAAAATCTATGAACTTTAATGAAAGACATTAAAAAGACCCTTTAAAAATGGAGTTATGTACATGATGAACCAGAAAATTAAATATCATTGAAATGTCAACTCTCCTCAAATTGATCTTGTAATTCAAAGCAATTTGAATCAAAACCCCAGCAACCTTGCAGAATAAAAACACAATAACCAAAGACACTACTTAAGAAGAAGAGGGAAGACTTGCTCTAGAAGATATTAAGCTTTAACATGAAACCATAATAATTATGTGGCATTCGCATGGGAACAATCAAAGAGAGTAAAAGGCTCAGAGACAGACCCTTGCATTAATGAGAACCTGATACATGAGAGAGGTATCAGCAGGGTTTAGTGGGGGAAAGCTGGGCCATTCCAAAAATGTTACTGGGGCAAGTGGTTAACTATATGGAAACAAGCACGAAAATTTATCTGAACCCCATACTGTGCACAAGTATCAATTCTAGATGATTAAGCACATAAGTGAGAAAATCAAACCTTAAAAATTTTAGAAGGAAGTGGAACACAATATCTTTATGGCTTCAGGGTAAATAAGAATTCCTTTAAAAACAAATAGAAAGCAGTAACCCTCAAGGAAAGGATTGTTAAAATCAAACTACAAGGCCGGGTGCGGTGGCTCACACCTGTAATCCCAGCACTTTGGAACACTGAGGCAGGCGGAACCCCTGAGCTCAGGAGTTTGAGACCAACCTGGGCAACACAGCAAAACCCCATCTCTACAAAAAATACAAAAATTAGCCAGGCATGGTGGCACGCACTTGTAGTCACAGTTACTAGGGAGGCTGAGGTGGGAGGATCACTTGAGCCCAGGAGGCAGTCTGCAATGAGCTTAGACTGCATCATTGCACTCCAGCCTGGGAGTAAGATTCTGTCTCAAAAAAAAAAAAAAAAAAATTCAAGTTACATTAAAATTAAGAATTTCTGCTCACCTAAGGCAAGCTATATAAAATAGAAGATATTTGCCACACAGCAATCAGCAAAAGTTTTGTGTTCAGAATATAGAAAGAACTCTTGAAAATAAAAAAAGAAACAACCTAAGAGAAAAGCAGAAATTGGGGAACAGGCTCTAATTTATATTTATCTTTCATATGGATAATACCTTCATTTAAATATAATACAAAGACTATCTCTGCTTGTAATGAAATAGTAATATACATTTAGTTCAACTTAATTTTTACTGTTTTCAACTACAGAAGTGCTTTTTGTTCCTTAATAATTATATGCTTAACATTATACAAGATTTTTAGACATATATGTTTGTTTCCCTTGTATATAAATTCTCATCTGATGTTTCCACATTTGAGTGCTTCAGTATAGCACCCATTTCTTTTTTTTACCTTACATGGAGTCTTGCTCTGTCTCTCCAGCTGGAGGGCAGTGGCTGATCTCTGCTCACTGCAACTTCCGCCTCCTGGGTTCTAGTGATTTGCCTGCCTCAGCTGTCTGAGTAGTTGGGCTTACAGGCACCTGCCACCAAGCCCAGCTAATTTTTGTATTTTTAGTAGAGAGGGGATTCACCATGTTGGCCAGGGTGGTCTCAAACTCCTGACCTCAAGTGATCCCCCTGCCTCAGCCTCCCAAAGTGCTGAGGTTAGAGACCTGAGCCAGGGTGCCTGACCAGAATATCATTTTTTGATCTAGCATTGCATTTGTGACTATCAAGGTGCCCATGGGTTTGTCTCCATGGGCGCCGCCCTCTTCCTAGGAGAGTAGGTGGGGAGTTTCTGTGCCCCCTCCCCCACCACGGGAAACTTGCCCTCTTGCACACGTGGTGCGGAAGGCGCCATTTTGGCCCAGTTGGTGCTGAGTAAGATGTTCTCGCTTCTCTGCTCAGGGCATGAAGATCTGGGGCAGGTGCAGGACTTGGGGCCCCAGAGAGTGCCACAATCGACTGCCCGTGGGAGTGGGCTGGTGCCTGGGAGCAAGAGCGCGGCCGTCCGGCGCCTGTGTGAGCCGACAGGGCAGCTCCGCCAGGGAACCAGGGGCCCGTCCCTCTGGGGTCATGGGCGGACAGGCACGGGAGCTGAGAGAGGGGACCGGGCCTAGGCCACAGGCCCTCCAAGGAAGCCACAGAGCCAGCTAGTGGCACCCAGGGACTGCGGGAAGCTTCGGCAAGGTAAGCTCTGGCAGGGTAAGCTCGGGACCAACATGGGTTTTAGTGTCTTTTCCTAGTGGTGGGGAATTTCTACAAGGTGGGTAGGACGTGTTAAGGGTGGCCTTAGCAATTTGTAGGCCTAGAGGCCGTCTAGGAGAGGCCTGCAGTTCAGAGTCTCAACAGGGCTTGATGGGGCCTGCCATTTCATTTCGCAATGTGGTTCCTAATGTTTCTTGGGAAACCGGGCGTGTTATGTCTCCATGTCACCCTTTACTTCTTGGATTTCTTGGTGTGCGTGGTTGCCTTTTTCTCTTTTCTTATATTGCAATTTCGGGTCCCACATTTTCTTCCATTCGAATCTGTGCGTCTTCTATGCAAAGCCTGTGGTGGGTCTTGCTCTCGGACTAGTTGAGCAGCATTGCACTCGTGTTGGTTGTGGGAGTTTCATCGTTTCTGTGTGTGTTCAGCATTCTGTTGCGAGTTCCTTATCTTCAGAATGATTGAGAAATGTAGTTTTCAGTTTTAAAGAATATATATTCTTTGGGGAGGTGATTTTATTGCATTTGGCCAGAGAATATGTGACCATTCGGTCACTGAGGACTGGTGTGTACCCCTAGGGACGCAGTATCCACCTGGAGACTGGGTGTCCCCATGGAACCTGATGTCACTCTGGGCCTAGCTGCCCACATGGGTCCTTGGTGTCCACCTGGAGCCTGATGTTCCCCAGGGACCTAGGTATCCATTTGGGTCCTGATGTTCATCTGGGACCTGGTGTTCACCTAGGGCCCGATAGTCACCGGGGGACTGGGTATGTACCTGGGGCCTCATGTCCACCTGTGGTGTGGGTATCCACGTTGGGCCTGTGTGTCAATCTGGTGCCCCATGTCCACCTATGGATTAGATACCCAACTGGGGCCTGCTCTTCATCTTGGACTTGGTGTTTACCTGGAACCTGATGTCCAGATGGGGCATAGATTATCTATGTGGGGACTGGTGTCTAGATGGGGTCTGACAGTCAACTGGGGCCTGGCCTGGTATTTTCCTGAGGTGTGACTGTGAACCTGGGGACTAAAGTCTACCTAGAATCCAGTGTCTACCTTGGGCCTAATGTCCACCGGTGGCCCAATGTAAATCTGGGCACTAAAGTCTACCTAGAATCCAGTGTCTACCTTGGGCCTAATGTCCACCTGTGGCCCAATGTAAATCTGGGGACTAAAGTCTACCTAGAATCCAGTGTGTACCTTGGGCCTAATGTCCACCTGTGGCCCAATGTAAATCTGGGGCCTGGTATTTAGCTAGGGCCTGGGTATTCACCCAGGGCTTGATTTCAGCTGGGCCCTGAAGTTCTCCTAGTGCCTAGTGTCCACCTGAGGCCTTGGTGTCAGTCGGGAACTGGATGTCCACCTGGGGCTTGAGTGTTTCCCGGTGCCTGAGGACTTCCTGGGCCTGGATGTTCACATGGGACCTAGATTGAACCTGAGGCCTGATGTTCATCAGGAGCCCAGGTATCCACCTGGGGAGTGGTGTCCACCCAAGACATTTGGAGTCAAGTGTCCACTTGAGGCCTCATGTCCACCTGGGGCCGGATTGTCCATCAGGGACCTGTTTTTGACCAGGGACCTGGGTATTTACCTGGGGCCTCAGTGCCCACTTGGGGCCTGACATCCACTTGGGTGTTGGTGTCCACCAGGAGCCTAATGTCCACCAGAGTCCTGGGTATCCTCCTGGCACCTGGTGTCTGCCTGGGGCCTGGTGTCCACCTAAAGTGTGGGTATCCACCTAGGACCTGGTGTGCACCTAGGGCCTTTGTCCACCTTGGGCCTGTTGTTCCTCTGGGGCCTTGTGTCCGCCTGGGCCCTGGGTGTGAGCGTGGTACCTGATATCCACCTGTGGCTTCCATAGCCACCTGAGGCCTGGTGGTCATTTGAAACCTGGTGTTCTCCAGGGGCCTGATGTCAACCTGAGGTGTAGATATCCACCTGGGTCCTGGATGTCCAGCTGGGGCCAGATGTCCAGCTCTGGTCTAGGTATACCCCTGGGGCTTGATATTCACCAGGGGTTTAGGCATTTACTTGGCACCTAGTTTCCCTGTGGAGTGTGCCGTCCCATGAGGATTGACATTCAGCTGGGGACTGGGTATCTACCAGGGACCTGGGTATCCACCTCAAGCCTATTGTACTCCTGGAACCTGAGTATTTACCTGGGGTCTGATATGCACCCAGGCCTGTTGCCTACATAGTGTCTTATGTTCCCCTTGAGCCTGAACGTCCGTCTGAGTCCTCGGTATCCTCTGTGGGATGGCTGTCCACCTGTGACATTGTGTCCTGCTGTGGCACGGATGTGAGCCTGGTGCCTGATATACATCTTAAGTCCAGTGTCCACCTGGGGCCTGATGTTGACCTGGGGACTGATGTCCACATGGGAACTGGGCATCCACCTGCGGCCTGATGTCCACTGGGAACTGGATGTTGCCCTGGGGTCAGGGTATCTACCTGGAGCGTGGTGTTCACCAGGGGCCTAGGCATCCACCTGGGGCCTGTAGTCTACCTGGGGCTTCCTGTCCACTGTGGCCCTGGTATTTACCTGGGGCCTGGACATCCACTTGAGGCCTGAAGTTTAAGTGGGGCCTGGTGTTCAACGGGGGCCCATGTGTCAACTTGGGAACAGACATGCACCGAGATGCCTGATATCCATCTGGGGCCTGGTTTCCACCTGGGGCCTAGTATTTACCTACGGCCTGGGCGTCCACCTATGGTGTATTATCTAAGTATCTAAGTAACAACGTTTGAGAGGTTATTAGGCCTATATATGAACATGCTACTAACTAGAAAAAAGTTATGTGCAAAGGAGCTTTGTGATGTACCTTATTATATTGTTGAATGGAACGTAACTTTTCATTAAACAAGTTCCTAACACATTTTATAGAATCTAACAAATGAGATTTCAGAGGCCTATATATAAACATGAAAATTCAGCCCAATAACTAAAAACAAGCCATGTGAGAAGAAGCTTTGTGATGTGCTTTATTATATCACTGAATGTAACCTGTGTTTTTATTAAAGAAGTTCCAAACACACATTTTATCGTTTTATACAACCTAAGGAATGACATTTCAGAGGCTGTTAGGCCCACATGTGAATATACAAATATTCATCCTTAATAACTAAAAACAATCTGTGCATGAAGAAGCTTTGTTATGTGGTATTTCAGATCACTGAATGAATGGAACCTGTGTTTTTATTAAACAAGTTCCAAACACACGTTTTATAAAACCTAAGGAATGACATTCCAGAGGCTATTAGGTCTTATGTGAATATTTGAATATCCATCTCTAATAACTAAAACAGTCTGTGTGCAAAGATGCTTTGTGATGTGGTGTTTCTTTTTTTTTTTTTTGAGACGGAGTCTCACTCTGTCGCCCAGGCTGGAGTGCAGTGGCACGATCTCGGCTCACTGCAAGCTCTGCCTCCTGGGTTCACGCCATTCTCCTGCCTCAGCCTTTGGTGTTTCATATAACTGAAAGAAACCTGTGTTTCTGTTAAACACATACTAGAAACATGTTTTGTAGAATCTAACCAATGACATTTCAGACATTGTTAGGCCTATATATGAACATATGAATATCCAGACCTATTAACTGGAAAAAAGCTATGTGCGAAGAACATTTGTGATGTGCTTTATTATATCACTGAATGAAATGTGAGTTTCCATTAAACAAGTTGTAAAAACACGTTTTGTAGAACCTATTTAATGAGATTTCAGAGGCAATCAGGCCTATATATAAACATATGAAAATCCAGCCTTAATAACTAAAAACAAGCTATGTGAGCAGAAGCTTTGTGATTTGCTGTTTTATATCAATGAATGGAACCTGTGTTTTTATTAAACAACTTCCAAGCAGACGTTCTTTAGAACCCAGGGAATGACATTTCAGAGGCTATTAGGTCTATATATGAATATACGAATATCCATCCCTAATAACTAGAAACAATCTGTGAAGAAGCTTTGTGATGTGCTGTCTCACATCACTGAATGGAACCTGTGTTTTTATTAAACTAGTTCCAAACACACATTTTTTAGAACCTAAGGAATGACATTCCATAGGCTATTAGGCCTATGTATGAATATACAACTATCTATCACTAATAACAAAAAACAATCTATGTGCGAAGAAGCTTTAGGATGCACTGTTTTATATCACTGAATGGAACAAGCATTTCTGTTAAACAAGTTCCAAAAGGACGTATTGTAGAATCTAAGTAATGACATTGCAGAGATTATTAGGCCTCTATATGAACCTACTAATATCCAGCCCTAATAACTAGAAACAGCTATGTGCAAAGAACATTTGTGATGTGCTTTATTATATCGCTGAATGGGACGTGAGTTTTCATTAAACAAGTTCCAAACACACATTTTGTGGAATCTAATTAATGAGATTTCAGAAGCTATTAGGCCTATATATAAACTATTAGGCCTATATATAAAAATACGGAGCCTTAATAACTAAAAGCAAGCTATGTGTGAAGAAGCTTTGAGCTTTGGGATGTACTATTTCATATGAATGAGAAGAACCAGTGTTTTTGTTAAACAAGTTACAAGCACTCATTTTTTAGAACCTAAGCAATGACATTTCAGAGGATATTATCCTATATATGAATATACGAGTATCCATCCCTAATAACTAAAAACAGCTTTGTGATGTGCTGTTTTATATCACTGAATGGAACCTGTGTTTTTATGAAACAAGTTTCAAACATGTTTTGTAGAATCTACAAAAATGACATTTCAGAGGTTATTGGGTTTATATATGAATATACACATATCCACTACTAATAACTAGAAACAAGCTATGTGTGAAGAAGCTTTCTGATGTGCTTTATTATATCACTGAATGCAACTGGAATCTCCATTATACAATTTCCAAACATATGTTTTGGAGAATCTAAGAAAGGAGATTTCAGGCCGGGCATGGTGGCTCACGCCTATAATCCCAGAACTTTGGGAGGCCAAAGCGGGCAGATCACCTGAGGTCGGGAGTTCGAGAGCAGCCTGGCTAACATGGAAAAACCCCGGCTCTACTAAAAATACAAAATTAGCCGGGCATGGTGGCGCATGCCTGTAATCCCAACTACTTGGGAGGCTGAGGCAGGAGAATCACTTGAACCCGGGAGGCGGAGGTTGCAGCGAGCCGAGATCACGCCACTGCCCTCCAGCCTGGGCAACAAGTGGGAAACTCTGTCTCAAAAAAAAAAAAAAGGAAATGAGATTTCAGAGACTATTGTACCTACATAGATTTTCAGCCCTAATAATGAAAAACAAGCTATGTGAGGAGAAACTTTCTGATGTGCTGTTTTATATAAATGAATGGAACCTGTGTTTCCATGAAGCAAGTTCCAAACACATGTTTTGTAGAATCTCAGATATGACATTTCAGGGGCTATCAGGCCTATATATCAACATATGAACGTCCAGTACTAATAACGAAAACCAAGCTATGTACAAAGAAGCTTTGTGATGTGCTGTTTTAAATCACTGAATGGAACCTGAGTTTCCATTAAACAAGTCCAAACACAGGTTTTGTAGAATCTAAACAATTACATTTCTGAGGTTATTAGGCCTATATATGAACATGTGACTATCCAGCTCAGTTAATTATCATGAAGATATGGGTGAAGGAGCTTTGGGATGTGCTTTATTATATCACTGAATGGAACCTGTTGTTTCATTGTATCCATCGGGGGCCTGGGCGTGAGCCTGGTGCTTGGTGTACACCTCAAGTCGAGTGTCTACCTGGGGCCTGATGTCCATCTGGACACTGGTGTCCACTTGGGGCCTGACGTCCACCTCGAGCTGGATGGTCCTCTGGGGTCAGGGTGTCCACCTGGGGCCTCCTGTTCACCTTGGCCCTGGTATTTACCTGGGGACTAGACATCCACTTGGGGCCTATGTGTCCACCTGGGACCTGACATACAGATGCCCGATGTCCATCTGGGGCCTGGTTTCCACCCGGGACCTGAATGTACCTGGGACCTTGTGTCCACCTGGGGCCTGGTATTAACCTGGGCATCCACCAGGGGCCTGGTGTCCACCTGGGGCCTATGTGCCAAACTGGGACCTGATGTTTATGCAGGGACTGGAGTCCACTTGACTAGGGCCTGGCATCAACCTGGTGTCTGATGTCCAGTGTCCACCTAGAGTCCAGTGTCGTTTGGGGCCTGATGTCGTGCTGGGGCCTTGGTGTCCACTAAGGCCTTATGTCCATGGTGGTGGGGAAGAGGTGGGAATCCTTGTCCCCATGGGCCCTGCCCTCTTCCTGGGGAGAGCGGGCAGGGAGTTTCTGTGCCCCCACCCCTCAACATCCAGGAATTCACCCTTCTGCACATGTGGTGGGGAAGGCGCCATTTTTGCCCACTTGGTGCCCAGTTAAGTTGCCCCGACTGCTCTGCTCAGGGTGTGAAGATCTCAGGTGGGTGCTGGACTTGGGGCCCCGAAGCTCCACCCCGCCTGACTCCCTGCGGGAGTGGGCTCGTGCCTATGAGCTAGAGCATGGCCGCCGGGGGTCTGTGTGACAAGGCAGAGAATATTAGTATATACAAAATTTTTATACAATTGGAATGATACTGGTAGTAAAATTAAAATGCAATACAATAAGATTACCTTGCAGGGGCATGGTATTTTAGATTTGTTAAAGTGATTTCATAGGGATGATCTTATTTCAGTCTCATAACAGCCTAGTGATTTGGTAGGGAATTGTGAATTTCATTATACAGAGAAGGAAACTGGTGTCCAGAAGAGTCCAGCAACAGCCCATACTTCGTTTAAATCCCGGTGGCTCCCAGCTCTTACTTATTCCCCACGACTGAGTGCCTGACACAAGTATAGGACTTCAGTGAGCCCAGAAAATCTGAGACAGGTCTCAGTTAATTTATAAAGTTTATTTTGTCAAGGTTGAGGACGCACCCCTTACACAGCCTCAGGAAGTCCTGATGACATTTGCCCAAGGTGGTCAGGGCACAGCTTGGTTTTATACATTCAGGGAGACATGAGACATCAGTTAGTATATGTAAGAAGTACAGGCCAGGTGCAGTGGCCCACGCCTGTAATCCCAGCACTTTGGGAAGCCAAGGCGGGCAGATCACCTGAGGTCAGGAGTTCAAGACCAGCCTGGCCAACATGGTGAAACCCCGTCTCTACGAAAATACAAAATTTAGCCCGGCATGATGGTGGGTGCCTGTAATCCCAGCTACTCGGGAGGCTGAGATGGAAGAATTGCTTGAACTCGGGAGGTGGAGGTTGCAGTGAGCTGAGATGATGCCATTGCACTCCAGCCTGGGTGACAGAGTGAGACTCCGTCTCAAAAAAAAAAAAAAAAAAGAAGTACATTGGTTTGGTCTGGAAAGGGGGGACAACTTGAAGCAAAAGCAAGAAGACTGGAAGTGAGTCAGACAGGTGATACACAAGTGGTTGCATTCTTCTGAGTTTCTGATTAGCCTTTCCAACGGAGGCAAATCAGATATGCATCTATCTCAGAGAGCAGAGGAGTGACTTTGAATAGAATGGGAGGCAGGTTTGCCCTAAGCAGTTCCTGGGTTGAGTTTTCCTTAGTGATTTTGGGGGCCTAAGATATTTTCCTTTCACCCCCTCAAACCTCATTTCCTTCTTCCTCCTTCTCTTTCTTTTCAGAAGAGGAACGCTGCTTCTACCCTACCATTTGGGGAGTAGCACCACCTGATGGAAGAGAACATTCTTCGGTCTTCTCCTCACCATGGCTTGAGAATCGCATAATCTCGCTGTGCCCAACTTTCCTCATCCCTAAACAGGGCCAGCTTGCCTTATCCATGAACTGTATCACCGCAACACCAAACTGAGCTGTGTTCTAACAGCATTTAGTCAACTGCAGACGGTTTTTGCAAATATTAGATGCTACTACTTTTGCTGATCTAATATTTTTTAACACATGAAGTGACATGAAATGTGTTCATGATACTCTCTGCCCACTGATTCATGACCTCCTCTCATGCTTCAGGGGTCAAAACAATCAGTGCTGTCCAGCAGCTGTTAGGGACAGGGGCTCCCCTCCTCCCCAGCTTGGAACCTCAAGCCACTGCCCACAGCTAGCAAGCAGATGTGCCACGCAGTGACCTCTTGGCCTTCCCAGCAAAAATATCCTATTTTGGCATATGGGCTTGACCCACAGTAGGAAAACTTGGCACTACTGTACATATGATCTCATTTAAGGAGTAGGAAGATAAACATGCCAGCTGCACTTACTCACTGATGGGAAAAGTTCTTTGAGTTACACAGTTTCAAACAGGAACAGCCAGGAGACTGGGGACTTAAATCATAACTATTGTATAAATAATGGGAGCTGTTCCCTGAGCTAAACGCCGCCCTTTGGCAGAGGTAGAGCCTTTTGGCAGAGGGAGGCAGGAGAAGAGTGTGGGAAGTGAAGAAGTTCCTGAGGTGACAAAGTGAATTGCACCGGAGAGAAGGGGGGATAAAGCTGCTTCCCAGAAACTAGGACAGCAACACCTGGCTGGTCCCCGAGGACGAGGACGGGACAAGAAAGGCCTCTCCTGCAGGAATGAGGTTAAAATACAATCAGGAACCACACGAATACTCTATCTCCTCTGATATGCTGTCTTGTCTGTTTGTTTAAGAGTGTCTTTGGGACTAGTAAAGCCCCTCTTCCCTGAAGGATTCCTTCGCTTTTCATAGTTTTCAGTGCTGCCGTGTTCACAGACACGCCTCTGCAGCTGCACCTGGCAGAACAGCTTGAGTTTCCCTAGAAACGCTCTTTGAGAAAGGAATAGAGGCAGAATTGCCCTTGGTGATCTCCTAAGAAATGGGGTCCATGTTCATCTGAAGATGGGAATGAAAAATTCATCCTTTTGGTTCAACCAAATTCATACATGGCCAAATCCTCTGGAATATGGTGAAAGCTGACCCTTGAAAGCCGCTATCATTACAAAAACAAGGAGCCAAATGCAGACAGACTTCAGGCCCACAGAACGCCTCCATGGGAATTATCAGCGAAGTAATCATCTCACTCTCCTAACTTCAGGAGAAAATATGAGTCAGCAAAGACTAAATTGGTTTAAAAATAGAATATTTGCAAAATGGAAAAGTCGGATGAATTCACGCTATAAATCAATAGACCTTTAAAGGTAAGGCACAGCAAGCATTTTGGATGACATTAATGAAAGACCTGTGTTGGCATAGTGTGCTGCAGGAAAGGTCGGGGGTCACCACAGCCAGTACCAGACCTTAAATATAATCCTGAAATTAAATATGTACGTAAAATAGTTTCTAGAGCACAAAAGGTGAAGGTAAAGGAGAGTGCTACTGATCTTTTGTGTGTGTGTAATAAAGATTTCGATGTAAAATGTACAACAGAAAAAATACTGTATTTCAATAATAAGAAAAATATATAAATTATTCCCCCAGTGCTCCAAATCCCTTCTGTGTCATACAAATCTTTCTCATCTACTTTGCTGAAAGTTGCTCAAGAATATCTTATTCACCTTTGACTCTCCTACTTAGGTTTATGGATACAGAAAGTATTCAATAAAGAGTGAATAATTTAGTCTCTTTAGCCAATTTACAGATAATAAAACTACACATATTTTGTATGTAGTTTATCTGGCCTCAGATTCTAGCTTGTCAACTGGCAGAGCTAATTGTGGAGGCAGGAGACTAGAAGGCTGGCACCGAAATAGAATCTCCCAGAGTCTTAGGTTTGCCTTCAAAAGCTCAATTATTCTCAAAGATAAAATTTTACATAAAAATAATATCACATATGAGTGAATTGTATGGTATGTGAATATCTCAAAGCTGCTAAATGAAATTTTAAAAATAGATTATATGACTAAAATATATTTGATGTTTAAGTGTCATTTCAGAATACATAATATCTTAATTGATATTATCTAATAATATTGACTTTTTGAAGGAAAAATAATATTCAATTATTTCTTTAAAAACTAATTCTTTGGGGAGGATTGACCATGTACAACCATGGCAGAGGCTCACTAAACTGTGATTCAGTCGTTGAGGTAGGGATTTTTTTTTTTTTTTTTTTTTTTTTTTTTTTTTTTGAGACGGAGTCTCGCTCTGTCACCCGGGCTGGAGTGCAGTGGTGCGATATCGGCTCACTGCAAGCTCCGCCTCCCGGGTTCACGCCATTCTCCTGCCTCAGCCTCCTGAGTAACTGGGACTACAGGCGCCCGCCACCATGCCCGGCTAATTTTTTTGTATTTTTAGTAGAGACGGGGTTTCACCGTGTTAGCCAGGATGGTCTCGATCTCCTGACCTCGTGATCTGCCCACCTGGCCCTCCCAAAGTGCTGGGATTACAGGCGTGAGCCACCGTGCCAGGCCCGAGGTAGGGATTTTTAACCTATCATGAATCCCATTTAAGAAGGAGGAAGCTGAGGCTGCAAGAGGTTAAGTGTCAGAACTAGTATGATGTGGAGCCAGGTTCCAAAACCCAGTATATCTTCCTCCAAATACATTAAAATCTTGGGTACTTTTTATTACTATTCTTAGCAGGGACTCTCAGGAATATGACAGTAAAATGAACATAGATCTGTTCTTTGTAATCAGGATTGTCTCTGGATGGTCACTTAGCATAAACATTTAATATAATATTGGCTGGGCTCACGCCTGTAATCCCAGCACTTTGGGAGGCTGAAGTGGGCAGATCACTGGAGATCAGGAGTTCAGGACCAGCCTGGGCAACATGGTGAAACTCCGTCTCTACTAAAAATACAAAAATTAGCCGGACGTGGTAGCAGTCACTTGTAATCCCAGCCACTCGAGAGGCTGAGGCAGGAGAATCACTGGAACCCGGGAAGTGGAGGTTGCAGTGAGCCGAGATTGCACCACTGGCCTCCAGCCTGGGTGACAGAGTTAGACAACATCTCAAAAAAAAAAAATTAATAAATAAAACTAAAGGAATATTTGGTGTAATTGACAAAAAACTCATAAAGATTGGTTGTAATTTATGTTTGAAGCTTAAAGACCTAACAAACTAATATCCTTAAGCTCTAAGTAACTATCATTGATCAAGTAAAGCTCTGTTTATATCATATTGCCAAATTTAGCAAATAAAAATTATAAATATAAACATATACACCTTAAGTTTGAGTTTCAGATAAACCACGAATTATTTTTTAGTATGTTTATGTCTTATGCAATATTTTTTGTATTTAATCTTGTAATCCTATCAGGGTTTTTAAATGGTGAAATTTATCATTGCATTAAAAACAAGGAAAAAGGCTAAAGTAGTACTATGTGAAAATGTGCACAAATTCTAGATACGTATAGAATTCAAATACTCCTTTCTAGCACTTAGTACTTTAATGAGGTAAGGATTTAAATGATCACCAATAATTATATTAGGATGGCTTTGATTTATTTTTAAATGTCATTTCAGAACACATTAAAAGGCTATGTGGACTGTAGAGCCCTTATTTTCTGCCCCAGATGACAAACTCATGGTGTAATCTCGAGCAGAATATTTAAAACAAATGTTTGTCTGGATGTAAGGTTATTATAATTGGACCACAGATCTCTCCTGACAAAACCCAGAACCAACGTGTCACCTTGGGTTTCACATCGTCGTCAATTTGAAGTGCCTTGAGGGGGATACCATGGTAGGAACAGAGCTCAGAGTTCAGTCTGAGAACTCAGTGATGCTCCCCAAGGGAATCGAGTCTTACCATCTAGTCAGTCTCTCCTTTTACTAATAAGAAATACTTGGGGTTCTACTCTCTCTTAAGGTTGCATTTTGTAATCTGCAAAATGGGGCTGCCTGTTTCATAAGGCTATTGTAAGAATCAATGAGATAAAAGCATTTAATTTGATCAAATAATTGTTGTAAACTGAGGCTACCCCAAAGAGAGCTATCTGAATCATCTAGTCAGAACCTGAAGGAAATTGAAAGATTATTCTATGTCTCTTGCCTTAGAGATGGCGTTAAAAGGCTTTCTAATTAGCACAAAGAGAAGTCAAAGCAGGGCTGGAGCCACACCCTTTGGTCCCCAATCCAGTGCTTTTCCCAACTTCGCTATGTTCCCCCTTAGGTAGGGGTGAAACGGCCTCTCCTAGACGTTAAAATCTTACACAATATCCTGAGTGTGAGTTAAGGAAAGGAAAGACGGCAGGAGAAAGACACATAAAGTAGAAATTAAAATAGTAACAGGATTGTCATTGCAAAGAGCAAATTGCCACCCAGGCTGTCCAAGATCAGAATAGCAATGGGAATTGTCCTGACTTCCAATTTGGCATCCTCTGCATCAATCACATTTAGTAGTCCTCATGTAGGCTCATGGTGGGAGTGGTCAATATCATCATCACTGCTGCTGTCTTAAAGGATTTAGGAAGAGTTGTACAAAGAGAATCGGCCTTCCTTCTTCCAAAGAATACTCCTATGGCAACATGGAAACATCAGCGTTCCTTTTATAGACAAGAGGGCTTAGAACAGTGTTTCGTGCATAGCAAGAACTGAATATGTATTTTGTACTGATCAGGACTCATTCAGATGCACTCAGCCAAAAGTTCATTTCAAAATTTATTCCTTTTGGGAAATGGTGCATGAACCACTTTAGCATGCTTCACCATGGTGGTTAGGTAGATGGTGGACTGAGTGAGAAAACGACAAAACTCTTACTAAATAGTGACACTGTGTGAAGAACCCTGCTAGGCGCCTTCATACAAATCACCTGGTTTCAACCCTGTGACCATTAAGTGAATAATTGTGTCATCTCTGACACAGGAGGGAACTGAGGCTCACAGAAGTTATGTGGATTGTCAGGGGCTGCAGAGTAAGGATGTGGTAGACCTGAGATTGGAACCCGGGGCTTCTGGGGGCAAGTCCTGCGTAAAGCAATGGTTTTGAGATGCTTCAGATGTAAGCAAACCTTGGTCTTCAAGTTCTATAATTGGACTTTTCTTCCTATTATGTGAAGAATAGAAAACACTTAATCGTGGAAAAGTTCTTATAAACCAAGTAAGATTAAAGGAAAATAGGGTATGTAGAAAATCTGGCTTGCTTTGTTTGAAAGGGAGACTGAAGGAGTCTTTAAGATCCAAGGAGAAAAGAAAGAAAAAATTGCCCAAACAGCCCAGGAAGGAGAAGAAAGGATGAAAGGGACGGCTAAGGAGGATAGAGGAAAGGAAACTGGGGATCGTTGTCACAGCCCAAAGTGAGGCTTCAGGGCAAGATTAGGGAAGGCAGTCTGGATGGTCATAAGTAAAACTACTGGGACATCATGACCCTGCATTAACGTAGAATGAGTCTGGTTATCAATGGGCAGCTTAAGAAAAACAGAATGGCAAATCTACTTGTCATGTGACAAATAAAATGGGATTGTCAATTATTTATTATTATTATTATTATTTTCATCCATGACCTGTGAATCAATTACTTTTATCTGCACTGATGGAGAAATGAAGAGTTCCCCTTCAAAATAACTTCAGAGCAGCTTGCGCTTGGGAAGCACGTGGATTCAACCTGGCTTCTGCCTTTTACTTAAGCGGAATGGGCTTTATCCATCTTCAGGGGCAGAGAGAATTAAGATTAAAGCCAAAACAATTGATATGTTTTAATAGAAACAAATCCAGTCCTCTTCTCTGAGGTATTGACCTCGTTTTAAGGAAGAAAAAAAGACAGCGAGAGAGAGGTTTTGTTGCTAAAGCTGGAATACTCTTTCAAAGAATCTAATGATCGCTTATTAGAATAAAATTAAATATGTGAAATATTTTTTAACTAAAAGCAGGATTTTCAAATATTATATAAGATAACCATAACATATGGCATTGTTTGAAGGCATGCTGTTTAAAGTGAGAGCAATTCTGCAAATTAACCGTAAGCTACTTTGAGAATCCCATCTTATTGTTCAATAAGACTCTGGACCCCACGCTGTGTTACTGCAACAGCTCCATTGTGGCGGTGCCTGGCAACCCGGGTGGAAATTAAAATGACAAAGCGGCTAGTCCAGCATCTTGACCGCGGCAGATCTCTCTAGTCACCCTGCAGCCGCTCCTCACCCACAAATTCACAAGCAGCCAACCCAAACTGTACATTTTCAGAAGAGCTCATTACTCACAGCTGTACAGCACGCTGAAGGCCCTCTCGTCTCTGTCCTCTCCGAAGGCGGGTATGTTAAAGGAAAGTGGCCCCTTACCTCCCCCAAGCAGCTGCAGTGGCCGAGCCCTGGTTTCCCAAGGCTCAGGGGACGGATGGCCAACAACACCATGGAGCCTGCCCGTCCCCAGGCCGCTCCTGCAGCTGCCCTCGCTGGCCACCCAGCTGGAACCTTGGACTTACTGGGGGCTGTGGGCATCAGGGTCTCTCGGCCTTTGTTTTCCTCCAGTGCCATCAGCAGTTCCCAGCGTGACTGTCCCGCAGCCGCACTGGGTCCAGGCGGCTCCTGCCGCAGTCAGTCGCTCCCCCTACCCAGCAGCCTTTTTTTTTCTTCTTAAAGAGACAGGACTGTCATCAACCTTAGGTGTCAATAATGCTGCAAGTGCAGCATTGTCGTTCATTGTGGGGGTGACAACCAACCACACGTTTTTGTTCTCTTCACTTGCAAAGGCTAATTTTTAGCAGTAGGTATGGCTAACAGAAGACTGGCTCTATTAAACACCAGTTGTGTGACCTTAGACAAGTCACTCATGGGTCTCGAGTACCTCATGGGAAATGAAGACCTGTGACCTGGTAATGTTGTAGCTCACAATCTGCTTTTTGTATGTTATTTGGAGTTGTTTATGAGGTTCCAATGGTTAAAAAAAAAAGCATTCACTCAAAATGTGTGGTAAACTGTGAAATGCTATACAATTGATCCTGTTCTAAGTTGAAATTGCTAGTCTCAATTTAATAATACAAAATATTGTAACTCTATTTTCTTGCTTCCTCTGATGGGGTATGTGAAATACCACCAGCATTTATTTCATTTCGGCGCACAGCTATCCTGCCACTGGCCTGGGTACATCATATTCCTCATGATAGTCTCCTAGTAGAACTGCCTGCTTTATCCATATAAATCTAGAATTTTGGCTTATCTGGAAATACTGGATCTCGGAAGCTTCTTATTGCTTCGTTCCTGCGGAAAATTCCTCTTAAGTCAGTTCAAACAACTCCAGACCTGAAAAGGCTCAAATGATCTCTCCTGGGAGAAGACCAAAGCAAGCCCCAAATGTCAGCAGCAACTGGGGAAGGAGAGCCCCTGCTTCTTGTACCTGGCCCTGCACTGGTCTGACCCAGAAGATGCCACATCTAATGGTGTCTCCTTCACATCCTAGACTCACAGATTTGTGTACATATTATTTCCTGGGAGATAGGTGGGAGACCTGTTCTAACAAAAGGACTGAATAATCACAAACAAAGCACATTTCTATTGGGGAGAAATGGTGTCTTGCAGGGCCTTTTCATTGAGCTCTCACTGTAGCACCGTGTGGACCAACAGGCCCTCGGTGGCATGCGCCTGTGGAGTGAGGCTGCCTCTCTGAGGCTACCACCATTCTTACATGGTTCAGTTGTAATCAGTTTAATTCAGCACACAAATATTGAGCCCTTGCTTGTTCCTGGCATCAGCTAGACACCGTAGACTAAACGGTGAATACCCAGTATGTTGCTCCCCCAGCAGGCTCTTCTACTCACAGCTGTAAACCATTACACCCCCAAAGGGAAAAGTTATAAATAACTACATATATATAAACTATATATATAATATATATGTATAGTTTTCAGAGAGGTTAGACGATTTTGCCTACCTACTCACACTACATAAAAGTATCCAGTGAAATATTGATTATTCAGAAATAGTGTTGCTTAGCCAGGTGTGGTGGTACATGCCTGTAGTCCTAGCAACTCAGGAGGCTGAGGAAGGAGGATTGCTTGAGGCCGGGAGTTTGAGACCAGCCTGAGCAACATAGCAAGACCTCAGGTTGGGCGCAATGGCTCACGCCTGTAATCCCAACACTTTGGGAGGCCGAGGTGGGTGGATCACTTGAGGCCAGGAGTTCAAGACCAGCCTGGCCAACATGATGAAACCCCATCTCTACTAAAAATACAAAAATTAGCTGGGTGCAGTGGTGTGCACCTGTAATCTCAGATACTTGGAGGCTAAGGCAGGAGAATTGCTTGCACCTGGGAGGCAGAGGTTGCAGTGAGCTGAGATTGTGCCACTGCACTCCAACCTAAACAACAGAGTGAGACCCTGTCCCAAAAAAACAAAAACAAACATAGCAAGACTTCATCTCTACAAAAATTAAAAAATTAAGCAGGCATTGGTCGTGCATGCCTGCAGTCCTAGCTACTCGGGAGACTGAGGTGGGAGGATCACTTGAGCCCAGGAGTTTAAGGTTACAGTGAGCTATGATTGCACCACTGCACACCAGCCTGGGCGACAGAGTAGACCTCATCTCTAAAATTAAAAAAAAAAAAGACAAAAAATAGTGTTGCAATGTAGAAGTCAAAGCTTAAATACCCTTGTGAGCACTGCCTGTGATACACCTTGTTACTGTTACAACAAATTGCATGTGTTTATATGTGACTTTCTACACATTTGGAAGGTGATTTCATGTGCATTGCAAGCCCTTCACTATGCCACTGTCCAGATACAATGGCACATGAAATAAACCATATGAGTTCATTTACACTTATGGTGCCATTTATGCTATTGGAATGTTGTTGTCAAAAGATTTAGACTTTGTCCTAAAAATTTAAGAAAGCAAAGATTTCTGGATAATTCATGAACCACAGATCTTCCACATTCTGGGCAAAGATTGACCGTTAACATACCCAAGTCAGAGGTCAATCTGTCTGTGATGGTTAATTTTAGGTGTCAACTTGACTGGGCTAAGGAATACCCAGATAGCTGGTAAAGCATCCTCTCTGGGTGTGTCTGTGAGGGTGTCTGCCAAAGAGACTAGCGTTTGAATTACTAGACTGGGTAAAGAAGCTCTGCTGTCACCCATGTAGACGGACATCATCCCACATGAGGGCCCAGATAGAGAACCAAAAGTCAGAGGAAGAACAAATTCTCTCCCTCTCTCTCCTTGAGCTGGTACATCCCATCTTCTCCTACCTTGGACATCAGAGGTCCTGGTTCTCAGATCTTCAGACTCCAGGACTTACACCAGCACCCCACCTCATTCTCAGGCCTTTGGCCTTCTACTAGGATTTACACCATCAGCTCGCCTGGTTCTCAGGCAGTCAGACTCAGACTGAATCACACCAACAGCTTTCCTTGTTCTCCAGCTTGCAGATGGCAGATCAGGAGACTTACTGGCTTCCACAAGCACATGAGCCAATTTCCATAATAAATCCCTTCTTACATATCTATAAATATCTTTAGTTCTGTTTCTCTGGAGAACCCTAAGTCAATGTCTCCACCTTACCCTAAGCTGAGCCTAGAACATGAGAAAATATGACCTGGTGCCACGGCTGTCCAGAACCACAAAAGTGCAGCTAGAGGATGAGTCTCTGCCACTTGTCCAGAGGTTTCAAAGAGCTGCTGCAATATGCTGACTCCTTCCCCTGGATCCTCCCAGCTGCTGCTCCTACCGTGCCAGTCTTTCGTTCCAGCCATATCACGTGGCCAAAGCTCTGCTCACATGTGGCCTGGAGACCACATGGTTTTCTTGGCCTCTTCCTCAATCTGTATGAGGGTCAGATTTTATCAACTCAGAAAGGTTAGCAGCTCAACCTGAATGATACAAGCTAAGTCTCGGCATCTAGTCATAGTTTTGGAGTCTTAGCTTCTGTATCTGTGATGGTTAATATTGAGTGTCAACTTGATTGGATTGAAGGCTGCAAAGTATTGTTCCTGGGTGTGTCTGTGAGGGTGTTGCCAAAGGAGATTAACATTTTAGTCAGTGGCAGAGGCAGATCCACCGTCAATCTGGGTGGGCACAGTCTAATTAGCTGCCAGAGTAGCTAGGATAAAAGCAGGCAGAGGAATGTGGAAAGATTAGACTGGCTTAGTCTTCTAGCCTACATCTTTCTCCAGTGCTGAATGCTTCCTACCCATGAATATTGAACCCCAAGTTCTTCAGCTTTGGGACTCTTGGACCTTTGGCCACAGACCAAAGACCAGGAGTCTACGCACTGTTGGCTTCCCTACTTTTGAGGTTTTGGGACTCGGACTGGCTTCCTTGCTCCTCAGCTTGCAGATGGCCTATTGTGGGACCTCACTTTGTGATCGTGTGAGTCAATACTCCTTAATAAGTTCCCTTTTATATATACATCTATCCTATTAATTCTGTCCCTCTAGAGAACCCTGACCAATATCACCGGTTTTACTAACTCACTGGCACATCATGCCAGCATGCTCAATAGTAATGATTGCTCTTGTCAGGGATTATAGAGATTAAATATCTACAAACCAGGAACTGTCTGGGAAAGTCACATGATTTTTGACCTTCAGTTTTTTCATCTGTGAAATGGGAATAGAAGCATACCTCGTTTTATTGCATATCACTTTATTGCACAATGCAGATTCTATGTTTCTTACAAATTGAAGGTTCATGACAATCCTGCCTTGAGTAAGACTATTGGAGCCATTTTTCCAACAGCACGTGCTTAGTTTGTGTTTCTGTGTCACATTTTGGTAATTCTCACAATATTTCAAGCTCTGATTATTATATCTGTTATGGTAATCTGTGATCAGTGATCTTTGATGTTGCTATCGTAATTGTCTTGGGGCTCCACAAGTGGCATCCATATAAGACGGTGAATTTAATTGACAAATGTTGTGTGTTCTGACTGCTCCACTGACCAGCTGTTCACTGTTTCTCTCTCTCTGTCTCTCCCCTCCTCTCTCTCTGCCTCTCTCTCTCGCTCCCACTCAGGCTTCCCTATTCCCTGAGGCACAACAATATTGAAATTATGCCTGTGAATAACACTACAGTGGCCTCTAAGTGTTCAAGTGAAAGAAATAATCACATATCTCTCGCTTTAAATCAAAAGCTAAAAATGAATGAAAAATGTTCATCATCAGTAATCATCAGAGAAATGCAAATCAAAACCACAATGAGATAGCATCTCGCACAATCAGAATGGCTATTATTAAAAAGCCAAAAAATAATAGATGTTGGGGAGGCTGCAGTGAAAAGGGAACACTTATATACTGTTGGTGGGAATGTAAATTAGTTCAGCAATTGTGGAAAGCAGTTGGAGATTTCTCAAAGAACCAAAAACAGAATTACCATTCAATTCAGCAGTCCTATTACTGGGTGTATATGCAATAGAAAATAAATTGTCCCACCAAAAAGACTCATACACTTTGTATGGTCATCACAGCAGTATTCACAATATCAAAGACATAGAATCAACTTAGATGCCCATCAATAGGTGATTGGATAAAAAAAAGTGGTACACATACCAAGGAACAATACAGAGCCATAAAGAAGAATGAAATGGAAGCAACTAGAGGCCATTATCCCAAGTGAATTAACGCAGGAACAAAAATCCAAATACTACATGTTCTCACTTATAAGTGGGGGCGAAGCATTGGTACACATGGACGTAAAGATAGGGGGAAAAAGACACTGGAAACTGCTAGATGAAAGAGTAGGGGAGGGGGCCAAGGGCTGAAAAACTACCTATTGGGTACTATGCTCACTACCTGGATGATGGGATCATTTGTACCCCAAGCGTCAGCATCATGCAATATACCTGTGTAACAAACCTGCACATGTACCTCCTGAATCTATAGAGTTAAAATCATTTTTTTAAAAAGCTAGAAATGATTAAGCTTAATGTGTATAGCATGTCAAATACTAGATGGGTCAAAAGCTAGGCCTTTTAACTCCAAACAGATAGCCAAATAATGAATGCAAAGGAAAAGTTCTTGAAGGAAATTAAGTGTTACTCCAGTGAACACATGAATCATAAGAAAGTGAAACAGTCTTTTAATTGATATGAAGAAAGTTTTAGTGGTCTGAATAGAAGATCAAACCAGCTACAACATTCCCTTAAGCCAAAGCCCAATATAGAAAAAGGCCCTAATTCTCCTGAATTCTGTGAAGGCTGAGAAAGGTGAAGAAGTTGCAGAACAGTTTGAAGCTACCAGAGGTTGGTTCCTGAGGTTTGAAGAAAGAAGCCATCTCCATAACATGAAAGTGCAAGGTGAAGCAGCACGTGCTAATGGAGAAACTTCAACAAGTTCTCCAAAAGATCTAGCTAACATAACGGATGAAGGTGACTACACTAAGCAACAGATTCTCAATGCATGTGAATAATATGGTTTGTCTGTGTCTCCACCCAAATCTTATCTTGAATTGTCGTTCCCATAATCCCTGCATGTCATGGGAGGGACCCAGTGGGAGGTAATTGAATCATGAGGGCAGTTACCCCCATGCTGCTGCTCTCGTGATAGGGATTTCTCACTAGATCTGATGGTCTATAAAAATAAAATAAAAATAGAAACTAGGACCAGCTACATAATTTTCAGGTCCCACTGCCAAATAAAAATACTGGGTACTTTGCTGAAAATTATTAAGAATTTTGAGATATTGGCAGTGGAGCATTAAACCAGGCATTGTTTAATCCCTTCTGGGCATGGGATCCTCTGTGACTTCATAAAGCCGGACCAGATAGAAACAAAGAGTATTTATATGTTAACTGGGAAGTACAATGCATTCTATCTGTGGTTATGATTATGTAGTATATACGTGCATGTGCAAAGAACCTGGGAATTAACTCCAAGTCACCAAAATAGCTACTTTAAGGTGGTAAAATCATGGAGTAGCAAAATCTTTCATGGTCTTTATATTATTTTTGTGAAAAAAAGTTATTTAAAACAAAAACTTTTAGGCCGGGCGCAGTGGCTCGCGCCTGTAATCCCAGCTCTTTGGGAGGCCAAGGCAGGTGGATCACCTGAGGTTGGGAGTTTGAGACCAGCCTGACCAACATGGAGAAACCCCATCTCTACTAAAAATAGAAAATTAGCCAGATGTTGTGGCACATGCCTGTAATCCCAGCTATGTGGGAGGCTGAGGCAGGAGAATCACTTGAACCCGGGAGGTGGAAGTTGCAGTGAGCTGAGATCACACCATTGCACTCCAGCCTGGGCAACAAGAGTGAAACTCCTTCTCAAAAAAAAAAAAAAAAAAAAAAAAAAAAAATTAGTCAGACGTGGTGGGCAGACCTGTAATCCCAGCTACGTGGGAGGCTGAGGCAGGAGACTTGCTTGAACCTGGAGGCGAGGTTGCAGTGAGCCGAAGTCACTCCATTGCACTCCAGCCTGGGTGACAGAGCGAGACTCTGTCTCAGAAACCAAACAAAACAAAAACAAACAAAAAAACTTAAAAAAATCAGCTGCCTTTGCTCTGGACAAAGCCTGGGTGTGGAGCTGCTGCCATGCACCAGACGAGAACTGAGCCTGACAGCCAGTCAGGCCTCTTACCCTAGGATAATGAAAGCCAAGGAGAAAAAAACACACATATAGTCTGTTGGTAAGGAGGAAAGACAAGACCAAATGGTGTATGAAGTGGTGGAGATGCCTATTTTTGCCAGGTACCAAGTCTGGTAGCCTGTGCTCACTGAACGAGCCTTAGGTTCAGAGTGGGTGGGGAGTTTCAGTCCAGGCCGGCCTGCCCGGAGCGCACCACAGGGCTGCCTTCTCAGGTTCTGGCCTCGGTCCTTTCAGGAAGAGTCTCAGAGCACAGAAACTGCCAATTGCTATCTAGTTGGAGCCTTATTTGGGCTTTGGAGGTGCTTCCATTCTTACCACATGACAGTTCACGAGGTGAAACCAACATGATCCACATGCAGACCCAGCTCCACTGCTACCTCACAGTTGACAGGGGTGCCCCCTGCTCTGCTCAGTCAGGAATGTTCACAAAGTTTCCAGGGTGCACAGAGTGACTGGCAGAGCCAGAGCTCTGGTCCCAGTCTGTGCACACCACATCCAGCAAAATGAGCCACTATCGCTGCCGCCTGGAGATTCGAATGCTGTGGCATTTCTCAGCACACAGCCTCATGCTCTTCTCTAATGGGTGCTTTGGGATATCCCTGTTTCTTTCCCCGTCCTGGGGACCTTTCTGCCCCCTGCGTTAAGTTGGTTGTTCAAGCTCTGGTTAAGGGCTCTGCCACTCAGCATGACACAGCCAGCGTGACGGGAGCTGAGTCACAGCCAGCTGATGGGTGGCACAGCCAGAGGGCTCACTCCGGGCCTCTTGCTCAGCTGGTAGATGTCCCTCATCACGCTGGTTGGCTGCTCATGGAGCCACTTCCAGATTTAACCACCATATAATAATAAACACTTTTTACTCAATTCTTAGTTAGGTCTGAAGTCACACAAGTTGGATTTTTCAATATTGTATTTTTAGTAGAGATGGGGTTTCACCATGTTGGCCAGGCTGGTCTCCAACTCCTGACCTCAGGTGATCCACCTGCGTCGGCCTCCCAAAGTGCTGGGATGACAGGCATGAGCCACCGTGCCCAGCCACCCTTGGTTTATTTCTAATTATATAAGAAAACTTATGTTTTCTCTCCTGTTTTCTTGATTACCAACTACAAGTTTATCTGTATTGTTTTTCAGAGAACTAGTTACTGGATTTGTCGATTCCTTTTTCTGTTTTGTAATTTATTTCTGCAATTTATTCCTTCTGTTTCCTTTGACTTCTTTTGTTTTTCTTTCCCTAACTTTTTGAGCTGAATGCTTTATCCATTTATTTCTTTATTTTTAAATAAATATGTGACAAAGGTCATGAAAGCTCCTCTGAGTACCCCTTTAACCAATTATTCTGCTTTAATATGCAGTGTTCTTATCATTTTTATTTAGATATACGTTAATCTGGGTTTTGATCTTTTTCTCTGAGCCATATGTGGTTTAAAAAGAATTTTGTCATTTCCAAGTGGTTAATACTCATTTTGATTCTATTTATGTTGAAAATATGTGGTCCGACATTATAGGTTATATTTTTCCAATTGTTGTTAATTTATCATGATTTTCTTTGTGTCCTTGATGATATATTATTGTACCATGGGTCTAATTAAGAGATTGTGCATTCTCTTTTATAATGAAGTTCAATGTATAACTCTTACCTCAACTTTATTCAGATCCTCCATGCTCTTAATTTTAGCCTATTTGCTCTGTCATGGTTGACAGCGATCAATTAAATTTTCCTACTACTATTATTTCTGTGTCCCTCTTTGTCTCAATTAACAGCTCCTGCCTTAAATTCAACCTTGTCTGATATTAATATTATCTCAATTTTTTTCCTATCATTTGCTTGACCATTCTAAGATAATTTATTTAGCTTTGTATCTTGTATAATAATCTGCAGTTTGGATTTGGCATTTTACTTATTTTAATATTTATTTTCTTGTAGTAAGTGAGTTTATCCCACTGACACTTACAACATATTTTTGGTATAAATTATCTGAACCTCTTTTAGTTTTGGGGGAGGTTGATAATAGATATAAATAAATAATAAGTAAATGATTCCAGTGATTGTAACTTCCATGCAGAGGCTGAAATAGGTTATGATAGAAAGTGTCTGGGATGGGGGAGTTCTTTAGCTAGGATGCTCAGAGAGGTTTCTCCAAGGAGATATTACTTTAGCTTATTCAATAAATTCAACAAGTACTTTTTGATTGCCTATATATGGCAAACATTTACTGGGTACTGGGCATACGGCAGTGAACATTTATGCCCTTGGAGAGTTTACATAGTAATGAGACCTGGATGATGAGATGTTAGTGCTGAGATAGAGGCAACTGGCTAATCTCTGCAAAGAAGAACTTTCCAAAGGAGAAGAAATATCACGTGCAAAGGCCCTGAGATGGGAAAGAACAGAGTGCTCAAGGAACATAAGGTTATGACTAGAGCCTAGTGAGGAGAGAAGAGAGTGGAGGGAGGTGTGTGATGGAGGCAGGCAGCAGCCAGATTACAGAGGCATTTGGCACGGGAAATAACATCTCTTTATTACAATTATCCTGGAAAGCACTGGGTCTGATTTACATTTAAGACAGATCACTTTGGCTTCTCTTTGAGTAGGGCAAGAGTAAAAAGAGGAAGTCCAGCCAGATCGCATTTGAATCATTTCAGGTGAGAAATAATAGTGATTTAAACTAGAGTTGTAGACATGAGGATGGTGAGAAGCAGACAGATTTGGTGCATATTTTGATAAATTGTACTGATAGATTGAATAAGGCAAGGAGAGGAATCAAGGATGACAAAGGGTCCCTGAAGCCCACAGCTGAGCAAATGAGCATTGATGATACTGAATTGTAATATGGGGCAGCTTCAGGGCCTTCAGACTGCAAGCAGTGGAAGGGGAACCAGCAGCTCTGCTAGAGGCGAGCTGGGCATTTTGTCTTTTTGTTGTTGCTTTCCACTTCAAGTTCCGTCTTTTCCAATACACTCCTCGTTTTTCTTCCCCTAAGCATTTTTTATTTGGGAAGTTTATATTCTGCTTTCAATTATTTAAGCTGTTCTCTTTACAACATTAAGTAACGTGTCTAAATGTTTGTTTCTCAATATATCAAGTTTAAAATAGAAGTAGAAGCTATAGGCCATCCACTGCAAGAAATGGAGAAATTAGATCTCTTTCCTTTCTCTCCCTCCAGTTTTCAAAGGAAAATAACATTCCTGCTGTGTAGAGAATGGGAAATCAGGGAGATTGATGGTTGGTTTGGAGTGGCAACTTTACTAGATGAAGGGTACCCAGACAGCTGGGAAAACATTATTTATTCTCAAGGAGTCAGTAGGCACTGCACCCATCCCTCTTCTGCTGAAAGGGAAATCCAGGTGGTTTGGCACTTGATGAGGATGATTGGGCTGTCCCAGCTGTGTCTGTGAGGGTGTTTCTGGAGGAAGATGGTGTGGGCCTCAATGTGGGTGGGAACCTTCCAATTGGCTGAAGACCCAGATGGAACACAAAGGCAGAGGAAGGGCGAATGCTTGCTCTCTCTTCTACAGTAAGGATGCCATTCTTCTCCTGCCCTTGGATATCAGAACTCCAGGTTTTCCAGCCGTTAGACTCCAGGACTCACACCAGCAGCCCCCCTAGCACTCTCAGGCCTGTGGCCTCCCTAATTCTGATGCCTTCAGACTCAGACTGAGCCACCCTACCAGCTTCCCTGGGTCTCCAGCCTGCAGCCAGCCTGGCGTGGGACTTTTCAGCCTCCATAATCAAGCGAGCCCATTCCTTCTAATAAATTCCTTCTCACATATCTCTCTCTATATCTCTTACCAGTTCTGTCCCTCTGGAAAACCCTAAAACAGGACCTAATGATACCTAAAGTCACCATCTCCTCTTGTGTTGCAAGGCAGTAAAGACTAATGAAGGACCACTGTACCCTATACATGCAGGCTCAGATCTCTCAAAAATGAAGGTTTGAGTAACCCAATGGAGTAAAGGACCCCAATTGTTGAGGTGCTGCCTAAAAACAAGGAGAACTGGTGTGGTTTGCCTATATCCACACCCAAATCTCATCTTGAATTGTATCTCCCACAATTTCCATGTGTTATGAGAGGGACCCAGTGGCAGGTAGTTGAATCATGGGGGCTGGTCTTTCCTGTGCAATTCTCGTGGTAGTGAATAAGTCTCATGAGATCTGATGGTTTTCAAAAGGGGAGTTTCCCTGCACAAGCTCTCTCTGCCTGTTGCTATTGTGTAAGATGCAGCTTGCTCCTCCTTGCGTACCACCATGATTGTGAGGCCTCCCCAGCCATGTGGAGCTGTAAGTCCATTAAACCTCTTTTTCTTCCCAGTCTCAGGTATGTCTTTATCAGCAGTGTGAAAACAGACTAATACAGGAACCCAGAATGAGTGGTGAAGAAGGAAACTCTTAAATAGTTTTGTAACCTGTTGCAGAAACAGGGCCTACTGCATCCACCCATATTTCAAATTAATATGTGGGATATTGGTTGGTGGTAATGAACTTTACAGCTTAATCCACAAGTTGCAGATCATAAAATGAGTTTAAAAGAAGTTAAGGAAGAAAGTATAGCACCCTGAGATACGGGGCCAGACAAACACGAGAGACTGGTTTGTCTACCTTTACAAAAGGTATGAGTGTCATTTTTGGTTGTATGACCGATTATTGCAGTATATAAAAAGAAAGCATTTTTTTATTTTTCTTTTTTTAACTGTAAATGTTAAAAGAAGAGGGTATGTATTAGTTATCTATTGCTGTTAACAAATTATCCCCAAACTTAGAGGTTTGAAACAACAAACAGTATCTTACAATTTCTGAAACTCAGGAATCTGGGAGCAGCTTATATAGATGGTTGTGATTCAGTGTTTTTTCTTAGGTTAAAGTCAGGATGTTGGCTGAAGCTGCCATCATCTGAAGGCTTGACTAGAGCTGGAGGCTCCTCTTCCGAGATGGTGCCTTCCCATGCTGCTGGCTGGATGCCTCAGTACCCACCCTGCAGACCTCTGCATAAGGCCCTCTTGGTATCCTCACAACATGGCAGCTGGCTTCCCCCAGAGCAAGCAAGTCAGAGAGAGAACAAGAAGGAAACCTTGATGCCTTTTACATTTTAATCTCAGAAGCAATGCACTTTCACTTCCATGATATCCTGATCATTAGAAGCAAGTCACCAAATGCAGCCCAAACTTAAGGGGAGTGGCTCCACCTTTGAAGGGAGGTGGGTTGATGAGTTGAGGATTCTAAATCCCCACAGGGCATATGGCCTGGGCAGTCTGGGCACATTTGCATTCTTTTTAACCACTCAGCATCAGAGCAACATGCCTATCTGAGGGGACACACCCACTGTGGGGAATGCTCCGTCCTTGTTTCTGGCAGCTAGGGCACAGCCCATTACCTAAGCACAGGCTATGCAAATAAATCCATGCTTTAGGCATTGAACCTTCAGGGAATGCTTCATAAGTGTGGGGCTGGTTGAGGAAGAACTCATGGCAGTGGTAACAGTAGCTCCACTCACACTCCTGGGCATCATCGGGGGCCTGAGGAAATGATGCAGGCATTGGTGCTACCCTCGGCCCAGCCTTTCTTGTCTTCTGCCTATTTTCCCAGCCTTCCTGACAACACAATGAGCTAACCAATATCCTTCCAATTATTTTCTTTTCTGCCTGTTCGCCAGGGTCCATGAGTGACGGGCAAAGAGAACTTTGTGGAAGGCTTCCTGTCAGATGCACTGACAAGAAAACTACACTAGAAAACCTATGCTAATTTTGTCTTTTGTTGCCATTGCTTTTGGTGTTTTAGACATGAAGTCCTTGCCCATTAAACTAAAGAGCTTCTGCACAGCAAAAGAAACTACCATCAGAGTGAACAGGCAACCTACAAAATGGGAGAAAATTTTTGCAACCTACTCATTTGACAAAGGGCTAATATCCAGAATCTACAATGAACTCAAACAAATTTACAAGAAAAAAACAAACAACCCCATCAAAAAGTGGGTGAAGGACATGAACAGACACTTCTCAAAAGAAGACATTTATGCAGCCAAAAAACACATGAAAAAATGCTCACCATCACTGGCCATCAGAGAAATGCAAATCAAAACCACAATGAGATACCATCTCACACCAGTTAGAATGGCAATCATTAAAAAGTCAGGAAACAACAGGTGCTGGAGAGGATGTGGAGAAATAGGAACACTTTTACACTGTTGGTGGGACTGTAAACTAGTTCAACCACTGGGGAAGTCAGTGTGGCGATTCCTCAGGGATCTAGAACTAGAAATACCATTTGACCCAGCCATCCAATTACTGGGTATATACCCAAAGGACTATAAATCATGCTGCTATAAAGACACATGCACACGTATGTTTATTGCGGCATTATTCACAATAGCAAAGACTTGGAACCAACCCAAATGTCCAACAATGATAGACTGGATTAAGAAAATGTGGCACATATACACCATGGAATACTATGCAGCCATAAAAAATGATGAATTCATGTCCTTTGTAGGGACATGGATGAAATTGGAAATCATCATTCTCAGTAAACTATCACAAGAACAAAAAACCAAACACCGCATATTCTCACTCATAGGTGGGAATTGAACAATGAGATCACATGGACACAGGAAGGGCAACATCACACTCTGGGGACTGTTGTGGGGTGGGGGTGGGGGGAGGGATAGCATTGGGAGATATACCTAATGCTAGATGACGAGTTAGTGGGTGCAGCACACCAGCATGGCACATGTATACGTGTGTAACTAACCTGCACAATGTGCACATGTACCCTAAAACTTAAAGTATAATAATAAAAAAATAAATTAATTAAAAAAAAAAAAGAAAGAAAACCTATGCTAATATTTTACATTATTCTTCCAGGTGTTTGAAGTTAGATTTGAATTTAATTTAAATGCATCAACAAGTGTTAATGACCCCCAAGGCAGTCCAGATATATCTGGAGTGTGTTAGCTTACTAACAATTCTTTTTTTTTTTGAGATGGAGTGAGCTGAGATCGCGTCACTGCACTCCAGCCTGGGCAACAGAGCAAGATTCCATCTCAAAAAAAAAAAAGAAAACACTAATGCTCACGGTGGAATAAAAGACTGCCATGGGCTGCCATGAGGTTATATTACATATTCTATTTTAATTAATACCAAATAAAACTCAATTTGTAGGGAAGAAAAATATATTGTGATTTATATGTATGTTCATGTTTACTTGTATGTATTCATACTTCTGTACTTTTAAGTGTTTTCAAAATTATTTGTAATCCTAAAACTAATGACTCATGCAAAAAACAAAAAAAGCATGTTGATTAGGTCATAGAGGATCAGATTCAATTCTTTGTATAATTACAGATCCACTAGGAAATTTTCCCAAACTGTAAACTGCCTGCAGCAGATGGAAGCTCTCAATGTCTCTCAAATTATTAAGTAAAATGATCTGCGTGAGTCAGGGTTCAACCAGACCAGTGGGAGATATGTATGAGGAGCTTTGTTGGAAGGAATTGGCTTAGTCTATTGTGGGCCAGGCTGGGCAAGTCTGAAATTTCCAGGCTAGGCCGGCATTTTTGTCACAGGCTGATCTGCCGACCACAAGTAGACTTTCTTCTTCAAGGGCTGCTTTTTAGGGCCTTTCACCTGTTTGAATCGGGCCCACCCAGATTATCTAGGATCATCTCCCTTACTTAACGTCAACTGCTCTTGGACTTTAATCATATCTACACAGTATCTTCACAGCAGCCCCTAGATTACTGTGGGATTGAATAACTGGATGGTAGACTCACCAAATTGAATGTCAGAAAACTACTGCACTCTTCCTCAGCTCTTAACTCCAGAGGGGCTCTTTAATGCAGCCATGCCAGAAGTCTATGCCTTCTTCTTTCTTTTTTTTTTTTTTTTTTTTTGAGACGGAGTCTCACTCTGTTGCCCAGACTGGAGTGCAGTGGCGTGATCTCCACTCACTGCAACCTCCACCTCCCGGGTTCACGCCATTCTCCTGCCTCAGCCTCCCGAGTAGCTGGGACTACAGGCGCCCTCCACCACACCTGGCTATTTTTTTTTTTTTTTTGTATTTTTAGTAGAGACAAGGTTTCACCCTGTTAGCCAGGATGGTCTCGATCTCCTGACCTCGTGGTCTGCCCACCTTGGCCTCCCAAAGTGCTGGGATTACAGGTGTGAGCCACCGCGTCCGGCCAAGTTCTGTCCTACTCAGAAGTTACTGTTCCTGCCAAAAGCTTTGACCATAACCTTGTAACTCAGTGTCCCCATAGGAGCACAAGACTTAGAATCCAATACGGACTTGGTTATGAGGAGAGAGAGTACATCCAGAAAAACCCTGCAAAGCTGTGGATTAACAAGGGAATGTAGAAATAATCCTCTAAGGCCGGGTGCAGTGGCTCATGCCTGTAATCCCAGCACTTTGGGAGGCCGAGGCGAGTGGATCGCTTGAGGTCAGGAGATTGAGACCATCCTGGCCAACATGGCAAAACCCCATCTCTACTAAAAATACAAAAATTAGCCAGGCGCAGTGGTGGGTGCCTGTAATCCCAGCTACTCAGGAGGCTGAGGCGGGAGAATTGCTTGAATCCGGTGGAGGTTACAGTGAGCTGAGATCGTGCCATTGCACTCCAGCCTGGGCGACAGAGCGAGACTCCATCTCAAAAAAAAAAAAAAAAGAAAAAAGAAAGAATCCTCAGATTCTCTTCATCTGCCCACTCACTGCAGTCAGTTTTTCAACTAAAGAATGAAAAGATTCTTTTGCATCCCTTTCCTCTTCTCCCAGGAAGGATGGCTTTGTGTAACTGACAACTGAGGTCCATGGACAACAATGTACTTGTTTTGCAAGTCTAAAAACAAAGAGTTGTTCCCCAGGGGGAAGGGGGCAAACTGAATCACTCTACCAGAGTTTTCTGTGTAAAATTTAAACAAAAGGTTGCAAGTTGGCAGCAATTAGCATGGAGGCAAGAGCAAACACACAAAAGAAGGTTGGGAAGAAAGATGGGGAGAGCCGGAGAGGAAATGGCATCACCAAATGGCCAAATTGTGTCGTTTGAACAGTCAAACTAAAGCCAACCACTGCTGGCCCCTGGACCTACACTTCTGTAAGAGGAACACTGAGATTTCACTGGGGGAAAGCCAATTTTCATAGTTTTTCTATTAAGAATAAGAAATGTGGCCGGTCAGACAAAAGCAATACCTGCTGCAATGTCTGTCCTGCCTCCCTCAGCGGACTGCTATATGAATTAAATGTGGTAATGGACACCTATAAGCAAGTTTCTAAAAGAAGGAGTTTTAAGGTAGTGGCCAGCACAGTGCCTTGCACAGGAAAGCTGTATGGGAAACGTATGCTTAATTGTACTTAATTATTAATACACCACAACATGCATTAAGCAAATGGTTTATTGAGGAATTTTTGTCTTTTCCTCACATAAGAGCAAATAAATATTTGAAATATTTGGTTTTTTATTCATGAAAACTGATACATTTGATTTTTTTTCATAAAAACACTATTGTTTGAAAATTCACCGTTTTCATTTAAATATGTATTTCCACTTACGGAAAGATTTTAAACAATGAGTTAAGCAAGTTATAGCTATATTTGTAGCACTATGCTAGTCCATCAAACTTGAAAAATGCAGAAGTTACTTTGAACAATTAACTTGCTGGCTCACTTTGCTTAAACAAGGAGGAAACTGTGGATCTATAAAACTGGAAAAAATTATGTTATGCCCCAAGTGAACTTTTCAAGGTCATCAAAGACCATCTCTCTGCTTCAGGGCAGCGTAAATTGAAACCACCCATGAGAGATGAGTGTCAGCCTCGCCTGTCATGCCACCTGCTCCTCATTAATCAGAAATGACATCTGGAGGCAAACGTGCCCTCTCAAATTCTGGAAGGCATTCTGGTGCATGATGACAGCATTTTTCCTTTGATCACGAAAGAGAATTGTACTTATTCAAGTTTTGCAAGAGCGGATTATGACTTCATGTGAACTATGGAAAACTGCCTCCTATTCTCTTTTATACCATTAAATAAGCCTTACTTGTTTGTAAAGAATTGTTTGCCATAATAACTGAACTATTACACTTTATCACTTTTAGAAAGATTAACATTAATCTGGAGGCAGCTGTCACAGTGATTAAGCAGAGAGACAATTCCTTGATTGAATGCCCAGCTTCATCCCTTAGCTGGGTGACCTTGTGCAAATTAACTACACTCTCTGTGTCAGGATTCTCTCATCTGTCAAGGGGAGTGTATTAATCGTGTTTTTTGTTATTTTCTGTATTTTATAATGCTTTGACACGTTGGGGGCCTTGCTGGCCAGGGAGAGACCGCCCCTCCCATGGCTAATTCCTAGAGAAAGCTAACAACTTGCCCCTGTGCATGCCTTTCATATGCAAACCAATTAATCCAAAGTCCATGTCTCCAACCACCTCCTTTATCACATTTGCACACACCAAGCCAGTATTTCTTCTATCCTAAATCACCCCAGGACCAGGCCCCAGACACCTAGAGACCTCCCCCACAGCCCCAAGCACCCAGAAATCATTCAAAGCATGCAATCCCAAATGTGCTCCAACTTGCCTCCCCTGCCTCACCTATTCCTTCCCACAAAAACTTCAAGGGCTCTGGGCATGTTTTCTTCTTCCCTCCTGCTGAACCCTAGCACTTCCCGGGTGGCCCTGCACAGCTTGGCAACTGTCAGTCATGAAACCCCTTTCAATGGCATTGGCCTCTCGTATGGATCACTCAGTCCCCTTCATAAATTAAATTCTGGGTGCAGGTGAAATGGGGATGTATTGATGGTTCCCACCTCCCGGTCTGGGATGAGGATAAAGCAGTTTCATGCCTATGAAGCTTGCAGAACAGCCCCACGTGGCTCCCCTCCAGGGTCTAGAATAAGCCCTCTCTGCACTGCACTGGCCTAGGCCCTTCTCATCTGTCACCTGACAGCCTCCCTGACTCCCTATTTTGCCAGTTCTGTCCTCCTTAGAATACTCATTTTCCTTCTTTCTGATTTGCACACTCCTCCCTCCCAAGAGTCTGTCACTGGTTGACCATGACCAAGACCATCGATTTCTCCCAGAGGTCCTGAGCCTCGCCCATGCACCCATCTCCTCCTTGCTGTGCACTCACACCTGACCAATGTTGATTTGTTGGAAAGTGCATAGCCAGCTGACAGTAGCATTATCTTTAAATGCAAGCAAGACATTCTTTTTTTTTTTTTTTTTTTCAGACAGAGTTTCACTCTTACTGCCCAGGGTGGAATGCAACAGCGTGATCTCTGCTCACTGCAACCTCCACCTCCTGGGTTCAAGCAATTCTCCTGCCTCAGCCTTCTGAGTCGCTGGGATTACAGGCGCCTGCCAACACGCCCAGCTAATTTTTGTTATTTTTAGTAGAGATGGGGTTTTGCCATGTTGGCCAGGTCTCGAACTCTTGACCTCAGGTGATCCACGCACCTCGGCTTCCCAAAGTGCTAGGATTACAGGAATAAGCCACCACACCAGGCCTTTTTTTTTTTTTTTTTTTTAGTGGAGACAGGGTCTTGCTCTGTGGCCCAGGCTGGAGGGCAGTGGTGCCATCTGGGCTCACTGCAACCTCCACCTTCTGGGTTCAAGTGATTTTCCTGCCTCAGCCTCCCAAGTAACTGGGACTACAGTCGTGTGCCACCACACCCAGCTAATTTTTGTATTTTTTAGTAGAGATAGGGTTTCACTGTGTTGGCCAGGCTGGTCTTGAACTCCTGACCTCAAATGGTCCACCCACCTTGGCCTCTGAAAATGCTGGGATTACAGGTGTGAGCCACCACACCCAGTACAAACAACACACCCCCTTTTTTTTTTTTTTTTTTTTTTTGAGATGGAGTCTCTCTCTGTCGCCCAGGCTGGAATGCAGTGGCGCGATCTCTGCTCACTGCTAGCTCCGCCCCTTGGATTCACACCATTCTCCTGCCTCAGCCTCCCAAGTAACTGGGACTACAGGCACCCGCCACCACGCCTGGCTAATTTTTTTGTATTTTTAGTGGAGACAGGGTTTCACCGTGTTAGCCAGGATGGTCTCAGTCTCCTGACCTCGTGATCCGCCCACCTCAGCCTCCCAAAGTCCAACAACACACCCTTAATAACACTTACTACAAAAACTCCTGCAACAGCAGCATTCACCAGATGCTCAAGCCGTCCTTTCATATGTCAGGAGCTGTACCAGGCCTTAGGTTTACTGAGAAAAGAGGAGCATTGTTGCACCCAAGGAAGTACAGTCCAGTGAGGGAGACAGGCATGTAAGTGACCCTCTACGCTGATAAGGAAATGGTAGAGGGGCCCTTGGGTTCATTGGGCGTGTAGGTGGGCACCTAGTCCTGGGTGAGAACCTTCCCCAGGAAAGTTTGCCTGCTAATAGATCTACAGACTCTTCAGGGATGGACAGAGCATTTTTCTTATCACTCATATTAAGTCCCAACCCTGTGCATGTCCAACGTGCTCTGACCCTAAGCATCTCCCCAGCCTCTCCTCTAAGCACACCCTTTGCTCTCCCACCCAGGAATGCCCCTGTGGGCTCTCTCGGGTTCTCGAGTTCCTTCTCTCACACTTACCCTCTTCATGACTCTCCTTTTCACTCTCACCTGCAGGCTTTCGCCAGTGTCGCTGCCTCTGGCCCACATGGGCCCCTGGCCCTCCCACTGAAACAAATTGGTCTCTGGAGACTCTTGGTCTCCATCTGCACCAAGATCATGCCGGCGCCCTCTCTCAGGCTTCCTTAGCATCCCCACTGACCCGTGTTCTCCACCTCCACCACAACAGTGACAGTGCCATGGCTTCAGGGAATATGACACCAATGCCCAGGAGTGGTTCATTTCAGGTGCCTGACAAATAGGGATAAATGTAGCTTTTTGATTAGTAATATCACAATTCTGTGTTTCCACTTAAACAATAGTACAAACAGAATGACAAAGTCCCTTGTACTCCGTAATTCTTTATCTATCTAAGGTGCAATTTGCCAGGGATTTAGGTTTATTCACCATCTGAAAATCAGAAAACTATTACAGGCTAAACCTTCCCAAGTCCCCAAGCACAGCAGGATTTCTGCAGGAGTCAACTTTGGTGTATTCAAGAGGACATCAGGTGTTTTTATGTCTCTAAAAATCACTGTACCATGCTTGGTATAGCATACGTACAACATATTTTGACATTAACCAAACTTTTTGTATGGTAGCTGTATTAGTCAGACTTTTCCAGAGAAACAGAATCAATGGGAGATAGGTAGATAGAAATATAGACAGATTTATTATGGGAATCGGCTCATGTAACTATGGAGGCTGAGAAGTTCCCCCATCTACCATCTGCAAGCTGGAGACCAGGAAAGCCGGTGGTGTGATCAGTCCATGTCCAAAGGTCTGGCAAACAGGGGAGCTGACAGTGGAATTCTCAGGTCAAAGCCAAAGGTAGGAGAACCTGGGGGCTGCTGGCATCAGTCCTGGAATCCAAAGGCCTGAGAACCAGAAGACCTACCATCCGAGGGGAGGAGACAGATGTCTGCACTCAAACAGAAAGAGAATTCGCCCTTCCTCAGCCTTATTATTCTACCTGGGCCCTCCATGAATGGGATGATGCCCACCCGTGTTGGTGGGGGTGGATCTTCTTTACTCAGTCTGCTGGTTCCCATGCTAATCTCTCCAGAAGCGCCCTCGCAGACACACCCAGAGATGATGCTCTTCCAGCTACCTGGGCATCCCTTAGCCCCGTCAAATTGACACTTGAAATTAACTACCACAGCAGCAACAACAATAATGAAGCAAAACTGAGTGCGGTGAGTCAGTCTACGCGTGAGCACATGTATACATAGGGACCATGAGCACCCTAAATTTGGCCAGGCTCAGGACTCCTCATTTGTCCCCCTCTCTCTGGCTTATTCGAGACAAGGAAGGACTTCCTTCTCCCCAGGCCTGTCCTAACCTAGCTGAACACCCTGCAGCAATCAAGAAAAAAGAATGCCTCCAAATTGAACAGCAAGTGGCAATTAATACAAACATCCCCACGTTTCCCCAAGTTAGTGATTCCCCCTCACTGATGGGCTAGAACCTGCTCCTGACATCATGGTGGGGAGTCACCAAGGTCACCACCATCATCAAGTGCCAGAGCCCAGAGAAGTGGGGAGCACTGCACCCGACGAGGCATGGCTCCAGAGCTGACAGCCTGGGTTTGATTCTAGTCTCTGACACTCCCAGCTGTGTGAACTGGGACATGTTAACTAGCTTAGTGGGTTCTGATTCTTTATCTGAAGATGTTTGGTAATGAGGAAACTTTCTTTGTAAGATTTATTTAGGTGGGCCAATGATGATCAAGTACTGAGAAGAGTGCCTAGCACCCGGTGAAACTCATCACACAGCTATGATTATGAGCACCACCATTACTCAATTAGCAAGTTCTCTTTGTTTCAAGGAAACTAACCCAAACTGGTGTAGGCAAAATGGGAAAAAAACTGGTGTCAGGAATTACTAAAAGCAGAGCTCAAAATGCCACAAAATTCCCTTTGTCTTTTATCTCTATCTTTCTTTTTGGCCAGTTTCATTCTCTTTGCTGGAGGCATTGAGTGACAGAGGCTCCCAGGCTGAGAAGGACAACCAAGAAACTCTTGTATTAGCCCCGGTTAGCTCGGGTGCCAGTTCTGTCCAATTACCATAAGAAGGTCATGGGCTTTGAGGAAGGTAGGAGCTCCTGCTCAAACCTGAAATAAAGGAGCTCCTGGAGATGGGGGGCACTCTTGCAAGTGAATAGAAGAGTTGTCAGTTGCCGCTTCACTGTCATCTTCTACTAAAGCGTTTTTATAGAATGCAACCTCTCACCTTAAGGCACACTCTTCATTGGTTCATCCTTTCATTTGTTCATGTAACAAATATTTAATTTCATGACCACTAGGTGCCAGCCATGGTGCTTCCGGGTGGAATGAGAGAGAAGAAAAAGACATAGCCACTCAAGAGTCTGAATTTTCTTTTTTCCATATAGCCAACTATCAGCTAAAACAAATCCACTTATTAACAAAAAAGAATATTTTTTTTTTGAGACAGAGTCTTGCTCTGTCACCCAGGCTATAGTGCAGTGGTACTCGGCTTACTGCAACCTCTGTCTCCCGGGTTCAAGTGATTCTCCTGCCTCAGCCTCCCTAGCAGCTGGTATTACAGGTGTGCCACCACACCTGGCTAATTTTGTATTTTTAGTAGAGATGGGATTTTGCCATTTTGGCCAGACTAGTCTCAGAACTCCTGACCTCAAGCGATCTGCCCGCCTCTGCCTCCTAAAGTGCTGACATTACAGGCATGAGCCAACATGCACAGCCCTGCCAAAAAAATGTTTACATCTGTAATTGCCCAACCAGGTTCTCCTTGCCCACTGTCCAGAAAATCCAATGCACTGAGAGCAATAGGTGTTGCAGCAAAAAAAAAAAAAAAAGAGTTTAATAATGGCAGGACCAGCCAAGTGAGGAGGATGGAAGATAATTCTCAAATCCATCTTAGGGCTTTTAAGGGTACTTTGGCAGGTAGGAGGTCTAAGGAATGGGGAATGGGGAACGATGATTGGTCGGGTTGGGGATGAAATCACAGGGTGTCAGAACTGTCTTCATGCAGCTGAGTCAGTTCCTGGAAGGGGGTCTCAGGACCAGGTGGTATCTCTTGGTCTGCCAAAATGCTAAATCCGAATAATACCTTAAAGACCAGTTCTTTGAGTTCCACAATAGTGATATCATCTCTAGGAGTAGTTGTGGAAGTTAAAATATCTTGCAGCCTCAAGGTACGTGACTTCGGGGCAGTAGGCACCATAGAAAAGCAAGCGAGGCAGTGGCAGGTCATTACTGAACTGTGCCTATTCTTTAGCAGAGTTCAGGCTTCCACCATAATTCTAACCTTGTCTGATGAATGCAGCAGCTTCATTGTGCAAGAAAGAGGATCAGTTTTCCTTGCCTCAAAGTGTAACTATAAGCTAAATTCCTCTCACAGTTATCTTGGCCTCTGCACTATAATAAGAAAAAAAGAAAAAAAATATTAGCCTGTGAAGCTGGGAGCAAGATGGAGTCAGCCATTTTAGATTTCACTCATTATTAATTCTGCAAAGGCATATTCATGCCCAAAAATTGACGCTGGGGCTTCCTCTCTCTGAAACCATAAAGATATCTGTTGCTGCTTTGTGGGGGCCACTTTGTCAAGGAGATGGTGACTTCTGAAGGTCCAGCAGCAGCTGCGTCAGGTCAGAGGGTGACATAACTCAGTGAAGCCTTCTGCAAATGACATCCAGCAAGTGTTGGCATAACCTCACATTGAATGAGCATTTGCAGTGTGGAGGACAGCGACCCATCAAGACGTGGAGCCCAACTCCATGACACACAAACAGCTGAAGAGTTACACGGAGCTCCGCAGAGAAGCTGTATGAGAGGCTAGGCCAGGAAAGTGGGGGCAAGGCCAGCCCCAGCCTCCCTGCCACATGCCTGCCCTGCCTTCAGCCCAGGGCTACTTCCTGCCCCTGCCTCAGCCTTCTCCACACTCCTTATTCCTTTAGGAAAAGGTTCCTGAGATTTCCCCGCCACCAGTGCCACACCTCGCACTGAGTTCTAGGAATAGAAAGAGGAGTGCAAGGTGTCATGAGAAAGGGAAGCTCACAAAATGACTTGGTGATTGTGGCCTGACGCACCTGCCAAGTGCTGGGAGAACAGAGAGGGGAAAACGGCTCTGCCTGTGGAGATGGACTCGACACCTCATAGGAAGAGACATTCATGGAGCTCATATTCTTAGACCTGGGGTTCTCTCATCCCCTTATCTGATCCTTTTAATCACTCATGAGCATCTACAACTGCCTATCAGGATGCTATATCACCTAATGACATTTTGTGTGTGATACCCAAATCAGTTAAGGACACCCCTTCCGTGATCTGATAGAACAGAAGAACAGACACTGAGAAGGCCTCAGGGAGGAGGCATTGGGGCTGTGTTTCTCCTCACACCAATACTTTAGTGCCTGTGTCTTCCTGCTTTCTACTAGCTATCCAGGGTCCCACTGTGGTGGGCCCAGTGGTATGCTGGAACTGGCTGTGCACATTTCTATCCAATCCTGCTTTCAGTGACATCACATTCGCAGCCTGAAATCAGCTATGGTTGGGAAGCATTTATAGGAATAGGCAGATGCTACAAACAAGGGCTTTAGGAGGCTTAGTTGTCCAGCACTTACCATTGATGGTGCCCCAGTCAGACTTGCAATCTCTTTGGTCAGGCTTGGGATTCTCCACTAAACTCTGTATTCTAGGCCAATCAGCTGATTATTCTCTCCTTCCAGTTGAATTTGGTCTATGCCAAATCAGAGTGTTGTAGTGCTCTGCACTACTGTTTCTGGTGGAAAAACTAAGCTAATAATGGATAAACTGGAATCACATTAAGATATTAGTGACAAATGTTTACAGGCAAGCTGAGAGAAGTCTCTTCTGTAGAATGGGGGGAAAATAATTACAAGTTTTTTAAAAAGTGTTACTCTTTGGCTGGGCATAGTGGCTCACGCCTGTAATCCTAGCACTTTGGGAGGCCAAGGTGGGTGGATCACCTGAGGTCAGGAGTTCGAAACCAGCCTGGCCAACATGGCAAAACCCCGTCTCTACTAAAAATACAAAAATTAGCTGGGCGTGGTGGTGCACGCCTGTAATCCCAGCTACTCAGAAGGCTGAGGAAGGAGAATCGCTTGAACCCAGGAGATGGAGGTTGCAGTGAGCCGAGATTGTGTTACTGCACTCCAGCCTATATGACAGGAGCGAGACTCCATCTCAAGAAAAAAAAAATGTCACTCTTTGAGGAACTTCTCTAGTTGTCTTGATATCTAGCTTCCATGGTGCATTCTCCAATGTCTTTTTGGTTGTTGCTGTTGCTTATAATCCTCAAAACCCATGAGTAAAACTATGGCCTTAAAAAAGGCCGCTTTCCAAGCTTGTACCTAGGGGTTCGGCCATTCTCCCTCTACACTCCTAGTTGAGCTACTGCCTCTGATTTGTTTTATTTGGCGTTTACATTTCTGGCCAACCTGGTATTTAATAAATAAACATTTAATGGATTTTGTCAAGGTTTAAAAGTTGGAGGATTTCCCTTATGATCTAGGTTTCTGGCTTCCCTTGACAACTGGAAGGTCTGAGAATACATGACCCATATTTTCAAATGGTCAATGGTCAACAACTAGCCAAGGCTGGGATGTGATTGCTCCTCTTTAAGTGGGTGGCAGTGGTTTCATTCACACAGTATCCACCCGGCCTACTTCTCTTACTTACTCCCTGGAATGGATCATGGAAATAAAGGTAACATTTCAGGAAGAAAGGCAGCTCAATGGGTGTGATTCTGACCTCCCTAAGGGAGGCGTTCATAAGATAGGAGGAGGATTGACGCAGTCTAACAGCACTAAAGGTTGTCAGGATGATCAAATTACAGTCCCTTCTAAAACTATGTACTCCAGTGTCCTGAATCTCCCCATCCCAGACAGCAGATTAGAACAGCGTCTGCCTGATGCTTTCTAGATAACTGGCACCATCTTTCCTCTTCAGCAGAACTGCAGACGGCCTGGGCTGAAACTGACCTTTGTGATAATTGAGGACACACACCTTGTTTGAAACCTCTCCACAACATCCTTTCCAGAGATTCTCAGTGTTCTCCAATCAACTTAAATGGTCTCATTACTTCCTAAGGCAGCCATCCCGACTCTCGAGACCATTTTCTTAAATTGGACAGGAATCTGATGCCCATATTACCGTACTAAAATTATACACCACTTTATAATTTGCAAAGTACAGTCACACACATGGTGATGGTTAATTTTATGTGTCAACTTGAACAGGCTAAGAATGCCCAGTCTAATATTATTTCTGTGTGCGTGTGTGTCTGTGAGGGTGTTTCTGGAAAAGATTAGTATTTGAATCAGTAAACTGGGTAAAGAATATCTGCTGTCACCAAGGTATCATCCAATCTGTTGAGAGCTCAGATACAACAGAAAGGCCAAAGAAGTAAGAAGTGAGAATCTTTCTCTCTCTCTCTCTCTCTCTCTCTCCTCCCTCTCTCTCCCTCCCTCCCTCTTCCTCCCTTTCTTTCTTTCTTTCTCCCACCCTCCCCTTCTCTCTCTCTTTCTCTCTCTCTCTCAATTTCCCCTCTCCATCCTTGAACTGGGACATCCATCTTCTCCTGCCCTTGGACATCAGAGCTCCTGGCTCTTGAGCCTTTGGACCCTGGGACATACACTAGCAGAGCCCCCACCCCCGCCCCATTCCCAGGCCTTCACCTTCAGACAGAGCGTTACATCATTGGCTCCCCCAGCTCTCAGGCTATCAGGCACAGACTGATTCACACCACATTTTTCCTGGTTCACCAGCTTGCACATGACAGATAATGGGCCTTTTTGGCCTCCATAATTATATGAGCCAAATCCCCTCTTTTACATATATGTATAGACACACACACACACACACACACACACACACACACACACACACACACATATATCCTATCAGTTCTGTTTCTCTGGAGAACCCTGGATAATACGAACACAATCTCATTTAATCCTCACAGCAAGACTGAGTTATTTATTTACATTATTGCTTCTTTCCAAATGAGGAAATTGAGGCTCAGAGAAGTTGCATGGCTTAGCCAGTCACACAGCTGGTAAGTAGAAATAAGATATAATTTTTCTGATTCAGATTTCAATATTCTTTTTTTAGAACCATTGGTCTAAGGTCTATCCTGTGCAATAATACCAAGCATGTCTAATTCCTCTTTTCTGCAACAGACTTTCATATAGTTGACCACAGATGTCAAGTGTCCCATAAGCATTTCCTATTTCTCACAAATATGCTCTGTTCCTTGCATCAAGAGTCATTTGACAAAGTTTCTACACCCCACAGCACCCTCACCTCTCTTCTAAACAGAGCAGTTAGTTTGAAAACTCGAATATAAAGACAATACTTTAGGTATGGCCAGCCCAGCACTAAGGAGAGCACAACTGTCTTCTTCATCCTCTAGTGTTATACACCCAGTAATTCAGCCTGAGCACATGATGTCCATAGCAATATGTTAAGCTACACATTAGGTGATCGCAGGTCTCACTTTGCCCAGGACAGTCTCCAATATGCCTGTTGTCCTGGCTGAATTGTTAATGATGCTCTTGTTTTACTCTTGAATGTCCTAGTTTGGATGACAATTGCATGGTCTCCTTACCTATTAGGAAACATAGCGTCAACCACTTCCTTCCTACAGTTGCTGTTGCTTAGGCTTGTCTTCTTGGGATAAAATTTGGACATAAGCAACAAAAACAAAAAATCTTAAATGTATCCACCTGCTTGAATCCAGCCTATATTATACTGCACGAATGGTCCCAGTTCTTCCGTGCACTCTGTCCTGCTTAGCTTTGCAGAGCCCTCACTCTGCAGGGTGGTGTCATTCTCCAGCCTTCACCATGGCCATGTGACTTGCTTTGGCCAATGGAAAGTTAAGAGTTATGAGATCATACACCCCTGAACAGTGTTTCCATGACTGGACTTGGATGCATATGCTTCCGCCATCACCATGAGAAGGCTGTGTCTGGGATGGCCGCTGTGCCCTGAGAGGAGGCTGAGAGACACATGGAGCACAGGTGCCCCAGCTCAAGTGCCCCAGCCTAGAGCTGAGATCAGCTGACAATAATGAGTGCTGGTTTAAGCCACTGAGTTGATGGTGGATTTTTTAAGGCATCTATACACAGTCTAGCTGCATACTACTCCAGATTCCCAGGCTTTGGGTATCTGACCCTACCATCCAAGCTACCATCATCCTAAATGTAAAGAGTATGTATGCCATACACATACTCAAGTCCCTTTTAAGCCGTTGAATAGGATAGGGCTGTTCTGTAACCCTCATGGAACAGCTTTCCAAATTCATAATTCAATCAGCAGTCTAACCAGACCAGTTAGTTATAATAAATTAATAATTGCTGACTTTTATTGAGCACTTACTATTTGCAACGCCCTGTCTTAAGCATGTGGTATGAACTATCTCATTTAATCCCCTTCACTCTATGAGTCAGATGATATAATCCCTATTTTATGATGAGCACAATGGTGAACACATGGCCTGAGGAACATACCCAAGTCACACAGCTGTGAGTGCAGCTGGGGTCCTCCCTGACAGCAGCACCTTCAATCCTGGGCACCTCATTCCCACCCATCGAATGCTGACCACATTCCAGGAGAGCCTGGCACATGGCTTTGGGGGAGTTGAGAATCAGTCTCAATTCTTAGTGGGATATCACTCACCGAAAAGCAGTCAGTGTGATATAAATAAAAAGAACATGAGATTTGGAGATAGCCAGACAAATGTGGGTTCACATCTGGGCTCCAGCACTGACCTACGGTTGTCTCCTTAATCTCTCTGAACCACACTTTGCTTGTCACAAAATGAAGGTAAAAATGCTAACTTCACATGGTCGTTTAGACTGTATAAAGCTCCTGGCTTGGAAAATTAGCCAGTTTCAGGAGATATTTGCTCTCCTCCCGGTCTTAGGTAAAAATAGGGTTGGTCCAACATCTTGCCCTGTGGTGTGTGGACGTGCTAAAGACTGCACTCAGGCCCTCCCTTGCTGGCCAGGCCATGTTTTGTGTTTATGAAACTAATTGTTTCACTGACTTGCACTTGTTGCTACTGACTCTTACACTGCATATTCAGGTCATTGCGTATTCCAAAAAAAGAATTCAGTCCTCTCCTTGAGCTAGCTAAGTGAAATGAAAGATAAGGCATTACTTCCTCTGAAAAACAAAATTTGGAAATTGAAAAACAAAACAAAGAAAACATTTTAAAAATTCTAATTAGAAGAGGGAATGGAAACTCATTTTCCAATTTTGGAAACCACTTCGTCATTTTGACACTAAATGTAGAAATGAACTCAACTTTGGAGCATGTAGGACCTCAGATCTCTACCACTGCAGATACTAGTAGCTGCGTTGTGCCCAGATAGCAATATAGGTAATGATTACAATCACAGGCTTTAGACCCAGAGACTCCAAGGAGGCTTATTAGCTGTAGGACCCTGGAATGTTTATACTTCGATTTACTCACTTGTAAGACAGAAATTACAATAATGCCACCTCATCTAATTGCAGTTGGAATGAAAAGAACTGATACTTAGAGAAACCTTAGCCCATAGTAAACTCTCAAAAAAAAAATCTGCTGAATTATCATTACTAATGAGATTTTGTTCAGTTAAATTTCTCTTTTAGAGCACATTTTTTTGATTTATGTAAGCATTACTGTAGCCATCCTAGGCAAAGCTACAAGAAAAACAAGGAACTGAAAATAGAAGGTTACTGGTCTCCCCTTTTAAACATTCCAGTTAAGTACCTTAAAATGCTATCTTAACATTTTTTTTAAACTTTATTCTTTCCACCTTTTCTTCTCTTTCCACTTTTCCTTCCCCTCTCTTAACTTCAAAAGCCTAACTGGATGCTAAGGATACCCGTGAAGGTTTGACAAAAGAACAGGATACTGACATGACATTAAATCTCTCCACCCAAACACTAATCAAATACAAAGTCCAAGATGGTGACTTTATCATGAAGGAACTGGCAGACACCAACTTGGTCAATTGAAAAATGTTGGCTCCTGCTCCTGAAAAGAACACAGCATAACTTCTGAGGTAGTCCTGCCAAGATGTGTGGACTGAGTCTAGACGTGAGATAACATCAGAGTGTTATCTCTGTATGTGTCATTTTACACTCTGAAGGGCCTGTACCTTTTAAGACTCTCGAGAACACTGTTATGAGCTGAATCATGTCCCCCTCAAAAATTTATATGTTGAAGTTTAACTCTCAGTCCTCAAAATATGACTATAATTCAGAGATAGTCTCTTTAAAGGGGCAATTAAGTTAAAATTAAAATCGAGCCATTGATGTGGGTCCTTATCTGATATAACTGGTGATTTTCTAAGACGAGGAGATGAGGAAACAGACACACGCAGAGGGGAGATCACAGGAAGACACATGGAGAAGATGGCCATTTGCAAGCCAAGGAGAGAGGCCTCAGAAGAAACCAAACCTGCTGACATCTAGAACTTGGATTTCTGGTCTTCAGAACTGTGAGACAATACATTTCTGTTCTTTAAGTCACCCAGGCTGTGGTGCTTTGCTATGGCAGCCAGAACAAACCAATACAAACATGAAAGAGGGAAAGACTGAGAAACTGTTCCAAATGGAAGGAAACTGATGAGATGTGACGGCTCAGTGCAACACATGATTCTGATCTTGGACCAAAAAGGAAAAAAAGGAAATACATTTTTGGGACAGTCAGTGAAATGTGAATGGGGTCTGAGGCCCAGATGATGCAGAATTGACGTCAACGCCCTGGTTGGGAGGGCTGTGTGGTAGTTACATAGGAGAGTGCCCTCGCTTTAGGGAGATCCACACAATAGTATTTAGGGATGATGGGCATCGTAGCCAAAAATGAATATGTCTGTAAATAAAGACAAAAGCTGATGAAGCAAATGTGGTAAAATACTAACAACTGGGGAATATGGGTGTTCTTTGTACTCTTTGTGAAGCTTTTCTGTGAACCTGAAACCGCTTTTTTTTTTTTTTTAAGGTTGAAAATGATGTCTTGGGATCCCTTGTGTACTGTTGGTAGGAATGCAAAAGTGTACAGCCACTAGGGAAAACAGTGTGGTGGTTCCTCAAAAAAATAAACATAGAATTACCATAGAGTCTTCTGGATGTATACCCAGAAGAAATGAAAGCAGACACTCCAACTAATATTGAAAATGTTTGCTTTCACACTCATGTTCACTGCAGCATTATTCACAACAGCCAAAAGGTGGAGGCAGCCCGAGTGTCCATCGATGGATGAATGGATACACAAATGCGCTATAAACAGACAATGGAATATTATTCTGCCTTAAAAAGAAAGGAACTTCTGACACGTGCTACAACATGAGTGAAACTTGAAGATGGTAAGTTAAATGAGCCAGACAGAAAAGGACGAATACTGTAGGATCCCACTTATATGAGGTACCTAAAATAGTCTAATTCATAGAGACAAAGTACAAACCATTTTTAACGTAAGATGGCTTGACTTATGGTTTTTTTACTTTACAGTGGTGAAAAATCAGTATGCATTCAGTAGCAACTGTACTTTGAGTACCCATATGATATGGTTTGAATTCTCACCTTGAATTGTAATAATCCCCACATGTCAAGGGTGGAGATAACTGAGTCATGGGGGCAGTTTCCACCATACTGTTCTCATGATAGTGAATAAGTCTCATGATATCTGATGGTTTTATAAATGGGAGTTTGCCTGCACAAGCTCTGTCTTGCCTGCCTGCCTTGCCTGCCTGCCGCCATGTAAGATGTGACTTTGCTCCTCCTTTGCCTTCTGCCATGATTGTGAGGCCTCCTCAGCCATGTGGAACTGTGAGTCAATTAAACCTCTTTCCTTTATAAATTACCCAATCTCCCATATGTCTGTATCAGCAGTGTGAGAACACACTAATACACCATAGAACCATTCTGAGCATTTACTGAGCACTTACTATTAGAGCTTCTCACTTTTAGTACAGTATTTAATACATTACGTGGGATATTTTGTACTTTATTGGAAAATAAGCCTTATGTTAGGTGATTTTGCCCAACTGTAGGCTACTGTGAGTGTTCTGAGCACGTTTAAGGTAGGCTGGGCTAAGCTGTGATGTTCAGTAGGTTAGGGGCATGGAATGCATTGTCAACTTTCTGTGGGTTTATCTGGACCTAACCCCATCATAAGTCAAGGAGCATCTGTAGAATGGTGGTTTTTCAGGAGCTAGGGGAAGGGGAATGGGAAAATGTTGTTTAATGACTGTGGAGTTTCAGTTTTACAAGATGAAAAGTGTTCTGGAGTGTGGCTGCACAATGGTGTGGATGTTCTTAACACTGCTGAAGAGGACACATACAAATGATTAAGATGGTAAATGTTTTTATGTGTATTTTTACCCCAAATACTTTTCAAAAAATATCTTGGCTATTATTTATCTCCTTATATATATGTCTTTTTTTGTTTGCTAGCATATAAATCTCTCGGAGGCAGAAAACATGTCTGAAATCTACAGCATGTAGATTTCATACAGGGCACAGTGGTTGACCAGTAATGAGTTCCTGCAGGAGGGGACCCTTCCAGTGAATGTAGACCTGGAAAATGAGATTGTCCTATTTATTCCTCTGAATATTCCCCAGCATCTATCACAGTGCTCTTTATAAAGTAAGTGCTCGGTAAACGTTCATTCGTGGTGATGCTAAGGACCGGAAGGGTCTTTAACCTTTTCTCTCCCTCCTAGCTCAGCCCTCACGGAACCCTAAAAGCTGGCTAAGGGGCCATTCTCCTCGCCACCTGGGCCTGCGTCTGCCGAATCGCTTCCTAAGGACTTTGACTAGAAACCAAAGGTCCCATTTTTCATCTGCCATTTATTTATCATTGCATAACTTAGGTAAGTCCCTCCGCCTTCACTGTCAGTTCTTCACTCATTGTTTTGCATCCAAGGAGTCTGGAAATAAGCGGGAACACCCTGCACGTGAGAGGGGCCCTGAAATTCACGAGGGGCTGGGGCTTTGCGTTTATTCCTCCAGTTCCGCCTGCAGCAACCCTGACGATCGAGCAGGGCCCGCGGGGGAGCGAGCGGAAGCGGGCAGCGTGCGCTGCTGTCCCGCTACCCAGCCCGCTAGGCTGCGCAGCTGCGTCTGCGGGCGGGGAGCCGGGGCGGCCGTGGGCTTCCTCCGGGCGCGGGCTGACGGCTGCCGCCTGTGGGCGCCCCAGCCCTGCAGCCGAGCGGGAGGGGCGGACCAGCGGGTGTCGGGAGCAGGCTGCAGCGGCCAGGCCTCTGCGGCTTCTCGGAGTACTGGGTCCACTGGAGAGCGAAGAGCCGCGGCCGCCAGGATTCCCAGCAGCGGCCGCGTGTTGAGAGCCTAGAAGTGGCCCCGAAGCCGTGCCTTTCCCGATAGCCAAGCAGAAGTAGGACTTGAAGCACCGAGGCTGGGATGCCCATGCTGGTGACGCCTTGGGGCTCGCAGTTATACTTGGTGACCGGTCTACACGGCGATTCGGTGCTTTCCGGAGTAGCAGATTCATCTATCTTTAGACCCACCTTCGTCCTTCGGCGGTTTAGCACGGCCTGCGCTTTCCTGCGAGCCCTGCTGTCACCCGAACAGCCTGATGACTTCACGCTCAACCACTGGAGGGCACAACCACATCATTTTTAAAAAATAGATTCCTCCACTTAAAGGACATGGTTTTGGGGGAAAGAACATTTAAAAAATGTAAAAAGATATATATCTATATCTATATATCTATCTCAGATTGTTCTGATATAAACTCAGGTGGGATTCTTCAAAACAGGAGGCTGTTCCAGTCTCTTCATTTTGCAGCTGAGAAAACGAAGGCCTTGGAGCTTGAGAACTCCAGTTGCCCAAGGCACACAGGTGGTGGGTAAGGAAGCTGATCATGTCTCCAAAGAATCCTTCCATGACCCAGGAGGATCCGGTGGGAGAGCAGGGCCGTCCACAGCTCAGCTAGGACACAAGAAGGCCCGGGGTGGCAGGAGCCCCACTGTGTGCTGCGGAGGATGGCAGAGGAAGTCAGCATTGTCCCGAAACTGCAGGATCATGTGATGTGATGGGAAAAAATTATGAGTACAAGACACAGGAAGAGCAGGTCACGGAAACACATGGTGCCCAGAAGGGCTTAATTAGTAGCAGCTGTGCGGGGTGATGCACAGAGTGCCCCAAGGGTGTCCTGAGTGAGGGTGGATGTCCCCTGCCCTCTGGCTTCGTGAAGGCTTCGTGAAGCCTGCCGGGTCACCCTTGTTTTCATGGATAGCTTCTTTAGGACACTCTCTCCACCAGTAATTGACAAAGTCTGCTTCTGTTGAGTGTCTGATAAAGGATTGAGTTTACATGATTGTTAAGATAGGATCATGAAAGAAGACAGAAGACGGATGTGAGTGGCCCTCAGAAAAAAAGCATCAAAGGAAACTGAGGAGTCTGTGTTCCGAGTTATAACATCAGTCCTGTGTGTAAGTGCTGAGTTTCAGCTCTGCCCAAGGCTAGGGGTTGCCTAGTCGGCTTCAACTGTAAGCTCCTAAGGGACAGTGCTGCCCCTTGAGATGACTGGGCAGCCATCAGCTTCATGCTAGAGGCTTTAAAGCAAACCCAAGATGGAGTCTCAGTACTGATTATTTGGGCCAGTGCCTTTCTTAACATTTCACGGATATATTCCTTTATTTTATTTGTTGTATTTTAGTACAGTTTTGCTCTATTCAGTCATGGTCATTCTTAGTTGCTGTTGTCTTTGTAAACTTATTTAATATCTTTTAAATATTAAAAGATTAAATAAATTATTTTCTAATAAATTCTTTTAATATTAAAATATTAATTTTTGATAAGAACCTTGTTTACTCTCAAGATTAATGTAGTAAATAAAGAAGACTAAAAACTTCAGAGACTGAAAGCTGCTGAGAATGTGTAAGAGAAACCTGGTTGTCAAACGCAATCCTGATCTTTTATCAGGCATCTGTATCAATGTGGATGATCTAACCGTGGTTAACTTCATGAAGAAGGAAGATATTTGATTTTCATCTGTTTAAAGAAACAATCTGTTTCTTCTAAAAGTATATACTCTAAAACACAAACCACTTGGCTGGGAAATAAAAGATGGTTATGCTTTATCATTTATATAAGCCTGGCCTTTCTCCAAAATGATTTTGATATAGCTTACAACAAAAAACGTGTTAGGCTTAATAAAAGAAGAATGGAAATGGAAACTAAGGATCAACAGAAAAGAGTATCACAAATACGGTAATACTAGCATATGGTAATATTATTTCTGTATTTGAGTGTAAAACGTGGCTGTGAGCTTCCTGGAGGCCAAGGCAAAAATAGAGACAAGAGCAACGTGCATAATATCATTAGCAGACAGAAAGATCATGTGACTTTTTAATTTTTTTCCCGGAAACTGAATCTAAAAAGAATCGCTCTATATAATGACTCATATATATGGTTTTAAGTGAAAAAATGATGAACACTGTCCTCCATGAGAGTTTTGGCACAAATTGAAGGAGGTAAGAACTGATATTGAAGCACAACTCAGTGAAGTTAATCCTGTCAGGCTAGGTTCACACAAGAAAACTTCTGACAAAATCCTAGAATTCCGGCAAATGCAGGCATGGAATGAGAGATTCCTATTCCATCTGCCTCGTTGTGCCTGGGGCCAGGCCTGAGTGTTGAAGACAGCTTGTTCCAATGTAAGATCAAATGAGATTGTTCATAACAGGAGTCTGCAGGAATATGGCACCTCTGATTTGAAATGATGGATGATTTTCATCAGCCGTGTATCTGCTTCCTTGGCAGCACCCCAAGTGCAGACCCCAGGCTGTTTCAGTGTGTCATCTGGCAGGCCCAAACAGAGGATGTCTCAATTGTGCATGTGTAACACAGCTTTAATTCATAATTTCATTTCTGGATGGAATTTTGAGCAGATGGGCATTGCTGTCCTTTTTAATGGTAAAAAATCAATGAAAGACACCGTGGTTTTGAAATTAATGAGCACTTGAAAAATACCAGCTTTGTTTGGCTTTGCGTTTTCTTTTTTCCTCTCCTCCTAAGTTGTTTGCAGCAAAATATTCAATTGAAAACTCAACATGTCCACTGCCTCCCAAAAAAAAAAAAAAATTCTGTGGAAAGTCTCCACTAACAGGAAGAGAGAAGTTCTTCACAGTTTGGTTTTATTTTTCAATGATAGTCATTGCCTCATTTTTAAAGCATTTATAATAAATTAAGCAAGTAACACTTGTGTACCAGTTTCTAATCAGTTTCTAATGTGCCTGGAACTTGCTGGGCTACAAAGAAAAGGATCAACTATTTTTTTTCCTGCACCCAAAGATATTGCAATCTTATCGGAGAAGGGAAACTGAGGCATGTGTTACAGTTAGAGGACTAGGAAGCACTAATCTGTGTCAGACTCCAAAGTGCAAATTCAAAGGAAAGACCATTGTTGGAGGGAGTGATCCGGAAGAATTCCTAGCCCTTACCTGTCTCAGTCATGCTTCTTGCCAAAGAAAAAGAGAAATCTCCAAGTATCTTAATGCTTTCAGCGCTTCTCCAATCTGACAAATATTTATTCAGATTCGAACTGACTGCCCAAGCTTCACTGCAGCTCCTCGTTTCCTGTTAGATCTTTTTAAAAATCTTTGCTTAAAACATTGAAGGCTGAACGATGAGCAAGAAAATCTTGCCTGTGAATAAGACACTGGGAACTGCACAGAATCAACATCAGCTCACAAGCTCATCATCTCACGCACGGATTCCTGAGCACATTCTCGCATTCTTGCTCTTAATCCTCCCTTGGCGACCTTCTACTCAGACATCATCTTTTATGCAGAGAAGCAGGCACGTTTCTCATCATTAATTCTGTTCTCAGCCAGGTGTGTAGCCACAGAGCATACAGACCACAGGATGATGTGAGTACCCCAGGATGTAAATTTGTGCGGAGTAATTACAGCTCAGGCTTCTTACACAGCTTTGGCCACATCAGGACATGAAGCTGTCTTGCAAATTGCGGGTGTGTCTAAGCTCTTAAGCACATGTGAACTTTAACGCACGTGCATTCCCTACTCACATACACAATACAAGCATGCCACACACTCACAATCCAATTGGCTAACTATGGTTATTAGCAGGAAAGAACAATTAATGGTCCTTGTGGTTACAGTTTTGTTTGAATTTTCGCCTCATCAAAAATGTAACAACCAACTAAAGCAGGCTTTCCTCCTTTTTTCCTAGTGAAAGCATATTGACTTTCCTGACTTCTTATGACCACATTTGAGGAAAGGAGTAAGCACTGGAATCACCAACACAGCATGCTTACGGAGGGTGGTCACCAGCTTCATCAGCCTCCCAATTCCACGGAGCCCCTTGAAAATCCAGGAGCGCAGACTGGCAACAGTAGAGATTTAATAGGTAAGACCTTGGGTTCAATGGACAGATCTCCTACAGTTCCTGATATCAGCCCCTATCAGAAATTATATTTTACTTTGTGTATTTCACATATTTCAAATAGAAGGGGTCAAGACTAATAGTGACCAGTCTTCATCCATTTGATAAACCTTTACTAAACACAACTGCAGCTTTGTTCTAGGCAGCATGAATGGAATGATTTACAAACTGTTGCTGCTCTTTGGGCAGTCACTGTTTTATAGGGGAACTCGAGAAGCAGTCAGGAAGGAAGGTCTCGGAGGAGATGGCCCTGAAACTGAATCAGACTTTAAAAGATAAGTTGGTCAACAGGGTTGGAGGGAGGGAGGGAAAAGAAGGTTTTGAAAGATAGATCTTTCAGAAAAAGCAAATAACTTGGGCACAGACATGGGCACAAAAAGGAAAAGAAAAGCCAGGGCATTCAGAGAATTGCAGAACATTTTGCATGACTGAGTATAGGAAGCAAGAGAGGTCTTTTGAGAAATACGACTGGAGAGGTGATGAGGGGCCAGATCTTGTGTTACACAAAGAACCTCTTATGCCACACAAAGGAATTTGGATTTTTTTTTTCCTTTTAGGCATAAGGAAGCCATTGAAGGGTTTTAAACAGGAACAATGTAATCAGATTTACTCTTTGGAAATAAGATCTCCTGGTTAGTTAATGAACTCGTATTTCTTTTTTTCTATGTTAACCATTGTTTTATTGTTTGGTCTTTAGACTCTATTATTGATTGAAATGCCAAAGTGATGGGAGTCAAGCGGCTTTGCCACTTAACCTTCCAAAGTTTGTTTCATTTGCTTTTAAAATAGTTATTATATTACGTGCTTTGCCTTATTAGTTTTGTGTACAATTAAAGCGAGATAAAGGCAGAGAAACTGGCTTGTAGTGCTATTGCTATGGACACCATTAGTTGATGTCAGAACAATTACAGATGAATCAATATTTACTATTGGACCAATTACAGACAAAACCAGAAAAGATTAGATCTAGCACAAACTTTATAAACTATTGAGCCTTTCATTTTATTTTGCATTTAAAAATCCTTACATCCGAGATTCTGAATTCTTTTATCAGGGGTGTGGCCTGTGCATTGAGAGTTTTTAAAGCTCTCCAGGTGATTTTAATATGCAATTAGATTTGAGAACCATGATTTTAGACTTAAGGGGCTTTAGAAGTAAATGTCTTTAAATTCTGTGATAATACATCATTCATAGGCTATTCAGGCTGTACTAAAACATAGAGAAAAAACAAAGACAATTATTGAGTTCATTTTATGAAGCAAGAACAATCTTAATAACAAAAGATAAAAACCTTTAAAAAGACGCGAAGCTATGATCTTTTTATGAATATAGGTGTAAAATCACAAAATATTATAAAAATATTTTAACCACATATTAAAAGAGTAGGCTAAATAGAATTTACTTTAGGAATTGAAGAATGGTTTAATATTGGGAAATTTATTATTGTAATGCCTGGGCAACAGAGCGAGACTCCGTCTCCAAAAAAAAAAAGAAAAAAGAAAATGCGAAGTTTAGTCTCAAGCTAAGACTAAATATTTGCAAATCATGTGTCTGAAAAAGGACTTGCATCAGAATAGAGAACTCTTATCACTCCATTAAAAAAAGACAATTCAAAATGTTGAGCAAAAGATATGAACAGATAATTCACCAAAGAATATATTATGATAGCAGATAAGCATATGAAAAGTTGCTCAACATTATCAGTGCTTAAAGAAATGCGAACTAAAACCATACTGAGATACTATGACACACATACTAGAATGTCTCTAATCAGAAAAACTGAAAATATTGAATTCTGGTAAAGATTTAGAGGAACTGGAATCCTTATACATTGCTGGTGAGAATGTAGAAAAGATACAGTCGCTTTGGAAAACAGTTTGTCAGTGACTCAGTAAGTTAAATACATCCACTTCTAAATATCTACACAGAGAAATGAAAATGTATGCTTAGACAAAAAACATTCAGCATTATTATTTTCCATAACCAAAACCTGGCTATTCTAGTTCAGGATGACATACTGAACATATGTGTTTACCTCGTGTCCCTCCTGAGACCCCAATGAAATGACAACGTAGAAATACAAAGAGGAATAAACTCATGCAACAAAAAAAGCATGGAAGGGTATCAGTAGACAAGAAATTTCAACACATTTCCAGAGGACAAAAAGCTGATGTACAAGCTTGGCGCAGTGGCTCACGCCTATAATCCCAGCACTTTGGGAGGCCAAGGTGGGTTGATCGCCTGAGGTTAGGAGTTCGAGACCAGCCTGACCAATGTGGTAAAACCCCATCTCTACTAAAAATACAAAAATTAGCCGGGCGTGATGGGGTGTGCCTGTAGTCCCAGCTACTCGGGGGGCCGAGGCAGGAGAATTGCTTGAACCCAGGAGGCGGAGGTTGCAGTGAGTCGAGATCGCGCCACTGTACTCCGGCCTGGATGACAGAGCAATACTCTGTCTCAAAAATAAAATAAAATAAAATAAAATAAAATAAAATAAAATAAGAAAGCTAATGTACAGGCAAGCGAAGGATGCTGAAGCCCAGAATATAATCGTTGTTGGAGGCTCTGTAAGAAGGAGCCAGCCTCCTCTATTGGAGACCTGAAAGAGAAGGAGCGAAGCAAAGGGAATGATGGAATATGTACACCACTATGTCACAGCCCTGCCAGTCACCCCTCCCTTTCCCACCCTTCCAGAGCATCTGGAAGGTCAACATTGTCACTGTTACAAAAGATAAAGAATGAAGGAATTTCACACATTTACCTAGGAAGATGTAAATCTTCTGTTGTAGATAATTTATTACAGAGTACTCCGTCCACATCCAGGTGCCCCACACAAGTGCTTCGCAAAGCATCTGTGGTGAAGGACCAGCTTTTGTGTTAAAATTTCAAATCCATTGCAGAAGGTTACTTTTTAAAATATAGTAGAAATAAATTACTAGAAAAATAAAATTTAAAAAGCAAAGGCACACAAAATACAAGCCCAAATGTTTTATTACCAGACTCAAGAGACAAAAGATTATATTTCTTTTTTTTTTTTTTGAGATGGAGTCTCGTTCTGTCACCCAGGCTGGAGCGCAGTGGCACCATCTCAGCTCACTGCAGGCTCTGCCTCCCAGATTCATGCCATTCTCCTGCCTCAGCCTCCTGAATAGCTGGGACTACAGGCGCCCTCCACCAAGCCCGGCTAATTTTTTGTATTTTTAGTAGAGACAGGGTTTCACCGTGTTAGCCAGGATGGTCTCAATCTCCTGACCTCGTGATCTGCCCGCCTCAGCCTCCCAAAGTGCTGGGATTACAGGCATGAGCCACCGTGCCCGGCCCCTAGACAAAATATTATATTTCAATCAATGTTATCAGAACAAATTTAAAATAGAAAAAAAGACAAGAATTACAAAAATGGTACATACTTATTGAAAGTGTGTGTATAGGCAATTAAAGTAGCCAATCATTTTTACATTAAAATATTTGTGTCATTCTACCATTGAAACTAAACAAAAGGTTATGAAAGGAATTGTAATTTCCCATATAGAAAACCTATAAGTTTTGAATAAACAGCATGTATAAAAATATCAAAAGCTTTTATTGTAAAAAATGAGCCTGATTCTTGTTTTTTAATTAATTTATGTTGGATTGTTGACAATGCTATTCACAGAAGATAATGCATGTCTAAACTGTTTCTACGTATTTTTTCCCTTGTTTTTTAAGATACAATTTACGTATCATAAAATTATCATTTTAAAGTGTACAAACAATTGGCAGGGCACAGTGGCTCTCGCCTGTAATCCTAGCACTTTGGGAGGCCGAGGCGGGTGGATCACTTGAAGTCAGAAGTTTGAGACCAGGCTGACCAACATGGTGAAACTCCGTCTCTACTAAAAATACAGAATTAGCTGGGCAGGTGGTGCATGCCTGTAATCTCAGCTATTTGGGAGGCTGAGGCAGGAGAATCGCTTGAACCCGGGAGGTGGAGGTTGCAGTGACCTGAGATTGTGCCACTGCATTTCAGCCTGAGCAACACGAGAGAACCTCCATCTCAAAAAAAAAAAAAATTAAAGTGCACAATTCAGTGGTTCTCAGTGTATCATATTCACAATTTGTGCAACCAAAAGCACTATCTAATTCCAGGATGTTTTCATCACCCCAAATGGAGATCTCATACTCTTGGGCAGCCATTGCCCAGTCTCCCGGCCATCAGCCCTGAACACTTCCTAATCTATTCTGTTTCTTTATAGTTTTGCCCATTCTGAACATTTCATATAAACGGAATAAAAGGCTACAACATGTAGCCTTTTTTGTCTGACGTCTTTTACTCAGCATAGTGTTTTCAAGGTTCATCCACATTGTTGTATGTGTCAGTAATTCATTCCTTTTTGTGGCTGAATAGTATTTCTTTGTGTGGATAGACCACAATTTATTTATTCATTCATCTGTTAGTGGACAATTGAGTTGTTTCCACTTTTTGGCTATTATGAATAATGCTACTGTGAACATTAAAATGTAAGCTTTTGTGTGAACATACATTTTCATTTTCTTGGCTATATCCCTAGGAATTGAATTGCTGGGTTATATATGAGAACTGTATGTTTAACTTTTTTAGGAACCAGCTGTTTTCCACAGTGGTTGTACCATTTTATATACCCACCAGCAATTTATTAGAGTTCCAATTTTTCCACATCCTTGCCAATATTATTTCCCTTTTAAAAATTATTATTATAGTCATTCTAGTGTGTCTGAAATGATATCTCATTGTAGTTTTGATTTGCATTTCTCTGATGATCAATGATGTTGAGCACCTTTTCAAATACCTGGTTGCCATTTGTATGCCTTCTTTGGAGAAATGTCTGTTCGAATCATTTGCTCACTTTTTTAATGGAGTTTTTTACTGTTGAGTTGTCAGAGAGCTTCATTCATATATTCTAGATACTAGATGCTTATGAGATACATGGTTTGCAGGTATTTTATTTCATTCTGTGGGTTTTCTTTTCTTTAGGACAGTCTCTTGATAGTGTCCTTTAATGCACTGTGATGCTGTGATGCTGATGAAATCCAATTTGTCTATTTTTGTCTTTGTTTACTTAGGCATTTGGGATCATATCTAGGAAACTAATGCCTAAATGATGAAGATTTACACACATTTTCATATAAGAGTCTTATACTTTGGGCTCTTTTTAAATTTAGTGGTTTTTTAAAATGTGTGTTTTGTTGTTTCTTTCAAGATACAGGGTCTTGCTCTGTTGCCCAGGCTGGAGTATAGCAGTGCAATTACAGCTCACGGCAACCTCAAACTCCTCGGCTCAAATGATTTTCCCACCTCAGCCTCCAGAGTAGCAGGCACTACACTATCCATTTTTAAAATATTTTAACATGGTGTGAGCTAGGGGTCCAAATTTATTCTTTTACCTTTGGATATTCAGTTGCTCCACCCATTTGTAGAAAAGATTATTTTCTCTCATTGAATGATCTTCACACCCCTGTCAAAAGTCAATTAGCTGGCCAGGTGCGGTGGCTCATGCCTGTAATCCTAGCACTTTGGGAAGCTGAGGCGGGCAGATCCTGAGGTCCAGAGTTTGAGACTAGCCTGGCCAACATGGTGAAACTGTGTATCTACTAAAAATACAAAAAAAAATTAGCTGGGCCTGATGGTGGGCACCTGTAATCCCAGCTACTTGGCAGTCTGAAGCGGAAGACTTGCTTGAACCTAGGAGGTGGAGATTGCAGTAAGCCGAGATCACACGATTACACTCCAGCCTCAGTGACAAGAGTGAAACTCCGTCTGAAAACAAAAAACAAACAAAAGAGTCAATTGGCTATACATGCATGGGTTTATTTCTGAACTCACAATTCTATTTCATTGTTCTACATGTTTATCCTTATTTCAGTACTACTCTGTCTTCATTACTGTAGTTTTGTAGCAAGTTTAAAAATAGGGAAGTGTAAATTCACCAACTTTATTCTTTATTCAGTTTATTTTGCCTACTCTATATCTCTGGCATTTCTGTATGAATTTTAGTATCTGCCTGTCAATTTCTGCAAAAAAAAAAAGGAATCAACAGAGATTTTGATAGTGATTTGCATTGCAACTGTAAATCAGTTTGGTGAGTATTCCCATCTTAACAATATTAAGTATTTTGATCCATGAACATGGATGTCTTTACATTTATTTAGGTCTTCTGTAATTTAACAATATTTTGTAGTTTTCAATTAACAAGTCTTATACTTCTTTTGTTAAAATTATACCTAAGTATTTTATTCCTTTTGATTTTATTATAAATAGAATTATTTTCTCAGTTTCATTTTTGGGCAGTTCATTGCTAATGCGTAATACAATTGATTTGTAAATTTTGGTATTATATCCTACATATTTGCTGAACTCACTCATTAGCTGTAATATGGATTCTTTAGGTTTTCTATAGGTAAGTTATGTCATCTGCACATACAGATAGTTTACATTTTCCTTTCCACTGTGGATGCCTTTTTTTTTCTTGTCTACTTGCCCTGGGTATAACTTCCAGTACAGTGTTTTGTTTCAGTCTTTCACCATTAAGTATGATGTCAACTGTGGATTTTTCATAGATGCCCTTTATCAGGATGAGAACATTCCTTTCAATCCCCAGTTTGTTGAGTATTTTTCATCATGAAAGGGTGTAATTTTGTCAAATGCTTTTCCTGAGTCAATTGAGGTGATCATATGGGGTTCTTTTTCTTCATTATATTAATGTGGTATATAACATTGATTGATTTTGTTTGTTGAAGCACCATGGCATTCCTGAGATAAATCCTATCTGGTCATAATGAATAATGCTTTTATATACTGCTTGGTTTGGTTTGCTGTTATTTTGTTAAAAGATTTTCACATCTATACTCATAAAAGATATTAGTCTACAGTTTTCTTTTGTTATATTTACCTAGTTTGGATATCAAGATAATACTGGCCTCATAGAATAAGTTAAAAAGTATTTCCTCCTGTCCTACTTTTATTTCTTCTTTAAACATTTGGTAGACTTCACTAGTGAACCCATCTGGGCCTCAGATTTTCTTTGGGAAGTTTTCCAATTACTTATTTAATCCTTTTAGTTATTCTAGATCTACTCTGATCTTCTGTTTCTTATTGAGTAAGCCTTTGTAGTTTGTGTATTTCTAGGAATTTGTCCGTTTCTTCTAGGGTATCTAATGTTTTTAGCATACAATTACTCACAGTATTGCCTTATAATCCCTTTTATTTCTGTAGGGTTCATAGGAATGTCCCCTCATTCATTTCCGAATTTAGTAATTTGAGTCTTCTCTCTTTTTTCTTGGTGAATCTAGATAAACTTTGTCAATTTTGTTCCTCTTTTCAAACAACCAACTTTTTATTCTGTTAAACTTCTCTGTTGTATTTCTCTTTTGTCTTTCGCTAATTTCTGCTCTTATCTTTATTATTTCCTTTCTTCTGCTTGCTTTGGCTTAGTTTACTTTGCCCCATGTCTTAAGGTTGAATGTTAGGTTATTGATTTAAGATCTTTCTTTCTTTCTTTTTTTTTTTTCTTTTTTTTTTGAGATGGAGTTTCACTCTTATTGCCCACGCTGGAATGCAGTGGCAGGATCTCGGCTCACCGCAACCTTTGCCTCCCTGGTTCAAGCAATTCTCCTGCCTCAGCCTCCCGAGTAGCTGGGATTACAGGCATGTGCCACCACACCTGGCTAATTTTGTATTTTTAGTAGAGACAGGGTTTCTCCACGTTAGTCAGGCTGGTCTCGAACTCCCGACCTCAGGAGATCCACCCGCCTTGGCCTCCCAAAGTGCTGGGATTACAGGTGTGAGCCACTGTGCCCAGCCTTTTTTTTTTTTTTTAGTTTTTTAAAATTATTATTATTTTGAGACAGAGTCTTGCTCTTTCGCCCAGGCTGGAGTGCAGTGGCGCCATCTCGGCTCACTGCAAGCTCCACCTCCCGGGTTCACGCCATTCTCTTGCCTCAGCCTCCCAAGAGCTGGAACTACAGGTGCCCACCACTACGCCAAGCTAATTTTTTGTATTTTTGGTAGAGACGGGGTTTCACCGTGTTAGCCAGGATGGTCTCAATCTCCTGACCTCGTGATCCACCCGCTTCGGCCTCCCAAAGTGCTAGGATTACAGGCACGAGCCACTGCGCCTGGCCAACCCTCTTTTTTTTAAATGTACACATTTACAACTGTGCATTTCCCTTCTAGGCACTGCTTTAACTGCATGCACATTTTGGTACATTGTGTTTTTATTTTCATTCATCCCAAATTATGCTTTAATTTCTTTTGATGTATTGTTTTACTTACTGTTTATTTAAAGTGTGTTGACATATTTGTGAATTTCCCAAATTTCTTTCAGTTACTGATGTTTAGTTTCATTCCATTTTGGTCAGAGAACATATACTTTATGTTTTCAACCCTTTTAGTTTTATTGAGACTTGTTTTATGCTGTAAAATATCATCTATACTGGAGACTGCTCCAAAGTACTTAAAAAGAGTTTGTATTGTTCTGTTGTAGGGTAGTGATATAGATATCCATGGGGTTTAGTTTACTTACAGTGTTTTTCAAGTTTTCTGTTTCCTTGCTGATATACTGTCTAGTTGTTCTATCAACTATGGAAAGTAAGGTAATGATATATCCAACTATTATTGTTACCTAAGAGAAAAGCTCTAAAATACATGAAATAGTTCTCTCTTCAAGTTTGTCAGTTTCTGTTCATGCATTTTGGAGCTGTTCTTTTAGGTACATGTATGCATATAATTATTATATATTCTTATTGAATAACATTTTTTCATTATAAAATGCCCTTCTTTGTCTTTAGTAATAATTTTTGTTTTAAAATCTATCTCACCACATATCAGTTATAGTAACTCCATCTCTGTTTTTATTATTGTTTACATAGTGTATCTTTTCCTGTTCTTGATCATTCAATCTATTTATGTCCTTGAATCTGAAGTGTGTCTTTTGTAGACAGTGTATAGTTGGGCCATTAAAAACATCTTTCTAGCTTGTAGACAGCTGCTTTATTAAAAAAAAAAAAAGAAAGAAGGAAAAAAATTTTAAATAAAAATATCTTTTTTCCAATCTCTGCTTTTTTATTAGAATATGTAGCTTATTTATATTTAATGTAATTAATGATAAATTAGGATTAACATCTGCCATTTTACTGTTTGTTTTCTACCTTTTTATTCTTTTGTTTCTACATTTCTCCATTACTGGCTTCCTTTGTGTTAAATAGATATTTTCTTATACAGTATTTTAATTCTCTCATTTCTTTTACTATATTTTTGAGTTTTCTTTCTTAGTGGTTACCTTGGCAATTACCACTAATACCTTACTTAATAACAATGTTATCTAAATCAAATGATATTATTTAACTCCAATAGTCTACAAAACTTTGTTCCTATATAGCTTTTTTTTACCCTTCCTGTATGCCATTATCATCACAAATTACATCTTTATACATTATATGCTTGTCAACAAGGATTTATAATTATTGCTTTATGCAGCTGTCTCTTAAAACAGATAGGAGAAGGAAATGAATTACAAGCAAAAAATACACTTATACTATTTATTTTTAATATTCATCTGTATGTAGTTTATCTTTATTATTTCGTTTATTTCTTCATGTAGACCTGAGTTACTGCTTACTCTCCTTTAAGTCCAGCCTAATGGGCTCCTTTTAGTATTTCGTGTAGGATAGGTATCCTAGTGACAAGTCCTCTCAGCTTTTGTTTGTTTAGAAATGGCTTAATTTCTCTTTCATTTTTGAAAGATGGTTTTGTGGATATAGAATTCTTGGTTGGCAGCTATTTTCTTTCAGTGCTTTGAATATGCCATACCACTGCCTTCTGGCCTCCATGCTTTCTAATGAGAAACTGTTAATCTTATTGAGGATCCATTATACAGGTCAAGTCCCTTCTCTCTCTCTGCTTTTAAGATTCTTTGTCTGTGGCTTTCAACAGTTTGAATATAATGTGACTCAGTGTGGATCTCTCTCAGTTTGTCATACTTGGAGTTTATTGATCTTTTTAAATGTATATATTAGTGTTTTTCATCAAGTTTAGGGAGCTTTGGCCATTATTTCATCAAGTAATCTTTCTGAAACTTTCTCTCACCTCTCCTTTTGGGATTCCATTATGCATATGTTGATATATTTAATAGTGTCCCACAAGTCTCTAATCATTTTTCTGCCTGTTTTTTCTTTCTGTTCCTCAGACTGGATAATCTCAACTGACCTATCTTCAAGTTTGTTGATTATTTTTATCCTGCCTGATCAAATGTGCTATTGGGTGCCTCTGGTTTATTTTTCAGTTCACTTATTCTAGCTTTCAACTCCAGAATTACTATTTTTTAAATAATTTTGACCCATTTTTATTCTCTATTTGGTTAAACATAGTTATCTTTTGACATGGTTTGGCTCTGTGCCCCAACCCAAATCACATCTCGAATTGTAATCCCCAAGTTTCAAGGAAGGGACCTTGTGGGAGGTGATTGGATCATGGGGCGGTTCCCCCCATGCTGTTCTCATGATAGTGAGAAAGTCCTCATGAGATCTGATGGTTTTATAAGTGTGTGATGGTTCCTCCATTGCTCTGTCTCTCCCTCACTCTCCTGCTGCCCTGTGAAGAAGGTGCCTGCTTCCCCTTCTGCCATGATTCTAAGTTTCCTGAGGCCTCCCCAGCCATGTGGAATTGTGAGTCAATAAAACCTCCTTTGTTTGTAAATTACCCAGTCTCAAGTTGTATCTTTATAGCACTGTGAAAATGGACAAATACATCATTCTTTGCTTCAGTTCTTCAGACATAGTTTCCTTTAACTCTTTGAACATATGTTTAAATAGCTAATTTTACTCTCTGTCTAGTAAGCACAACATTTGGGCCTCTTAGGGCCAACTTCTATCAATTGCTTTCCGTGTGTGTGTATGGGACATAATTTTATGTTTCTTTGCATGTCTCACAATTTTATGTTGAAATTTTGACATTTAAAAAAATATAATATTACAAGTCTGAAAATCATATTCTTCCCTGCTGAATTGTGTTGTTGCTCCTTGCTTTTAAATGTTGTTTTTATTTATTTCATGGCTTTTCTGAACTAATTCTATAAAGTATGTATTGTTTATTATATGTGGTCATGGGAGTTATCAATTAGCTTAGTGATTGGACATCTAATGATTGAACAGAGATTTCTTTAAATGCTGGAACCAATAAACCTCTAAATCTTTGCCATGGGTTACTATATACATGTTGGATCATACCTTTAACACTCCACCAGGCAGTTCACAATGCTGTTTTAGCCTTTACTTTCTGCTTGTGCAGAACCTTAAGGTCACCAAGAAGTGAGAGCTCAGGCCTCCTCAGCTCTTTCTTCAGAATGCCCACAGGCCTACATATGCCCCTGACCTTCCAAATTCTCAGGAATATGTCAGAGCATTTCAAAGCTCCTATGGACATCTTATTCCACAGCTTTTCCCTTTAATCTTCTTGGTTAGTCTATTGTTTGCACTATCATCCATCTCATGCAGCCTGATAGTTAAAAGACGTGCCTAAAATTATTTTCAATAAATGCCTCTTAACCCCTGGGAGAGACTTTTTACACTTGGCAAGTTCAAACCACATCAAGTAAAAATGTACCTTTTCAGTGGAGCCTTCTAAGGATGGATCAAACAATGTCAGTTCTTTGGGACTGAGGCTTTGAATGAGCTCCAGCTCTGTTCTGATCCTTTAATACTGGAATGCAGTTGTTATTTTTCTAGGCTATTGCTGAGCTGAAGAGTGGGAGATGGGCCTAAGGTAAGTTTCAAATGTTGTAAAGATTACAGTTCTTACCAAGATTCAGATATTTTTCTTGAATAAATGCTCCCTGGATGGCTGAAAGTCTTTGGTTAATGCCAAGAGAGTTGAAAAAATGGATTCTGCTTTTCTTTGCCAGTTTTTTCATTACTGTTACGAAGGAACAAAATTTTGGATGTTCTTAATCTGCCATTTTTACTACTGTCACCTATTTTAATGTTGTGTTTTTATAATCTACACTGTACAAAACTAGCCTCACAGAATTATGTTGATAAGGTGGAAGAAGAGATTTTTAAAACATTTTATTAAGCTCAGAATATTCATTTTTAAACTTTCATTCAAAGTAATGTAAATGATACTATATTTCTAAATTCATCTTCTACTGTTCATTAGTAGTCAGATTCAATAATTTATCCATAAATTATAGTTAAGTTTAAATTATCTTTTGATGAAAGAAATGGATTCTGGATCCATGAATTTCCTATATGTTGTCTTCTCCTGATAGAAAACAAAAATTCACAATCTTTTATCAAATTTAAAGATGTTTGGTGATACATTTTGACAGTGTAATATCAATATCATCACCAACTCTGCTGTCAATAAACTATGGAGCATGTCACAATAACTTACAGAAAGTCTGTTCTTTCAAGCATCCAAGTTTCATTTTGTGCTTTAATTTCATGTGGCATTAGAAAACATGTTGCCTTCCTTCCTTGCATAGGAGTGTGAGCCTCAGAAATTTGAGACTGAGACCTGTCTCAAATTTCTGAGGCTGAGGAAGGAGAATCGCTTGAACCCAGGAGGCGGAGGTTTCAGTGAGCCAAGATCGCATCACTGCACTCCAGCCTGGGTGACAGAGTGATAGATACCCTTTCTCAAAAAAAAAATTTGATATGGGCCACATTACTCTGAAGTCCATACATTAGTAGGCAGGCATGAAAGTGCCTTATGTATGTAAACAGGTTACTGTTATTTTCTGCCGAAGTTTAAGTTGTCTGTCTTCAGCTTGCAGGGTTTTTTTTTTTTTTTTTTTTTTTTTTTTTTTTGAGACGGAGTCTCGCTCTGTCGCCCAGGCCGGACTGCGGACTGCAGTGGCGCAATCTCGGCTCACTGCAAGCTCCGCTTCCCGGGTTCACGCCATTCTCCTGCCTCAGCCTCCCGAGTAGCTGGGACTACAGGCGCCTGCCACCGCGCCCGGCTAATTTTTTTGTATTTTTAGTAGAGACGGGGTTTCACCTTGTTAGCCAGGATGGTCTCGATCTCCTGACCTCGTGATCCACCCGCCTCGGCCTCCCAAAGTGCTGGGATTACAGGCGTGAGCCACCGCGCCCGGCCAGCTTGCAGGGTTTTAAAGAAGAACAACTTAGTTTTCAGTGACTTCAAATTAGGAAAAATGAAAAAGAGACGGAAAAAAATTGAAAACATTATTTTGAAGACTTGTAGCCAAGAAAAATTAGAATTTGGTCCAAACTGTAGAAAATAATAAAAATTGGAAAAAAACATTAGGCAAGACTAGAATCTAACAACAGATATATAATCATTTTGAAATAATTTTTTTCTCTCTCCAGTTCCCCATTTTACTAAAGATAAATCATGGTAGGGCTGGTTTGGTTATTATACTTGGCCTAAGTATTTGTATGCAGTGCAGCAAAAATAATTATTATTTTTACATAGGCTTTTAAATTGGCTTTGATGGAACTTTGTTCCATAAGAGGAATCTCAGATAAGACTTCTTAAAGCCCAGCCCAGCCATGGATTGTGCTATCAAATACCCATGAGTTGGGTGAAATTTCCTGCTGTCAGGGTTTCAAGATAAACCTGGGACTTCTGTGCCTGTCAGTAAGTGACATTCTTTACTTACCATGGGTCAGAAACCCTATACAGTGTGTACACAAAATATGAGGCTAATTTTTCCAAGGTCTTATTGGCTCTATAAGTCAAGTTTGATTCCTTAAAGGAAAGCACACCATTCCAGTCAAAGCCTTGGTAAAAGAACCAATTTCTCCAATTGCATCCTGTTAAAATGAAAACAGATTCTTATTGCACTTATGCAAATAACTGTGTTGCTGTAAGTTAAGAATACTCGCAAGTACTTTACAATTCTGGAGAAATCAGGTAGAGAGAAACAAATGTGTTCCAAATTTTGTTCACAGGAGTGTACTAAATTGTTAAAGCTGTCAATAGCTCAAAAGAAAAGTTTTTAAGACCTTGAAAAACAAAAGAAAGGATCAGCAAACAAATTCAGAAAAAAGTCAGGCAGGGTGCAGTGGCACACTTCTGTAATCCCAGCACTTTGGGAGGCCAAGGCAGGTGGATCACCTGAGGTCAGGAGTTCGAGACTAGCCTGACCAACATGGCAAAACCCAATCTCTACTGAAAATACAAAAATTAGCTGGGTGTGGTGGCGCATGCCTATAATCCCAGCTAGTTGGGAGGCTGAGTCAGGAGAATCGCTTGAACCCAGGAGGTGGAGGTTGCAGTGAGCCAAGATTATGCCACTGCACTCCACCTACATGATGGGAGCGAGACTCCATCTCAAAAAAAAAAAAGAAAGGAAAAGAAAAGAAAAAAAAGAAAGTAAACAGAGCAAGTGACCTTGAAGAGAAGAAAAAGAAAAAAACCAGAAAAAGAAAAATATTCAGATAACAGATGAGAATTTTTTTTTTTTGAGACGTAGTCTCAGTCTGTTGTCGAGGCTGGAGTGCAATGGCGTGATTTCCGCTCGCTGCAATCTCCACCTCCCAGGTTCAAGTGATTCTCAGGCCTTAGCCTCCCGAGTAGCTGAGATTACAGGTGCCTGCCACCATGCCCAGCTAATTTTTGTATTTTTAGTAGAGATGGGGTTTTGCCATGTTGGCCAAGCTGGTCTCAAACTCCTGACCTCAAGTGATCCGCCCACCTTGACCTCCCAAAGTGCTGGGATTACAGGCATGAGCCACCTCCCAGCCCCCCATAAAGTAATTCTTTAAAAGAAAATTGAATTGAGTCATTAGAGATGACAAAGGAGAATTTAAATAATTTATCTGATTCAAGTAATTTTTCATTTAAAACATAAAAACCAGGACAGAATGTCTTGAAAAGAGATCAGAGAACAGAAAAATTGTTTGGAAATGAAAAATATGATTGCTTCCCCCCAAAAAATCTTTCAAAGAAATTATTTTAAAATTGATAAAAAATAACTTATACAAGGTGAAAAAGTATATTTCCTGAGTGAGATAGGAAAATATTTTTTAAAAACTACAAGAAAGAAGTAATCCAGGATATCTAATATTAGACCAGCAAGAGTTTTTAAAAGAGAGAGCAGTGAAATGAAGGGAAATCATCTGTGCGTCTGTGTGTGATTTTTGTAAAATCATTTTTTAAAAACTTTTCTCAGAACTAAAAATGTTATGTCTTGAGGTTGAATTCCAAGCAGGATAAAAATAAAGAAGCCTGAAATGCATCTTTGTGAAACTTCAGAACAGTAACTAACAATAAATGGAAGATCCTAAAAATCTTACAAAGGCAAAAAACAGCCCAGCAGCTAAGGAGCAGGAGCTAGACTGCAGCAGAGTTTTCTTATCAGCAGCACAAAATGTTAGAAAACATTGAAGCAATACCCTCCAATTCAGAGGGAAAACAATTTTGAAAGTTCAATAATAGGTGTAGACAAACAATAAATGATGAAAGAGAAAATAATACATTTGATGCGATACTGGAAATTCACCTCTCTCATACCTTTCTTCCCCTCCCCAGGAGTTTACTGGAGGTTATACTCCAGTCAAAGAAGATGGAAACCAAGAAAGGACACATTTTGGAGATTAGCACTGGCTCCAGGAACCCAGTGAACAGAAGACTCAGGCTGAAGGCTTGTGCATTCAGCCCAGAGAAAATCCACTTAAATTCAGAACAATTAAGGACTCTGGGGAAGAAGGACTTCACATGGTAGTGTGATTGGAAGGCAGATAAATTTTAGGACACAATGGAAGTTCCTAAGATTTTTTATCCTTTTCCAATAGGAAGGATAAAAAAATCATCTAAAACTAGAGGAAAAATCATCTAAAACAAGGTATAAAGAAATGGCTCACGTGTGACCCTTATTTTACTGTGACATGGAGCATTTGATGAAGGATGTGGGAAGGGAGCCTGCTTAACTATGAAGTGAGTAGCATCGCCCCAGGAGCACCATGACAGATGCACAGGACATGGAGGGAAGGAAATGGCATCCTGGCACAGCCCTGGCTCTACATTGAGCAATGTAGACAAAATCATAAAGGCTGCTCTAGTTTTCTACTTTTAGAATCAACCTACAGACATGTAAGACTTAATTGTAGTTGTAGAATAAAAGATAAAAGATTATTGGCTTTCATAACAATAAAGTCCTAACAATGATTCACAGTTATTCCATGAATAAGGGTAGGGGAAAAGAGGGAGGAATGTAAGGCATTTTATATGGAGCAAGGGAGGCAAAAGACGTTGACAGAGGCTTATGGAACAACACACACACGCACACAAATAGAAGGAATATATTGCTTAAAATGACAAAAATAGCCAACATAGGCTGGGTGCGGTGGCTCATGCCTGTAATCCCAGCACTTTGGGAGGCTGAGGCGGACGGATCACTTGAAGCCAGGAGTTCAAGACCAGCCTGGCCAACATGGTGAAACCCCGTCTCTACTAAAAATACAAAAATTGACTGGGCGCAGTGGTGTGCATCTGTAGTTCCAACTACTTGGGAGGCTGAGGCAGGAGAATCACTTGAATCCGGGAGGCGGAGGTTGCAGTGAGCCGAGATCACGCCACTGCATCCTAGCCTGGGTGACAGAGTGAGACCGTCTGAAAAAGAAAAAAGCCAACATAGGAATTTTTAAAATAATATATAATTACCAAAAATTGGGGAAAATAGAGACAGGGAAGGCAGTTCTATAAGCGAGATAAATCTTTATCTTTTGTATCAGAAAGTCAATAAATATTGTCTGAATTTGATTGGTTATTTCCATTTTTATGAAATGTCTACAATAGGCAAATCTATAGAACCAGTAAAGAAATTAGGAATTCCTGTGGCTGGGACTGAAGAGTGAAATCACTGCAAGTGGTCAAGAGGGATCTTCTGAAGTGATAGGTGTGTTCTAAAATTGGGCTGTGGGGATGCTTGCACAACTCTGTAACTTTGCTAAAATTCATTTCATTACACATTTAGTGAGTTTTATGATATGTACATTACCCATCAATAAAGCTGTGTTAAAAAAAAGGCTGATTTTTTAGGCTGGGCGCAGTGGCTCACGCCTGCAATCCCAGCACTTTGGGAGGCCAAGGCGGGGGGATCACAAGGTCAGGAGATCAAGACCATCCTGGCTAACATGGTGAAACCCCGTCTCTACTAAAAATACAAAAAATTAGCCGGGTGTGGTGGCGGGCACCTGTAATCCCAGCTACTTGGGAGGCTGAGGCAGGAGAATGGCGTGAACCCGGGAGGCAGAGCTTGCAGTGAGCGGAGATCATGCCATTGCACTCCAGCCTGGGTGACAGAATGAGACTCTGTCTCAAAAAAAAAAAAAGGCTAATTTTTAAAAAGGTCAAAGAAGAGATGTGAAAATATATTATTTAGAGTTCTGTAGGCAACCAACAGGAATAAAAGTAGAAATGTTTTCTGGGATGATCTAGGAGTTGCTAGGGTGAGGAAGTGTGAAATGGAGGCAGCTGTTTATCAGTTATGTTTTTATCAGTTTATCAGTTCTGTTTTTCTATACTATTTCCATTTTGTTTATCAATGCATGTATTACCTCAGTTCATTATTAGAGATTTTTTAAAACTTTAGATTTCTTAATGCAGAAAAAAATGTTTCTTGTTTTTAATCTTTTAGAATTTAAATATGAGTAATGATGGCATGTGAGTAAATGAATAGAATTTATTTTTTCTCCTAAAGACCAAGGCCAAGGGGCAAACTCTCTTACAAACCACCGCTCATAACTTGATGTGGACAAGAGCTCAACTGGGCATCGCCAAAAGTCCATGCCACTCCCAAAATAGAATGGAGGCAAGGAGACTAAGCAACTGATCTTTCTGGGAATGACATTTGGTGCAGCTGTGTTAAGCGGTTGCCATGGACTAATACAGAAAACATAAATAATCTCAGAGAAGCAAGTGCCCGAGAAAAACGAGATGACACAGGAAGTTGCTAATGTTATCAGCTGTCTTCATCTGTTTATATAAGAACGCTGCCAAAGTAACCATCTATGTGCCCAGGTTTTAAGCCGCATGACACAACCTCTTTACCCTGAGGTGAGAGTGACATGGTGGCCAATGAGAGGCCATCACTGTGGAAAACACATATTAAGACTTTTTGAGATATGAAGTAATGGGATAGATCATGAGGACTTGAGGCTACAAGCTGACGACCTTGCAGTTGGTTCAAAGAGCTTGGGGACTTTTCAGTGTAATTTTGCTAGGTGACGAATCGGAAGCTTTCACACCTGCATTCCCTTTCTTTTTTTCTTATTTATTTATTTATTTATTTGAGACGGAGTGGTGCCCTGTTGCCCAGGCTGGAGTGCAGTGGCGCAATCTCAGCTCACAGCAACCTCCACCTCCCAAGTTCAAGCAATTCTCCTGCCTCAGCCTCCCAGTAGCTGGGATTACAGGCTCCCGCCACCACGCCTGGCTAATTTATTACTATTATTATTATTATTATTATTATTATTATTATTTTTGGTAGGGACAGGGTTTCCACATGTTGGCCAGACTAGTCTTGAACTCCTGACCTCAGGTGATCCACCCACCTCGGCCTCCCAAAGTGCTGAGATTACAGGCGTAAGCCACTGCGCCCAGCATTCCCTTTCACATAAAATGCTACGTGAATGGTGGTAATAAAACAGTCAGAGCGATTCCATGCAACCCAACAGATAACGTGGTTTGTGCATTTTTTCTATCCATGAGGGAATGAGAAAGGCTATTCCTGCCTTTCCGTCAATTCCATTCAACCAAATATTTCCCATTTTAACGTGAAATCAGACCTCTCATGGGTTGGTCTGTTGTTGGAGTGACCACACTCACTTACTCCACTTGCTCCGAGGTTCCTCTCATTACCTGAACATGCACACGGGGCCCAGCAGGCACTGAGGAAAAGGTTGAGTGGCACTTGTCATCTGCATGCCTCCCAGGTGGGTCCTGCTCAGGGAGGAGTGTCCAATAACCTTGGTGACAGCCACAGCCTGGCAAGATTCATGCCGCAGACAACACGGTGCCCGAATCCCTTCCTTATAATTCCCCAGGCATGGGGTTAGTAGACAAAGCCAGTGAAGCTGATAAGAGAAGCAACATGTAAAAGGGGAGGGCACCACGTTGTCCCCTAAGACAAGAATGGAAATGGTTTAATGAGTTTGTTACTTACTATCTACATGATGTTAAAACCAATCCAGGCAGGGCAAAATAGGTCAGAGCCTTTTCACAAAGCCAGTACTTTGTGTAGTGAGATTTTAAAGACATTACCCTGTCAGTGAGAGAGAGAGAGCTACAGTTAGACAAACATGATAAGACAAAGAGCTAAATATAAAATAAAAAATGCAGATGTGAAATCATATTTGCAAGTCTTTCTTTTGCTGTCAGTAGTTGGTAATTGGTTGTAGCCACCCAGATGCGAGTCAGATACATACAACCGTAAGTACCACTTAAAATTTCAGTGGCTAAAGAATCTTGCCAGAAAGAATTTTTTAGTCAAAATTCCTAAACATTTCTCATTGTGCCAAAACGTACATATTTGCTTATAATATATCAAAATAAAAATGAGAATTTCCTTCATTTCTGGTGTTGTGAAAAGTTCCTGATAGATATCTCATGGAGACCAGGTTCCAAGAGCATTTCCTGTGGCCTTACTGCAGACAGCAGATCATTTCAGCCTCCACTCAGGCGAATGCTTAGTGGCTGGGAGTGTGCACGCTCTGGTTCAAGTGCAGTGAGGGTGGGGTACTAGACTCACCACTTCCTAGCTGTGGGGTGTTACTCCAGGCCTTTAAACTTTTATCAGAAACTCAAGCCTTCAAGCTTTCATCTCTTCCATCTCTGCACCTCACAGGACTACCATGAGCTTAAATGAGAGCACACATAAAATATGGTAAGAAACGGGTATGATTATTTTTCCTATTTTATAATTGAAGGCACTGAGGCCAAGAGAAGTGAAGTGGCTCCAAGTCACAAAGCCTTGGGTCACAAAGCTGGGATCTGAAGGCAGACTGTCAATAGTAAGGTTGTTATACACAGTAAATGAGTTAATTCATGGAAAGCTCTTAGGAAAGCCTTGGTTATGAGAAAGCTCTCAATAGAGATTAGCTGTTTTATTATGACTTCATTCGCTTTCACGCTATTTAAGCCTTTTCCTTTATTTCACTTCAAAAATGAGGGCTTGGTGGGGCTGGGCGCAGCGGCTCATGCCCGTAATCCCAGCACTTTGGGAGGCCGAGGCGGGTGGATCATGAGGTCAGGAGATTGAGACCCTCCTGGCTAACATGGTGAAACCCAGTCTCTACTAAAAATACAAAAAATTAGCCGGGCATGGTGGCAGGCACCTGTAGTCCCAGCTACTCGGGAGGCTGAGGCAAGAGAATGGCGTGAACCTGGGAGGTGGATCTTGCAGTGAGTTGAACTTGCGCCACTGCACTCCAGCCTGGGCGACAGAGCGAGACTCCGTCTCAAAAAAAAAAAATGAAGTCTTGGTATATGTGTTCACATAGTCTCTAAGGCTGTACATTTTGAACTTGTTCCATTTCTCTGACCTTGTAACCCAGGCTTTTGGGAAAGCTGTATTCTCCAGCGGATGTGAAATAGAGATGGCAGTAACAGTAACGTAGATATAAAAATAACTCTTCCAAGTGGATCAAGTCACTGGTGAAGGAATGCATGTAAATCCTTGCAAGCCTCTTGGGCAGTCTGGTTGCTCACTAAATGTTTTTATTTAATGAAACTTGATGGTGATTTTTAAATCTCATCCTTTTAGGGTTATGTACCCCATAATAAAGGAGAAATGATGTATGGACTTTTTTTTTTTTAACAAAAGAATGAAAGCCCGATTTATAAAGTAAACATTGATGGCAAGGTTTACATAAATGGAGCAATCTCTCCTACATAAAAGGAGAGATTGCGGTGGAATTAGGTATGAGGGATGGAGAATCTCTTTCCTCTGTTCACCATGGCAGATACAACTTGTGCTGTTCCCGGCTGTTTTTTGAGGTGCCATAAGGATCAAAACAGCAATCTGTCAGTAAGTTGGTAAGTTCCATGGGGCCAACCTAAGTTTGATCCCAGCTTCCACGGTCACTAAGCCCAGGACTGTGGGCAAGTTTCCTCATCTGTGATATGGGGATAATGACAGCACCAAGCTTTTAAGTCTGTGTGGGGATTAAGTGAGATAAATGCAAGAGAGTGTGAGAAAAGGGCCTAGGATGAAGCATGCATTCTACCTATTGACTATTAGTAGTATCCATCCTCCTTATTAAAGCACACTAACAACAAAGCTATTACATGAAGACACATAAAAGCAAACTTGAAAGAGATGGCAGGAACTTCAATACTCCAGTGGCAGGAGGCAGCCTCTGTGCTCACACTGACTGCCAGGTGCCCGTGAAATAGCTACTTCCAAGAGCTGGTAATAGAGTTGAAGCGAAACTCCAGCTCCAGTACCTCCATTTCCTTAGAACTAAAATGTGGAACGTGGCTGGGTACGACAACTCCGGCCTGTAATCCCAGCACTTTATGTGGCCAAGGTGGGAAAATTGTTTGAGGCCAGGAGTCTGGGATCAGCCTGGGCAACATAGCAAGACCCCCATCTCTATTAAAAAAAAATCTTAAAAAAATTAGCCATGCATCGTGGTACACGTCTGTAGTCATAGCTACTCAGGAGGCTGAGGTGGGAGGAGGCTGAGGTGGGAGGATTGCTTGAGCTCAAGAGGTGGAGGCTGTAGTGAGCTAAGATTGCGCCACTGCATTCCAACCTGGGTGACAGAGTGAGACCCTCTTTCAAAATAGATAAATAAATAAAATGTGGAGCATACAGCTATAAACTTTCTAAAACTGAGCGTGTTACATTAAAATGGGAATTATACTTTTGAAACTACTTTTAAAAATGCTTGTATTCTTAGAAAAAGACCATTTTAATGCAGTTCAGATGAAATATCAGAAACTTTTCATGAAGAAACCATCAGAATTAAAGAATGGTATTTGATTATGATATGATTGCCTAATAATTATTGTTTGCTTGGGTTTTTTTTTTTTTTTCCAGAATCCTATTTCTTTTCTTTTCTTTTTCTTTTTTTTTTTCTTTGAGACAGAGTTTTGCTCTTGTTGCCCAGGCTGGAGCGCAATGGCATGATCTCGGCTCACCACAACCTCCACCTCCTGGGTTCGAGCGATTCTTCTGCCTCAGCCTCCCGAGTAGCTGGGATTACAGGCATGCGCCACCATGCCCCGCTAAATGTTGTATTTTTAGTAGAGATGGGGTTTCTCCATGTTGGTCAGGCTGGTCTCGAACTCCTGAGGTCAGGTGATCCGCCCCCCTTGGCCTCCCAAAGTGCTGGGATTACAGGCGTGAGCCACCGCGCCCAGCCTCAGAATCCTGTTTCTATTTAACATCGTCCTTCAACCGGCTCTGAAATTGAATTATGGGAGAAAGCCAGTTACGAAGGCACAGAACCAGACCGTGGTGTTGTGCTGGGTCTGTTCATGAGCACAGACATTCTTCCCCTCTTTTTAGGCTGAGCACATGATGCCTCTCTCGGCTTCAAAGCAAGCCCTGGAATATGACTTTCAGCATCTGCTCCTCCCACAGACAATTCCCCTATGCCCTCCCAACTCTTATCCCACCTTCCCTCAACTGCCTGGCTCACTTTTTATCCTCATTTAACTTTCCAGAGGGAATTCTTTGCATAATCAGTCTCTTGACGTATTTTACTAAAGTCACAAACTGACTTGTTTGTGAAAGTCTCGTAGAAAATGGGGTGGTGGGGGAGTCCAAGAAAACATTGTGGTGAATTGCATGGGAAAATCTGTCAACTCACTCATACTAAGGTAAGTAGAAGAAAATTTTCTTAATAATATTTGTCCAGCTAGGAAACACTTTTTCACTTGTCTTTGGTCACCAGCTTATGTTCTTCATGAGTGACATGGCAAATCCGGTTGACACACCAGTTGGGCATGACTGGTCCCTTCTTTCTGGCTTTCTCTCAGACCTAAGGGGAAAACATGGGGACCCTCGTCTACAAGCATTCTTGGGGATGGCCAGGGAATGCCCAGGCAACATGCACAGCACATAACGAGGCTTAACACAATGTCTGTTCTCAGTTGCTTGGCTATACAGGGTGCATTAACAAAGTGGTAAGCAATGGCTGGGTACAGTGGCTCACGCCTGTAATCCCAGCGCTTTAGGAGGCCAAGGCGGGCAGATCACGAGGTCAGGAGATCGAGGCTGTCCTGGCTAACACGGTGAAACCCTGTCTCTACTAAAAATACAAAAAATTAGCTGGGCGTGGTGGCGGGCGCCTGTCGTCCCAGCTACTTGGGAGGCTGAGGCAGGAGAATGGGGTGAACCCAGGAGGCACAGCTTGCAGCGAGCCGAGATTGTGCCACTGCACTCCAGCCTGGGTGACAGAGCAAGACAACGTCTCAAAAAAAAAAAAAAGTGCTAAGCAACAACAGAGACTTAGCATATCAGTGTCACACGGTGAGTGTGTGTGTGTGTGTGCGTGTGCTGCACACTACAGATGTGTGGATGTTGGGTTCTGTTCAGTTTCACTTTAATGTCGGTGTGAACCCCTCACTGTGTGTGTGGGTGTGTATGTGTGTGTCTGAGAGGATGCCAATGATGGTGAACATCGGTGAACATCCCGTTCAAAAATTGGGAAAAATGAAGGATAAGTGATGGGCATTGCTCTCTTCTCACTCATTGATTCTCCTTTCTCCAGCCCTGTCTGCTGGCACCTCTCTTCCTGTTAAGCCTCAGCTCAAGGTGATTATTGAATTCAAAGATTTAACAAGCTCACCACAGACAATACCAAAAGGGTTTCACTCCCTGACCATTCACCCAACCTCCCACTATCCAAGTTCCCTGCTGGGACACATTGCTCACTTGTAAAGCCCCAAAGGTAGATGAAGAAGATGGTCTTGTTTCTTTGCACTTCCACTCCTCACTATCCCCAATAGAAAGTTGTAGGAAGATACCCAAAATCCCTCTTCTCTTTTATTCCAGTCCAATTACTTCAATCACAAGGAATGGAGAAGAACTGGATGAATTATGATTCTCCCTGCACCCTGTGTTCTCTTGTTGACTTTCATTGGAATTTTGTTTTCTGTCCTACTAATTCTTTTTCCTGGGATCTTTAAACAGCCAGAGTAAAGAAGGCATCCAAGAAGTTTCTTCATTTCCCCTTTCCTTAAAAGTCAAACATTTGGACTGGACACGGTGGCTCACACCTGTAATCCCAGCACTTTTGGAGGCCAAGGTGGGTGGATTACCTGAGGTCGGGAGTTCAAGACCAGCCTGGCCAACATGGGGAAAGCACATCTCTGCTAAAAATACAAAAATTAGCTGGAAGTGGTGGTACGTGCCTGTAAACCCAGCTACTTGGGAGGCTGAGGCAGGAGAACCTGGGAGATGGAGGTTGTGGTGAGCCGAGATTACACCATTGCACTCCAGCCTGGGCAACAGAGCGAGGCTCTGTCTCAAAAAAAATAAATAAATAAAATAAAAGTTAAACATTGGAGTTCCGGCCGGGCGCGGTGGCTCACGCCTGTAATCCCAGCACTTTGGGAGGCCGAGGCGGGCGGATCACGAGGTCAGGAGATCGAGACCATCCTGGCTAACACGGTGAAACCCCGTCTCTACTAAAAATACAAAAAATTAGCCGGGCGAGGTGGCGGGCGCCTGTAGTCCCAGCTACTCGGGAGGCTGAGGCAGGAGAATGGCGTGAACCCCAGGGGGCGGAGCCTGCAGTGAGCCGAGATTGCGCCGCTGCACTCCAGCCTGGGCGACAGCGAGACTCCGTCTCAAAAAAAAAAAAAAACATTGGAGTTCCATAAAAAGTCAACAAAGAAAATGAGGGAAGGGACTCCTCAAAGAAATAATGTAACAAAATCTCTCAGAACGAAGAGTCATGAGATTCCAGATGGAAAGAGCCAGCCAAGTAGCCACGCAATTTAAGAGCACCATCATACCAGGGCACTTTGTCCGAAATTTTCAGAATTCCAGGACAAAGAGAAGAGGTTTAAAACTTCTAAAGGTAAGAAAAAAGAAATTCCATGTAACTTCAGAGATCTCAACAGCAGTAGTGGAAGCCAGAAGGCAATGGAACAGTGGCTTTTAAAATTTTAAAGGAAAATGTTTTCCATCTTAAAATTACATAAGCCCAACTGTAAATCAAGCATGAGGACATATAATGGCATTTTTAAATGTACAAGTTCTCAAACTTTTTTTTTTTGGCTCTTACAGCCTCTTGCAGAAAGCTAACAAAAGATGAGTTCCACCAAAAGGAGCAGTTTATTCCAATAAAGAGGAAGACATGGGGTAAAAGAAAAGAGAAATCAGAACAGGAAGAGGCAAAGCATGGGTGATGAGAAATCCCAAGACCAGCTGTGTGCCCAGTGCAGACAAGAAGTCCAGTGTAGAGGAAATTAGAAGAGATGGCTCTAGAAAAATGAAATTAATAGATCACCTGATGTATCCGAAAGTCTTGAGGGAAAACTTAGACAATTTGGGAAATTTTTGAGTGGAATTAATAAAAAGACCAAAAAAAAATCAAGAGAAAAAGATTATTAACTCCAAGAAAAACAAAAGTTTATTCAGAGACAAAAAATGATCATAATTTACTACATGGATGGCACCACTGTGACTAGCATTTACATGTAAATGGTGAATATTGAGGTAATTATTCTACAACAGAACTATTTTGGGAGTTGGGAGAATAGGAAGAGTCTGCGTGGTGGTAGAGGGGGCGGAAGCAACAGTCAAATGATCAGCTTTTGCAGGAGAGAGATCACCTACAACTGAAAAGGTGAAAAGTAGAAAGACAAGCAGCCATTCAGAGAAATGGAGGTAAAACTTCCTTACTTGCTGAAAGTAGGAAAAGTGGTGTCTCTGGGAGGAGAAAATAAGGGGAAAGGGGGGGTAGAGCCTATTGTTTTTCACAACCAGCTTGTTCGCTTAAACTCTGGTTATGTATAACTTTGGTAAAAACTAAGGCAAGCATATGCAAAAATATTCAAACTAACAGAGGAATTAGCATTGAGAGCATTTGCTCCCGGTACCATAAAACCTGGAGTTTCCAACAAAATTTCTGTCCAAACTGGCTTCAATTAGGAAAAAAACAAAAATTTAGACATATACTTAAAGTCATGGGAGTTAGAAATTACTGGAGTTTTCTGGAACTGCAAATCTTCTGGAAGTAATAAAAATTAAGAAAGATACTGGAAGCGAAAAGTAGAGTGGCTCATATGAGTTTTAAAGAGCTGAAATTATTTTATGAAAATATGAATTGTAATTGTGGGTTGGCTGATGTCTTCAGTGCCTAAGCACAAGTGTTTTCACATAAGGCAAACCATGTGATAGGTTATTTCTCTCCACAGTAAAGGATGACCTTGGACCCACATAAGGGTTGATGTTGAGACTTGGGCTATATTTGACCATTCTTCAATTTACTTCTAATTTGTGATTAGAAATGATCTAAACTCCAGACATGCCCAGGAGTTCTAAATCTCAGTTTTCAAGAAAGAAAATTCAGTCTGGCGAGTTACAAGTGACAGGCGGTTCAAGAAGGAATCGTCAGGGACTTGCAACCCTCTGGGTGGCTGAGAAGAAAAACAATCACTAAGAACCAGGAATCAAAGACTAGTTAGTCACTGTCTTATTATGAAGTAGTAAGAACAAGAAACTCATCACACAAACGACTGTCTGGCCCTACAGTGACTGACGGTGCACTCTGCTCCCATCTCTTGGGGTTTTAGTGAATTGTACTTTGCCAGCGAAGTTGGGAAAATGCATAAAAACAATCTCATCCCATCTTGGGTGGGCAGGACAATCAGAAAGAAAATATAATAAACCAATTCATGGGAATGGTAGGGGAGCATCCTGTAACGTTCAAAGCCAGCACACATGAGCCAGGATGTCAGTCATATAAAATCAATAAACTAGTGCTGGATTCCAAGACGGCAACTCTATTTTTTCTTCTCTGAAACATTCCAACCCAAAAGGCTCTGGAAGTAGCGTCCTGGGCCAATTTCCTAATCCCAAGAACTCTTCAGCAGGCTATCCAGAGATAATGTCATTAGAAATGCTAGACTACCTTCTTGGTTGATTTAAAGTCTGATATGAAGTCAACTGCAGCTATAAAACTGGACAATAAATCCTAATCTTGCCCCCTGAAGACCAAGAGAAAGAAAAAAGCGTTCTTCAGATCAGCATGGATTTCTTCGTGTTTCGTGAATTATAATAGTAAAATAGTAAGTCTCACTCTTCGTCCAACCCCAGAAGCCGTGCAGCTGTTGTTAGACGAGGCAAGCCTAACTCCTTGTGCATCAGTCAGGGCCACAGCAGGACACAAAAGTTCATTCAAAGGCCTGCTTTATAAGATGTAAATGCAAGGACTCTTTTTTTTTTTTTTTTTTTTTTTTGAGACGGAGTCTGCTCTGTCGCCCAGGCTAGAGTGCAGTGGCGCGATCTCGGCTCACTGACTGCAAGCTCCACCTCCCGGGTTCACACCATTCTCCTGCCTCAGCCTCCGGAGTAGCTGGGACTACAGGCGCCCGCGACCACGCCCAACTAATTTTTTGTATTTTTAGTAGAGACGGGGTTTCACTGTGTAGCCAGGATGGTCTTGATCTCCTGACCTTGTGATCCGCCCACCTCAGCCTCCCAAAGTGCTGGGATTACAGGCATGAGCCACCGCGCCCGGCCCAATGCAAGGACTCTTTACAGAGCTGTAGACCACATTAAATGTAGGCAACATGAAAGATGCTGAGGCACTCAGAGATTAGCAAGATTAGAAAACCATTGTGGCCCCTCCTCTTGAAGGAGCAAGGAGAGAAAAGAGTGTGATCAGAGCTCAGTAGCTATAATTTTGGAGGGACACAGTTATTGTCTGAACAGGGTACTGACATGGGGAAGGAAAGGGGAAGAAAGATCCTAACCCCTCTCTCCTCCTGATATCCATCCTCTCGTGCCTTGAAGCTAGCCCACAAGAAGCTGAAAAGCCAAGTTCAGAGGGGTTGGTTTCCCAGCATTCAGACAGAAGAGTGGGAAAAGGGGTGAGGTGGGCAGAAGGAAGAAACAACACACCTTGGACTTGATTTGGAGCCTGCCTGAAATTGATTTTTCAGAAGCTGAAAAAGTATGTATATGTGCGCGTATGTGGGGATGTGGGTGTATAATGGAGATTAATGGATATACCATGCACGCATACACACACACACACTAGTAATCTTAGTATCTTTAAAGTGATCTCAGTTTGTGTATAGTCACAAAACATAAGCACTGTAGGTTATAAAATTATGGATGTCATAGCATGCCCCCCGTATGCTCCAAGATTTCCATTCCGTCTGGAATGAGGGGCCCAAGTATTTATATTTTCTTTTTTTTTTTGAGACAGAGTCTCCCTCTGTCACCAGGCTGGAGTGCAGTGGCATGATCTTGCCTCCTGGGTTCAAGTGATTCTCCTGCTTCAGCCTCCTGAGTAGCTGGGATTACAGGTGCCCGCCACCATGCCCCGCTCATTTTTGTATTTTTAGTAGAGACAGGGTTTCACCATGTTGGCCAGGATGGTCTCGATCTCTTGACCTCGTGATCTGCCCACCTCTGCCTCCCAGAGTGCTGGGATTACAGGCGTGAGCCACCTCACCTGACTAAAGTATTTATATTTTCAACAGCTCATGATTGATTCACTGCACATAGGATTTTTAGAGCCATTCATTTCATTAGACTAATATCAGTCATTCGCCTCTAAGAAAAATGTAGTTAAGCAGATTATTTTCCCTCTAATGATTAGGTCAGACCCTCGTGACCTAGAAGGAGAAAGAAAGGGAAAGAGGGGAAAGGTATCTAAGAAGGAATATAAGGCAGAGAGGGGAATTTAAGACAGAAAAGATAGTTTCTGAAAGAAACAGAAGAAGAAAGGATGGGGAGAAGTGACTAAATCGGAATCAGAAATGTGAATGTGTGTACTTAACATTGTATCAGAAGTCTTATGTAAGTTCAGTTTAAAACCTTTTAAAATTCTAAACACTCATGAGATTATGATCATCTGCTGATAAGGCTTAGAAGGTCTAGGGACAATGACATCCCAGCAGCCAGAGTCCAGATCTTGGTTTCTACATACCATTCTGCACTAAGAGGAACCAGGGTTTTATGGAGAAATATCTGATTCTAGGGCCAATCTGCAGAATGTATCTGGTGCATCTTGTATGCCAGAATATGAGAAAGTGCCCAAACAATGACAACAAAATGGGAGCGTGTCAAAGGGACGCAGGATCCATCCTGGAAATGCTGCCAATGGCCAGAGCTGGGACAATCTGAGCAACAGAATAAATAATGAAGTACTGGATATAGCCCACAGTATAAAATAAAAATAAAAATATGCAAGTCCAGAGTTATATAAAGAATGATCGAATACATAAATTAATGAGGGGGAAAAGACAAATTTTTCTTACAGAAAAATTCCATACAATATATGTGGGTATTCCCCTCTGTAGTAGGTGTAGCTCAGTTGCCCTCCCTTGAGAGTGGTCTGGGTTTAGTGACTCCCTTCCAAAGAATAGAAAATGAAAGGAGACAAATAATAACTTTACAGTGGAGAAAGCTGCCAAGTACTACCTGAACCAAGAGATGAAGGTCAGCGTCACCAGCGATGTCTTGTAGATATCATGTACTCCCAATATGATATATGAGAAGGGCTCTTCTCCTCTGATATTCTTTCTAGGAACTCACAATCCCAATCAATTATAAGAACATCATACAAACCCAAATTAAGAGATATTCTTCAAGATACCTGACCCATGACTTCTAAAAACTGTCAAGGTTATGAAAAACAGGGAAAAGACTGAGAAACTGTCACAGACCAGAAGCAGCAAGGAGACAGGACCATGAAATGCAATGTGATGTCCAGGATGGGGCCCTGGAACAGAAAAAGGACATTAATGGAAAAAATATTGAAATTTGAATTAAGATCTGGAGTCTAGTTAATAGTAACGTAACAATGTTAATTTATGGAATTTCAAAATTATAACACCTTATTAAAATATCAAATATCCCTTAGAAATATTGATACTTCCCATATTATCTAAAGCAACGCTTTTAAGACATTGGCTTGAGCCCTAACTTCATTGAATTACAAACAGCTTTTTAAAAACTTATACTGCAAAAACAACTATGTAAGCCTTTGTGCTTCCTCATGTAGAGCGAACATCTGGATATTTCCATTTACTTTACTGAATTAAAACCAGCTCGTCCTCCAGGAAGCAAAAAGTAACTACCATATGAGTTCGCTGGCAAAAAGTTGCATAAATAAAAGCTCACATAAAATGTCTGCAATTTTCTTTGAACTAAAAATAAGCAAAATGAGTGATTGATGACTAGATCGCTGATGAATTCACCCTGGGAGACATTCCAGAAGCTCTGAAGATAATCATCAGCCTCCATGATAAATTTCAGACCATTGCCCCATGGGAAATTTTACTCTCTGAAGTGATAAAAGGTTTTGACTCATGCAAAGAATTCTCTTTAAAAGTTCAACTAGCAATTATTTGGATAATTTGAGTTACTATATAAAAATTAGGTATTGAAATGGACAGTGAGTGTGTGTGTTGGTGCATGAGAACTATGTGCTCAAACACATTTATGGCGCCTTTTTTCTTGATGAATCTCAAAGTACTTAACACACAGTAGTGACAATAAACGGTACACTTTCTACGGGCACCTCCTTCTGGAAAAAATGAACTGATTCAGGATGGTTATAGCTAGAGATCATTCATCCAAAAAAATTTCAGTTATAAGTCTTTTCCTTCCTAGAATAGTGAATCTGAATGATTCTCTGCTACGCCAATTTAAAGGAAATTTGCTAAACACAGTATTTTCTGAGTGTTTCTCATGGATTGATAAATGGTTTGTGAGGAGGGAGTACACTCCTCCTTCCCTGGGCATCGCTTGAGCACATGAATTTGAGACCAGGCTGGGCAACGTGGCAAGACCCCTTCTCTACAAAAAAAATTTTAAAAAATTACCCTGGCATGGTGGCACACACCTGTGGTCCCAGCTACTCAGGAGGCTGAGGTGGGAGGATTGCTTGAGCCCAGGAGGATGAGGCTGCACTGAGCCAGGTTCACACCACTGCACCCCAGCCTGGGCAACAGAGCAAGACCCTGTCTCAAAAAAAGAAAAGAAAAAGGTTATCTCTTAAATCCTTAAATTCATAAGCATCCTACATTACAATTATTCAGGCTACTAAGCTTAGATTTTTGCCCTAGCTAACAAGTTAAGAACCAAATTCCATGTTCAAGCACTATAGTCTATCCATAACTCTACTAGCCTCCATAGCAAGAAGATTCCCTTTTATGAGTTTGGTCTATTAAACTTACTAATTAGTTTTATTTTAAGCTGCTTCAAATTTGCAAAGGTATCAGTCATTAAATAAGTGACAACTTAAAGACCCAGTTTACTTTGATCCATGCTGGTTTTCTTCAGTACAAAGCCATAACCCACTTCATCATAGACCAGAGTTCAAAAATCTTTGCATCTTTGCCTCATTTTACTAAACAGTCATTGAAAAGATAAAAGTATAAAAGAAAGTGTATTTAACACAGAAAATACAAAGTCCTTGTTTTTAATTCACTTTCTTTAATTTTTTTTTTTTCTCTCATTGCCCAGGCTGGAGTGCAATGGCACCATCTCAGCTCACTGCGACCTCCACCTCCCATGTTCAAGTGATTCTCCTGCCTCAGCCTCCCAAGTAACTGGGATTACAGGCATGCGCCACCATGCCCCACTAATTCTGTATTTTTAGTAGAGATGGGGTTTCTCCATGTTGGTCAGGCTGGTCTTGAACTCCTGACCTCAGGTGATCCGCCCCCCCTTGACCTCCCAAAGTGCTGGGATTACAGGCGTGAGCCACCATGCTGGGATAATTTTGTATTTGTAGTAGAGATGGGGTTTCACTATGTTGGTCAGGCCGGTCTTGAACTCCTGACCTCAAGTGATCCACCCACCTCAGCCTCTCAAAGTGCTGGGATTACAGGCGTGAGCCACCACGCCCAGCCCACTTTCTTTAACTTTAATAGAATGAAAATACAAATCAAACCAATCCAATTTCTTGAGAATAAATTTTGAACTTGTAACACCATTTCAATATAAAAATGACACTTTGTTGCCTTTAGGTGTGTCTACTAATATTTTGCATGCTGGACTTCGTGGGTCAGGAGAACAGTAGAGACAGAGGTAAATAGTAGTTAGGCCAGGAAGCCAGGAAATCCACAGACCTCCTCCTCTGTCTGGCTGTCTTGTGGGGTTAAGTCAATCTCTTAGGAGCTGAGTTGGGCTTGGGTTTGTTGTTGCTTCGATACTTTCAGTGCATGGACTTCAATGCCCCCATCTGTGGGCTGCTGTTTCCTGTGTGCAGAGTGGGTCTGGCATGTTGGAGGGGCTTTCTCAGTGTTCTTGCTCCACTCCCAACTTCCAGCAACCCCTGGAAGCCTGTGCCACAGAGGGAGTTACTCTCCATGTTCCTGCCCTTGCCCCAGGGGTTGACGCTGGGTCTTGGTACTTGGAGGATTGGGTTGGGGCAGGAGAGCTCTCTGTTCTCTCCACCCAGGCTTAGTCTCAGGCCCTCCACTGGGCTAAGGAATGGGTGGGCTTTCTCACAGTCCCTCCCTCCTGCCCCATGGCATAGAATTCAGCCTTGGAGCTAGGTCAGGTGAGAGTGTCTGCCCCTCCCCCTGTGATAGCTGACTTCTGCATTGCACAGATTAATCCTGGCTTCAAGAAGGTGTCTCATCCCTCCTCCAGGTGCAAGGAAACTTAGTTTCTTCTTCTCCCAGAGACGCCAAGGTGCACAGCTCATGTCTCGGGGGCAGGAGAGTTTTCCATTCCTTCTCCAAGCCAGTGGGTTTTGCTTTCACCCCTCCAGTGGCAAAGGGTTCACTTTAGTCAGCTTGGGCAGCTATAACAAATGACCACAGACTGGACAGTTATAATATTTATTTATTTATTTAGAGACAAGCTCTTGCTCCATCACCCAGGCTGGAGTGCAGTGGCACAATCACAGCTTCCTGCCGCCTCAACCTCCTGGGTTCAAGCAATCCTCCCATCTCAACCTCCCAAGCAGCTGGGACCACAGGTGCACACCTCCACGCCTGGCTACTTTTTAAATTTTTTGTAGAGAAAGGGGCCTCACTATGTCCAGGATGATCTTGAACTTCTGGCCTCAAACGATCGTCCTGCTTTGGCCTCCCAAAGTGCTGGGACTACAGGTGTGAGCCACTGTGCCTGGCAGATCCCTCTTTAGAATCCTGTTGACTTGGTGGCCTTGTGACTTCACCTTTCTAATGGGCATCTACAAAGTTATGATCTTGCAGCTTATTTGGCTTCTTGTTCCCATTAGGGTAGGAATGATGTTCCTTTGTCATTTTCTACCTTCTAAGGGGAAGGACTCCCCAAAGGTGACATTTTGACTATGAGTAGGGTGCATACGTTGATCATTTTGCTGATGCCATTTTAGCTATAGATTCACAGTTCCCATTCCCTCACTTGCCCTGCTGGCATCCCACAACACACATTGGAAGCCACCGCCTGGGGCCAAGCTCTGATCTGTGGCCAGGGCTCATGCACCAATCAAACTCATAACCTGGGTTTAATCAGCACGATGCCGCACCACTTGGGTAACCAGCCACCCTGGTGAGTAATCAGATTATATGATGGGGTAGAGAATCTGAGCCTCCCACACGGTTATCACTTTTCACATCAGGGCTGTATTTTGGCAAAGATCTCATAAATTCTCACAACAGAGAAAAGCAAAGTGTGAGGCCTATGCAGTATAAAAAGAAATAGAGATGAATTGGTCTAGTAATTAACATTTAGTAACTTGACCATCATAGCCAATCCGAATGATTTAAGTCTGTCTATTAGCTATCTAAACCTACCCTGCGTCTGGTTTTGTGCCTTAGCTCCTAACAAACTTATACTTTTTCTTGAGATTTATCAATTCAGGAAAATATATAATGCAGTCCACATGGAAAATGGAGGCATGGTATTTTCCTGAAAGTTATCTGATGTTTTTAAACTATAGAGGCCATTGTAAAAATACCTTTACTAATAATCAGCTTTCGTAATGTTTTTAAGGTTAACTTGTCCTCGTGTCATGTATGTTTCTGGTTGGTGTTATATCAGACCTGGGATAACAAGCAGTGTCCATTTGAGCTGTCATGCTTTGCCAGTAAAAGTAATGCCAGTTTTCATTAAGTTGCTTGAAGATTGCACCCAAAAAATTTATTGTTTACATTTTTGAAGCAAGTTGTGTCTCAAGTTTAAATAACTGCAGAGAACTGTTTTCCCCTAAGGAGTAATAGATACAGTTACTGTGTTATAAGAGCCACATGCTGCAATTGTTTCTGAGGCAATTTTTGTAGTTTAAATTATAAACACCAGAAGTCAAATGTTTATCATCAAAGTCTTAAATTCTAGTATCACAAATCCTAGAATGCCAGCCAGGGAGCACATACCTTTCTAATTGAGTAATAGGCTAAGAGGACCTGTGCGGAGCTGAAGACAGACGCCTCAAATCGCGGGGGCACAGGGAGAGCGGTCAGATGTCCTGCAGGCAGAACCCCAGGGGAACCACTCCCAGGGGTGAAACCGTGCTGACTCGGAGGTAGTGTGCCACTTGGAAGCAGTGGGACCGTCTGGTGGTAGATGCTTCACTTCTTCATTTATGACTCCACATTCGTGGAAGAGAGCAAAGGTCTGTCTGGCTTTCTCATGTTCCCAGTTTTACAAATTTTCTTTTTGCAGAACAACAGAGCAGGAATGTGTTTCGAGGAGCCAACAAATCCAAACCCCTCTGCAGACAAGAAATGAACGACAATTTTATGTCTAAAATGAAAAGAGCTACCAATCATCTTTTAGATTAAAAAAAAAACTTATAGAAGGAACAACAAATGCTGGATGATAGTTATTTTACCTAAACCAAACTGTACCCCAAAATATAACTTTTGTACAAGTATATTAGCTTTCCTTAAGCATTGATAACAGATCATGCAATCTCATAATCTCATTTTTTATGCTAATGGACCCTTATCAATTGCCTGACTGTATATTTATTCTTTAATGATAACAGTTATTCAGAAGGTAAATATTTTGGAAAGAAGTAAAATTTTCTTCTATACCTTCTCTCAATTTTTCCCTTCACTTGAAAACATTTAAGAAACACTTTGATCAAAGAATTTCCAATTGACTAGAAATATAAAATGTTACATTTTTAGAGAAAATATGTTCACTGTAATTATCTAAGTTCTATGTTAGAAAACTATTGAGATTTTCCAATCACGTTGCATTGCTCAGATTTGTGTAAGCTATTTCAAAATACTGTCACATTTATATCAGGACTTCTTTTGTTTTAAGAGGTACTAAGTGTCAGTTCATTTACTCATGGCAGAATTGCAATTGATCTAACCACCAGCCAGAGTGACAGCTCCGAAGGAGGCCGTTTGTGCTTTTAACGTGGCTGGTTGGCTTTACGCTGGCAGCTCTTCAATATGCTTTAGGCACATCTGTTTCATGGCTTTATTTGGAAAATGAAAGGGTTGTGGGAGCCTGGAAGACATTGATGTTGTCACCAAATACGAATTCAATTTCTTGGTCTTTGAAACCGCCTCCCAAGACACAGTCTATGCATTTGATTCCATGTGGAACAGCTTAGGCAATTGACGAGGACTTCCATATTAGATCAGAACTGTTTTTCCAGATGCCACTTAAAAATAACAAACAGAGGCTTGGAGTCTGCTTCCCAGGGGAGGCAACATTTAGAACAATGCTTATCATTAAGAGCTCCAGCTTCTGCTGATGAAAAATGTTAATTTGTTCTCTGCAAAAGGTTACTGGGATATTTTGTACCTGTCAAAAGAGAGGTTAACAGAAAGTGTTGATGTGTTGATGCACAGCCTCCTTTATCCCTCTGCTGAGGCGCTGTGCCTGGCTTCAGGAGAGGGAAGCCAGGGACATGAACAGAGAGAAAGAATTAAAATTTGAGTCTGGAGGAAATGATTTCATTGGGGAAAAAAATAGATGAAAGGAAGTCTGTTTAAAAGGATGAGAATCCAAGGTATGGATTTCCTTTTCAGCATTTTTGCTTGGTTCTGTTTCTAGGCCCTTCTCTAATTCACTCAGCCAAAGTCATCTGCGTCTCCTCCACATTCCCATGACATTAAGTGCTTTTCTGAGGAGAATGATGTCACTGTGCAGTCATGCATTCTGTGATGAGGTTTCGGTCAATGCCGGACTGTACATATGGCAGTGGTCCCATAAGATTATAATGGAACTGAAAAATTCCTACCACCTAGTGACATCGTAGCTGTCGTAGCATTGTAGCGCAATATGTTGCTCATGTGTTTCTCGTGATGCTGGCGTAAAACAACCTGCTATGCTGCCAGTCATAAAAACGCAGTGGTCCCCTACCCCAGGGCCATGGACCAGTACCAGTCCATGGCCTGTTAGGAAGCAGGCCACACAGCAGGAGGCGAGTGGTGGGCAAGGGATCCTTACCACCTGGGCTCCGCCTCCTGTCAGATCAGCAGCAGCTTTTGATTCTCAAAGGAGCGGGAAGCCTGTTGTCAACAGTGAGTGCAAGGGATCTAAATTTTGCACTCCTTATGAGAATCTAACTAATGCCTGATGATCTGAGGTGGAACAGTTTCATCCTGAAACCATTCCCTCCCCTATCCCCCCAGTCCATGGAAAAAGTGTCTTCCACGAAATTGGTCCCTGGTGCCAAAAAGGTTGAGGACCACTGATATAAAAACATAGCACATACAGGTGGGGCACAGTGGCTTACGCCTGTAATCCCGGCACTTTTGGAGGCCAAGGCAGGGGGATCACGAAGTCAAGAGTTCGAGACCAGTCTGGCCAACATAGTGAAACACCGTCTCAACTAAAAATACAAAAAGTTAGCTAGGTTTGGTGGTGGGCGCCTGTAATCTCAGCTACTCAGGAGGCTGAGGCAGGAGAATCACGTGAACCCGGGAGGCGGAGGTTGCAGTGAACCCAGATCGCACCATTGCACTCCAGCCCAGGCGACGGTGGGAGACTCCGTCTCAAAAAAAAAAAAAAAAAAAAAAAAAAAAAAAATATATATATATATATATATATATATATATATATATATCTCACATACGATTATGTATAGTACATAATAATTGATAGAAAATAAACAACTGTATTACTGGTTATGTATTACTATACTTTTTATCATTAGGGCATACACGTTCTACTTACAAAAAAAAAGGTAACTGTGAAACAGCCTCAGGCAGGTCCTTCAGGAGGGATTCCAGGGGAAGGCATTGTTATCACAGGGGATGGAAGCTCCCTGCCTATTGTTTCCCTGAAGACCTCCCAGTGGGACAAATTGTGGAGAAGGAAAACAGTGACATGGATGATCCTGACCTGTGTAGTCCTAGGCTAATGGGTGTGCTTGTGTCTTGCTCTTTTTTTTTTTTTTTTTTTTTTTTGAGATGGAGTCTCGCTCTGTCGCCCAGGCTGGAGTGCAGTGGGGCGATCTCGGCTCACTGCAAACTCTGCCTCCCAGGTTCACGCCATGCTCCTGCCTCAGCCTCCTGAATAGCTGGGACTACAGGTGCCCGCCACCATGCCCGGCTAATATTTTTGTATTTTTTATAGAGACAGATTTCACCGTGTTAGCCAGGATCTCAATCTCCTGACCTCGTGATTCGCCCGCCTCGGACTCCCAAAGTGCTGAGATTACAGATGTGTCTTAGTCTTTAACTAAAAAGTAAACAGTTTTAAAACAGTTTTAAAAACAGATTTAAAAATAAAAAAAATGCTTGAAGGATAAAGATATAAAGAAAAAATATTTTTGTATAGCTGTACAATGTGTTTCTGTTTTAAGTGAAGTGTTATTGCAAGAGTCAAAAAGCTTTAACATTTTTAAAGTTTATAAAGTAACAAAGTTACAGTAAGTTGGGCCGGATGTGATGGCTCATGCCTGTAATCCCAGCACTTTGGGAGGCTGACATGGGTGGATCACCTGCAGTCAGGAGTTCGAGACCAGACTGGTCAACACGGTGAAACCCCGTATCTACTAAAAATACAAAAATTAGTTGGGCGTAGTGGCGGGCGCCTGTAATCCCAGCTACTCGGGAGGCTGAGGCAGGAGAATCACTTGAACCTGGGGGGCAGAGGTTTCAGTGAGTTGAGATTGCACAACTGCACTTCAGCCTGGGCGACAAGAGCGAGACTCCATCTCAAAACAAAACAAACAAACAAACAGAAAAAGTTACAGTAAGTTAAGGTTCATTTACTTTTGAACAATGAAAAACCTTTTTAAAAATAAATTTAGCGTAGCCTATGTGTACAGTGTTTCTGAAGTCTACAGTAGTGTACAGTACTGTCCTAGGCCTTCACATTCACTCACCACTCACTCACAAACTCACCCAGAGCAGTGAGGGAGACCTGTAAGCTCCATTTCTGGTAAATACCCTACTTTTATTTTCTTCTTCTTCTTTTTCTTTTTTTCTGAGACACAGTCTCGCTCTGTCGCTCAGGCTGGAGTGCAGTGGTGCAATTTCGGCTCACCGCAACCTCCGCCTCCCAGGTTCAAGAGATTCTTGTGCCTCAGCCTCCCAAGTAGCTGGGACTATAGGGGCCCACCACCACGCCCGGCTGTTTTGTTTTTTTTGTTTTTGTTTTTTTTGAGACAGAGTCTTGCTCTGTTGCCCAGGCTGGAGTGCAGTGGTGTGATCTCTGCTCACTGCAAGCTCCGCCTCCCGGGTTCACGCCATTCTCCTGCCTCAGCCTCCTGAGTAGCTGGGACTACAGGCGCCCGCCACCACGCCGGGCTAATTTTTTTGTATTTTTGGTAGAGACGGGGTTTCACCGTGTTGGCCAGGATGGTCTCGATCTCCTGACCTCGTGATCTGCCTGCCTCGGGCTCCCAAAGTGCTGGGATTACAGGCGCGAGCCACCGCACCAGGTCAGGTGTACCATTTTTTATCTTTTATACCGTATTTTTACTATACCTTTTCTGTGTTTAGACATGTTTAGACGCACACATGCTTACCATTGTGTTACAACTGCCTACAGTATTTGGTAGGGTCACATGCTGTGCAGGTTTGTAGCCTAAGAGCAAGAGGCCATACCACACAGCCTAGGTGTGTAGTAAGCTCTACCAACTAGGTTTGTGTAAGTGCACACTATGATGTTTACACAACAATGAAATCGCCTAACGACACATTTCTCAGCCTGCATCCCTGTCGTTAAGCAACACATGATTGTGCAAAGGAGATTTGGGTGCATGTCTCTCACCCAAAGTACGGGCCAGTTTCTTTGAAGGTAGGAGCGCTATCTTCATTTTTGTGTCTCCTCTAATGTCTTTCAAGTACAGACCCTTTACAATGTAACTATTCAACAAGTGTTGAGTGAAGTGAAACAGAATGGGATAGAGTGGTAGCAATGCATGAAAGAGACTGGAGACTAAGGATGGAAGGGGGATTGCCGGCAACAATCAAAAGAAACTCACAAAAATAGAGTCAGAGAATCAACAAATTTGTTCTAATCATGCATTGCATCGAATTAGAAAACAGGATGACTCTTCCTTAAGAAAAGTATTTGAATTCCATCATATTTACTCATAAACCACTACTCCCTCATGCAAGATAAGGTTTGTGTGTGGGAAAGGAAGAAAAGGAATATTCCAGTTCTGAACTCCAGGTGCACCACTTGCAGCTTTGATAGTTTCTCACTCCTCAGTCCACATTTCCTGCCATAGAGTATCAAAGAACAGTGGTAGAGATGGGTTGAATCTGAAATTGTTGTGGGCAAAGTCTTCAGTCTGTTTGACTCCCTATTAAATGAGTTCAGATTATTCATCCCTGCAGAGAAAAGGAAAAGCCAATTTCCTTCTGAGCAGCAAAATGAGCACAATAAAAATGTCTCAATGTGTTCTCTGGAAATCTCACCCAGAAAGCCACTTCACACTCTCAAGGTAGAACATGAAACTCCTAGATTGTTCCAGAAGTCTTGCTCAATCGGGAACATCTAAATGGTTCCTTGGCAATAAGCAAACAAACAAATGCATAAATGATGTTGCTTCAGCATTTTAAAATAAGAGTAGCCTAGACATGCTTTCCAAAAAAAGATTAGTCTGTATGTTAGAAATGAGTACTAGATAGCCTGTCTCTTAATCACTGAAAATAATATTCTCTTTCTCACTAACATAATCCAGAATAATCTTCTCATATTGTTATGACACTTTCAGAAAGAAACCACCTGTGTGTATCACCTGGCACAATTTAAAACTTGTTAACAAGGTGGTGACAAGGAATTGGATGCCAGGCAGGAGTGGTAGCTACATGTTCCCACCAAAGTCAGTTTTGATCTCCCTGTGCCTTGCTCACTAGCAGTTTAAGCGTGTGACTTTTCTTCAATGAGCAGCAAGATCACTGTTCTTTGCCAGCAGGTGGTGCAAAAATCTTTTTGCAGAAGTACTATTCACAGAAAAGCATAGGTCACCTCAGTGGGGACTCATGGAACACATGACCATCGCTTCTGGAAGAAGCAATGACTAGGCTCTTTATTTAATATCAATTTATGTTACTTCCAGAATGAACCACCTCTTCCCCATCCCAACCACCCTGCCACAATGGTTCCAACACACTGGGTTGTAAAGACTTGATTCGTGTTAGCCATTTTGACAATCCCAAATGTCCTATTTCGGAGCTCTCACCTCATTCCATCTGCTTCCCCTAGATGCCTGAAGTTGACTACAGCCCTGCAGTAGACCATTAGCCATTCCCCAGAGAGGCCAGCTATCTGTAACTTGACTCCATGAGCCCCACCCTCTTCCTCTCACTCTGTCTGGTAGGATTAAAGTGGGGGCTCTGGGTTTGCTGGCCTAAATCCCATTCTCCACCTTAGTCTCTGCATCCTAGAGATGGGATCCAGTGCAATCAAAAGTGGTCAAAAGCAATTCACTGTTGTTATTATTTAACAACAGAAATATTGGACTGTGAGACATATTGTAGAGAATAAACTAAAAATGTTAGCCACTTTGTAAATAAAAATGATCATAGAAATTCTGAACACTTTAAGATCCACTTGATTATCTCCTATATAATCTCAGTCAAACTTCTTAACTCTTCTGTGCCTCGATTTATGTCTTTATTTACTGGGCATAATCTATTTTTGCCACTTGACAAGAGAGAATGTGGGGAAGTCTAATACACTGTAAGCACCAGAGAAGAAAGAATCAACGATACCCATATTCAATCCTTAGTCTCTGTGCCAGGCAGTGTGCCAAGGACTTTCACAAACTTTGGTAAAACAGCTACAAAGGGGTAGTGCCAGGATTCAAATCCAGGTTTTCTGCCTCCCAATGCTTCTCCCACTTCCTATGCCAATTCATAAACCCTAAATCAATCCCAGGTCACAGGCTCCAGTATTCAGATTCTAGAGAACCCATAGGTTGAAGATGATCTTCAATGCCATGATCCTCCTTTGCTGCAGAGAACACCACTCTCACAGCCTGCTGACCAGGAAAGACCGTCCCCCCTCACCTGCCACCAATACATGCCCACAACTTGCTTTAAAATCACTCTGACTTTACAAATGAAAAAATGATCCTGGAAGGACTGGACATTCTGCTCCCCATCACAGAGACAGCTGACTGTGATCTTCTTCCCTTCAACTTAGAGCACCAGAGGTCTAAGTTCTCAGACTCCAGTAGGAGAACAGACAAATTGTCTCTCACTCGTCACCCTTCTATGATGGTCAAAGATGTCTTTGGGTAAACTGGATAGCCCTTAAGTGATCTCTTTGCCCTGGGACCACTTCCAGGATCTTCCCCTTCAGCTTCAAAGCCTACACTGAGTCTCTGTGGCCACCCCCACAGCTCCCTTCTCTTCTCTGCATCTGCAGTCCAGCCTAGCCCAACCCGCCCTCCGCCTTTCCTCTGTGCTCACCATTGAGGCTGTGCAGGAGCTACACTGGGAACCTGAACAGTCTTCCTGCCCCAGCCCCTCAGGTTCCTAGGCTCTGAGACTAACCCCCACCTTATTTAGTTACGGTTCGAACACTCCTTTGCATTTCTATCATTTACCTTTCACAGAGCAGGGAAGGCAGCTCAATTTCATCCCCAAAAGTTACTTTCTCCAACCTAATTCTCACCAAACACACAATCTATATGCTCTGTTAGTGCAGTTCCTAAATTCACCTACAGGGTGAATATAGATTTTATATGTAATCCCGTAAACTTGTATTAGAGAGCATATTTTATATTGACACACATCATGCAATTGATTCTCATCACATTTGTAGATGACATACCTTAGGAAGTATTTCCTTCGTAATATATTTTAATGTCATATTTAAGAATGTAAATGTTTTACAAAAAGTTTTTAAAAATTAGCTTGGCATGGTGGTATAGATATGTTGTCTTAGCTACTCAAGTGCCTGAGGTGGGAGGATGTCTTGAGCCCAGGAGGAGGCTGCAGTGAGCTATGATTCTGCCAACGCACTCCAGCCTGGGTGACACAACGAGACCCTGTCTCAAAAAAAAAAAAAAAAACCAAGAATATAAATGTTTGATATGATATATATGTTATCCTTTTCCTTACTAATTCTATTGGTGCCTAATTTTTCTACTCAAATTTTGCATTAAGTTTATCAAATGAATGATCCAGGTGATATCAAGACCACATATCATTTTTTCGTATCCACATTATTCAGTAAATGTTGAAGTATAAACCAAATACTATTCACCGAACTTAGCTGCAGGAAGAAAAGAATGAACAAGCAATGCTCTTAGCCTTGGGGGAGTTTATTATCTAGAAAGGGAAACAATTAAGAGCACAGCCAACTGTTCCACTAAAATGCCGAATGAGGTAAGACAGTCTCAGCAGCATAAAGAAAGCTGTCTAGAAATACAGAGGAGGGAGAGATTGTTCTGGCTGACTGTAGGGCTAGAGAACAGAAATAGAATCAGAAAAGAGGACGAGATCTGTGGCATGTGAGGGTGAGGGCATTTACATCAGTCCAAATGGATGAAGAGGAGATTCCAGTCTAGCACAGCATGGCCAGTCAGAGTAGAAGGGAGGCCCCAGCATGTGGGGAAGCTGCAATTAACTTTTTACCAAAACCTACCCCTGGTGAGGCAGAACAGAGAGAAATAATACCAAAAGCCACCCAACTGAAAAGGTAGGTGTGGATTCAAGAGACATTGAAAGTAGATGCTTCAGAATTTGACAAGGGTTGGGTATGAGAAGGAAAGCCAACAGTGCCCCTTCTAAGCACTAAGCACCGTATTTTATGTGTCTGATGCGTTAACGCTAAATCCTCAGGATAAACTCTACAAGAAAAAGAAACCAAGACATAAAAGAAAGAGCTAGCTGAGGGCCAAGTTATTAGAACCTTCAAGGCTCTAACAAACTGAGACGGTGTTTGGAGGCAAAGGGGGGTTGTACTGAGTTTTGAGCAAGAACATGGCCTGCAAACATAGGCTACTCAGCAAGTGGGTGGCCTCCACGGTCAGACTCTCTGGGCCGGGATCCTGGCCCTGTACCCACTGGGTGTGTAGACTTGGACCAGTTCTGGGAGGATAATAACAACCCTGCCAACTTGGAGTAGTGTGAGGATTAAATAAGTGAATACATGTAAAGCATTTAGAGCAAAGGGTCGGCATTTTCAGAGCCAGCTCCAGGCAGGCTGCATGACAGGTGTGCAGAAGGGGAGACACCCTGAAGAGGTCAGGCACTCACAGGACCACTTGCTGAAGCTGTCTGCTGGACAAAACATGCTGATGACCTAAACTTGCAAGATGTGGATTTAAAAGACATTTAGGTCTGTAATCCCAGCACTTTGGGAGGCTGAAGCCGGTGGATCACCTGAGGTCAGGAGTTCAAGACCAGCCTGGCCATCATGGTGAAACCCTGTCTCTACTGAAAATACAAAAATTAGCTGGGTGTAGTTGGTGGTGGGTGTCTGAGGTCCCAGCTACTTGGGAGGCTGAGCCAGGAGAATTGCTTGAACCCAGAAGGTGGAGGCTGCAGTGAGCTGAGATAGCGCCACTGCACTCCAGCCTGGACAACAGAGCGAGACTGAGTCTCAAAAAAAAAAAAAAAAAAAAAAAGACATTTAAAAGAAGAATCTCAGAATTTGACCACTGGTTGAGTATCAGAGAGAAAGATCAAAGATATCTCTCAGGGAGATTACTGGGAGAATAGGGGTGCCAGTAGCCGACAAGAAAGCCCAAGAAAACAACTGGTGTTTGGAGTGGGAATATTGTGGGGGTGGGGGTGGTTAAGAAGATAGAAGATCAGATTTAGGTGTGTTTAATTTTATCGCCAGTGGAATGTCCAAGTAAAGATGTACAGCAGGCAGTGTGAAATGCTTCCTAAAACAGGAGAAACTAAATTCTGTAAGGTTTATCATTATTCCCATGGTGAATTTCTACTCAGTCTTCAAAACACAGCTCAGAGGCTGCCCCTTGTGTGGAGTCAATTGAGTTGTGCCACTATCCCTAGCATTTATCAAATTGCACTGTGTTTGTTTACATATCTGTATCACTGAGCTCCTTAAGGAAAGAAAGGGTGTTTTGTTTTCACCCTTGCATTTATGCTCAGTGATATTTGGTTGAATTGACAAATGGATATAAACATCATTTCCAGAGCATTGTGAATTTAAATCGTGAAGATATATGAGATTTCAAGGGAGAGTGGAGAGAGAGAAGGAAGAGAAGATCAAGGATAGATTTCCCCTTCGGAGGACTCCTGCATTTAAAGGATGGCAGAAAGAGGAAAATGTCATTGCTGGAGGGCACAGACAGATAGAGAATAGTGAGGCCACTAGAGAGTGGAGCCCCTATGTCAGACAAACCAAAGGAGGTTTCCAAAAGGAGAGGGCATTGGTGTCTTGTGCTGCGAGGGCAGAGATGGGAAATACATGCACACCCGTGGGCGGGGGCATGCCTGGGGCCAGCAGGGCGAGATTTCACAGGGGAAGGAAGGATCCTGGCTACATCTGAGGGATCAGCCAGGACTCGGTGCCAAGACAATGTTTGCTCGGTATCCCCAAGCTTCTGAGTTTTCAGAGAAAGCCAGAATGCAGATATGTATGTAATATTAAATCTTAGCAACTAACTCAAGTTTTAAAAAATAAAAATAGTGTGCCCAAGGCTACGTGGGTCTAACAGATCCTACCTGACCTGGAGGGAAGCCAGTTTATAACCTCCAGTGAGGAAGGAGGAGGTTGAGAGAGCAGATATCTGAAATGGTGTTAAGTGCCTAGAGATCTAGCAATGAGTTGGGTGTTGAGGAAACAGAGGTACAACACATAGAAATTAAATTCTCTTGCCAGGTCTTCTTGACTTCCTGGACTATGATGAACGGTCGTCTTGAGAAGACCCCCTACACCAAATGCGCGTATCGGAACCTACTCACTCAGAACAGCATGGGTTAGTTCCACTTACTGGTTTAAGAAAGCTCAACGGGCAGAGGAAAAATAAAAGCTGCTGTCTCCCTAAAAGCCTCACTATAATACCTGTAGGGTATTACATAGCTGTGACTGGATTTAATCAGTTAAGGTCATAATCATTAGCATTCATTAGTGTCTTTTGAAGTCTTAAGGAGGTCCAGGGAGATTCAGATCCTGAAGTGATTTTGTTTTGGCTGTTGCCTGCTGGGAAACCAAGATAAGAGCCTCCAGAGACCGCAAATACAATAGAGGTTCACAGTGGAAGGATTCTTGGCTGAATCTGTTCAGTAAGGTTAGTCTTGCCTTCCAGAGAGCCTTTGACTGGTAAGGATGTCTGAGTGTTATTCCTCCACTGAGCTCTTACTGCGTACCTAGGGCAAGTTGTTCCCCCTTTTAGACTTGGTTTTCTCATGGATAAAATTGATATAATGATAGCAAGGCTAAGACTTTGTGGAGGAGGTTTTATGTATTTATCATAGTGCAACATGAAAGTGAGTGCTTGATTGTGTGTATGTGTCTGGAGAGCATGCATCACAAGTGAAAAAACATCTAAAAACTGAGATACGTTTGTCTTTTCTTTTAGTCCATTATCTCCAAATGACAGACTAGACTGACATCACAGACACACATTCAATGAGCTGTTTGCAATCACAGTCTTCATCTCTTGGAAACATTCGTACTGGTTTCATTTCAAAGGCAGTGCTGTCTAAAGGCTATGAAGTATCTTATTGGAAAGCTCCAGTAAACAGTATCTTATTTCACTGAGAATTTCTGGAAAGTTACTTCAGAATTTTTCAAGATGGTACAGGACAATCCTGCTCTACTCAAAAGAAGCAAAGGGTAATTTAGTAGCTGTGGGGTGAAATTAAATCATGTTGCCAAAACAGTGTGAAGAATCTTGCTGAGGACTTTAATGGTATCATTCTCAATTTCATGAAAGCTAAGTACAACCTAGGGTTTCTGATGCACTCTCTTACCACACAGTTCTTTCATTTAATGTTTAATCTTTACCGCCGCTTTGATGTATGGATTTGTTTATTTTGTAATTATTTTGTTTAAGACACTCTATGATTATTTCACTGTTGTGCCCATTCTTGCAATCCGTGGGGTTTTAAAAAATCTACCTATCGCAGGCAATCTCTAGGGCCATTCTGCCAAAAGAAAATAGTAGGATTAAAATCCCACACACATGCAAGAAGCAGCTAGGAATATAGTGGAGTCAATTTAAATATATACTAAACACAGGACAAATGCATCAAGTAGAATGCAGACGTGATTCCATTCCAATTCCAGGCTTCTGCGTTTTAAGCACCTCTTCCCTCCAGCCTGTGCTGCTGGTGGCAAAGAGCTGGTCTTGGGTGGCCCGGGAGACACCTGTCTCCTTTTGGATAATTCTACCCCAGAGCAAGGACCTGGATGAGACCGGTAGACAGAAACACTGCTTTGGCCCACCACATAGAAAGACATATTCTTGCAGGCTTAAAAAAAAACTGACTTGACATATTTCCTCAGAGCAAAACTCTTCTGCCCTTACAACACTATTTCTCACCCACGTGCACCAGTTCCTTGGTTCCAAAGCAAGAGAGTGCTCAGGGTTCCTGTGAGGGGTGGGTATTGGGTGTGAAGGCATACAGGGAGGCTGGCAAAGGCAGTTCCTGAAACTGATGGTCCTTGGAAACTATATACGTTTCTCATGTTGCCATTTTCACATTAAAATCCTAAAAGTAGAAAGAAATTCACTCAGGTTTCTTATAATTATGAGTTTTCATAATCAAAATTATGATATAAGTTAACTTAGTGTGTAGGTACTTTTAAAATAAAAGGAAAAGTGACCTGTATGTTATCATTATGTTGTTATTATGAAACAGAGTTTGTATAGTTCTTAGAAGAATGCAAAACACTTTCCTACACTTGAACTCATTCAAGTCTACCAATGAGATAGCAAATACAAGGATGATAATGATGGTGAGGACAATGCTTATCTTAGAAAAAGATACTGAGATCCAGAGAAGTTCACAATTGGTAAATGTCAGAGTCATAACTGTTGTGACTTTTAAGACCATTCTTCCCCACTTCACACCATTGCCTTATACCAACACTTTATAGAATAATTCCTATTGTGGAGTTCTGTGGGCAGGCTAAGCTTCTTGTCTACTTAAATAGTAACAGTAAAGCTGAATCAGTTGCACTGGAAGCCTGGATGTAATAGGATCCTTTAACATGTCAATGGCGTTCAGTATACCTGAAGTACCAGAAATAAAGGACTTGTTATAATACCGCGCTGCCAGATAACAACCTGACAACACCAGTTCTGGGGATAGAGTTAGTGAAACCACTGCAGTTTTCTCTGGCTACAGCAGCTGAGTTCTCTACAAGCCTTCTTGCCCCAGTATTTAGCATTGCAGCCAGCAAGAATCAGTGCACAGTGAAATTTTTAATTGAACGCTTACAGAAACATGTCATTTACTCTTCCTAAACATGATTAATGTTGATTCATTTAAAATATTGATCAATATACATCATTGAACACACAAATATGCCTCTCCTGTTAATAAACAAAATGTGCACAAACTGAGTATATTCGCCCTCTTTCTACTGATTTACCTTCCTGCTCCAGACAGAAATCCTCTCTAATAAGCTGCGCACATCATTTTGAAGCTCTGATGTGTACCTGAAATCTCTCATAACTGTCTATTTTCCCTCTCATTTCGTTGCCTTAGTTCAATCACCTCACAATATTTTTAATTTGATTCTTTACTAAGCTGCTTCTAGATAAGCAAACTGCCCCAATTCACTCACAGTAAAGCAAAAACTAGCAAATGGAGTTACTGGATTAGTGTAGACTAATCAAATGCTCATGGTTTCAATGAATGTTTAGTGAGTTTCTGAAAGCACATGGCTACACAGTTACCTAATTATAATGCTGTTGTTTTTAGTGGTACTAAGAACAACAGTCCTTCTATAAATCATTATTTCCCTTTTCAAACAGTTTTGATTCATTATTGCATTATTTTCTATCCATTAAATATGTTTAATATCAAATATATTATTTCACGAACTTCATCTGAAGTACGGGGAGTTTAGAGTGCAGGATTTCACACAATCCTTCCAAATTTGAGGACTGGGGCCCAGAGATAAGGGAAGGTACTTATGATTGGATAGAAAAAAACAAAATCAAAGGGATTACTTAATAATTATTTCCAAAGCCTGTAAAGCTTGACCTTATCCTTAGTGGCAATACTTTAAGAGAGAGAGGATACATTGATTTAAATCAATGGTTCTCACAGCTGAGGATGCTTTTCCCCCAGGGGATGTCTGCAATGTCTGGAGACATTTTTTATTGTTATGACTGGAGTTTGGGAACAGCTGTTACTTTTGCCTAGTGGGTCCAGGCCACAGGTGTTGCCAGACATCCTACAGTGCACAGGACATTCCCCCCACAATGAAGAATTATTGTCCCAAAATGTCAGGAGTGCGAGATTGGCAAGCCCTGGTCCAGACTGGACCTGAAGGTTAGTTTCCTGACACCACATATCAGACTCTAAATTACACAGCTAGGGGAATTTATCCAGTTTTTTGAAATAGGAAAAAAAAAAACAAAGGGACAGAAGATGATGATTTCCATTTTTTCATCACCAGCAGCTGATGCTGTGAAACGATTACAAGCTATCAGGGACATTTTAAATTCATGATTGCACCTACATGAACCTCTTCATAGGTTGCTCTTCCCTTTGACAAGAGTTTAGGACAAGGAGGCTTGTAGAGGGTGTACTGAAGACCCACCCAACATTAGACATTCTGATCTGGATTTGTTTTTCCTCTTCATTTCCTGAACTGACTTGGCTATGGATTAATGTTATCTTTACTCTAGCTTTAAGGCCTTAAAGTGCTGATAGCCACATATAGTATATTGCATGTCATTTCCATTAGGAACCGCAGCCATCGTTAGATCTGAGATGAGTTCTACGTGCCCACTGTGCCTTAGATTTTAGACTCCATAATAATGAAATTTAACTTGGAAATGTTTCCTGTTGTATTTATATAACACTTTTTGACCTGCCCAACCCAGCAGGAAGCAAGGACAGAAAACCATAAATAGATTTTAAAAGCATTCAAATGCAGTGCAAACAATAATCCACATTCAAGGTTCAACCTTGAAATTCCAGAAAAATTGGAGGGCTTTGTAAGGTTCACCAACCATTTGGTTCCCATCTACCTTTTTTTAGTATCTAACTTAACTGTTTTGAAAGACAATTATCACAATGACTGTTTTTTTAAATAACCAAGATTTGCCAATATAGTTTATTTCACTAACTGTCAAATGTTTTCTGCCTTTGGGAGTAGTATCTTTAAAAAGATATTAGATGGCTGGGCATGGTCACTCACACCTGTAAACCCAGCACTCTGGGAGGCCGAGGTGGGTGGATCACCTGAGGTCAGGAGTTCGAGACCAGCCTGACCAACATGGTGAAACCCCGCCTCTACTAAAAAATACAAAAATTAACCAGGCATGGTGGCAGGCACCTGTAATCCCAGCTACTGGGGAGGCTGAGGTAGGAGAATTGCTTGAACATGGGAGGCAGAAGTTGCAGTGAGCCGAGATCGTGCCATTGCAGTCCAGCCTGGGCAACTGAGCAAGACTCTGTCTCAAACAAAAAAAGGAAAGAAAAAAAACATATTAGATGGCAATAAGTCTGTCAGGGTCCTATCTTAGGTGGACAAGATTTCTCTGATGGAACTAATTATATATGACACTGTATGGTGTGGTGTTTAAAATCCGGAAACCAGAGTTGGAATGCCCGGGTTTAAATCCAGCCTTCCCACTTCATTTGTGTGAGTGTGTATGGGGAGTATGTTTCCAACTTAATCCTCCACGTCTGTTTCCTTGTGTGTAAAATGCTGATAATAACAGTATCCCCCTCATAGGTATTTTTCAGAATTACGTTAGTTAAACCAGTGATTCTCAACATGGTCCCCAAACCAGAAGTAACAGCATCATCCCAGGCCCTATTAGAAATGCATATTCTCTGGCTCCATCCAGACCCACTAAATCAGAAGTCCTTCAGGTAGTTCTGATACAAATAACCTGTGAGTTAAACCATGTAAACCATGGATCACTGCCTGGTACATAATGAGCATTCAATAAACATTCACTTCCATCCTGGCTAAAACGGTGAAACCCCATCTCTACTAAAAATACAAAAAATTAGCCAGGCATGGTGGTGGGTGCCTGTGGTCCCAGCTACTTGGGAGGCTGAGGCAGGAGAATGGCATGAACCCAGGAGGTGGAGCTTGCAGTGAGCAGAGATCGTGCCACTGCACTCCGACCTGGGTGACAGAGCAAGACTCTGTCTCAAAAAAAAAAAAAAAAAAAAAAAAGAAAAGAAAAAACAAAAAACATTCACTGTTATTATCAAATCTCTGTGGGCTTCTCTTTTACAATATATTTATATTCCTGTCTCTCATTTTTTTTTTTTTAGAACAAACCTATTTCTGAAATGTTTCTGGCTTCCATATGCCTCTGGCTTTTAGGAAAGCACAAGTGGCCTGCTTGGGGTCCCTCCTGGCTTGCTGGACTTCCCGTCACTTTTTGCCTGTCGTCTTCCATGGTTCCTGCATGGATCTTGTTGCCTCAGGACCAAGCTGCCTTTGCTTTTCCACAATGTCCATGACTATGTGGGGAAGGAAATGGACCCTCATGCTGACAGCGCATGTCCACGTTACTAGTTTCCTTTAGAAAACCATCTCCAATGGGCCAGGCACGGTGGCTCATGACTGTAATCCCAGCACTTTGGGAGGCCAAGGCTGGCAGATCACAAGGTCATGAAATCGAGACCAGCCTGACCAACATGGTGAAACCCCATCTCTACTAATAATACAAGAATTAGCTGGGCATGGTGGCACGCACCTGTAATCCCAGCTACTCAGGAGGCTGAGGCAGGAGAATTGCTTGAACCCGGGAGGTGGAGGTTGCAGTGAGCCGAGATTGCGCCACTGCACTCCAGCCTGGTTAGGGAGCGAGACTGGTCTCAGAAAAAAAAAAAAAAAAGAAAGAAAACCATCTCCAACCTTAACTCCAGGGGCGCCATTCATACCCTGTTCTATAGAACCTGCCCAAGGTGTGCTCCTGAAGAAAGGGAAGGTGCTGACCTAATGGCTCCGAGAACAGTATTTTTGATAAAGTGCAGTCTCTCAGCAAGTGTCCTCAAAGTGCTGGCCTTGCTCATGCAGTAGAGCTGGGAAAGCTTATTTGGGACTTGGGTACCACATAAGAAATAAAGAGGGAATGTCATACTAGCAGGACTTTTGACAAAAAAAGCCTGGTATGAGAGGCCCTGACACTAATATGATTCCTATTCTCACTCAAGTTAATAGATCATTTAACCAATAGCAAAAAGAACCGGAAGTGTCCTCCCAAAGAGTACACTATGGAAAGGGTGGGGGGATGGAGTACCTTTACAGTGGAGAAAAGTACCCTTACACCACCTCTGCAGGGGATCTAGGTCAACATCAGCAGTTACAAGTTACATTGACAGCATGTGGCCTTGATATGATGTGATGAGAATGGCTCTTCACCCCTGTGGTCTTCCTCCACAAAACCCATAGCCCCAGTTAAATCATGAAAAAAGCATCAGACAGACCCCAATTGTGACCAGCACTCCTCAAAATTATCAGGGTCCTCAAAAAAAGGAAAGTCTGAGAAACTGTCACAGTCAAGAGGAGCCTCAGGAGACAATGAAAACTAAGTGTCATGTGGAAGTTTGAACAGAATCCTGGAACAGAAAATGGACATCAGGTAAAAACTAAGAAAATCTAGATAGTGTGGACTTCAGTGAATAACAATGTGTTGATATTGATTCATTAATTGTGACAAATCCACTACGCTAATTGCCTTAGTCTGTTCAGGCTGCAATAACAAAATACCATGGACTGAGTGGCTTATACACAACAGAAATTTATTTCTCACAGTTCTGGATGCTGGGAAGTCTAAGACCAAGGCACTGCCAGATTTGGTGTCTGGTGAAGGTCCATCTCCTGGTCCAAACATGGCTCCTTCTCACTGTGTCTTCCCATGGTGGAAGGGACAAGAATTTCTAATTCCACTCATGAGTGCTCTGATCCCAAGACCTAATCACCTACCAAAGCCCCCACCTTCTGATAGCATTACCTTGGGGCTTAGGATTTGAACATATGAACTGGGGAGGACTCTGGGGAAACACATTTAAACCACAGCACTAATGTAGGATGTTAATAATAAAGGAAACTGGGTGTGGGGTTTATGGAAACTCTCTTAACTTGGTATGAGGTATATGCAAACTCTCTTTAATATCTTCAGAATTTTCCTGTAAACTTTAACTTTAATCTGAACTTCTAAAAATTATAGTTATACACGCATACACAGAGAGAGAGAGAGAGAGAGCGAGAGAGAGAGAGAGAGAGAGAGAGAAGTTATACATAGCCTTCGTGTTGCAGGTCTAGCCTACACTTCTAGCCTTATTCCCCCTGTTTAAACCTTATAAGTCAGCCAATATAATGAAATTTCCTTAAGGTCAAGATGCTACTATGTTTATTCTCCAAAAAATTTGAAAAATAAATGAGTTTTCTTAATTTCTTAGAAGACTCAATAAAGTTGAGATCATAAAGTGTAAGTTAAGGAAGAATTCTACCTGAAGAGACTCATGAAACAAAAATGATGGTGAGGAAAGGGAGTGCTGTTTCATTGACTAGAAAAGAATTAGCAAATTAATCAGCACATTGCCTTTTAAATGTTCCACTTCAAGAGATGCACACATTTTCAGGCCCAATGGTATCGTCACTTCCAATAAAGCTTTATTGGTGGTATCTGGAGAACGCTATCCTATTATATCCTTGGCTAAGCTCACATATGAGAGACTCTTTAAAGGAACAATGCAATAGTCTTGATATTCATTGCAGACACTGGTTCTTGCCTACTCAATAATTATTCCCTCACCTTCCTGACAAAGAACCCGACTTGTTCAGGTATCTCACAATGTGCTCAGGAAAGGTGGGCTCTTCCCCAGGTCCATGTGGTTAACCAGAACTGCTCTAAAACATCGTGAGAATCCCATTCACCTTTGCCAGTGATTGGTTTAAGGGTAGGGAGATTACCCAATTCTGAACAATGATATAGGAGAAGAAAGAAATTTACTAGGGGATTGATGGGAACAGGTTATTTTGTTCACTATACAGGGACACATAGTGAGAGGTGACAATGTGCTAGCAGCCCTCACTCACTCTCAGCACCTCCTCAAGTGTGGGCGTGTGGCGTGGGACTGGCAGGCAGCTCTGCCCATGGCCCCGATGTGGGATCCACTAGGCGAAGCCAGCTGGGCTCCTGAGTCAGGTGGGGACTTGGAGAACTTTTATGTCTAGCTAAAGGTTTGTAAATGCACCAATTAGCACTTTGTGTCTAGCTCAAGGTTTGTAAATGCACCAATCAGCACCCTGTGTCTAGCTCAAGGTTTGTAAATGCACCAATCAGTGCTCTGTGTCTAGCTAATCTAGTGGGGACTTGGAGAACTTTTACATCTAGCTAGAGGATTGTAAATACACCAATCAGCACTCTGTGTCTAGTTCAGGGATTGTAAATGCACCAATCAGCACCCTGTCAAAACAGACCAATCAGCTCTCTGTAAAACGGACCAATCAGTTCTCTGTAAAATGGGCCAATCAGCAGGATGTGGGTGGGGTCAGATAAAGGAATAAAAGCAGGCTGCCCAAGCCAGCAGTGGCAACCCGCTGGGGTGCCCTTCCACACTGTAGAAGCTCTGTTCTTTCGCTCTTTGCAATAAATCTTGCTGCTGCTAACTCTTTGGGTCCACACTGCCTTTATGAGCTGTAACACTCACCGCGAAGGTCTGCAACTTCACTCCTGAAGCCAGCGAGACCACGAACCCACCAGAAGGAAGAAACTCAGAACACATCTGAACATCAGAAGGAACAAGCGCTGGACCCACCACCTTTAAGAACTGTAACACTCCCCACGAGAGTCCACAGCTTCATTCTTGAAGTCAGTGAGACCAAGAACCCACCAATTCCGGACGCTTTTTGGCGACCCAGATGGGACTATCGCCTATCACCAAGTCGTGAGACCATTGCCTATCACTGAGTGGTGAGACTGTCACCTATCGCCAAGCAGTGAGTACCATCAGACCCCTTTTGCTTGCTATTCTGTCGTATTTTTCCTTAGAATTTGGGGGCTAAATACCGGGCACCTGTCGGCCAGTTAAAAGCGACTAGCATGGCCGCTGGACTAAAGAAACGGGTGTCAAGCTTTCTGGTAAAGGGCTTTCTAACAACCCCCGACTCTTCGGAATTGGGAGCGTTGGTTTGCCTGGAACCAGCTTCCGCTTTTCCTGTACTTCTGGGCTGAGTCGAGGGTCAACAGAGAGGAAAGCCTTGCAGCTCCGGGGTCCCAACAACAAGTTGGTTGATCCTGTGGCCATGAGTGGAACTCTCAAAGGCATGTCGCCCAAGCGAGACTCGCCCATCTATCCTATCTATCCTGACCCTTGCCCCCTGGGTCCTAATGCCTGCCAGACAAACTTCCTCTCACCTCTCTTCTCCGAGGCTAGTCCCACTTCTAAAAATTGCTCCCTGTCTCTGGTGGTTTTCTAGTTTCCCCTATAAGAATGATTTCTAGTATAAACTCCAGGACTCTGTTATGTTCTTTAGGCACCCAGGCTGACCAATCAGAAAGACATAATTTTTGCCCAAAGCCCTGTCGTATGGGGGACTACCTGGAATTTTAGGATCCCTCCTCAGACTAGCAAGCCTAACAAAAGCTATTCCTGAAGCTAGGATATGGGGAGCCACAGAAATTTTATCCTTCCTATTCATATAAGTGAGGATAAAAGGTGTCACTCTTCCAACCCTGGAGATCCCTTCCCTCCCTCAGGGTATGGCCCTCCACTTCATTTTTGGGGCATGACATCTTTATAGGACATGGGTAAGGTCCCATTACTAACAGGGGAATGCTTAGGACTCTAACAGGTTTTCGAGAATGTGTCGGTAAGGGCCACTAAATCCGATTTTTCTCGGTCCCCCTTGTGGTCCAGGAGGACAGGCAAGGGTTTAGGTTTTTGAGAATGCATCAGTAAGGGCCACTAAATCCGACCTTCCTTGGTCCTTCATGTGGTCTGGGAGGAAAACTAGTGTTTCTGCTGCTGCGTCGGTGAGCGCAACTATTCCGATTAGCAGGGTCCAGGGACCTTTGCGGGTTCTTGGGTAAGGGTTGTTTCTGCTGCTGTGTCCGTGAGCACAACTATTCTGATCAGCAGGGTCCAGGGACCGTTGCGGGTTCTTGGGCAGGGGGAGAAACAAAACAAACCAAAACCGCAGGCAGTTTTGTCTTTCAGATGGGAAACACTCAGGCATCAACAGGCTCACCCTTGAAATGCATCCTAAGCCATTGGGATCAATTTGACCCACAAACCCTGAAGCTCATTTTTTTCTGCACTATGGCTTGGCCCCAATATACCCTCTCTGATGGGGAAAAATGACCACCTGAGGGAAGTACAAATTACAATACTATCCTGAAGCTTGATCTTTTCTGTAAGAGGGAAGGCAAATGGAGTGAAATACCTTATGTCCAAGCTTTCTTTTCATTGAGGGAGAATACACAACTATGCAAAGCTTGCAAGTTACATCCCACAGGAGGACCTCTCAGCTTACCCCCATATCCTAGCCTCCCTATAGCTCCCCTTCCTATTAATGATAATCCTCTTCTAATCTCCCCTGCCCAGAAGGAAATAAGCAAAGAAATATCCAAAGCACCACAAACCCCCCCCCGGGCTATCGGTTATGTCCCCTTCAAGCTGTAGGGGGAGGGGAATTTGGCCCAACCCAGGTACATGTCCCCTTCTCCCTCTCTGACTTAAAGCAGATCAAGGCAGACCTGGCAAAGTTTTCAGATGATCCTGATAGGTACCTAGATGTCCTACAGGGTCTAGGGCAAACCTTCGACCTCGCTTGGAGAGATGTCATGCTACTGTTAGATCAAACCCTGGCCTTAATGAAAAGAATGAAGCTTTAGCTGCAGCCTGAGAGTTTGGAGATACGTGGTATCTTAGTCAAGTAAATGATAGAATGACAACCAAAGAAAGGGATAAATTCCCTACCGGTCAGCAAGCCATCCCCAGTATGGATCCCCACTGGGACCTTGACTCAGATCATGAGGACTGGAGTTGTAAACATCTTTTGACCTGTGTTCTAGAAGGACTAAGGAGAATTATTAAAAAGCCCATGAATTATTCAATGATGTCCACCATAACTCAGGGAAAGGAAGAAAATCCTTCTGCCTTCCTCGAGTGACTATGGGAGGCCTTAAGAAAATATACTCCCCTGTCACCTGAATCACTCGAGGGTCAATTGATTCTAAAAGATAAGTTTATTACCCAATCAGCCACAGATATCAGGAGAAAGTTCCAAAAGCAAGCCCTGGGCCCTGAAAAAAATTTGGAGGCATTATTAAACCTGGTAACCTTGGTGTTGTATAATAGGGACCAAGAGGAACAGGCCCAAAAGGAAAAGCGAGATCAGAGAAAGGCTGCAGCCTTAATCATGGCCCTCAGACAAACAAACCTTGGTGGCTCAGAGAGGACAGAAAATGGAGCAGGCCAATCACCACCCAGTAGGGCTTATTATCAGTGTGGTTTATTAGGACACTTTAAAAAAAGATTGTCCAATGAGACACAAGCTGTCCCCTCATCCATGTCCACTATGCCGAGGCAATCACTGGAAGGTACACTGCCCCAGAGGACAAATGTTCTCTGGGTCAGAAGCCCCCAACCAGATGATCCGACAACAGGACTGAGGGTGCCCGGGGCAAGCGCCAGCTCATGTCATCACCCTCACTGAACCCCAGGTATGCTTAACCATTGAGGGCCAGGAAATTGACTTCCTCCTGGACACTGGTGTGGCCTTCTCAGTGTTAATCTCCTGTTCTGGACGACTGTCCTCAAGGTCCGTTACCATCCGAGGAATCCTGGGACAGCCTGTAACCAGGGATTTCTTCCACCTCCTCAGTTGTAATTGGGAGACTTTGCTCTTTTCACATGCCTTTCTTGTTATGCCTGAAAGTCCCACACCCTTATTAGGGAGAGATATATTAGCCAAGGCTGGAGCTATTATCTACATGAATATGGGGAAGAAGTTACCCATTTGTTGTCCTCTACTTGAGGAGGGAATCAACCCTGACGTCTGGGCATTGGAAGGACAATTTGGAAGGGCAAAAAAATGCCTGCCCAGTCCAAATCAGGTTAAAAGATCCCGCCACTTTTCCTTATCAAAGGCAATATCCCTTAAGGCCTGAAGCTCATAAAGGTTTACATGATATTGTTAAACATTTAAAAGCTCAAGCTTAGTAAGGAAATGCAGCAGTCTTTGCAACACCCCAATTCTAGGAGTACAAAAGCCGAATGGTCAGTGGAGATTAGTGCAAGATCTTAGACTCATCAATGAGGCAGTAATTCCTCTATATCCAGTTGTACCCAACCCCTATACCCTGCTCTCTCAAATACCAGAAGAAGCAGGATGGTTCACAGTTCTGGACCTTAAGGATGCTGCCTTCTGTCTTCCCCTGCACTCTGACTCCCAGTTTCTCTTTGCCTTTGAGGATCCCACAGACCACACATCACAACTTACTTGGATGATCTTGCCCCAAGGGTTTAGGGATAGCCCTCATCTGTTTGGTGAGGCACGGCCCAAGATCTAGGCCACTTCTAAAGTCCAGGCACTCTGGTCCTTCAGTATGTGGATGATTTACTTTTGGCTACCATTTCAGAAGCCTCATGCCAGCAGGCTACTTTAGATCTCTTGAACTTTCTAGCTAATCAAGGATAGAGGGGTCTAGGTCGAAGACCCAGCTTTGCCTACAGCAGGTCAAATATCTAGACCTAATCTTAGCCAGAGGGACCAGGGCCCTCAGCAAGGAATGAATACAGCCTATACTGGCTTATCCTTGCCCTAAGACATTAAAACAGTTGCGGGGGTTCCTTGGAATTACTGGCTTTTGCTGACCATGGATCCCCAGATACAGCGAGATAGCCAGGCCCCTCTATACTCTAATCAAGGAAACCCAGAGGGCAAATATTCATCTAGTAGAATGGGAACCAGAGGCAGAAACAGCCTTCAAAACCTTAAAGCAGGCCCTCGCACAAGCTCCAGTTTTAAGCCTTCTGACAGGACAAAACTTCTCTTTATACGTCACAGAGAGAGCAGGGATAGCTCTTGGAGTCCTTACTCAGACTCGTGGGACAACCACACAACCAGTGGCAGGTATACATAAGTAAGGAAATTGATGTAGTATCAAAAGGCTGGCCTCACTGTGGTGGTGGCCATCTTAGTGTCAGAGGCTATCAAGATACTACAAGGAAAAGATCTCACTGTCTGGACTACTCATGATGTAAATGGCACACTAGGTGCCAAAGGAAGTTTATGGCTATCAGACAACCACCTACTTAGATACCAGGCACTACTTCTTGAGAGACTGGTGCTTCAAATATGCATGTGCGTGGCCCTCAACCCTGCCACTTTTCTCCCAGAGGATGGGGAACCAATTGAGCATGGCTGCCAACAAATTATAGTCCAGACTTATGCCACCCGAGATGGTCTCTTAGAAGTCCCCTTAGCTAATCCTGACCTTAACCTATATACCAATGGAAGTTCATTTGTGAAGAATGGGATACGAAGGGCAGGTTACACCATAGTTAGTGATGTAACTGTACTTGAAAGTAAGCCTCTTCCCCCAGGGACAAGTGCCCAGTTAGCAGAACTAGTGGCACTTACCCGAGCCTTAGTACTGGGAAAGGGAAAAAGAATAAATGTGTATACAGATAGCAAGTATGCTTATGTAATCCTACATGCCCATGCTGCAATATGGAAAGAAAGGGAGTTCCCAACCTCGGGGAACCCCCATTAAATGCCACAAGGAAATCATGGAGTTACTGTACATAGTGCAAAAACCGAAGAAGGTGGCAGTCTTACACTGCCAAAGCCATCAAAAGGGGAAGGAGAAGGGAGAACAGCAGCATAAGCATATGGCAGAGGCAGAAGAAATGAAAGACAGAAAGAGACAAGAAGTCAGAGAGGAAGAGATAGAGAGACAAAGAGAGAAAGAGAAAGACAGGAAGTCAAAGAGAAGGAGACAGAGAGAGGAAGAGACAGACAGAGGCAGTCAGAAAGAGAGAGACGAAGAAGTCAAAGACAGAGATAGAAGTAGTAAAGAAAAAACAGTGTATCCTATTCCTTTAAAAGCCAGGGTAAAGTTCTGTCTACCCAGCCAAGGTATATTCTTCCTATGTGGAATGTGGACCTACATCTGCCTCCCCACTAACTGGATAGGCACCTGCACCTTAGTCTTTCTAAGTCCCAACATTAACATTGCCCCAGGAAATCAGAGCCTATCAGTACCCCTCAAAACTCAAGTCTGTCAGTGCAGAGCCATACAACTGATACCACTACTTACAGGGTTAGGAATAGTTACTGCTACAGGAACCGGAATAGCCAGTTTATCTACTTCATTATCCTACTACCAGACACTCTCAAAGGATTTTTCAGACAGTTTGCAAGAAATAACGAAATCTATCCTTACTCTACAATCCCAAATAGACTCTTTGACAGCAGTGACTCTCCAAAACCACCGAGGCCTAGACCTCCTCACTGCTGAGAAAGGAGGACTCTGCACCTTCTTAGGGGAAGACTGTTGTTTTTACACTAACCAGTCATGGATAGTGTGAGATGCCACCCGGTGTTTACAGGAAAAGGCTTCTGAAATCAGGCAACGTCTTTCAAACTCTTATACCAACCTCTGGAGTTGGGCCACATGGCTTCTCCCTCCCCTTTCTAGGTCCTGTGGCAGCCATCTTGCTGTTACTTGCCTTTGGGCCCTGTATTTTTAACCTTCTTGTCAAATTTGTTTCCTCTAGAATCGAGGCCATCAAGCTACAGATGGTCTTACAAATGGAACCCCAAATGAGTTCAACTAACAACTTCTACCGAGGACACCTGGACTGACCTGCTGGCCCTTCCACTGGCCTAAAGAGTTCCCCTCTGGAGGACACTACAACTGCAGGGCCCCTTCATCACCCCTATCCAGCAGGAAGTAGCTAGAGCAGTCATCGGCCAAATTCCCAACAGCAGTTGGAGTGTCCAGTTTAGAGGGGGGATTGAGAGGTGACAATGTGCTAGCAGCCCTCGCTCACTCTCAGTGCCTCCTCAGCCTCGGCGTCCACTCTGGCCATGCTCAAGGAGCCCTTCAGCCCACCACTGCACTGTGGGGGCCCCTCTTTGGGCTGGCTGAGGCCAGAGCCGGCTCCCTCTGTTTGTGGGGAGGTGTGGAGGGAGAGGCATGGGCAGGAACTGGGGCCAGCACGAGTTCCGGGTGGGCGTGGGCTCAGCTGTGGAGGGTGCACCGGGTCCCCCAGCACTGTTGGCCCACCTGTGCCATGCTCAAATTCTTGCCGGGCCTCAGCCGCCTCCCTGCGGGGCAGGGCTTGGGACCTGCAGCCCGCCATGCCCTAACCCCCCCTGCTCCACGGAGCCTGGTCCCATCGACTACACAATGGCAAAGGAGTGTGGGCACGCAGCATGGGATGGTCGGGCAACTCCTCACGTGGCCCTGGAGCGGGATCCACTAGGCGAAGCCAGCTGGGCTCCTGAGTCAGGTGGGGACTTGGAGAACTTTTATGTCTAACTAAAGGTTTGTAAATGTGCCAATCAGCACTTTGTGGCTAGCTCAAGGTTTGTAAATGCACCAGTCAGCACACTGTGGCTAGCTCAAGGTTTGTAAATGCACCAATCAGTGCTCTGTGTCTAGCTAATCTAGTAGGGACTTGGAGAACTTTTATGTCTAGCTAGAGGATTGTAAATACACCAATCAGCACTCTGTATCTAGCTCAAGGTTTGTAAACGCACCAATCAGCACCCTGTGTCTAGCTCAAGGTTTGTAGACGCACCAATCAGCACTCTGTGTCTAGCTTAAGGTTTGTAAATACACCAATCAGTGCTCTGTGCCTTGCTAATCTAGTGGGGACTTGGAGAACTTTTACGTCTAGCTAGAGGATTGTAAATACACCAATCAGCACTCTGTGTCTAGCTCAGGGATAGTAAATTCACCAATCAGCATGCTGCCAAAGCAGACCAATCAGCTCTCTGTAAAATGGGCCAATCAGCAGGAAGTGGGTGGGGTCAGATAAGGGAATGAAAGCAGGCTGCTGGAGCCAGCAGTGGCAACCCATTGGGGTCCCCTTCCACGCTGTGGAAGCTTTGTTCTTTTGCTCTTTGCAATAAATCTTGATGCTGCTCACTCTTTGGTTCCACATTGCCTTTATGAGCTGTAACACTCACTGCAAAGGTCTGCAGCTTCACTCCTGAGGCCAGCGAGACCATGAACCCACCGGGAGGAATGAACAACTCCAGACGCGCCACCTCAAGAGCTGTAACACTCACCACGAAGGTCTGCAGCTTCACTCCTGAAGCCAGCGAGACCACGAACCCACCAGAAGGAAGAAACTCCGAACAAGTCCGAACATCAGAAGGAACAAACTCTGGACCCACCACCTTTAAGAACTGTAATACTCACCACGAGGGTCCGCGGCTTCATTCTTGAAGTCAGTGAGACCAAGAACCCACCAATTCCGGACACAATAGGAAGCAAGATCCCTCTTGGTGGTTGTATATTGCCTGGTCTACACGTGCTGCGTGGAACTGGGCTGTCCACCTGTGACTGTGCTGAGCCAAGCCAACATATTAAGCTGCACAAGAAAGACAGCATTTGAATGTTTGAATTCACCATGAAACTGCCCTATTTCTATATTTTGTGCAAGGTTCACGTTTTCCCCATTGTTTAAGCCATTTTTGGTTGGATATTTTATTATTTGTACCCAAAATTGTCTTAGCTAACAGACACTCAACTGTCTATATGCTCTTTAGCTCCAATAGTGCTCTAATTGTTTCATCTCTACCAAGTTGAAAATTTATTTGAGCAGAGAAAATAATCACCATATTTTTCTGGTTATAATTCGTTTTTCATAATTTAATGCTTCTAAAATGATCTATCTTTCAATGTATGTATTTAATATGAAAATATTTCTTTTTCCTGAAAATATATTATTGAATTTATAGCACAGATTACAACAATTATGTCTTAAACTCTGAGAAATGGGATAGTAGATTTCAGCTTTACCCCCAAGAAAAAGGAGAGTATAGAAAATGCCTAAGGAACTTGGTAGAGGGCAGGGTGCAGTGGCTTCTGCCTGTAATCCCAGCAATTTGGGAGGCCAAGGAGGGCGGATCATGAGGTCAAGAGATTGAGATCAGCCTGGCCAAGACGGTGAAACCCCATCTCTACTAAAAATACAAAAATTAGCTGGGCGTGGTGGTGCGTGCCTGTAATCCCAGCCCTACTCGGTAGGCTGAGGCAGGAGAATCGCTTCAGCCTGGGAGGCGGAGGTTGGCAGTGAGCCGAGATTGTGAGACTCAGTCGAAAAAGAAAGAAAGAAAGAAGGGAGGGAGGGAGGGAAGAATCACAGACCAAATTAATTAACATTGATGTAAAAACTCTAAAGATTAGCAAATCCAACATTGCAACGTTTTATTTCTCCATAATGTTAAAGAGCCTTTTTTCTTTACACCAGCTTTACCATTTTATTACATGTATCTTATATTGCCACGAAGTTTGTTTACATACAATAAAGTGCATGCATTCTAAGTATACAATTCAGTGGGTTTTGGCAAATGTAACCAACCATGGTTACATTCAGTCTCAATATAGAACATTTCCATCACCCTCCAAAAATTCCCTGTGCTATCTCTATATTTATGTTATGCAAGGCTCACATTTGCCTCATTATTGAAATCATTGTTGGTTGGGTTTTGTATTATTTGTACCCCAAATTGTCTTAACTAACATATACTCACCTGTTAATCCCACATGGTCAGCCCCTGGCAACCACAGGTCTGCTTTCTGTTACTACAGATCAGTTTTGCCTGTTCTAGACGTATATGTAAATGGACTCATACAACATGAACTCTGAATGCTCCCTGCATTCAGCACAGTGCATTCCAGTCCTTTATGTTGTCATGTGTATTGATTTTTTTTTTCCGTTTCGTTGCTGCATAGGATTTCATTGTATCAATATGCCACTATTGATGTATCCATCCTCCGGCTGAGAGGCATTGGGTTTGTTTCCGGTTGGGTTCTAAGCAGATGCTTAGAGGGAGTTTGGGATGCAGTGTGCTTGCTGGGGACCAACACCTGTGAAAAGAAGGGAGAGGAAGCAGGCTTGGGAAGACGGAGAAGGTAAACAGTGATGTGGTCTGACCAAACCTTGGCCAGTGCTTCAGAAAGCCCAAGAGCGGGTGTGACCATCAAAACTGTCCAGAGGCGGCACAAATGGCTTTTTCTTCATAGTCCCACCTCGCTCAGTGACAAGACATGGGTCATTCCACAAAGGGCATGGGGCATCCCCTAACGCAGCTGACACCTGGAATTGACCAAACTCCCAGAGCTGGATAGCAAGTCTCTGTTTGAAAGTGGACCTCAGTGGCTCATCTCTCACCAACCATTGGTTTGTTTCCAGTTTTTGTTTTTTGCTATTGTCAATAAAACTGCCAAATAAGCATTCACATATAAGTCTCCTTGTAGGCATACTTACGTTTGTATTTCTCTTGGGCAAAAACCTAGGAATGGCATTGCTGGGATATATGGTAAGTGTAGATTTAACTTTATAAAAAACTGTAAACCATGTTCCAAAGCTGTAGCACAATTTTCCATCAGCACCAGGATATCTGAGTGTCCCATTGCTCCATATCATTGCTAACTCTTGGTGTCATCAGACTTCAATTTCACCCACTCTGCTGGGGACACAGTGATAGTTCATTGTGGTTGTAATTTGTATTTCTCTGGTGGCATGGTGGGGGTGAGCTGTTTTTCATGTGCTCATTGACCATTGATATATCTTCCTTTGTGAAATAGCTGTCCAAATTTTTTGCCCAGTTAAAAAATTGAGTTATTTGTCTTTTTATAATTGAGTTGCAAGAGTTATTTGTATATATCTTCTGGGGAAAAGTTTATTGTCAGATATATATCACATATAATAAAGCATGAATATTTTCTTCCAGTCTGGCTTGCCTTTTTGGTCTTTTAAGTCTTTTGAAATAACAAAAGTTTTAAATATTGTTATCAGTATTTTATCTTATGCTTAATGTTTTGATGTCCTAACAAATTTTTGCTATCCTGAAGTTGCAAAACCATTCTCCTGTGTTTTCTTCTAGAAGCTGGTTTTGTTGTTGTTTTAGAGACAGTGTCTCACTCTGTTGCCCAGGCTGGAGTGTGGTGGCAAGATCACAGCTCACTGCACCCTTAACTCCTGGGCTCAAGCTATCCTCCTACCTCAGCCTCCAAAGTAGCTAAGACAATGGGCACATGCCACCACATCCAGCTAATATTTTTTTAGAGATGGAGTATTCCTATGTTGCCCAGACTGGTCTTGAATTTCTGGCCTCAAGCAATCTTCCTGCCTTGGCCTCTCAACATGTTGGGATTACAGGTGTGAGCCACAATGCCCAGCATTCTAGAATTTTTATAATCATAAATCTGTGTTAAAGTCTGATATATCTTTTGAGTTTATTTTGTGAGGGAAAGGCTAAGGTTCATTTTTTAAAATTCAGAAATCTAGTTTCATCACCATTTGTTGGAAAGAGAGTCTTTTCCTCACGGAATTGTCGTGGCACCTTTGTTGAAAATCAATTCACCATATATGTGTGAATCTATTTCTGGACTCTATATTGTATACCATTGATTTATGTCTGCTTTTATATCAATTTCACACTGCCTTAATTACTTTTTAGTAAATCTTGAAATCAGGTAGGGTAAGTTCTCCAATTTCGTCTTTCATTTTCAAAAGTGTTTTGACTATTTCAGGTCATTTTCATTTCAGTATAATTTTACAGCCAGTTTTCAATTTCTATCCCCAAAAGAGCTTGCTGATTTCAATTAACTTTACATTAAATCTGTAGATCAATTTCGGAAAAATACTCTTTTTAAAAAATATTGAGTAATTCAGTTCACAGACACAATATTTCTGTCCATTACTTGCTTAGATATTCTTTAATATCTCTTGACAGTTTTGTTGTTTTCAGTGTACAGATCTTTTAATGTTTTGGTAAATTTATCCCTAGATCCTTCATGGTTTTGATGCCATTGTAAATAATGTTGTTTAAAGATGGTTTTATTATTTCTTTTTCAATTTATATCATTTTCTTCCTGTCTCCTCATCCTCTTCCATCTCCTCTTCCTTCTCATTCTCTTTTCTTCCTTTCTTTTTGGCAATGTGGATCTCGAGTGGTAAGAGCATATATTTTTACTTTGTTCCTAGTCTTAGGGAAAAAGTGCTCAGTCTTTCTCCATTAAGTGTGATGTTAGCTTTAAGTTTTTCACAGAAGTTCTTTATCAGGTTGAGGAAATTCCTTTCTATTCCTACTTTGCTTAGATTATTTATTATCTGTGGATGGCAAATTTTGTCAAATACTTTTCCTTGTATGTATTCAGATTATCCAGTTGGCAATGTTTATTCTATTAATACAGTGACATATCTTGATTGACTTTTAAATATAATGTTTTATCCTTGCATTCCCAGGATAAAACCACTTGTACCTGATGTACTACCCTTTTTATAGATTGCTGGATGTGTTTGGCTAAATTTCTGAGAAGGATTTCTTTGCCACTAGGTTCACAACATATGTTGGTGAATAGTTTTCTTTGCTCATCTTCTGGATTTGGTATCTGGGTAATACTTTAATCATAAAATGAGTTGAGAAGTGTTCACTCCTTCTCTATTTTCTGTAAGATCAATGGGAAAATTTGTGTGGAATGTACCAGTCCAAAACTATGTGAGTCTAGAATTGTCTTTATCAAGGGAGATTAAATCACAGTGTAAAATATTTAATAGGCTGGGTGCAGTGGCTCACGCCTGTAATCCCAGCACTTTGGGGGAGGCTAAGGCGGGTGGATCACGAGGTCAGGAGATCGAGACCATCCTGGCTAACACGGTGAAACCCCATCTCTACTAAAAATACAAAAAGAAAATTAGCCGGGCATTGTGGCGGGCGCCCATAGTCCCAGCTACTCGGGAGGCTGAAGCAGGAGAATGGCACGAACCTGGGAGGCGGAGCTTGCAGTGAGCCGAGATCGCGCCACTGTACTCCAGCCTGGGTGACAGAGTGAGACTCCTCTCAAAAAAAAAAAAAAAAAAAATTAATAAATATAAGGCTAGGCCAGGTGCGGTGGCTCACACCTATAATCCCAGCATTTTGGGAGGTCGAGGCGGGTGGATCACAAGGTCAGGAGATCGAGACTATCCTGGCTAACACAGTGAAACCCCGTCTCCACTAAAAAATACAAAAAATTAGCCAGGCGTGGTGGTGGGTGCCGGTAGTCCCAGCTACTTGGGAGGCTGAGGCAGGAGAATGGCATGAACCCGGCAGGCAGAGGTTACAGTGAGCCAAGATAGCGCCACTGCACTCCAGCCTGGGCTACAGAGCGAGACTCCGTCTCAAAAACAAAAAAAAAATTTAATAAATATAAGGCTAGGCCAGATGCGGTAGCTCACACCTGTAATCCGAGCACTTTGGGAGGCCGAGGTGGGTGGATCACAAGGTCAGGAGATCAAGACCATCCTGGGTAACACAGTGAAACCCTGTCTCTACTAAAATTTAAAATTAAAAAAAAAAAAAGATAGCCGGGTGTGGTGGCGGGCACCTGTAGGCCCAGCTACTCGGGAGGCTGAGGCAGGAGAATGGCATGAACCTGGGACACGGAGCTTGCAGTGAGCCAAGATTGCACCATGCGCACTCCAGCCTGGGTGACAGAGCGAGACTCCATCTCAAAATAAATGAATAAAATAAAATAAAATAAAATAAAAATATGTAAGGCTATTGAAATTTTCTATTTTGTTTGAGTTTTGTTAATTTATGTCATTCAAGTAAGCCTTCTATTTAACATACATTTTTAAATTTATTGACATTAAATTGTTCATAATTTTCCCCTTATTTTTCTTTTAATATCTCTATGAATTATAGTGGTGACCCACTTTCATTTCTAATAATGATAATTTGGGTCTTTTTTTTTCCACCATTCTAGCTGAAGGTTTGTAGATTGTGTTGATATTTAAAGAAAACAGCTTTTGCTGGCAGTAATTTTTCTATTGTTTGCTTAATTTTCTAGGGTATTAATATCTGCTCTAATTTGTCTTCTTTCCTTCCTTCTACTTTGGGTTTCATTTTTTCTACTTTTTCTAGATTTTAAAAGTATAAGCTTATATCATTAATTCTAGATTTTTCTTTTCTAGTGCAAGCATTTTGAGCTATATATTTACCTCTAAATACAACTTAAGCTGCACCTTATATATTTTTACATATTTTGTTTTCATTATCAATCAGTTCAAAGTAATTTCTAATTTCCATTGTGACTTCTTCTTTATATAATACCATAGGTTATTTAGAAGTATATGTTTAATTTTCAAATATTTAGGGATTTTTCAGTAATCTTGCTACTAATTTCCAATTTAATTACATTTTGACCAGAGAAAATATTTCATAGTATTTTCAGTCTTTTAAATTTGAGGTTTGTTTTATGGCCCAGCACATAGTCTTTTTTGGTGAATAGTTCATGCTCACCTAAAAAGAATGAGCACTCTGCAGATGCTCAGTATAGCATTTTATACATTTTAGGTTGAGTTGGTTGATCATGCTGTTCAATACCACTGATATTCTGTGTATTTGTTTTATAAATTACTGAGGGAGGAGTGTTGAAGTCTCCAACTGAAAATGCAGATCTCTTCATTTCTCTTATTTCATCGGTGTTTGCTTCATATGTTTTCAAACGTGATTACGTGCATGCATATTTACAATTGCTAGGTCTTTTGATGAATTGACTATTTAATCATTATGAAATGTCCCTATTCATTTAGGCTGATAGTTCTTGTCATAAAGGCTGCTTTGATACTAATATAGCCACCTTGGCTTTCTTTCTTTTGATCACTGTCTATTCCTGATATTTTTATTATTTTACCTTTTAAATTGTAATGTATCTGTGGTTTTGCACTTACGGCGAATTTCTTGTAGACAATATGTAGTTGGATCTTGCATTTTTATCCAGTTTTAAGTTCTTCTGCTTCTTTTTTTTTTTTTTTTTTTTTTTTTTTGAGACAAAGTCTCACTCTGTTGCCCAGGCTGGAGTGCAGTGGCATAATCTTGGCTCACTGCAAGCTCTGCCTCCCAGATTCAGGTGATTCTTCTGACTCAGCCTCCAGAGTAGCTGGGACTACAGGTATGTGCCACCACACCTGGCTAATTTTTGTATTTTTAGTAGAGACGGGATTTCACCATATTGGCCAGGCTGGTCTCAAACTCCTGACCTCGTGATCAGCGTGCCTTGGCCTCCCAAAGTGCTGGGATTACAGGCGTGAGCTATTGCACCAGGCCTAAGTTCTATCTTAATTCAATTGTTTGGATCATTTATGTTTACAATATAAGTCCATATATTGGGGTTTAAGTCTAGCATCTTGTTATTTATTTTATAGTTATCTTATGTGTTTTTGGCTCCTTTATTTCTGCTCCTTTATTCCTTTCTTTTGGATTAATTTTTTATATATTCTATCTTTATTATTTACTTATTAGCTATTCATTTTTATTAGAATTAACTGCTCTACATTTTATAATAAACATCTTTATAATGGCCAGGTGCAATGGCTCATGCCTATAATCCCAGCACTTTGGGAGACTGAGGAGGGCAGATCACTTGAGGTCACAAGTTCGAGACCAGCCTGGCCAACATGGTGAAACCCCATCTCTACAAAAAATACAAAAATTGACGGGTGTGGTGGTGCACGCCTGTAGTTCCACCTACTAGGAAGGCTGAGGCAGGAGAATTTCTCATTGAACCCAGGAGGTGGACGGTGCAGTAGGCTGAGATCACACCATTGCACTCCAGCCTGGGCGACAGAAAGAGACTCTGTCTGAAAAAAAAAAAAACTTTATCATGCCTTATCTTCAAATTTTTTTGTGTATATAATGTAAGAACTTTTATTTTTTATTTCAGTAGGTTTTTGGGGAACAGGTGGTGTTTGGCTACATGGATAAGTTCTTTAGTGGTTGTTTCTTTTTTTTTTTTTCTTGAGATGGAGTCTTGCTCTGTCACCCAGGCTGGAGTGCAGCGGCGCTATCTTGAATCACTGCAACTTCCACCTCCCAGGTTCAAGTGATTCCCCTGCCTCAGCCTCCCGAGTAGCTGGGATTACAGGCGCCTGCCATCACATCCAGCTAATTTTTTTGTATTTAAGTAGAGATGGAGTTTCACCATGTTGGCCAGGCTGGTCTTGAGCTCCTAACCTCAAGTGATCTGCCCACCTCGGCCTCCCAAAGTGCTGGGATTACAGGTATGAACCACTGTAAGCCCCACACCCAGCCCAGAAAGAGATATTTAATAGGGACTTATGAACAGAAGCAATGTCTTGGGTAGCTGTGAGACTATGGATTCCCCACACCTGCCCTCCAGAAATATTCTTTATCAGCAAGCTTTTAGGGTAAACCATGTGCAACTGGTCACGTCTTCAGACTTTCTTAACAAGACCTGTTACTATTGTACAGGTTAGATAAACATCTTTATGAGGGGTTATTTATGCTACATACATTGTTTGAAGAACTTAGTGCAGAACACCTTGGTACACAGAGGTCAAAGAGCAATCATCAAGGTGGTTTCACTTCAAGATGGCATCACTCTTGCCACAGAACAGGCTGTTTTCCTATAGATTTGTTAAATCACTTTATATTTTCCCACGTCACTAAAGCGCTATTCATTTCACTCAATCTTTCTTCTATCTGTGCTTCAATTTGGATATCTAGTGCTACATCATCAATCACTGTTTTTTTTTTCTTCTGCAGTGTTTAATCTGCTGTTAATCTCACCCAGTGAATTTTTTTTCAAATGTTACATTTTTCAACTCCACAAGTCCTTTCTACGATCTATGTTATGTTTCCCTCCTTATTACATACATGTTTTCCTTTAAATCCTTGAACGTATTTAGAACAGCAGGTTTCAATTCCTTCAGGTATAAACCCAGGATGAGAGCAGGTCTCACAATGTTTCCTTCCCTTCTCTCAGGGACTACAGTCTTGTGTAAACAGTTGGTTAATACATTTTGTTTATTTTTCTAGTTGTTCATAGCAGGAGAGCAAGCCTGGTAATAATGACTACAACATGCCTGGAAGAGGAAATTGCTTGTAAGCTTTTAACACACTATCTAACTATGTAAATTTCTTCCTCCTTCCTCTTTAATTTTTAGCTGCCTTTACTAGAATGTAAGTTCTAAAAGGTCAGGGACTTCAGTCTGTTTTACTTCTGCTGTATCTTCGTTACCCATAATGTACCATAAATATTTGTTGAATTATCGAATGAATGATTTACTTGACTATCATTTACTCTAAAGCACTTTAATCAAGAAAGAGTGATACTATATTTGTTCCAGTAAATGGCAGCTTTGATATACATAGTTTCCATAATCATGAACCCAACTAGTATTGCATAAGTCAGCATGTGAGATGTTATTAATTGTCATAACGCATGTCAAAAACAGGCTACCAGTGAAATTTAAAATACTCAGGATATGAAGATTGGCTAAGATATCTTAGACATATTCTCCATCCTTATAGTGCACAGGGCATAAAAATTCAATGATCCTATAGTCTGAACCTTTAGTGATGATGCTATGAGACTTAATCTTTAAATAGTCTCTTCTCCAGCCATTGGTCTAGGTAAATATCTGTTTGCCTGACACCAACTATGGAATGTTGTCAAGCTTTTTATGCAAAGTGGTAGGCAGAGCACCCAAATGTACAGAGCTCTAGAATGTCACCTAGATTAAACAACAGGGTGTATGAATAAATTTATGCCTTTTTTTTTTTTTTTTTGAGACGGAGTTTTGCTCTTGTTGCCCAAGCTGGAGTGCAATGGCACAATCTTGGCTCACTGCAACCTCTGCCTACTGGGTCCAAGCGATTCTCCTGCCTCAGGCTCCAGAATGGCTGGGATTACAGGTGTGCACCATCATGCCCAGCTAATTTTGTATTTTTAGTAGAGATGGGGTTTCACCAAGTTGGTCAGGCTGGTCTTGAACTCCTGATCTCAGGTGATCCACCCACCTCGGTCTCCCAAAGTGCTGGGATTACAGGCGTAAGCCCATAATTACAGGCTGCGCCTGACTGATTTATGCCTATTTTTAAATCAACATTTGTTTAGTAAATGTTGGTATGTTGGCAGAATTCGGTCTGAGACCTGCTTTCATTCTACCTAGTAGGGACATTATGGGATAGTAACTAACTTTTTCCCATCTCAAACTTTCTAGAGTTTACTGCTTTCAGCGAAACACTAGATAAATGTTACTCATGGCCAAGTTACTTGGAGCAGTTTATAATTTACCAACTTGGGTTTATCACAAGAAAGTTAACTTAGAAAAAATGCAGTACTGTGATTTGTCACATTAACAGATAAAAGGAAAATAATTTTCTGATCATCTTGACCTATCATAGTTTTGAAATATAATTTCAAACAAATTTATTGTTTGTAAAAAATTTAGTCAACTAAAATTAGAAGGAATCTTGCTTAACTTGAAAAGTATTGTACCAAAAAGTAACAGTAAATAAAGCTACGGAATAAAATAAAAACCCAGGAACTGTTTGTTTTGTTTTAAATTATAATATATGTGATACTATAGAAGTAGCATTACAATCAATGAGAAAAGCATGAACTGTTTAACAAATTGTGCTCCTTTTATTACCTAGAGGGAATTTTACTTTTGTTTTTTCTGCAGTGATCTACAAGTTCTAGCAACCTTTAATAAAAAGTCGGAACTACTTTAATAAAAGTCAAAAAGCCTAACTATCTCATCTCTTACTAGTAATATTTCACATATAATCCTACTGCATATAAATAGTTATATTGCATATACTGGAACAGTTGCCTGTCCTCAGGGAGAAAAAATAGATCTATTTCATTCCATCCATAAAGATAAATTCCAAATGCATTGAAAAATCTGACTGTGAAAACTAAAAGGTTGAAAACAAGGAGAAAATATTGGAGAATATCTTTTCACCTTGGAATAGGAAAATATTCCTTAAACAAGGCAGAGAAAGCAAACATTTTATTGATTCACCAAAAGATCATAAATTTTATTGCATTTAAACCTCATGTGTATTATTTAACTTCAGTACAAAAAGAAAGAGGTCTGAGACAAAAGGTTATTGCTACATATATAACCAGCTATGAATTAACATTCAAAGTTTACATATAACATTTGGCAAATCAATAAGTAAAAGACATAACAAGGGGAAAATTGGCAAAGTATATGAATGGGTAGTTCACAGAAGAAGAAATGTTAAGTGGCTAATAAGCATTGGAAAACACACTCAGCCTCACTAGTAGTAAAAGAAATGTAGCTAAAGGCCAGGCGCGGTGACTCACGCCTGTAATCCCAGCACTTTGGAAGGCCGAGGCGGGTGGATCACGAGGTCAGGAGATCGAGACCATCCTGGCTAACATGGTGAAACCCCATCTCTATTAAAAATACAAAAAATTAGCCAGGCGTGGTGGCACGTGCCTGTAGTCCCAGCTACTCAGAAGGCTGAAACAAGAGAATTGCTTGGACCCAGAAGGCAGAGGTTGCAGTGAGAAGAGATTGCACCACTGCACCCCAGCCTGGGTGACAAAGCGAGACTCTGTCTCAAAAAAAACAAAAACAAAAACAAAAACAAAAACAAAACTGCAGCTAAAAATAATGAAATATTATTTCATTATTTATGATGAAATAATTTGGCCAAAGTTTATTAATGGCCAATTTGGCCAAAGTTTATTAATGGCCAATAAACTTTGGCCACTAGTGGCCACAGTTTAAAATAGTGGCCAAAGTGTAAAAATAAGTACTGGTTAGGAGCTGAGGAGAAATGAGAACTCCCAGAGCACTGAGAACTGGAGCCACTACTTTGGAAAACAATTCTGCAATGATCAATAGATCTCTGAATTCTGTCTTTAGGTTTCCTAGTAAAACTTTCAAATACGGGCACTTAGAGTGATATATAAAGATAGTTAACGGAGGCCCATTGCCCATTTTGTAATTGTGAAAAGCTGGAAACAAACCTAAATGCCTGTCACCAGTAAAACGAAGCAACATGAAGATCCCTGTACACAGATGTCTGTCTCTTTTGTCCTCTCCTGAACCTTGAACAATGTTTGACTCATAGTAGGTGCTCAATAAGTACTTGTTAAATGAATGAATAAATGAATTCTATACCATGTTACACAGCAGGTAAGAATCTACATGCATCAACATCAATGAATTTCAAAGAAAAATGGCCTGCAATAAAACTTTCTGGAGTGTGAATGCAAACATGTAAATTATATAAGTGCACAAAACAATGTGATATATTGTTGGTGCATGTATAGGTACTATACACATCTTTAAAATATATGCAGAATTTACCCTCTCTCCACACAGCCATATCACCCACCTGGGTCAAATCGCAGCATCTCTGCCCTGGATTATTGCTGCGCTCCTAACTGGTCTTCCTGTTTCTGCCATGCCCTTCCTGGAGTCTATTCTCAGCACAGTAGCTGGAATGATCCTGTTAAAACATCTGCCCAGCTCAGTCTTACCTCTTGAACCTCGGCCTCCCCTTGTGCCTTCTGAAGCTACACCAATCTCTTCACTGTTCCTACGAGGCACTCATCTTTCACCATCACTGCCTCCTCAGCCAAGGACCAGTCCCCAGTAATCTGTAAGCTCTTCTCCTCCACCTCTTGGATTCTTCCCTGAATGTCCTCTTTCCACTGAGTTGTTCCCTGGCAAGTTTATCCAAAACTCAGCAGCTTCCCCCAGCCACCACACCCTCCCTTGTGCCCTTTCCTGCACATCTTATCATCTAACAAACCACATATTTTACTTAATATTTTGCTCATTGTCTGTCCCCACACCCTTCCAAATGTCACCTCCTTGAAGACAGGGGCTTTTGTCTGTTTTATTCATTGCTAAATTCCCAGCAACCAGCCTAATACCTGGCCCAGAGAAGGCTCAGAAAGAAACAGAAAGAAAAGGCACAATGGTCAGGATGTAGACCTGCTTCAGGACACTCATCGCCTCTAGGGATTGGGAAAGCTGGTGGGATGGCACATATATGTTGCACTGTTTTATATTTTAATCAAGAAAAACAACTGAAGCAAATGTGGCTTCATTTAACAAATGCTAGCATTAAACAAATCTCAGTAACATATTGTCTATGATTTTTCATACCCTTGCTTTAAATTGATTAATAATATCCATATAATAAAGTAGATAAAGTACACTAAGGTGCACAATGTGATGACTTTTGAATGTACAGTCATCCCTTGGTATCTTAGGGTGGACTGGTTCCAGAACGCCCCCAACGATACTAAAATCCACAGATGCTCAGTCCCTTATATGAAATGATATAGTATTTGCATATAACCAATGCACACATCCTCTTGTATACTTTAAATCGTCTTTAGATTACTTATACCTCATATAGTGTAAATGCTATGTAAGTAGTTTTTATACCATATTGTTTTATTTGTATTATATTTTATTGTTGGTATTATTATTTTAAATTTTTTCCAAATATTTTTGATCTGGAGTTGGTTGAATCCGTGGATGCAGAACCCGTGGATAAGGAGGGCCGAGGATACGTATACATTATGTGACCACCACCTAAATTAATGCTGAGAATATACTCAGCATCCTGTACTCCCCCAGTTTCTTGTACTTCTTCCCAGTTTACACCACTCTTGCCTACAGATAATCACAATTCCGACTTCAATTATCAGTTAATTTTGCCAATTTTTGGAATTTATATAGTCATATAATATATGCTTACGTGTCCAGCTTCTTTCACTCAACAAAATATCTTGGAGGTTCATCCCTGTTGTCAGCACTAATAGTTTTTTTTCTTTTTTTTTTTTTTTTTGGAGATGGAGTCTCCCTCTGTCGCCCAGGCTATAGTGCAGTGGCGTGATCTCGGCTCACTGCAAGCTCCGTCTCCCGGGTTCACGCCATTCTCCTGCCTCAGCCTCCCAAGTGGCTGGGACTACAGGCACCCGCCACCACGCCTGGCTAATTTTTTGTATTTTTAGTAGAGACGGGGTTTCACCGTGCCAGCCAGGATGGTCTCGATCTCCTGACCTCGTGGTCCGCCCACCTCGGCCTCTCAAAGTGCTGGGATTACATTTTAGCCATTCTGGTGGGCATAGCGCGGCATCTCGTTTTGGTTTTAATTTGTACTTTCCTTATGGATAACAATGCAGGACACTTGCATTTGCTTGTTGAACATTTGGATATTCTCTTCTGTGGAGTGTTTAATTTCAAAATTAGGTTTTCTTATTATTTGCAGGAATTCTTCATCTATTCTGGAGAAGTTTGTGTCAAGTGTATGCACTGTGACTATCTCCTCCTAGTCTTTGGTTTGCTTTTCACTTTTTAATGGTGTTTTTGGTAAATAGAAATGTAATGTTTTGATGAGGTCCACCTGCATGCTTTTGGATATTTGAAATATTTTGTAATTAAATATTTTAATCGGAAAAAATAGAAAAGGGAAGGCCTTTCTCTTTCACTCTTAGACAGAACATATGGTTCAAAGGATCATTCCTTCCTCCCTCCTCTCTCCCCTCCATATTATTGTACTAACGTGTATCTAACTCCAGGATCCACACGGAAGGTAATTTTCAAGTGGGTGGGCCCGCTCTCCAGCTCTTCCTGCCCCAGCTCCCTGGCCTCCCTTGCTGTCCAGGGTACGAGGCTAGCGGCGCGCCGCGGTCCCCGCTCCCTTGGGGGACAGCGAGCAAGGCGTATGGAAAGGAGGAGGAGAAAGAGGGGGAAGGGGAAGAGCAAGGGAGGGGAAGGGGGTTCGCGGCTGCCTGGCGCTCAGCAAGTGCAGGAACGGAGGCACCGCAGGGCAGGCGGCCAGGGGCTCGGAGGCTCTGCCTCTTTGAGTTCCAGAAAAGTCAACCGGGACAGGGCGGTGGAGAGACGCGCAGTCTTCGCGGGGCGGGCTCGGGCACACTGGCCCTCCAGGATCCGCAACATTTTCCAACTTGGAAAACGTCCTCTTTTCCCATTGCAGAAAAAATACGCTAGGAGAGAAAACTAGATTCCTAACTTCAAAACGTTTTAGAACAGAGTGTGTCTCTTAAAACTCATATGGCGGATGACGCCAAAACAGTCTGTCTTTTGTTTCCAGCAGTTTCCAGTTGGAAAATTCCTTTGGGAATTTCTTTGCATCTCAGGCACAAACTTCAACAACAGCCTCAAGTAGCACTGTCTGCATTGCCGGATTCTGATTTCTCTGACCTCTAACAGAAGTTTTCTATTTTACTTTCGAAGGTAACTGAAAGGGGTTGATTTAATCTACAAAGCTCTATTCTCCTGATGAAAATTTCTTAAGAGATCTCCGGTTTCCCTTGCGTTTATTTCATGGGAATTAAGATGCTGTGTTTTGATACGGCTTGTGATGCAAAGAGCTGCGCTCCAGGGAGTAGGAAATTTGGTCTTGATGAAGATAGAACAATTCTGAATAATATCCAGGTTTTTTTTTTAATTTTTAGATTTTTAAAAATTTTTGTGGGTACATAGTAGGTGTATATATTTATGGGGTACATGAGGGGATGTTTTGATACAGGCACAATGCATAATAATCACATCATGGAGAATGGGGTGTCCATCCCCTCAAGCATTTATCTTTGTGTTACAAACAATCCAGTTGCACTCTTTTCGTTATTTTTAAATGTATAATTAAGTACATTTGACTATAGTCAATAATAACCCGTTGTGCTATCAAATAGGAGTTCTTATTCATTCTTTCTATTTTTTGTACCCTATCCAATATGTCTGTTTTGAATGGAAAACAGCTAGATAAGCTAGTGAAATTTTCACATGAAATTGAGAAACATCATTAAAAACAAATAGATTTGTAGAGTAAAGTCAAAGAAATTATAAAGGAGAAAAATAAAAGTAACACACTATAAAATAAGACATATCTTAGAAAAAAGAACTGAAGAATGACAAAATCAAGGGGACCAAGTCTGATACATAAGTCGTTCTTACTAAAAATTAGTCATTTATTTATTCAGCCAGTTTTCACTGGCCATCTGTTGTGCCACGCCGGGTTGAGATGCTGAGCATAGCTACCAATTTGTATAAGGGATTGATCTGTCCCTAAGGGTGCCCTAAGGTCAGGGCTGGCCCTGAGACAAATTATGAAATTATACAATATGGCCGGGTGCAGTGACTCACGCCTGTAATCCCAGCACTTTGGGAGGCCGAGGCGGGTGGATCACAAGGTCAGGAGATCAAGACCATCCTGGCTAACACAGTGAAAACCCGTCTCTACTAAAAAATACAAAAAATTAGCTGGGCGTGATGGTGGGCACCTGTAGTCCCAGCTACTCAGGAGGCTGAGGCAGGAGAATCTGCTTGAACCTGGGAGGCAGAGGTTGCAGTGAGCTGAGATCGCGCCACTACACTCCAGCCTGTGCAACAGAGCAAGACTCTCCGTCTCAAAAAAAAAAAAAAAGAAAGAAAAGAAAGAAAAGGAAAAGAAAAAGAAATATACACTATGTATCTTCAGCTTTCCTACTCCTCTTTTTGCAACTTTCTCCCAGCCCTTTTCCCCTTTCTATGGTTTATTTTCTAATTCTAGTCATCAAAATTAAAAACTTATCTTAGGAATTATATGTACGGTTAGAGTAGTTATGTTTTGATCCAAATTTAGGTCAATGTGTCCTCCCTGTATTTGTCAGCTTGAGGTGCCATAACACAATACCAGAAAGTAGGTGGCTTAGACAACAGAAATTTATTTCTCACAGTTCTGGAGGCTAGGAAGTCTGAGATCAAGATGCCACAGGTTTGGTTCCTGGTGAGGGTCTCTACCTGGCTTGAGGCAGCTGCCATATTGGTTTGTGCTCACATGACATCTTTGGAGTCTCACCAGGAGAGAGAGTGAGCCAATTCTCTAGTGCCTTTTACTTGTAAGAGCACAAATCCCATAATGAGGACCCACCTTCATGACCACATCTAAACCTAATTACTTCTCAAAGGTCCCATCATCAGATACACTCAGCTAGGGGTTTTAATGTGCCCCTCAGTGTTCATGTGTTGGAAATGTAATTCTTATTGCAACAGTGTTGAAAAGTGGGACCTTCAAGAGGTGATTACGTCTTGAGGTCTCTGCCCCCATGAATGGATTAATGTCATTATCACTGGAGTGGGTTTGTTATTGAGAGAGAGTGGATTTCCTATAAAAGTGAGCTTGTCTGTCTCATGTGCACCCATGTTCTCATGCCCATCTGCCTTCCACCATGGGATGATATAGCAAGAAGTTCTTCACAAGAAGCAGGCCCCTTGATCTTGATCTTGGACTTCCCAGCCTCCAGAACCATGAGCCAAATAAATTTTTGTTAATTATAAATTACCCAGTCTCAGGTATTCTGTTATAGCAGCAAAAATAGGTTTTTTTTTTTTTTCATCACATTGGGGCTTAGGGCTTTGGCATTTGGATTTAGGGGAATGAAAATGTTCAGAGTAACACTCTCCCAATGCTATTTATATTTTAAAACTTATCTGTTTCAATTGAGATATGTGGCTGGCTCCAGTAAAGCAAATCAGAAGAGGGTGAAGACAAATTCATCATCCAAAGATGATAACAGAGGGCCCTTTCTGTTAACCCATAGGTATCCTATGTTTTATTATTGATAGGAACACATTTTATTATTGCTGTCCCACATTTTATTATTGACAGGAACTTGAAGGGCTACTTATTTAACTGTAAGTTTGAAATAACTTTAGTTATAGTCAAAAAGAAAGTCTTGAGTTGGCTCGGATCTTCCAGAGTTTACATCACGGAACACTAAAAAAAATGTTCTCTCTGGAATCTGCTTCTCCAGAGACTCCAGTTGGAATGCTCAGAGCAATATTTGCTAACAGAAATAAGTTGATATAGTTGAGAGGATCCAGAACAAGGCACCAAAATGATCAAAGGAATGACTTGTGCATTAAGATCAAAAGACCTGGCAGTGCAGGTCAAGAATTGGTGGAGAGGGGATACCTGGTACTTGATAAGAGTCTACAAATATTTAAAAGGTGTTAACAGGGAGGAAGGCAAGCCCAATTTTGCCTGCTTGGAGGTGACATAATGTGAAACAGTAAAGGTAACACCAAAGAATGAACAATGTAGCCAGAAGATCAGGATCTATTTCCAGCAAAGAACTACTGAGGTTTCTGCAAAATTACACAATGTGAAGCATTAGATCCACTGTACCCCTAGCAGAAAGTAACCTTGAACAATTTCTATTTGCAGATCGCTGTGTCTTACGTCTTTCTTGCCTCTATTAGCCCATCATTCAGTACTTAACAACTCACCTCCTTCTACCCGTTACCCAAATTCTTTAACATCTTTAGGGGTCCCATCAATGACAGTATGCCTACTTTTTGGAAGAATATGATTTATGTAGCAAAGCTAAGATAGAAATTTGCAAACAGAAGCCGGGCGTGGTGGCTTACACCTGTAATCCCAGCACTTCGGGAGGCTGAGGCGGGCAGATCATGAGGTCAGGAGATCGAGACCATCCTGGCTAAGACAGTGAAACCCCGTCTCTACTAAAAAATACAAAAAATTAGCCGGGTGTGGTGGCGGGCGCCTGTAGTCCCAGCTACTCAGAAGCCTGAGGCAGAAGAATGGCATGAACCCAGAGGCAGAGCTTGCAGTGAGCCGAGATCGTGCGACTGCACTCCAGCCTGGATGACAGAGCGAGACTCCGTCTCAAAAAAAAAAGAAAGAAATTTGCAAACAGAAAAGCATTTGAACAGTTGTTGTCACTTTATGTGTTCCATATGCAGCACATTTGTTAATCCAGGAGTACAGAGTTTAGAATCATGAATTTTAAGAAACAGAGGCAAGCTTGAGGTGATCCACTCTGATCAGAGAGGCTAGGTGACTTCTACAAAATGCATGAGCCAGAGACTTCTGCAAAATGCACAAAACAGAGCAGAGACTAAAACCTAGGTTCTCACCGAAGTGGGGTTGATTATTATCAGGTAGCATTACCTTTCTGTTCCTTTAGAGACAGTGTCTCGCTCAGTTGCCCAGGCTGAAGTGCAGTGGTGCAATCACAGTTCATTGCAGCCTCAAACTCCTGGGCTCAAGTGATCCTCCTACCTCAGCTTACAGAGGAATCCTTTTTCATTTTTTAAAAAATGCAGTAGTTTCCATTTCTCTTTTTTTCCTAAAAGCTATGACAAACAAATTTTAGGACTTTTTTTTTTTCCTTGGCTGGATTTCCAAAGTCTCACACTTTTATTATTGCTTAGGATGGATTTACTTAAAATTCTAAACTAGGTTTGTTAATGGTAAAGGCCTTATAGCAAGGCCTGAGCAAAAGTCAACCCATCTGTTGCCTTTCATACAATGAGATGCTTGGGCTGAGAGGGGAGGCTGCTCCCCCACACAGGAATGAACAGCTCTGCTCCCCTACACATGAATGAACAGCTCTGCTCAATACAAATTCTCCAGTTAGATCAAGCCTCCGACGGGGCATGCCTGAATCTGAAACAGGAAGCTCCTGAGCTGTCAAGAACCATGCTAAACATAGTTTGGAGACACTCTTACTAAACAAAACATTTTACCAAAAATTAAACTATGGTTATTTCTTCTTTACCTATGTAAACCAAAAAGTGACTGAGACAGGTCTCATTTAATTTAGAGATTTATTTTGCCAAGATTGAACACATGCCCAGGAAAAAGAGACACAAGTTACAATAGGATCTGTGGCCTGTGTTTTTTCCAAAGAGGGTTGTGAGGACTTCACCATTTAAAGGGGAAAGAGTGGGTAGGAGGGGAAGGAGGAAAGGAAAAAAAGAGGAAAGATTAGATAATGAAGCAAAAGTTACATTCTTGTGGGGCTTTGATGGGGCTCACTGAATCCACATTTTACATGTGAAAAGAGGGAGTAGAGGAACTGTCAATAATGCATTCATCCCAAGCTAGGTAAATCTGCACTTTACATAGGATAAAGTAAACACAGAGTAGAGGAAGAAGTCAAATATGCTTTTGGCGGGCAGAGAGTTGATTTCTAGTCTTGTCTTTGTCCTGTACATGTAAAGATAAGCTGTTAATTTACACTGTCAGGATGATATTCAACAGAACCCTGTTTGGGGTTGGTTCATGGGAGGGGTATGTATTCTGAAAGATTTGCAAGCCCACAGGGAATTCTTGTGAGCAATTTGTGAGGGAGCCCACCTGAGTAGATAGGTGGTCTTCTATGATTACCGCTCTCTGTTTAGGAACAAAAGGAAGGCAGTTTTATATGATTCAGTTGCCAATCTTCACTTTTCCCTTTGGCATAGTGAGTTTTGGGTCCTGAGATTTTATTTTCCTTTCACACCTAAACATTTCCAAGTGACAAGATGATTGTGGTGTGTGAGCTGCATCTTACGGTAATGAATTGTGTATCTCACCTCCTGGACTTATGCTCTGTTCACTCCCTATTTGGTCCCCAGCACTGAGCTAGATAGAAGTGATACAAAGATGAATAGGACATGGCTCCTGCCTTCAAAGAGCTCAGGGTCTAATGTGCAAAGTGGCAACACAAACCAATTTATAGGGCTGTCCTGTAGGTGTGATGGTGTAGCAAGGTTAAGTGTATGATAGAGCATTCAAAAAACAGAGGAAAGAGGCACCTTACCCTGGTGAGGTTAGGGAAAGCTTCCAGATCAGTCTTTTTTTTTCGGTTGTTAAGCATCCTTCTGTCCTACTTCTCTCCATATATATACAAATACATAATAAATATTCCTATAGAGTTTTTAATGGGTTTATATCATACATATTGTCATGCAACTTGCCTTTTTAAAAGACTCAAAAAAATACACATCCTTCCTACGTAACCAGTTCATTTTTTAAAATAGCTACACAGTATGTATTTCTGCAATTTAACTGTTCTCGGCTTTTAGACAATTAGGTTGTTTCTAATTTTTATTAATTGCTAACGTAATCTGGAAGACAGCCTCTCCTCTCATTTTGGTCCCAGTGGGGCTATCTGCCTGTCCCCCAGGGAACATGGGGATGGGTCATTGAGGTCGTCCATTTAGCCGCTGGGGTCTGGGATCCTCCACTGGCCAGCACACTCTTCACCCGGTGGTCTACAGCAGGCTGCCTGGTGCTTTTCAGAAAACCATGGATGAGGGCCCATGCTGTTTCCAAAAAAAACAGTATGATCCTAAGACCTTCTTCTGATCAAATACACATTGGCCTCCAGAGTACCTGAGTAATACTTCCCCTGAAAGACTAAGGAGGCATTTTAAGTACCCTAAAGTGTTTCAGTGTTAAAGGCAAGAAAGGGGAGGAAATGGAGGGGTGTGGCGGTCAAGAGTTGTTCGTGGCTGGGTGTGGTGGCTCACGTCTGTAATCCTAGCACTTTGGGAGGCTGAGGTGGGTGGATCACCTGAGGTCAGGAGTTCGAGACCAGTCTGACCAACGTGGAGAAACCCTGTCTCTACTAAAAATACAAAATTAGCCAGGCATGGTGGCGCATGCCTGTAATCCCAGCTATTCAGGAGGCCGAGGCAGGAGAATCGCTTCCACCTGGGAGGCAGAGGTTGCAGTGAGCTGAGATTGCGCCATTGCACTCCAGCCTGGGCAACAAGAGTGAAACTCCGTCTCAAAAAAAAAGAGTTGTTCGTTTGTGTGTTCCCTCTGTTGTTCCACACAAGAGGGTCCATGTCTTTCTGTTTGGTCCTTCGGAGGACATTCTGGATAGGTATCCCTGATGCCTCCTCTCCTCCCCTAGTCCTCCCTTCCCCTGTCCGCACCTTTCTCAGGAGCATCAGCCCCACCCTGGAGGACACAGATGATGACTCAGTGCAGCCTCCCTCTCTCTGTGTCATGCTGGTGTCTCTGGAAAATGCACAAGCCCTTGTGCCAAGGAAGGGGGAGGGACACAAACAGGCATGGCTTGTCTCTCCACCAGTGAAGCTAAGGCTGATTAATCCCCCAAGTACCTAAAGAAAACATAACTTACCATTAATCTACATGAGGAATTTGTTATCAACCCCACGTCTTCTGTCACTTTGACCCAGACTGTACTCCTTACAAAACAATCACCTTGGCTGAACTGAGTCAAAGGTGCACCAGGCTCTCTCCTGGCCGAATTTCCATCATGAAGTCCCCACGTTAGTTAGCTGAGAACTCCTCTGCATGAGCCATCAGGGCAAATGGCACCATGAGCGATATTTTTTTCTCTAATCTCCAAGTTTCTCTACTGAGAGCAAAGGTGAATACACACATAATGTTGAAATGGATGGCTGGGCATGGTGGTTCACTCCTATAATCCAGCTACCTGGAAGGCAGAGGTGGGTGGATTGCTTGAGCCCAGGAGTTTGAGACCAGCTTGGGCAACATAGCAAGATTCTGACACTAAAATAAAAAGTCAGCCAGGTGTGGTGGCTCACACCTGTAGTCCTAGCTACTCCAGAAGCTGAGGTGGGAGGATTGCTTGAGGTCAAGGCTGTAGTGAGCCATGATTGCACTACTGCACTCCAGTCTGGGCAACAGAGCAAGACCTTGTCTCTGGGAAAAAAAAAAATAAAGACAGTCTTCTTAATTACCCTTGCACATGTAGGTTGCATTCCCAAGACTAGAATGCAAAAATACAGCCACATTGTCCTGTACCAATTTATAATCTCGCTGTCAATGTATGACAAATATGCAATCCCCTGTGCATCACCAGCTCCTCATATGTGGAGGACTTGAAGGATGGGACAGAATTGGGCAGGAAGGAGAGCAAGGAGACGTGGGGGTCAGGAGGTGTTGGATGAAGCAGTGCCAGGAAGGCACAGAGGAGAGGCCAGCACACAGGGAACTAAATGCATGCATCCACACTCGCTTGTTTATTCATTCAACAAATGCTCTTTTGGTGCCTAGTACATGCCACCCTTAGGTATTCCCTGTGTTGGGCACTGTGCGAGGCATTGGGTGCACGTTGAGAAACAATATAGGGTTTGTGGAATACAAAGCTCAGAGTTGCAAAGGAACCAGGCTGGAGGCTCAGTGGAGGGGAGACGACATGCCCCTGTGTAAGCAAGTGTGGGCTCCACCCTATAGGTAAAGGGAATGACAGGATCTTGTGGGAGATTTTAGATGATTCTTAATGGTGACCATAAGGAAAATGGATTCAAAGGGGCTGAGACTTTGGGGCATGGTGAAGGAAATGCTTGTTTGCCCTCTTAGGAAAGGTGATGAGCTAGTGCACTTCTGAATTAAATTGGAGACTTTATCTCAAGGTGAGAGTTCAGGCTGCACTGTCACGTGTAAATAAATCATTTATACCTTAAAAACAATCATCTAAAAATGACATCAGAAGACATACAAACACTGAAAACCCTCCAGCACATAAATGAAGTACTCTGAAGGTGACTTGATGGCTTGATTTTGCTGTTACCGACAAGGAGACTCCAGTTCAGAGAAGTCCTGGCTTTCCTAATCCTAACACAAAATCCAGAAATTAGGGGAAAAAGAAATGTAAAATGCACATGAGTAATACTGGGGGAAGGGAATGGAAAACAAAATTCAACATGAGAATGGAAGGAAAAACAAAATGAAGTAAAATACAATATAATACAATACAACAAATAAAACAAATCAGGGAAAAAAAAGTCTGTACGTGAACAATAGTAGACCATGAGCCAAGAATAATCTATTTGATTGATTGTGTTATATACATACACACACACACACACACACACACACAAGCTTAAAATGCAAGCAGCAGATTGGGAGACAATATTTGCAAATATATGAGATCTACATTATTACTTAAAACATAAATATCAGCCGGGTGCTATAATCCTAGCAGTTTGGGAAGCTGAGGTGGGTGGATCACCTGAGGTCAGGAGTTCGAGACCAGCCTGTCCAACACGGCAAAACCCCATCTCTACTAAAAATACAAAAACTAGCGGGCGTGGTGGCGGGCACCTATAATCCCAGCTACTAGGGAGGCTGAGGCAGGAGAATCGCTTGAACCCGGGGGATAGAAGTTGCTGTGAGCCGAGATGGCGCCACTTCACTCCAGCCTGGGCAAAAGAATGAAACTCTGTCTCAAATAAATAAATAAAATTGTTTCGAATCAGTCAGAACATGCTAAATAATAGAAAAAGAGATAGGAAATCGTAATAGTGGAAATACAAATGGCCAGTCAATATTTGAAAAATTGTCTAACTTCACTTATAATCTAATAAAGAATTCAAATTAAAATAATATTAATCAAATTAAAACAATGAGATAATATTTTCACCTATTTAATTGACAAGGATTTGAAAATACTGATAAAATTCAATGCTAGCAAAGGTGAGGTTTTGCGTCCACAACGTGTTTTCATTTCACACACTGCTGGCAATATCATCCACTGATCCGACCTTTTTGAGAGTAGAGTGGAAGTGCCATATCATTTCAAATGTGCACACCATCAAACCGAGCAATCTTGTAGGAATTTTCCCTGTATAAATATTAGCACACTCAACAAAGGTATGAACTATGATGTCGTTCACCATAACCGGTTGGAAATAATGTCTACCAATAAAGAAATATGCTAGCATTCTGATATCTTTAATCTACAGAAGTAGGTTATAAAACAATATAGTAGAGGATATTATAAGCACCTGTTTAAAAAAAGTGTCCATGTGCTTGAGTGTGTGTATGGCACGTGTGGTATGTGTACCTGTGTGAGGTGTGTATAGTGTGTGAGTGAGGGGTGTGTGTGTTGTGTGTGTGACTGTATACGTCTGTATGAAGTGTGTGAGGGATAGGTGTCTGTGAGGTGTGTGTTTCTGTGTAAGGCATTTGTACGTGTGTGGTGTGTGAAGTGTGTGTTTATGTGAGATGTGTGTGTGAGTTGTGTGTGTGTGGTGTGTGTGGCATGTTTGTGTGGAGCGTGTCTTTGTGTAGCATGTGTGTATAGTGTGAGGTGTGTGTGCATGTGTGGGGTGTATAGGGGGTGTCTGTATGAGATGTGTGCACGTGTGTCTGTGAGAGGTGTGTGTGTGCATGTGTGAGGTATATGAAGTGTTTGTGTGATGTGCGTGGTGTGTTTCTGTGTGGTATTTGTGTGGTGTGTACATGTGTGATGCATGGGGTGTGGGGTGTGAAGTGTGTATGTGGTATGTGGTATGTGTGTGCATGTATCCAGTGAATTAAATTGGAGACTTTATCCCAAGGTGAGAGCTCAGGCTGCACTGTCACGTGTAAAGAAATCATTTATACCTTAACAACAATCATCTAAAAATATTGACATCAGAAGGCATGCAAACACTGAAAACCCTCCAGCACAGAGGCTAAGTACTCTGAAGGTGACTCGATGGCTTGATTTTGCTGTTAGAAACAAGGAGACACTAGTGTGAGTTTGTGTAGCATGTGTATGGTGTGTTTGTGTGTGAGGTGGGTGTGTTACATGTCTGCATGGTGTGTGTGGGGTGTGTGTATATATATGTGAGGTGTGTGGGTTTGTGTGTGGCGTGTGTGGTCTGGATGTGTCTGTGTGTGGTTTGTGTGTGTGTGAGGTGTGTGTGTATATGTGAGATGTGTATGTGGTCTATTTGTGTGTGTGGTGTGTGAGGTGTGTTTGTGGTGTGTGAGGTGTGTATAGTGTGTGAGGTGTGTGGTGTATGTTTGTGAGGTCTGTGTGAGGTGCATTTGTGGTGTATGTGTGAGGTGTGTTCGCATACATGTGTGTGGTATGGGAGGTATGTGTGTGGTGTGTGAGGTGTGTGTCTGTGTGAAGTATGGGGTGTGTGAAGTGTGTGGTGTGTATGTGTGAGGTGTATATGTGTGTGAAATATGTATGTGGTGTGTTTGTATGTGTATGTGTTTGAGGGGTGTGTGTGTATGTGTGTGAGGTGTGTGTGTGTGAGGGGTGAGGTGTGTGTGGTGTGTGTGCGAGGTGTGTGGGGGGTTGAGGTGTGAGATGTGGGAGGTGTGTGGTGTGTGTGAGGTGTGTGTATGTGTTGGAGGTATTTGCGTATGTATGCGTGTGAATGTGTGTATGTGTGTGAAATGTTTATGTGGTGTGTTTGTATTTGTATGTGTGTGAGGTGTGTGGTGTGTGAGGAGTGCCTGTGGTGTGTGTGTGAGGTGTGTATATGTGTGAAATATGTATATGGTGTGTGTGTATGTGTGTGAGGTGAGTGTGGTGTGTGAGGTGAGTATATGTGTGAAATGTGTATATGGTGTGGTGTGTGTGTGAAGTGTATGTGTGTGAGGTGTGTATGTGTGTGAGGTGTGTATGTGTGTGAAATATGTATATGGTGTATTTGTATGTGTATATATGTGAGGTGTGTGGTGTGTGTGTGTTATGTGTGTGAAATGTGTATATGGTGTATTTGTATGTGTATGTGTGTGAGTAGTGTGTGGTGTGTGTTATGTGTGAAGTGTATGTGAGGTGTGCTATGTGTGTGAAATGTGTATATGGTGTATTTGTATGTGTATGTGTGTGAGTGGTGTGTGTGGTGTGTGGTGTGTGTGAGGTGTATGTGAGGTGTGTATGTGTGTGAAATGTGTATATGTTGTGTTTGCATGTCTGTGGATGTGTGGTATGTGTGAGGTGCCTGTGAGGGGTGTGCACACACCGGCACAGATACACTGAGGAGATGTCCCTCTTGGCTCAGCGGCGTGGACGTGTGCTATGGGATTGGAACAGTCGGGAGGAGGAAGGCGCTCGCCTTCTCTGTGCGCATGTCCTTTGACTTTTTCTTACAGACTCCTGCTCTGATGTGCTGATCTCTGAGTCATGTTTCTCTTTTCATGCTAGACCTTTAGAGAGGAAATGGTGCAATTTCTATTCTAGTTCCAACACAAGAGACCTTTCTTCTTAGGAACCTCATTTGAGGACAGCATCTTATTTTGCAATTTCTCCCCCAGTGTCAGAGACATTCCCAACAAAGGGGGTGATTGTCAGAGGTATTTGTTTCATAAAGCTTTGCACATAGATACAATTGTGAGATAAAGCAGCAGAAACGCATTTCACGTATTAAATATCACACTGAAGTAGCACTTAAGATACCAACGAGAAGGTTAAATAAATAAGAGAGAAAGAACACCCTTGGCAGAAAGCACAGCACGGCTACCTCCCTCTCTCCAGTATTTGCCAGTAAGGAAGAACTGCTGCGGCAGGAGTTGCTGAGCTATGCTCGTGTTCTCAAATCCAAAGAATATTTGTCTGGAAGTGTGTTCAACAGCTGTTGACAGGGGTTACCTCTGGGCGCAAAATAAGGCTTTTGCTTCTTGCTTTAACTATTTAAATTTACATAATTTTTTTTAAAGAAGAAAATTAGAATTGTGGGTGAGATTGGTAATTTTTTTACTTTGTTTTTCCGTAATCGTTCAATTTTCTATAATAAAATATGCTGTTTTGTAATCACAAAAAAAGAAAAAAATGCTTGAAATTAAACCTTAAACCGTGGTTTTTTTTTTTTTTTTTTTTTTGGATATGTCTTGCTTTGTTGCCTGGGCTGGAGTGCAGTGGCACAATCTCAGCTCACTGCGGCCTCAACCTCTTGGGCTCAAGAGATCCTCCTGCCTCAACCTCCCAAGTAGCTGGGACTACAAACACTCACCACGCACTACAGGCACTCACCACTTTTTTTGGGTAGAGTTCGGGGTCTCAAATTCCTGGCCTCAAGCAATCTTCCTGCCTCAGCCTTCGAAATTAAACATTTTTAAAAGGGGGAGTCCATAAGCCTCCTGTAGCCGATTTCTGTGGCCCAAGAAGCCCAGGGCAATTTACAGAGGCCATTAACACTTCAGTGGCAGAGCTCTGTGCTTGTGAAAACTAAAACACCCTTTTAGAAATATATTTGATTTAATTAACAGAAGATAATAGTGAAATAGTATGATCTAGAGTCATACAGGCCTGAGGTCAATTTCAGCCACATGACCTTGGAAAGTGACATAGCCTTTCTGACCCCTGGTTTCCCGGCCTGTGAACTGGGGGAGTTGATTAAGAGCCTGCAGAGCACCCGGCAAAGGGCAGCTAGTCAAGCAGAATACCGTGTGGAAACTGAGAGTTCCCCAGTATCCTCAGCCTCTTAGAGACCCCAAATAAGCTGTCATATCATCAAGACATTCAAGGCAGGGCTGGACACCTTCTGCTTCTGCCCACACAGCCTCTCCTGCCGGAGTCCCATGTATAGTGGGCCTTGGGGCTCTTCCCCTTTAATCACTCTCCTGACTTCACCAGCGAGACTTCCGCCATCTTTTGCTCGTTGATATTTACCATTCACCTGTTTCACAACCGGCCCTTCAAGATGACCCCCCCCTTAGACATAGTGCAAGAAGTCCTGTGTCTCCCCAGCTCCTCGGGTCTCTGCTCTGTCTTTAGGAAGGCCGCACCACTCCAGGAGAGCAGAATCACAAAATGTTGCCCTGCCCAACACTGTCCCCGCCCCACCACACACAGACCACCTCTCCTGTGTTCCCAGGTGCTCCTCCTGTCTCCATGGAGATGCCTGCCTCTGCTACACCCCTGGCTCATGTACTCTTGAAGGACCAAGCACCAAACATCCTTCTGTCTTTTGGGGCTCCCTGCCCCTGCGATAGTGGAAGACTCGCTTACTGTCTAGCTATACCTGTGTAAGAAGGTCCCTGTCAACCACTGAACTTTGTACTCTCTCTCTATTTTGAGAGAATCTCAATTGTAATTTCATACCTTCATCTAAAGAATGGTGTATATGTAACAATGAATTTTAACATGAACAAAATATTCCCTCTGAAAAACGTCCTAACACACTTCGGATTTCTCATATGTATAGAGAATAAGGCTTTTGCTTCTTGCTTTAACTATTTAATTTTACATAATTTTTTTCAAAGTCAAACTTTTGATTTGAAAGTGAAATTCCACTTTCAAATGCTATGAAACATGTTGTTTGCCAAAATGCAAAATATCTTTTTTGTTTCAACACGAGAAATGCTTAGAAAAAACAGAATTACAGAGACTTTCTCTTCCGATGGGAAACAATTTTTTCTCACCTGCTACAATCAAAGATGACAAGGCTATTTTTTTTAGCAACACTTTAAATAGCTGAGAGTTAAAGTGTGTTCCATGCTTACTGCATGTCAGTACTATTCTGGTGTTCACAAGAACCCTCGGTGTAGGTACTCTTATCATCCCCATTTTAGAAACAAGAAAGCTGAAGTTTCAAGTAACTTACTCATACTCAGAAGTTCACACATAAGTACTGGAATTCAAGCCAAGGCCACCCCATGTGAGAGGCCATCTGCCTACCTAACTAGGACACTGGAAGGTAAAAAGTTGACTAAAACAGTTTCCTCTCATAAAATTTCTTATATTTACATCCAATAATATATGTATCTCTTACTTGCTTTTCAATTACCTATAAAGCTGGAAAATAAATATAAACTAAACTCTGAGACTCAGGCAGCAGATAGGAAGTAACCTTGATAAACTTAAGAATGTTCCATAAGTAGTCAATTTCTGCTGATGAGAAATAGCAACTGTGCCATAGTATATGCTTTATAATAATCTGATACCTGAGGAAGAAAGAATACCATATATAACTGGAAGGAACGCAAAATGGTGCAGCCACTTTGGAAAACAGCTCAGAAGATTCTCATAAAACAACCTATATCTTTCACATATATGACTTAGCAATCTGACACAGGGAGACCAAAACAACAGGGAGAGAAAACAGAGCAGTGGTTTCCAGAGGTTAGAAAGGTGGGGAGGAGGCCAGGCGCAGTGGCTCACTCTTGTAATTCCAGCACTTTGGGAGGCCGAGGTGGGTGGATCACCTGAGGTCAGGAGCTCAAGACCAGCTTAGCCAATACGGTGAAACCCCATCTCTACTGAAAATACAAAAATTAGCCGGGCATTGTGGCGGGCATTTGTAATCCCAGCTACCCAGGAGGCTAAGGCAGGAGAATCGCTTGAACCCTGGAGGCAGAGGTTGCAGTGAGCTGAGATTGTGCCACTGCACTCCAGCCTAGGCAACAGAGCGAGACTCCATCTTAAAACAAACAAAGGTGGGGAGGAGTTGAATATAAAGGGAGACAGAATGAGGAGATTTGGGGGTGATGGAACCATGGTGATGGACACATGACTGTGCATTTGTCAAAACCCATAGAATGGTTCACTGTAAATCTTCTGAATAGATTCTGTAGTTTAATTGACAGTATTGTACCAAGATTAGTATTTTGACAATTGTTCTATAATTATGTAACCTGTTCACATACAAAGAAGTTGGGTGGAGGATATATGAGAACGTCCTCTACTACTTTTGCAATTCCTCTTTAATCTAAAATTATCTCAAAACAAAAAGTTTTTACAAAGCAATTTTATGATAAGCTGAGTATGGTGCCAAATAGGATTTCTGACACAGTTAAAACTGCCTTTATTTTCTATCGTGTATTAGAGGAGAAAAAAAATCTAATTTGGCCTTAGGAATTTTCTTTTCAAAATATACTATAAGCTGTATTTGTAAACATTCTCTTATTTCTCATTCTCTGAAATTGAAGGATTCTCCATCTATATTACCTCCTGACACTACAGTTCAATTTTATTTAGCAGGACCACTTTATTTTCCCTTTTTCCTCCAAAATAGATTTTGTGGGTTCCTGATTTTCACCAGTTACTCTAACTATTCTGTGTATTTAATGCCCCAACTATGTGCTGGGTGCCCTTCCATTGGATGGGTGGTTGCATTATTAAATGTTTTGACTTTATTTAGATAGGCATTTCTTGAATCAATTTTTAAGAGCGTGCCTGTCTTTATCTAACTTACTTCCTGATGAAGCGCAGATCTTTTTTTGGTAGTGGTAGTATTATTCTGAAGATGTTTCTTAGTGCCTCCTTTTGCATTTTCCTGCTGTTTCACCAACAGTTTTTGTTAGCATTATCAAACTCTACTGAGAACCAAGATTCGTAATTAGCCTGGTATATTAATCAGGATAAATGCTGAGGAGGCAGAAAAGGAAATGGAAAACATTTGATTAATTATAAGACATGAGTTGGATAGCTTCTCTGAAAACTAGCCTGGGCTCAGTAAAGTATTTAGAGGGCAATATGGCAGGTAAGAGTGACTTGGAGTCACTTATGAAAAGTTGGAGAGCAGAAGGCAGCTGGGTGCAGTTGGATGGTCTGCGGCAGTTTCCAGCATAAAGCACCCTTTCCATCACTGATGCAGGGTGTGCATGTGTGTATCTGCTGAATTAACTTGTCCTTGTTGTGGTAGTTGCTGTTGTTGTCAGTATCAGAACCACCATGTAACAGATAGTTTTGCCCGATTCACAGACAGTTTGCTTCTTTGGCACCTTCTGGATTTGACAGATTGTTTAAATCACTAGCTGCTCTATTAGCTGGTAATTTGGATAAGTATTTCTAATTTCCAATTTTGCCTGAGGGACCTTTAAGAATTGAAGCTAACAGTGCTGAGGGACTAGAAAGACAAGCCACAGACTGGGAGAAAGTATTATAGAACACATATCTGATATGGAACTTGTATCCAAAATGTACAAAGAACTCTTAAAACTCAATAATAAAAAAACATACTACCCAGTTTTAAAATGTGCAAAAGATCTGAACAGGCACCTCACCAAAGAAGATATAAGATGATAAATAAGCATATGAAAATATGCCCAACACCATACATCATTAGGGAATTACAAATTAAAACAGATACCACTACACACCTATTAGTGTGGCTAAAATTAAAAACATCATCAACAGCAACTGATAACCCAAAATGCTGACAAGGCTGCAGGGCAACAGGAACTGCCATTCATTGCTGGTGGAAATGCAAAATGTTGTTGTCACTCTGGAGGACAGTTTGGCAGTTTCTTTAAAAGTTAACTGCAGTCTTACCACATGATCCAGCAATCATGCTCCTAGGGAAAACTTATAGTCTCACAAAAACCTACACATGAATGTTTATAGAAGCTTCATTCATAATCACAAAAACTGGAAGCAACCAAGATGTCCTTCAATAGGTGAATGATAAACTATATACAGACAATGGAATACTTAACAATAAAAAGAAACGAGCTATCAAGTCACAGCAAGTCATAGAAGAAAGTTAAATGCATACTGCTAAGAAAGAAGCCAATCAGAAAAGACTACATACCATATAATTCTACCTATATAACATTATGGAAAAGGCAAAACTATAGAGACTTTAGAAACATCAGTGGTTGCCAGGGGCTCTAGGGGAAGGAGGGATGAATAGGTGGAGCACAGGGGATTTTTACAGCAGTGAAACTACTCTGTACAAAACTGTAATGGTGAACACATGTTATTATATATTAGGCAAAATCCATAGAAGTCTGGCTAGGTGCGGTGGCTCACATCAGCACTTTGGGAGGCCAAGGCAGGCAGATCACTTGAGGTCAGGAGTTCAAGACCATCCTGGCCAACATGGCAAAACCCCATCTCTACTAAAAATACAAAAATTAGCTGAGAGTGGTGGCTCACACCTGTAATCCCAGCTACTCGGGAGGCTGAGGCAGGAGAATCGCTTGAACCTGGGAGGCAGAGGTTGCAGTGAGCCAAGATCACGCCACTGCACTCCAGCCTGGGTGACAGAGCAAGACTCTATCTAAAAAAAAAAAAAAAAAAAAATCCATAGAAGTATATGCAGAAAGAATGAATTTTAGTGTAAACTATGAACTCTAGTTAATAATGCACCTATATTGATTCATTAATTATTACAAATATATCACAGTGATGCAAGATGCAAATACTAGGGGAAGCTGAGTGGGGCACAGGGAATGTATGGGAAATCTCTGTAGTAGCTGCTCAATCTTTCTGTCAATCTAAAACTGTTCTAAAAAGTAAAGTGTCTCTCTATATATAAATTGAGTGCTAGCATCAACAAAATGCAAATTTAAACTATCATAAGCTACTATTAGACTGCATTTAAATAGCTGAAATGACAAAAATTGACAATATCAAGTTTTGCCAAGGATGTAGAGCAAATGGAAATCTCCTATATTGCCAACAGGAATGTAAACTGGAACAAACACTTGAGACAACAATTTGGCAGTTTCTTTTTTTTTTTTTTTTTTTGAGACGGAGTCTCTCTCTGTTGCCCAGGCCGGAGTGCAGTGGCGCAATCTCGGCTCACTGCAACCTCCGCCTCATGGGTTCATGCCATTCTCCTGCCTCAGCCTCCCGAGTAGCTGGGACTACAGGCACCCGCCATCACGCTTAGCTAATTTTTTGTATTTTTAGTAGAGACGGGGTTTCACCGTGCCAGCCAGGATGGTCTTGATCTCCTGACCTTGTGATCCACCCACCTCGGCCTCCCAAAGTGCTGGGATTACAGGCATGAGCCACCACGCCCAGCCAGCAGTTTCTTTTGAAGTTAAACATACATACACCATATAATCCAGAAATTCTACTCCTACATATTTACTTAACAAAAATGAAAATATATATCCACACTAAGACTTGTACACAAGTATTATCAACAAATCCACTGAAAAGGATCTTCCTTAAAAAAGAGAATGATTTTATTCCTGTAAGCAGTTTGCAAACCAGGGAGACCCAGCCTTCAGTACAAAACAAAGATGCTCTCCCTGAGAACAGAGAGACAGGTTATCCTTTATAGAAAAAGCTCCCACCCAGATTCCCACTCTGGTCTGCTCTGCAAGTGAGAGGGATGCAAGTATGTTTGGTTTTGATTGGTCAATGCAAGTCACAAGTCTATTTGTTAGATCCAGAAGTCAAGATGAGACTTCCCAGCACCCATCAAATCAGGGAGCATAAATAGGAGCAGACAGCCATGAAAGTCCCCAAATCACGCGAGCCTGTGGTTTCTCAGAGAATGCAGAAGACGTTTGTGACCTGGCTCCATTCTGAATTTAGACCCAGTTAGCCACTCAGGATCCATTTGGAAGGATTGGCTCTTTCAGGTTCATGAAGTGTTCATGGCAGCTTTATTTACAGTAGCCAGAAACTGGGTTCTATCCCAGTTACCTTTAGTGACTTTCAGTCATACTCAGCTTCACTGAACAGTACCCCTGAACTGGCCCTTTAAGAAAAGGAAGGCGTCTTCTGCTCACGAGGTCGGAGGGAGTCCAGAAGGGCAGGGGGTGTCCACTGGAGCTGGGGGTGCTTTGTAGGAGGCAGATGCTGATGAGGAGAATGTAAGGCTTCAGAATATGTAGGAAAATGGGAGTTGTACCTCTTTGTAGTTTGTTGGATAGTGGCTTTGTATTAGTTTCTTGAGGCTGTGATAACAAAGTACCACAGACTTCAACAGCAGCAGTATGTCCTCGCACAGTTCTGGGGGCTGGAAGTCAGAGATCAAGGTATCAGCAGGGTTGGTTCCTTCTGAGGCTGTGAGGGACAGGTCTGTTCCCGGCCTCTTACCCTGGCTTGTAGATGGTCATCCTCATGTCCACACAGTGTTCTACCTATATGAGTGTCTGCCTCTTTATCTAAATCTCCCTTTTTATGGGGACATCAGTCATTCTGGGTTGGGGCCCACCCTAATGACCACATTTGAACTTGATTACCCCTGTAAAGACCCTATCTCCAGATAAGCTCATGTTTTGAGGTGCTGGGAGACAAGACATCAACATGGGAATTTAGGGGGATACAATCCAACCCATAACAGGCTTGAGCCTTTTTCTTTCTGTGATTATGTGGACCACAGTCCCAGATAGCAGCTACTGGTCCCAGATCATGTACAAGTGGTCCCAGCATTGTGAAGGACCTGAGGATGTCTGGGCTACCTTGGCTTTGAATAACCAGCCCAGGAGCTGTGTGAGAGCCTGTCCTGCCCCTTTAGAATACTGAAGTTTGAATTGGATCCCCTAGCTAAAATGTTGGCATTTTAATAGTTACAGAGAAAAGAAAGGAACCTTAGCTCTTCTGTTGAGGGTTTATTCTGCCTGATGCTTTCGAAATAAGTTTGTTATTTTGGCAACACTAATGAGGTAGGTGTTATCCCCTTCCTGCAGCTTAGGATTAAAAAGCTCAGTGGGACTAGGTAGCCTTCGTCCACACTGCCTAAGCTGTTATTCAAGTACAGGTAGTAAGAGGGATTTGAACATAGGCCTTTCTGACTCCAGCATCCGTGTTCTTTTCATAACCATGAGCTATTTCATTTTCTAAAAAGTGTTCAGTTGAAACAAATGCAGAAATTATTCCTCTCAATGTATGTAATAGATCTGTGTTTATCTGATCTAATCCAGGATATATCCTCTGAACAGAAAAGTTAGAAAAGACGGCATTAGAAAAGACATGCAGACAACTCAAAAAACTATGAAACTTTATGGGGAAAATGTGTTATCACCTGATCTATATCTTAAAATGGTGAGAATTCATGGCATCCACCTGTCAAGATAAAGGAGCAAAGGAACCACGCTCCAAGTTTTGGGAAGAAAATAGCACATGGTGGCGACTGGGGGTGACATGAGACCCCACTCCCCATCAGGAATCTCAGGCAGCCCCTCCCTTCTTGGATATGAACAACTGAAGTTTTCTCAATCATTTATTTTATTTTTTAACTGATTAATAATAATTATACATATCCCTGGGCACCTAGTGACATTTCTATACCTATAAGGTATAGTGATCAGATCAGGGTAACTGGCATGCCCGTCATCTCAAACACTGACCACTTCTTTTAAAGTGTAGCCTGGAGCTCCCCACTGTGGATCCAATGGCTGCCACAACCACTTTGCAGAACCAGGTCGCTGAAAGGCAGCTTGACAAAAAGACTAAGATGAGCCAAGTGTACTGCAACATGGCACAGGAACCATTGATCAAATGCTGTAACTTGGTGTCATGACAACGGACAATGATGTCGAGTGGAGTGCTGGATCTCTTATCACCACTGTATCACACTGATTTAATCACACTAATCTAAGCTTCTTGAAGGGGAAAGAGAAAAGCTTTGTAGTAGCTCCCCTTCCTGGTGCTGTTCAGAAACAACAATGGTGCAGGCCACACCTCACAACGAAGGGGGCTCGGCTGGCTGGGCACAGTGCTAAATGAGCCGCAGGTCAAGAGGTCACTCCTGCAGCCAGGCCGACCTTTAGCCACACTCTGGTCCAGGCGACAGATGGGGCCCTAGCCTCAGTCCCCTTTCATCTCACATATGGGGAGTTCTTGGCCACAAGAGGACCAATTCAAAATAATATCCAGTGACTTGGTGAATAAACTCTTCCACTGGAGATGGTATTGCATTGTTGGATGTATCTTGAACTACAAAGCTTGCTTGGGGAGATTTGTATAAATTGAAGATCATTTGATTGGTTTTCATTCAAGTCCCTGCTTTCAAGTGCCTCCTGTATGTTTTTCAGTGGAACACAAGAACCCGAATTCAGTCCTTCACCTATTTCTACTGGTGTTGAAATCTATAAAGACATAAAATCTACTTGCTTAGCCAATGAGCCTTACAGAGTGTCTAGTTGCTCTGATTTAATATATCAGTGTATCGGGAAACTTTAATCCTGAGTGCAGGCTGTTGGCATATGGATTCCATGCTGGTGGTAGGTTTGGACTACCTCAGAAAAGAAATGGGCACATGCCTTCTTGTAAATATTTTGTCTTTGTAAATATTTTCTTTGTATTCATGGGTTCAAGATGCCCAGGAAACGTATGTGAAGCCCAGATGTCACAGGAATTTTCCTGGTCTGCTTTAAGGAAGTCCTTAAGCATCACACCTGCCAGTTCAAATACTATTTGAGCCCTGTGCATTTTTGAGAAATGATGTATAAGTAGAAAAATTATACAAGAAACATGGAAAAATCAACAGGACTATTTAAATGTTATACAGAACTTATGAACAGTTCAAACTAAATATTTTGCTATTAAAATTATTCAAGAATCATAGAAATCTGGAAATAAACACTTCATAAATAACGTTTTCAAATATCGCGTCAGGAAAAATTAGACAAAACCAGTTAAGGAGGGAAGTTACATTGAAAAAGACTGAGTTCTACTATCCCCTAAGTTTTGCAAAAATATTTTTAACTTACTTTCTAAAAGTTAGTGAGTTTCCATTATAAAATAGAAAAATTGTCTTCATTCCATGAAAGAACTGTCTGAAAATCAGAAAAGCACCATATCCTGGATTTCAAGGAAGATGAAACTTCTTCTTATCTTCTATTTTACTAAATACTCAAAATAAAATAATCATATTGTATTGAATCTGACATTGTTAAGGAAAATAGCTTAAAATTTTTAAATAATGAGCAATATATTTAATTTTAAAATACGAAGAATTAGGCTAAGGTGGTAATTTTTTAGTGAGTTGAAAGTCCAAACTATGAGTTCGGAAGAAACAGCCCTAAAAGGCAAATAACATGGCTTTGGAATAATCACAGGGCAAATGCTTTGTTCTACATAATTCTTCTTTTGTGAATTTTAAAATGCTCAACAAGTATTAATGAAATATGTCTAAGAAGTAGATATTGCTTTAAAATCTAATTTCCAGAGTCCCGAACTAAGGCAAAGATTGAGATTAAGTCTCCGCCCAAAGTCTTAAGTGAGCCAGTGGAAGATGGCAGTTTATTCATGAATTGTTGGTTATCTGCTGCTTAACTACTTAACACAACCCGGTTTGATTGGTAATCAGATCCTAATAATGTATGTTTCAAAGAAAGGGCAGTTTCCTTAAAATCCTTAAAGACTTGTCACTTTGAAAACTGGAATCAAAATGTGAAAATGTTATCGGTCCATCTGGCAGTGTCCTTGGGTGTTTTTTAGAGTGGTCTCATAGTGCTATTTAACTATGCTGAATATTTGACACCCAGTCTCTGTAGGAAATTGTGATTTTTATCAGCGAAGAGGCAATTAAATGCTGTCATTTGGCACGTCCATCCATCAGGGATCTTATCACCCAAGAAGCATCCAGCAGCAGTTGCTGTCCTTTCCAGCTGGCAGACAGATAACAGAAACTGTCCTGTGTGAGGCACAATAGTCTAACATGATTAGAAATCAGCCAAACTCTGGCTTCTCTTGAGCTATACTCCCCCACAGGCTGAATTATAGCTCTCCTACCAGTCCCACGGCGCTGAATGATGTCATGGGATCTGCAGTTCAGCGAGATGAAAGGGATAAAGCAGAACCCGCTGGCACTAGGAAAAGCTTCCAACACACAGTCCACAACACAGCTTGGGAACCAAAAAAGCTACAGATCCAGCCACTCAGCCCAAGCATGGGAGAACTACCAGCATTGCCTCATTGCAAAAAAGAGGAGGAAAACAACGTGATCCATGTTTAACAAAAGAGTCTGTGGACTAGGAGGTGGGAGGGTAACTACCTGCTGAAAGTGAACTTTCTTTGATATCCATGCATATATATAAACTCAGCCCTGCCTTTGATGTTCAGCAACTGATTCACTGATCAGATTACAGGCATTTCATCTCCCTGCTCGTCTGCCTTTGATCTGCATGGTTAATTTTATTTTCCTGGATTTGAAGTTTCGTCTGGGCTTGTGCTGACATACATTTTTGGGAAGGTAGAAGCATTTGGCACAGAAGTGCTGCCAGGAGAAACTAAGTTGCTGAACGGGTAAGTACTGCAAAGAGCTCAGCATGTTGCAGGTACTCTGTTTTAAGCTTTGTTATAGCTTTCACTGCATTTTTCGCATGTGTTCTGAGAAAAGAATGGTTTTAATTAATTTTTTAGAAAGCATTTATACAGCTGAATACTACATGATGCTGAATGTGTGTATCAGAGTAACTATGGAACTTGATGTAATTTTTAGTAGTTTGTACAAGAGGGTTTGCAGTCTGTCATACAAATTTTACTTGGAAATGAGTTGTACAAACAGGACAAAACAGAACAGCGCTCACTTTAGCATGCAACTGGTACTTCAACCCCTGAGATCTGTGAGCTATAATTGCTCTAAGTATTTACAGGTTACCTTATTTAGTAAACAGTCAGTGCAACTTTGCTTGTTGAAAATGCTTTCTTTGTTTTCTTATATAAAAGAGTAAAATGTATCTCTGGCAATACTGTTTCTTTAGTTTATTTATTCTCTCACTTCCAAGATGTAAATCTATCAAATACACTTCCTTATGCAGTTTGTACACTCAAGGGAATCACTGAAAAACCATCAAGTATGATTAAAGACTTTTATGTGTAAAACTGAAGAATTTAAAAACAGTGAGGATAAAGTTGCACTAAGTTTGGCTAAAAATACTCCAGTGATTTTCTATAACCTTTGGAAATAGCATAAGCCTTATTTACAGAAACATTCACAAGGTTAATATTCCTAAATTAACATTTACTTTACATTTATAGTGACAGCTGTTTTAAGTCAAAATTTGCCAACTGTTTATGAAAACTATCTGAGTAATCAACAGTTATTATGTTACATAAAGTATCTTAGTCACATTTTCACTTTAGCTAATGCCCAACATGACAAAACCAAATTATATTGCTGTACCGAATTTGAAAGTTAACTGTTATTTTTTTGTCAGTTCATGATACACACACACTCACGCTCACACACACACACAGTAAAATCTTTACAGTGAAATATAAAAACTAAATACAATGGAAAAGTAACACTGTTACTTTGTTCGCGATGTTTTTTTTTTTAATGTTCTAGTCCTAAATTTATCTGGGCAAAATATTTAATTATTATCACAAGTCTATTTGATGCTAGCTGAACCATAAAGAAACCATAAGTGATAAGACCAGTTATCCTTTAGTCTGAAATTCTGATGAAACAGGAAAGGTCTAATGAGTCTCATTTCATAAGTAATTAATTTTTCACAGCCAATTAATTAAATTACTTTCTACACTTTCCTCTTGATACTAGAAGGGTAATTAGCATTGTTTATTTAATTTTAAAACTTTGCTAGTTGTTAAGTGGAGGTTATTTAAAGCCATGCTAAACTGATTATATTTTTAAAGTGTGTCATTAATAACTTAATCTTAAAGATTTAACTGCTGTTTTTAGTCATGCCAGGAGAGGCATTTGCTTTTTTTTTCTAAGAGTACAACAAATCATGTTCACAATATCCTGCAATATCGGTTTAGTTTGATTTTTTTTTAATTTGTTTGCTTAAAATCTTCCTTTTAATCACAAAAGTGGTATTAATGTTCACATTCAGATAAAGAAAATTAGCCTTTTAAAACAATGACTGGAGATGGTGCCTAAAGAAATAGTGTGTCTGAAACTTGCTCATTTAGTTCAGATTTGGATTTTAAAATTTTTAAAATGACTGTTTATCCTGCTACTAGGATCATTTTAACAAATACAGGCTCTCCTCAGCACAAAACAAAGGGGAGAATTAGCAATTATCTGATTAATTTAGGCTTTGTAGAAAACTAGCTTGGGCAAGTCAAGTCCTTGAAAATCCACTTCAGTGTTTGAATTAATTCAGTTAATTGTTTACTTCTAGTGTCATTGTTGAGAAATGAAATAGAGTGTATTTGATTTTAAAATAAAGATGGTTGTATCTGAAGGTACAGGTACAGTCTCAAAAGGCATTTCCTAATTAATTGCCACAAAATGACTTTGGCAGATATAGTCCTATTACTTCTACTGAACAAAACCCTTATGTGACATTTTTCAAAGCACTTTCCTATCTGTTGCTTCAATGGCAGCTTTGTTACTACAGAAAGTCCAAGTCTTCAAAAGACTTTTATGTTGAGTCCTGATACTGTCACCAATTAGCTATATGACCTCAAGAGAGTTTCCTCATGTGTGAAGTGAGGGAGTTGATCACATCATCTTTATGAAATAAGCAGAATTGGAATTTTTATGGCCATTTTACAGATGAGGAAACTGAGGCTATAGAAAACGAATGTCCCTATCTTAACAAGGTCACATGGCTGATTTTCCCAGTTCTAGTCCAATGTTCTTTCCAGTCTACCATGCAGGGTCTGCTTTCCAACAACTGCTTAAACAAATGCACTCTGTAGCTCATCAAAGAACAATATTAGTTTGAAAAATAAAGACAGCCACTTCCTATTGTAGTGCATTTTTTTTTTGTTTCCATGATAGATATGTCAGTCAGCTGGATTCGTCTGATTATTTTCCAACTGTTCCTTCTACTTCTGGACTTCTAAGCTGTCTAAACACAGTAGCTGCTACCCATAATTTAACATAATTTAACACGTAAAATAATTTTCACAAAAAGTTTAATGCATCAATGTGATGTGGAATTATATATGTATTTGTGTGTTTGCCTCTGTGTGTGTGTGTACATACGAGTTTGGCATTATATCAACACATATTTGTGTGTTTTGAAGGAATTGATATTTTCTTAGATGATGCCAGTGGCATCCAAAAACAGTTTAATAATTAAAGGTTAATTTTCCTCCAGGGAAATTCCCAGTGGGATTCTGTGAAACTTCAGTTGACAAACTCAATGTGCATTTCAAACATGATATGATATGTGTTTCATATCATGTTTGATTATGTTAAGACTCTTGAGCATGTTTTCATTATCTCTTTGCTTTTCTTCCTTGAAAAAATATATCTTGGGGCCAGGAGCGGTGGCTCACGCCTGTAATCCCAGCACTTTGGGAGGCCGAGGCAGACGGATCACGAGGTCAGGAGATCGAGACCATCCTGGCTAACATGGTGAAACCCCATCTCTACTAAAAATACAAAAAATTAGCCGGACAAGGTGGCAGGCGCCTGTAGTCCCAGCTACTTGGGAGGCTGAGGCAGAAAAATGGTGTGAACCCGGGAGGCAGAGCTTTCAGTGAGCCGAGATGGCGCCACTGCACTCCAGCCTGGGTGACAGAGTGAGACTCTGTCTCAAAAAAAAAAAAAAAAAAAATCTATCTATCTATATCTTGTGTGAAAAATTTTAATTTAGTTACTAATAAAATTTTATACAAATACAGGACTCTCATGGCCAAACAACTGCCCTCATAATAGGGCTTATCACCCTCTTTAGGATTCCTACATATACAAGATTATTACTAACATGACCTAATATTTATTAATTCACTCATTATCAATTAATTCAATATCAAGTACTTGTGCAAGGATAAATAACATGTGCAAGATTATAGGAATAATTCAGTGGCAGCATTGTGATCTACATTTTTTTTGTTCTGGGGCTAGGTGATTCATTCTTTTTAAGAATTACACAAAGCTGAACTTGACTGTCAGCAAACATTATAGCCAAAATTTTGGCCAAAAATATGGGCTCCAGTTTTTTTTTTTCCTTTTATATATTTTGTAAGAACTATTAGACATTTTTAATAGTATTTTCTGTCAGGATGGCCATAAAGGACCTCCCTAAGCCATGAAGGCATAATCTGTTCTCCCTCTGCTTCAGGAGTGAACTGAACTCAACCATCTGGCATTGGTTTAGTCGGATTCTCTTTCTGTGATGGCAAGGCCAGTCCAAGCCACCCTGGAAGAATGAGTGATTTTGTCCCCTTTAAAGGATGGTTCTTTAAAACGTTGTCCACCTGGGTGAGCTCTGTGATGGGAGGGCAGAGGGAGGCTCCCTGGTGGCTGTGTTGGCTGTGCTTTAATTTCTCCTCTACTGTCACTAGTCATTCAGCTTTGGCTCCAAAGTTGTTACCTCAAACCCACCCACTTGCCAAAATCAATACTCACTTCTTTAGATTAAGTAGGTAGTTTAAAACCCTCCTTTGTGACTTAAATTTTCTCTTTGATGAGAAGGGGAAGGAGAAGTCATGTGGGGGTTTCCAATGACTTCATAAAACCATTCCTTCCAACATAACCCACTGTCTTTGAGAGGAGTTCTGATAAAGATAGTTTTCTCCATCCTGTTAAATGCCCCCCATTCTTTGGTGGCTCTATAGCTTAGCACCATGGGCTGCTGCCCAGCCAGCCTGGCCTCAAGCCAGCCCTAGGTCGGGGAGTCCACCATGTTCATCAGGAAGGAGAGAAGGAGAGTCAATGGACTGTCTCTTCCCTCATCGAACTCATGAAAAGGGTCTAGCCAATGAGGTACTCAGGGCCAAACTCACAAAGATCAGTGCAAGTGCTGCAACTTGTAACAACTTTGCTCTGTAAGTGTCTTGAGCTCCACTTACAGGAGGGGGCTATAAAAATAGCCTCCTTGGGTTTTTCATATATATTGGTTTACGCACCCATGGTATGGTGAAGATTATGTTAAGATACAGAAAGCCCAGATTCTGATTCCAGCTTTGTTAATTAACTTGGTGTGCAGCATTCAGGAAGTCACTGGGCATTGGCCTCACGGTGCTCCCTCAGCCCCATGCTGATAGTCTATAATTGGCAGTAGTGGGTATCGGGAATTACTTAAATAGCTAGGTCTTGGGGGTTCCTCCTCCACTTATTTTCTTAACTGTATTTGGAAAACTTTATTACTCTTTGAGATTCTCACTCTCAATTACTAATTCATCCAACAAATTTTTAATGAGAACTTACTATGTGCCAGAAACTGTAAACCAAAGAGACAAAATTTCATATTCTCCTGTAGCTTGCATTCTATTCCACTTTTTTCCCAAGGAATAGTGATTTACACTAGAAATGACTAGAAGTTAGGCAATTTTTCATTAGCTTTGCTACCAGCGAGCTAATTTATCACTGAAACTATTCTTTCAGGGGTTTTTCAAGTTTTCCTTAGTTCAACTTTTGGGGAAAAATATTTTAAACAAATGCACTTTGTGTCAGCTCAGATATTGCTAAAACTATCTTCAGAAAACTAACTTTTAACATAAATCTTAAAAACAAACACCTCTATCAAGATTGTCATAGCAATTTTGCTTTTCCAGTAAAAATTTTAACCCATTAATGATATGCAGTGTTTTAAAGGAAGTAAAATGCTCCCAGTCCTAATTACAAGCATCCAGTTTCATTTTGCATGAGCCTAAGGATCACAGAATTCTTTTTTTTTTTTTTTGAGACCGAGTCTTGCTCTGTCCCCCAGGCTGGAGTGCAGTGGCGTGATTTTGGCTCACTGCAACCTCTGCCTCCCGGGTTCAAATAATTCTCCTGCCTCAGCCTCCCTAGTAGCTGGGATTACAGGCACCTGCCACCATGCCTGGCTAATTTTTGTATTTTTACAGAGACGAGGTTTCGCCATGTTAGCCAGGCTGGTCTCAAACTCCTGACCTCAGGTGATCCGCCTGCCTCGGCCTCCCAAAGTGCCTGGATTACAAGCGTGAGCCACTGCACCCGGCCCACAGAACTCTTTTTATACTACTATGGTGCTCAATTGTGTGCCTGAGTTTTTGTTCAGACACTGTCTCCAAATCATACAACACTCAAATGAGGGAAAGTGGGAACTATAGTGTTTGTTCCCTCAGCATCTGAGGGGGACTGCTTTCAGGACACCCTCTTGGATACCAAAATCTGCAAATGCTCAAGTCCCTTACAAAAAATGGTATAAATTTGCATATGCTCTGAATCATCTCTGTATTACTTATAATATCTAATACAATGTCAATGCTGTGTACATAGTTGTTATACCATATTGTTTAGGGAATAATGACAAAATAAAGTGTACATGTTCAGTACAGACACAACCATTCATTTTTTTTCAAATATTTTCAATCTGCAGTTGGTTGAAGCCATGATGTAAAATCCATGGATGTGGAGGGCCAACTGTGTTTAACTTAATGAGTCTCTTTAAAGAATTAGATGAATCTAACAGCTGGAGTCCAGAGGTTCAATGTCCTTTTTCTCACCGTCAATGATCATTTATTGATTGATGCTAGGCATTGTAAGAGGATATATTGCTACTAAGAATGGCTATTTAGTAAGTGCTAGGCATTGGCCTAAGCACTTTAAATACCTTATCTATTAATACTTACCAACCATCAATGAAGCAACTCATTTTACATATGGAGAACCAGAAACTTAGAGAGGTTAAGTAACTTTTCCAAAGTCATGCAACTACTGAATGACAGGTTGGCATTGGGACCAGATTGTCAGATGCCCAAGCCCATTCAGGCTAACAATAGGTTCTCTCTCTGTTGTAAGCTAACAGGCTAACCGGGAAGATCAGTCAAAACACGTAAAATGATTCAAGAACTAATGAACTGAGTAATGTGTTACTACTGTCTCTAAGGACAAAAGGAGGTCAGAGAGAAGAAGAACATTTGGTTGAAGTCAGAGAAGGTAGTTCCTGAGCTGGCAGATTCAATTCCACTCAGAAAGCTTTGGTTGAACATTTATTTGAATGATTGATACTGTCAGAGATACAAATCGGAACAAAATATGCCCCTTCTCTGAAAGTGTTTTTAACTCCTTGAAGAAGAAAGTTAGTACACAGAATCTTATGATACAGGACACAATGGGCAAGTGCTAAATTGCCACAAACCTTGGAGCAAGGAAATACATAGGCTCAGAATTGAGGGAAAACTCGTGAGAGCCGTGGCTTTTGAGCGAGGTGCTGAAACTGGAGTAAGACAAGTAGGTAAAGCTCAGAGGTAAGATGGGAGAGCACGAAGAGGAAGTAGAGAGCAAAGGAAGGGCCACGCGGCGCAGTTTATAAAGCCTGCTCCAGAGGCGAGGCAAGGCTGGAAATAGGTGTAGGGCTGCACCTGGACATCTCGGAATGCTAATCTAAGGAGCGCAGAATCCATTCTTTACAGTGAGGAACCTCCTGTGACTCTTCAGCCTGACAGTAGCAGTGATGAAAGGCGGGAAGCGGGGTTGATGACCGAGGCAGTGCTGTGGTGAGGGGTGGGGAGGGTCTGCATGGTGGTGAAGGAGGTGGTGGGCACCAAGACAAAGAGAGGACGATGGGGGACTGCGTGAGACCTTGCAAAGGAAGATGCAGTAACTCAGCTTAGAAGTGCTGAGTATCCATCGTGTGCTAGGCCCCGGGATATCAAGGAATTAGGAGATGCCCTCGGGAGATCCAGGTGTAGCTGGGGAAGGAAACAGATAAAGAAGTTCAGCGGGATGTGGGAATGAATATGGTAGTGATGTGCACTGAGGGCTGGAGTCTGATCGGGTAGCCGCTGGGAGATGGGACAGGGAAGCACACACTTGCCTTGAGGTTCAAATTAGATAACGTACATCATTTGGAAATCGTTTACCAATAAGTCGTTATTGGGATCTATATTCTGGATGTGTTAGATTTGAAATATACAACCTCTATCAAGGTGTGACATCGGGAATAATATTTTTAACATTGTTCACAAGTACCTAGTATAGTGCTACGCCGTTGGAAGCCTGGGATCACAAGCTGTGCTTTTGGGCAATTAAATACAACAACCTATTCACTCATTCATTCAACAAATACTGATGGAGGGGCTCCAGTGGGCCTTGGGGTATAGACAAGAAACAGGGACTTGGGTCCATCCACACAGTGCAGTTGAGTGGGAAGTCAAAACCAACACGTGAGAAACGGTGGATGCCTTGGTACCAAAGTCATGCACCGTATCTTGGGTGAACGAATAGAACAATACTGCTTGCACTTTTACAGCATTCTACTGGTGGAAAAGTATTTTACAGACGCGATTCTCTTAACCCTTTCAGCAAAACTGCCCAGTGAGTCCCCGGCCCTGGCCCCGCCTCGCACGCGCTGGTGCTACAGCTGTGGTGCAGACGCCCTTCCGCTGCGAGGGTGCGGCCGTCTCGGGGCGAGTGCTTCCCGGCCTGCAGGAGGCGAACTCGGGCTTCCCCGGGAGGCGTCCGTGGGAACGCGCACCTGCGAGTCCCTGCCGGCTGAGGAGCCGAGGTCTGCGACCTCTGCCGACCTGAGCTCAGGCGCAGCAGCGCAGACCTGGCCGCCGTATCCCCTCTGGCTGGGATGCGGGCCCACGCGGGAAAGGCTGAAAGGTGGGGAACACCCCGGCGGAAAGGAACCCTCCCTCTCTGCTCTGAAGGAAAGTTTCCCAACACAGCCATGTTCTTGGTGGTCTCCGGTCCCCCATCCCCAAGCCCCCAGTCAGCCTCACACTCATCCGCTTCAGTAGCCGCGGAGTGGGGGCCTCCAAAGAACCCAGCTGCAGAGCAAGTCCGGCTGACGCAGTGTGCGCTGGGGGCGGGGCTCTGGACGGGGGCGGAGCCACGGCGAGAGCCGCGGTGAGGGCGGGGCCCGGGTGGGCGGTGCCCTGAGCGGGGCTCCTAGTGGGCGGGGCTCTGGGGTGGCGGCCGTTGCCGGGCTACGGGAGAGCGCGGAGCCCTGCGCTGGGAGGTGCACGGTGTGCACGCTGGACTGGACCCCCATGCAACCCCGCGCCCTGCGCCTTAACCAGGACTGCTCCGCGCGCCCCTGAGCCTCGGGCTCCGGCCCGGACCTGCAGCCTCCCAGGTGGCTGGGAAGGTAGGTGCGTCGCTGTCCCCGGCGCGCGGCGTCCCGCGAGGTCTTCAGCCCTCGCCCTGGTGGATCCCCGCTGGGTGGGAGCCGGGAGTGGAGGCGGCCGCCCTAGGGAGGGAGGAGCGCAGGCGGGGGCTGCTCACGGGCGGAGTACTGCGCGGCGAAGGGAACCCCCGAAGGGGCTGACCGGGTCTCGGGGCCGTGACAGGCGGCGAGGCGGTGGGAGGGGAGCGTGTGAATTCACGCCGGGTCCCCGCGGGCGACGCGAGCGACGCGACCTGGACTCCTATCCGGGATATTGTAAATAGATCTGCTTGTGAGGCTCACGACTGGGAGCCTGTCACTCTGCCCAAGCCCGACCCGGCCCCGGCGCCCGCCCGCGTCCTGCGGAGGTCCCCTGAGCCAGCGCGCGGCTGCAGGGGTCTCGGGGCCGCATCCCGGACCAGCGCCAGCGGCGGGAGAGCGTTGTCTGTGAGCGGCCCAGGGTATATTCCTTCTGTGGGAAAGAGTTCCTTAGAGTTCAGCAGGAATTATTAGTATATTGATGAGTAGAGCCTGTGATAGATTTAGAGAGTGAGAAAGCCAGCTCTTACAATGCGTGTAATGCCATCTCATGGGACAGAAATTTGGCTAATATACTCCTGGAGATCAAGTTTGGCGGATCAAAATTCTGTGATCTGTTTTGATGGTAGTGCACTAGTCATCCAGTCTCCGTTCACTATTGTAAGAAACCCATGTCATTTGTTTGCATGTTAATAAAGGACTCAATATGCATACAAAATCATCACCATTGTTCAGTGTTTCTTTTAACTGAAACAGTTTAACCCAAGATATGTATGAAGACGTAGTTTTTACCCCATGACAGTTTCTTTGACTACAAAACCAAACAATTTCTTTATGTAAACAGGAAACAGTTATTGTTAAACATACCTCATGCAAACGATATTTCTTAGTGTTGTCATTTCATGATCAGATATTAGATGCAAAAGGGAGGATTACATTGCGTTACTTCAGGATTTACTCAGTACCTTTTCTGTGGTGCAGTTTCACCTTAGGCGTTTTTGCCAACACTGCTTTCATGTAGTCTTAAAAATTCCAGGCAGTGCTTATTATCTAATTGAAAGGTATAGAACTGGAGGGGTGAGAATTGAGTCCTAGTGTGGAAGACAATTTTTGACATTCACAGAGATGTGAGTACTTAAAAAGAAAGCTTCTTTGCATAACACTTATCAAATTGTTCTGAAAGTAAAACAAAACATAGAAATGCATTTTCATTTGCACAATATAGCCTTGGCATCAATGCATGAAGCATTATCATGAGCTCTGTTCTTTACTTTTTAATCTATGAAAATGTCTTACCATATCTACTTTATTACCAAAGCCACATGGCTTTACTGACTTTAGGAAACTTTTTTCCATAGTAAGTGCTAACTCTGAGAGGTGGTGTTAGTATTTTCAGAGCAATCATAAAAGTTATTTGTTTCTTTGGCCGGAGTGTGTCTTGCAACTCTGAGTCCAGGCTGGATCTTGAATATGCAGTTATGGACACATGAAGAGCATTATGCACTGGAAATTGCAATGTCGATGTGCCTTTTCTTTTTTTCTTTTCTTTTTTTTTTTTTGAAACGGAGTCTCGCTCTGTCACCCAGGCTGGAGTGCAGTGGCGCTCTGCGCACTGCAAGCTCCCGCTCTGCGCACTGCAAGCTCCACTTCCCGGGTTCACGCCATTCTCCTGCCTCAGCCTCCCGAGTAGCTGGGACTACAGGCGCCCGCCACCACACCCGGCTAATTTTTTTGTATTTTTAGTAGAGACAGGGTTTCACCGTGTTAGCCAGGATGGTCTCAATCTCCTGACCGCGTGATCCGCCTGCCTCGACCTCCCAAAGTGCTGGGATTACAGGCCTGAGCCACCGCGCCCGGCCGTCGATGTGCCTTTTCTATCCAGAAGACTGAATAAGGAACATTGCTCACATGTAAAAGTAGCTGTAAAAGAGATTTTTTAAAGGGACAGAACTTTTTTTTTTAACTTCAGATGATAATAGGCTTTTTACATATATTTTATAATGGAAAATGGATTGCGACATGTAATGTCATATGCTGTCCTTAATATATTAATTTCCTAGTTACAGCTCTGTTACATGAATTTAGGGCATATTGGGGACTTTTTAAACATAAGTAAGGAATTCTGCTAACATTCATAAAAAGAATTTGAGTCTCTTTTTTCACCTATTGCAATCTCTGAACCTGTGCTTAACTCAATCCCCTGTGGCCAATTCTACCCCTGAAAAATTAACACGATTCAAACAAAAACTCCAGGCATCTTTAGTAGGTGAAAAAAGCCAAAGCCCTTTTAAAACTGATGCATCAATATTTAAAATCAAGCATTAAAAAGTCTGAAAAAGGCCAACATGTTCTATTTGTGTTGACTACAGATTGAATAGGAATGCCCACTTGAATAAAACACACTCCCAATAAATACATTGATAGCTGCCTATGTGATAAGAGAGCCAGGGAACAGTTAAACGGTTAAATATATTTGTCCTGTGGCAGCTGATTATTAAATATTCACAGGCTTGGCCGGGCACGGTGGCTCACGCCTGTAATCCCAGCACTTTGGGAGGCCGAGGCGGGCGGATCAGGTGGTCAGGAGATCAAGACCATCCTGGCTAACATGGTGAAACCCCGTCCCTACTACAAATACAAAAAAAAAAAAAAAAAAAAAAAAAAATTAGCCGGGCGTGGTGGCGGGCGCCTGTAGTCCCAGCTACTCGGGAGGCTGAGGCAGGAGAATGGCGTGAACCCGGGAGGCGGAGCTTGCAGTGAGCTGAGATCGTGCCACTGCACTCCAGCCTGGGCAACAGTGCGAGACTCCGTCTCAAAAAAAAAAATAATAATAAAGATTTGGGATAATGCATATGTGAATTACCCCGATTTGATCATTACACATTGTATACATATATTAAAATATCACTGTCTCCGATAAATATTACAATTATTACATGTCAACTGAAATTCAACAAAACTAACACCCTTAGTGAGATTGATTCGCATATAGTAAGTGGCATATATTTAAATTTATAATTAGGTAAGTTTTGACATACTGTGAAACTGCCAACACAATCCTGATGGTGAACACATAAAACACACCCAAAAGTTTCCTTACAACTCGTTGTAATCCCTTTCTTCCATATTTCCTTGCCCTCTTCAAGCCCCTGACAACCTCTGATCTGCTTTGTCATTATGTATTAGTTCGCATTTTCTAGAATTTCATATAAATGTAATCGTATAGTATGTCATTCTGGGAGGAGGGGTCTGGCTTCTTTCACTCACAATAATTATTTTGAGTTTCATCCACATTATTACAGGTATCAAAAGTTAAATCATTTTTATTGCTCACTAGTATTCCATTGCATGCACCATAACTTGTTTATTTCTTGACTTGTTTATGGACACATGGTTGTTTTCAGTTTTTAGCTATTATATATAAAACTGCTATGAACATTCATGTGCAACTTTTTGTATGAAAGTTTACTTTCCAAAATATTGGGAGAAGAATATCTAGGTGTTATTAAAGGTGTGTGCTTAACATTTTAAGAAATGTCCAAATTGTTTTCCAAAGTGTTTGTTACACTTTCATTTCTAGTAACAGTGTATGGGAGTTCGAATTCTCCAAATCTTCACCAACAATGGTGTGACCAGATGTTGTATTTTAGACATTCAAATAAGTAGGCCATAATAGTTCATTGTGGATTTAATTTTCATCACTCCAGTGGCTAAAAATGTTGGACCAAAAAAAAATGATAAAGTAACCCTCTAGGTGAAGAAAAAGAAAATTAAAGTGGGTATGAACATAATTTTTTTTCATGATTTAGTGATTGAGTAGTGAGTTCTTGGTATTTTATGTGTCTAAAATGTTTACATTTAAAAGTAAGATGTTTAAACAGTATTGGGTTATCTTCTAGTCCACATGTCACATAATATGTACCTTTATTTACCTTTTAAACTGAAGTTTTAAAACCTGGGTTTTAAAAAGAGAACAACTACCCATCAGCAATTACAGAAGACAAAGGAACTTGTGTGTCTGAAGACTGAGTGTTATTTAGCAGCTCTTTGGTCAGCTTGGATTGGTCACATATGTGGAAACTGGGAAATAATAGGGGCTACTTACACTGGAGAAGAACACTACAAATGGTGTAAAGAGTGGTTTTGGAATGTATCCAGACTTCCTTCTAAAATAAAAATTTAAACAGCTGTGTTTGAGAGATGGGTATGCACAATTCTTGTAAGAAAGACTGTGTAGATGTTTGAGGTCCCCTTAGTCCCTGATGCTACCATTGTTCCATTTGCATTTCAGGGTAGAGAAACATTCATGAATTTTGGGAAAAACACATTAGTTACAGTATGCTTGTTGACTGAACATTTTGAGAATTCTGACAGTGATTTTCCTAATGCAAAGATGATAAAATGTACAACTTAGAGAAATAAAAAGAATTAGTCTCAGAAAACCCTGCACTAGGTTATTTTTTGTTGTTGTTGTTTTTATTTTTATTTATCTATTTTTTCTTTATTTCCATAGGGTTTTGGGGAACAGGTGGTATTTGGTTGCATGAGTTCTTCAGTGGTGATTTGTGAGATTTTGGTGCACCCATCCCCTGAGCAGTATACACTGAACCCGATTTGTAGCCTTTTATCCCTCACCCCCTTCCACCCTTTTCCCCCAAGTCCCCAAAGTCCATTGTATCATTTTTATGCCTTTGCATCCTCATAGCTTAGCTCCCAGTTATGAGTAAGAACATACAATGTTTGGTTTTCCATTCCTGAGTTACTTCACTTCGAATAACAGTCTCCAAACCCATCCAGGTTGCTGTGAATGCCATTGATTCATTCCTTTTTATGGATGAGTAGTATTCCATCATATATATATACCACAGTTTTTTTAGCCACTCACTGATTTATGGGCATTTGGGCTGGTTACATATTTTTGCAACTACGAATTGTGCTGCTATAAAAATGTGTGTGCAAGTATCTCTTTTGTATAATGACTTCTTTTCTCCTGGGTAGATACCCAGTAGTGGGATTGCTGGATCTAGGTTAAGTTTTATTTAAAAAAAAAAAAAAAAAAGCAGCCTAATAGAGGCCCTTACTGTTTTGAACTTTGGGAGAATTGGAGATACTGTATTTGGCAGCAGAAAATTTTTAAGTTTTTAGGGTTTTTAGTAGAAAATACCTTGTAATTTGAAAAAGAGAAACCATTCTCATTTTCCAGCCAATAACAATACGTATATTCTTAGCACACCTTTGTGAGTTCCTAGGCTACAAAGAGATCTGCCAACTCTACTATGTAAGAAGAATGATTTTCAGAATATAGTGAGATTGAAAGCTAAGATACAGAATAGCTAGAAGCCGGGGGTTATTGTTTTGTTTGGAAATAGCATTACTCTAAATTTCTAATTAATGTTTTATTCTCTTTGCATGTGGGACTGGCAGTATTTCTAAGTCATTCGTGATTATGTTGTGCCATTAAAATGTCAAAGGCTGTATTTATAGCATTGGCTTTATTTCAGTGCTGATTTATAAATTGTAAAACTGCCAGTTGAATATCAACATTTTAAAAATGTTTCATCTTATTACATATTAGAAAAATGTATGGGTTGAATATAGTTTCATTACATAGTGTGAATACAGTTTTTTTGATGAAAACTGTTACCAATTGCATGCACTGCATCTGTTGGATAATAAATAGCTTTCAAGAGATAGGAAAAAAACAAAATTAAATAATTTATTCTGAAAAAAAGAGTATCCAGATTATTAGAATTATTACAAAGCACATATGTTTTCGTCATTTACACCATCAAAAATATAAATGATTCTCAGAAAGGTTACTGATTATAATATAATTTTCTTTCTAATTATCACCATTCTTCCTCCTTAGTGATTCTTGTCTGTATTAGAGCACTACCTTCAAGAAATGGGGTTCTGACCTGGATTTGTGCTACCACAGTGACTTGCATTTCAACCTCAGGTTATATTTGCTCATATTTTTCACATATACTATTTTATCCCTTAGAACTCTGAGAAGTAAACTGTTATCCCTAGTTAATGAATTTCTCTCTTCATTTAGCATGCATTGGGCACATATTGTGAGTTACAGTTCTATAGTGAAATCACAGCTCTTGTCATTAAGCCCTCAAATCTTATTTGATTGGTGGTCAACTCCAGTGGCTGGGTTGGTGATAAAATGAGGGAAGGGAGCCCAGTGTGACAGTGGGGAGTGGTGGAGACTAGTGCACTAAAGATATGTCCTTCCGTGTAAGGGACAACTGATCATTAGCTCTAGCTCATATTGCTTTGATGTGGGACTCAGGGCCGTCAGATTGTCTAATTTTTCGAGAACATTTTTCATTTTTAATACTGAAAGCAAATTTTAAAGATTTAAGTGCTGCAGTGACTAAAGAAAATAAATGTAGCCGGGCGCGGTGGCTCACGCCTGTAATCCCAGCACTTTGAGAGGCCGAGGCGGGCGGATCACAAGGTCAGGAGATCGAGACCACGGCGAAACCCCGTCTCTACTAAAAATACAAAAAATTATCCGGGCGCAGTGGCGGGCACCTGTAGTCCCAGCTACTCCGGAGGCTGAGGTAGGAGAATGGTGTGAACCTGGGAGGCGGAGCTTGCAGGGAGCTGAGATCACACTACTGCACTCCAGCCTGGGTGACAGAGCGAGACTCCGTCTCAAAAAAAAAAAAAAAAAAAGAAAAGACATGCTGACCAGATGCAACAAAAAGGCTAGAAAGAGAGAGGAGTAACAAGGTAATTATAGCAGTGAGTGGAAGTCCAGGGTGCTGTGGAAGCAGAAAGAAGAGATGCTGATGCAGATTTAAGGGGATTCCAGAAGACCTGTGACAGACTGGGGGCAGGCATTGTAGAGGAAGGGACAGTTGAGGGACCTGCTGGTGGAAGCAGTCACTGTGGTTTGAGATCCAGAGGTCCGCCCAGCCAATCAGAGATGAAGCCCAGAGCTGCCCTTCCCCGGCAGTGCTCCCCTGTCTCGGCGTGGTGACACGCTAGCACTGGTGTTCATGATTTTGGGCAAGAAGGCACAAGGGGTGTGCATTATAACACCTATTGGATTTATCTTAGTTAGAGGGAGGCCAATTAGGACACATCCGTGTTAGTTACCATTCACTCAAATGAGCAGGCTGAGCAGCTTTGAGAAGCAGCCACTCTGTGTGCAGCTGAACAGCATGTTTCCCCGCTCTGCACTTGGGGTTTGTGTCCCTTCTTCTTTGCATGCTCCTGATACTGCCAAGCTGCGTATTGTTGTTGAATAGCAGATAGTGAGGCCGACATTTCATGCTTGTGGAATACGGTAAACCAGGCATCATTAGTCTTCTCCCTAGTGCTTATGTGGAGGACATGTACAGAGAAACAGTTTCTCTGTACATGTCCTCCAAGAAATGCATGCTAGACTGTTACAGATGCTGTGGAGACTGGAGGTTTTGGCAAACGGTAAAAACCCCAGCATCCAGACCCATGGTACATAATCTCAGTTATTTGTATGGCTTGTGCTTGCTAAATCATCTCCAAGTAAATAGAACACTGAAGCATATAAAAGCATTTTTCTATCTTTGGGCCAGACCTTGAATGTCCAGAATTTAAAAATAATTTTAATAAATAACCTTTTGATTGCCTTATTTTTATTTTAAATATTATTACTTAAACGCTTAAGCTATTTCATTAAATTTTCCTTCTTTTTCTGAATGCCAAATAATTTCTTAAGGAATTTCATTCCACTCCAGGAAATTCAAGGTCACACTTATAACCCTCCACCAGCTAAATTGTTTATTTCTAAAATACTCCTAGGCCAGGCTATGTCAAAAGGTGTTTTGGAGATCACTACCTTGGCCAAGCTGTGAGCTCCCTTGAAGGAACAAGTTGTAGTGTCTTCTAGCCTAGTCCTGCCTCCTTTCAGGCACCTAATGACCGTTTAACCAATGTTTGTTGAATAAATAAATACATGATTAAATGTATTATTGCATTATGTGTCTCTCATCAGTTTTGTTGAGGTAGCCATGCTGTCCTGAATGGCAGGAGTCACTGGATGCTGGTGATGGGTTAGGACACAACCCTAGGTCAGCATGGCGGGATGCTGAGGAGCCCTGTTATGGAGTTGCCAGGCATGAATTGGATTTGATTTCCACTGGTTCTCGTATTTGTTTCCTTGGACCTTCAGTTTTCTCTTCCATTATATGGGGATAAATGTCTACTTTAGAGTGTGGTAGAAAGGAGAAAAAGCTATCCTTTTTTAAAGCATTAGCACAGTACTCAACATTATAAACGCTTGGTTCAAACTCTTAGTGGATTCTTAGTCTTCAGATGCCTTCTGCAGGCTCCCAGGTCCTGAGCTGTTGCCACTTGACTGCGGCTGCCTAGATGCCTCCTATTTGTCCGACGGATTACAGTCTTCAAGGACTGTCACATCCTAATGGATCATTTGATCCTCAATAATAATGTCATTAACATGAAGGACAATAGTAGTTGCTAACAATTCTATAGCACTTATTATGTGCCAGAAACGGTTTACATCAGCTAATTCTCCTGAAAGTGCTTTACAGCTGTTAGACTCATTCCTCACAGCAATTTCAGGAGGTAGGTACTATCATTCTGCCCCATTTAGAGATGAGGAAACTGAGACTCAGGGTTAAGTAACTTATTCCAGGTTGCACAGCTCATAAGTAGTGGTCTCAATAACAACAGCAGCAGTAACAGCATCAGCAACTGCTCCGGGCGCTGGGCTCAGCACTTTGTGTTAGCCCAGTTAGTCCTCACAATGCCCCTGTGAGATGGGTTCTATTTTTGTCTCCTTATGGATGTGTAGCATCAAAGTGACAATGTTAAGAAATGCTTCACAATTTGTCTGCCTTTTTCAGTAGTTAGTGTAGCATCCCACTAGACGATTCTATCCAGACTAATTGCTCGAATATGGTATGTACTGATTGACTTGTCAATTTCTTTGTCTCATATTTTGTGTAAATGCTTTGGCATTATCCCCGTTTTTTCTTATTAGTTTTAATTCCACCTAAATTACACATTTTTTGCTTTTAGAACTTAATACATTTTTTAAAATGTAAGATCGTATCATGAAAGAAATAACCTGAAGCATGTGCTTCAAAGAATGTGATTTTTATCTTCTCACCCTAACCCTGTGTCTACACAAGCAGTAAGTTGCATGGTTGAGTAATTGCTGGTTGATTTTGAGATATGCCAGCAGGAAAAAAAGTTATGACCAAGTAGCTGGAAAAGTGAAAAAAGCTGTTTGAATTCACTTCAAATGGGTCATTCACTCAACAAAGGTAAATGATTTTTCATTGCCCCGGCAATGTGACCTGCCCAGGCAGTGGACGTGGTTCATCTGGGTTCAGCCACTTCCGGGGCACCCGTCAGCTCACCCCTGATAGCCGCTCAGCCTGCAGCGGAGGCAGCTCTGCCCCCTCTGCCTCCTTGGTTGTTGTCGTTGTTGTTTTTCTTGAGCTGTTTGCCCATGGTTCTGGTTCTGTGCTCTGGTTTCTTTCTAAGTCAGATGATCCACTTGGGATCTGTTAGTTTTGGAAACTTCAACTTTAAAGGAAACAGAACCGCTGTTTCTCTACCTGATGGTGCAGCCAGATGAGGCTTCGCTTTTTCTTTTTGATCTCTTCTCTGGACATGTGTGGATCTGTAAAAAACAGCCAGATTTGGTTCTACATTTTAGATCATTCCTGGTAAAGATAAAGAGGCTTGGTTTATCTTGTATTGAAATGTTAGGTTAGTGCCTGTGATTTCATCACTCGTCAATGACTTTTAGATGTTTTAAGATGAATGCTTATTTTTCTGCCATACATACTTTGCTCTATTCTGGTTTGGGAAAGAATTCATAAATGCAAAATATTGTCTGTCTGCTTCTTAGTGAAGACGAAGTTGTCAAGATACAAGCCTGGTGTCTTCATTTAATAGCACATTGTCTGTCAGGGCGTATGTGACACAGGAGCTGTAGAAAGGGATGCTCCACCTGGGTTTGCATCCAGCTGTGCCTCTCACTAGCAATGTGACCTTGGGCAGGTTACTTAGCCCTCTCTGAGTTTCCCCATCGCTAAAATGGGAATAATGATAGGATCTACCTTCTAGAGTAGTTGTGAGGATTAAGTGAGTTAGCATGCTGAAAATAGTACCTGTCACATAGTTGTTATTTTATCACTATTATTACCCTGTTGGCATTGTCCAAACCCAGATAAATGGGAGGTTTATATAGTCACTATTTGAATAGAATTTCATGCTGAGTGAAGTAGATTGGCTGCTGTAGAGAACATGGGTAGAAAATATCAATAAAGGCGGGTATAGCCTGGGAACTCAGAGCCTGTAAGAGTTTTGCATATAATGTATAGGTAAACAGAGCTTCAATTCTCATAATATGAGTTATAAAATAATTATATATTATTTGTCTTTTTTCTTTTTTAAAGGTGGTTTCTTTTAAAACACAAATAATATTTATTACCTAGTCTATATAGTAAGTGGTAGATATTATATAGTAAACAAAGCACAGTCACTGATGTTTTTAATATTAACTGCATCTTCCTATCTTTTATTTAGAACTCTCCAACAATAAATACATTTGATAAGAAAGATGGCTTTAAAAGTGCTACTAGAACAAGAGAAAACGTTTTTCACTCTTTTAGTATTACTAGGCTATTTGGTAAGTAAAGTCCTTTTTTCTTTCATAAGAATGTGGTGAAAGAATTCATGTACTAATAAGTAGTAGGAGTACCAAAATCATTTTATTTTTTATTTTTTTTGAGACAGAGTCTTGCTCTTTTGCTCAGGCTGGAGTGCAGTGGTGCAATCTTGGCTCACTGTAACCTCTGCCTCCCGGGTTCAAGTGATTCTCCTGCCTCAGCCTCCCGAGTCACTGGGATTACAGGCACCCACCACCACTCCCAGCTAATTTTTGTATTTTTAGTAGAGATGGGGTTTCACCATGTTGTCCAGGCTGGTCTTGAATACCTGACCTCAGGTGATCCGCCTGCTTTGGCCTCCCAAAGTGCCGGGATTACAGGCATGAGCCACCACCCCCAGCCCAAAATTATTTTCTATTTCTGATCCAATATTATGTTTTTATCTCTTTCAAATGGCATTTTATTATTTTTGCATGTAATTAATAAGTGAAAGATTGCTGCTCATTCATGATATATGTAACAATTGTTGAAATTATCTTATTTAAATGTAGGTGAAGTCATAAAATTGCAGTGTTACTTGTGGCACTATGATGATGATATTATTTTGCCTTTATAGGCATATATCTCTTGTAACATATTCTAGAAGCTAAAAGACCATAAATTCTAATTTGGAGCCCATGACCTACACAGTTTATGAATAATTTAGAATAGATTTTTAAAAGTTATTATTTTATATAGTTGTTTATATTCTTCTTGGTTCCAAAAAGCAGGAAACACAGATGGAAAATTTTAATATTTGAAAGTTTGACAAAAGATTTATGAATGTGTTCAAAAGAACAAAGTTTATTTAATCTAGTGATAAAATAATGATCTACAGATATATAAAGAAAGATTTACACTGAAGACAGTATGCAAAGTTTTCTTGAAAGACAAGGTTAGGCTGGATGCTGTGGCTCATGCTTGTAATCCCAGCACTTTGGGAGGCCGAGGCAGGTGGATCATTTGAGGTGAGGAGTTCAATACCAGCTTGGCCAACATGGTGAGACCTCATTGTTACTAAAAATACAAAAATTACCTGGGTGTGGTGATGCACACCTGTAATCCTAGCTACTTGAGAGGATGAGGTAGGAGAATCGCTTGAACATGGGAGGCGGAGGTTTCAGTGAGCTGAGATCACGCCACTGCACTCTAGCCTGGGCAACAGAGTGAGACTTTGTCTCAGAAATAAATAAATAGATACAAATAAAAAAAATAAAAAAATAAAGACAAAGTGGGATTCAGGTGAATGTAGGAGAGCTTCCCTGCTGTAATTGGAGGCTGTTAAACATTGAATAATGGTCTAAGAGGAAGGTTGTGTAATTTCTTTCTCTTTACGGTCTCTCTGTGGTGGAAGGGAAGCTCCTACCCCTTATAAATAAGTAAACTGCAAGACTGGGAGTTGAGGAGGAGTTGAGGCAAGAATCTTTATAGCCTTAAAAATTTTCTTTCTTTCTTTCTTTTTTTTTTTTTTTTGAGACGAAGTTTCGCTTTGTCACCAGGCTGGAGTGCAGTGGTGCGATCTTGGCTCACTGCAACCTCCGCTTCCCAGTTTCAAGTGATTCTCCTGCCTCAGCCCTTGCAAGTAGCTGGGACTACAGGTGCGCACCACCACACCTAGCTAATTTTTGTATTTTTGGTAGAGACAAGGTTTCACCATGTTGGCCAGGATGGTCTCAATCTCTTGACCTCGTGATCTGCCCACCTGGGCCTTCCAAGGTGCTAGGATTACAGGTGTGAGCCACCGTGCCTGTCTGTCTCAAAGAATTTTCTAGTCTCAAACCTCACCTTGAATTCTTCCTCCTGCTTGCCCTAGATATTAAACCTTTGACCTTAAAGAGGTTGTTAGATATCTTCACAGATATTCCTGCTTCAAGGTGGAGAAGGTTTGTACAGAATTATATGCATCAAAAACAATGTCCTGTGCTCAACTGTGTGGTAAGCATTAGACAGAACAGCAGTGTCTGTTACCCCAGTTCCTCCTAAGATTTTCAGCTTCCATTAAGGAAAACAGAACCGCGTCAGTAGCACTATTCAGGGCATTCTTGCTTAGGGTAAGGGGTTGGACCAAACGTCTTCACCAATTCTGTGATGCTGCTAATACCAGCATTACTCATGAAATACTGTCCGTTAAGCAGATAAACATACTTTTCTAGGATGATATCTTACAAGGAGAACTTGTTGTTTTCAGAAAAAATAAGAGAAAAAAGCTATATTTTGGAAAATGACAAATAACCTCTGTTTTTGCCTAAGTATACATTTTCCATTTAAGTCCTATGCTGTGAACCAAAGCATACTGTTAGGTCCCAGGCAGTGGCTCAGTGGTAATCAGTAAAGGCATAAGCTCAGATTTGGATGGCACTTCTACTTTGAAGAGTTCCGAGAGTTGGGCCACTACTGCCATCTTTATCATCATCACCAAGGATTTTACTGGTGTCCTGATTGTTAGAAATTATTATTTGAAAGACATCCTCTAAGGAAATGTAGTTCAGTTGAAAAGGGTTGAAACTTCCTCATCAAAACCGCATGGCAGATAAGTCTAAACGATAATTGCGAAGTTCTTGTGGCTACGCTCTTGTGGCTATACTAATTATTCAATTTATTTAATTCATTATACTTGAATATGTTTATATTTCTTAGATTGAAAAATTTTTCAATTCAGATTTTTTTCTGGTAGCAAAAGGACCTTGGGTCATATATCAAAGAAAGTCATAACTGTTTTTTTTTTAAATATCTTCTTACTTAGAGAAGAGAACAGCTCCTAAGTCATGTCATATCTTGAGTCCCAGAGGGTATCTGAGGAGGATAGCAGTTAATTCCAAGAAAATGGGATACCCTGTTTAGAGAATCAATGAGTATTCTCTGGAATACAGAGAAGAATTTGGCTTATTGATTTAGTTGTTCCACTGACTTATTCAGAAAGTGTGTTTTCTTCCTAAAGTGAACATTGAATTGACTTGAACTGATATTTACATTCAGTGATTGTGTGACTAATATTGAAAATATTGTTCCTTTCTTGCAAAAAAAAATGTTTAACATACTTTAAGATAACATTTTGTTAAATTTTTTTTTTCAGTCATGTAAAGTGACTTGTGAATCAGGAGACTGTAGACAGCAAGAATTCAGGGATCGGTCTGGAAACTGTGTTCCCTGCAACCAGTGTGGGCCAGGCATGGAGTTGTCTAAGGTATATTGGATACATGGCAAAGTTGTGTATCTGTGTTTGTAAAATGCATTCGTCTTAACTCAATTCTTTGAGTTAATTATTAATGAAACTTTGGATACCATGACAGAATTATTGGATCATTATGTCACTTTAGCCAAATATCATACAATTCCTTTTTTAATACTTTTGATTCATGTGTCTTACTGAGATAAATAGGTTCTCAAACCCAGAATTCAACAGATGTCATTGTTTTATATAATTTAAAATTTGTAGTGTTTCACTAAAACAGTAAAATTTTTAAGGTTAATTTGCATTAATCAATAACAACTGAAATTCCACTGAAGATTTAAAACTAAAGCATTGTGTGGTGGCTAGCAAGATGGCCGAATAGGAACAACTCTGATCTGCAGCTCCCAGCGAGATCAGTGCAGAAGGCAGGTGTTTTCTGCATTTCCAACTGAGGTACCCAGCTCATCTCATTGGGACTGGTTAGACAGTGGGTGCAGCCCATGGAGGGTGAGCCAAAGCAGGATGGGGTGTCACTTCACCTGGGAAGTGCAAGGGGTCCGGGTACTCCTCCCCCTCACCAAGGGAAGCCTTGAGGGACTGTGCCATGAGTAATGGTGCACTCCAACCCGGATACTACGCTTTTCCCATTGTCTGTGCAACCCACAGACCAGGAGATTCCCTTAGGTGCCTACACCACTGGGGCCCTGAGTTTTAAGCACAAAACTGGGCAGCTGTTTGGGCAGACACTGAGCTAGCTGCAGGAGTTTTTTTTTCATACCCTAGTGGCATCTGGAACACCAGCGAGACAGAACCATTCACTCCCCTGGAAAGGGGGATGAAGCCAGGGAGACAAATGGTCTAGCTCAGCAGATCCAACTCCCATGGAGCCCAGCAAGCTAAGATCCACTGGCTTGAAATTCTCACTGCCAGCACAGCAGTGTGAAGTCCACCTGGGACACTCAAGCATGGTGAGGGGAGGGGCGTCTGCCATTACTGAGGATTGAGTAGGTGGTTTTCCCCTCACAGTGTAAACAAAGCCACCTGGAAGTTCAAACTGGGTGGATCCCGCCACAGCTTGGCAAAGCCACTGTAGCCAGACTGCCTTTCTAGATTCCTCCTCTCTGGGGAGGGCATCCCTGAAAGAAAGGGAAAGAAAGGCAGCAGCCCCAGTGAGGGGCTTATAGATAAACTCCCATCTCCCTGGAACAGAGCACTTCAGGGAAGGGGTGGCTGTGGGTGCAGCTTCAGCAGACTTAAACGTTCCTGCCTGCCAGTTCTGAAGAAAGCAGCAGATCTCCCAGCAAAGCACTCGAGCTCTGCTAAGGGACAGACTGCCTCCTCAAGTGGGTCGCTGACCCCCCAGCCTCCCGATTGGGAGACACCTCCCAGCAGGGGTCGCCAGACACCTCATACAGGAGAGCTCTGGCTGGCATCTGGTGGGTGCCCCTTTGGGACGAAGCTTCCAGAGGAAGGAACAGGCAGCAGTCTTTGCTGTTCTGCAGCCTCTGCCAATGATACCCAGGCAAACAGGGTCTGGAGTGGACCTCCAACAAACTCCAGCAGACCTGAAGCAAAGGGCCTGACTGTTTGTAGGAAAACTAACACACAGAAAGGAATAGCATCAACAAAAAGGGCATCTACACAAAAACCCCATCCAAAGGTCACCAGCATCAAAGACTAAAGGTAGATAAATCCACAAAGATGAGGAAAAACCAGTGCAAAAAGGCTGAAAATTCCAAAAACCAGAACATCTCTTCTCCTCCAAAGGATCACAACTCCTTGCCAGCAAGAGAACAAAACTGGCAGAGAATGAGTTTGACAAATTGACAGAAGTAGGCTTCAGAAGGTGGGTAATAACAAACGTCACCAAGCTAAAGGAGCATGTTCTAACCCAATGCAAGGAAGCTAAGAATCTTGAAAAAAGGTTAGAGGAATTGCTGACTAGAATAACCAGTTTAGAGAAGAACATAAATGACCTGATGGAGCTGAAAAACACAGCACAAGAACTTCATGAAGCATACACAAGTATCAATAGCTGAATCAATCAGGCAGAAGAAAGGATATCAGAGATTGAAAATCAACTTAATGAAATAAAGCGTGAAGACAAGATTAGAGAAAAAAGAATGAAAAGGAACAAACAAAGCCTGCAAGAAATATGAGACTATGTGAAAAGACCAAACCTACATTTTATTGGTGTCCCTGAAAGTGACGGGGAGAATGGAACCAAGTTGGAAAACACTCTTCAGGATATTATCCAGGAAAACTTTCCCAACCTAGCAAGAGAGGCCAACATTCAAATTCAGGAAATACAGAGAACACCACAAAGATACTCCTCAAGACGAGCAACCCCAAGACACATAATCTTCAGATTCACAAAGGTTGAAATAAAGGAAAAAATGTTAAGGGCAGCCAGAGAGAAAGGTCAGGTTACCCACAAAGGGAAACCCATCGGACTAACAGTGGATCTCTCTGCAGAAACCCTACAAGCCAGAAGAGAGTGGGGGCCAGTATTCCACATTCTTAAAGAAAAGAATTTTCAACCCAGAATTTCATATCCAGCCAAACTAAGCTTCATAAGTGACGGAGAAATAAACTCCTTTACAGACAAGCAAATGCTGAGAGATTTTGTCACCACCAGGCCTGCCTTACAAGAGCTCCTGAAGGAAGCACTGAATATGGAAAGGAAAAACTGGTACCAGGCACTACAAAAACATACCAAATTGTAAAGACCATTGACACTATGAAGAAACTGCATCAACAGGCAAAATAACCAGCTAGCATCATAATGACAGGATCAAATTCACATATAACAATATTAACCTTAAATGTAAATGGGCTAAATACACCAATTAGACTGGCAAATTGGATAAAGAGTCAAGACCCATCAGTGTGCAGTATTCAGGAGATCCATCTCACGTGCAAAGACACACATAGGCTCAAAATAAAGGGATGGAGGAATATTTACTAAGCAAATGGAAAGCAAAAAAAAGCAGGGGTTGCAATCCTAGTCTCTGATAAAAGACTTTAAAGCAACAAAGATTGCAAAAGACAAGGGAATTACATAATGGTATAAGGGATCAATGCAACAAGAGGAATGGAAGGGCTAACTATCCTAAATATTTATGCACCCAATACAGGAGCACCCAGATTTACAAAGCAAGTTCTTAGAGACCTACACAAAGAGACCTGGACTCCCACACAATAATAGTGGGAGACTTTAACACCCCACTGTCAATATTAGACAGATCAACGAGACAGAAAATTAACAAGGATATTCAGGACCAAACTCAGCTCTGGATCAATTGGACCTAATAGACATCTACAGAACTCTCCACCCCTAATCAACAGAATGTACATTCTTCTCAGCACCACATCGCACTTACTCTAAAATTGACCACATATTTGGAAGTAAAATGCTCCTCAGCAAATGCAAAAGAATGGAAATCATAACAGTCTCTCAGACCACAGTGCAATCAAATTAGAACTCAGGATTGAGAAACTCACTCAAAGCCGCACAACTACATGGAAACTGAACAACCTCCTGAATGACTACTGGGTAAATAACAAAATTAAGGCAGAAATAAATAAGTTATTTGAAACCAAAGAGAACAAAGACACAATGTACCAGAATCTCTGGGATACAGCTAAAGTAGCATTTAGAAGGAAGTTTATAGCACTAAATGCCCACAGGAGAAAGTGGAAAAGATCTAAAATTGACACCCTAACATCACAATTAAAAGAACTAGAGAAGCAAGGGCAAACAAATTCAAAAGCTAGCAGAAGACAGGAAACAACTAAGATCAGAGCAGAACTGAAGGAGATAGAGACACCAAAAAACCCTTTAAAAATCAATTAATCCAGGAGCTGTTTTTTTTAAAAGATTAACAAAATAGATAGATCGCTAGCTAGACTAATAAAGATGAAAAGAGAAAAGAATCAAATGGAAACAATAAAAAAATGATAAAGGGGATATCACCACTGATCCCACAGAAATACAAACTACCATCAGAGAATACTATAAACACCTCTATGCAAATAAATTAGAAAATCTAGAAGAAATTGATAAATTCCTGGACACATACACCCTCCCTAGACTAAACCAGGAAGAAGTTAAATCCCTGAATAGACCAATAACAAGTTCTGAAATTGAGGCAATAATTAATAGCCTACCAACCAAAAAAAGCTCAGGACCAGATGGATTCACAGCCGAATTCTACCAGAGGTACAAAGAGGAGCTGGTACCATTCCTTCTGAAATTATTCCAATCAATAGAAAAAGAGGGACTCCTCTCTAACTCATTTTATGAGGTCAGCATCATCCTGATATCAAAACCTGGCAGAGACACAACAAAAAAAGAAAATTTCAGGCCAATATCCCTGATGAACATCAATGCGAAAATCCTCAATAAAATACTGGCAAACTGAATCCAGCAGCACATCAAAAAGCTTATCCACCACAATCAAGTCGGCTTCATCCCTAGGATGCAAGGCTGGTTCAATATACTCAAAACAATAAATGTAATCCATCACATAAACAGAACCAATGACAAAAACCACATGATTATCTCAGTAGATGCAGAAAAGACCTTTGACAAAATTCACCCCGTCATGCTAAAAACTCTCAATAAACTAGGTATTGATTGAATGTATCTGGAAATAATAAGAGCTATTTATGACAAACCCACAGCTAATATCATAGTGAATGGGCAAAAGCTGGAAGCATTCCCATTCTCATTGAACAATGAGAACACATGGACACAGGGAGGGGAACATTACACACCAGGCCCTGTCATGGGGTGGGCGACAAGGGGAGGGATAGCATTAGGAGAAATACCTAATGTGGATGATGGATTGATGGGTGCAGCAAACCACCATGGCACATTTATACCTATGTAACAAACCTGCACGTTCTGCACATGTATCCCAGAACTTACAGTTATATATATATATAAACCCTAAATCATTGATAACAGAAATCATGAATGCTACTACTTACTGGGACTTCTTTTTCTTAAAATGAATGTCAGCATTACTTGTCAAGAAGTAGAGCCTGCCAGTGTCTTAAATAAAGATGCTCTGAGATAGCAGGCATTTTCCAAACCATGGTTTTGAACATTCCTTTGACAGTATGTGTCTTATTATTGATCTCACCACAGTGAGTGTATGTTACTCCCAGGAGCACTTTAAATATATTCATTTCAACCACTATGTGCTAAGAAACTGTGTGTTAGTGTGTGTTATATCAGGACACATTTCACAGTCTTGGATGTTTTGAAGCCTGCCTTTTCTTGTGAGCACGTTCAGAGCTATACATCCATTTGCTTTATTTGCTGATCTTTTGAAGATGTTACTAGTTGTGGAGAAGTGATGTATTGTTTTGTTTTAAATAAAACATCAAAGCCTTTCTGTTAGAAAAGGAACAATAGATTTTTCTTTTTATTTAAAGGGACTTTTAAAGAGAAGTCCTTTTCCCCTACAGACTGCCATTATCTACAGTTGAGTCTTGTCATTCATAGATTTTTGATCAATGATCTATAAACAGCAGGAAACAAAGAATTATGCATTCTGCAAGTGGCTTCTGATAGATAGCGTTTCTCTCTGGCTTTTGTGTTAAATGAGTGGTGGCTTTTAGTATCCTGGGCTTTACATTTGGATTGAAACTGACTGACCTTCAAAGTCTGTGTGATATCTCATTAACAGTAGCATCTCAACAGGTATTTTTCAACCCCTGTTGATTACAGTAACAAGTACTTTCAGACATAGATTTTTCTGTGTGGGGTGTAAAAAGATTAATTTTTAACAGGTTGACATATCTAGGATCAGTGAACAAAGTATTTAAAAATGCCATCATGCCCAAGAGGAAAATAGACTGCTGATGGAAAGAGTGAAACTCTGTAAAATATTTGAAGAGATTTATTCTGAGCCAAAAATGTGTGACCAGTGGCCCATGACACAGCCCTCGAGAGATCCTGACAGCATGTGTCCAAGGTGGTAGGGCTACAAGTTGGTTTTATACAATTTAGGGAGACATAAGACATTACTCAACATTGGTTCAGTCTGGAAAGGCAGGACAACTGGGAGTGGGGAGCAGGTAGGGGAAGGGGGATTCCAGGTCACAGGTGGATTGCAGGATTTTCTGATTGGCTATTGGTTATTATCTAAAGACCTGGAGTCAATAGAAAGGAATGCCTAGAGTCAATAGAAAGGAATGTCAATAGAAAGGGTTAAGATAAGGGGTTTTAGAGACCAAGGTTTTATCATGCAGATGAAGCCTCCAGGTAGCAGACTTCAGAGAGAATAGATTGTAAGTGTTTTCTTATCAGACTGAAAGAGTCTGTTCCATCAGTAATTCCGGAAGGGAGGAGGGTACCATGAGGCATGTCTGGCGCCCCCTTTCCATCCTGTCCTGAACTAGTTTTTCAGGTTAACTTTGGAATGTCCTTGGCCAAGAGGGGGGGTCCATTCAGATGGTGGGGGCTTAGAATTTTAATTTTCGTTTAAAGATGATGACATTTTCTTTTCCTCAAACATTCTTCTTTTCCCAAATCTCAGTGAAAATCTGAATGAAACTTCACAGATTCTGAGACATGAGTGAATAGTTTCTAAGAAATTACTGTCTTATATTCATCCTTTGAATCTGCAGAATATAACCTTAAGTTAATTTTTGGAGAATCAGACCATAAGATGAAAGTCCTATTAGCCTTAATATTTTTGTTGATTAAGAAATCATTTTTCCATTTCTGATTTCATATATATGAGGAATTTAGAGGTTGTCACTCTATCCCAACAGGAAGTAAAAAGCTGAACAAACTGAAAAGTCCGCAGCTCTTAGATCTGCAAGAGAAGTGAGGTCGCAGGCAGCTACAGAGAATCACAATACACTGCTGCAGAAGCCTCCCCTGGAGCCAGCACCAGGGTGGGAAACCTGCACTGTTATTGACAGCCTGCTGTAGCCTAGGTTTGGAAAAGTCTGAGAGTTAAAACTCCAGGAGGACCCACTCATAGAGCACCCTCCCATGCTTTTGTGAGTTTTACTTCCAGGAACTCAAACCGATTTTCATAGTAAATGTCAAAATCAAAACAAAACAAAACAAAAAAATCCCTTGTTTTTCTGACAGGGGAGGCAGAAAAGGAACATTTTGAAATATGCTAGAGTGCTCTTTTTCTTAACAAGGACTGCCCTCAAGAGAAACACATACACCAAAGGCTCACCTGCTGGGGTTTTATCAGAGCCTAACTGACCTGGGGAAGGGAAATACTGACTCAGTCTGCTCCAGCCATTCTCTCCCATTTAAGGGAGAGGCACTGGGGAAGCTTACAGTACAGAGGCACAGGCCTGCACAGGACTATGGAAAGCTGCCCTTTCCTTCACATCTCACCTCCACATTACTAAAGGCCTGTTTATAGCAGCTCCTTCTACCCAGTGTATCATGTATGACATTTGACAAAAATGTACAAAGCATACTAAAAGGCAAAAAATACAATTTGAAGAGACAATGCAAGCATCAGAACCAGACTTGGCAGGGATCTTGGAGTTATCAGAGAGAATCAAGAACAACTATGATTAATATGCTAATAGCATTAATCATGAATATTCTGATTTAATATGCTAATCAGGGAAAGGAACAGAAGAAATATTTGAAACAATAATGACTTAGAATTTTCCCAAGTTAATGCCAGACACCAAACTGCAGATCCAGGAAACTCAGAGAACACCAAGCAAGATAAATGCCCAAAAATGACACCAAGTATATCATTTGCAAATTGCAGAAAAACAAAGAAAAAACCCTCCAAGAAACTAGAGGGAAAAAAACGCCATATGTACAGAGGAGCAGAGATAAGAATGACATCTGACTTTTACTCAGAAATCATGCAAGGCAGAAGAGAGTGCAGTGAAACATTTAAAGTATTGAGAAAATAGCACCTAAAATTCTGTACCCTGAGAAATTTTCCTTCAAGAGTTAAGGACAAATAAAGACTTTCTCAATCAATTGAGGGAATTTGTTACCAGTAGACCTGCCATGTAAGAAATGTTAAAAGAAGTTCTTTAGACAGAAGGAAAATAATATAGGTCAGAAACATGGATCTACATAAAAGAGCATCAAAGAAGTGCTAAGTGAAGGTAAAATAAAAACTTTAATTTTCCTATTCTTAATTGATGTAATAGATGATAGTGTGTTCAAACTAATAATAGAAACAATGTATTTGATTGAGTATGCTTGTGTGTACACACACACACACACATAAGTGAAATTAATTACAGCAATGATACAAAGGGTGAGGAGGAGGAATTAGAATTATTTTGTTGTTATAAGGTATTCACACTATCTGTGAAGTAGTACAGTGTTAGTTGAAAGGAGGCTTGGACTGGTTATAAATGTATAGTGCAACCTCTAGGGCAACCGTTAAAACAAGTATAAAAAGAAGTATAACTGATATGCTAAGAAAGGAGATAAAATGAAACCACATAAAATGCTCAATTAAAACTACAAAAGGGAAAATGTGGAAGACAGAAATAAGAACAAATAAGAAGGCCAAGAAATGGAAAACAGTAATATATATGGTAACTATTAGCCCAACTATATCAATAATCATTTTCAGTGTCAGTGATCTGATGTACCAATTTATAAACATTATCAGAGCAGGTCAAAAAACAAGATCCAACTCTGTGGTCTACAAGAACCCACTTCAAATATGAAGACACACATAGATGAAAAGTAAGTGGATGGAGAAATATATACCATGCTAACACTAATCAGAAGAGCAGGAGTAGCTATATTAATTTCAGACAGAGCAGACTTCAAAGCAAAGACAGATGTCAGGGATAAAGATGGACATCATATAATCATAAGGGAGCTAATTGTCTAAGAAATTATAATAATCTTTAATGGGTATGCCCCTAGCAACAGAGAATCAAACCATGTGGGACAAAAACTGATAGAACTACAAGGAGATATAGATAAATCCACTACTGTAGTTGGAGACTTCAACACTATCAGAAATGGACAGATTCAGCAGGCAGAAAGTCAATATGGACATAGTTGGACTCAACACCATCAATCAACTGGATATAACTGACACCTATAGACAACTTCATTCAGCAACAGCAAAAGACACATTATTCTTAAGCTGTCATGGAAAATTCACCAAGCTAGACCACATATGGGGCCATAAAACACACCTTAACAAAGGTAAAAGCATAGAAATCGTATAGTGTCTGCTGTCAGATCACAATGGAATAAAACTAGCAATCAATAACAGAAAGATAGCTGGAAAACTCTAAAATACTTGGAGATTAAGAACACACTTCTAAATAACACATGGGTCAAAGAGGATATTGCAAGATAAATTTAAAAATATTTTGAACTAAATGAAAATGAAAACAGAACTTGTCAAAATTTGTGGGATGCAGTGAACCAGTGCTCAGGGGGTACTGAAGGCACATATTAGAAAAAAGAAAGAGCCAAAATTGGTGATCTAAGCTTATACCTTATAAAACTAGAAAAAGAAGAACAAATTAAATTCAGAGTAAGCAGAATAAAATAAATAACTATTAAAGCAGAAATCAATGAAATTAAAAACAGAAACTCTGGAGAGAGTGAAGAATCACCAAAAGGTGATTCTTTGAAAAAATTCAATAAAACTGATGGTCCTCTAACTAGGCCAACTTAGAAAATAAGGGAGAGGACACAAAGTACTAATATCAGTAATGAAAGCATGGACATCACTATAGGAACATTAGAAATGCTGTGAACAACTCAGTGCCCACACATTTGGTAACCTAGATGAAATGAATCAATTCCTTGAAAGACGCAGTCTGACAAAGCTCACACAAGAAGAAATCCACAGTCTGTATAGGCCTATATTGACTGAAGAAATTGAATCAATAATTCATAACCTTCCAAAACAGAGAGCACCAAGTTAAAGTGAATTTACTGGTGAATTCTACCAAAAATGAAGAAGAAATTATACTCATTATCCACAACTTCTTCCAGAATATAGCAGAGAAAATACTTTCTAACTCATTCTGTGAGGCCAGAAATCACCCTAATGCCTAAACCAAAGACTTTACAAAGAAACTATAGACCAATATCTCTCATGAACAAAGATACAAAAATTCTCAACAAAATATTAGCAAATTGAATCCAACAATGTATATTAAAAAAATCACACACTGTGACAAAATGGGATTTATCCCACATACACAAGGCTGGTTCAGCCTTTGAAATTCAGTTAATGTAATATGTCACATCAGTGGGCTAAAGGGGAAAAAAATCACATATAGCAGTAAGTGCACAAAAAGCATTTGAAAAATCTAACACCCATTCATGATTAAACAACAACAACAACAAAAACCTCTCAGTAAACTAGGAATGGAAAGGAATTTCCTCTACTTGGTAAAGAATTTCTACAACAACCACAACAAAACCAAAACTCTAGAGTTGATATCATACTTAATGATGGAAACTAGAAGCTTTCCACTAAGATCAGGAACAAGGCAAGGATGTTCCCTTTCACCACTCATTTTCAGCATCATACAAGAAATCCTACCTCATGCACCAAGACAAAATAAAAAAAAAGAAATAAAAGGTAAACTGATTTGGAAGGAAGAAATAAACTTCTCCTTGTTCACATATGGCATAATCATCTATGTAGAAAATGCAAGAGAATTAACAGAAAAACTCCTGGAATGAATAAGCAATTATAGTAATATTTCAAGATACCTGGTTAATGTACAAAAGTCAGTAACTTTCATATATACTGTCAGTGAACAAGTGGGATTTGAAATTAAAAACACAATATAATTTATATTAGCACCCCCCCCAAAATAAAATACCTAGGGATAAGTCTAACAAAATATGTACAAGATCTTTATGAGGAAAATTACAAGACTCTGATGAAAGAAATAAAAGAAGAACTAAATAAATGGAGAGATATTCCATGTTTATGGAGAGGAAGATTCAATATTGTCAAGATGTCAGTGTTTCTCAACTTGATTTATAGATTCAATGGAATCCCAATCAAAGTCCCAGCAAGTTATTTTGTAGATATTGACAAACTGATTCTAAAGTTTATATGTAGAGGCAAAAGACCCAGAATAATCAACACAGTTATTTAGAAGAAAAAGTTGGAGGATTGACACTACCCACATCAAGACTTACTGTAAACATATAGTAATCAAGACAGTGTGGTATTGACAAAAGAAGAGACAAACCAATCAGTGGAACAGAATAGAGAGCCCAGGAATAGACCCAGCTAAGTGTAGTCATCTGGTCTTTGACAAAGTAGCAAACAACATGATGGAGAAAAGATAGAGTCTTCAACAAATGGATCTAAAACAACTTGACATCCACATGCAAAAAATGAATCTAGACACACCTAACTCAAAACAGGTCACAGACCTAACTGTAAAATGCAAAGCTATAAAACTCCTAGAAGATTTTCTCTAGAAGACCTTGGGTTTGGTGATGACTGTTTTATATGACACCAAAGGCACAACCTATGAAAGAAAGAATTAATAAGCTAGACTTAATTAAAATTGAAAATTTCCACTCTGCATAAGACACTGTTGAGAGAATGGAAATACAAGCCAGAAATTGGTGGAAAACATTTGTAAAAGATATCTGAAAAAGGACTGTTATTCAAAACATACAAAAAATTCTTAACACTGAGAAAACAAACAAATCCAATTTAAAAATGGGTAAAAGACCTTAACAAACACCTCACCAAAGAAGATACACAGATGGCAAATAAGCATATGAAAAGATCCTCCATATAGTATGTCATCAGGGAAATGCAAATTTAAGCAACGCGATATCACCGTACACCTATTAGAAATCCAGAATCCAGAATCCAGAACACAGACAACATTGAAGGCTGTTAAGGATGTGGAGTAACAGGAGTTCTCATTCCTTGCTAGTGGGAATGCAAAATGGTACAGCCATTTGGAAGACAACTTGGCAGTGTCTTACAAAACTAAGCATACTCTTATTATTTGATCCAGCAATTGAGCTACTTAGTATTTTATCAAAGGAATGGACACTTAACGCTTATACAGATACCTGCACACAGATACTTATAGCAGGTTTGTTCATAATTATGAAGACTTGAAAGCAACCCAGCGGTACTTTAGTAAGGGGTGGGTAAATAAGCTGTGATCCCTACAATGGAATATTACTCTGCACTAGAAGGAAATAAGCTATCAAGCCGTGAAAAGACATAGAGGACCTTAAATGCACATTACCAAGTGAAACAAGCCAATTGGAAAAGTCTGCTTCCTGTATGATTCCAACTATACGACATTCTAGAAAAGGCAAAACTATGGAAACAGTAAAAAGATCACTGGTTGCCATGGGTAAGGGTGAGGGAGGGATGGATATGTGGGCATGGAAGATTTTTAGGGCAGGGAATCTACTCTGTGTGATACTGTAATGGTGGATGCATATCATTCTGTGTTGTTCAAACTCACAGAATATAACACCAAGAATAAACCCTAATGTAAACAGTGGAACTTAGGTGACAGTGATGTGTTCATAGATTGTAAAAAATGTATCATTCTGGTGCAGGGTGCTGATAAGAATGAGCCTTTGTGTGTGGCGGGGGAGGGCGGGGCATGTAAGGACTATCTCTCTACCTTCCTCTCAATTTCGTTATGAACCTAAAAACTGCTGTAAAAAATTGTGTTTCTAAACAGAAATACTCCATCTTCTGAGAACAGTATCTGATAACAGGTGCTGTATTTCATATTCCCATGGCTATCCAGAAGAAATATTTTTCTCTAGATAGCAGTTTTCCATAAGGATTGAAAGAGCTGTCCCCCTGTGAAGTAAGAGCCAAAGGGAAGCAACCAGAACATTTCTGCCTTTATGTACTTATTTCATTTGTTCATCTTCTGTTCCCATATTTATAATTTTTTTAAAAAAAAAGACCAGGACAAATTGAATGAGGAGCAATAAAAGTAAAGGTAATAATGCCAGTGAAAAATGAGATTCTTAGGACCCACTCAGGTGCACAGTTGTATACCATGTTACCACATGCCTGCCCTGAGCTGTCCACCTGGAAGCCCATGTTGTTCAGTCTTCTACCCTGTATCTACAGAGCACCCAGCTCCTGACACAGTACATGAGTGAACAAATCAGTTAATCTCAAATATTACTTGGAAAAAAAAGTGACACTTAAATCTGGTAATATAAAAATGAATGAATTTGTGTATATGTTATAAATCATATATTTTGCCAAGTCTTTTTTCTTAGTTTTAGCTCATAATAAATAAAATCAGCAACTTAACTTTGCTCATGCTCTAACATACAACAGAGAGGCAAAGGATTCAGATACACAAATGAAAACATAAATATATTTTTATTTTCCACCCCACTTAACTCAGAGAGCTTGAGCTTTTTATAAGCAGTTACTTTAATGTTAGATGTTTTTAAATTGTCCATTCATGAATTTGTGATTTCTTCTTTTCATTGTTCCTTTTGCAACAGCATATGTCTTTCAGAGGAAAGAAAAATAAGTTATGAGGATATTAAAGTCAGATAAATCACTGAAATTAAAATTACATTTAACTGGCTAATTTTCACTTCCAAGCTTTACAAATCAAGGGAAAATTTAGTCTTTTGACTAAGACTAAGCTTTAAATTTTTTTTCAGACAACTACGTTTATAAATAATCTTTTTTAAAGCTTGAGATATTAAATGTATAGTTTGGGCCAGGCACAGTGGCTCACATCTGTAATCCCAGCACTTTGGGAGGCCGAGGCAGGTGGATTGCCTGAGGTCAGGAGTTCCAGACTAGCCTGGCCAACATGGTGAAACCCCATCTGTACTAAAAATACAAAAATTAGCCAGGTGTGGTGGTGGGCGCCTTTAATCCCAGCTACTCAGGAGGCTGAGGCAGGAGAATCGCTTGAGTCTGGGAGGCAGAGTTGTGGTGAGCCGAGATTGCACCACCGCACTCAAGTCTGGGTGACAAAGTGAGAAATAAATAAATAGATAAATAGATAGACAGTTTGGAGGGATACCTTTTAATTTGTAATTAAACAAGTCTCAGGGCCCTTTTTGACTGAGGCTTAGAATTTTGGTTACCTATGGTATTTGAAATTTTGAAAGCAGAGTAAACATAAAACTTTTTAAAGTTAATTATGAAAAAGAAGAAAAGCTAGACCAAACTATTGATATATACAACAAAAGATTTTTTTATATTGTGGGTAAAAAGTACATTTTTTAGTAGGCCATTAGCATTTTCAAATAACTTTTATTGTAACATTGTTATGTTATTTGCTTCTCTGTATTAAAGGTATCTTAAAACTTCTGACATTTTCTGTCCTCCAGTCCATCTGTCTAAAATAACGCACTCTGGGTCATGAGGTTCTTTCAATTACAAACATGTACCTGTGCCTTAAAACTAAAGCCTGGAAGTGCTTTGGTTAAGCAGGTATAGTTAAACTTTCCTCTGCGGTTTTATTTCTCCTAATTATTATTTTCTTTGGAAGGCATTCAATTCTATTTTTTCCCAAGGTATCTGAGCATCTCTTCCATTGTTAGTTAGGTTTCTACCATAAAAATGTGTAGTCAGGGCTGGCTGGGGCTTCTGGAATCGTATTCCTGGATACAGTCTACACCTTGACCCACCAGTGGTGTGTGGTCAGTAGGTCCCAGCCTCTTTTCACTTCCTTTCAATTATTAGGTATTAAGAAGTCTGCACAGCAGCTCCAGGTCCACCGATACTGTTGCTGACTTAGATTGATGATACCCTTCTCTTCCTTGGCCACTTTTAAAAGATTCTTATTTTAACTGTTTACCTTGGATATCTTGGGCTATGTTCATGTAAACGACATCTGTTAACATAAATATGAGCTATCTCTTGTAATACATATTATGCAACTAAGATAATATTAGCTAATTTTTCATACAGTAAGCCAGGTACTATGTGATCTTTGTATATTAAATAATGGAATCCTTACAACATATGTTTTAAATAGGGAATATAACCATCCCCATCTTATGGACAGGGAAACTGGGACACAGTGGTTCACTGATTTGTCCATTGTCACTGCTAGTAAGTAACAGTGCGGGAGGAAGGAGTGGTGGAGCCACGTGGGAGTAGCAATCTCTTGCTCGTTTTGTAAATAGCCTAGTGCAATTCTCTCTGATAGAACTGTCTGTGATGGTGGAAGTGGTCTCTATCTGCTCTATCCAGTATACGAGCAACTAGCCACTGCGGTTACTGAACACTTACAGAATTTTATTTCATTTTAATTGATGAAAATTAAATGAGGCCACATGGGGTCTGGCTATTGTATTGGACAGTACAGCTCTAGAATGATTAACTTTCTTCCAGTAATTCTGGCATGGGACCAGCCTGTAAAACAAGGAGATACCAGAATCATATTGACCTAACGCACATGCACTGCGGGAGCTGCCTTGCTGGTCAGCCTTCTTCCTGTCCTTCTTCCTCTGAGCTACGCTCGACCTTGCCACCAGTTCCCGACCCATCTGTTTCCGGTCCTCCATGCTCCTCATGCCAGATGCTGTTGCCCTGGGCGTTCTGAGCAGGCGCCTCTCGCTAGTTCCTTTGCTTCCTTCCCTGTAAGCCCCAAGCAGCATCTCTTCCCATTCAGTTCTTTTTTAGAAATTTTGCTTAATACATAGTTATCTTTCCTGCATTTTTAGGAAAATATATGACAGGTCGCTGAGCCATGTGGAGTCTGAGGATTTTATCCCATTGAGCCATATTTACCCTATCTCTCCTCCACTACAGGATTTCGATTTTGAAAGTGTATGAGAAAGATAATTCAGAATATTTTTCCTATTTCAGAGTCAAAAAATACAAAAGCTTGTTCTGGGCGCCCCATAAGTAGTACCTGCTGGGCATTCTGAACCATAAATATGGTGAGGGTTACTCGGCCATCAGGCATCCTTTCAGCTCCCAAAAATAAACCTAACTTTGGGATATGTGGGAGAGGATGATTTTTGTTTTCCTGAAGTAACCACATTAGACTTTTAATTCTTACTGCCTAGAATTCGCCCAGCCCCAGCCCATCCTCCTCACTCGTATTAATGCCAACAGTGTGCTTGTAACACGATCGCCTCGCAGCAGTAAATCAGGAAACTAGTTTTTGCATGAACCACTTGAAACAGGCTTCAAGTCTCTGGCACAGTTTTCAAAGTAAACTTTTCTAACCAATTATTGGGAGGACTTTAGTTAATGTGAAAAAATTAACTCTTGTAAACAACAACATACTTTCCTCCGCACGGGGCATACCCAGCTTCATATTTCTGAAGATGTTTACATTTTTGAAAACTGTTTTTGTCTCTATGAGGAAAGTTTTAAAAAAATTAATTTGTAAGCATAAAAAATGAGATTCATTTCTGCCATTTAATGACAGTGTTGCTCACTTTATTTATGTTTAATTATAGCTGATCTAGCCTAGGGATGGTTGTAAGATATTAACGAGCCCTTGCTTGTCAGTTTTCTCTAAAAAACTCAAGCACAGCCTTTTAGAAACTGAAAGTTGAGGGGAAATATCTCTTCAATGTTGTTTCATTAAAGGAAGTTAAAAGTTGATTTCTAAGCACCAGCAACATAAATCTAATTTGTCATTTGCATTTGCATGCCCTAGATTCTCCCTTCAAATAACTTCTCCATCCACATTTAAAATTTAACATTTAACTTTGAAAGTTCAAAGGACTGCAGTTAATAACGCACTGGCTGTACAAATAAATAGTGCTTTCAACCCAAGGCCCAGAATGTGTTTCCTGGACAACAAGGGTCTGTGAGTTTTCCCCTGTGGTCTGAAGAGCTGCTCCTCCAACCTGTAGGTAGGACCCGCTTATGTTTTTGTTAAAGGCTGGATTTGCAGAAGGAGAAAAGAGAGAAGGGGATTTGGGGACTGTTTACTTTGAGTCATTTTGCTACTGGAAAACCACCAAATGTGGCTTAAAAATATTGGGCAGAGTGACAGAGCTACAGCTTGGGTGGAAGTAGCCCAGCTGAACCCAGCCCTCTGCTCCCTTGGGACCAAGATAAGGAAAGCTGCTGACCCCACTCCACCCAGACATCCCCAGCCCAGCCCACCCTGCCTGCCATCCTGCAGCCCAGGAGGACTATATGGCCTCACCACATGGGAGCCCTTGCTGGGGCCGTTACAAGCTATTGCTCCCTAGGATTTTTTTAAAGTATTTAGGAAATACTACCTTAAACAATATTTGTTCATCCGTTTGTTTATCAGCAGGCATTTATTTATTATTCACCGGCCTGTTAGATACCAGGCTTTTGGGAAGGAGAGGTGGAGGGAGGCATTGGATACCATGGGTTGTTCACTTCTCATATGATTTTAGGAAGTAAGTAGGGGCCCTATAATAATGCCTTTTTTTGCATTATTATTTTATCTATGCATATATTTTCCCATCTTAAAGTTTATTGATAAAAAATGTCTTCTCAAGGATTCGGGGAAGTACTGCGTACTTCCTTCAAGCTTTTAAGGTACCAGGTCATAATTTCAAGAATACAGACTACGGGGTATTTTAAAACAGAAATGCATTTCTACCATTGATATTAATGGCGGACCATGCTCCATAAACATAATCACATATCCCTTATCCTGAAGCCCAGGCTAAAGATGGACATACTCTGCCTATACCCTCCTTGCCCTCCCCTCACCAGACACACACACACATGTGCACACACACACACACACACACACACTCCTTCTCTTGCCATGATGGGAGGGACAACTCTAGTGCAACTTGGAAAGTGTCAAAGAAAACCCAGAACTGGACAGTGGAACAGCAGATTTTACTCAGGACTGTTGCAGTAGAGGAAATGAAAGCTCAGTGTAGAACTGGGCTCCACTCCAAATACAGCACAGGCAAGTGGGGATATATAGCCAAGGAGCAGGCTGGGTTTGGTGGATGGAAAATCATGAAGAGGAACCGTCAGAGGTGAGGGAGATTCTGGCTAAAATGACCTCACAGGATTCTTGCTGAAGACAGGCCAGGGTGACCAGGCATCACCTGGGAGATGGTGAGGGTTGAGGAACCTGAGAAGATACTGAGCATGGCCAGATTTAGCCAGGTTTTTGGGAAACTGGGCTCTTGAGGACAGGGCCCAACAGAGAGTGGCTCCTAAGAACCTATCTAGAGTTTGGTCAAGGAGAGAGTCCTTGTCAAAAGGCTAAACTCAAACATAGCTCATTTCATTATTTATTTGCTTACTTGTCTGCCTGCAGCAGGAAATAATATACCTAGGGAAATTACTTCTTTCTATCCCTATGGGGGAAAAAACAAAAAAGATTTGATACTATTTTCATTTGCTGCATGGTTAGGTCATCTGATCAATACAAATGCAGTGGGCCAAACCTAAATGGATACCCTCTCTGTGCCAGGACTTGGGGTGCAGTGGTGAGTAAGAACAGCTCCAGCTCTATCCATGCAAGGGAATACTCTCTATTTGCTGATATGGAGCACTGTCCAAGATGTATGGCATGGGAAAACAAATCTAGTTGCAGAACAGTGTTAAATACATGCACTCACGCTAGGAGGATATTTTTGGCAGGTCACCCCAATACCTGTGTTGGGGGAGTGGGAAGTTAAGGAGCAGGGATGGGAAGAAAGGTGTACTGTTTGATTATTTTTGTTAAATCTCATGTGTGTAATAGTTTTTCAGTATACGAATGATAAAAAGAAAAGAAATGATCTCGGCCAGGGTGGTGACACAAGTTTGTGAAGGCAGTGTCAATCTGTGCTAACCAATGTCACCATGGGTTGGAGGCTGTCGAGCTTCCCTTTCAGCTGTTTTCCCTCTTTCTTTTGTTCTTGGTAATTATTTATTGAACTTAATGGGGAAGATTTCAAGGCATTTTAACCACCCAGCTTTACTGAATGAAATGAAAACATCAAAGCAGACATTTATATTGGGGGTAATTTAGTATTTATATGTAGTTTACTTTATAGCCTGGATTATGAGTAATTACAGAGTCTGTGTTTAAGGTGCATTAGAAATATGACAGTCAACTCAAAAAGCAGTTGCTGTCATGGACACCATACTGTAATTTAATTTCTTGGAATCACCTTCTTTGAATTTCTAGTTATTTCATGGTTTCTAGTTAATTCAATGTGTAGAATGGTCACTTCATCAATTTCTTAGACTTTTATGAACTGCAGGCTATTTTTTAATAGTTTCAAATTAATATTAGGCTTTAAAAATATTACATTTTTGAAAATAGTAAATACTTTAGAGAAAATCTATTTTAAGTAAAATTTCCCAAATAAACAGTCTTTATGAAAGTTCCCATGAGTATTTGGGATATGATCAATGAATTTTATTATTTTGCCAAAAAATAACCACAAAGACCTCCACCACATTAAGTTGTATGTTCATTTTCAAAAGAGTTGTGACACTCAAAACTTTTAGTCCATTGGATTACTTGTACAGTTTCTCAGTGGAGGGAGGAGGTGACTTGGAGACAGTCAGCAGGACAGGGAGCCACAGTTGAATGACTGACTGGCAGGAACGCAGGGCTCTTATAGCACGGTGCAGCAGTTGACTCAGATAGGGTTGAATTAGAGTTTGTGTTCCACTAAACTTGTTTTAATTAAGAAAATTATGATTTCTTTTTGAAAGATTCTTAGTCAATAAAAATGTCTTAGATGGAAATTGGGGTCTGATGATCCCCTTATTTCCAGGGAAGCTTTATGATTCTTGAATCAGCAAAGTTGGTTTATTTATTGGATTGTAGAAAATCCAAAATCCTAACACTTATAGGTATAATTTGTTTAGGAAATGTGCACTCCGTGCTTGATTTAGAGTTGAGCACTTTATATGCATTCCCATTTATTCCTCACACAACCTTTAGGGCAGGTATTCTTATCCCCATCTCACAGATGAAGAGACTGAGGATCGGAGAATTCCCAAAATAACTTGGCCAACAAGTGGCAGAGCTGGCATTCAAACTCATGTCTCTTTAGATCCAATGTAGGAAAATACATACTTTTCTCCTATGTTGACCTGGCTTGAAACAGAATTTCCAAGGACATTTATTTCCAGTTAATGCACCTCTTTCTCTGCATTCTCCTTTCTCTTTCCCTTGTACTTCTCCTCCTTCTTCTTTTCCTTTGTTGTGTTTTAACTCGTACATGAGACTCTTACAACCTCAAGCTGCCTGGATCAAAGTGTGATTTTGAAATACTCTGCTCTTTCCTGAACCTTTGCTGTGGAGAACCCTAGCTTGGGAACAAGGTGGAGACCACCCCCAGAAGGTCACGTGCACCTGTGCCTTGATCCCAAGGGACTTTGGGAGTGGGAGGCTCTCTCCTATACTTCAGAAAGCCTGTGCCTGCACACAGCTCTCCCAGCAACCAAAGTGCTCAGCAAAAACACAGCTGTCCCAGCCCAGAGCCAGAGTCACAATGATCACCCCGCAAAGACCCAGCACATGTCCAGAGAAATTCTCCTTGAATATGCATCTTTATTGTTTTCCTATTACAAGAGTAATGGATGCTTTTTGCAAAAATTACATTTTGCAGAACTGTAAAACTTGAGACCACCCCGTAATTCTAATCTTCCCCTCCTCTGAAAGAGATAATCCCTGTTAACAATTTTAAAGAAATTCTAACTTGTTAATCAGTTCTTTAAATCAAGTGTTGTTTGTCTCCCCCCTCCTCTCTGTGCCTCTGATATAGAACATTGTGTGGCTGGAGCTCTCAGGAGTGAGGAGGAGGCTGACCTTCCACCCTTTTCTCCTCACTTCTTTGTTGTGCACACTCCCGATGTACGTTTGAAAGACAGGCAGAGTAATTGAAAGGAGGAAAGAAAGTATCACTCACCCAAAATGTGAATGAGTTAATTAGTAAAAATCTAGATGGAAGTGATTCCTCCGAATCCTTTGTTGAGTAGTTTATTAAGTACAGGCAGCACTATCCTTCAAGTTGGTTTTCATTTAATTTTTGGCCAATAAGTACTGCTTAGTTGATTTCGTATACAAATATGGATGAAGAAATTAAAATATGTAAATTTTACAGAAAAAATGGGAATGTTGAACTAGGTGGGACTTGCATTTTAGCATCCAGGGTTTACAAATGAGGAAACTGAGGTTTCTTGCAAGCCTTTCTTCCTCTGCAGCATCCAGTCTGCATTTGTGGGCATGCCCAGCCTGCTGCCTGCATGGGTGCCCTTCTTGCTCTTAAGCCACTGTCTGTTTTTTGTTAATGATGAGTGTTCTATAGAAACCATCACAAAGACCGACAACAGGTGTTACCAACAGTGTGTAGTCCTTCAGCCGCTTCCTGTGGATAAGTAATACATATATATATATATATATATATAGTACCTGGCAGGCCCTGTAGTGTAGTGGTTATGAAGCCTGACTCTGGAATTAGACGATGTAGGTTGAAATCCTGGTTCTAACACTACTTCTGTCACCTAGCCCAAGGTACATAACTTCTCTGACGCTCTATCCCCCAATCTATGAAATGGGAAAAATGGCAGTGCTGCCCTGATTGGGAAGGAGTATGGATTATTGAGATAATGGTGTAAAGTTCTTGGTCTAGAGTAAGCACCCATAAATGTTGGTACTTACATGAATGTTTTTGTAAACAATGGAATCATACTTCTAATTCTGTATTAAAACTTATTTTTAAAATTGTCGTGAACACAGATCACATCTACATTCTTCTTTTTATAGTTGCATTATAATTATGTTACATGATATGCTATAGTTTACTGAGTTCTTGAACTTGTGGAAATGATTGTATGTGGGTCAGAGAGCCATTTGTTTTGCCCACTCTTGGAAAACAGTGTGTTCTGATGTTCAAATCTAGAGAAGCTTGAGACCTTTAGTACCACAGAATTTGTCTCAACAGGAAGTTAACATCCTTTTAACAAATATGTAAGACTCTTTCTACTCTCAGGAAATACTAAATTGCTAACTATTTCAAGGAGCTCTCCATTTGGATTGATTTCTAGGCTTGTCCGCTAATGAAATTTCTTATGCACTTATCCTCATTTTTGAAAATAACACCCCTGATATCAAAGTACTGATTTTCTGCCTTAGAAGTGAGTGTGTGAATGTTTCCCTGGCGTTAGCTTCTGAGCATGCACATGACTGGCTTAATTAGAGGAGAAGAAGTGCCATAATTCTGCCATCCACTGATAGTAACGCAGCAGTGGGAGCCTGAGAGACCCTTGATTATTCTCATGCTCACGGCTTCTTGAATAAAGTGGATGACTAAGTGGACTTACCATAGTAAGAGAGATCATTAGCAGTGGAAGACACATTTGAACTTGCTGAAAGAGCTGCCTTTGTGTCTAGGAAGGCCGACACTTGGTAATTATTAGACCAGGTCTTCGTTTCATCCTAGCGGTCTTTCCTTTTCACGCTTGCAAAGTCTGAATAGCTTTCTGTTACCCGTTAATCCCCACAGGAATGTGGCTTCGGCTATGGGGAGGATGCACAGTGTGTGACGTGCCGGCTGCACAGGTTCAAGGAGGACTGGGGCTTCCAGAAATGCAAGCCCTGTCTGGACTGCGCAGTGGTGAACCGCTTTCAGAAGGCAAATTGTTCAGCCACCAGTGATGCCATCTGCGGGGACTGCTTGCCAGGGTGAGTTGGCCAGTTTCTTTCACTTGTAATTATTTAATTAAGTAACTTTTAAAAAGGCAATTCCCTTGTTCCATTCTAAACTGGAATGCATGCTGGTATTAACCTGAAGATGCTGGTGGAGTATTTGTGACTTCTTTCAGTATTAACCACTGGATTATCTGTGGTACCGTGTGCCATGCATGCAGCAGACACTGGCTATAAAGAAAATGAATAGGCATGCTAACAAAGGATTTCTGTTATGAAAATCTAAGGAGTTCCTACAAATCAGTAAAAAAGAAAACTTGGACAAATGGACACAAAAATGAACAAGCAACCCACAAAAGAGGTGACCCATGTGACTGGCAATCCTCTGACAATGTTCACCCTCATTAGCATCAGAGGAGGGCAGGTTACACCATTCAGCCATTCAGCAGAGACGTGCCCAACCACCTTAGGCATTGCTTTACATACTTGGGCTATGTCAGAAAATAAAGTGGCAAAGATCCCTGCCCATGGGGAGCTTATTTCTTATAGGTTTTGTTTGTTTGTTTGTTTGTTTTGTTTTGTTCTGTTTTGAGATGGAATTTCGCTCTTGTCACCCAGGCTGGAGTGCAATGGCGCAATCTCAGCTCAGTGCAACCTGTGCCTCCCAGGTTCAAGTGATTCTTCTGCCTCAGCCTCCCGAGTAACTGGGATTACAGGCATGCGCCACCACGCCCGGCTAATTTTTTGTATTTTTAGTAGAGATGGTGTTTCTCCATGTTGGTTGGTCTCAAACTCCTGACCTCAGGTGATCTGCCTGCCTCAGCCTCCCAAAGTGCTGGGATTACAGGTGTGAGCCACCATGCCCGGCTTCTTATAGGGTTTTAAAAAATATTTAAATAGTAAATAATAAAGAAGCAAATTATGCAGAAAGATAGAAGATGATAACTGCTATGGAAGAAACCCTAAGGCAGACAAGGGCGATTGGGCATGGCCACAGTGAGGGGCAGGACAGTGACAGCGTAAATTGGGTTGTCAGGATAGGCTTTATTGCAAAGGTGAGATCTGAGCAAAGGCTTGAAGGAGACGAGGCACGGAGCCAAGCAGAGAGGTGGGGAAGAGCACCGCAGACAGAAGGAACCTCCAGCAAGAGGTTCTCAGGTGGGCATCTACCTGGTGTGGGTAAAAAACTGCCAGGAGGCCAAGGGAGTGGCAGAGAGAGGGAGGCGTGCAGTACACCAAGTTACAGAGAGCAGAGGAAGGGGTGGGCAGGTGCGAACGCAGAAGCCTTAAATAGACTTGTCAATAAGGCAGCCAGGTCCAGGGAAAGGAGAGGGACCACACCTGGGCCAGGGGGAGCACCAGGGAGGAGGAAGTTAAATTCCTGACTGCTTCTAAGTAACTGTGGGATGGATTAATACAGACAGCTGGAGGAGAGAGTCTGGATGAAGAGCCAGGGTGACAAGGGGGGTGATCTGTAAGGCAGGGAGAAGCCATTGCTACACCAAGTATGCAGAGAATGGGATGAAGCAGAATATCCTTAGAGCTTAATGGAGATAGAGTGGAGCCAAGAGTTACTGACCAAAGACAGAAGAGAGAGGAAGCAGAAACCCTGGAGCATCAGAAACCAGTCTGTATTGCAAAAGTAAGAAACAACCAGAAACTGCATTGCAGGGGCAGCAAACATTTATTACTTGCAATGTACCAGGCACCTGGCCAAGTACTTCTCATGAATTATTTTCTATACTTTTCACAATGTTTTAAGAAGGAAGAAACTGAGACTTATTAAGGATTAAGTTTATTCAGGCAAGATCACCTAACCTGTGTGTGGTGAGTCTGGGAGTCACATCATGGGAGTCTAACATCAGAATTCATGCTCCGAGGCACTACAGACAAAAGACTCTAACTGGATCGACCACAAGATCAGAGTGGTTTTGACCAGATGTCCCGGGGGTGGGGTCTTGTTGAGGCCAGAGAGGAGATAAAGCTCTGGGCCTGAAGGGTGGAAACAGAGTAGAAAATAGACTAGTGGGTCCCACGTGGTCATATACAGAGACCCAGCACCTAGGGAGCTGTAAGATGTAGTGGGCTAACACCAAAATACAAGCAGCAAAAGAAAAAATAGCTCTGTTGGACTTTATCAAAATTTTAAACTTTGTACTTCAAAGGAAATCCTTTGAAGTACAAAACACAACCACACAACCCACAAAATAGGAGAAAATACTGGCAAATCATATGTCTGGTAAGGAACTATCTTAAGTAGAATATGTCCTCACATATTCTTACAACTCAATAATAAAAAGACAAATAATTCAATTAAAATACAATGAAGGATTTGAATAGACATTTCTCCAAAGAAATATACAAATGTCCAATAAGCACATGAAAAGTTGCCCAACATCATTAACAATCAGGGAAATGCAAATCAAACCCACATTCTTCAACCCCACTAAGATAGCTATAGCCAACAAAAACCAGACGGTAACGGTGATGACATGGAGAGATTGGAATGTTGGTGATGACGTGGAGAGATTGAAACCCTCATACACTGTTGGTGGGAACGGCAAAGGGTACAGCCAGGTTGGAAAACAGTTTAGAGTTCCTTCAGAAAGTTAGACATAGAGTTACCACGTGACCTGACAGTTTGACTCTTAGGTATATAACCAAGAGAACTGAAAACACGTCCACACAAAAACTTGTACACTAGTGTTCGTAGCAGCAGTTTACGTAATAGCCAAAAAACTGAAACAACCAAGCTCTGGTTTGAATGTGTCCCCTCCAAAATTCAGTTGTTGCCAGTGCGATTATATTAAGAGGTGGGGCCTTTACGAGGTAATTAGGTCATGATGGGCCCTCCCCTCACAAATATGCCCTGATAAAGGGGCTTGACAGAGGGAATTTGTTCCTTTTTTATTTGCCTTCCACCTTCTGCCACGTAAGGACACAGCATTTCTTCCCTCTGAAGAGTGCAGCAGAAAGGCCCTCACCAGACGCCAGATACTGGCATCTTGATCTTGGACTTCCCAGCCTTCAGAACTATGAGAAATAAATTTCTGTTATTTATAAATTACCCAGTCTGTGATATTCTATTACAGCAGCACAAAACCGACTAAGACAAACCCAAGTGTCTATCAACTGATAAATGGAAAAACCAAATGGGATATATTCAAACAATGAAATATTATTCATCAGTAAAAAGGAAGGAAATGCTGACATGCTATGAGATGGATGAGCCTAGAAAACATTATGCCAAGTGAAATAAGCCAGTCACCAATGATGGCATATTACATGATTCTATTGAAATGTCCAGAATGGGCAAATCTACAGGGACAGAAAGGAAATTAGTGTTGCCTAAGGGCTGGGGTTGGGGAGAGTTGGGAATGGGAGGTGACTGATAAGGTTATGAGGCTTCTTTGGGGGATGATGAAAATGTCCTAAAATTGATTGTGGTGATGGTTGTACAACTCTGTGAATGTATGGAAAACCATCCAATTGTACACTTTAAATGGGTGAATTGTGTGGTATATAAAGTATAAGTCAATAAATCTGTGCCTTAAAAAAAAAAGGAACGGTCTATAATCTCAGACCTGTGATGATATCTATGGATAGCATTACTCAGAGTTTTGATCTTGTGCAAATCTAATTGAGGACATGAACGGAACATCTCACACACCTCTGTTGTTCGTGTTCTCCAGTTCCCTGATAAAAGCCTGTCTGTGCGTGTCTACTCTCTACATCTGGAGGTAGAGAAATGAGGAGGTCTACAGGGGATGTACAGGCTGAGATAGGCAGTGCCCAGGGAGGGTGGGGAAAGGCCTGACCTAGGACTGGGATTTTATAGAGCCCATGCAGGGCTGTGCTGCCGGAGTAGGGGAGCAGGTCTGCCCGGGACTCCACCGTGCCTGGTTCCTCCTGCTTCCCCGTGGTCCTTGTCATTTGAGCCCACTGCTCTAGTTTCTACAGTGTTTGTTTATTCTTTAGGTAAATACTTAGCTATAGGAAAGTTATAAGTGAATAGACAGTTGAGTGATGTTTCACAATTTATTTATATGATTACTTTAAAATCCCATTTTTTTCTAAGTCAGCATTAGTATATGAGGCAGGCGTAATTACATAGTGACTTTTACCCAGGTCTTTTCAAAGTGTTTTCAAAGTACTCTTCCAGTTTAACTGTACTTCTGTGAAGAAACCAAATAGTTGGAACCCATTTTATAAACAGAAAAACTGAGGCAGAAAGACGTGAGCAAAATGCATATTGCTCCCCAAAAAGCAATGCAGAAGTCAGGCAAAAGGCAGGCATTGCTCTTTTTGGTGCCACTCTGCCTCCTGCGGCCTCATTCTCTAGCAAGAACCTGCTGCTGTCCATAGGCCGAGGTCCCCCAGGACACCAGCTGCTTCCCTCTCAGTAGCAGGTAGGGTGTGGAAATCATCTGTCCTCCGTGCCCACAATTTGAGTCATTCGAGAGAGCCAGTCCCCTTATTCCCACATCTGCTCTGTGACTTTAGACAAGTCATTTAACTTCTCTGAAATGCACTCTTCTCACCTGTAAAATGACCATGCTGTAAGAATCCACCCTGCAGAATTGTTAGAAGGATTAGAAATAGAAGGCATGTAAAGTGCCTAGCAGAGTGCCTAAGCCATAGGAAGTCCTAATGGAATATTGGACATTATTGCCAATTGATGATTTTGGGGGCCAGTGAAAACTTGGCATGACTTTTTCAGAGTGTGGCCAACAGGCCTCCAAGCTCCTCTGCTGGCAGCCGGTTCCTGAGTCCTTCCTGGCTCAGGGGAACTGGAACCCGCCCTGAAGAGTAGGCTGGCCCCTGCCAGCTCTTTGCTTCTTCTGGTGACAATGACAACTAACATTGAGCACTTACTATCATCCGAACCACTCTGTAAAGTAGGGATTCCTACCACCCCCTCTTAACAAAGAGGGAAACTGGTTCTCAGAGTGGATAAATGACTTCCCAGAATCACCCAGCTTGTAAATGAAAGGACTGGAATTCACCTTGCAGCTCCTCTGCCCCATGCTTAGGTGCATGTCTGATATCACTGGGAGGTCACCGCTGGGGCTTCCGTGATTGATTGATGGGAATCACAGGGACTGCCTCCGTCCGTGTGTGCTGTGTGCCCACTTCACCCTCACCCTACCCTCAGCAGACCCCTTGCTCCTGGAAGCTGCCTGAGTTGCCTGGGTTTTCGCATCCCTTTGCCTCAGCTCTCTGGTCTGTGCTCAGGGTGTTCCCTAGTAACCATGACACTGTTTAGGAGACCTAGACTCTTACTCTAATGATTAATCTTGTCATTAGCATTTGTTCACCTTCAGATAAGGGGCTATTGCTGTGGATTGCTGAGGAACACAAACAGCAGGCTGACTAACCACCAAGGTGCTAGCAAGAGCCCAGGACAGAGCAACGCTGTCATCCAGTGTCTCACAGACACTTCAGAAAATCCCATCCTGACTTGACTGTGACTCACAGGGCATAGTAACTGCCCTCAACCTTGTGTTAAGTGAGGTCATTGTAAAACCGGAGCTGTTCTATGGCATGCCATCTCCTTGCAGAAATGCACTCACTGATTGAAGAATTAGCAGTCTACAGCCAGATTTTTTTAAAATAGCAGTTTTCAAACACTGTGTTCATTAGGCTAACCAGTGCTATTTGGATTCAGTTCAGTTAAAAATTCCTCTTCATTGGGAGGCTGAGGCAGGTGGATCGCTTGAGCTCAAGAGTGTGACATCAGCCTGGGCAACATGGCGAAACCCTATCTCTAAAAAAAAAAAAAATACAAAAATTAGCTGGGCATGGTGATACACACCTGTAGTCCCAGCTACTTGGGAGGCTAAGATGGGAGGATGGCTTGAGCCCAGGAGGCAGAGGCTGAGGCAGAGCCAAGATCGCACCACTGCACTCCAGCCTGGGTGACAGAGCGAGACTGTCTCAAAACAAACAAAAAAGAATGAAGAAGCAAGCAGACCAGATACTGTTGATAGCTGCTCTCAGAGCTAGGTCTGAGCATCACCTCTTCATGCGTAGTAGTCACACGGGAGCCCCACTCACCCTCCTTTCTAAATAGCATTTCTTATTATTTCTAGTTAGTATTTAATGGTCATTCAGGCCTGGCGTGGTGGTCACACCTGTAATCCCAGCACTTTGGGAGGCCGAGGATGGTAGATCACACGGTCGGGAGTTCGAGACCTGTCTGGCCAACATAGTGAAACCCCGTCTCTACTAAAAATGCAAAAAACAAAATTAGCTGGGCATGGTAAACGGGTGCCTGTAATCCCAGCTACTTGGGAGGCTGAGGGAGGAGAATCGCTGGAACCTGGGAGGCAGAGGTTGCAGTGAGCTGAGATCATGCCACTGCACTCCAGCCTGGGCAACAGAGCGAGACTCCATCTCAAGAAATAAATAAACATTATTTAATTAATTAATTAAAAAATAAAAATGGTCATTCAAAACATGACAACCTTCTAGCCTCATTTGTCTCATGGTCCTCAAACTTTTAAAAAAAATTTTGGCAAATATATTCTCTTCGATTGTCAGGGAAGGCTCAGACCTCTAAACTGTTTTGTCACAATTAGAATTCTTTATTTTTAAAATGTTAAGTAGTGTCTATGCTTGATCATCAATACCTCCCATTTTCCTAACTTTTTAAGTGTTAAAAGATGGATTTCTGTATCCCCAATATTTATTCTTGAGAATGTTGGATATTACATTTTTTAACTTTTTTTGCTTTTTACATGAAGTGAGTTTTTATGTATAAAACACTATTTTGTGCTTTCTTGATATTTAATTCAATGAACTTCTATTGGGCAAGTTTTCGGGGTGAAAAGATAAAAAGTATTAGTCTGGATGTGTTACAATGTTTAGCAAGACTTCTTAAAGAAGAAAGCTCCTTTATATTGTCTTGTGATTTTTTAAAAAAATTGTATATGCATTTTTTTATTGTGGTAAAAAACACATAACATAAAATTTACCATCTTCACCATTTTTAGGTGCGCAGTTCAGTAGAGTTAAGTATATTCACATTGTTGTGAAACAGATCTCCAGAACTTTTTCATCTTCTCAAGCTGAAACTCTATACCCGTTAAACAACTCCCCTTTGCTTCTTCCCCCAGCCCGTGGAAACCACCTTTCTTTCTGTTTCTGTGAATTTGACTACTCTTAAGTACCTCATGTAATTGGAGTCATTCAGTATCTGTCTTTTTATGACAGGCTTGTGTCACTTAGCACCATGTCCTCAAGGTTTATACATGTTGTAGCATGTGACAGGAACCCCTCCTACTTGTTAAGACTAATAATATTTCATTCTGTGAAATACTTTGTTTATCCATATTCATCAGTGGACATTTGGGTTTCTTCTGCCTTTTGGCTACTGTGAATAGTGCTGCAGTGAATACAAGCATGCAAGTATCTCTTCAAGACCCTGATTTGAGTTCTTTTAGATATAGACACAGTAGTGGAATTGCTGGATTATATGGTAGTTCTGTTTTTAATATTTTGAGGAACCTACGTGCTGTTTTCCATAGCGGCTGCACCATTTTATTGTCCCGTCAGCAGTATACAAGGGTTCCAGTTTCTTCACATCCTTGCCAACACTTGTTATTATCTGTTTGTTTGTTGTTATTGTTTTGACAGTAGCCATCCTTATGGGTGTGAGGTGATATCTCATGTGGTTTTGACTTTTCAGTTCAGGGATGATTAGTGATGTTGAACATGTTTTTATATACCTGTCAGCCATGTGAGATATTTCTCCAAAGACATTTCTCTGGAGAAATGTCTATTCAAGTCCCTTGCCCATTTTTAAATTAGGTTGATTTTTTAATTGATGAGTTTATAGGAATTCTTTATATATTATAAATATTAACCCTTTATCAGACATATGATTTGCAGATATTTTCTTCCATTCCATAGGAATGTTTATGTCCTCTGATTTTAAGTTTAATATAGTCCCATTTGTCAATTTTTTCTCTTGTTTCCTATGGTTTTGGTGTCATATTTAAGAAATCATTGCCATAACTAATGTCATGAAGCTTTTCCTCTATATTTTCTTCTAGGAGTTTTATAGTTTTAGGTCTTTAATCTGTTGCATGTGGATGTCCAGTTTCTCCAACATTCCTTAAAGAGACTGTTCTTTCCTCACTGAGTGGTCTTGGCACCTTGTTGAAAGTCATTGACCATATACATGACGGTTTACTTCTGGGATCTCTTGTCTATTCCACTGGTCTAGTTGTCTGTCTTTATGCCAGTACTACATATTTTGATTATTGTTGCATTGTATTAAGTTTTGAAATCAGGAAGTATGAGTCCTCGAACTTTGTTTTTTTTTTTAATTTTTACTTCATAAATTCCAAAAGGAGTAATTTTATTAATATCTAATGGGAAGTCACTGTATTATATATCCTTTGAAAAGATTGTCATAATCAAGTGAAAATAGAATGTTGAGCAATTTCTGAATGTATCTGGGCATTTGAGATAACTTACCTAGTTTCAAATGCAAATTTTGCTTCTACCATAAATTATACAGATTTGCTACTACATTATGCAGTTTCACAAGATAATTGCATCTACCTGTCCTTTGTAGACTTGTTCTCTATATTACTATTTTTGTCATAGAAAATTTATGTTATATATATGAAAAAAAGAAAATCACTTGAATTCCCACAATCTAGAAATAGTCGCTGTTCATATACAGTATATAATATACTCCCAAAATTTTTTCATTGCAAATATATACACATAACTTTTTTTTTTTTTTGAGGTGGAGTTTCACTCTTGTTGCCCAGGCTGGAGTGCAATGGCGCGATCTTGGCTCACTGCAACCTCTGCCTCCCAGGTTCATGTGATTCTCCTGCCTCAGCCTCCTGAATAGCTGGGATTATAGGCGCCCACCACCATGCCCAGCTAATTTTTTGTATTTTTCATAGAGACGGGGTTTCACCATTTTGGCCAGGCTGGTCTTGAACTCCCGACCTCAGGTGATCCACCTGCCTCAGCCTCCCAAAGTGCTGGGATTACAGGCGTGAGTCACTGCGCCTGGCCACACACGACTATTTTTATATGTATTGGTAAAGAATCTGAGAAAATTGATAATAAAAGTGTGTGCCTGCACAAAATGGAATTATATGCATTCCTTTGTTTTCACTTAATGATATTTCATGACTTTTTAAAAATGCGTATGGTAGGTCTTCATCATCATTTTTAAAGGACACCTGGCATTCTATTGCCTTGGGTCTACCCTGATTGGTTATTGGTGGACATTGGGATTGTGCCTAATTAGCTTTTTTCCTTTCATAAACAATGCTGTGATTGTATTCTTTTTTTTTTTTTTTTTTTTGAGACAGAGTCTTGCTCTTTTGCCCAGGCTGGAGTGCAGTGGCGCTATCTCAGCTCACTACAAGCTCCACCTCCCGGGTTCACGCCATTCTCCTGCCTCAGCCTCCCTAGTAGCTGGGACTACAGGCGCCCGCCACCACGCCCAGCTATTTTTTTGTATTTTTAGTAGAGATGGGGTTTCACCATGTTAGCCAGGATGGTCTCGATCTCCTGACCTCGTGATCCACCTGCCTCGGCCTCCCAAAGTGCTGGGATTACAGGCGTGAGCCCCCGCGCCCGGCCTGTATTCTTACACATACATCTTTACCCAGTTGATTATTTCTTTAGGATGAGTTTCTAAATATGAAATTACTAGATAAGAAGTGTAAACTATTTTATTGAGTTCTAGTGACAGATTGCTAAATTGCCCTCCTAAAAGTGGCAGTTTATGTTCCCACAGGCAATATATACATATACCTATTGGCCTACACTCACACCAGCACTTGACTAATTTTCTAAGTAAAAATGATATATTTTCATTTTAATTTGAATGTACTTGATTAATAATGAAGTTAAACATTTTCATCTTAAATTTTTTAAAAAAATTTAATTGTGTCGTGCTTTTCAGTTTAATTATGAAATTTTTAAATTATGAAACATTCTTCTTTTGGGAATGAAAGTTGTTTGCTTATTTTTCAATTATAGTGTTCATTTCCACGATCAAGATTTTTAAGTTTTACCTTATAGACTGAAGGTATAGACAGTACCATAATTAGTACAATTTTTCAATCTTTGTTTGCCCGTTACCTATTATTGATGATGCTATATTTATTTATTTTTGCCCTTCAGATTTCTTTAAAATCTGTGTGTGTGTGTGTGTGTGTGTGTGTGTGTGTGTGGTTGCTGTTCATCTCTTCCACTTTGACTCCTGGTTTCTTGTTATGCCTAGAAAGACATTCCTGTATCAAGATTGTATGAGTATTTCCCTACATTTTTCCGTTGCTTTTATGGTTGCTTGGTTTTTTGGTGTCTGAATTCCAAATGCTAAAACCTAGTTCTTTATTCATTTATAAGGTATTTTGTCGTTTAAGTTTCAATAAAAATGCCGAAGACCACTGACTTTATATTCCCCCACCTGCACCCCCACCCCAATATAGAAGAAGTGCACTGAGAAGCATCTGCAAAGTTACGTTTAGGGGAATTGATATTTCTTAAGTGTCCACTGCTTCCTCTTCAAAAATGTGTCTACCTAAGATACTATTATTTAAGCCTCTGTGTACTTTTAACCGTAGAACTGGTAATGGAGACTGCTGGTAATTTATGACCACAACTGTAAGCTTAGATGAAAGAGTTAACAAGGAGTATTTTCCTTTCTCTTCTAGATTTTATAGGAAGACGAAACTTGTCGGCTTTCAAGACATGGAGTGTGTGCCTTGTGGAGACCCTCCTCCTCCTTACGAACCGCACTGTGAGTGAACGCAACACAGGCAGAGCCAAGGGGACGCCTGGCCTTTTGAAAAAGTTTAAATTTGTAAACGTTTCTTCTCTGGCAGATGGAGCCAAATCTGTCTCTCCTGTGGGGTGTACAGTGTGTCCTCTTTAATCAGGCTTCTGGCAGGACAGAAAGTCCCTTTGTTCTGTGCCTCAGTCAGCAAACCGGTCCCAGGGATTTGAATCTCAGAGTGGAGTGCAGACATTTTGCCACTGCTCAGCTCCTTCTGAAGCCTTCCCTGGCACCCTGGGTCTGTAATTCAGGCCACTTTGAATAACCAGGCGGCTCACATCCTCACTCTTAGGTCTTCGTGCCCTGGCCCCATGAATTCCTGGATTTTCCTTTCCTAGTCCCCAGACAGGATCATATGGTGGCATCTCTGCCTTCCCAGAGAAGTTCCTCTCTGTGAGTCACCTGCCCTCACTGTGTGTCACTAAATGGAACTTAGTTCACTTCATCCATTCCTTCTTTTCTCTCATTTAACAAATAAATGAGAAAAGAGAACTCCATTGCATGCTGGGGATACAACTGTATATGAGAAAATTGTGCCTTTTCCTCTTTATGTTAACATTAGTTACTCCTTTTGACTATGTATTTTGTGTAGATATAAAAGGTATTTGTTTCAAGTTATCAACCAGCATCAATTTTGAATAGGAAGAAGAGTGGCCTCTCACTCTTTTTAATCCTAAGTACAAACCTGGTCAATAGAAACCCACAGGAAGGGAACCGGTGAGTGGCCTCTATGTGGCAGAGCACGCTTGTCTGTGCCACAGCAGGGCTCAGGAGAGCCGCACTTCACGGCTCAGGGGAGAGCGAAGGGCAGGAGGGAGGACGGAGGAGGCTGCTCTATCCCACACACAGGTCGCTCATGCCTTTCTGGGGAGCATTGTTTTGATGTCATTTTCAATGCATGGGCTCTGTCCTCTTGCTTTTTGCTATGGTAAAAGTCCCCTCTGAACTAATTGAAAGTTAGTGCGTCATTTGATAAGGTCACATAGTACTTCTCTTTCCAAGAGTGTCATGGAATTTTGCAGTCCATATTAGTGTGTCCTTTACCAAAATGCATTATTTTCTATTCTTCATTTGAAGTGACAGAAAAGCAAAAGAAGTTGTAAGATTTTCTTTTATAGAAAACATATATCGATCCTCATTTTTATAATAGGTAAACATTCACCAAATAATTCATTGCAAATAACAAATGCAATATTGAATGCCTGTTATCAGTCACAATGCATATGCTTTACTTATTTTGTTTTACTTTTCTCAATAATCCTATCATCAGTCCAAATTTGTCAATGAGAACACTAGTCCAGAGAGGTGAATCCTGTTCTGTTGTTGGCTGCTAAGTCCCAGAGACAATATTCAAATTCCAGTCCAATTCTTTCTACCACAACGTACTGTCTCCCTAAGCTCCCTAAGGAAAACTAGGCTATCTCATCTTTCCTACACATTGACTCTTTCTTGTGTTGTTTGCTTTAATATTAATCACTTAAAGAAAACGCTAAAAATCTAACATGTCAGGGACACTGGAAGAGTGTCTTTATGCCACGACACAACCCATCAAAGGACAAGCCCTCTTGCCAGTTTAACATGCAGTGACCTGGGCCTGCCTGTAGGTCAGCCCAGCCACCATTCTGTCAGGAAGGTGAGTTAAAATCATGCACTGCAGCCCAGACTGCTGCACAGAGATTCCGTGAAGTCAGTATTACCACTTTAGAGTCAGAAAGTCTTAGGGGTTTTTTCCCATTAATTTATTGGATTTATATTTAATACAATCAAGTCAAAACTCTGAGGCTTTGGGATTTTCTGCCTTCTGGGTTCTGACTAAGCTCAGATATCACAAATTTGCCTTTGAAGGTAGATCTCACATGTAACTTTTAGTGTCTTGTGACGTCCTTACTAATTTAGTGTTGGGTGAAGTCCTTAGTATTTTAAAAAGAAAATTAACCAGTATATATATATATACATATATATGTGTGTGTATATGTTTCTTCATATATGAAACTTTTTAGAAAGCAAGGAAGAATAAGCTATTTGTCAAAGTAAAACTTGCAGTGTGCACAGCTGATAGCCTTTCAAATAACAAAGCAAGACAGGCTGGTAGTCTTCAGTGAGCATGAGTCCTTATCTCTGTAAAAGAAAGTTTGCTGCCTTTGGCACAGTTCTTGGCAGTAATTCCAGAACACAGCTAATCTCCTCAAAAGAGATTTTGGAGTCTTTTGGGAAAATTTTGTAAGGCGCCTTATGTTTTCATTTCTTCCACTTTGGGCTTTTTTTTTTTTTTAGCTCATCCACAAAGAGCTACTGCTTCAGTGATGTTTTTCTCCCTCTTGAGGAGTTCCTGTGCTGCTTAGATTCTCAGCTAGAAGAAAGTGACACCTCTCAAGCTAACTTAAGGAGTGGGGTTTGTTTCAAGGACATGCCTGGTAGTGGGAGAGGCAAGAACTCTCTGGAACCAGGAGTAGCCCTCCCTGGGGGTCCCAGGTGGCTCGGAGTCTGGTGGCACACCACGCCTTCTGCAGAAGGAGACCCTGTATGCTGCATGCTCTACAGCAGCTCTCTGGGTCTGCGGGGCTGTCTGTCCTAACCTAATGGGTCTCTTTGCTCTGGATTTCCCATTTCTGTCAGCTGCCCCAGGGACCACCCCAGTACCACGCCTATCTGTGGCTGGTGACCTGAGCCAGCACTCCCCTCCCCAAGGGCTAGGTCTTCCCTTGTGAAATGGAGTGGTACCTGCCTGCTAAGGAACAGACCCACCTGCCTGCTGTGGTTGTATTGCCAGAAGTGTTGGATTCACATCTTGGCTGCGCTTTGTACTGATGGTGTAACCTTGGGCAAATAGTCTCCCCTCTTTGAACCTCTGTTTACTCTGGAAAATGCCCAAGTCTGCAGATTTTGGATAGAACTAAATGAACTAGTAGTCCAGCAACATGATACCTGCCCCGGGGCAAGCTCAGTAATGACTGTCTACCTGCTGGCCTGCCTTCTTTCAAACCATGACCCTGCCTGTCCTCGGCCATACCCTGACCCAGATGTGTTCTTTGGAGGGTCTGCTGCTTTGGAGTTGTCCTGGACGGGGAGGATCTCATGGTGCATCTGGCTCTGATGTTTGTCTTCTGGGGCTTCACCTCCCCTGGTGGGTGAGCACTGAAGGGTACCGGAAAGTGGGTTCCATGGAGTTTTGTGCCTGAGCAGCTCAGATGGGGGCCAGGTGCTGTGGCTCACGCCTGTAATCTTACTACTTTGGGAGGCTGAGGTGGGAGGATCACTTGAGCCCAGGAGTTCAAGACCAGCCTGGGCAACATAGTGAGACACCATATTCACAAAAAATAAAAAATTAGCTAGGGATGGTGGTGTGTGCCTTTGATTCTAGCTACTTGGGAGGCTGGGGTGGGAAGATTGCTTGAGCCCAGGAGGTTGAGGCAGCAGTGAGCTGGGATTGTGCCACTGCACTCCAGCCTGAACAACAGAGTAAGACCCTGTCTTAAAAAAAAAAAAAAAAAAAAAAGGGTAAAAAAGAAGAAACTCAGATGGCTAGACTGGGAGGCTGAAGGCTGAAGAGACCCGAATTAGGCCAGTCTCTCCCCTCTCTATCTGGATCTGAGGCCTCTGGCCCTACCCCCACCAGATGAGCTGTATGCCCCGCCTCCCCAATAACAATGGATTTGTGATGATAATCCTCCCATAGCCCGTCTGTCTGGGCACTAATGGCATTAATGTGTGATACTGACTGGCTGGGCATGGAGCTCAGGGTTGATGAGTGACACTCCTGTAAACTGCAGATAAATAAAAGACACCCATTACATAGAAATGCCTGCTGCAGGCATTGTTCCCCCAAGTAACTTCAGTTCCTAATCACCTGTGCCCACTTAGAGCTTCAAGGAGAAATAGAGAAAAATACACAAGAAAGTTTAGAACCATATCCTGCCTTCAGTCTGATAAGAAATGCAGATTTAGTATGATTTCTTTTAGCAATGTTTACTTAATTTGGAACAAATACTGTGGTTGGAACAAATGGTTTTGAAAAAATTCAAAGGGGTTTTCACCAGAGTAAAACTTTATTTAAGTATGTTTAACCTAGATGTTTGCTTTGTTCTCGGGGGCTTTGTAAGACAAGCCACGTGATTCTGGAGAGATAAGGGATCAGATAAATCACTGTGTGAGAGAAAAGAAAGCCTGAGCTGGGCTGACCTGCAACTCTTAGGAATTGTATGTGGCTTCATAGTCTTAGAAGACAGCAAGCAGTTGTTTGCACCAATAAGTAATAAATCACATTATTAAAAGTTTATTATTTTCCAAAGGAAGTTTAAAATATATTTTAAATAACAAATAAAGGCAATTTCAAAATAAACTTTGAGACGTATTTGCTCATTAAAGATAATTTTTAACATTTAGTAGAAAAAAGTGAGTGGTGGAAGGGAACCCCAGTAGTCCCCAAAACAGAGCATTTGCAGCATTGATCATTACAAAAACAAAGCATTCTAAGGGTTTTCTTTTCAGTCTTTTTTCTATCTATGCCACTGATTTTGAAAAGATGAGCATAATTACACTGTACATACTATTTTGGATTCTTTTGCCACTTCGGATATACTTTTTTTCATATAATGACTTGTCTGGGTAAAGTGTCACACAGGTATGTGGCCTACAGTTGGACTTCTGAGGCTGTTCCTATTCCACGTGACACTGCTGTCCCCTTCTGTGCGAGCTGTCATGCCTTATTCATGCACTAACGATGGATGTCCATGAGTGTATTTCTGTGTCCAGAGGTACTCATATTTTTGTCTCTTGACATTCAGTGTTAAATTATTTTAAAGTAAGAGTGCCTGGTAAGTAAGAGTACCTCTTTTAAACCAAACAAAAACAAATTTAAAAGGAAATAAATTGGGAGCATTTTGAAATCAATACAGGTTTCCTTTAAAGGAGAAGGAAGAGGAGGGAGTCTGGGAGGGAGGGGGAGAAATAGCAAGTTCCTCGTGTTGAATTCCAAGTTGACTTCAGCTCTTTCCTGGGTATTTCAGCCAACCAAACCATGGAGTTAAGAAGCCAGCTCTTGGTATCCTCTTCTTCCTGGGCACTGAAACATTTACTGAATCTGATCAGAGTAAATGACTGCATAATGAGACGCAGATGAGATATAGATAATCCAAAAGCATTTTCCATTTGCTGGGAATGTCATGTGATTTTTACTCTGTTTGTGGATGGTTTTTTGTTTCTGCAGTGGAGTTGTTTCTGATGAGTTTGCTAATACTTAACAGCCCTTTTCCAAGAGGACTTCCTGGGGCCTCTGCATGATGAGCCCACAAAGCCAGTGCCTAAAGGACTAATTAAGGGCTCCATTTACTGAGGGTTTTCAAGTCGGCTGTGGTCCTCAGACCAAGACTCCTAAGTGTCCAGCCAGGGGATCACTGGCACAGCTGCTCTTAAGGGGCCTTGCTTTGGGTATTGTTTCAGGAACACATAACTGCTACTATGCATTTTAAATGAGTATCTGAGGCAGCAGAGAAGGGGTGGCTTCTTATAGGCAAGTCTTAAATACTTAGCTCTTTACTGCCAAACAGAACTTTCAGGGCAGGGAATAGGAAGACAATGAGATCAAAGGAAAGCCCATGGTTTGTGGAAGACAGATTACCCAACCAGGCCTCCCTGGGAGGTTCAAAGCAGGGATTCCCTCCATTGTTCACCCATTTATGGTTGGTTTAAGTTACTGTTGCTCCTTCTCCCCTTCCTTCCATTGTCTAGAGTTCCTTGGTTTTCTTTACTGTATCTCTTTCTTTTTGTCAATAACATGTGATTTCATTATTTTACTGGAAAATAATCTAAAATAGTGGTAGTCAAAGGTTGCTTATGTGGAAACCAAATAAACACAGCTGAAAACTTAAACCAGGTCTCCCCACAGAGTCCCAGCTCTATATCTCTATCAAGAGGACACCTTTAAATCTCTCCCTTGGAACTCATTTATTTTTTGTTGCAAGCATTACTGTACCAAGCCAAACCAGCCATGGTGGAGAGGATTAGAAGAGAGAGGAGAAGCTAATCGAGGCAGAGATGGAGGCAGCCAGAAGTGAAAGCGCAGCCTGCAGGGAGGAGTCAGAAACTCACAAAAAGCAGCATGAAGAACCCCAAACACATTGTCATTTGATGCCTTTTAGTGTGGAGCAAACAGACCTTTTCATCCTAATGACTGACCCCTGAGGTTTTCTCTCTAATACCCCTTAGTATGATAATTACAGTTCTTATTATTATTCTGGACCCCAAAAAGGGGTGCAGGGATGATCAAATTACACTTGTTGACGTCTTTTTTTTTTTTTTTTTGAGACAGTCTCACTCTGTTAGCCCAGGCTAGAGTGCAGTGGTGCAATCACCACAGATCTCTGTAGCCTCAACTTCACAGGCTCAAGTGATCCTCCCACCTCAGCCTCCTGAGTAGCTGGGCCCACAGGTACATGCCAGCATGGCTGGCTAGTTTTTGTGTTTTCGGTAGAGCTGAGGTTGAATTCCTGAGCTCAAGTGATCCACCTGCCTCAGCCTCCCAAAGTTCTGGGATTACAGGCATGAGCCACCACACCTGACCATGAAGTCTTTTTCAAGAAAGCAGAAAACTGTTGTAATTCATTTAAAAATGATTTACATCAGAAATGACCCTCTCAAGGTTATTTGCTTATTGAGGTAAACAATTGTTTTCTGAAAATATGTTGAAAATTTGTTACAGCAAACTCCTCATTTTCTGAGGATGCTCAAAACAATAGCTGGGGCTGGGCATGGTGGCTCATGCCTGTAATCCCAGCACTTTGGGTGGCCAAGGTGGGTGGATCACCTGAGGTCAGAAGTTTGAGACCAGCCTGGCCGACATGACGAAACCCTGTCTCTATTAAAAATACAAAAATTAGCTGCGCGTGGTGGCAGTCACCCGTAATCCCAGCTACTCAGGGGGCTGAGGCAGAAGAATCACTTGAACGCGGGAGGCGGAGGTTGCAGTGAGCCGAGATCGTACCGTTGCACTCCAGCCTGGGTGACAAGAGCGAAACTCCATCTCAAAACATAAGATAAAATAAAATAAAAAATAAAACAAAACAAGAAACAATAGCTGAGCAGTTTAAATGTCTTGGCCTGTTTAGAGAAAAAATACACCATAAATGTAATTGGTTTATATAATTATTTAGCTATTTCAAACACTTATTCTCCAGATATGTTTCCATAGCCCTAATTTCATTAAAGTTACAGAAATCAGAAAATTCTTTAAAAAGTTTCTTAAACACATGTGCCCTACATTGATTCTTGTCTCCCAAGAAATGCCCTTTTTCTCAAATTGAAATCTTTCAAATTTAGCAGTTTTCTCCCATAAAGTTGCTAAATATTTGTAAGTCATTGACTTTGTCTGTTATCAGTAAAAATGGAAAAGTTGAATGCCTTGACTGAGTGAGTTGACAGCACCCCTTGAATTGGGAGCTGCTCTTCAAAGTCGCTGTGTGCCTGAGCCTTTGGTGGGGCCTTCTGAGAACAGTAGCAGTTGATTATTACCCAGTCACCAATAAATCGAATTTCTCTGGCTTTTATCTTCAGTCTCTGTTAGACATTTAAAACCATTGAGCTGGTTTAAATATTTACTCACAATCAACAGGTTGTGATTTGTTAAAGGGCATCACTAAATTAAATGTTTTTCAGATTAAGTACAGTTTATTTTTAAAAATCTAAAATCCAGCAGGACTGTTTCATTAAGCTGTGGACTTAGTGAAATAAGGTGGACTTAAGTCCACACGTAGTGAAACAGTGCATTGGTGGCCACACACATGGATCAGTGATTTGTGTGTGTCCCCATCAAATGCTTAAAATAAATGTGAGCTTATGGAGGAAAGCAGACTCACATTTGATGCCAAACCTGTAGTGGATATACTCAAAGTTCAGGCTCTATCACTCCTTTTTGTATAGGGAGCATTCACCCTCTTGAGGTGGCATGTGAGGGCCTGCACCGTGTGGGAAAACAGCTCTTGGGTTCACGGTCTAAGGAAGACCAGGGGATGTGGCCTTAACCAATGGATTGGGATCGTTTTGTCTTTAAACTTGGGTGTCTAGCCACTTCCTAGGGGGTTTACTTGAGTACCGTCGTTTTTGAGAAGGGAAAAAAGAAGTTCCAGAATAGTGTGAAATAGCAAGTATTTCTTGCATTCCGAAAGGTACCAGGCATTTCATCTGCATTTCTCAGCCTGCCCTTCACATAATGGTCCATGGTGTGTGTTTCCTTAAAGCCCTCATTCCACAGGACATGGTCACGTGGAGGGTAGGTGAGTCCTACCCCAGGCCTTCCTGGCAGCACAGACAGGCCAAGCTCAATACTGCCTCTCCAGGTGAACTCCGAGGGACAGGATTAAGAGAGTTTTAAAATAATTTATAAATTAAGAAAAATTCTGAACCTATAAATAAAATGTAATTGAGTCATCCTACTTGAAAAAATGGGTAAAGAATCTCAAAGGTTGAAAAGGGCATTAGAAAGTTAAAAATGGAAGCTTGAAGTCAAATTTCAAACAGGAATTAATTAATTTAGAAGATAATATCCCACTTTGGGTTTTTAAAACATTATTTTTTGAGACAGAGTCTCACTCTGTCATCCAGGCTGGAGTGCAGTGGTGTGATCTCGGCTCACTACAACCTCTGCCTCCCAGGTTCAAGCGATTCTTCTGCCTCAGCCTCCCAGGTAGCTGGGATTACAGGTGTGTGCCACCATGCCCGGCTAATTTGTGTATTTTTAGTAGAGACGGGGTTTCACTATGTTGGCCACGCTGGTCTTGAAATCCTGACCTCAAGTGATCTGCCCGCCTTGGCCTCCCAAAGTGCTGGGATTACAGGTGTGAGCCACAGAGCCTGGTCTAAAACATTATTTTAATTGCTTCATTTATTATTTCGATTATCTCAGAGAAAATATTTTAAGTATTCATGAGAGTTTTATCTATTGTAAGTCATGCAGCAGTTTTCTTAATTAAATATTTAAGAAACATTTTTCTTGATAATTATAATTTTAAAAGGATGTTTTAACTTTCAAAATAATTTTTGAACTTTACTGAAATATAATGTATATACAAGAAGATGCATCATTTTAAATGTAAAATTCAGTGAGTTTTGATGGATGTATAACTTATGTAATCATTTCCCCCATCATGATACAGAACATTTCTGTCACCCTCCCATAAGGAAAGTGACTATTTTTAAGCATTGGTCTTCTTGGAGTGGCCTCAGAGGGGTCCGTTAGTGAGACGTCTAGGGGATATGGTTTAGGCATCTTTTTGCTCTATTGCTGTTGTAAAATGTGTGCATGTGTGTGTTAATGTTTCCTGTCCTTGCTTCATTCTCTGTCAAGAGACCAACGGGTTATGTTATGAAATTTTCTCTTTAAATGATTTTCTGAAAAATCTTCACTATTGAACTTTCTAAAATGCCATTGAAAATAATTCCTGAAAATATTGCCAGGGGTCGTAGGAGGCATGGTTTTCTTCAAAATGAGAAAAATTGCTTTTTAAAATTCTTGGTATTGGAATGTTTAACACAGGAAACATGTCAGGGAGTCTGTTTTGGGTGCAGAATGCTAGTCTAGATATTAATGAAGTGCTGCAGAAACACATCTCTCCCAGGTTGTGAATGATCTCCTCGTCTTCTCCTTTAGGGACAGCTATCTTGAATGCTAAGATATCCGTATCACTGATGAGGACACTGGGGCTGCCCTGGTGAAAACCACAGGCCAACTTCCCAGTTCTCAGGGAGTTAAGATTCCGATGCTGCAGGGCAGAGCTATTATTTACAATAAGGTGCTGAGGGAAGGTTTATTAAGGTGACCCTAGGACAGGGCCCTGAAAGAGGGGAGGAGGCAGAGACACCCACAGCAGAGGCCACAGCTGGTGACTGAGTCGATAGGTGCATCACGTAGGGCTCCTGGGCCGTTATGAAGATACATTTAACTTCCCTCGGACTCCTGTTGGAAGTAGAGTTGAGGGGAGCAAGGGAGGAAGCAGGAGCTCACTCTCCTAGTTTCAGCAGAGCATTTTTAGCTGGCACAGTAGATGTATGTGCTTTGAGAAATAGTGTGGCTTTTCACCCCTTTCTCAAGAGTTGGTTATTAGTTTATTTAATTCAATTTATTTAATTTAAATAAATCATGTATTTACTAGTTATGTGTTAATAATATTATAATATTTGCTATGTTTTGTTTGCCTCTTCAGATAGTCAAGGAAAATTAGAGTTGTTGTTTTTTTTCCTAAACCCAAGTGAAACACGTATTTGAAAGAGGTTAACTTAAGCTTTTATATTCTGCCGTAAGCTTTTACATTATCATGAGTGTTTTCTATGATTTTAGGCCCGGGGGACACAGATGAAGGCCTGAAAAATAAAATCAGGGGAAGCTCTCTCTGATTACTAATTTTCTCATAACTATCTCAGTTGATATCCCAAGACTAATGCAAACCCATCTACTTGATGTTTTTCATGGAAGCTCATGTAGGCTTCGCTGTGAAGAAGGCTTGATTTTGAGTCCTAACACTTAATTTTCAGACAAATTATTTAACTTTTCTTCATCCCTGTTTCTTAAAATGAAGATGCTAGTGATTGTAAAAGAGGCAGTAATGCCGGGGCTGAGTCCTGAATCGACTTCCTGTTCCAAGTCTCAAGAAAAACATTCTCTTTCTAACCTAACCTGGAGTTTTGTGCTTTGCCGTAAGTCCTGTCAAATGTAAAATTATAAGTGAATTAATACCGGTATCAATTCTGCTGGCATAGAGGATAGCAGGAAGCACTGTCTAAATCCAGATTTTCTTTTCAGTCTAGACTCAAACAACCATACCAAACTGTGCACAGATATACATTTTTTTCTTAGTTGGAAGTTAATGGGTGGAAATAATTTGAGTGTCATCATCTGAGAATAATTTCACAGATTACTTCTTCAAATAGTGCAGTGAGGTAAATAAGAGTTATCCACTGATGACAGGGAAGGCAGCCTCACAGGATCAGGGTCCGCAGGCTAACACCTGCCTGTCTCCACGTGGCCTTCTCCAAATGCAAGGGAAAATGGACACTCCCTGCTTTCTTTCACAGGGGCTGGAGGCCGGAGCCCAAAATGGAGCCTGGCACTCAAAGGGTTAAGGAGAGTCCGTGGTGGAACTGGGAGGGCGGAGGCCCAAGTTTCTGGTCTCTGTTGGATTCCCAGATGGCAGCGCCAGTTGAAGCACACTATTTTTGAGCTTGCTCTCCCTCAGCACAGATGTTCAAGGCCATAATAATGTGTTTCTTTTATGGTGTCTTTTCTGTTTCTCGGTGCAGAAGTTTAAAAGCTTCATTGTTTCATCAGTCAGATAAACACAGCAAGACGTTATGGGTCCGTAGACTATTAAAAAGAAAAACATCCTTGCGGGTAGGGAAGGTTCCTTTACTCTCTCATGTTTGTGAGAAACACTGTAGGTAATCTGCTGCCATTGTGCAGCTTTTAATTGTTTTCAATGTTAATGATGGTATTTATGGTAATTAACATACAAAACAGCTGTACTTACAATCCGGCAAGTGCCAAAGAGGATCCTGAAGCAGTGAGTTGCTCCGGCATAATGGGGTGCCTTCAGTCAGCCCTGCAGTTAGGGCCAGGCGCTGAGGCCTGGGGTGCACCTGCCTGCCTTGCCAGCCCCTCCCCATGGTCATTGCTTTTTCGGTCTTCTTTTCTTTTACTCAAAGACAGGCGTGATCATATTTGGCCTAGTCCATCCTGGTGGGCAGCAGGTCTCTAGACCAAGTGATCTGGAAGCAAGATGGAAAGAGCAGAAATCAAGTTTGGTTGAGGAACTGACCAGATCTCAGCTGCGGTGGCCGTCAGCCCCTGTAGCAGCTTCCTCCCTGACTTCCTCCCTTCTGCTGATGTTCCTGGGTCCCTGGTTTGCTTCAGGATCCCTCTTACTGCCTTAGTTTCTCTCCCTCACCCCGTGCCTCTGAACCATCCTCTTGACTCCTTTGCTCCCTCAGCCTCCCATCACGCTGCGGGTTCCTGTCCCTGGGCTGCCGGGTGCCCTTCAGTCCTGTTTTCCTTGAGTTTCATTGCTGCATCATGCCAACATTTCTGCTGGTCTGTTGTGTAATTAATACACATGCACATCATAGAGTGGAAAACTCTTCATGTCTTTATCTTGTCCATCAGTAATTTATTTTTGTCCTATTGAGAAGAAATAAGAGCTGTTTAGTTCAACTCAACAATTAATTTTTATTTTCTTGATAGAAACATTCACATTTTATACTAATAAATAAAAACCAAAGTCAAACTTAAGGAAATTTTAAGGCCAGGTGTGGTGGCTTACATCTGTAATTCCAGCACTTTGGGAGGCTGAGAAGGGTGGATCACTTGAGGTCAGGAGTTCGAGACCAGCCTTGCCAACATGATGAAACCCTATCTCTACTAAAAATACAAAAATTAGCTAGACATAGTGGTGTGGGCCTGTAATCCCAGCTACTCAGGAGGTTAAGACAGGAGAATCATTTGAACCCGGGAGGCAGAGGTTGCAGTGAGCCAAGATCATGCCACTGCACTCCAGCCTGGGCAACAGAGCAAGGCTCCATCTCAAAAGATAATTTAAAAAAAATTTAAATTCATATAGCCCCCGTAGCAGGTGTCCTTGGGGACACCAATTCATGACATAGCTCCTTTCCTTTGCCTCCCCTCAGGAGCCCTGCTGTGCACAGTTATAGCCACATGCCAGGGGGATTTGTCCTCCCCTTTCCCTGGAGTCTCCCACCAGTGTTAGGAGCAGACTATGAAAGATTACAGCTCTTGGAGTTCATGCTTGGTGCTTCTTCCCTAGGTAGCTCCCCAGCCAGTACCACCTGGCACAAACCAGTCAGGCCCCCTGGAAGATTTGGCCAGCAGGGCAGTGGTCTGCGTGCCCTGACCCGGCCCTGGAGGGAGCGGGCGACAGTGAGAACTGAGGCAGTGGTGGGAGGGAGGGAGAGGAGGAGAGAGCCCAGAGGATTTGGAAAGACCATTTCCAAGCGCTGCACATGGCTGGATTTGAAAGGATATGCTAAAATTGTTCTTTATTTTTCTAGCAATTGAAATACAAAGGACTTATTGTTGCAGTCAGAATGAATGATGATACTGTGGGGTTTTGGCTTAGGAACAAAACAAAACTCTGCTGACATGAGCGCAATACTCTGTACTCAGGTTAGTAAGGACCATCAACTCACTTTATAGTTTTAGACAGCATTGACACCTGACTAAGACACTGTAGTGCTGTCAAGCCAGGCAGCGGAGACGTTCTGGGTGGTGCTGACCTGCAAGAGAAAGGGGTTTGGCTACCTGAGAGGCTCTGTTATAAAACATGCTGTGGGAGGCTGTTTGTGTAGTTGGAGGAGGTTCGCAATGGAAAATAATGGTCTTGATTCGACAGGGAACCAGTCCCGTATCTCCACACACCAAGTAGAGACTTGGTGACTTCTAGCTTACTTTTAAAAATCAATTTTAGTAACCAAACAGGATGCTAATACAGGTCAGAAAATGTAGCTAGCTGTGTTGATGAGAATCATTAGAAACTGCCAGATTTCTGTGTAACTTCATGCTGCCAGCTTATCGCCAAGTAAGTGCTACTACAGCCTTCCTCGATGACTAACCTGTACCCAGCTTTGAGTGAGAGTGTGGTTCTCTCTAGTTAAAACTAAAACAGTCAGAGAGGGGAGGCACCAGATGAGCTGCTCTTTCTGGTTATAAATGCTAGGCTGGGCCAGGTGGCCTCCCGTCTTCTTTCTCCTAACCACCTTTCTCCTGCACACCTTCTCCTCTCAAGTAGGCCTTTGTCTTTCCATGTTGGCAAACTGTATGCCAAGATGTTCATCTGAGAATGTTCACCAATCCATTCTTTGAATGAATTAAATCAAATTGGCTTGTCTACAAAGAGAATTCTCATATGCTCCTCTCACCAGCCTTTGTTTCCTGCCATAATTTTGCAGTAAGTGAGGGAGACCATTTGAATGTTGATAGTAGAACTAAAAACATAGGTCCAAGGAAATACAGGTTTCTTCTCTGCCTTTTTTTCTTCAGGTTCATTTCTATCAAACTCCTTTCCTTCAGTGCCTCTTTTCTTGCATGTATTTTAAATATGTGATGTTATTGTTTCTTAATGTTCATTAATGCTGTTATTTTCTTGTTGCTACATGGTTAATAAGTCCAAACCCAGGTCGTAGTGCCCAAGCAGCTAGGGAGGAAATAGTCATACTGTTTTAGTTCGTTTAATAAAAGATTCCATGAAAGATTTTTGAATCTTTGTACAAAAATTACACTCAATTATGGTACTATCAGCTGTGTCTTGCCTGTGCAGAATTCTCTAATGATCTATTTAAGAAAAATCTTCTAAATTCAGATCTTGGGCTTGTTTTCCATATCCCTTGAGTGAGAACATTTACCATGATGACTTCTTTAAAAATTTGGCAGGAGGCACCTCAGCTATGTATTCTGAGAGCTGTCTATGTAATTGACAAATAATTAAATGTTTTCTTATTTGCAGATCAAGGATTTTCTTTTTTGGTGAGGGATGGAGTCTTGCTCTGTCACCCAGGCTAAACTGCAGTGGCACAATCTCAGCTCACTATAACCTCTGCCTCCCACGTTCAAGTGTTTCTCCTGCAGCCTCCCAAGTAGCTGGGGTTACAGGCATATGCCACCACATCTGGCTAATTTTTTGTATTTTTAGCGGAGATGGGATTTCACCATGTTGGCCAGGCTGGTCTTGAACTCCTGACCTCAAGTGATCCACCTGCCTCAGCCTCCCAAAGTGCTGGGATTACAGGCGTGAGCCACCGTGCCTGGCCAGGATTTTCTTAGTAATGGCTTTACCATTTCATTCACAATATTCCTTAATTATTTTGCTAATTGTTGCTTATTGTTATATAACATTGCTTGATGTTACCAATGAAGAAATCATTTTGATGAAGTCCTTTGAGATACTTAGATAAATGTACAGATGCTGCTTGACCTACAATAGGGCAACATCCAGATAAATTTGTTGCAGATTGAAGATATATGTCAAAAGTGTTAGTACGCCTAATCTAACAAACAGCATCGCTTACCCTAGCCTGCTTTAAATGTGCTCAGTACACTTATATTAGCCTACACTTGGGCAAAGTCATCTAACATAAAGCCTATTTTATTAGAATGTTGAATATCCCATGTAACTTACTGAATACTGTATCATACACTATGTCAAAATTGCAATGGTTTCACGCCATTGTAAAGTCAGCAAATCTTAGATTGAACCATCATAAGTTGAGGATTATCTATAACAGTGTCTATGTCTTTTATAAGAAAGAAATCTGAACTTCTGGAAAAGATTATTTTGGTTTGTTTTTAATCATTAATTCTCCTTCTTAACTTTAGTACTTGAGGGCTATGGGGACACATGCATCAACAATTAGTTGCAAGTCACTCATTCCGTCACGTTTCCAAAGGCCTCTCCACTGTATAGGCGGTTTCAGTCAAGAGACACTCCAGATTCTGACATAATCATTATAATGTCTGGATTCTGAACAATAATTGGAGAAAGCATGACTAACACTTATGGCAGTTTACTGTGTGCCAGGTTCCACGCTAACCCTTTATGTGCAGTACTTCATTCAGGTCTCACAAAAATCCTGTGAAATACATATTGTTATTTCTTGGTTTTACCAATAAGGAAACTGAGGCAAGAGGCTGTCATTTGCTGGTGGTTACACAGCTAGTGCATGCAAAGCCAGGAGGAGAACCCAGACTGTTGGCTGCAAAGCTGTTAACCATTAATATGCAGCATCTTCCAGTAAGTTTTAAAGCCAAGAAAGAGGGAAGGAAAGAGGGATGATGGCCTGTTGATGTGCTTGTTATCACACATGGACCAGTGGAGGGAGGCTCTATCTAAATCCTTTTAGAAATTTAAACTATGATCCCTCAGAAGCAGAGTGCTTACATTTATCAATAAACAATGCTTTCAGTTTTAGTATATACCTACTCCAGAGCTCCAGCAATAAAATCAGGTCAGGTCTTTGGAGTAGATGTGTTTCCAGTTTACTCCTCATTGACTAAAATCAGGTTCATGTAAGCCAACTTTAATGTGTGTTCACAGGCACATGAAAATTTACCACATCGATTCTGCAAATGCAGTCTTTTCATACGTATATTAATTTATCTAGACAGTCAGTGCTGCCTTTTTCTGCTTCATCAGTAGGTGTAATTAAAAGCAACTATTCTTTGTAATTAATTGTTGATATTGCGTTCTTACCTTTAACCCTTCGATCCAGAGTAATGTTCTGTCAGTACCAAACTAATAACAATAAACTTATTTCTCTCTCTGAGAGGAGATTTAAAGCCACTGGCTATTACCTAAGATTTTCCAAGAGCAGAGATAAAGTAGCATCTAAGAACTGATAGAGTAAGAAGTTGTTATTTAAAGAAGTTTCTGCTTTTCTAATAGCATACCTCTTCTGTTTTATAAATTCAGCAACATGTTTTGATGAAAGCTCTTGTGAATGCAGTAGAGAGCTTTGATTCATGTAATTGCAAGATTTGGACCTTTCTGCCTATAATTCAGAAGATAAAAATGGGATAATAGAAACCATTTTGGAACATTAGCTGTAATTCTGTCTCTTTGAATGCCTTGTAAAAGAGAGTAATGTTTATTAATAATCTAAAGGAAACTGTTTTTTAAGTGACTCTTGTAAGAACTTGAGAATTAAATGTGAGAGGAACCAAGTGCTTTAAATTTCAGAACGGATATAAACATCTCCCCCAGTTTCACAGAGGACATTTCACATTTTCTTCTGGTTTTCTTCCAACACACAGTAACAGGCTGAGGATGGCAATAAAACAATGATGGGCAGGCAGCCAGAGGAAAACAGAAATAGTTAAATCAGAATTGCCGGATGGCGAGAAGGTGCGAAGATCCTCCATGGGATATCTCCAGAGTCCTGCTCTGTGTTGTTCTAAATAACTAAATAACCTCCACCCCACAATGCCCCAGTTGAGATCCCATCAGTGCCATTGCAATGTGCATTTCTTTTGTTCCAGGGATAGTCTTTCATCTTTTACATTTCACTTTACTTACCCTGGCTCATAGCCCTTAGACACAAGTTCATACAACAATCTAAGTGGGAAAAAAAGATATAAAAGTGTACCTCTTAGGAGTGAGTTCTGCTCACAATGAAAGCATAGTTATGAATCATCAGTATTAATATTAAAACAGAGACAGCTTGAGGCCACCATAGGGTTCTGCCTTGATTCACTTACATTTAAATCACAAAAGGGCTGATAATTAGGGCAGTGCCTACCAAGGGAACTTAAAAGAAGAGTCAAGCTCAGAAGTTCTGTATTTATAAACCAATGTTGCAACATTGCTCACCATAGGGGAAAAGCTTGCATAGCTGTACTGGTTTTGATGTGCCCTCAGTTTCATATGGTTTGGCTATGTCCTCACCCAAATCTCATCTCGTAGTTCCCATAATCTCCACATGTTGTGGGAGGGACCCAGTGGGAGATAACTGAATCATGGGGGCAGTTTCCTTCATCCCGTTCTCATGATATAGTAAGTTAGTTCTCACAAGATCTGATGGTTTTATAAGGGGCTTTCCCCCCTTTGCTTGGCACCTCTCCTTGCTGCCGCCATGTGAAGAAGGATGTGTTTGCTTCCCCTTCCAGCATGATTGTAAGTTTCCTGAGGCCTCCCCAGCCCTGCTGAACTGTGAGTCAATTAAACCTCTTTCCTTTGTAAATTACCCAGTCTCAGATTTGTCTTTATTAGCATCATGAGAACAGACTAATACACAGTTCAAAAAAGAAAAGCAGTGAAAACGATATCAGGCACTAGCTTGGAAACGCAGCCCTCAGAGCATATTTGAGGACTGTGGTCTGACATGATGAACTTTTGCTTCTACTTTGTGCAGTACAACTGCGGTGAGCTGTCCTAAACACAGACGGTAGGAAATAGGCTGGCCTGTATGTCTGCCAGTCTCAGATGCTGGTGAGCAGAGATATCAAGCCCCTGTGTGTATATATATATATATTTGGGCGAAGTTTCAAAAGTAACATCAGAATGATTCCTTAGGAAAAGGATGCAAATCCTAGTGTAATCCTTCTGTGATCCTCTATTTGAAAAATGATACTTTCTTGCTCTAAACAACCCACTTCAGTAATAGATCACCAGTACTCTTAACTCCACTGAGCTCTGCTCCTCTTACTTTGTGACATCACATTTTCAAATCACATTTTGGTTTCATTTTAGTTCAGAATCATTCAATAATAAATTTGGAAGGGGCTACAATGGGCAGGGTCATTAATTTTTTAAAAATCACCAGTCTTTTTCTTCAGAATGTACAAACTTGCTTTCTGTAACTAATCTGTAAAATAAAATATCCTGATGTAGCCTACCTTTATTTTTTTGAGACAGTCTCACTATGTTGCCCAGGCTGGAATGCAGTCGTGTGATCTCAGCTCACCACAACCTCCACTTCTGGGTTCAAGGGATTCTTGCACCTCAGCCTCCCAAGTAGCTGGGATTACAGGTGTGCACCACCATGCCCGGCTACTTTTTGTATTTTTAGTAGAGACGGGTTTTCGCCATGTTGACCAGGCTGGTCTCAAACTCCTGGCATCAAGTGATCTTACCGCCTTGGCCTCCCAAAGTGCTGGGATTACAGGTGTGAGCCACTGTGCCTGGCCTGTTGTAGCCTACTTATTTAAGAATCAGAAGAATTCATCCCGCAAAGCCTTGGTTTATTTATGTGTTTCTTGAAATATGTTTTTTTATACCTGCTTGTTTTCCCCTTATCTCAGAGGCTGACTCCTCCTCTATCAGACTTCCTAATTTCAAAGCCTACCTGCATTCTGCCCTGGGTCCTCTTCTTTACACTGTACACACCTAGGTGATCTGATCAGTCCCTGGCTTTGGACGTTACCTATGCACTGATGCTTTTTGAATTTATATCTCCAGCTACAATCTCTTCTGCCTCAGTTGTGTATGTCCAGCTGCTGGCTTAACGGATCCACGTGGATAAATAGGCATCTCAAACTTAACAATTAAAATGTTTTATACCTCCTTCCTCCCTCCACCAAACCCATGGTCCCTCAAAACTTCACCATCTCCATAAATTAATAGACAGCACCTAATTCATCCAGTGGTTTACTCTAAAACCTAGGTGTGTTCTTGATTCTGCCTTTCCTTGCACCTGACTCACAATCCATCAGTGTATCCAATTACTCTTAGAACAAACAGTTCTCAAATCAAGCCAGCTGACAAGCCTCCATGACTGTAATCTTAACCCAAGCCATCACCATCAATATCTGGGCCAGTGCGGCACCCCCCGGCCTGCCCTTTCTCTCTTTCCCTCCCCGGTCAGCGGGCAGTGATCTTTCTGAAGCGGAAGGCAGAACCTGGCACCCTCCACCCTGAAGCCCCCCCAATCACTTCCTATTAGCTTTCTTTTTAATTGTGGGAAAACATATATAACATAAAGTTTGCCACTTCAGCCTTTTTTAAGTATACAAGTCAGTGATATTAATAACATTCATGATATTGTGCAGCCATCACCACTAAGCTACTTCCATATCTCTTTCATCACCCCAGATAGAAGCTCTACACCCATTAAACAAAAGCTCCTGTGCCTCCCTTCCCCCACCCCTAGTAATTTATAATCTACTTTCTGTCTCTATGAATTTGCCAATTCTAGGTATCTCTTGTAAGTGGAATTATATTAGTATTTGTCCTTTTGTGTCTGGCTTATTTCATTTAGCATAATGTTTTCAAGATTCATTCATTTTGTGGTATGTATCAAGTTTTCTTTCCTTTAAAAGGCTGAATAATATTCCACTGTATGTCTATGCCACATTTTGTTAACTAGTCATCTGCTGATGGACGACTGGGTTGTTTCCACCTTTTGGCTATTGTGAATAATGCTGCTATGAAGATATACAAGTATCTGATTCCTTATTTTCCATTCCTTGGGGTATATACCCAGGAGTGAAATTGCTGGACTGTATGGTAACTTTGTGTTTAATGTTTAGAGGACTACCAAACTGTATCCCACAGCAGCTGCACCATTTTACGTTCTTACCATAATAGTCATACATTCACACAGGTCCCAATTTCTCCACATCTCCACCAAAACTTGTTATTTTCTATTTTTTAAGTTGTAGCCATCCTAATGGGTATGAAGTGGTATCTCATCATGTCTGGATTTATATTTCCCTAATTATTAATGGTGAGCATCTTTTCGTGTGCTAATTGGCCATTAGTATGTCTTTTGGTAAATGTCTATTCAAATCCTTTGTCTACTTTTGAATTTGTTTGTCTGTTTTTTGTTGTTGAGTTGTAGGAGCTCTTTATATATTCTGGATATTAAATCCTTACCAGATGTATGAAATGCTAATATTTTCTTCTGCTCTGTGGGCTGTCATTTCATGTCCTTGATGGTGTCCTTTAAAGCACAAAAGTTTTTAATTTTTATAAAGTCCGATGTATCTATTGTTTTCTTCTGTTTTCTGTGCTTTTGTTGTATATTTAAGAAACCATTCCAAGCCCAAGGTCATGAAGATTTTCCTCTATGTCTTTTTCTAAGATTATTTATTTATTGATTTATTTAGAGATGGAGTCTTGCTCTGTCACCCAGGCTACAGTGCAGTAGTGTGATCTTGGCTTACTATAACCTTGAACTCCTGAGCTCAAATGATCCTCCTGTCTCAGCCTCCCGAGTAGCTGGGACTACAGGTGACACCACCATGCCCAGCTACATTTTTTTTTAATAGAGATGGGTTCTTGCAATGTTGCCCAGGCTAGTCTCTAACTCAAGCAATCCTTCCACTTCAGCCTCCCAAAGTGTTAGGATTATAGGCATGAACCACTGTGCCCAGCCTCTTCTAAGAATTTTAGTTTCAGCTCTTGAATTTAGGTCTCTGATCTATTTTTAGTCAACTTTTAAATATGGTGTGAAGTAGTCTTCAACTTCATTCTTTTGCAGGTGGACATCTAGTTTTCCTAACACCATTTTTTGAAGAGGCTTCCCTTTCCCCATTGAATGGTATTGGCACTCATTTAAAAAAATCAGTTGACCATAAATGTATTGGTTTACTTCAGGACTGTCAATTCTGTTCCATTGGTCTATATGTCTGTCATTATTCTAGTACCACACCACCCCCCCTTTTTTTTAACTGTAGCTTTTGTAGTAAGGTTTGAAACTGGGAAATGTGAGTGCTCCATCTTTGTTCTTTTGTAAGACTATTTTGACTATTTCAGGGTTCCTTGAAATTCCATATGAATTTTAGGATAGGCTTTTTCACTTCTGTAAAAAATGCCATTGAATTTTGACAGGAATTGCATTGAATCTGCAAATCACTTTGGGTAGTATTGTCATCTTAACAATAGTAATTTTTTCAGTCTATGGACATGGAAGGTGCTTCCATATATTTTGGTCTTCTTTAATTTCTTTCAATAATGTTTGGTAGTTTTGAGTGTACAAGTCTTGTACCTCCTTTGTTAAACTTATTCTTAAATATTTTAGTCTTTTTGATATTTTGTAAACGGAATTATTTTCTTAATCTGCTTCTTAAATTGTTCATGCCTAGTGTATAAAAATACAGCTGATTTTTGCATGTTGATTTTGTATCCTGCAATGTTGCTGAATTAATTTATTAGTTCTAACAGTTTTTTGTGGAATCCTTATCGTTTTCAACATGTAAGGTAATGTCATCTACACATAGAGGTAGTTTTGCTTCTTCCTTCCCAGTTTGGATGCTTTTATTTCTTTTTCTTGAGTAATTTCTCTGGCTAGGATTTCCAGTACTATATTAAGTAGAATTGGTAAAAGTGGGTATCCTTGTCTTCTTGATCTTGGGGGAAAGTAAGTGTTCAGTTCAGTCTTTCATCACTGAATATGATGTTAGCTGTGAATTTTTCATATATGACCTTTGTCATGTTAAGGAAGTTTCCTAGTTCATTGAGTGTTTTTATCATGAAATAGTGTTGGATTTTGTCAAAGGCTTTATCAGCATAAATAATTTTGTTGTGTATTTTTCCCCTTTATTTTATTATTGCTTATTGTATTGATTGACTTTTGTATGATTAACTACCATTGCCTTCCTGGGATAAATCCCACTTGGTCGTGGTGTATAATCTTTTAATATGCTGCTGAATTCAATTTGCTACTATTTTGTTGATAATGTTTGTCTCTATCTTTATAAGGGATCTTGATCTGTAGTTTTTTTCCCTCATGGCAGCTTTATCTGGCTTTGGCATGCAGTAATGCTAGCCTTGTAGAATGAGTTAAAAGTGTTCTCCCCTCTTCATTTTTTGGGATGAGTTTGAGAAGTGTTGGAGTTAATTCTTCTTTAAGTATTTGGTTGAATTCACCAGTAAAGCTGTCAGGTTGTGGGCTTTTCTTTTTCAGGAAGTATTTGATTACTGATTCAATCTCTTCGGTTATATAGATCAATTCAGATTCTCTGTTTCTTCCATTTTGTTAGTTTATGTGTTTCTAGGAATTTTTCCATTTTATCTAATTTGTCCAATTTGTTGGCATATGACTGTTTATAGTATTGTCTTATAATCCTTTTTATTTCTGTAAAGACTTTAGTAATATTCTCTTTCATTTCTGAATTTAGTAATTTGACTATTCTCTCTTATTTACTTAGTCTAAAGTTTTGTAGATTTTACTGATCTTTTCAAAAAGTCAACTTTTGTTTTTTTCTTCCATTATTTTCCTATTCTCTATTTCATTGATCTCTGCCCTAGTCCTTACTTCCTTTCATTTGCTACCTTTTAGCTTAGTTTGGTTTTTTTTCCCATAATGTTTTAAAGTGGAAGGTAAAGTTACTGACTTTAGATCTTGCTTCTTTTTTAATGTAGGAATTTATTGATACAGATTTCCCTCTGAGCACTGCTTTTGTTGTATTCCATAAGTTTTGGTATGTTGTGTTTTTACTTTTATTCACCTCAAAGTATTTCCTAATTTTCTTTGTGATTTCTTCTTTGACCCATTGATTATTTAAGAGTATATTGTTGCATTTTCATATATTTGTGAACTTTCCAGTTTTCATTCTCTCATTGATTTCTAATTTTGTTCCTTTATGATTGGAAAAGCTACTTTGTATGATTTCTGTCTTTTCAAACTTATGGACACTTGTTTTGTGACCTAACAGGTGGTCTGTCCTGGAGAAGGTTCCATGTACACGTGAAGAGAATGTGTATTCTGATGTTGAGTACCTCCTGTCATTCTTAGAATAGAATCCAGACTTCTCACTGCAGCTGTAAATCCCTACAGGAATTGACCCCAAACAGCTCTTCTGGCATAAAATCCCTCCATTCTTCCCCTAGCTCTTGCTTAGGAAGTATTTTTGACTGACTTATTAATTAACATAATCTTTAGTGTAATGGCAATAATGTATCTTTTGATAGCAGGTGAAACAAGTACAATGTATCTTTGTGGAATGTTTTTAAATATGTGGAATAATCTTGTACATGAGTGTGCATAGCAGCACTATTCACAAGAGCCAAAGCTGGGAAAACCAAGATGTCCATCATCTGAGAAATGGCTAAACAAAATGTGGTGTATCTATACAATGGAATATTATTCAGTCATTAAAAAGTGAAGCTCCGATACAAGCTACACTGTGGATGAACCTTTAAAACATTATACTAAGTGAAAGAAGCCAGACATAAAAGGCTGTATAATACTGTATATCCATTTATATGACATATGCAGAATAGGCAAATCCATAGAGACAGAAAACAGATTAGGGCTTGCCAGGGGCTGCAGGGATGGGGGAAAGGGAGTGACCACTTAATGGGTATGGGGTTTCCTTTTGGGGAGATAAGAATGTTCTAGAATTAGTGGTGATGGTGGCATAACATTGTGAATGTATTCAGCTTCTTAATAGTAAATCTTATGTCTATTTTACTATAATTTTAAATCAGTTCAATTTAAAAAATGTAGTTATGGATATAAATGGAAGAGCAAACAGAACAAGCTTTTTTTGGAAATAATATTTCTTTTGGTTATTGAAAAAGAAACATAGTCCTAAGACTAAAGTCTAAAATATAAAAAACATAAATGACGAAGCCTTCTTCTTTCACATGTATCCAGTGTCAGAGTGCTTGGTATAAAGTGTATTTTACAAATTCAACTATTTTGTTTATTGGCAGACTCTATAGTGGTAGATCTGGAATTTGTATGTTGAGTGTTACATAGATATTTTTGCTTAACCAGTTTAGATTAACAAGATAAAGCTTACACTTCAGAACTGTATGCTTGTCTCAATTAAGATTGAAGAGAGCTCTTTGTTAATAATTTTTTAAAGAGCATGACTAGAAATAGATTCATCATCAGGTTTTAATTTTGTTAAACTTTTATTTGATTTGGGCTTTTTGATGGTACTGGTGCTGGTAGAAGAGCACAGAAAGCAATGGATTGAATTGTAGTTTACTTGAAGCAAATATGAAGGTCAAAGATAAAATATTTCAGTGAAAAATATTTTTAAATGTCTCATTTTTGTGCTTATATTCCAGTACTTATTGCTAATTGCTAATTGAATTGCATGTGTCAAAACATAGTCACCAATAAGTAAAAATGCTTGCATTTCCAATTATGTTGGAGTTGCCAGAGTGATATGTTATACAGAAGGAAACCAGATGTGTTATTTTCATGTGCTAAACTCTCTAATGAAAACATAAGGCGTTAATGAAATCTCAAAGGTGGAAGCCCAGACAGAAAGCATAATTAGTTCATTTACAACTTGATCTTCCCTACTACATTTATTTAATGCTCATTTTATGATACCACATAGAGCTTTAAAATAACACATAAAATGAAGTTTATAAGCCATATGTTGTTTTTTACTGCAATAAAATTCAATAGCCTCCTTAATCTAGGGTTTAGATAAAACAGGTTGGATTTGTAAAGTCATGCTTGTGTTTTAAATTAGGTCAAGCTATATTGTATGTGTTAGCTGATTAACTAGAATATACTGGTCTATACAGAATCTGAACCAGTAATCCTTCACACTATAGTCTTTTTTTTTTTTTTTTTTTTTACTCTAAATGGTTGGAAAGAACATAACATGCTAAAAAAAAAAAAAAAAAAAAAAAGCATAAGTTTTAAGAGTCAAACTAACCTGAGCTCAGATCTAGATCCAGCCACCTAATGGTTGTTTGGCATTAAAAAGTATGTACAGATACATATCAACTTCTCCATCTATGAGATCCTTTCTGCACAGGGTTATTACAGCGCCCAGAAAGTGGGTATGTAGGGGCTGGCCCCTGCACTTGTGGTTATATGGTAGCTGTGATGGTGTTGATGATAATTCAGCTAACTTTTGTACAAAAGACAAATATAGGTTCCTGTGGTTAACTGCTCTCTAGGCACTCACTGTTTTCTCCATACCTCTGTCTACTGTTGGGAGTAAGTAAAAATGTCAGATTAATACGACTAATTTGGTAAAATGATGTGAATGCTTAACTGTCCCCATTATCCAGCTCACCTGATAGTTCCTGAAATTGGTACCAAAGCACTTGTGTTGGAAGAAGTGGTTCACCTCCTGAAGGTCTTCCCGTTTTCTTCTTTGGGCATTCATTATAAATCAGTCATCATTTTATATAGATTGTTAACTAAGATTACATTTGGCATATAATAAGATCCTTCTGTGATGACTCCATGAAGCGCTACTTAAAATGGACTAGAGAAGGCTAAGTTTTTGTTTGATATTCATTCCAAGGATGTGGTCAATGGTCTACATGGATTCTCTATTGATATATATCTGAGCCACCCTTGCTCTCTCATGCATGGCCTGATTAATTGCAAAAACTAAGTGCATGCAAACAAAACTGTTCTTTGCTCCAGCTGTTTCCATCTGCATTGTCATTAGCGACATAGCCCAAGGTGGAAGGTTATTAGACAACCAATGAACACATCATTGGCATAATCTCATCTTATTGATTGGACAAGTCCCCATTAAGTCATCTTTCTGGAATACTTGGGATTTTTCCTTTTATTTCATAGACATTCATTCATTCCGTCATTTAACACATATTTATCAGGCACCAGCTGTGTGCCAGGAACCCTTATAGATGTTAAAAATACAAGCAAAACTCCCTGTCCTTTCTGTGGGAGATGTAATTGGCTAGGATAAATACTAAGCTGCTGTAACAAAGAGACCCAGAAATATCGTGGCCTAAGTAAGATAGAAGTTTCTCTGTCTCGTATTTAGCAGTTCAGCCTGGGAAAGCAGCTCTGCGTCAGGATGTCTCAGAGCCCAGCTTCCTGCCCCCTGTGCTAAGCCAGCCTTAGACATCTGCTTCCCACAGAGGATCAAGGCTTGGCTGCTGCATTCACCTCCCAGCTCACAGTGAGGGGCAAGTCTAGGTCAAGCAATGGCTCCCTAAGTGAAGCTGACCCACACATAACCCACACCCCTTCTGCCCACTTTCGTCCCCACTGACTCTAACCTGGATATGGTCAGGCTCAGCTGCAGTGTGGCTTCTTGCTGGACCTAGCTTAACGACGAGCCTGGTGGGTGTGTTTGAGAAGCAGGGTGGGATCTCCAACTCCTACCTTGGGAGAGAATGACAGTGAACCAAACAAGTAAAGTATACAAAATGTCAGATGATCGTCAGTGCTGTGAAGGAAGAGAAAGCAGGGCAGTGGGTAGGAAGTGCTGGGGAGAAACTGCAATTGTAAATAGATTGGTGGGAAGCCTCACTGAGGTGGTGACATTGCGGAAGGACTCCAGCAGCTGAGGTGCAGTCCTTGCGGCAGTCTAGGGGAGCATTGTGGACAGAGGCACTGACAGGTGAGGAAGATCTGTGGGAGGGGCAGGGAGTGTGTTGAGGGATTTGCTTGTAGTTGGGGGCACGTGCTTTGGACATGGTGAGTTGAGATGCATCTTTATCCATGTGGAGGTGCCAAGTAGGCTGTGAGATGCATGACTCTGAAGTTCAAGAGAGCAGATCAGACTGGAAAGAAAATTTCAGAGTAGTGAAATCAAGTATCCTACTTCATCTTTCATGTAAATGCCATGCTCATTTCTGCAGGGAGAGCACAGCCAGGCCACAGTGGCCATGGGACTTTCTGGGCAGCAGATCTATTGGAGTGTGCCTGGCAGCTGGTTCTGCAGGAGCTCACCTGCCCTAATAGAATGTTCAGGCCCTTCTGCCTCAGTGGGTCTTGGTGTCTGCGTGAGGAGCTTGCCCAGGGAGGAAACTGAGATTAAGAGCTGTGAAAAAAAGTCTTGTTTGTGGCCAGGGTGGAAAGTGGCAAGAGCCAGGTTTTGGACAACAGTTCCCTTCCTCCCAAGCAGCCCCGCCTGAATGGGGCCCTTTGTTAGGAAAATTCTCCAGGAAGAAGGATGTTTTGTTGAGCAGGTTTTTAAACATTGCATAGTAGGAAGTTGGAGAGGTTAAGCAAGTAGGGAGTAGCAGTAGAAGGCAGAGGAGGGAGCCTGGCAAGCCCAGGCGGAGTCCAGCTGTGACTGCCTGTGCACATCCTTTCCCATTTCCCTCCCTACTTGGGCCCTTTCCAGATGCAGTCACCTCCACAGAATGCCCCCCGCCCCTGCCCCAGGACACCCAGACGTTGCTCAGCATGCTTACTGCCCCCACGTCTGATCACAGTGGCCCGTCATGCAGACACCAAGACCAATGGGAAGGCGGAGGACCCCGAACATCTCTGTGGGCAGGTGAACTCCTGCGGAACCAGCTGCCATGCACACTGGGGCAGCTCTGCAGTCTGGAAAGCCCTGTGACTGCTCTGTGGCCTGGCTGAGTTCTCCCCACAGAAATGAGCAGGGCCCTTACATAAACAAACATGAGCTGTACTTTGGTTATCATTACCCAACAGAATGTTTTGATCTCAGAAGCTACCTGCATCTGTGGAGCAGTGCGGTCTACTAGAGGGGCTCAGAAGGCCTGAATCCAGTTTTCAAGCTGCCTCTGCTTTGCTGTGTAACCTTGAGCATGTGACTCAAGGTCTTGATTTTCTTGGGTATCAAATGAAGCTCATCAATGAACGCTCACCACTTTACCTAGTGAGGAGGGTGAGGCACTGAAGGTGTGTTAGAAGCTGTGTCTACAGAAGCTAGTGTCCATGTTTTAGCCACCTCTGTGGCTTGCAAATAGGTTCCTCATTTGCAGCATCTGAGAAGTTGCTCTTGCCTTTGTCCAGTGTGACAAGTCTCTCCAATAGATGTGTTTCAAGGCTTTCCAGCTATGCTTGAAGCTCTTTAGGGGATGCAATGTGGGGAGAGGATATGGATTTCTGCACCTTGGTCTACTCCAAAGAAGTTCAGATGGGACTTTATAAAAACACTTGGCAGATTTTGCTGGAGACCTCCATTTCCTTTTCTTCTATTCAGATTTTCCTCAAACTTTTTTAATGCCTTGTAGGATGTCGTACTCGTAATAGACACTCAGGACATAATTGTTCAGTTGAGTTGAACTCCTAAGGAGATGCATAATATAAAAGTGAACCCATGTAATGTAGGTAAAATTTAAGCTGAAAGAAAACAATCCTTGCTCTGAAGTAAATTGCTAAAGGGTAGTGCTAACATTATGGTGGAATTTAATAACTTAATTGGTTAGAGTAAGAAATATTTTGTATTCCAGAAAAGTTAAAAACTTTCCAAGGCATGTGGACCTTCCTATTTCCACTTCTTCAGAAGTACTTTCGGAATCCTAATAAGATACGGGCAGAATTCCTGGCTGGCATTCAGTCTGCTTAGTGAACTAGAATGGGGCATTTAGTCAAGGCATGTGAGTGGAAAGAATCTTTCATCTCAGTATCATTGCCACAGGTTAGCAAAACAATACCTTTTCCTTTAGCGTAGATAAGTTCTTTTCTTAGGAATTATCAGCAATATCTCAATTAACAAAAACTTTATAGAGTGGAAGCCACTTTATATAGCTAGTATAAATCTGCCCCCCCCCCTTATTTTTGGTTTTGTTTTGTTTTTGTTTTTGTTTTTGTTTTTTGCTGCTCAAGTCATAAAGAATTATAAGAAAATAGTTTTTTTACTAGAAACTAAAAAGAATTAGTTTCTAGAGCTGTTCTAAAATCAAATGATATTCAGTTCAATCTCCTATTTATGTCTGCATTGCTATATGTGACAAAGCTAAAAATGATGAACTAAAAATGACGAACCCATTTCCTAGAAAAAAAGAATGTTTGCTCTGAGTGTTACCATAAACTCATACATATAAACAAGAATCAAGAAGGCAGTTTCCAGAGCCCTACTTCCCATGAGCACTCTCTGAGGGTGTTTGGATCAATAAGATGCCTGTTGTTATATAGGTGTCAAAAATCAAGAAGTAAAACTTGTATATTTTTCTTGTTCATCTTTAGATGTCACTGCCTGGGGAAATGTGTGGAGAAGGGGCATATTGGATGTACTTTTCCTTTAAAATTGATATTACTGTGGCAACTATATATCATTGACATTACAGTATTGTGCCCTATAGTATTAGATATGTGTTAACAAGACACGTTTAGAGAACATAAATCCTGAGTTACAAACCACCAAATTAAGAAGAAAATCTCCACTTTTGGGACATTTTAACCTATCTGTAAGTTAGAGACAGTTCCTTTTATATTAAGGAAAATAAGTTGACGAATGTATTATAGAAGGATTTTAAACAATAAGAACTTAAAGGACTCTAATTATGATACTACTTTAACCCAAAATCCCTATTCTTACCAGGATTTTTCTGAATATCCAGTTTTGTGTCAATTGATGAGCTTAATGGTTACAACAGTTGAGAACTTTGAAGTCCTCCACTCAAATCATGTATTAAGCTTCATTTTTACGACAGCTATTGCCAAAACCCCATATTGTGTAGGGCTGGGTTATTTGAGCAAAAATTTAAGCTAAGGAGACTCTTCTCCCTCTGAAGTGAACGCCTTCCTCACCAATGTAAATGACAGCTTCCCACAGCTTCACCATTTGGTCCAGATGGATAATGCTTTCATTTCCAAGTCACTTCCCCTTCTCTGTGGCTGCTATTTCAACTTGCGTGGGATGCAAGTTCCTCTCCAGTTATGCATTTTCAGTGTTTGCACAGCTGTGCTTGTGCTCATATGGCCTTTTGTGACTCTGTCCAGTGATAGAGGCTGTTTCAGATTAGATTTAATCTCTATCAGGTCAGGGTTGTAATTTTTTTTAGCTTGCTGTATAATGAACATTTAGTGTGTGCCGTTTGCTTATTATAGTGTTCTATAGAGTTAGAAGTGATGAAATATATTTTGTGAATATTAAACATGTTTACAAATAAATGTCCTTTAAAATGTATGATTGGATTATGAGCCTTATTCATCTAAGCCCAAAACATATGGTGTGTGTGCCTTCCCAGATGGCAATAAGAGACTTTTATATGTGTGGCCTAGAATCACTGAGACTGGAAATACCAAGACTCATGCTCCAAGATGATAGTTCCTGCTATCCTGTTTTTATGATTCAGTAATATTAACCCAAGTGTTTCTCTCTGGGGCTGTAGTCTCAGGTGTCATACGATCTTATTGGGAGTGAGGGGTGTGTAGCCAGGGAGAAGGAGAAAGGCACCAGATGACAAATTGGCTTGTGTTTAGGTGCCATCTTGTACAAATATAGACACAGACCTTCAATCTCTAGAGTTGCAGTGTCCATTATGATAGCCATTAGCCACATGTGGCTACTGAGCATTTGAAGTGTGGCTAGTCTGAATTCAGATGAGCTGTGTCTTTAAAACCACACCGGATTTTAAAATTTTAATACAAAATAGAGAACGCAAAATATGTCATAAATAATTTTTATATTGAATACATATTGAAATGCAATATTTAAGATATATTGGCTAAGTAAAATAGACTAAAGTTAATTTTACCTGTTTCTTCTTCTTCTTCTTCTTCTTTTTTTCTTGAGACAGAGTCTCGCTCTGTCGTCCAGGCTGGAGCGCAGTGGTGCGATCACAGCTCACTGCAGCTTCATAGGCTCAAGGGATCCTCTCAATTCAGCCTCCCAAAGTGCTGGGATTACAGGCATGAGCCACCGCACCTTGCCTCTCTTTTACGTTTTAAATGTGGTTCCTAGACAACCTGAAATGACATGTGAAGCACACATTATACCTCTACCTGGAGTAATCTTCAGTCGAGGGGAGGCTCCTGTGGTGAGCAGCACCTGCCGGGGAAGCAGAGTGAGGGCCCCTCAGCTCACTCAGGGCATCTGCTTGGGAAAGAGAAAATGTAACTGCCCCTCTGTGTAGATTCATGCCCCTTTTAAATCCATTTCTCTCATTATTTTGGGGTTAGTTAAGTAGGATATGCTGTTTAACTGCACTAGATATAGATCTCTGATTTAAATGAGTTTGTTTATCCTGGTACCCTCAGGATAGTTTTAAAATGGTAATTACTATCATCATCATTACAGTGGCTAATGATTCTACAGCACAGCCAGTCCCACACACTTTACATAACACATGAGCCAGTCACTATTATTACCTCCATTTGAACAGATGGCAACTTGAAATTCCAGTCAGTGTCTCAAGGTCACACAGGTAGAGGTTGACCCAGGCCATGGGGTTCAGAATCTGCCCTGAACCACAAAGCAGTACTGCCCTCTAAAATAAGATCTATTTCTTGACTTTCTTAGCACATGACTATGCCGGCCTTTCCATAGTGTAATAACAGTATTAGTCTTTTCTCCAAAACTTAGATGTTTTCCAGTAGTTTAACAGCTAAGGCATTCAGAGATGTTTACTGTCTCAAAAACTGGGGTCTACTGTAAGGTTCTGGATGATCCAACTCCTTGTTTTCCCCTAAAGTTGCCCCAAAAAGCATACATGCATTCAGTCTGCTTAAAAATATGGTGTAATTCCAATTAAGTACAAAACATTAGTTCCCTGCCACATGCCAAGTACTGGGCAACCAGAGGTAAAGATGACAGACCCCCAGCTCACAAAGAATTCTGCTCTGGTGGAGCTGAAGGCAGATTCTAGTAACACAATGTGTTGAGGATTGTGTGTCCGTAGCGCTCTGGGAACAGAGGAGAGGGACACCCTGCACATTGTGGGGTGCCGGGTAAAGGTGTCCCATTAAAGACATCTTCTGGGTGGAGGGGGTGCTTGAGCCATCTTTAAATATCTCATGCCAGTTTTCTCACAGCATGGGAAGGCCACTGGTAAGGGTGCCTGCCAGCTTCGCCATAAACACTGCATCTGCAGTTGTTCAGAGCATGCTGACCCCATTCCTGTGGTTTCAGGTGCCAGCAAGGTCAACCTCGTGAAGATCGCGTCCACGGCCTCCAGCCCACGGGACACGGCGCTGGCTGCCGTTATCTGCAGCGCTCTGGCCACCGTCCTGCTGGCCCTGCTCATCCTCTGTGTCATCTATTGTAAGAGACAGTTTATGGAGAAGAAACCCAGCTGTAAGTTTTGAGCTCATTACATTTCTTAGCATTTAGGGGAAGGGCATTTATTACTATTGTCGTGCAAGTGTTCCACAAGAGACTTGGCTGAGACAAGCACCAGTGAGTTGTGAAAGAACGCAGGGCACAAGAAACACAGGTGATCCCTGAACAGCAGAGGGCTAGGAGAGCAGTTAAGAATCCACACGTCAGTGTTGACTCCCCAAAAACTTAACTACTAATAGCCTATTGTTGACGGGAAGCCTTACTGATAAACAGTTGGTTAATACATCTTGTTTATTATATGTTTCTTTGTTTTTTTGTTTTTTTGGAGACAGAGTCTGGCTCTGTCACCCAGGCTGGAGGGCAGTGGCGTGACTTCAGCTCATGGCAACCTCTGCCTCCCGGATTCAAGTGATTCTCCTGCCTCAGCCTCCGGAGTAGCTGGGACTACAGGCGCCCGCCACCACGCCTGGATAATTTTTGTATTTTTAGTAGAAACGGGGTTTCACCATGTTGGCCAGGCTGGTCTCGAACTCCTGACCTCGTGATCCGCCTGCCTCGGCCTCCCAAAGTGCTGAGATGACAGATGTGAGCCACTGCACCGGCCTATTATATGTATTATGCCCTGTATTCTTACATTAAAGTAAGCTAGAGAAAAGAAAATGTTACTAAGAGAATCATAAGGGAGACAAAATAGATTTACTCTTCATTAAGTGGAAGCGGATCATTGTAAAGGCCTTCATCCTCATCATCTTCATGTTGAGTGGGCTGAGGAGGAGGAGGAGGAGGGTTGGCCTTGGTGTCTCAGCGTGGCAGAGGCTGAAGAAAATCTGTGTATAAGTGACCTGCGCAGTTCAAACCCGTGTTGCTTAAGGGTCATCTGTAGAATTCACTGAGGTTGCACAGCTTTGTAAGGAGACTTACAAGGCTGTGATGTCCCTGCGCCACTAGGCAAAAATAAAAATCATTCTCAGTAATGGCAACATTAGTACCCTACATTTTGAACTTTCTTAACAAATTATTTCATGTTTGTGCTTCCATGTAAGAAGAAGTCATCAAACATTGGAAGGATAGCTGATTTGTTCTTTAAAAATACAAAAGCTAGAATGGCACAGGTCCACTAGAGAGGAGACTGTGTTCCCTGACAGAGTTCTCACCCCTCATTTAGGGTCTCTGCGGTCACAGGACATTCAGTACAACGGCTCTGAGCTGTCGTGTTTTGACAGACCTCAGCTCCACGAATATGCCCACAGAGCCTGCTGCCAGTGCCGCCGTGACTCAGTGCAGACCTGCGGTAAGTTCAGCAGGGAAGTGCCGTTAGGAGGACTGGAGGTACACAGAAGCTGAAGCAGCAAGAATTGGTCCTGGTTTATTCACCTCACAGCGAGGTGGCTGTGTTGAGTCTTCTGGTTAAAACTAATCTTGTTAAATTATTCTCCACCATCTCCTGTTGGTTTGGGTGTTTCGAGTCTCTTAAGCATTAAAAAGGAAATAAGCATCTCGTTAAAATTCTAGAATTTTTCAGCAACTTTTGGGTCATGTTTGTCTTTCTTGTTTTGAGTCAGTTTATTTAAAATCACGGTAACCTTTGGTAGAGTAGGACTTTATATCCTTTGCTGTCTGGTTGATTCAAACCAAACACTAATATGCCTATTTTAAAAATATGTCTATTATAAAAATATATCTATTTTTAGAATTTCTTAAAGAAGAGAGAGCTGAGAAGTCCATTTCAAGGTTTTACACAAACCATAATTGCCCCTTGGACTATTGACAGATTGAAAGTTTAGGAAAGTAATTCAAAGGGAAACTGGTCTCTAACTTGGGCAAATAGGGGCAAAGGTAATACCAACTTTTTAAAAACTTTTATTTTAGGTTTGGGGGTACATGTGCAGGTTTGTTATATAGGTAAACTGATGTTACACGTTTATTTTACAGATTATTTAATTATTTAAGCCTAGTACCCAATAGTTTCTTTTTCTGCTCCTCTCCCTCCTCCCACACTCCACCCTCAAGTAGACCCCATTGTGTGTTGTTCCCTTCTTTGTGTTCATGTGTTCTCATCATTTAGCTCTTGCTTATAAGTGAGAACATGTGGTATTTGGTTTTCTGTTCCCGCCTTAGTTTACTGAGGTAATGGCCTCCAGCTCCATCCATGTTCCCACAAAAGACACGATCTCATCCCTTTTTATGGCTGCATAGTATTCCATGGTGTATATATGCCACATTTTCTTTATCCAGTCTGTAATTGATAGGCATTTAGGTTGATTCCATGTCTTTGCTATTGTGAATAGTGCAGCAGTGAACATTCATGTGCATGTGTCTTTATGGTAGAGTGATTTATATTCCTCTGGGTATAAACCCAGTAATGGGATTGCTGAGTCAGGTGGTAGTTCTATTTTTAGCTCTTTGAGGAATTGCCACACTGCTTTCTACAATGGTTGAACTAATTTACACTTCCACCAACAGTGTGTAAGCATTCCCTTTACTCTGCAACCTTGCCAGCATATGTTATTTTTTGACTTTTTAATAATAGTCATTCTGACTGGTGTGAGATGGTATCTCTTTGTGGTTTTCATTTGCATTTCTCTAATCATCAGTGCTGTTGAGCTTTTTTTCATATGCTTGTTGGCCACATGTATGTCTTCTTTTGAGAAGTGTCTGTTCATGTCCTTTGCCCAGTTTTTGATGGGGTTGTTTTTCTCTTGTAAATTTAAGTTCCTTATAGATGCTGTATATTAGACCTTTATCAGATGCATAGTTTGCAAACATTTTCTCCCATTCTGTAGGTTGTCTGTTTACTCTGATGATAGTTTCTTTTGCTATGCAGAAGGTCTTAAGTTTAATTAGATCTCATTTGTCAATTTTTGCTTTTGTTGTGATTGCTTTTGATGTCTTTGTCATGAAATCTTTGCCCATTCCTATGTCCAGGATGGTATTGCTTAGGTTTTCTTCCAGGGTTTTATAGTTTTGGTTTTTACATGTAAGTCTTTAGTCCATCTGAGTTGATTTTTGTATATGGTGTAAAGAAGGGGTCCAGTTTTAATCTTTGGCATATGGCTAGACAGTTATCCCAGGATTTATTGAACAGGGAGTCTCTCCCTATTGCTTTTGTCAATTTTGTTGAAGATCAGGTAGTTGTACATGTGTGGTCTTATTTCTAGGATCTCTATTCTACTCCATTGGTCTATGTGCCTGTTTTTGTACTAGTACCATGCTGTTTTGGTTACTGTGGCCTTGTAGCGTAGTTTGAAATCAGCTAACATGATGCCTCCAGCTTTGTTCTTTTTGACTAGGATTGCCTTGGCTAATACAGGGTCTATTTTGGTTCCATATGAATTTTAAAATAGGTTTTTCCTAGTTCTGTGAAGAATGTCTTTGGTAGTTTGATAGTAATAGCTCTGAATCTGTACATTTGTTTGGGCAGTATGGCCACTTTAATGAAATTGATTATTCCTATCCATGAGCATGTGATGTTTTTTCATTTGTCTGTGTCTTCTCTGATTTGTTTGAGCAGTGTTTTGTAATTCTCTTTTACCTCCGTGGTTAGCTGTATTCTTAAGTATTTTATTCTTTTTGTGGCAATTGTGAATGGGATTGTCTTGCTGATTTGGCTCTTGGCTTGGCCGTTGTTGGTGTAGAAGAATACTAATGATTTTTGTACGTAGATTTTGTATCCTGGAACTTTGCTGAGGTTGTTTATCAGCTGAAGAAGCTTTTGGGCAGAGACTGTGGGGTTTTCTAGATATAGAATCATGTCATCTGCAAACAGGGATAGTTTGACTCCCTCTCTTCCTGCTTAGATGCCCTTTGTTTCTTTCTTTTGCCTGATTGCCCTGGCTAGGATTTCCCATACTGTGTTGAATAGGAGTGGTGAGAGAGAGCATCCTTGCCTTGTGCCAGTTTTCAAGGGGAATGCTTCCAGCTTTTCCCCAGTCAGTATGATGTTGGCTGTGGGTTTGTCATAGATTGCTCTTATTATTCTGAGGTATGTTCCTTCAATACCTAGTTTATTGAGAGTTTTTAACATGAAGGATGTTGAATTTTATTGAAAGCCTTTTCTGCATCTATTGAGATAATCATGTGGTTTTGTCTTTAGTTCTGTTTATGTGATGAATCGCCTTTATTGATGTCTATATGTTGAACCAACCTTGCATCCCAGGGATGAAGCCTGCTTGATCGTGGTGGATTAGCTTTTTTGATGTGCTGCTGGATTCAGTTTGCAAGTAGTTTGTTGAGGATTTTTACATTGGTGTTCATCAGGGATATTGGCCTGAAGTTTTGTTTTTTTGTTGTATCTCTGCCAAATTTGGGTGTCAGGATGATGCTGGCCTCATAGAATGAGTTAGGAAGGAGTCCCTCATTTTTTTGGAATAGTTTCAGTGGGAATGGTACCAGCTCTTCTTTGTCATGTGGTAGAATTTGGCTGTGAATCCATCTGGTCCTTGGCTTTTTTTGGTTGGTAGGCTATTTACTACTGATTCAGTTTTGGAGCTCATTTTCGTTCTGTTCAGGGAATCGATTTCTTCCTGGTTCAGTCTTGGGAGGGTGTATGTGTCCAGAAATTTATCTGTCTCTTCTAGGTTTTCTAGTTCATGTGTATAGAGATGTTTATAGTAGTTCCTGATGGCTATTTTTATTTCTGTGGGGTCAGTGGTAACATCCCTTTTGTAGTTTTTAATTGTGTTTATTTGGATATTCTCTCTTATTAGTCCAGTTAGCGGCCTATATTATTTATTTCTTCAAAAAAACAACTCCTGGATTTTTTAATATTTTGGGTGGTTTTTCATGTCTCAATTCCTTCATTTCAGCTCTGATTTTGGTTATTTCTTGTCTTCTGCTGGCTTTAGGGGTGAGGTAATTTGTTCTTGCTTCTCAAATTCTTTCTGTTGTAATGTTAGGTTGTTAATTTGAGATCTTTCTAACTTTTTTATTTGGGTGTTTAGTGCTATGAATTCCCTCTTAACACTGCCTTAGTTGTGTCCCAGAGATTCTGGAATGTTGTATCTTTGTTCTCATTAGTTTCAAAGAACTTGATTTCTACCTTAATTTTAGTATTTACCCAAAAGTCATTCAGGAGTATGTTGTTTAATTTCCATGTAATTGCATGGCTTTGAGTGATTTTCTTAGTCTTGACTTCTATTTTTATTGCACTGTGGTCTGAGCATGTGTTTAGTACCAACTTTCTTTGCTATGTATTTATATTCTTCAGCACGTGTTTTTACACTTACACATCCCACTCCCCCACCACCCTACCACCTTACCTCCTCTGCAAATTAAAACCCTCTATAGCCAACCACCCTCTCTACAAGTCTGTCCCAGTTCCCCCGTCCTCTTACTACTTTACAGTTCTGTTATCACCCATGGAAGCAAAACTAATAGCACCATTTTGTCTAATAACCCATCTGTATTTGTTTTCACCATATTCTATTAGATTGACTTGTCCTCTTGGAACTGTCTAATCAGTCTTCTCAAGAAATTATCAGTTAAGTGTTCCAGTCTCATGTTGTATATACAGCCATGCATTGCTTCTATGCAAACCTTGTAGAGTGCACACAAAGCTAGATGGGATAGCCTACTACAGAGCTAGGCTATGTGGTGTAGCCCATTGCCCTAGGCTACAAACCTGTACGGCATGTGACTGCACTGAATACTGTAGACAGTTGCAACAAATAAGTACTTGTGGATCTAAACATAGAAAAGGTACAGTAAAAATACGGTATTATAAACTTCCAGGACCACTATGGTATAGTTGGGCCATCATTGAACAAAATATTGCTATGCAGCATATGGCTATATGGAATAAGAAGATTTCATTTTAATTCTTTTTCTGCTAATTATTACTATCTCCTATTTTGGGAATGGGTGAAGAATAAAATACAACACTTTCTGTGGTGTGTGGATCTAGTTTTGCCTTTGCCTATATAGACAAGACTCTTAGACACTATTAATGGTAACTGTGTGATCCTTAAACACCCCCAAGCATTACATTTTCCTAGATACAATACCGTGGACACTGTTACTAGAGTCAGAGTAAGTAGGAATACTTTCTGGAGAGATGAACTCTAATTTTAAATTTTAAATGTAATAAAAGGCAGTTTGTATAAACTCTGCCTCACCTTACTTCAGTCTGAAATGAAAGATTAAATATACAGATGGCCTTGTTGTGTGACCTCCTAACAGAACACTGGGGCCAGAAATGATCCCCATGCCAATGCACTGGTTCAGTGCAGCTTATTTCAAATGTTTCCTCCTTAATGGCAGATACTTTTTTCCCTTTAACTTTTTATTTTGACATAATTTCAGAAATCAGTCATAATTACAGAAATATCGAAAGTGTAGAACAAAGAATTCCCACATGTCCTTTACCGAGATTCCCCAAATATTAACGTTACCCATGTTCACATTTGCTTTATCCCCTCTCTCTCGTGTGTGTGTATACTTGTTTTTCATTTTCTGTTTTAAATTCAGTTGCAAATATGATGTCCCTCTACCCCTTAGTACATCAATGTTTGCTTCCTAAGAACAAGAACATTTTCTCTCACATAACAACAGCATAATTATTAAAACAGGAAATTCGTGTTAATTCAGTGCCATTATATAATCTACAGAGCGTATTCGTGTTTTCTTAATTGCCCCAGTATTGTCTTTTGTAGCAAAAAGTATTCTGAAAACTTCTGTTGCATTGAGTTGTCAAATATGTTTGGTCTCTTTTAATCTGGAATTGTCTCCTAATGTTTGTGTCTCATGATACTGATTTTTTTTGAAAAGTACAGGCCAGCACTTTTCAAAATTCTACAGTTTTGTAGAATGACACTTAATTTGGGTTTGTCTGATGCTTCCTCAGGATTAGATTCAGAAATACTGCTGAGGGGATGCTGAGTCCTCAGCGCACTGTATCAGGAGGCAGAGTTGTCCATCTGGCCTATGCCTGGTCAGGGTAACCTTGGTCACTTCGTTAAGGGGGTGTCTGCCAGGTTTCTCCAGTATAAAATGTCCGCTGTTCTCTTTGTAATGAATAAATATCCTATAGGGGATACTTGGAGGCTGTGTAAATATCCTGTCACACCCCAAACTTTCACCCTGTAGCTTAGCGTGCTCTGATGATTTGTACTGGAATCAGTCATTACTATGATGGTTAACAAATGCTGGCTTTCTAATTCCGTTATTCTTTCCACATTTATTAGTTGGCTTCCTATGGTAAGGAGGAACTTTCGTTCTCCATTTATGTATTTATATACCTTAGTTAGTTTAGACTCGTGGACTGTATTCAGTGGGTTGCAGCCCTTTGGTGTCACTATTTATTCTGATGCTCATGTTGCCTTTCATTTGGAACTCCCTTCAGGCTGGCTCATGTGCCATTTTGACATGTCCGCATTATTCTTTTAGCACTTTCTTACTTTCTGCCACCAAAAGAAGTCCCAGGTTTATCGTGTACTTTCCCTAGAATCAGCCTTTCTATAAGGAATGGCAGTGCCTTTTGCTTTAAAACAATTTTGAAATGTCTCATGGTGAGCGTGACACACGTTTGTTAAGCGGCAGTAAACCCTGGCGAGTTCAGCGGGGTCAGAGCACTGTATGTTTAGATGGTCTGGACGGAGGCCTTGCTTTGAGGGAGACTTAGATGCAGGCAGGCCAGTCATCCTGTTTCTCACGGGCTTGCAATTGCATCTCAATATTTGGCATTCATTTTTATAAAGAGAGACTGTAGTTTCATAATTTTTTTCCTGTTTATAAAAGTAAAGAGATATTCCTCATGGAAAATTTGGATACACACAAACATATAGCTATATATGTAGATGTATAATTTCTCCAATAGCTATATATGTAAATGTATAATTTCTCCAAGTCTTCCTTTGTGTATGTGTGTGTCTTTGTGTGTGTGTGTGTGTGCTTTAGTGTGTTTGTGGTTCTATAAATCAGAGTGATATATATATATATATATATGTATGTATAGACAGAGTGAGAAATCAAGAAGGCTGTTCAAAAAGCTGAGTGTTTATTTTCAGCTTATAGGATTGAGAAGATTTATTTTTAAATTTCTTATCTAATCTCTATATTTTAGATTTTTAAGCTTATATTATCTTTGTAGCACAAAATACATCCAGCTTCAGTGATATATTCAGCTTGTAAAGCTGTGTGCACATATCTACTTATTCCTTAAGTGACATTCCTAGCAATAAAAAGAAATGGTGTGTCTGTGTATATGGAGTTAGAGGGTTCGAACATTCATGCTCTCGTCTGTGTTAGGAGGCCACTCAGCGGGAAAGTTGTCCTGCTCCTCCTGTCCTCAGTGGGGCCAAGAAGTCTCACTTCGTGGTCTCCCACAGACTGCTTTATTCCTTTTCCCCGCTTATTATTGTAGTGAAATACACATAAGATAAAATTCACCATCTTAACCATTTTCAAGTGTGCAGTTCAGTGGCGTTAAGTACATTCTCACTGTGGTGCAGCCATCACCACCATTCACCTTCCAGAACATTTTTCATCCTCCCAAACTGAAACTCTGTCTCCATTAAACAGCAGCTCCTGGTCTCCCCATTGCTCCAGCCCCCTAGCATCCCCCCTTCTTCATCTGTCTGTATGAGTCTGTCTACTCTCGGTACCTTATATAAGTGGCTCATCATTTGTTTAAGATAAGAAAAAAAGAGAACCTTGTATTCCTTTTCCCCCAAAAGTCACCCAAAGGGAAACATCTAAATTTCCGAGAGCAGTGTTGAAGTGTTATTAAAGTGAAAGCTGCCAGAAGGAGGCACTGTGCTTCACACCTGTGCTGTCTTCCCTAGGGCCGGTGCGCTTGCTCCCATCCATGTGCTGTGAGGAGGCCTGCAGCCCCAACCCGGCGACTCTTGGTTGTGGGGTGCATTCTGCAGCCAGTCTTCAGGCAAGGTAACTAGGTGCTTTCAATCAATCATTTCATAACCCCCTGTGCAAATATGCATTCTACTAATTTACCGATTTTCATCTGAAATGATGGAAACATCACCTCTTAAATATTAATGACATTCTGGATATTGGTGGGGTGCAGTTCTCAGGGAAGAATTAGGTAGCTCTCTCAAGGTCACTCATATCCAGTGCAACATTCTTTACACTTTACTCTTCATTAATTTTATTTTTGTCTTATGTCTGTGATTTTTGACACCTCTGTCATCTGTAAGTAATTAACATGTAAGTAATTTTTACCCATGGAATAATATTTTAGAATTTTAGAACAGCACTCAAGAAACTCAGATGAGACCCAGGAAACTGCATGTTTTAGACATTGGATTAAGTATAACTATATTAATTAGAAGGAGGTGTCAAAACTCAGTTTTCAAATAAATGGAGTAATTTGACTTATTGTATTGAGATGAGTTTATAACAATAGGAAACACTAGAATTCTGATGCAGTAAATTGCTATTTCATTTAGAAGACCTAAAATTACGGCTGACATGCTTCTTTGTAGTAGTGTTTTTCTCCCCATCAAAAACTTTAAGTTCTTTTGAACGTGTGTGCAGAAACGCAGGCCCAGCCGGGGAGATGGTGCCGACTTTCTTCGGATCCCTCACGCAGTCCATCTGTGGCGAGTTTTCAGATGCCTGGCCTCTGATGCAGAATCCCATGGGTGGTGACAACATCTCTTTTTGTGACTCTTATCCTGAACTCACTGGAGAAGACATTCATTCTCTCAATCCAGAACTTGAAAGCTCAACGTCTTTGGATTCAAATAGCAGTCAAGATTTGGTTGGTGGGGCTGTTCCAGTCCAGTCTCATTCTGAAAACTTTACAGCAGCTACTGATTTATCTAGATATAACAACACACTGGTAGAATCAGCATCAACTCAGGATGCACTAACTATGAGAAGCCAGCTAGATCAGGAGAGTGGTGCTGTCATCCACCCAGCCACTCAGACGTCCCTCCAGGTAAGGCAGCGACTGGGTTCCCTGTGAACACAGCACTGACTTACAGTAGATCAGAACTCTGTTCCCAGCATAAGATTTGGGGGAACCTGATGAGTTTTTTTTTTGCATCTTTAATAATTTCTTGTATGTTGTAGAGTATGTTTTAAAATAAATTTCAAGTATTTTTTTAAAAAACTAACACAGCTAATATATAAGAGCAAAGTGGACAGCTGCATTCTTTTATTCCTCTTTGTAAGTACAACCACTTAGCACAGCACCTGCTGCCTCCTTCCCTGGTTGAGAGAGGTGAGTCGGGTATGGGAGCATCTTGCAGACAATTCCTGACCTTCATTTCTTCCTGTTATATATACTTATTATTATATATATATTACTTATGCCCAATACTTAAATCTACTTCATTCACTGCCAAGTTTATGTGAATTTTGGTCTCCTAAAGCTGCTCTTTTCCCTCCTCTCTCCTTGGCTGTTGTTTTCTGGATCACTCTGCTTTACCGGATTGATTGATTTGGCTGGAAATTGATTGTTGGTTGTGACCTGAGACCAGGTCATAAGACCCTCTCAGGTGGAATGGTTTAAGATCAGGTTTGGGTGGAGCGAGGGTGGCACCTGCAGAGAGATGGGGGCTTTCTGCGTGCTGCAAAGCTGGAGGCAGCAAAGGATTCAGGGATAACTGGGCACGTCTCTGCTTTCTTCAGGTGAGGATGTGGCCTTTGCTGAATTTGACCTAATGTTTGTAAACATTTCCTTAAATGGGAGTGCATGTATTGTTAGTGTTAAGTTCTAGGAGAAAAGTGTCAAGCCTTGAGTGTAAAAGGGCAGAGTCACAGCAACAGTCCAGCTCCCAGGCCCACAAGACTCTGCCCCACAAAGAGGTTGCTGCTCTCACTGCCTGTCCCTCCCTGCCCCAGATCAGGGTTGTGGGTGCTGAGGAGGCAGCTGAGCCTGCTCCAGAGGGGCCTCACTTCCATGTCATTCTGTATCCTGGCCTGATTATATCAGAGACTTAGTGCAGAGTCAAAGTGTGAACGCTGATATGTTCCTTTTAAGATCAGTTCATAAGTTACATACTGATCTAAGTCTGCAGTACTTGTTTTTGTTTTTGGTTTTTGGGTTTTGAAACGGGGTCTCTCTCTGTCGCCCAGGCCAGAGCTCAGTGGAGCAATCACAGCTCACTGCAGCCTCGTCCTCCTGGGCTCAAGCCATCTTCCCACCTTGTTTGCTTTTTTAAAGTACAAAAAAAAATTATCTGGAGAACTTTTAGGGGATTCTATAGACAAAACATTTTTTAGCTTTGGAGGGAAAAAATTGGTTTCATTCTCAAAACGGGGGAATGGAGAAGTAAGAGAAGGGAGACGAGTGAATGAAGGAAAAACAAATTAGGCAGTTAACACATACAAAGTATCTACCTCTGAGCTCTGCCTGGAGTTAGGAAAGGCTGTTCACTGATCTTGTTCTTTTGAGCCATCCATAATTTGTAAAATTGTTATGATAATAAATAAGAAAAGACTTAAGAATTAACCTAGCTGAGTGTAAGTCTCAAGAATGGACTGTGCCCCACACAACGTAGGAACTGAGAGGCCCCAGCAGCCGAGAGCAGGTAACAAGTCCTTCAAAGCAGAGAGCGTCCACTGACGGATCAGAGGATGCTAGAAACAGGCGGAACCCCCCTGCTCAGCAACAGAGGGCTCAGCTGCCTCCCAGCAGCACTAAATGAGGGGCCCTCGCCATGTCTAGTGCATCATCCGTGCCTCTCTTGTTAGGAGATCATCTGAAGAACTAGGGTTACGGTGCTGCCAGCTGACTAATGACTGTTTTTCAGTTTTGTCAGGAAACAGAATTACCACTCACCTTAATTTTGTAGCTTGTACCCAAGTTTGTGATGTCAATTGCCAAGACTAAGGAATGAAACGTCTTCATACGAGGTCATCCCGGAGCCAACTCATTGCCTGCTTTTTTTCTGTGTATGTTGGTGGTGTGGCGGGGACAGGATTGATAAGCACTGTCATCACAGCTGTATGAACATGATATTTTAGAAACATGTTTTAGTTGATGAGATTGGCATATCATGACTTACTAACTCTTTTTCAAAGACATGCAAGGTAGTTCTCATGATTTATATACACTTTCAACTCAAATCATTATGAAAAGAAAGTTACAATTATATCTAAACTGAACCTGATGAGAAAATATTACACTCAAGTTGCACAGTATAATAATTTATTAATGAAAGGTTTTTACTAACTTTTCAAGATGTGTAGCCCTATAATTGTTAGATTAATTTAGGTAAATCTAAGTATGACATTGAATTTAAAAAAGGAAGCGTTAAAATATAAACCATTTTGATTTTTCCCCTATAATAGTGAATAATATTTTGAGCCCATTTTACGAGATAATCATTTCCAGATGCTGGAAAAAAAAAAAACTTTAGTTGCACTTACTAATCTGTGAAATGTAGCAAATGAACCTTAAGCTACTTCAGGCCTTTGGGGGCCTGGTCCTCCTCTTTATTTCAAGGTCCAACCAAGTGTTTAACTCAAGTAGTTTTGCTTCTGTTTTTCTTTCCCAATCTAAATTCCAACCCACATTTCCCCCAACAGGCTAATTTTCCAACTAGAGGACACATTCACATCTCATAAAGAATTTGATTTTAGGCTGAGGCAGGAAGATGACTTGAGCCCAGGAGTTTGAGGCTTGAGGCTGCAGTGAGCTAGGATCACGCCGCTGCACTCCAGCCTGGGCAACAAAGCAAGACCCTGTCTCTTAAAAAATAAAATAAAATAATTTGATTTCAGCAGCTCACTATTATGAACCAAAGCACAGGGCTTCTTGTTAATTTTATCCATTCCACAGGTTTGTGTTCAATTAGCTTGGCTCCATGATGTGGGCTCGTTCATAGCTCAGGAAAACAACATGTGTCCATCTGGGAGGTGGAAAAGGAGCAGCTGTGGCCAAACAGCACTTCTGTCTTTACGTGGTGTAAGGCCATGATTTCAGCGCATGATGCATTTGTTTACACAACCTGCATTTCCACACACTAGTTTTCTTGTGGGTGATTTAAGATGACCCATAATCTGATGATAGTTATGGTTCCAGATAAAGCAAATAGGTGTGAGAGCCTTCTTTAGTTTGTATGACTCAATTTTAATCAAGTTTTTCCTATACACATCTCTCCAGAAGGGAACAAAACTGAGATATTTGGAACATTTTTTGCTGAGATATTTGAGAGAACAAAGCCAGCCTGTTTACCTACAGGAAAAGCATATCTTGAAGTTGTTTTTAATGCAACATTTAAAATGTCAACAGGAACAGACAGAAAGAAGGTTAGAAAACATATGAGAGGACCCTGGGTTCTAGTGTTTCAATCTATTGAAATGTCTACTTTTTCCTTATTGGCAAAATGAGGATAATTTGCCTCCCACAGAAGGGTTCATGTAGTTATTATAATCATGTCAGTTAATCAACATATTTGATAAAACTATCTCCTGTTATTGGAAGTGTTTCATAAGATTTTACTTCTAAATAATCTCCTTAGACCTAGGAATAATTTTTTTGCATACACTTAACCTGGTATGTCACCAATGCCAAATTAGTGGTAAGTTAGTGAAGGGTTAATACATGAAATTAATGTTCAGTGGTTTCACTTGTCCCCTTCCCGGCATTGACGTCAGTGCCCTTTGTGATGAGGACACGTCTAATGGCTACACTTTGCTGAGGATATTCTCCCGATAAGGACTGTGAGTATGCTAGGGAGATTGTTATAAGAGAAATCTTATTCCCAACTATTTCTGAACATTCTCTAATAGTTTAATGGAAGTACATTCAAAGACTAAGTTGGCAGATAAAGAATGGTACTATTCATTCATCTTTGTTCTTTGAAAGAAAGGAAATACAGAATCCTAAAATATTTACCTACAAATGCTTTAAAGGAACACAGTATAGAAGAAAGAAGCTTTAAATGTTTGAATAAGGTTGAAAGCCCACAAAAGAATTGTTGTTAATACATTATGATTGCTATGGGTTACGGTATCATCTTTTAAGTACTCTGCAGTTATTGGGTGACTACGAATTGTTATGAAAATATTTATTTTATCCTGAGATTACATGGGTAGCTGGATATTTGGATACTATTGAATGAGTTTCTTGTCCATATGCTATTATTATATCCATGTATACTACTAGTAAAAGTTATGCATAATAATTCTTTACCATTGAAATTTAGCAGATTTAACTTGTAAGACATTATTTCTAAAGCTTCCTTTCTGTTGCTGTTTTAGGAAGCTTAAAGAACCTGCTTCTTTCTGCAGTAGAAGCGTGTGCTGGAACCCAAAGAGTACTCCTTTGTTAGGCTTATGGACTGAGCAGTCTGGACCTTGCATGGCTTCTGGGGCAAAAATAAATCTGAACCAAACTGACGGCATTTGAAGCCTTTCAGCCAGTTGCTTCTGAGCCAGACCAGCTGTAAGCTGAAACCTCAATGAATAACAAGAAAAGACTCCAGGCCGACTCATGATACTCTGCATCTTTCCTACATGAGAAGCTTCTCTGCCACAAAAGTGACTTCAAAGACGGATGGGTTGAGCTGGCAGCCTATGAGATTGTGGACATATAACAAGAAACAGAAATGCCCTCATGCTTATTTTCATGGTGATTGTGGTTTTACAAGACTGAAGACCCAGAGTATACTTTTTCTTTCCAGAAATAATTTCATACCGCCTATGAAATATCAGATAAATTACCTTAGCTTTTATGTAGAATGGGTTCAAAAGTGAGTGTTTCTATTTGAGAAGGACACTTTTTCATCATCTAAACTGATTCGCATAGGTGGTTAGAATGGCCCTCATATTGCCTGCCTAAATCTTGGGTTTATTAGATGAAGTTTACTGAATCAGAGGAATCAGACAGAGGAGGATAGCTCTTTCCAGAATCCACACTTCTGACCTCAGCCTCGGTCTCATGAACACCCGCTGATCTCAGGAGAACACCTGGGCTAGGGAATGTGGTCGAGAAAGGGCAGCCCATTGCCCAGAATTAACACATATTGTAGAGACTTGTATGCAAAGGTTGGCATATTTATATGAAAATTAGTTGCTATAGAAACATTTGTTGCATCTGTCCCTCTGCCTGAGCTTAGAAGGTTATAGAAAAAGGGTATTTATAAACATAAATGACCTTTTACTTGCATTGTATCTTATACTAAAGGCTTTAGAAATTACAACATATCAGGTTCCCCTACTACTGAAGTAGCCTTCCGTGAGAACACACCACATGTTAGGACTAGAAGAAAATGCACAATTTGTAGGGGTTTGGATGAAGCAGCTGTAACTGCCCTAGTGTAGTTTGACCAGGACATTGTCGTGCTCCTTCCAATTGTGTAAGATTAGTTAGCACATCATCTCCTACTTTAGCCATCCGGTGTTGGATTTAAGAGGACGGTGCTTCTTTCTATTAAAGTGCTCCATCCCCTACCATCTACACATTAGCATTGTCTCTAGAGCTAAGACAGAAATTAACCCCGTTCAGTCACAAAGCAGGGAATGGTTCATTTACTCTTAATCTTTATGCCCTGGAGAAGACCTACTTGAACAGGGCATATTTTTTAGACTTCTGAACATCAGTATGTTCGAGGGTACTATGATATTTTGGTTTGGAATTGCCCTGCCCAAGTCACTGTCTTTTAACTTTTAAACTGAATATTAAAATGTATCTGTCTTTCCTAGTATGTTTTTATCTTCTCATGTATTATCCATGGTTTTCTCTGTTTGTGACAGATTAGTAAAATTTAATGAGCCCTCTTTCTTGTGGCCGTTTCTCCATAGTTTTAGGTTTTGATATGTGTTTACTAGCTTGCCTGTGTCTGGTACATCTCATGACCTCAATTCCCTCACCTGAAATAGGAAATGAGAATGTTTCATTGTAGCCCCAAGCGGTCATGTCAACCTAGTGCCTAGTCATAATTAATTGACTTTTCCTGTATTACTTCTTTTTTTAAGTATAAACCAATGATCCTTTGGTAGTCAAGAACTCTTAGGAACATTGCCTTTTGGACATGTAAAATATTTAGGATTTGACCACACAATGGCTATGAAAATGCAAGTAGTTTCCTCGCGTGACCTCACCATGATTCACATACGTGCCACTGTTTGAAATCTGGTCTGTTTGCATTTCTGTTATGACAGAGAGATGATGTTTGCATTTCTGTTATGACAGAGAGATGATGAAAGTAGGCAGGGCTGTGTTCCTTTGTGTAGCCTGTATATATTTTCCATATGTAGAGCCCTGATTAACTTCAAGGACAAACACTGGCTGGAGAAAGCCAGACTGATGGGAATGAGACTTTGGCCAAAAATCCCAAAACATCATTTTCAATCAGTAGAGAAGTGCTTAGGGTTGAAAATTGATTTCATTTGCTACTGAATTTGGTAAATCCTGGGTAACTTTTATCAAGATGAAGACATTTTACCCTACCTACTCTAGAAATATACAACAATGTTATATTTTACACTCCTTGGAAACATTTGAGGAAAAAAATGCAATTTGCACTTCACTTTGTTGGAATATCCCATAGCACTCAATAAACTCAGCTGCTAGAGTGCCGATGTCAGGAGGGCTGTGTCGGGTAATGCGTGTGGCTGAATGGGCATAACCACTGTGGCTTCTTGTGCTGCAGAAGCTCGTTGACAAGACTGAGGAGGATTTCAAGAGCAACCAAGTAAAGTCATGAATTTTCTAATTTTGTGTATATGGAATATATTTTTAAATAGAGATTTTTCTACTTTAGATAATGTGTTAATATTGCTATTACCTAGGTTAAGCACTATTGTCTGTGCTAGTAAGAAAAAGAAAGGAAAACCATCATTGCTTTATAGTAGCTTATATCAATTTAGATTTCATCATTACTATTTTGCATACTGGAATTTATAAATGTGTAAATTATCATTTTCTTAGTTTTGTAATACCTTTTTTATTTGTGAATAAAATTATCACCTGGTATTCTTATTTATGTGTTCAGTGAGAGAATGACTGATTTTGTGGATGCAGACATGTTTTTTTCTTTTCAGAAGTCTGTGTGAGGGTTTTGCAGAGTTCTGCTCTCTCGGCACAGGCAGCGGCTCCTGCCTGTGGTCCCAGATACTAGGAGGCTGAGGCAGAAGGATCATGAGCCTAGGAGTTTGAGGCGTGCCTAGGAGTTTGAGGCCAGCCTGGACAACATAATGAGGCTGTGTCACTAAAAAATGTGCTCCAGAGAGGGATGGAACCCTCTCTGCCTCCTCAGGCTTTTGGAGGGCTATTTGTAATCCTCACTGGTGACCTGTGAGGGATAGCCTGGGAACAGAACCAGGCGCATTGGGCTAGTGGAAGGTGCTCTGCGGCCCCTGAGAAGCTTTGGCATCAAGGTCTTATCATGATCTCTTCATTTTTTCCCTTTTATGGCACAAAGAGGGAAGGAACTAAAGAGAAAGTTTTGTATCCTTGATGGAGCTCAGCCAGGTGTCCTCCTGCAGAGGAGGACTAAAGAGAGGAAGGTGGAGGCTTCCACAGATCAGCAATCCTTTTCTTCCCTCTACTCAGTAAAGCTTTTAAGGCTATTATTAGATTTTGAGAGAGGACTTTAAACTTTCTGGAAAAAAAAAACTTTAAAAAATGTTACAGTTACATCCTGCTTTCTCAGCAGGTGAGTTTCTGCTGTTGACACTGGATTCTCTGAGGGAAGGACATTGACTTCTTCCCCCTCTGACACCCCCACTCACACCCCAACCCCCCCAGAGCATGTGGACTTTCCTGGTGTCCATGGAGACTGGTTTAGCTTATAGGTACCATAAATCCATCAACTCTCTGACAAAAATAACTCAAAGCTAATAAGGTTCTCCCAGGAGGTCTGGACTATTTTATAGTAATGTGTCTGGAATTGGTGGGTTCTTGGTCTCACTGACTTCAAGAATGAAGCCACGGATCCTCGCGGTGAGTGTTACAGTTCTTAAGGATGGCGTGTCCAGAGTTTGTTCCTTCTGATGTTCGGACGTGTTCGGAGTTTCTTCCTTCTAGTGGGTTCATGGTCTCTCTGGCTTCAGGAGTGAAGCTGCTGACCTTCACGGTGTTACAGCTCTTAAGGCGGCACTCTGGAGTTGTTCGTTCCTCCTGTCTGGAGTTGTTCATTCCTCCCGGTGGGTTCGTGGTCTCACTGGCCTCAGGAGTGAAGCTGCAGACCTTCCCAGTGAGTGTTACACTCATAAAGGCAGTGCGAGCCCAAAGAGAGAGTAGCAGCAAGATTTATTGCAAAGAGCTAAAGAACAAAACTTCCACAGCATGGAAGGGGACCCGAGCAGGTTGCCACTGCTGGCTTGGGCAGCCTGCTTTTATTCCCTTATCTGGCCCCACCCACACCCTGCTGATTGGTCCATTTTACAGAGAGCTGATTGGTCCGTTTTGACTGGGTGCTGATTGTTGTCTTATTTGCAGTCCCCTAGCTAGACATAAAGATTCTCCAAGTCCCCACCAGATTAGCTAGACACAGGGTGCTGATTGGTGCATTTACAAACCTTGAATAGACACAGGGTGCTGATTGGTGTGTTTACAAACCATGAGCTAGACACAGAGTGCTGATTGGTGTATTTACAATCCCTTAGCTAGACATAAAGATTCTCCAAGTCCCCACCAGACTCAGGAGCCCAGCTGGCTTCACCTAATGGATCTCGCACGGGGGCTGCAGGCGCCAGTCCCACGCCATGCACCCGCACTCCTCAGCCCTTGGGCGGTGGATGGGACTGGGCGCCATGGAGCAGGGGGCGGGGCTCCTAGGGGAGGCTCCCGCAGCACAGGAGTCCACTTGTGGGGAGGCTTAGGTATGGTGGGCTGCAGGTCCTGAGCCCTGCCCCACGGGGAGGCAGCTGAGGCCCTGCGAGAATTCGAGCACAGCGCCGGCTGGGGTACCTGGCACACCCTCTGCAGCTGCTGGCCCTGGTGCAAAGCCCCTCACTGCTCAGGCCGGCGGGCCGGCTCCGAGTGTGTGGCCCACAAAGCCCACGCCCACCCAGAACGCGTACTGGCCCACAAGTGCTGGGCACAACCCCTGTTCCCGCCCACACCTCTCCCTCCACACCTCCCTGCAAGCAGAGGGAGCCGGCTCCGACCTCTGCCAGCCCAGAGAGGGGCTCCCATAGTACAGCAGCAGGCTGAAGGGCTCCTCAAGGGTGGCCAGACTTGGCGCAGAGGTTGAGGAGGCGCTGAGAGCGAGCAAGGGCTGCCAGCACACTGTCACCCCTCAGTAATAACAATGACATATTTTCATTATTACCACTATTATTAAGGTCTCTGCAACTGGGTACTTATTCTGAATGTGTCCCATTTTAAACTAAGAAGGTATTGTCTGATTTCTTTTTTTAAAATTTAATTTAATTAATTAATTTTTTTGAGACAGTCTTGCTCTGTCACCCAGACTGGAGTGCACCTCCCAGGTTCACACAATTCTCCTGCCTCAGCTTCCTGCATAGCTGGGATTACAGGCACATGCCACCACACCCGGCTAATTTTTGTGGGGTTTTTTTTTTTTTTTTTTTGTATAAACGGGGTTTCACCATGTTGGCCAGGCTAGTCTCAAACTCCTGACCTCAAATGATCCGCCCACTTCGGATTGCTGGAATCCCAAATTGCTGGAATTACATTTTTTAAAAACAAATTTGGCACCGACTAAGGTCTGTAAATAGAGCTTAAGTTTATCATTCAGTCTTGAAAGTGAACAGTGGTCTGAGAGGTTTCAAAATTGTCTATAATGTCAAACAAGTTTCAGTAAGTCCTGGTATGCAATTATAGGGATATAATTATGCTGAGTCAAGGCAGCAGTTCACACTAGCATTAGTTATGTCACACTTCAACCAACGGAGGGTTGAAAGGTTTCTACTCCAGAGAGTCAGCTGGCCAAGGGTAGGTCATGTCATGAATGGCCAGTGGCGTTTGAATTAGTGTGATCTATGGCTGCTTGAAATTCACCTCTCCAGAAGACTTGAATTTTTAAAAGTTATCAGCAAAACCACTTTCTCTAGAACCATGGGTGGTCTTCTGAAGCAGGTTTCATTTTTTGTTCTATAAAGAGAGAGGATTCTTTTTTCCATAATTTCTAATGGCATTAGCTATTCCTACTTAAGACTGAAATAGCTGTGTTCTGGTAGCTTTGTTTGGGGTGGAATTTAACTAGCAGAACTATGTAGAGGGATTTTCCTTACCTGGGTTGATTATTTACAGTAAATAGAAGATCTGCAGACCATTCTGCCAGCAATCTTTTAATAGCAGGTTAGGGAGGCAGGCTGCGCCACCGCAAGGCATGCTACCCCTCCACAGATCAGAGATGAATCATTTCCCTTGAAGTTCTAAACACAGGTCCAATTCCTCTCAGAAGACTCACTCTAGTAAGATGCATTTCCTGTGGCAGTCCTTAATGTATGCACTCAACATACATTTATATAGCATAGAGCATGTGCTTGGTTCTAACTACAGTGCCAGGGCCAGAGAAGATATGAAGAAATATAAGGAAAGCAAGCCTTTTAAGTGTTTATAAAGTAGACCTGGGCCAGCATGGTGGCTCACGCCTCTAATCCCAGCACCTTGCAAGGCTGATGCAAGAGGATTATGTGAGGACAAGAGTTTGGGATCAGCCTGGACAACAATCTGGGACTCCATCTCTACAAAAAAAGAAAAGAAAAAATTAGCCAGTGTGGTGGTGCATGCCTGTAGTCCTAGCTACTCAGGAGGACCAGGCAGGAGGATCCTTGAGCCCAGGAGTTTGAGGCTGCAGTGAGCTGTGTTAGAGCCATTGTACTCCAGCCTGGGCAGCAGAGCAAGAACCTGTCCCTAATAAAATAGCTCTTAATTGTAAAAATACAAGTGCAAATCCTTCTGGGGACAGTGAGGAGGGGGCACAGAAGCTGGGAGGGAAAGTCCTCTGCACTGGGCCATGAAGACTCATGTGGTATTCACCAGGCAAGTGGAGGGGTGGAAAATGCTAGAACTGCAGGTGGAAAGGCTCAGCCTGTGCTGGGAGTGGGAGAAGTGCAGGGAGGCTGGAGCACGAGGACACGGGTGAGGTGGCTCAGGGCAGATTTCTAGGCCAACAGGCATCCAATGGGCCCTGCCCTGGGGCTCGAGCTTCCCCCATGGGGGACCGACTTACCTCTATGTGAAGGGGTGACAGACATAAAAACCAAAATAGTCTTCCAGAAGCTTCGGAGTTCCAGAGGGAGGTGAGTGGACCTCTCTCCAGCAGCAGAAAATCCCCAATCACTGGGAGGGACCAGCCCCCTGCCAGAAGTGAAGATGGATAGTCTCTCTCCTGTTTGGAAATACTGAGCCTGAGCTCGTTCCGCAACATCTAGGTCATGTTGGTCTGGTCCTGATTTCCAGCAGGGCAGTGCTGAGCTTCAGGTGCAAGTTTAGGACTCAGCAGAACCACCTGCTGACATCAAACCAACGCTCCACTGGAGTCCTGAGAATACAAGGCTGAAAAGGCTAGTGCACTGCGCTCAAGCGGCCATGGCCTTCCTGTGCCTGTGGATTGCATCAAGCACCTTCGTGGCCTTTTTATCCTGGGCCTGGGATGCACTCTCATGGTCCTGCCCAGCCTGGAGCTCCAGGCAACCCTACCACCAGATCGGGGCCAGCCTTCAGGGCAATGAGTGTTGGCACATCCATTTGTAAATCTTAGCTTTGTGCATCCATTTCTAAATCTTAGCCAGTCGCCTTCACCTGAAAGCTAGCTAGCTCTAGCCTGATGGTGTCTGTCTGCACCCTACCCTTGTCGTGGAGATGCTGCTGCTTTTGTTCCCTGCCCTCACATGGCTGAGCAGCCTCCCCACGGGAAACTCATGGGGCCAGAAGGCTGGCCCCTGGCTTGGGGAGGACAGCAAAGCCCGTGCAGCCTGCCTGCAGCTGGTTCTGCATCATTGCCTTCTGTAGCTCAGGAGGAGTTACCCTTGCCCTCCTGTCTCCCAGACTACTCCGGCTGCTCCCCAGCATCCTGGCATTATTGAAGTGACAGAAAGCTTCTGGCTGCATCTGAGAGCTGTTTGGATATTTTAACCACACATAAATGCACTGAGAGGCAACTAGGTTAATAAATAGGCCTACTAGAGGCGAAGCCCAAGCATAAAATTGAGGGAGAAGCCACCCGGAAAATGCAAGAATCCCCAGATCCGATGATCAGATGTGAGAGAATGCACACTTGGTGCTCTCTAAAGGCCTAGAACTAAAAGGCAACAGCTCCCTCGTGACTGTAGTGTTGTGTGAAAGAAAAGTAGAATCCCAGGACCCAAACTCACTATGCTGAAGGGAAAGTTAAGCTTGGGAACTGAGTCACTGATAATGTTTTCCTAAACAGCTGTAATTTCACAACCTGGCTTCACAGCCTCATTCTCTCTGCTCCCTCTTTTCACAAGCTTGCTTTATCATCCGTAGAATGCAGATTTACTGTGCTCGAGGTAATGCATAGCTGACATTCTCCTCTACTCCATCTTTTCACATGTGAAATGTAGATTTACTAAAGCTAGACAGAGCTGCACAAGATGTAAGCATTGGTTTCACTGCCTCACCTCTTCCCTTTTCCCCCCTCCTGCTTGCTCTTTCCCCTTTAAATACTGAAGTTCACAAAGCCCCCTTTAGGAAAAGCAGAGGTCACAGATGCCCCTGTTGTCAGAGGTATGTGAACCAGAGCAAATCCATCTTAAATAGGAGCTGGGTAAAATGAGGCTGAGACCTACTGGGCTGCATTCCCAGATGGTTAAGCCATTCTAAGTCACAGGATGAGATAGGAGGTTGGCACAAGATATACAGGTCATAAAGACCTTGATGATAAAACGGTTGCTGTAAAGAAGCTGGCCAAAACCCACCAAAACCAAGATGGTGATGAGAGTGACCTCTGGTCATCCTCACTGCTACACTCCTATTAGCGCCATAACAGTTTACAAATGCCATGGCAAGATCAGGAGTTACCCTACATGGTCTAAAAGGAGAGGACATGAATAATCCACTCCTTGTTTAGCATATCTTTAAGACATAACCATGAACATAGGCAACCAGCAGCCCTCAGGGGTACTGTCTATGGAGTAGCCATTCTTTTATTCCTTTATTTTCCTAATACACTTGCGTTCACTTTATTCTACAGACTCACCCTGAATTCTTTCTTGCTCGAGATCCAAGAACTCTCTCTGGGGTCTGGATTGGTACCCCTTTCCTTGTAACATCTTTCTGGCTACCACAGAAGCAACTATAGTGCGGAACCCCCCACCGACCCAACAGCTAACTTTGGATAAGTGGTGGGGTCCAATAACATCCTTCTGATGAACCACGTAAGGGATGATACTGAGGAAACCCCCCCCATCCAAAGGAAATAGACTGCAGAACTGATTAGACAACTTTGGGTAAGTGGTGGGGTACTTGGGAAAAGAATGGAATTGGGTTAGAGGTCCAACTTAGGAGAGTTAGAGTCTCTCCTAAGACAGAGTGGGTTAGAGGCCTCTCTTAATAAAAGGCAAGGATGCTTGACCGACCTTGGATTAGAGCCAACTTAGGAGGGTTAGAGGCCCCATTCCATAAAACCCTTCTCAGTAAAATCCCTGTTGGCTAAGAATGGGTTTGGCACTATGGGATGTTAACCTCTATTCTCTTTGGATTAATCACCTTTCACTCTTTGCTGATGGCTATGGGTGAAAGGGTTAAGCATGTACAGTATCATGGGACATGGGGAGCTTTTTCCTCCCCAAAAAGGGGAAACTTGAGAGCTGATGGAACTCCTGTAAAAGATCCCTTTGCTATTGACAAGCAACCACTTGAACTTTTCAGGGTTGTTGCATGGGTGGGTCTTTCTCTGGCCTCACTGAGTGCCTCCCCTTCCCCACCCTGCCACAAGCAGTGCTTTTCTCCCTTGCCTTTCCTCTCTCTGTGCAAACTGGTTGAATGAATGGTAAAAATCACCGTTTATCTCCCATAAAGTTTTGATTAATGAGAAAAAGGATTTGTGAGGCTAGTCGTAAGCTGTAGCAAAATCGATGTGCTTCGTGGGTCTTTCTGTGTTGTTCTGTCATGGAGAGGTGTACCTTAGGATAGAACAAGGCTTAGGACACCTGTAAGCCTGCTTTTCAAGACAGCCCAGCAAACTGGTCAGTCATGTCCTTGGGAGCTTGACCTTGTAACCACGTGAATGGGCTTTCTCTTTTCCCAATGGCAGCCCAAGTTCAGAGTTCAATTCCTGGCTTAGGTAATAAGTCCTTTATCTTCTATGTATTTATATATGTTGTGTGTGTGATGTTTATATCTCAAAGAACTTTGATTAATTGGTTTAGTAATAATAAGAGCTTAAATAGAATATTTTGTGAGAAAAGTAAAAAATGTAATGCCTTTTATTTAGTTCATGTGACTTAATCTTTGGGAAATAAAGAGTTTTAAAGATTATTGGTAAAATAAAAATATCTTCAATAATGTAAACATTTGGTGTAAATTACGCAGGTCAGATATTAAGTTTACTAAATGCTTTAAGGTCATAAACTGTTTTTTTGGCTTTTGAAAACTGTTCAATTTACCTGCTTTGGAGCATTATATTCCAGTTAAGGCCTGGGGACATGTGGTGTTAGCCAGGCCCCCCAGCTATGCTGGAAAGAGTCAATCCTTATCTGCACTTCTGCCTGGTGTGTCCTGGGCTAGGCTCCACACCTAGTACATCATTAAAATCCCAAACTTACCAAAGTTTTCACCAAAAGAAAAAGTTGCTAAGAGTTAACAGTGTGACATGTATTTGAAACTACTGAAAAAACAGTTTTACATGTAAGTTGTGTAAGGAAAGTAGAATGTACTTTTAGCAAAAGATTATTAAGAAGTCATGGGAATGTGGATTTTCTTGCCTACATAAAAGGGTTAAAGAATTGTTTTAAGTTAGGATAAAGCTAAAGGTTTAAGCAAGTTGTGGAAGGTTTGTGAAAAATTAATCTTGTACAAGAAATTCTGTGTGTGAACATATTGGCTAAAATTAAAGGGGTACTATTTGTTTTTTTCCATAAATTGAACATTCGAATGAAAGCACAGCAGGTTTTTCTTAGAGCAAAATCCTGCTTATGAGCTGCTTTTTAACAAAAATTGTAAAATGTTATAAAAGGTTTATGATAATCTTACCTTATGGTCAAACAGTAAAACTGGGTAGATATGTCTATAAGGTTTTATTAAGAATGGGGTTTGACATCAATAATGCATTAATGCAACAGTGACATTTGGCTTATTTGGTTAAAAAAATCATACAAGCAGCATTGTCAAATATAAAATGGTGTTTGGCTTTCTTTGGGTTGTATTTGTATAAATATGTTACTGGTATGTGTCCAAAAATTATGAGAAACTCCTATGATTCTAATATGGCTTACCATATGTTATTAATAATTACAATCGTTACATAAAATCATTGTATGCCACAGAGGTAACCAAATTTCTTTGTCAATCATATTTTTGACCGCGGCTGTCCTAAGACATTTTGTCATCCACAAACAAGTGTTGTCTTGTTTTTTTCCTTTTTAGAAGGTGGTTTATAATCAACTACAGGGCTTTGACAGGTGTTCTTAAATGCAGGTTTCTGATAACTTTAAAAATTGCGACATTAGAGGAAACAATTTTCAGAACTCTCATGGAGAAGTGGAATGCTCATGAATATCAGAACAGGAGTTAACTGCGTAGACTGAACTAACAGAAGCTATTTACAGTTTTTAACAGTTCAGTAAAGTACACTCCTGTGAATAAAATTTGGAGTGTATTTGTTTCTCTCTACTTGATTTCTTCAGAGTTTGGAAACTATTTGTGAGTATTCTTAATTTATGGCAAATAGTTATTTGTGTAAGTGCAATAAGAATCTGTTTTCTTTTGTAACAGGATACAATTGGAAAAACTGGTTATTTTACCAATGCTTTGACTGGAATGGCATGCTTTCCTTTAAGGAATCAAACCTGACTTGTAAAGCCAATAAAAGCCACTTGGGGAAATGCCTTATACCTTGCCTATGCAGTCCCTGTGCAGGGTTTCTGACCTGTGGTAAGTAAAGAATGTCACTTTCTAACAGGTCCAGGAGCCCCAAGTTATCTTGGAACCTCAAGAGGAGAGGAATTCACCCAGCTCATAGGTATTTGAGGGTACAAACCGATGGCAGGGCTCAGCTCTAAAAAAAGTCTTATCTAAAACTCCTTCTGTGGAACAGAGTTCCATCAAAGCCAATTTAAAAAAAGCTTATGTGAAAAATAAGTATTCTTGCTGCACTTTACACAAATAGTCATGCAAAGTATAATAAAACAAATCAGTCTTACCGTGATTTGTTTTTAGTAAAAATAGGAAACTGGAGAGAGAAATATTATGTTTCAAGAACTACGGAACATCTGTTATTAGATTCTAATCTCATCAGTTGTTTTTAAAGTTTGTTTCTGCAATTTAGGCTAATCCTGTTTATTCCTATGAACCAACCAGTGAGCTCTGACTGCTGCTCAGAAGAAACAAGAGAGATGGGTAATGTAGAAATCTGGATCAGTATTCTAAATCTGGACATGTATTAGAATCAACTAGCAACCCCATATCAGCTTGATTCCAGCAGTTACTCAGTTCATGGAAAGCCTACTTATTTAGTTTACTTGAAATAACTTTACTTGTTTTGCTTTATTATTGTGAAATATCTTGCTGTTGTACTCTTTGTGTAGGAATGCAGAATAAGCTTATTAAATGTTGTCTTAAATTGAACACTTGTTAATCTTCCAGATAAAACTTTTTGTTGGAACTCAAAAAAGTTGAATGGCCCTCGCCATACTGACGCTTTCTGACTGAGCTCTACCCTGAATACAAGAGACCCTAATGGTTGGGCAGGAATAGCATCGCCACTTCTCAGCCTCAAGAAGTTACAGAAGATGGATCTTTATCTAGGATTAAGGGTTCTCTTATAAAGGGAGGGGGGGAAATGTCAGAGGCCTGTGAACCAGAGCAACTCCATCTTAAATAGGAACTGGGTAAAATGAGGCTGAGACCTACTGGGCTGCATTCCCAGATGGTTAAGACATTCTAAGTCACAGGATAAGAGAGGAGGTCAGCACAAAATACAGGTCATAAAGACCTTGTTGAGAAAACAGTTTGCAGTAAAGATGTTTGCTAAAACCCACCAAAACCAAGATGGTGACAAGAGTGATCTTTGGTCATTCTCACTGCTACACTCCTACTAGCGCCGTAACAGTTTAAAAATGCCATGACAACATCAGGAAGTTACCCTATATGGTCTAAAAGAGGGGGACATAAATAATCCATCCTTTGTTTAGCATATCATCAAGAAATAATTAAAAAAACGGGCAACTAGCAGCCCTTGGGATGCTCTGTCAATGGAGTAGCCATTCCTTTATTCCTGTATTTTCCTAATAAACTTGCTTTCACTGTACTCTACAGACTCACCCTGAATTCTTTCTTACACAAGATGCAAGAACCCTCTCTGGGGTCTAGATCGGGACCCCTTTCCTGTAACACTGTGATGTGTGAATTTCCCCCTGGGCACATCCTCACCCTTGGCTAAATAAGCCTCGAAAAATTTGAGACACCTGCCTATCACTTTTTGGTTCAGTTTGCATCTTTCTGCAAATGAATGTGTTATACTGATGTCAGTAAAATTAATCCCGAGGTCCTGAGAGAAAAATGGGATCCTGGTGTTTCTTCAAGACTCAAGAAGCATAAGGTTAATTTGGGGGAGGGGATTAGAATTAATACTCGTGGAAAGAAGACTTTTCTTCTTCAGTTGCTGCTTTCATTGTTTTCTCCTTTCCTTCACGTCCCTCACCACATCTCTGAAGGGAATATTCAAGCCTTTTTTGTTAAAACAAACAGAAACAATCTCAATACTTAACAGCTAGACTTTGCACAGTGGACATTTCTTTCAGAAGTGACGAATATACAATTATACACTGCATAATGATGTTTAGGTCAAAGACAGACTGCGTATACCACAGTGGTCCCATAGCTTATAACAGAGCTGAAAAATTCCTATTGCCTACTGATGTCACAGCTGTCGCAATGTTGTGGCATAATACATTATTTGTGTGTATGTGGTGATACTGGTGTAAACAAATCTTCTGTGCAGCCAGGCATATAAAAGTATAGCACTCACAATTTGTACAGTACATAATACTTTGATAATGATACACAACTATGTACTGGTTTATGTGTTTATAATACTATTCATCATTGCTTTAGAGTATACTCCTTTTACTTATTTTTTAAAAAAAAAGATGTTAATGCTGGGTGCGGCGGCTCAAGCCTGTAATCCCAGCACTTTGGGAGGCCAAGGTGGGTGAATCACCTGAGGTCAGGAGTTTGAGACCAGCCTGGCCAACATGGGGAAACCCCATCTCTACTAAAAATACAAAAATTAGCTGGAAGTGGTGGCACGTGCCTGTAATCCCAGCTACTCGGGAGGCTGAGGCAGGAGAATCACTTGAACCCAGGTGGCAGAGGTTGCAGTGAGCCAAGATCGCACCACTGCACTCTAGCCTGGGCGATAGAGCGAGACTCTGTCTCAAACAAACAAAAAAAAGAGCTGTTAAAATAAATGAAAACAATCTCGATAATCAACAGCTAGACTTTGTACTGTGAAACAGCCTCAGGCAGGTCCTTCAGGAGGGTCCAGGAAAAGGCATTATCATAGAGATGGCAGCTCCATGCCTGTTATTTCCTCTGCAGACCTTCCAGTGGGATGAGTCGTGGAGGCGGAAGGCAGTGATGCTGATGGTCCTGACCCTGTGTAGGTCAAGGCTAAAGTGTGTGTTTGTGACTTTGTTTTTAATTAAAAAGTTTAAAAGTAAAAAAAAAAAAAAACAAATAATTTTTTTCTATTTTGAAAAAAGTTCATAGAATAAAGAGATAAAGACAATATTTTTGAACAGCTGTACAATGTGTTTGTGTTTTAAGCTATCTTACAAAAGGGTAAAAAATAAAAATTGGCTGGGTGCAGTGGCTCACGCTTGTAATCCCAGCACTTTGGAAAGCCTAGGTGGGCCGATCACGAGGTCAGGAGATCGAGACCATCCTGGCTAACACGGTGAAACCCCGTCTCTACTAAAAATACAAAAAATTAGCTGGGCATGGTGGCGGGCACCTATAGTCCCAGCTACTCGGGAGGATAAGGCAGGAGAATGGCATGAATCCAGGAGGCAGAGCTTGCCATGAGCCAAGATCATGCCACTGCACTCCAGCCTGGGCAACAGAGCAAGACTCTGTCTCAAAAAAAAAAAAATTAAAAGTTTATAAAGTAAAAACATTGTAGTAAGCTAAATTTATTATCGAAGAAAGAAAAATGTATCTGTATAAATTTAGTGTGGTGTCTGTGTACAGTATTTCTAAAGTCTATAATAGTGTACAGCAACGTCCTAGGCCTTCACATTCACTCATCATTCACTCACTGACTCACCCAGAGCAACTTCCAGTTCTGCAAGCTCAGTTCATGATAAGTGCCCTGTATAGGTGTGCCATTTTTTATCTTTTATATCATATTTTTACTGTACCTTTTCTATGTTTGCAGACATTTGGGTGTACAAATACCACTGTGTTGCAACTGGCTACAGTATTCACAGCAACATGCTGTGCACGTGTGTAGCTTGGGAGCAACAGGCTCTCATTGCCTGGGTGTGCAGTAGGCTGTCCCATGCAGGTTTGTGTAAGTCACTCTATGATGTTTGAAGAATGACAAAGTTGCCTAACGATGCATTTCTCAGAAAGGTGTCCCCATCCCTATGTGATGTATTCACCTGGGGCTCTGCTGAAATAATGTGTGATATTTGAAAACAATTCATCTCTTATTGAACACTTTTACATGCATTATTTCAGTTTGATCTTCACATCCATCCTGGGTGTAATGTTACTAATTTTGTTTTACAAAATGCAAAATGCAGACTCCAAGAGATGAACTAACCAGCTCCACAGTCAGTTAATAGTAGAAAATGGTAGAAAATGTTTTGAGACATTTTTATCCAGTAAGTGGCAGAGCTGTAATTTGAAGCCTGAATTTTGGACTCCCTAAACCAAGATCTTCCTGCCCTGCAGTGCAGTTAGAAAGTGACTTTCCAGACTGAGTGACAGCATTGAAATTTCCTGTTCATGTCCCAGGGTTCCATCCTCATTTTATTCTCATCCCAGGAAAGCAGCAGGACCTGGCTGATTCCCCAACACCGCCACCACCATTTCTGGTCGCTGTTGGAACACAAACACTCCATCTCCTAGAAAAGCTTTGCAGATTGCAGACAGTTAGAGCTGCCAGGGACCGCGGAGGATCGCTAGTCCTTTTGTCTCTCTCAGAAATGGTCTCCACCCATCGATGAATGGATGGATAGACAAAATGTGGCCTATGCATACAATGGAATATCACTCAGCCTTCAAAAGGAAGGAAATTCTGACATACGCTACAGCCTGGATGAACCTTGAAGACATTATGCTAAGGAAAGTAAGCCAGTCACAAAAGGGTACATATTGTATGATTGCACTTACTCCAGGCCACTAGAGTAGGCAAATTCATAGAGACAAAAAGGAGAATGGAGGGAGGAAAGAGGGGAGAGCTCTGGGTTCAATGGATACTGAGTTTCTGTTGGGGATGATGAAAAAGCTTTGGTTATAGATGGTGATGGTTACATGACATCGTCAATGTATTTAATGGCACTGAATTGTACATTTATGAATGGTTAAAATGGGAAATTTTATCTTACGTATATTTTACCACAATATGTATTTTTTAAATGTAGTCTATTATCTAAGTCAGGACCAGCCAAAACAGACTGAGGCTCCCCTCGACGGTGGAACAAGGGCCCCAGGTGATTCTCATAAAACTGGCATCTGGGGACTGTTCATCCAGTCTTGTCATTTTACAGATGAGAAGACTGAGGCCAAAGCTCCTGAGATCTTTCCGTGCGTTCGCATAGCAAGTGGGAGAGGGAAGGGCACCCGGCTCCTGGCCTGGGCTGTCTCACCATGGTGATCTCCAGAGGAGGATGCTTTTCCCAACACTCTGCTGAGATGCATGCCTGTGGGGACACGCTCCCCTGGAGAGCAGGAGGAAAGCTGGGGATGGCCTGCCAGACACAGAGTGGCACCCGCCTCTCAGTGTCACTCACCAGTGTCTGCAGTGCACCCGGGCGGAGGGAGGCCAGGCTGTGGCACACTGTGGTGGACGTTTGTGCACACGGCTGCTGCAGAAATCTCAGTTTAGCTCAGTTTACTTCAGCAAGCAGGAGCTGAGAAGAAGGCTTTCTTCAACTCAGCCTTAGGCTTGGTGCGGTGGCTCATGCCTGTAATCCCAGCGCTTTGGGAGGCCAAGGCAGGTGGATCACTTGAGGTCAGGAGTTTGAGAACAACCTGGCCAACATGATGAAACCCTGTCTCTACTAAAAATACAAAAATTAACTTGGCGTGGTGGTGCGCACCTGTAGTCCCAGCTACTAGGGAGGTTGAGGCAGGAGAATTACTTGAACCCAGGAGGTGAAGGTTGCAGTAAGCTGAGATTGCGCCACTGCACTCCAGCCTGGGTGACAGAGGGAAACTCCATCATGCACCCACAAAAAAACCTAAATCTTACTCCCTGGTCGGGGGGGCACTGGGACCCTCCTGCATGTGCTCTATGTTTATCCCAGGAAGCTGGCAAAGCTGCAGGCGCTGCAGTGAGAGCTGACAGGCCCTGTCCCAGTGAGCATCTGCAGCTGCAGCCTCCCCTTCAGTCCTAGGAAGGGCTGAGGCTGTGGCTCAGCTGGTGTCCAGGGCAGGGCCTATATTAGTCACTGAGGGTGTCAGGAAAAGAACAGAGTAGCCACCTGGGTTCCATCAGCCATGAGCAGGTCCTTCCCCAGGGGAGATCTGTTCCATCCAGTGTCAGGTCCATGCAACCGGCACTGACTGAGCCCTGTGTGGAGTACTGAGGCTGTCCTGGACCTGACATGCCTTTGGCCCCCCAGAAGTCCTGCAGACCCAATCTGACCCATTCTAGGCCACCTTTAGAATGGGTCAGAGTCAGCTGGGTGCAGTGGCTCATGCTTGTAATCCTACCTTTGGGAGGCACTTTGGAGGCTGAGGCAGGTAAAGAGAATTTACCACTTACAGAGCCTCACTTAGGAACCATAAACTTATAATAAAACTTAGAGTTTTATTGAAGAAAAAGGAAATTAACATGGATGAAAGAGTAGGTGAAAGAAGCAATGGTGAGCAAACAAATAATAAAAAATAAATATCTGAGCATATCAATATGAATTTGCTATATAAAATAACGATGATAATTCTGGCTGATGGGGGTTTGAAAACAAAGTTGGGTGTTTACTAGCTTGACTGTGGTGAGGTGTGTACACATGCTAAACTACATCAAATTTTACACTTTAAATAGACCAATATTATTAGTGTCAATTATATGTCAACAAAGCTGTTTAAGAAAAAGAAAGTAGAACTAAAATTCTCAACAGAGTGACATGAAAGATGGGGGGATAAGATCAGAGTTAAAGTTTCTAAGATCTTTCTGTTATTCAGAGGAAGGTTAAAGATATTAACGTTAGACTTTGGTAAGTCAAGTATGTGTTTTAAAAAATTAACTGGGCCGGGCGTGGTGGCTCAAGCCTGTAATCCCAGCACTTTGGGAGGCCGAGGCGGGCGGATCACGAGATCAGGAGATCAAGACCATCCTGGCTAACACGATGAAACCCTGTCTCTACTAAAAATACAGAAAATTAGCCGGGCGTGGTGGTGGGCGCCTGTAGTCCCAGCTACTCAGGAGGCTGAGGCAGGAGAATGGTGTGAACCCAGGAGGTGGAGCTTGCAGTGAGCCGAGATCAGGACACTGCACTCCAGCCTGGGGGACAGAGCGAGACTCTGTCACAAAAAAAAAAAAAATTAACTGTAAACTACTAAAACAACAACAACAACAAAAAAAACCAGACTGTATAAACTTCCAAACCACTAGAGGGAAATAGTTGGAATAAAGAAAATGTAAAAATCCAAAAGAAGGCAGGAAAGGAGAGAAGCAGAAGAAAGAAGATGGTAAATAGAAAGTATAAAATCACATCATTAATATCTCAATAATCATAGTTACAGTAAATTATCTAATCTCAACATTCAAATGCAAAGACTGCCAGATTAAATAAAAAACAAAATCTGGCTCTGGTTTTGGAGGTTTATAAGAGACATACCTAGAACAAAAAAAGGAAAGATTAAACAGTTGGGAAAAAATATTTAGGCAAATGCTGATCTGGAACAGAAAGCTGGAATAGCTACATTAACATCAGACCAAATGAACTTAAGGCAACACATCTTTATTAGAGTTGGTAAAGAAAGGTCAATGTATAATGACAAGAATACAACAGGAAAATATAGCAGTATGTGATCCTGATGGTATAGGCTCAAATATATAAGTGAACAAATGAAATACGGACCAAATATTGTGAAAATAAATAATTCAAAATCTACACTCTTGGAACTCTAGATTATTTTGAGCCCCTTTAAAGGAATGTGATTAAGAACCCGAGTCACATGATAGCCAGGTGTAACCAAGGCAGCTGTAACCTCTGTTTCTCTGATGAAGCTTTCTTCCTTACCTGCAGGCAAAATGTTGTAAATGACCGAAGAGTGCTGGGGAAGACCTCCTCGGTCTCCACTGTTGATCTCCATGATAGATTAACCTCCCCCTTAACTTTCTCACATGTAGATTTCATTGACCATCATGCTGTTTTAAGATTGACACAAAATACACTCTTTTAAATTGCCAAAAGAATGAAAACTAGCTATGAAAAATAAAATAAGCCCTGCGGAAAAGAAAACAAACTGTAACTAATTAATTTGTTGTAACTCATAAACCAGCCTTGATGGAAAAAGCAATCCTGTTAAATTTCTTTGTCTTCTTCCTGTATAAGCAAGAACTTAACTTTTAACTTCGGAGCATGACCCTGTGTGTTTGGAGTCTGTGTTTCCTGGATGACTATTTCAAGCTTTTTGCTTAAATAAACTCTTTAAAACTAGATTCCCATCCTTTTGGTTATTTCAACATACAGTATGGACAGAATTACCCAGTGAAATTTATTAATTTATCCTTACAATGAGAGATTTTAATATACTTCTCACGATAAATGCAATACAGCTTCAATCAAAACCCTCATCATTTTAAAACTGAACTTGACGTTCTAAAGTTTTTCTGGAAGTGCTAAGTGTCAGGAAGCGCCAACACATTCCTGAAGATGAACAAGGTAAAGCACTTATTAGATATCAAGACACTAGAGAAAGGAAATAATTATGATAGTACAGTGTTAATGTTACCAGAAGGGGTCCTGGTCCAGACCCTAAGAGAGTGGGTCTTGCACAAGAAAGAATTCAGGGCGAGTCCGTAAAGTGAACGCAAGTTTATTAGGAAAGTAAAGGAATAAAGAATGGCTACTCCATAGAAAGCAGCCCTCAGGGCTGCTGCTTGCCCATTTTTATGGTTATTTCTTGATTATATGCTAAACAAGAGGTGGATTATTTATGCCTCCCCTTTTTAGGCCATATGGGGTAACTTCCTGACCTTGCAATGGCATTTGTAAACTCTCATGGCGCTGGCGTGAGTGTAGCAGTGAGGATGACCAGAGGTCACTCTTGTCGCCATCTTGGTTTTGGTGGGTTTTAGCTGGCTTCTTTACTGCAAGCTGTTTTTATCAGGAAGGTTCTTATGACCTGTATCTTGTACTGACCTCCTAGGTCATTCTGTGACTTAGAATGCCTTAACTGTCTGGGAATGCAGCCCAGTAGATCTCGGCCTCATTTTACCCAGCCCCTATTCAAGATGAAGTTGCTCTGGTTCAAACACCTCTGATATTTGCACAACAGACAAAGAATATAACATAGAGTGCAGACACCGGCCATCCATACATGAAAGTGTGACATGTGACAGGCAGCACCGCAGGTCAGTGGACCTTGGGACAGTTGGTTTCTATGTGAACATTTTAAATAAACTTGGAGTTCTAGCTCACACCATGCACAAAAATAAATTCCCTGTGAATTAAAGATCTAAATGTTCAAAGCAAAGCTTGAAACTTTTAGAATAAAATAGAGGAGAGTATCTTTTTTGGCCTTGGGTAGAGAAAGCTTTCTTTAATTTGACTTTAAAAATATAAACTGCTTATGAACAGTTTATAAGAAATGAACATATTTGACTACATTCAAATTTAATACTTGTCTATCAAAAGAGTCACCATGTATCAATTAATAAGTTAAGCCACAAACAGGGAGAAGATATTTACAAAGGACATAACCAAAAAAGGATTGGTATCATTATTGATGAGAAAAAGAAAAAAGAAGCTACTGAGATGGTGGATAGATTTAGTTGCCAAGAAAAGGTAGGGTAAAGGGTTGAGGGTTGAGGTGGGGAGTGGCTGAAATTGTAATGTTTTTATTTAAAAAAACCTCTAAAACAACTATGGAAAAATGTTACTATCTATTTCATCTCAGGTGTGATTTTATAGGTATCTGTTTCCCATATCTTTAATGTGTGTGTATATATATATATATATATACACATTTTGTTTTGTTTTGTTTTGTTTTTTTGAGACGGAGTCTTGCTCTGTCGCCCAGGCTGGAGTGCAGTGGCGCGATCTCGGCTCACTGCAAGCTCCGCCTCCCGGGTTCACGCCATTCTCCTGCCTCAGCCTCCCGAGTAGCTGGGACTACAGGCGCCCGCCACCATGCCCGGCTAATTTTTTGTATTTTTAATAGAGACGGGGTTTCACCGTGTTAGCCAGGATGGTCTCAATCTCCTGACCTCGTGATCCGCCTGCCTCGGCCTCCCAAAGTGCTGGGATTACAGGCGTGAGCCACCGCGCCCGGCCTTAATGTATATTAAGAGGACATAGGATGTGCCTAACAGGGAAGATGATGAAGGAATGGACATATGACATTGTGCAATTTGGCGGCCCACTTGGGAAGTTGCTGAGCCGGGGTCGGGAGACACTGGCTGGAGGGTAAGGAAAGGGCAGGCCCCTAGGAGGGGCCCCGCCGGCTGAGAACGCACCCCTGGGCCTCCATGCCTACAGGATCGCAGGCCAAGCCTTTTGGAAAGACATGCGCTAATGCTTGCAGGAAATAAAAGGGGTTTGGTGTTTTTGTTTGAGTTTTCATTTGATTGTTGTCGTGGCAGGACCACCTGGGGAGGCATCCAGGGAAAGTCAGCTGGGGACACTCCAGGCTTGGCTCCTGAGCCCCCTCCAGAAAGGCCTGGGCGGGAATTCCTGTGAGCCTTGCCCGCCGGGTCCCCAGCCGGCGGGCGCCCAGGGCCCTCTCCAGGTAGGGGTGTCGGCCTTGGAGCGCCGGCTCAGAGACAGCCAGCACCTCGCCGGCCACAGCCTTCGCCTCGGAAATGGCCCGGATTGCCTAAGGGGGGGCTTTTCCCGGAGACTCCGCGCTCCACACGCCGCGGGCACAAAGGGCCCTGCGGGGCTGCCAGGGTTCGGGAGGGCCCGGAGCCCCTGCGCGCGCGATTAGACTGGGCATTGGGTTTTTTTCTTTTCAGCAGGTGACCCCGGGGCATTCATCCGACACCAGCCATCTTGGCCTGAAGTGGGCAGAGGGAAAATTTCCTCCCTGCTGTGGCTTCTTCGAGGGCTGTCGGCCGATATTCCCGTGAAGTCCCTGCCAGCTGCTGGGCCGCGTCCGCGCCCCTCCCTGCCGCCAGCACCTTCTCCTGCAGAGGCCGCCCCGCCGCGCTGCTTCCTCATTCAAACCCAGAGCCCTCTGGCAAGGCCGCGCCCGCCCGCTCTCGAAGTGCATATCAGCAGCAGGTGCAGGCCTGTGCCCCCACGGGCGCCTGACCGGGGCCTCTGTGCTGCAGAGCGCAATTTAATCCGGATTCAGTCCAGGCCGAGTGCTGACAAACCTGCCTCCCCCGGGGGTTGGGGCGGCTCAGGCTGTGCGGCAGGAAGTGGCATAGGGCCTGTGCTCAGAGCACCTCTGGGCTCTTGCTCGGCCTGCCGTCACCCTCGGAACTCTTAATACTCTTTTGAACAGGAACCCCACATTTTCATTTCAAATGGGGCCCCACCCATCGCGTCATGGGCCCCTCTAGGGCGAGACGCCAGGCCTCCCCGCCAGCGGGCTGGAAGCATCAGGCCTGCCTGCTCGGAGGGAGAGCAGATCTTCATTTGAGTGGGAGATCGGGGGACTACCAGAGAAGGAGGGGCTGGCCGACAGAGTGGCTGGGGTGCACCATGCGCCTCCGCCCAGGGGCGGTGCGGGCTGAGACATTCTTTCCTTCCTACCTCTTGCTCTTCCCTCCCTCAGCCCAGCCTGCCCTTCTCATTTCACAGCGCTCATCGTGCTTACTGGGACGGGGTCTAAACTGATGCTGGACAGCCTGCCCACGGGAGCTCCCTCACACCCCTGCCCAAGGACGGAATTGGGCCCCAAGTCCTCTGGCTTCACTGAGTTTAAAGCATCTCAGTTCACCTTAACTTGAAAATGTGAATGAAACCTTCCTTGGGAACTTACCAGACATTACCTAATCAGAGGAACCAAATGCTTTTCTAAATACAGCAGAAGCACCCGGCAGAGGCATCGGGAAGGCTGGAGAGGCCCCCTGGACTGAAGACCCCACGGCATTGGTAATGCACTGGCCTTGAGGCCCAGGGAATCACAGGAAAGCCAGCCGGTCACTTGTGGTTGGGCTGGGTCCTTCCTGTGCTTTACACACAAAAGATTCCTGATGCCCAGCTCAGGAGGTGGGAGCTGGGAGCAGCAGTGAAAGAAGAAAGGCATGGAAATGGGAACCCTCCACGTTGAGTCATGGGAACACTGGAATCCTCCCTCTTTCTCAGAGCTACAATGCTGCAGAGCATTCTTCCTCAAAAATAAAAAGGCCAGAAGAGAATGGGGTGGATTTTCTGTTTTCATAGCATTGGGGTGGAAAATCCACCCAACTGTATGAGCGTCCGTGGGGGTGGGGGTAGGGTGAGGTGTTCTGGCTGCATAGAGCAAACCTGGGTTGGGACGGACCTGACGGCCACACCTCGCTTTTATTGCGCTTTGCAGATATTGCATGTTTTATAAATTGAAGGTTTGTGGCGACCCTGCATCAAGCAAGTCCATCAGCGCTGTTTTTCCAACAGTATAGGCTCACTTCATGTCTCTGTGTCACATTTTAGTAATTTTTACTATGTTTTAAACTTTTTCATTATTAACATTATATCTGTTTATTTGTTGGTTTGTTTGTTTTTTAGAGACAGAGTCTCAATCTGTGGCCCAGGCTGGAGTCCAGTGGTGTGATTATAGCTTACTGCAGCCTTGAACTCCTGGGCTCAAGCAATCCTCCTACATCAGCGTCCCAGGAGCTGAGACTACAGGTGTGTGCCACCATACCCAGCCAATTTTCCTATCTTTTTGTAGAGATGGGATCTTTCAAGTTTGTCCAGGCTGGAGTGCAATGGTGTAATCATGGCTCACAGTAGCCTCAAACTCCTAGCCTTGATATTATACCTGTTAAGGTGATCAGTAATCTTTGATGTTACTATTGTAACTATTTTGGAGCACCATGAACTAACCCCATATAAGATGGTGAACTTAAGCAATAAATGGTGATATATTAAGCAATAAATGGTGATTTATAAGCAATAAATGGTGATTTATCCTGATTGCTCCATGGACCAGCTATTACCTGTCTCTCTCCCTCTCCTCAGGCCTCCCTATTCCCTGAGACACAACAATATTGAAATTATGCCATTTAATAACCCTGTATTGGCCTTCTAAGTGTTTGAGTGAAAGGAAGAGTTACATGTCTCTCACTTTAAATAAAAAAACTAGAAATGATTAAACTTAGTGAGGAAGGCATGTCAAAAGCTGAAATAGGCCAAAAGCTTGACCTCTTGAGAAACAATTAGCCAAGTTGTGAATGCAAGGGAAAGTTCCTGAAGGAAATTAAAAGTGCTACTCCAGTAAACACACAAATGATAAGAAAGTGAAACAAGCTGATTGCTGATATGGAGAAAGTTTGAGTGGTCCGGATAGAAGATCAAACCAGCCACAGCAGTCCCTTAAGCCAAAGCCTAACCCAGAGCAAAGCTCTAATTCTTTTCAATTCTGTCAAGGCTCAGAGACATGAGAAAGCTGAAGAAGAAAATGTGAAGCTCACAGATGTTGGTTCATGGGATTTAAGGAAAGAGCCTGGCTCTGTTAACACAAAAGTACAAGGTGAGGCAGGGAAAAAGTACTGATGTCGAAGCTGCAGCAAGTTTTCCAGAAGATCTAGCTAAGAGCATTGATGCAGGTGGTTTCATGAAACAACAGATTTTCAATGTAGATAAAAACAGCCTTCTATTGGAAGAAGATGCCAGCTAGGACTTTTTTTTTTTTTTTTTTTTGAGATGCAGTCTCGCTCTGTCACTAGGCTGGAGTGCAGTGGCACGATCTTGGCTCACTGCACCCTCTGCCTCCCGGGTTCAAGCAATTCTCCTGCCTCAGCCTCCCAAATAGCTGGGACTACAGGTGTGCACCGCCATGCCTTGCTAATTTTTTTGTATTTTTAGTAGAGACGGGGTTTCACCATGTTGGCCAGGATGGTCTTGATCTCCTGACTCGTGATCTGCCCGCCTCGGCCTCCCAAAGTGCTGCGATTACAGGCGTGAGCCACCGTGCCCGGCCCCAGCTAGGACTTTCTTAGCTAGAGAGAAGTCAATGCCTGGCTTCAAAGATTCAAAGGACAGGCTGACTCTCTTGTTAGAGGCTTATGAAGCTGGTGACTTTAAGTTGAAACCAATACTCAATTACCGTTCTGAAAATCCTAGGGCCCTTAGGAATTATACCAAATCTGCTCTGCCTGTGTTCTAGAGATGGAAAAACAAAGCCTGAATGACAGCATATATTTTTGCATCATGGTTTACTGAATATGTTAAGCCCACTGCTAAGACCTATTGCTCAGAATGAAAGATTCCTTTCAAATTACTACTGCTCACTGACAATGCACCTGATCACCCAAGAGCTCTGATGGAGGTGTACAAGGAGATGAATGTTGTTTCCTGCCTGCTAACACGGCACCCATTCTGCAGCTCATGAATCAAGGAATAATTTTGACTTTCAAGTCTTATTACTTAAGAAATACATTTTGTAAGGCCATAGCTTCCATAGGCAGTGATTCCTCTGACGGATCTGAGCAAAGTAAATTGAAAACCTTCTGGAAAGGATTCACCATTCTACGTGCCCTTAAGAGCATTTGTGATTCATGGGAGGAGGTCAAAATATCAACATTAACAGGAGTTTGGAAGAAGCTGGTTCCAGCCCTCATGGATGACTTTAAGGAGTTCAACACTTCAGTGGAGGAAATAACTGCAGATGTGGTGAATTAGAGAATTAGAATGAGAAGTGGAGCCTGTAGACGTGAAGCAATTGCTGCAGTCTCATGATCAAACTTGAATGAATGAGGAGTCACTTCTTATGAATGAACAAAGAAAGTGGTTTCTTAAGATGGAGTCTAGTCCAATGAAGATGTTGTGAACATTGTTGAAAGAACAGAAAGGATTTAGGATACTTCATAAACTTAGTTCATGAAGCAGCAGCAGAGTTTGAGAGCACTGACTCCAATTTTGGAAGAAGTTCTGGTTGTCTTTTTTTTTTTGAGATGGAGTCTCACTCTATTGCCTAGGCTGGAGCGCAATGGCGCGATCTCAGCTCACTGCAACCTCTGCCTCCTGGGTTCAAGCGATTCTCCTGCCTCAGGCTCCCGAATAGCTAGGATTACAGGCACGTGCCACCACACCTGGCTAATTTTTGTATTTTTAGTACAGACGGGGTTTCACCATATTGGCCAGGCTGGTCTCGAACTCCTGACCTCAAAGTGATCTGCCTGCCTCGGCCTCCCAAAGGTGCTGGGATTACAGGCATGAACCACTGTGCCTGGCCATTATTGTCATATTTTAACAAATTGCCACAGCCACCCCCGCCTTCAGCAACCACCACCACCACCCTCATCAACATCAAGGCAAGACCCTCCACCAGCAAAAAGATTATGACTTGCTAAAGGCTTAGATGATTATTAGCATTTTAAGCGATAAACTATTAACTAAGGTACATACTTTTTTAAAGACATAATGCCATTGCACACTTGTTAGACTACAGTATAATGTAAACATAACTTTTCTTGGCACTGGGAAACCAAAAAACTTGTGTGAATCACTTTATTTCAATATTAACTTTATTACAGTGGTCTGGAATGGAATCCGCAATATCTCTGAGTATGCATGTATATATAATTAAGTCCTGAATATAAATATAAATATGTCTATATGGAGACACAGAAAGGAAAAATAGCTGCCTTAGGATCATTTCCATCATTGTGTTATCACCATAAGCCACCAATGTATGTATTGAGCACGTAATCTGTTTCAGGCATACATAATCTGCGTCCTCCACTTTTTCGGCACTGTCATGGTTATTGGACATTGGGGTGCAGTACTTAGGAAGAACCAGCAGTGTAGGGATTTAGTTCCCATTGTCCCACGGCTGAGATCCTTGCCTGGAGTTACTGACTCCCAGGCTGAAGCAACTGAAGCTCTCAGTTTCATGTGGTACATGAGATCCCAAGATGGCAGACACAAGCAAACCATCTTCAATGTCTGACATGAGATGTATGAAGATCAAATAAGGTTCCTTATTTTAAAATGCCTGTTGTAAACCTATTGAGACTCATTTGTTCTTATATCAAAATGACTCTAAAGATACTGAGATAAATGGCTAGCATAGAGTAGAAGGAAAGCATAATATTGAGAACAATGTCCAAAGGGCTGGAATCAAAGCCAGAAAATATTGAGAGAGTCTAAAGGCATTAAGGATCCCATTTTGTAAGGGGTGAAGATTTAGGCCCTTCTGGATAGAAGAATTCCTGTTTTATTGTTGAAGATCTTGGAGGAAGAGAACTCCCCTTTCCCAATGCAGGAAACCTTCCTTTGTCCCTGTCTCATGCCTCAAGATTATTATTGGGAAGCTTTTTCTCAAATCTAAATGCCACCCCTTACTCTGGTATTAACCGATTTACACCCTGTAAAAGAGATGGGAAATAGAATTAGTCTTCCTCTGTGATGTAATAACTTCTCACCCGCAAGAAGAACACAGGGCATTCCAAGTGAAGCAGCCCCAGTTATTTCACGTTTTCATCACAGATCCTATCTCCAAGTCCTTCCATCAGCTTCAGTGATGGATCGTGGTGGGCAGGACCTGGAGGAACAGTCCTGTCTCAGCCAGGAGAAGACCGATGGATTGCTGTCAGCCCCATAGTAGGGTTAATTCCCTCTGACACTGCCTCCCCTTGGAAGAGCCTGGGGTGGGTGGCTGTCCATTAGCTGAAACTAAATCAGACTCCCACTCAGGAGGAGAAGATGATGTAAATAGCAAAAGGCGGTAATTAATGGCAGTAAATAAAGGGAGGTCCAATGTGGAAAAAATGCAAGCTATTACACCAAGGAGGACAAGAATCCCAAACATAGTTATTAACGGTAAGGAGATAAAGTATTTGGAAAATACAAACGCTGAAAGAGACCTCAGGGGAATGAAAACGGCCAACAAATTATATGTGAGCTTGCAACGTGATACAGCCGAAACAACCACACGAAACACAAATAATTCTGAATTGCATAGTTGAGGTATCAAGTCATGGACTGAGGAAGCAAGCGATCTCCCCACAAGCCCCCAGAGACCACAGCCAGGGCCTTCGGACAGCAGAGAGGTTTAGATGCACTGGAGGGGCCTGGAAAGAAAGCAACCGCAAAGGGCCAGGCGCAGGAGGGCTGGACTGAGCAGAACCAGAAGAACTTGTGCAAGCGGTGACTAAGAGCCGTGGCCACTGCCCAGGCCAGCAGCCAGACACAGCGGCCAGCAGCTGGACATAGAGGCCGTAACTGAGGGTGCTGGGCCATGGCTGTGGGGACACCTGGGAGCCTCAGGGCCATCAAGATGGCCCTCACAGCACAGCAGGTGCCCTGGCAGGCATGCAGCATTGCGATCTGGAACAGGATCTGCACAGCAGGGCGCTCATAAGCCCCTAAGAGCTCCAGGTGTGTTCAGTGAGAGAGGGACTGGGGTTCTGTGCAGGGCTTTCCAGACTGTCACTGTCAGGACGCCACCTCTGAGAGGAGAGGCTGAGCCGCTCAAGGACTGCACAGCCTGTGCCCACTCGCACACCCGGACCCCGACTTTTGTGAGGGCTTCATGATACAGACTGTTCCTCACTTGGAGTCCACCCTCAGCCCCGCACCCTGCTCAGGCCTGGTCTTTCTATAATTTCCTGTGATCCGCTTTCTGCCCATGTTTTCGAAATAGCCAAGAGAAGTGCCTAAAGCAGTGGTGGGCAGAAGGGACCACAGACAGCGCAGAGGGTGGGGAGCTCAGGGAGGCCCGGCTTATGGGGGCCCAGGCAGCTCAGGCACAAGAGCCACTGCCCTGAGCACCCATGAAAAACAGGTCCCTCTCCCTGCCCCGCCCCTGCTGCCAGGGCTTGTACTGTGCAAGCCACTCTTTCATGCTTTCAGCAAATACTTCTTGAGCTCCTGCATGCCTAGCCTGTGCTAGATGCTTAAAATGCGAACAATGGAAAGCAGGAGCCTCAGCGGGGCCACAGGAACAAGGGGATGGAGGTGAACGTCGAGGTTCCAGCGCCAAGAGGTGAGTGCGAGAACTTGGAGGTACAGGGAAGCCGCCGGCCCAAGCCTGCAGGGGAGACTCGAATAGAGCAAGCAATGTGAAGGTTCTTGCAGAAGGAGTGGACTCTACCCAGCAGAGGAAGGGGTGAGGTCCCCCAAGGCAGAGAGGGCAGCTCTCCGAAGGTGTGAAGTATAACATCCGAATGAAAAGTGGGGAGGCTGGAGTCACACTGGCTGTGTGGCCCCCAGCAAGCTGCTTAACTTCTCTGTGCCTAAGCATCACATCTATGAAATATGGATTACAAATAGGCTGGACCCAGTGGCTCTCAGCTGTAATTACAGTGGAGGATTGCTTGAGGCCAGGAATTCTAGACTAGCCTGGGCAATAGAGCCAGACACCATCTCTACAAAAGTAAAAATTAAAAAGTAGCTGGGCATGGTGGTGACCCTCTGTAGCCCCAGTCGCTCATGAGGCTTATGTGTGTTAGTGTACGTAGAACCCTTAGAACCCTGTCTGACACACACAAAAGAACTCATTAAATATGAGCGATTGTTTTTTCTACAATGCTGGGAGAATCTGGACAAATCCGGTCTGAATGGGCAGGGCCAGGCATCAGGAAGCTCAGCAGCAGGCGCGGGAGCAGGACTGACCCACGGTGAGGCCAGCCCAGGGCACAGAGAGGCACAAGGCCCTGGGACTTTTGGAGAGTGAGATGAGAAATAACTTTCTCATTCTTGTTTCACAGATTAAAAGATATATTACATTTTTTTCATTGTTTTCATTCAAATCATTTTCTAATTACATGACCTAGAAAACTAAAATTAAAACACACTGGCATTTTTATATTGCATAATTCAAGAGCTGTAGGAAGCTATTGCTTAAACGTGTATTTACTTGTGGCCAAAAGAAAAAACAAAAAACAAATGTCCTATTTTAATGATTTGGCTCACAAAATGCATTGTGCTCGGGGAGCTTGAGAACAAAAAGTGAGCTCTACGAAAACAGGCTACCCAAAAAGGTGAAAGCCAAAAGAGTTGACACTTAAAGCGAATGAAGTCCTTTACCTGAATGAATTGGACCAGCTGTCCAACCACTCTTTCAGGCTCTCGCCCTAGAGGTCACGGGGAAGGGAACCTTAGGGCTTAGGGAGAAGCGGATGCCCAGAGGACGCCTGGGGTTAGAAAGTCCAGAATCCTACCTCGGGACAAGTCTTCACAAATCTCTTAGGTAGGGAAAGAGCCACTGATTTTTTTTTTTCAATTTTTTAAATTGTGGCAACATACACATGAAACTTACGATCCCAACCATTCTGAGGTGCGCAGCTCAGCGTTATTACCCACTCTCATGATGCCAAGCAGCGAGCACCACCTTCCAGCTCCACAACTCTTGACCCCTTGGAAAACTGAAACTCTATACTTACTAAGTCCTAACTCAGAAGCCACTGACTTTTAAATTAATTTATAATACATTCACCCACGCTTCTTGAAAATATATGCATCCTTTCCCCCAAGGAATTGTTTTTTTTTTACTTGAAGTTCTGGGATACACGTGCAGACATGCAAGTTTGTTACCTAGGTTTTAAGGCCTGCATGCATTACGTATTTGTCCTAATGCTCTCCCTCCCCTTGCCCCCACCCCTCCCACCCCAAGGATTTTAAAAAACATTTGAAAAACATGTTTAAAAACTGATACATAATAATTGTACACGTCTATGGGGTATATTGAGTGAGTTTTGATGCATACTGTGCATAGTGATCAAGTCAGGGTAATTAGCTTACCCATCACCTCAAATAGTGATCATGTGTTTGGGTTGGAAACATTCAAAATCCCACCCTACAGTGCTGTAGAACACTAGAAATTATTCCTCCTATCTAGCTGTAATTTTGTATACTTTAATCAGTCCCTCCCTCTCCTTCTCCCTCCTCCACTTCCCAGCAAATGCTACTTTTTGTGGCTAGGGGGTTGAAGGTGCAGGCCTCTGGCTGCCGGCCCTGGTGGAGGGGACCCGCTCCTCCCTCCTGCGGCTCTTCTATGAAGGAGCGAGGTAGCAGCTGAGTCCAGTCACCGTCAGCCCACAGGTATCGGTGAGCAGGGCTCCTGGGTGTTCGAAGGTCTCTGTTTTTCACCTTCCTTCTTCTTCCTGTTTTTTATCTTCCTGTTTTTTACTTTCCGTCCTGCTCCATGTGGTGACCCCTGGGTGGGCCTGGCCAGCTCTCTTCACTCCACTGTCAAAAACGTGAGGACACTCATCTCCCCCGTGCATCCAGCCAGGGAAGACCACAGGAGCTAGGAGGACCCATCAAGCCACGGGCCTCAGCCACGCGTTTCAGGCTGGTTTCCACAATGCTTTGCACGCCCGCGAAAAATAACATACTGTTTGGTTTCCCTGGCCATAGTATTTGGGTAGAGGCCTCCTGCCTGGAGTTCCTGCCCAGAGACAGCAGCATCAAAGCCAGATCCCATAGCCCTGTGTCCATGGCTGGAATAGCCTCTCACACCGTCAGAACCACTAAAGATGAGCACACCTAGGTCCCCATCACGGCTGGCCCCTGCAGCCCTGGACAGTGCCCCTTCCCTGTCACCTAAGTGCTGATGATGGGGCCATGACAGAGAGCTCTCACCACAGCCCAGGACAGCTTCTGCGCAAAGCCTGCTAAGCGCTCTTCGTGGTTAACACACAAGAAGTGATTCTGTCCTATCAATGCCTACATGGCCACTCACAGGATTAATGTGACTTCCCTCGGACCTCTCCTCTACCACTTTCCATGCAGGCTTTGTACAAATTATAAGCCACTTTATCAGAGGATGCTTGTGAGTTCTTAAAGCCTCTGAAAATGCTGAGGTTTGGGGAGTGACCCCACAAGGGCAGGAGGTCTCTGCATGGTCGATAATCAGGTTGGTGATTTCCAGGCAAAATGCTGGATGCCTTAAAGGTAGGATGACAATGGGGGAGGATTCCTCTTCTGGCTGCAGCAAACAAAATGTAAAGAGTAAAAAAAAAAAGGCTCAGGAGTCAGGAAATTCTATACTGATTTCAACAGCAGTGCTCCCTCTGCCCACACATTCCCACTCAGCATCCAGTGACAGGCTGGAGGTCTTGCCAAAGGCCATTTGAAAGAGAGTGGTTTGCTCTGTGCTCACTGGAACTGCAAGTTTGCAAATCAAAAGGCTTTGATAAATATTTGACAATGCAGCTTCTGCTGAACCCTCTCCCCCATCTTCCTGGATAAAGTGCAGGGCCCCGGGACTCCCTGGATGGATGGCGCAGCTCAGTTCCACACTGGCCCAGATACAGGCCAGTGGTGACATGGCCAGGGCCCCCACCAACCTCCACTCCCTGAGATCCCAGAGGACTGGAAGATTCTTCCCAATACCCCACTCAGCTAGTGTGTGATACTCCATGTGCTAGGGACACAGGGAGGGGTAAAACGGGACTTTGCCATCAAGGGGCTTCTAAAACAGAAAAAATAGGTTAGATAATTTCCAGTCCCCTGTGAGTGCTATGGAGGAAACAGCAGAGGGGCACAGGAGGCCACGTGGGGTGGGTGGGCAGTGGCAGTGAGGCCTGGAGTGGAGCTGCTGGGCTTGAGTGGACCGCACATGGAGGAAGCAGTCACACACATCCGTGGTGAGATTTGGGTGGAGGAAAAGCAGGTCCAATTCCCAGGATGGGATGTGGTGGAGCCTCAGGGGCCAAGCACAAGATGGTGAGAGGTGGTGCTGAAAAGCAGGTGTTCTGTGGGGCCACGGAGGCCTGGTCATGAGTTTGGATTTGACTCTGGCCTTGCTCCAGGTCCCCACAACCAGGCTTCAAGTAGGTGCAAATTGTTATGTCTCATTTTACGGATGAGGGAGACCAGTGGACAGAGACAGGAAGTAAATTGCTATTAGCCACGTATCTCACTGAGTCAGAATTCGAACCTAGGTCCACCTAATCACTGCCTGTTCTTGCCACTATGCTGCACTGGAAATTCCTAATAGAACATTCACTTCAGTGGTCAAACAGCCCTGGCAGATGTTAGCCCTGTTGTAACGTAACAATGCCAGAAGGGCAGGTGAAGCTGGAGTGGGGGTGTCGGGTAGGATGAAGTCAGGGGGATGCTTCAAGGGGCTTCAACCCGAATTGGGGTGCAAAAGATGGCAGGGAATCACGGCGTGCTGGTAAATGTGCAACAACCAGGTTTTGGGGATGCAAGGCCCGGACTTACAGCATTTGCCGACTTCCGTGGTGTAAACACTCCCACTGTGGCTAATTTTAAGTACCAAAGTGATGTTACTGATGCAGAAGAGGCAAGAGATGCACACAATTGGCTCTTGTGGGCTGGTCCAAGCCGGCTCCAGCACACCTCTGGGAGAGGATGTGCCTTTATCAGAGGCTGAGCATGGACTCCAAAGCCAGGTGGACTGGGCACAAAGCACAGCTCTGGTGTGTGTGTGTGTGTGTTTGAGGCAGGGTCTCACTCTGTTGCCAGGATGGAGTGCGGTGGTGCGATCTTGGCTCACTGCAACCTCCGCCTCCCAGGTTCAAGCAATTCTCCTGCCTCAGCCTTCCGAGTAGCGGGGATTACAGGCACCTGCCACCATGCCCGGCTGATTTTTGTATTTTTTAGCAGAGATGGGATTTTGCCATGTTGGCCAGGCTGGCCTTGAACTCCTGACTCAGGTGATCTTCCCGCCTTGGCCTCCCAAAGTGCTGGGATTATAGGCTCTGGTGTTTATTAGCTGTATGATCTTAGACAAGTAACCTAACTTCTCTGTGCTTCAGTTTACCCCCTTGCAAAATGGAAATAACGACAGTACCTACCCTAATAGGGTGGTTATGAGAATTAAGAGAGTTTATATTTATAAAGTGTGTTTGGAAAACACACAGAATCTAGTAAATTCTATTTAAATATTTTCTAATAAAATACAGAAGGGGAGCACAGTGATCAAATTAACTTTATGGTACTGAACAGGTGTTTGTGTTATAAAGGAAGCAGAATGTCAGGCAATAGTAAAAAATAGTAAAAAAAAAAAAAAGTACATAAATAATAAATGAATGAATAAAATAAATAAAGAGTAAAAAAAAAATCCTTTGTTTTGTGCTCTTTAAAATATATTGTCAGTATTCAGCAGAGTCTGGTGCTTGAAGACATTATCTACTGCCCTCTACAGTTCGGGCTCCTTTTCCCACCTCAGGGCCTTTGGACATGAAGCTTCCTCTGCTCTTTCCCCAGACACCAAAATGGCTCTTTCCTTGGCCTCTTTCAAGTCACCTTCCCAGTGAGCTCACCGCTGACCACCCTATTTTAAGTTGTGTACTTCTCCAGCTTCTATAGTCTCCCGCCAATTCTTCCCATAGAAGTTGTTACCAGGCCAGGCACAGGGGCTCACATCTATCATCCTAGCACTTTGGGAGGTTGAGGTGGGAGGATCACGAGAGGCCAGGAGTTCAAGATCAGCCTGGGAGACATAGTGAGATCCTGTTTCTACAAAAAAATAAAAAGTAAAAAATCAGCCAGGTGTAGTGACATACATCTGCATCTGTGGTCCCAGCTACTCATGGGGATAAGGCGGGAGGATCATTTGAGCCCAGGAGTTCGAGGTTACAATGAGCTTCACTCCGGCCTGGGCAACAAAGCAAGATCCTATTTCAAAAAAGAAAAAAAAAAAAAAAGAAAAGAAAAAAGAAGCAGTTACCTTTTCATCTAGTTTATGTAGCATCTTTGTTTTTTGTCATTCGCAGTATGCTGGAATGTAAATGCCATGAGGCTAGAGAGTTTTGACAGTTTTGTTCACTGCTGTATCCCTAGCTCCTAAAATGTAGCAAATGCACAGTAAGTGCTTAATAAGTTTATGAAATGAATATAGGAATATGTTGCTCTGAGTTCAAGGAAATTTTCAGAAACATTAACTTCATAATAATCATACCAAACTGCACTAAAGCTTCAGCTACAAATGTTAGCAGTCTTTTAATGCAAATATCCAGGTGAGACAATAAGACTCATCAGTAAGATTGCCATTGTACTTCAACACAGATGACCTTCATCTGTGTGTAGCTATTATTATTATTTTTGAGACAGAGTTTTGCTCTTGTTGCCCAGGCTGGAGTGCAATGGCGCAATCTCAGCTCACTGCAACCTCCACCTCCCAGGTTCAAATGATTCTCCTGCCTCAGCCTCCTGAGTAGCTAGGATTACAGGCATGCACCACCACGCCCGGCTAATTTTGTATTTTTAGTAAAGATGGGGTTTCTCCATGTTGGTCAGGCTGGTCTCAAACTCCCAACCTCAGGTGATCCACCCGCCACAGCCCCCCAAAGTGCTGGGATTACAGGCAAGAGCCACTGCACCTCACCTGTGTGTAGTTATAATACTTCTTTGAACATTTATTTTATAGAGTTTTCTTCATGCTTCATATCCCTCCCACTGAACCTGGACATGAATTACTGGGTACCAATGAACCAGGCACTGAGTAAATATATTTTCTTGAATCTTTGTTGACTCCATGTCTTGAATCCTGGGCACACTGGGGCAGGAGTTCGACACCCAAGGCCTTGGGTAGCTGGCCCTGTGGCTTTGCTGGGTTCAGTCCACTGAGCAGTTATCATGAGTTGGATTCTAACGCCTGTAGCCTTCCTAGGCTGAAATTGTACACTGGTGGCTCTACACTTCTGGGGTCTTGGTGGTGGTCCCACTCCCACAGCTTCCCTAGGCATTACTCTAGTGAGGACTTTCTGTGACAGCTCCACCCCTGTGGCAGGTTTCTGCTTGGGCACCAGAGAATATTTGAAAAATTATTTGAAATCCAGGTGGAGGTAGGCATGCCCCCATAGCTCTTGCATTCTGTGTGGCTGCAGAATTAACACCACACGAATGTTACCAAAGCTTACTACTTGCACCTTCCTGAGTGGCAGATTGAACCACATCTGAGTCTATTAATAGCTGAGCCATAGCTGGGGCAATCCACAGGCACTTTGGCAGAATGTGGGAAACAGGGACCAAGGCAGCTCTAGGCAGCAAGCCTCTGGAGGGCACCCCAGGCCCATCCTCTGAAATCATTCTGCCCTCCTAGATCTCTGGGGCTGTGATGGGTGGGGAAGACTCAAAGATCTCTGGAATGTATTCAGGATCTTTCTCCCATTATCTTGAATAGCATCTGGTTCCCTTCTATCCAGGGTAATCTCTTTAGCAAATGGTCACTTGACCACACCCTTGGTATTCTCTCTCAAACATGCTTTTTCACACTTTATATGGCCATATATATATACACACACACACACACACACAGACATATATATGTATATATGTATATACATACGTGTGTATATATGTATATACATACATGTGTGTATATATGCATATACATACATGTGTGTATATGCACGTACATATGTACATATGTATATACATGTGTGAGCGTATATACATACATGTGTGTATACACATACACGTGTGTATATATGTATATACATACACTTGTGTATATACACATACACGTGTATGTGTATATACACACACGTATGTGTATATACATGCATGTGTGTATATACATGCAGTGTGTATATATACACATGCATGTGTATATATACATATGTGTATATATGTATATACATATATGTGTATATGTGTGTATATATCTATATACATATGTGTGTATGTGTATATATCTATATACATATGTGTGTATACGTATATACATGTGTGTATATATGTATATGCATGTATTTGTGTATATATATGTATATATATGATTTACAGACAGGTTTCCATGGCAAACAAGAGCAGATGAAACAAGTCCAAGAGAAATGTAAACAGAAAAGACAAGTCTCAGCCAATCTCTGATGAAACAGGAATACAAACTACCCAAAGGCAACTATTTCAATCATCACAACTAAAATCCCTGAAACATGATGAGAACTACCAACTGAATTAAGACAGTGCACTTTTTTATGAATGTAATAGTCACAGGTTCATGAGACTCTAATGACACAAGGGCAGTCACTTTCTACATACAAATGTATCTCCTTGTTTAATGGTCTAGACAAGTGTTACTGCTTTAATTCATGGCCTTACAAAAAAAATTTGTATATCTTCTTCTGAATCTTGACATTTTCTGTAACCTTGGTAGCTAAGTGCTGACAATTATCTAAATGCAAACAGTTGTTGCAAAAGGATGAAATTAGTAATGATGGGTCCACTGCAGAGAGGCAAAATATAGGTTCATGAAGATTCACAACAGCAATAGGTCTAAAGCTGCCAGTCCCTTTCATGTAAAAAGACAGAAACACACACACAGACACATATATTCATACACATTAACAGACAGTGCAGACATGAAAGAGGTTATTTTCATTCATCCACAGCAAAGGCAGAGCTCTGACTTTTCCTGGTGCACAGCAGTCAATAAATGCTCACTGAATGGAAAAATAGTGCCAAATCCAAAGTTACAAAACCTATTGATGTTTAGTAGTGATTATGCCAATAAAACTGCATCATTTCGACTGAAGGGAATATGGGTGAGTTTTTCTACCATTCTTAGTAATGAGAAGCCATTCTGGGTATCTTAGTGCTAGAATTAGAATAATTTCTTGTTTCACAATTTCCTGTCTCTCAATAATTCCTCCTTTCCCAATCAATCTACGAAGATAAATTCAGGTCATTTAGGGTCCTACAAGACTGTTACAGGAAAGCATAAATATACTCCAATGTATGTATACCATCATAATTTGAATATATATAGAAAAAACAAAATTTGATAGTCCCCCTCTGGCTTGGCTTTCCCCATGCCTCTCATTAGTCATAATTGAATAGTCATTTTATTTATAGCCATAGACTTAGCAAAGACGTCAAAGTGAAACAAATCTAGTCAGGTGTGGTGGCTTAGGCCTGAAATCCCAGGCACCTTGGAGGCTGAGCTAGAAGGATTGCTTGGGCCCAGGAGTTCGAGACCAGCCTGGACAATATAGCAAGACCTGTCTCTAACAAAAAAATAAAATATTAGCCAGGTTTGATGACTCACAAATGTAGTTCTATCTACTCAGAAGGCTGAGATGGGAGGAAAAGTTGAGCCAAGGAATTCGAGGCTTCAGTGAGGTATGATTTCACCACTTTATTCCAGTTTAGGTTACAGAGGAAGACCTTGTCTTAAAAAAAAAAAAAAAAAAAAAAAAAAAAGAAGGCCAGGCATGGTGGCTCACACCTGTAATCCCAGCACTTTGGGAGGCTGAGGTGGATGGATCACTGGACATCAGGAGTTTGAAACCAGCCTGGCCAACATGGTGAAACCCTGCATCCCCAAAACACAAAAAGAAGCCAGGCCACCATGATGGCGGTGTAATCCCAGCTACTTGGGAGGCTGAGGAAGGAGAATCGCTTGAACCTGAGGGGGTGGGGTTGGGGGTGGAGGCTGCAATGAGCTAAGATAGCACCACTGCACTCCAGCCTGGGCAACAAAGTGAGACTCCATTTAAAAAAAAACACATACAATCATTTCAGTAGATGATGAAAACAATAAAATTCAACATACCTTTATGATAAAAACTCAACAAAATGTGCAAGAAGGAACATATCTCAGCATAATAAAGGCCATATATGATAAACCCACAGCTAACATCATGATCAATGCAGAAAGGTTAAAAGCTCTTCCTCTAAGATCCGGAATAAGTGTGGTTACTTTTGCCACTTTTATTCATCATAGTACTGGAAGTCCTAGCTACAGCAATTAGACAGGAAAATGCAATAAAAGGCATCCAAATTGGAAGAAAAGGAAGTCAAATTGTCTCTGTTTGCAGCTGATATGATCATATATAAAGAACCCTAAAAATTCCACCAAAAAACCTACTAGATAAATTTAGTAAAGTTGCAAGATACAATATCAACATACAAAAATGAGTAGCACACCCATGCACCAACAGTGAAATACCTATGAAAGAAATCAAGAAAGCTATTTCATTACAAAAAAATGATACCTAGGGACAAACAACCAAAAAGGTGAAAGATCCCACAATGAAAACCATAAAACATAGATGAAAGATATTAAAGCAGACACAAGTAAATGGAAAGATATCCCATGTTCATGCACTAGAAGAATATTGTTAAAATACCTATATCACCCAGTGTGATCTACAGGATCAATGCAACCCATGTTAAATTACAAAAGACATTCTTCACAGAAATAGAAAAAAAACCTAAAATTCACACAGAAATGCAACATACCTCAGAGAGATAAAAGAATCTTGAATAAAAAGAAAAAAGCTGGAGGCATCACACTACCTGATTTCAAAATATACTACAAATGTATAGTAACCAAAACAGCATGGTACTGCAAAAAAAAAAAAAAAAAAAAAAAAAAAAAAAAAGAGTGAGGGAGCAACAGACAGACATAGACAAATGACAGACAGACAACAGAATAGAGAACTCAAAAATAAATTCACACATTTACAGTCAACTCATTTTTAACAAAGGCACCAGGAACACACATTTGGGAAGGACAATCTCTTCAATAAACTGTGCTAGGAAAACCCAACACCCACATGTACAAGAATCAATCTAGACTGTTATCTTACCATATACAAAAATCAACTCAAAATAAAGATAATTTCAGTGTAGGCCCTGAAACTATGAGACTACTAGAAAATAAAAAATAAGATAAATGCTTCATGAAATTGATTAGGACAAGGAATTTTTAAATAGACATCAAAAGCACAAGCAACAAAAGCAAAAATAGACAAATGGAATTGCATTAAACTTAGAAGCTTCTGCAAAGCAGAGGAAGCAATCAGTAGAATGAAGAAACAATCTAGAGAATGGAAGAAAGTATTTGCAAGCTATGCATCAGGCAAGGGGTTAATACACACAATAGATAAAGAACACAAACTACTCAAAAGCAAAAATACATATAACCCGATTTAAAAATCAGAAAAAGATCTACCCAAAACCTTTGTCCCCCACCATTATTTCCCCACTTTCTTTTTCTGACAGCCTTCAGTTCTCTCCTTGTCATCAGCCTTTTTCTTCATGTACCCCAAAACTTTTTCCCCACCGTCTTTTTGCAAAGCCTTCTCTACTCCCCCATTCACCATACTTTTTCCCCATCCATCTACCCAAAAACTTTTCCCCACGTTTTTCCCCACCATCATTTCCCACTCTTCTGGGCAACCTTGTTTTTCTCTCTCCTGCTCTCATCACCCTCTTTTGCTCCTCCATCTACCCAAAAACATTTCCCCCATCTTTTCCCAAAGCCTTCTCCCGACTCCTGCTTCTCACCACCCTCTTTTCCCCCTCCATCTTCCCAAACACTGTTTTCCCCACGTCTTTCCCCCTCTCCTTGCCACCCTCTTTCCCTTCTCCATCTATTCAAAAACATTTCCCCACTGTCTTTTTGCAAAGCCTTCTCCCAACTCCTGCTCACCATCCTCTTTTCCTCTCCATCTACCCACCCAATTTTTCCCATCTTTTTACAAAGCCTCCCCCCAACCCTGACTTCCCACTCGCCATCTTCTTTCCCCTAACCTGCTTGTCACCCTCTTTTCCCTGTCCATCTGCCCAAAAACTTTTTCCTCACCATCTTTTCTTTCTCCACGGTCTTTCTTTTCCTGCCCACCATCTTTTTGCAAAACCTTGTCTCCCTCCAGCTTGCCAACCTCTTTTTTCTTCTCCTGCTTGCCATCCTCTTTTCCCCCTCTATCTACCCAAAAACTTTTCTCCCCACTGTCTTTTCTCCATATCATCTTTTTGCAAAACCTTCTCTCCCTCCTGCTCACCACCCTCTCTTCCCCCTCCCTCTCAGCACCCTCTCTTCTCCTCCCACTTGCCACCCTCTTTCTTGCCCTCCATCTACCCACAATGTTTTTCCCCACTGCCTTTCTTTTCTTCCCACAGTGTTTTTCCCCACCATCTTTGCAAACCTTCTCCCCCTCCTGTTTGTCTCCCTGTTTTTCCGCCTCCATCTACCCACTTTTTTCCACCATCTTTTCCCCACCATCTTTTTGCAACTCCTTCTTCTGCTCGCCCCGCCATCCACTTTTCCCTTTGGCACTCACCACCCTCTTTACTCCTCCATCTACCCCAAAACTATTTCCTTCCTCCTACCACTCCAGCTGGCTGCAGTCTCCGTTGCTGCCACCAACCACAGCGATGTGAGCCACAGTGGCACAGGCTGCAGCATCCAGCGTGTAGCAGGTGGCTTCTCCCTCTGGTCCTCTAAGCTGGGAACAGAGCAGCTGGTCAGGAAGACACAGAAGAGCCTTAAATGGGCTGATTTCAGCATCATTTATATACAGATGTTATGCAAATGAGGTTTCTGGACTACATGTTCTGATTGGATGAGAGCAAGCCTGAGGACAACCAATTAGATCATGAAAATAAAGTCCAATCAGAGTAGGTCTAGAGGTTTACTCTCATCCAATCCAAATTTGGAGACCAGGAACCACATTCCCATAACCTCAGTATATAAGGTATGCTGAGGAGGCCTCAAGCCATTCCAGGCTCTTCTGTGCCTGTGGGACTACATTCTCTGTGCCGGGCTTAGAGAACACGAAGAGGGAGCCATCTGCCACACTCTGGAGGCTGAAGCCTGCACCAGTGCTGCTCGCCTCACTGTGGTAGGTGGTGGTGATGGAAACTGCAGATCGGCCAGAGTGGTAGAAAAGTTGCTGCAGGGTAGGTATGCTCTCTGGGGCAACCGCAGACTGCGGTTGGGTGTGCTGTTAGGGCTGCACTGCCCATGGCTGCACTGTGCATGGTAAGGGGGGCTGGTTTGGGGTGCTATCCGGGTTTGCATTGCAGGCGGTGGGGCCAGCTGCGGTATGGCGGTGGCGGGGGGTGGTTACACTGCCAGAGGCTACACTGCCCGAGCCAGGAGGCGGGTTATGTCCGCTATTGTGGACTGCTGGCGGCAGGGTGATGGGTTGGGTTGGGTGAGCTATCCGAGGCTAGAATACTGGCGGGGGTGGGGGGGGGCAGTTTGGGGGCACTGACAGGGGTGTGGGGCATTCGTTATCAGGCAGCTCAGGGCTGGCTGGGGGCACTATACGGGGCCATGGAGGGTAGCAAGTTGGGGGTGCTATCTGGGACTGCACTGCCTGTGCCAGGGAGGGCACGGTTTGAAGCCCTACGATGTGCTGGAATGCCTGTGGCAGGGATGGGTCGGGGGCCCTATCAGGGGCTGCACTGCTGGTGGCTGTGGGCAGCAGAGGTGGCAGCGAATAGTGGTGGCCTCCAAAGAAGGGGCTGTTCTCCTCTTCCTGGACTCCAGACTCTAGAGGGCGACAACGTCCTGCTCCTGGTGGAGCTCCGCAGGCGCACAGCATTTCCTCAGGAATCCTGAACACAGCAGGGCCCCCACACCACCGTGGTTCCCTGGCCTGAGCCCTCTCACTCTGTGTTGTGGAGACCACCTGGGACCCCTGGGCACGGAGTAGCAGATACCATGGGGAGAGAGGGCCCTGTAGGCTGAGGCATTGGGAACGGGCACTTGGGTGGAGAGGGTTGGCTGGGTCTCAGTTTCTGCTGCTCCCACCCTCCGAGGAAGGTATCCCCTGTCCCCCGGGGTTCCTGTGGAGTGGGGAGCCGGGCACTGCCATGTCTCCAGTCCCCACCCCAGGCCCCAGTTCCTGGCCGCTTAGACCAAAAGGAGAGGCTGGACTTTGGAGGGAGGGTGCGAGTGCCTTCACTGAAACTGGCCAGTGGCGGGCATGACAAGGTGAGGCTCTAACTCTACCACCTCCTCCATCCTGTTCTAGGTTTTTCTGGCTTTGCCTGCCCAGCTGCTCCATGCCTGGCTAGAGGAGAAGGAGGAGCCACATGTGGTACACTGGAGGCTGGAGCCTGCAGATGGCATGGCTCTGCGGCTCACCTTGCTGCAGTTGGTGGTGGTGACAGAGACTGCAGCTTGACTGTAGTGGTAAGAGGATGCCTGTGGCAGCCAGATGATAGGGGCCTTATAGGGTGGGCCAGTGCATTGAGGGTGACAGCAGAGGTGGTTGTATTGGCATCAGTGCTAGTGGTGGCAGCAGCAGCAAGTCTGGGAAAAGAAAAGATGAAAAAGAAAAATTCACAACTGCCAGATCTTCTCCTGTCTGGAAGTGTTGTGTGTGCTGCCAGTACAGGACACCCGTGGGCCACTGGAGGGGGAATTCAAGACCTTTTCTATGGTGTTTAAAGACAAGGGCGAGTTGTAGGTGGGAACCAAAGTCAAACAAACAGGTGGGGAGGAGAGCTGGGTACTCCCTTTCCCTGACTCAGCCTTTTATTGATGAAGGCAGGGATGGGATGGGGAGAGCTCACCTGGCAAAGACTCCACACAGGTGTGCAGCACACCCTGATGGGGCCAGAAAATGTCACTGTGAGCCCTAGGGGTGAAAGACACAGTGATGGGCTGCTGGGCAACTACCAAGTGTAGAGATCCTGAGTGCCCAGAGAGTTACCAACCACTTCCCTTCCCTGTGCAGATCAGTGGAGGCAGATACATACACAAAATGGGAAGGGGAAAGAAAACGGCTTTCAGATCTCCCCACCATAGAGACTATAAGATTATTCCAGAATGGCCACAATTTTTTCACTGCCCACTCTGGGCCAAACAGTGTCCATACACTACGTCATTCTTATGAGGGTTACTTAGTTCCATTTTATGATGAGGACATTTAGGCTCAACTTGTCCCAGGTCACATAACTGTTAAGTAATTGTATTTTCCAAGAATGATCCTCTTTCAACCTCACGATGATGCTTCCATGGTTGGAAAATAAAATTATTCACAAAAGTGAAAGTACTAGGGGCAGCTGCAGGGCTACAGGCCTTTGAAGACATTGCTCAGTCTCTTCAGATAGTTTCTTTCACATGTTCTATACCTTGGTTCCCCAAAACAACTCCTCCATTAAGACTGCTCAAAATTGAAATAACACTGTGGCACAGATGTTTTGCCCATCAAATTCACAAAGATCAAAAAGGAAGGACTGAATAGGCAGAGTGGGTATGTGTTAAGAAAACATGTTCTCATACACTGTACTACTTGTGGCAATATAAACTGATAAAACTTTGTAGAGGGAAATATGGCCAAGTGAGTCAAAAGTTTTAAACCTGTTAATATCATTTGGCTCAGAAATTCTACTTGTAGGGATTTATCTTAAGGAAATTTTCACAAATGTACACAAAGATTAATTACAAAGATGTTTAGCTTCAATGTTGTTTGGAAACTAACATAACGTGCAATAGAGGCCTGGTGAACTGAGTACTGGGACCTTCACACTGCACAGGGGAGCAAGAACCTCTTCTCTTGCCTCTGCTTTGTGGGATTTTCCAAAATCCTCCTGGCTTCTTTTCCCTTCCCTTCCTTCTTCCCAGAGCAGGGGCCAGCTTTACCTCAGTTGGTAGGTCACACACATTGGGTGGAGATGGTCAAAGGTCCTCTGCTTGGACAAGTTGCTCCCTGTCTTCATTCCTCTGGCCAAGGCCAGTGTTAGGTGGGGACTGGTGAGCTGTCTGGCCCCACAGGGCTAAGCTTTCCTTTAGGTGGGTTTATCCCACTTCTCAACAGTCTAACAAAGAACAGATTCCACAAGCCCACTTCGTCTCTTGCTGCAAGCTATGCCTTCCGATTCTGCCTTCATTAGAAATAAGGGTGATATTTTGGTTCTCCACCTGCTATTTCTCGATTTGGGTGGGGAAGATGGGTGCTACTTACTGAACTCTCCCAAAGACCTTCAAGAACACTGAGCAGAATACCATCTAGCCATAAAAACTGATGTAGAAAAATACTTATGATTGGAGGAAAATCATGGGATTTTAAAGCAAAATAGCAGGTTACAAAACAGCATGTAATAAACAGCTGAAAAAAAACAGGGGCATAGCAATGTATTGTGGTTATTTTCATCTTGCTTTAACCTGTTTGATTTCAAGCTTTATTTTATTTGCACGCAAAGCATCCTAACTGCTGTTGGCAGTCCTTGTGTGCTATGAGACATCCTCACAGTATCCTTCTAAGAAATTCACTGTTTTACTCAAGCTAGTTGAAATTTGCATTCTATCACTGCAGTTAAGAGAGTAAACAAATAAAATGTTCATGTTTCTAAAAACCCTGAAGAAGACAGATTGACAGAGCTACCTTGTATAGCCAGAGAAAAGCAATTTACCTTCCAATTTTCTCAATATGACAGTATTTCATCTATCTCTGAAGATATAAAGACTAAATTAAAAGTGGTAATGTGGACATTAATAAGAAAAGAAAGGGAAATAAGAATTATGAGGATTCATATGTGCTAAGTACATTCAGAAATTTACAATTTCCTAACAAAATGGAAATGTTCTATCAGTTGGAAAAGCATGCAGAAACAATTGTACTTCCATTCAGACATTACCTTTTGAAGCCTGTCACCCCAGTGAGTGAGGGAAGGAAGTAAACATATCTACCAGAGGCAGGAAAAAAACTTACTTCAAAAGATCACTTAGCAAGAACTTCTTAATTATCAACGAAGCTTTGGTGAAGATGCAGCCAGCTGGATATCATACAACAGACACTATATTAGTCACTAGTTAAATAAAGATGAAAGGATACAAGTCCTGACTTCAATTTGCCCACAGTTTAGTGGGGAGATAAACATGGATAAAGTATAATTATAGGTTTCATTTCGTATGCTGGGTACAATGGTGTGTGCCTGTAGTAGTTACAGCTACTCAGGAAGCTGAGGTGGATTTTTGAGCCCAGGAGTTTGAGGCTGCAGTGAGCTATGGTCACACCTATGAATAGCCACTGCATTCCAGCCTGGGAAACATAGCAACACTCTATCTCTTAAAAAAATTTAAAAGAAATTGGATCACGCAATTATGGAGGCTGGCAAGTCCAAAATCTGCAGGGTTGGTTGGCAGGCTGAAAACCCAGGGAAAGACAATGCTGTGGTACAGGTCTGAAGGCAGGCATGTGGACACCCAGGAGAAGCTGATGGTGCAGATAAAGGCAAGAGGCAGTATTCTCAAGAATCCCCTCTTGCTTGGGAAGGTTGGTCTTGTTCTATTCAAGCCTTCACATGATTGGACAGGGCCCACCTATATTTGGAGGGCATTGTTTTACTCAAAGTCCACTAATTCTAATGTTATTTTCATCTATAAACACCCTCACAGAAACACCAAGAATAAATAATGTTTGTCCACATATCTGGGCACTGTGGCCCAGTGAAGTTGCTACATACAATTAAGCATCACAGTGTCTGTCCTAAGAATGTGTGGTGCACAGCCCTGAACATGGGACTGTGATGCTCCGTGATGGTGCAGGGTGTGTAATACATCACTGCGTTACAGACCTATAGACTGTACCGCAGAAAGAGTGAATGTGAACCAGTGTAACCTGTGGACCCTGGGTCAGTGTAGGTTCATGGGTTGTAACGTGTACCGCTCTGGTGGATGTATGCACATGTTACACAAGAGTGTGTAATACATACTCTTTCTACAGACCTCTGGGGTTGGTGCCCTGCAGCATCACACATGGCCTGGTCTGGCCTCCTGTGCTCCTTGGGGGGCAGCTGACCATGAGGTCAGATGAGCATGATGTGCCATCCCATTGCTCTTCCCATCACCCTGGCCAGGCTTTGTGAATAATCTGTGTTCCTTGCTTCTATTTCCTCATCATTTGTTCCTTACTTTTTCTCTTGGCTTCTCGCTCCATTCACCATTCCCTCAGTTCTAAAATTCCCTGGGAGCCCAGTGTCCTCCCTGATGCCTTGCAGTGCTGAGCGCTGTCACCATTCTACCACTCAGAACCCTTTCCTCTCTCTGCCATGATCCATGCTCTCTTGTGGTGTCTTCAGCTCAACAGTTTGTAACAGCTGCATCAGGTGCTGTATTAGTCTGTTACAAACAAATGTTACAAAAAAATGCCCAGGACTGGGTAATTTATATTTATTTATTTATTTATTTTTGAGACGGAGTCTCACTCTGTCGCCCTTGCTGGAGTGCAGTGGTGTGATCTCAGCTCACTGCAAGCTCCGCCTCCCAGGTTCACACCATTCTCCTGCCTCAGCCTCCCAAGTAGCTGGGACTACAGAAGCCCCCCACCACATCCGGCTAATCTTTTTTTGTATTTTTAGTAGAGACGGGGTTTCACTGTGGTCTCCATCTCCTGACCTCGTGATCCGCCTGCCTCCCAAAGTGCTGGGATTACAGGCATGAGCCACCGCACACAGCTGGGACTGGGTAATTTATAAAGAAAAGAGGTTTAATGACTCACAGTTCCACATGGCTGGAGAGGCCTCAGGAAACTTACAATCATGGTGGAAGGCGAAGGGGAAGCAAGGCACGTCTTACATGGTGGCAGGAGAGAACGAGTGAGGGGGGAGACTGCCACAAACTTTTTTTTTTTGAGACAAGAGTCTGGCCCTGTTGCCCAGGCTGGAGTGCAGTGGCATGATCTCAGCTCACTGCAACCTCTGCCTCACAGGTTCAAGCAATTCTCATGCCTCAGCCTCCCGCATAGCTGGGACCACAGGTATGCACCACCACACCTAGCTAATTTTTGTAGTTTTAGTAGAGATGGGGTCTCACTATGTTGCTCAGGCTGGTCTAAAACTCCTGGGCTCCAGCAATCCGCCTGCCTTGGCCTCCCAAAGTGCTGGGGTTACAGGCATAAGCCACCACATCCAGCCTGCCACATACTTTTAAACTATCAGGTCTCATGAGAACTCATGCACTATCACAAGAATAGCATGGGGAAAATCCCCCCCATAATCCAATCACCTCCCACCAGGTCTCCTCCGACACGTGGGATTGGGTGGGGACACAGAGCCAAACCGTATCAGATGCTGCAGGGGCTGGGGACACTGAGACCACTCAGACCTGGTGTCTCTGTCACTCTTCTGGGCTCTGTCTGTCTCCAGGACCTCCCTCCCCTTCCATGGTATAGAAGGAAAGTGCTGTAATGTGCAAATTGCACAGGAACTCCTTAAGACATACATTATCCACTCAGCAGTTTTAGGTTCGCAGCAAAATGGAGTGGAAGGAACAGAAATTTCCTGTGCACCCCTCCCCGCTGTCTCCGCCATATCGGCATCCTGCATCCAGAGTGGTAGACTGGTTACAGGCTATGAACCTACACTGATGCGGCACCACCACCCAGAGTCCACAGGTTATGTTGGTTCACATTTACTCTTGCTGTGGTATGGTCTATAGGTTTGGACAGATGTCCGATAATCCTTTTTACATTTTGGCATCCTTGGGTAGCTCGTCTTGCAGGAATGGACTTGCTTCAAAGTGGAGGCAGGCAGATCCTTCAGATGGGTATATGGAGCCCTGTTTTCAGTTGCTTTTCTAATTCTCTCTTATCGTTTACCTCAAAATCTTCCTGAGGTCTCGCTTCCTTTTAAAATCCTTGTCTACTTTGCAGCATCACTCTGACACTCCATTGATTCCTCAGCACCTACTGACTACACGGTTAGGAGTGCAAGGGTAGAATTCATGTTTTATTCATCTTTGGGTCTGTAGCACCCAGCAAAGTGCTCAGTAAATGCGCAGTAATTGATTTGACCTCTGAACAAATACACACTGTACTAAGAATCTACACACCGAAAGACAAAAACAAGACAAATTTGAGTGCTACAGGTGTCACGCTTGGCCTCACACATGTGCCTGTGTATTCCTCTAGGTGGTTACCAGGAGCTCTGCCACTGCATGTCCACTAGTGACGGGTTCGCTCCACCACCCCAGCTGGGTAGCCGCTGCTCTCACATAAGGGGTCCAATTAAAATTGCCAGGAATAAATTCCCCCGGACTTTGACTTCTCAAGAGCTAAGAAGGTTTGCTGAGTATTCTGGCATGATGTTTGGTGATCAAACAACTGCTGGCCAAAAATGATGAGTATTTCCCCCTCTTGCTGAAGATGTGCTCCATACAATAGTCCATCACATTCATCATTCATCAGTCTGGAAGTGTGCAGCCAATCATATTATCTATCACATGTTGTTCTGGCTTTTTTTTTTTTTCCAATGTCCAGCCTAAACTATAAAGAACTTTGAGAACGCACAGTGAACCATAAGCTTGCCAATAAAGAGTCCTCTGTGGTATGGAACTGGCTTATTTCATACACAATCTGCAAACAATGAGGGCACTATTGGAAACATACTGTGCTGCACAGAGCATTTACACCACTTATCTTTAATCTTCCCCAGCAATCCTTGCTTTGTGCGCATTTATGATCCTTGCTCTCAGAAGTCCACATACTTTTCCCCAACCGTAACAAATTATTTAACTCATCTAATGTATGTATGTCCGCGCAGTCTGAAAACAGTAATTGTCCTTGGGAAGAAGTGAGTTTAAGAGAGCTCTAGGGCACTCATCACAACTCCAGCCCTGCCCTCCATGTGGTAGCAGCTCTTTGGACTGGGGCTAAGTGCTTATTCTTGTGCTTCATTCCTGGTAAGCTCAATTTCTTTACCTTAGGATAACTTTGCTGGAAAAGGGCTCAGATTCAGCCGACCATTGTGGCCTCTGTGGCTGTCACAGCTTGTCCCTGACATGCTATGATGTTGGGTCCCCTTCTCATCCCCTTGGGATTTCTTCTGCTGGCCCACAGCCAGAACAACTAGGCCTTTTACTCCACCATCCCTTTGTTTTCTTTTGTTTCGTTGGTAAAAATCAATCCTTCTACCATCCATGCATAGCAATTTCTAAAAACTGAATTTCAAGAGCAGTATCTGAAGAAACAAACATGATTTGGTCCTTTTAGTAAACAGAATAAATTTTAATAAATCAACTTTGAAATAGTTGTAAGAGTTAAGAAAAAGCACAAAACTGAGATCATCAGAGCAGCTTGGCCTCAAAGGACAGGCAGCAGGATTCTACAGGGTTTGAGCCTTCCTAAGTGAAGCTGTTTCCTGCAGGCTCCCTGCTCCAAGCTCCTAGCTAACAGCCCCTTCTCCCACGATTGGCAACAAAGAGCAAAAATAACTTTGTACTTGATGCTGAGTCAGTGTAAAAAGCCATAAAAAATTCCCTCTAAATGTCAAAATGTTTGCCTCCTTTGAGGCTTCTCTCCTCCTACTGGGTCTGGATAAATTAGCACTGGGCTTATATTGAGTCACAGATCTGGGCCCTGCCACAGAGAGCTTCCTCCTAGTGTGTGATGCTTTTTCTCCAAACTATTGATACAAAATGCACTGGAATAGAAATCAACAGAAACTGGTCAAAGGTGTGGCATACACATTCTCATGTAGATGTAAAGCTGTGCTTAGAATTCCTTTGTGGAGTCTGGTTTGGTCTTGGTTTTCTTGGTGTTTGATTCATTTTTTTACGTAAATTACAAAAACCCTCCACATTTCTTCATGGATTGTATTAGTCCATGTTCTCCAGAGAAGCAGAACGAGTTGGATGTATGTTTTGGAAGAGATTATGAGGAACCGGCTCATGTGATGAAGGAGGTTGAGAGGTCCTGTGCTCTGCCATCTGCAAGCTGAAGACCTGGAAAGCTGAGGGTGTGGCTCCAGTCTGAGTCTGAAGGCCCAAGAACCAGGGGAACCAACGGTGTAGATTCCAGGTTGAAGGCAGGAGAAGATGGATGTCCCAGCTCAGCAGGCAGGCAGGAAGCAAATGGGGTAAATTCCTCCTTCCTCCACCTTTTGTTCCATTCAGGCCTTCAACAGATTGGATGAGCGCACCCCCACCCCCACACTAGGGAGGGCCATCTGCTTTACTGAGTCGGCTGAGTCAAGTGCCAGCCTCATCCCAAAACACTCTCCAGACACACGCAGAAATGTTTCATCTGGGCACCCTGTGGCCAGTCATGCTGACACACAGAACTAACCATGACATGGATTCTTCTTAAAGCAGTGATAGGAGCGAACAGAAACATTTTCATAATTTTCAATTATTTTTAATGAAAACTATATCTGATGGAATTGTTTAAACCTAGTCTGGCCACACATTATTTCCTGGGACCGCCCCTCCTTCAATCCCTTGGACACTGATGACTTTATGCCCAGATTACACTGGAGGCCTGTGCTGATTTTCTAACACATACCTGCAACTGAGCTGGCAAAAAGAAAACTAGGCAAGTATGACAGATACATGATGCACAGGCTAAGTGCAAAGGAAAGAAAAACACCAACTGCAGGGATGAGGGACTCACCCCTTTAGAAGTTTCTACTTGAGCAGCTAGAAGACTACAATGCCACTCATCAAAACAGTGACTCAGGGGGAGTATTTGGGATAAAGGAGGAATCTGATGTTGGAGGTCAAATTTGAAGTGTCTTTAAGACCTACAGGTAACGAGACAGCTGGACAAACACATGGAACTCAGGACAAAGGCTCTAAGGACAGCACAGCAGCTGACATCCTGTGTGACAGCCTTGAAAGCAGCAGGCCCGCCGCTCACATTTTGGAAGGGAAAATGGGTACAATGTTGTCTGCCACTTTGGGGCCTTCTTGGGTCACATGCATTTTACATTTATGCAGTTGATATATTTATGTTTCCTGGGTCTTTTATACATTAGACACCATGATTCTCAATCCTTTGTTATTTTGTATTACAAAAAGCTGAATTATTATTTCAAATATGGGCAAATTAGAGCCTTCCATATTGCCAAGGTGTATCAACCACACTGATATCACGATCTCTCTTTTGAATTAGTTTTCCAGTTCACACCTACCATTTATTTCATGATTGGTTTCAGACTTGTTCCTCCTGGAAACACTCCCTAACAAGCACCCTTGCAGGAATGAAGACACACCACACACATCTACCCCATTACTGCATGTACTCAAGAGTCAGCTTTTATATGATCTCTCCCAAGTGCTCCTATAATGGGGATCTTTCACTCACCCTAAAGTGAGGACAAAATACTTGAAAGCATGAGCCCAGTGCCTGTAGGTGTGCAATTAACCTCAGACCAAGGAAGTGCCGAACGCATCTGGCTTTTAGCAAGGCACCTGACAAAGTCCTTCAGGATGTTTTTGTACATGAGCTAGAGAAATGTACCTGGAGAACAGCTTCTACTGCCAGATGATCTTACTCAAAAGATGCAGATTAAGCAAAATATCAACCCAAAGGGTGGTCCCTGATGGCCCACCAGCCCTGTGCCTGGCTCGTTTCCTATGTTTCCTAGATTTGGTTTCAGACTTGCTCCTCCTGCAGACACTCCCTAACCAGCATCCTTGCAGAAAACTGGTGAACTAGAAAAGGCCTGTGTGGGTCACGTGGCCACCCAACACCACAGCAGTGTCTAAGGTATGCGTGGGAGCCTGCACAGCAGGAGCGGGGTCTTCTGGAGACCCGCATGAGATGCAAAGGGCAGTGGACAAGGAGCCAAGGGAGGTGGCTCTAGTCACGCTGGTATGGTGCCAGCTTGAGGATGCTGGGCAAGTCCCGAGCCGTCTGCCTTCCTAGTACCACAGTTACCACTGTCTGTTACCTCGCGAGTTCAAGTGCTTCACGTGAGACAGCTACGAGACAGGCCCCTGGAAACTGGAAAATGCTAAGTAAATGTCATGCACAATTGTTGTTCACATTTTATCTCAATCACTTTTACCAAATCAGGCTAAACCCTGGGTATTCATAACGTCTTGGGCTGTACAAATTGTTCCTTGAAATGACTCAGAGACATTTTCTGAATTGGCTTCCATCAGCCAAGCATTTCTTCAGAACTGGAAAAATGCTTTAAATTTGGCTTTGTCATGATTATTAAAACACTCTGTACATTTTTTATTATTGAAATTAACACATTGCCTACTTTTTAAAAATTGGAAAAAGAAAAAAGAAGAAAAAAGGCCTAAGTCTCAATACCTACACACTAACATTTTATTCATAATCCACCAGTTTTTATTAGGTTATTTTCAGCGTTTACACATTCATAAGAACTTTAAATTAGATTTTTAGAAGCTGGTGGTAAATTGTAACTACAGGAGAGAATCTTCCCAAGAGGACTGTGGCTTATGGATTTATTCCCATCATAGGGGAAAACATTCATAATAAAATAATTTGCTACTGTGATTTATTCAGCTGTTATTGGGAAGAAGTAATGACCCCTCCACATTCTGTGAAGCCTCTTGGAGGTTTCATGTGCTCTGACTCTTCATCAAAATTACATATACTTTTAGCAATTTTTAAAGAAGTGTACAAAGTTGAGATGTTTCCTGAGCTCTCATATATCTGAGAATGTCATTTTACATCTCCGTCTTCACCTCTCAAAACTTCTTTCAATTCTTTGGCTCTTAATAGTAATCAACACTTGCACTCTGGAGTCACTGTAATTCTTGCTCCTTTACAGCTACGCCTGTTATTTCCAGCTGAATATTTTTAGTTATTTCCCAGGGTTCCAAAAAACAGCAATAAGTACTACACAAAGGGGGTGGGCCATAACCAGAAATGTTTGGGAAATACTGGCTCATGTATGCAATGCCAAATCTGGTTTGCGATTGTAGTGTTGCTCACATGCAGAGTGAATCTTCAGAGAATCCATGCATTTTCCAAATATATTTAATAACAGGACCCTTCTGAGTTCCTGGTACACCAACTAACAGTTCCTGAGAAGTGTTCTTTCTGCAAAGCCCATCTTGGGATATGCCATATATTTTAATTAAACTCAAACTTTAAATTAAACTCAAATATTTTATTTAAACTCTCAAAAAAGCAGAATATATCTAGATGAGGTCTCTTTCCACTATGTTTTAATCTGGAATTCAGAATTCTCTCTTTTGTTTGCTTTTTAAAAAACTGTGGTAAAATATACATAATATACCATTTACCATGGAGCAGAACCATTTGAATGTGTATAGTTCAGCGGCACTAAGGACATTCGCATTGTGTGCCACCATCAGGGATTCTTTCGAATTGCACAGCCATTCTTTCAGCTTAAAAATGGTTTCTTGAAATCAGTGATTAGCATTCACTCACCAGTACCCCTACTAAGGGGTAGGCACTGGTTTGTACTCCTGGGAATACAGGAGTACACCAGAATTTATTTCTGCTTATTGCTTTTGTTGCAAATGCCGTGGCTTCATCTGAGGAATTCTAGAATTCAGAGGGTGTAGCCCTCCACTCTGCTGTCTTGCTATCTGCTCTCATTGCATCTGTTTAACCTGCATTCTGAAAGATGTTTCTCAGGTTTTTCCTTGACAATTTTCTTCTTTTCTGATTCTGACAATGTTTTAAATCATTGTACTGTGGTTATCATTTCTCTGCATTTATTTTACCCATCTTCCTTTGTAACTTGTCCTATTGTCTTTTAATTTCTGCCTGTTCTTTATGGCTTTCAACTTCATAAATAACATGTTTTCTCAAATCTCTTTGTGAATTCCAGAGAGGGCCAGGCACGGTGGCTCACATCTGTAATCCCAGCACTTTGGGAGGCTGAGACGGGTGGATCACTTGAGGTCAGGAGTTTGAGACCAGCCTGGCCAACATGGTGAAATCCCGTTTCACTAAAAATACAAAAATTACCCAGGCATGGTGGCGGGCGCCTGTAATCCCAGGTACTCGGGAGGCTGAGGGAGGAGAATCGCTTGAACCTGGGAGGCTGAGGGAGGAGAATCGCTTGAACCCGGGAGGCAGAGGTTGCAGTGAACCGAGATCATGTTGCTGCACTCCAGCCTGGTCAACAGAGCAAGACTCTGCCTCAAAAACAAACAAATAAACAAACAAACAAAACAGAGAGATTTTGCTGCAATGTACAAGGAGCAATTTGCTCCTTTAAAAAAATAATTTTTGGCCAGGCACAGTGGCTCACACCTGTAATCCCAGCACTTTGGGAAGCCAAGGTGGGTGGATCATTTGAGGTCAGGAGTTTGAGATCAGCCTGGCCAACATGGTGAAACACTATCTCTATTAAAAATACAAAAATGTGCTCAGTGTGGTGGTGCACATCTGTAATCCCAGCTACTAGTGAGGCTGAGGTATGAGAATCCTTTGAACCTGGGAGGCGGAGGTTACAGTGAGCTGAGATCATGCCACTGCACTCCAGCCTGAGTGACAGAGCGAGACTCTGTCTCAAAAGAAATAATAATTTTCTAAGTTATGATTTTCCAGCATCTTCCAGGTCAAGTCTTCCTTTCCCTTTTCTGAAGAATGCTTTTAAAAAGGCTCCACATAGACTTCTTTTTTTGGTTACTCACCTCTACAAAAAAGACCTGATAAAGATGCAGGGGTTTTGTCACTGTCGGTGCACCTGGGTGCTGATGAAAGCACTTTTCAGATTTACCTGTAACTGATTTACCTGTAAATGTCTCCAAGTCTGTTTCCCAGAATGAGCTGGCATCTGTGTATTGCCAGTTTGTCAGGATAAGATCTCTTTTTAAGTTAGCTTGGATATTGTAAATAGGGTGAGACATAGAAACAGCAAGATTCCTCCCTGGGCACTGCACCAGAGCCCTTCCTCAAACCTTTGTCTCCGTTCCTCAGCTCTGCTTTGGGTACAGAGGAGACACCACTGCCAGGCTTGCCCGACTCCCTGCCCAAGGCTGTGTGAGCTGCAGTTTCCAAGTGCTGCTGTATAGAGAGAGAAGCTCCAATGGGGAGCAGCAGGGACAGGGACCCACTGCAGCACTCAGTCAAACGCAAAGCCCTACTTGGGGTGCTGGCTGCTCTGCTTTCTGGTCAGTACCGATTTGGATTTCTAAGGGTGAGGAGGAGGTGGGAAAGCATGAAGGGTCGATCCCCCTTGCATCCAGGAGCACCTGGCACAGGCCGGCCACTGATGATGTTTCTCCATCCAGTCCCATCTCTGAGCATGAAGAAATTCCTCCAGATTCTGCAAATAGGTTGAATGTGTGTCCTAGTTTTGGGTATTTTGAATCTTTCCTTTCATCATTGGTCTTTGGTGAGAAGCAAGAAGAGGCTGTTAGCAGATGCCTTTTTAAACTGGAAATTCATAATTTGGTTTTGACTTTAATGGTGGGAAAAACCCATTAAATAATTTATTTCCTGATATTAACCAAAATACAGTATGGTATGCAATACTGTAAAGCAAATGAGTTCCAGATAAAAACAGACATGGTCTGTTTCCTGATTCACCAGTTGCTTGACACTGGTATGTCACTTATTAATTGTACCTGCACTTACTCATTCTACCTTCATTGCCAAGCCAGTCCTCTGTGTTCTGAGTCTATTTGCCTAAACATTCAGGAAAAAACAGTACAGATAATTACATGTATTTTGGAAACCACACTTGGTTTGTTGGTTGCCTGTAATTGACTATTTAAAGTGCATTTTCTAAGCCTACTTTAGATAGTGGTCTTAAGAAATGGTCATCATTCTTAAAAGAACTATAAGTGTAACCTGTCTGAAGACTGCTTCAAACTCTGTCTTAAACAATTTTGCTTTTAGTTAATTATTTAATTAAACCAATTAAAGATCCATGGAAAGAGGGAAAAGCTCAACAGGAGAGTGGTTATACTAAGGAAATGCCCATACCCTCCATTTAACAATGCCATGTAGAAGTGTTGTTGTTACTAGGTCAGAGATTTCCATGTGCTCAAATATTTGCCAAACAGGTGAAAAGCCAGAATAATTAAAACAAATTATTTATTCCAAGTTCTACCAGTTTAAAGTTTTTCAGAATTACAGAAGCGAACAATGAAATCAGAAACAAGCTCTCACAGCTGTAGCATTTATAACAAAGTCATTATCTACATGACCTTGATTTAAGAGGTGTAGAGTGTTTCTTTTATTCAGAATCCATGAGGAAAGTTTCGAAGTCCAGATCCAAGTCGGAAACGAGGGCACTTACGAAGTCATCAACAGAAGGACACTTCTGAAGCATACCTGCAAACAAAGGAAAGGTCAGAACTGCGTTCACCAGGAGGCAACAGGAAGCACAAAGACACAAAATCAAATCCACACACTAGAGGAACACTCTGGCTTTCTGAATTAAGACTCTGGCTGTATAACCTGAATGCAAGAACATTTTATAAAGTCATGGGCAGTGTGTGGGCCTTGGAGCTATTTATAATTTTAATGTATTTTTACTATCAAATCCATCCTTAGCTTAGAGATTTAGGCCTAAATATATTTCCTAAGGGCTATTATTTTTGCATATATGACTATACCCTTAGAGACTGATATTAGAAGACTGATTTTTTTTTAGTTATCTTTGACTGGGATGATTCACAATTTAACAAGTTTAATTACATATCAAGTTTTGTTATCAAGTTCTATACACTTTACAATCAATTAGATGTTAATTCTTTTATAGAAATCTTATATCAGAATCAAGTTATTGGCTCTCCTCCAGATTTCCCTGTCCCAGAGAACTCCTAGCTTTGCAACTTAGTAACTGTGTAACGCAGAAGTCACTTAAAATCTCTGGCATCCAAATTTCCTACAAGGTTGCTATAAGGATCAAACAAGAAGATGTAGTAGAAGCAATGAAGCACCATGCCTAGCATATATTAAGAATTCAATAAAAAGCTGAATTCATGTCCTTTCTTCACTCTAAAGAAGCCAAAAACAAAGATTGATGCAATTAACCTTATTGCTTTAACCTACATTCTTGGCAGGAAATGCTAACTGAAGGGTTGAACAGGCTCTATATACTGATATTTACTTTGGGAGATGAATTCTGTAAAACCATTTTCAAAATCAAGGCATTAAAAGATTGCAGGAATCCTCTATTGTTCTCTGAACCTGTATTGCAATTCAGTGAACATGAAGGAAGCATCTGTTGTGTGTAAAGGATCAGGCCAGGTCATGGGCATACAGGTGGGCAGGCTCAGTCACAACATGAAGAGTGAGAGTAGTCGGCTGGGCAGAACTGCATATCCATACGGCAGAAAACTAGCCTTGACTCCTACTGCATACCATACATAAAAACTAATTTGAGATGGTCACAGACCTAAGTGTAAACACTAAAATTATTATCTTAAAAAAACCGCATGAAGTATCTTTGTGACCCTGAAGTAGGTATAGTTTCTTAGGACACAGAAAGCAATGCATAAAAGGAAAAAATGTTAGATTTCATCAAAATTTAAAATGTCTCTTGAAAAGAAACCATTAAGCCAATGAGTAGACAAATGATAGTTGGAAAAAATACTCACAAAACATATCTCACGTAAGACTGGTATCCAGAAAATATAAAGAACTCCTTTGACCCATTGTAAAAATATGTTTTTTTAAATTACAAATTGACAAAAGATTTTACCTTCACAAGGTCAGGTTTTTCACAGAAGATATCTGAATAAGTAACACAACTAATAGGCACTGAGAAGACATTCAACATCATTAGTCACTAGGGAAATGAAAACCAAACCCACAATGAGATACTATTACACATCCACCAGAATAGCTAATTTTTTTTTTTTTTTTTTTTTTTTTTAAAGACAAGGTCTTGCTCTGTTGTCCAGGCCTGGACAACACAGCATGTGCAGTGGTGTGAACATGGCTCACTGCAGCCTCGACTTCCCAGGCTGAAGTGATCCTCCCGTCTCAGCTTGAGAGTAGCTGGAACCACAGGTGTGTGCCACCATGCCCAGCTAGTTTTTAAACTTCTTGTAGAGATGGGGTCTTGTCATGTTGCCCAGGCTGGTCTTGAACTTCTGGGCTCAAGCGATCCTCCTGCCTTGGCCTCTCAAAGTGCTGGGATTACAGGCGTGAGCCACTGTGCTACACCAAATGTTGACAAGGCTGTGTGCAACCTGAATTGTCATACATTTGTGGTGAAAGGATAAAATGATACAATCACTTTGAAAAAAGGTCTTAACCAGTGTCTTACGAAACTAAACATAGACCTACACTAGGACCCAGCAATTTCACTCCCAGGTATTTATCCAAGAGAAATGAAAGCATATGTCAACAAAGAAACAACTTGTACAACCCCAAGCTTGAAACAACCCAAGTTTCTATCAATAGGACATGAATACACACACTACAATATATTCATATGATGGAATATTACTCAGCAACAAAAAGGAACAAACTATTCATACATGCAACAACACAAACGGATCTCAAAAACATTATGCTGAGTGAGAGAAGCCTTATGTGAAGCAGTACATACTGTTTGATTCCATTTATATGAAGTTCAAAAAGTTAGTCAAACCAATCTATGGTGAAAAAAATCAGAACTGTGGTTGCTTTCGGGAGTGGATATTAGAATCAACTGAGAAGGGGCAGGAGGGCCTCTGGTGTGATGGTCATGTTCTACATCTGGATAGTGATTTGAGTTATAAAGGTGTGTACATGCATCAAAATTCATTGAAAGGTACATTTGAGATTTTGCGTTTCACTGTATGAAAAGTTTACCTAAATACAGTAAGCAACTATTGAACTCTAATGCTATGCATGTAAACGAATCTAGGTGTAAAATGTACTGATGTCTGCTACCTTGAAATGCATAAAAACATAAGGCCAGATACGGAGATGAAGAGATGTAAATATAGGAAAATGTTTACTAAATGGCAAGTATATGAGTGTTGTACTGTTCATTCAATTTTTCTGAATATTTGAAAAATTTTAACATAAAATCTTGAGAAAAAGTAAACTGTAGATGCTAATAGCATACAAAGTGCAGTCAGTGTGGAGAACAGAAGAGAAAGATGAATTCCAATGAAGAGATTCAGCAGGTTTGTGGAGGAGATGGGATTGAGCAGAAACTTAACAGATTGGGCCTTTTAGGTGGAGGAGACAATATAGGAAAGGCACAAACCTGGGGAAATGCACAATGTATGCTGACCAAGAAGTGGTCTGGCGGGTAGAGTAAGGCTGGAAGAGACTCTGGGAGAGGAACATGAGAGGTCCCAGGGCTCTGAACCAGGGCAACCAACAGAAAAGGAAGGACAGACTGGGCTGGAATCCAGGAGGAGCAGGGTGGTGTGGAGACACAACCCTTGTCAAGTTTGAGGTGGAAGGGGACACTCCATGTGGAGACAGTGAGGACACAGAGCTCAGGGACAGCTTGGGGACTAGAGGTGCAGATGTGATCATCCCACCAGAAAGCACATGGGGTGGGAAATAGACCAAGGACTATCTAGATGGTGGACATGAAAATACTTGGTCCAAACACATACTTGAAAGCCCTTAACTAGACCAGGGGTAGTTGAGAACAATACCAATATTGTTACAGTTTCAACTGTAGACTAAAATATTTTCACTGGCTATCTAATGTCTATCTAAATTCTAACAGCTCTATCTTAGGTACTATGTGAGGAATAATGGGCTGTTACTAGTTACTAGAAGAGAATGTCATTGCTGTGTCTATTTGTGCAATTAAAGTTCAAAACACAGTGTTCTTTTTTACAGTAAAATAATCTGCATGCATGAATGCAGGCCTTGCCTCTGGCCCAGCTGTGTCACTAAGGATAGAAACGCTGGGTATGTGATGATGGCTAAAGTAGCACAGTTGACAATCTATCATCTAGATATAGGTTATTACTTAAGTAGACTGAATCTGATTATAAATCAGGTTTCATGCATTCCCTATGTGCCAGGTTTCTTGATACAGAGAACATTTGTAGGGAAAACATTTAATTAAGACATGGCTTTCCATAAAATGTGCTAGCCTATCACGCCATTTCTTCCTTTTTAATATTTGAGGGGTTGCCTCTCTCAGCTTTGGCGCCCTCCTCCTCTGTACAGGGTAGCTTCTTCCTTCTCTTTTCCTTCTTGCTTATTGAACTCTCTGCTCCTTAAAACCACTCCACGTGTGTCCGTGTCCTTGTATCTAAGCTGGCATGAGGACCAAAAACCCTGGTGCTCCACCACTCATCGGAGCCACATCATTTTGGTGCGTTGGCCGAGAAAGGAAATTCATTCATCAGACTGAGTCAAGGAAACTTATTTTAAACTATTTATGGCCTTTAATAATTGAGTAAGGTGTACTCCTATGAACAAAATTTGAAGCATGTTTATTTCTCTGCCTGGTTCCTCTAGAATTTGGAAATTATCTGTCTGGAAGCTCTGAGTTTATCTTGGGACCTCAAGAGGAGAGGATCACCCAACTCACAGCAATCAAACTCCAAATGGTGCTATAAACTGAACCACACATGGACACGTCAGTCTTCCGAGGACCCTTAGATCAACCCCAGGAGGAGCCCTAGCTGCTGTTCCCCATTCGACGCCCCTTTCCAGCAGGAAGTAGCCAGAAGACATCGTCGCCCAAACCTCTAACAGCAGTTAGTGCGGCATCTCCACAGGGGGGAATGTTGTAGGAGTTATTGATAAATTATTTTAGGCAGATAGAGAGGAAAAGGGGTCCTTAGGAAGTTTTTGTTTTTTAAAGCACGTCTGGAAAAGTTTCTTGTAAAGCTCCAGCTCTTAAAGCCAGGCCAGTTACCCGATATCCAAATGCCAGCCATTAGAAAGTGGGTCCACCCAAACATGGCGATTCCTGTGGACTTCTTGCCCTTTCCCCACATTCCTGGATACATGGACACCCCGAAGTATCCCCACCTGTGTAGAAGATCATGGTGCCCTGCATTTGCATATTAAAAGGCTAGGGTGGGAGAGCCAGCTTTTCCTGCGGGCTACGTGAATGACATGCCTAGTCAAACCAATCCCCTGAGCCTGTGCAAATCAGACACTGCCTCCTCCAGCCTCTGTATATATACCTAGCTGGTATCTGTGGCAGGTGGGGTTCCCTCTCTTGGCTTTGGAGCCCCCCTTCCTCTGTCTCTGTACAGGGGAGCTTCTTCCTTTTCCCTTCCCTCTTGCTTCTTCTTGCCTATTAAACTCTCTCTGCTCCTTAAAAATAAAAAAAACTATATTTGAAACATTTCTATAATTACATGACTGGTCGTTTATAACTAAATGACTGGAATTCTCAGAAGAGAAAGCCATTTATTCAGAGCCAAGCTATTCAGGTAAGTATGGCTATCCTGTTCTTTGAAGTGGTTCACTTCAACTCAACAAACTGCCAATATAAATATGACCTTGCTCTCTCCTTCCCAGCAGACAGGCCCAACTAACACACGTCCTTCTCCAATTCCCCACCTTAAACAATTCCTGTATCTCACAGAATGGCAACTGTGGCCACAAGAGAAAAATATATACACTTGTGGGCTTTTCTAAAGAAATATAGTTAGAGCTAACTGGTTTGGTGATTTTGTATGTATGTGATTGCTGAAGATGAAGGTTCAAAAAGGAGGAAATCAGGACCTGAGCCTGGAAGGATAATGAAGAATAGTTACTGGGGAAGAATCCTGGGCACACTGTTATGCTAGCCCTGCTCTAATTAGATTTAAATGTTCTGCGAGTGTTAACATGAACTAAACCCTACACAGAAAATTTAAAAAAAAAACAAAAAAAACAATGTTTCAGGTAGTTCCACAAGTAAGAAAAACTGGATTTGGATTTTGTATATGGCCATAGTAAAAAAATTCCAAGAAAGCTTTGGTTTCTTTTTTAAAGCTGACAAAGATGTCCCCTTTGCCTTCAAGTCTTAATTTTAGAAGGGTGACGATTAAAATTGTATTTTCCAAGCACCCCTGGGAACCAGCTTGGAGCTGTTAACTCCAACCAAGGTGGATGGAGTTAACAAACACATTTCACTCTGGAAATCACCTAAATTAGAGGGAGAATGAATGGATCTTGCCAAAAGGACTCAAACAGGCAATAACTTTACAATTAAAAAGAGAAAAGTGTCAATAGCAATATAAGAAAGACAAAATTGCATCAGGACACACATTGCAAATATGAGCTCACAAAAGGAAGCAGGTAGTAGATCTTCACCTATTTGTCCTACTGAGAGGGACAGAGAATATATAAAGAGTAGTTAAAGAGTGAGAATTTAATGTATTTTTCTCCTCATTTTACCTGAGAGACAAATGGGCTAAGAAAAGATGGTACAAGCCAGAACATTTTTGTTCTGACGGCTCTGCTCAAATTAGCGTGTTTCATAACCTTGAAGTACTAGGGTAATTATTCTGGCCTGACTAATTTAAATTATAATATCAACAAGATTCCAAGACTGAGTCTTAAAACGGCAGGGTTTCCAAACTGCGGCTTTCCAGTCCTCTTCTTCCGAGTGACTGCAGACATACAGCTGGAGAGAAAGTGAGGAGAAAAATACCATGCAGGAGGACTTGACCTGCAGACAGCTGGCCTAGACGGGGCTCATCAGAGAGAACACCAGCCACTCCACTCCCAGAACCACGGTGGCTGTTTACAGAGCATTCACTGTGCACCAGACACTGTCCTAAGAGCACTGATCCATGGTCTCCTTAAAACACACCTTGAGACACCTATCTTCACAAGTAAGAAAACAGAAGCCAAGAGAGTCACACAACTCATAGGTTTGCTTTAACCCTGGCAGTCTGGTTCCTGAGCCCATGCTCTTAAAGCGCTATGATATATTGCCTCATGCCCCGAAATTCTGTCAAATACATTCTAAAAAGGTTTATATTTAAATATCAGCATCCTTGATGTGACAGAACCTAAATATGTAGAAAATCTTGAGAGAAAGGTCTCATTATTTCCTGATGCCACCCATGAGCACTTGTACCCAACTTACACGGCTTCCGTTCTGTGGAGCACACTTTACAAGCAGTCACGACTGTGCCCATCTAGCTGGAAGTAGAGGGCAGAGATCAGTGGCTTCGTCTCACAGGGCCGTAGTCTGGTACTGCCAACGGTGGCTTGGCCCAGCTGTGACCGGGACACTCATGACCAGGACAGGCACTCATGTAACGACCAAGAGCCTCTTCCCATCAGGGCACAACAGTGCTCACAATGCTTGGTTGCTGCTGGAGTTCCTGTCTTGGCGTGATACTGGGAGGAAAAAGTGCCCAAGAGTTCTGTGCTTAGGGATGCTTTCTGGGTGGTCTCCAAGTGCCTGTGGTAACCCCTTCAAACAGTAGCCTTCACATATTTAAGGGGCTCCTAACTATGCATATTTCTACACTTTCGCCAAGAAAAAATCCTGTCAGCTCCAGGATGAGTTCAAATATATATGTGTACAAAGCTGCAAGTTCATATCCTGTTATTTTGTAATACATAATGAACATATAATCCAACCAGACCTTCATTTAAAAATCAGCATACTCATGGCCTCACCTGTTTAACCCTTGAATGCCCTTTTGGATGTACAATTAATATAATTATTTGAAAACATGATTGAGAGCAATTGGTTGGCAGTTTGACTATACCTGTAAGCCAACCTTGCAAAGACGAAATCTCATTCTGGCTCCCTTTCCTAAGGCCCTAGGGTGAAATCGTTGGTGTATCATTTAATTTCATAAATACAGGGGATTACCAGGCAATTAAAAAGTAGAATTATTTTAAAGCTTGGAAGAAGAAGAATAGGTACATCTTTTCTTTGAGTCTATTTTATATATTGCTTGACACCAAGCAAAGGTGCCCAATAAAATGAAACTATGGCTGTTTGATCAATGGCTGAGTATGATCCAAATTTAATGAAACTCAAAGAATGAATGAATGAAGAAACTATTAATTGAATATTTGTAAGAGTTTTTTCCATTCATTCATCCATTCTATCTGTGCCTAAATGCCTAATGTGAATTTCAGGAAGGCAAAACAAACAAACAACCCCAAAAAAGAAAAAACATGTTATTTATTAGGAAGATGTTATATATCAAGCTTGTCCAACTCATGGCCTGTGGGCTGCATGTGGCCCAGGATGACTCTGAATGTGCCCCAACACAAATTCATAAACTTTCTTAAAATACTATGAAGTTTTTTCTTGGTGATTTTTTTTAGCTCATCAGCTATTGTTAATGTAGTTTATGTGTGGCCCAAGACAATTCTTCTTCCAATGTGGCCCAGGGAAGCCAAAAGATTAGAGATCCCTGTATATATTATATATAAAAATTACTGAGTTTTTTTTTTTTTTTTCTTGAGACAGGGTGTCACTCTGTCACTCAGGCTGGAGTGCAGTGGTGCAATCTCGGCTCACTGAAGTCTTGAATTTCTGGGCTCAAGTGATCCTTCCACCTCCGCCTTCCTCAGCTGGGACTATAGGAATGCACCACCACGCCCAGCTAGTTTTTTTTTTTTTTGTAGGAATGGGGTTTCGCCATGTTGTTCAGGCTGGTCTCGAACTCCTGAGCTCAAGTGACCCAGCTACCTCAGCCTCTGAAAGTGCCCCATGGGATTACAGGCGTGCGCCTCTGTGACTGGCTGAGACTTTCTTCTGAAAACTATGATCCAGTGGACCTAAAAGTGGACTGACATCACTGGTGTGTCAACTGGGAGCCTGTTAGAAATGTGAATTCTTAATCCCCCATCCGAGCCCTGCTGAATCAGAACCTGGGGATAGGCCCAGTGACCTGTGTTTTAATAAGCCTTCCCAGTGACTCTGCTGCATGCTCGCCTTTAAGCCCCATGGCTCAGATGGACCTGCGGAAACCTGTTAAGCCTGAAAATGAGATGTCGTTTCTCTCAACTGGCAACTATAACTTGAAAAATACTGAGCAAGAAAGATGTAGACGATTGTAATTTTCTACTTAACTAAAAAAGATTTCTCAGGTGAAATAGAAAACAATTGTTTCATGTAAAACTATAATTTATTTGGGACACTGTTCAAAGTTATTGAGTACCAGCTAGCTGGAAAAGCACCTACAATGATCTAGTGGATTTGGCATGGATATGGCCTACAGATCTGTAGTGGGGACGGAGAAAGGGACGTGGTGTCAGTGTGAGCTGTGTGGAAGCTGGGGCTCTGCACTTGCTCAAGAAGTCTCCCAGACGGGAGGTGCCCTTTGGAGATGAAGGCAGTCCTTTTATTTAAAAAGTTAAAAAGCAGGGTATGTTTTGATTACTAGGAACATTCTACAGGACAATAATTTGTGTTGATCAATTATTATGAGAAAAGCTCAGAAACACACACCTAAGAAGCTTCTTTCATTCTGACTGTTCTGAGCCTGAGAAATAGAACCCAACCTCAGTCAGGCAGGAGCCCAGAGGGAGCCATTTCTCAAGGAAAACACGAAGTTGGTAGAGGACTGGTCATCTGTTGATAGGTCATGATTTCTGCCAAAGTGGGCGATTTTAGCAGAAAGGTGGATGGAGTTGCTTAGGTCTGACTCCCCATAGGCATGGACCTCTCCCATCATTAGTGTTCTGAGATAAATGCCTCTGCCTGCAGGCCAAGCTCCCTGTGCACGGCAGCAAGCAGAAACATGACTACTCCTGACTCCACTTCAGACTGAACGTCTGCTCATGCATTTATCAAAAGGAAATGTTTACTAAGCACTTGTGTGCTAAACACTGTGTACTGGAGACAGCAGGCACACAGATATGAGTGAGACATGATTTCTGTTCTGAGGAACTTCATGAGTTGGGGAGAAAGCCATGGAAATACATAACTGTTCATACAGCACCAAGGTGTCAATGGGGTAGGATATTGCTTTTTTCCACCTAGCATCCATTTCCCTTCTGGTTAGGAGAATAATTTTGCTTTAGAGCAGTGGTTTAGAGGGTGATTTTGTCAGGGCATCTGGCAAGGTCTGATGACATTTTTGGTTGTCACACTGGAGGAGTGAACCACCATACTACACACAGGACAGGCCCCATAAAAAGAACTTATCTGGTCCCAAAACGTCAACAGTGTGCAGGCAGACACCCTGCGGTGGGCCAACAAATGAGGAAGCTCTCCCTGCCCCTGGCTCAGCCAGTGAGGGTGGCCAGATGTGTTCTTCCAGGATTGAGTCTTGAGCCGAATGCAGAAAGGTCTATGGCTGGCTGGAGCTGAGCCATCCCAGTACCAGCCCCATGAAGAACACACCCTCTCCTCTGCCAAGCCCCACCGAGCTGCTCTTCTGGAGCCCTGTTGTAACTTCTTCCTTTGAGTCTGTGGCCTCAAAAAAAAAAAAAATTGGTTTTCTGCTTTGATAAGCCAGAGTTGGTTCTATTTCTTTCAAGAAGATTCCCAGTTGATTAAAAAAAAAAATCAGTTCACCCGTTATTAAAAAGAATTTAATGATGTCTAGGGAACACTGATCTTTTTGTTTGATCAAAGACCAACTCTGTAGACCCAGGATTTGTACCTGAAGCAGCTGTTTTTTCACTTAAATGATTCTGTCTTTCCTCCGATTCATAAAGTCTGGGTGATACACAAGCAAGCTTTAATGCCTGATTTCTACTCCCCACCTTCACTGGAAAAGCAGGGGTTGTTCCTGGACAAAGAGAAAACAGTGTCTCACTGCCACCAAGCCCTGTCAGGTGTGGCAGGAGGTGTGAGGGGGATAGGAAGATGCACAGAGGGACTGCCCTCCATAGCTTGGGTCTCCCTGAAACTGGATCTTCCCTTGTGGAGTCGGGGAAGGAAGTATCGCTGCTTGTGGGTTTCAAAGATGCAAGGGAAGTTCATGGACTGGGTGTCCAAGGCTGCCCAGGAGAGGGGAGGTCTGGGTGCTCTGTGTATGTGGCCAGGTGGATGGACTCGTAACACCAATCAGGCATGGCCAGTGCCATGGGCCAAGACACCCAGGACAAATACCTCATCAGTTCTTTAAAATCAAAGCTAAAAAATCAAAATCACAATGAGATACCATTGTACACCAGTCACAATGGTTATTAGTAAAAAGTCAAAAAAATAACAGATGCTGGTGAGGTTGTAGAGAAAAAGGAATGCTTATACACTGTTGGCGGGGGTATAAATTAGTTCAGCCATTGTGGAAAGCAGTGTGGCAATTCCTCAAAGAGCTAAAAATAGAACTACCATCTGACCCAGCAATCCCATTACTGGTTAATATACACAAAAGGAATATAAATCATCCTACCATGAAGACATATGCACGTGAATGTTCACTGATGCACTATTCCCAACAGCAAAGACATGGAATCAACCTAAATGCCCATCAATGACAGACTGGTTAAAGAAAATGTGGTACATACACACCAAGGAATACTATGTAGCTATAAAAAAATGAGATCACATCTTTTGCAGAAACCTGGATGGAGTTGGAGGCCATTATCCTTAGCAAACTAACACAAGAACAGAAAACCAATTACTGCATGTTCTTATTTATAAGTGGGAGCTAAATAATGAGAACACATGGACACAGAGGGGAACAACACACGCTGACGCCTATGTGAGTGTGGAGCATGGGAGGAGGGAGAGCAAAAAAAAATAACTATTGGGTACTAGGCTTAGTACCTGGGTGATAATATAATTTGTACAAAAAGCCCCCATGACACAAGTTTACCTATATAACAAACCTGCACATGTACACCGAACCTAGAAAAAAAATTTAAAAAAAAAAAATAAAAGTTAAAAGCTAGTCATATTCTTACATTTCAGCCACAGCACTGGACTTAGTAGAAATTAATTAATTAAGTTCCATTAGCCAGATTTCTATTTAAGGCCTATAAGTATCAGTTAGGAACAGTCTGGTGGACCAAAAAAAGAGCCTCAGGCTCCAAAAAAGAAAATGTCCTGAGGACCCCCTACAGGACAATAGCCCCGTGGGGCCTTGCTGGTCAGCAGAGCAGCTATTCGAATGCAGTTCCACCAACAGCCTCAGGGGCACTGTGCTGGTGTGAATTTGGGGCTGAATGGAACATTATCTGGTTCCGCATGGTATCTTATTATTTGAAATTTCAGGCTATTTCTCTTCTGACTATACAAAAGTTTTCCTTTGAAGGGGTGCCAAGAAAGAATAGAGAGAAAAAAATACCTTTTTCATTTTCTAAATAAAACTTTAGGTGGCTCGAAAGAAGGCAATATATCCTGATGGTTAGAGCAAGGGTTTAGTAAGAGATTACCCTGGGTTAAACAACTGGGTAAGGACCTCAGACTAATCACTTAACCCCTGCTGGAGGAAATCTAAGTAAAAGTAAAATGTTGGAGTTTAGTATAATGTTTGAAGTTCATAAAACTGGCACAATGTCATCTACTTTGCTAGATTGTTAATAAGGATTAAATAAGATACAGCATTTAACACACAGAAATGCTCAGTAACTCACTATAATAATCAGACCCGAAGATTTATGAAAACCTGCTTCCTAGTTCAAGAGTTGAAGGAGGAGGTTGCTTACTATTTTTGCACAAGTTCAATTCCAAAACATTGATCTGTGATTAAATATCATAAAACTATCATAAAACTCACAATCACAAGCTACTTATCCAGCTCATAAATCACAGCTTTTTTCTACTTTTTGCCATCTGCTTATTAGGTAACTGTTTATCTACTAAAAGAAATAAAAGATGGAATTAAAATAAATCCATTTTTCTACCTGTTGACTTCTGTGATAAAGGGTCTTCACTGGGGTGATGGGGAAGTTCTGAAAATGGATACTGGTGATGGCTCCACAGCATTGTAAGTGTAGGACATTGTGAATGGCTTGGAACTATACATTTAAAAATGGTTAAAATGGCAAATGGTATGGCATGTATATTTTACCACAATTTTAAAAAGAGATCAGAAATCTCTTTTTAGAACCTGCGATTCACTCAAATATACAGCTGTCTGTGCTATGCCGTCCTCCATTACTAGACATAACAATAACTTGGATGTACCAAAAAGCAGATTATCTAAACAGATTTGGGAGTGAAAAGGAGGTTTGAGTATTCTCAGCACCATTACCAATTCTAATAATTCATCATAATAGTTTAATGGCTCTTTTTTCTGCTGAAATAATTATATGTGCCAAACTCAGCCTACTGATTAAGAATTGTAGCTACAAAGGCTAGCCTGGCAGTTTGAAAAATCTTAAGTGAATTTTATGAGATCAGAATCCTCATTCCAGATCTGTCTCTCCCAAGCCTAGGGCAACTGTATGGCTCACCATCTTGACTTTGAAGTTTTTCTCTGCTACAAGACTGTGGTTACCCACACCCTTTGCTAAAGGTGGATTCCCTCTATCTACAATCAGTTCTTGAGAAAATCAGACTATCGGCCAGGAAGTGAAATTCTTCTCTTCCTTTGAACTAAAAAGACTCTGCTGCTCCCTGTGCTGGATTGGTATCTGTCGGCATTCACATATGAGGCTCTCTCTGTCTCTCTAGAATTATTAACTGAAGTGAAGCCTCTGAACCTGTGTTAGACAGAAGTTGAGCCAGCAAGTACAGCCCCACATATGTGCCCTGTTTACACATTAGTTTATTTTAATTTCATTGTCAGATTTAATAATTCCATTTACAATTACATTTCTGGGTTACAAAACATCTTGCCTTTTGAAGCTCAGTGTCTTCCTTAAACAAACACACCCACACATTAAACACGCACACACCCTCTTAAAATATTAGTGCATTTACAAAAGGGAGGTCTTAGCCTTGAGAACGCAGGTGCTCCTTTCCATTTCTTTCTTCCAAAAAGCTTTCAGCGATTTCAGAGGCTACGTTGGGTAAATATATGAACAAGCCAAAGATTAGGGATTCTATTTACTTGGCTATTATTCTGGGCTGCCTCTATTATTGAAATTGTGTCATAATCCTAGAGCTAACTAAATTGTAACTCTGATTCCGTAACATGCTTTCCTCATTTATTCCTGCTACGCTGTGCAAGAAAAGCAGCTTTCTGCCAATGAACATCCTGTAAAGTTCCAAATCTTGCTTTGTACGCTGTGCGTTCATGCCTTTACATTCAACAAATCTTATTTTCCTACAAAATCATTTTACTGTAGGTAAGGCAATTACATACTAGTATATATATTAGCTACTAGTTAGCATACTAGTTGGCACATGCCACTTTTCAGATTTGTCCCCATGATATCTTACTCTGATAACCCAATAATATCTTCTTTGAGCATCACTGTATTCCCAACAAGGCAACTCAGTTGCCAAAAATTATGAAAGAGCAAGGGAAAAAAAATACAGTGGAATATGCATGCACATATTTCAAAGCAAAAACTTCCTGGTATAATGAGAAAGAAGTTGAAGAAATTACCAGCCCACACAGGTGAGTCAGAGTACCTGACTCTGAATCCTAGTTCTAATGTCTGCTACTAGGTGATCTCAGGCAAATAAGTTACTTATGCATCCCTTGGACTGTTTAGAGAATTAAATGAGATCATACAGCAACATGCATAGTACTTGGCACATCAAATACACTCAACAAATGCTTTTAGCTGTACTTAGTGTTATTGCTGTCACTATTGTAACAATGAACAATAAAATAACAAATGTATGCTTGGTTTGATTAAACTTTTATGACTCCCTCCTAGCCATTCAATGCTGGCAATATACAAGTAGCAGAAATTAGTTTTATTGAAAGTATTTGACATGAAGGATTACTTATCTTTAGAAAATCAATACACAGGCTATGGAAGCATTTAAATAAAATGTCTATCCTAATGTGGAATGCACGTGCATCAAAAGGAAGACAAAAATAAATCTAGTGTTGAAATTCCACTATTTTGAGTGTGTGACTTAAGCTTTTAAGAATTTTGTTAAAGCTCAGTTTTATTTAAACTGCTAGAAAGGGAAATTTAAGTACAGGTTGGCCTTCCTCCTGACCCTAAAGCTTAAACAAAACATACATTTAGTACCGAATGGAAAGAGAGTAAAGAAACTGTGTGTTACCTGACATACTCTAACTTATGTGATGGGTCACAAAAATAACTTGATAATGCTATTCAGATATTTGAGATGTGCAAACTCTACAATTAACCAGGGACTATTCAATAAGAGAAACTTTAATGTAAAGATAAACTATTAAATGTAAAAGAAAATCAGGTATAGGTATAATTTCTTAATCTAATTTCATTATTAATAATGTTACATCATAGTCATAAAGAAAAAGTTTCTTTTACATTTAGTTGAAAAAGACATAAACAAACACCAGAAGATGTCTTGTAAATGCTCTTTCAGGAAACAGTCCAGTTAAACCAAGAGAAATCTTGTTCCTACATCCTCTAGCAACATTTCATAAAAGAGTTGGCTAGCAAATGTCAATTTCAATTCTTCAACTAAAATCTGCTCTAAATCTCTATAATTATTACTATAATTTAACTTTTTACTGGTACTCCTTCCAAATGTAAATTCATCAGTGTATTGCCAACTTGTGATTTCCTCAGCCCTTGAAGCTTGATGCCTGAGGGTGTCACGCAGGAAAGTTAAGAATCTAGATCCAGACCAGGTGCAGTGGCTCATGTCTGTAACACTGGCACTCTGGGAGGCCGAGGCGGGCGGATCACTTGAGGTCAGGAGTTCGAGACCAGCCTGGCCAACATGGTGAAAGCCCATCTCTGCGAAAAATAAAAAAATTAGCGAAGTGTGGTGGTGGGCGCCCGTAATCCCAGCTACAGTCAGGAGGCTGAGGCAGGAGAATCGCTTGAACCTGGGTGGCAGAGTTTGCAGTGAGCCGAGATTGTGCCACTGAGCTCCAGCCTGGATGACAGAGCAAGACTATGTCTCAAAACAAAACAAAACAAAACCTAGAACCAGACGTTTGGGGATACAACATCTGCTTCTGTAACCTGTGTTTAGCCCACTCAGCACACTTTTTTTTTTTTTTTTGAGACAGCGTTTCACTCTTGTCACCCAGGCTGGAGTGTAACGGCACAATCTTGGCTCACTGCAACATCTGCCTCCCAGGTTCAAGTGATTCTCCTGCCTCAGCCTCCCGAGTAGCTGGGGCTATACGTACATGGACCACAGCCAGCAAATTTCTGTATTTTTAGTACAGATGGAGTTTCACCATGTTGGCCAGGCTGGTCTTGAACTCCGGACCTCAGGTGATCCACCCATCTCAGCCTCCCAAAGTGCTGGGATTATAGGCATGAGCCATGGCACCAGGCCAGAACAGTTTTAACCATAAGTTAAGAACACCATCTATAGGCAGAGTGCAGTGGTTCACGCCTGTAATCTCAGCACTTTGGGAGGCTGGGGCAGGTGAATCACTTGAGGTCAGGAGTTGGAGACCAGCCTGGCCAACATGGCAAAACCCCGTCTCTGCCAAAAATACAAAAATTAGCCAGGCATGGTGGCACACGCCTGTAATCCCAGCTACTCAGGAGGCTGAGGCATGAGAATCACTTGAACCAAGGAGGCAGAGGTTGTAGTGAGCTGAGATCACCTCACTGCACTCCACCCTGGGTGAGAGAGAGAGACTCCCTCTCAAAAAAAAAAAAAAAAAAATTAAAAAAAGGAACACCATCTATAACAAATGACCATCTTCAAAAACATCTTATGATGTTTCCATTCAGCACTCAAAGCACTGAGAGAACGTTACCTACATTCCTTTTAGAAGGTAGTATACACTGACATCATCTAAAAATGGAATCATTAGTATATTTTTTGGAATGAATCTACTACAAGATATTTACTTGAGGAAGAAAAACCTCTCAGACCTCAAAGTCAACCTCTGGACGTATCTCAAAATGGAAGAGGGACCCATCAAATTTATACAGAAAGTAGATGATAGCTTACTATTAGAGAAAACTGTCAAAACAAGCACTACCCACCAAAAGTAACGGTGACAAAACAGAAGTTGAAGAAGACAGTAATCAAGAGTCTATGGCTAAGAGGTGTCGAGGAGTGCTGTGGGGCAGCAGGGGCTCTGGAGGCAAAAGAGTGTGACCGACTCCTGACTATGCCAGAGAATGGCTCTGAAACAAGACCTTTGCTTCCATACATGGGAAGTGGAGATGACACGACCCACCAGAGCAGTGTTTGGTGGATTAAAGATGCTGCCCATGACCCACCTGGCACATTTTCACTCTGTCATTGTCCCTTTGCCTTTCCTGCATGGAGAATCTCCTTCCTGCATGCTGCTTAAACAGAGTACTATCTGAAATCATTTAGGCGGGATCTCTTGATGCCCAGGGCTTATGAAGAGGTGCTTGACTCTGGCCAGTAAGGACCTATTTGGGAATGGATAGCGGACCCCCTTTCTTCTAGTGGTGTCCCCTACTTATTATGCCTGCTATCTAGCTGCTTAACAGTCAGTACTCGTCCAGTGGGCAGAACCAAGCACTGTACTAGAACAAAAAGTGTCTAAAACACCGTGACAGGAAGGAGGAAGGGCAGGATAGGAGTAAGAGAACAGCTGAGAGACTGAACAAGTGTGGAGACAGCACAATGGCTATATATTTTTTTTCTTTTACATGATTAAAGAACTTCACGAAAATATTTAGCCTGTAAAATATCCAAAAATATTCATGTGATAAAAAAAATTCCTGAACCAGGCAAATAAAAACCTGTTCCCATTGTAATCATCACAACTTTTTGTTGTTGTTGTTGTTGAGACGGGGTCTCGCTCTGTTGCCCGCACTGGAGTGCAGTGGTGTGATTTCGGCTCACCACAACCTCTGCCTCCCGGGTTCAAGTGATTCTCCTGCCTCAGACTCCTGACTAGCTGGGACTACCGGCGTATGCCACCATGCCCAGCTAATTTTTGTATTTTTAGTAGAGAAGGAGTTTCACTATGTTGGCCAGGCTGGTCTCGAACTCCTGACCTTGTGATCAGCCCGCCTCGGCTTCCCAAAGTGCTGGTATTACAGGCATGAGCCACTGTGCCTGGCCTGTTTTGTTTTGTTTTGAGCTGGAGTCTCCTTCTGTTACCCAGGCTGGAGTGAGTGCAGTGGTGTGATCTTGGCTCACTGCAACCTCCGACTCCCAGGTATAAGCAATTTTCCTGCCTCAGCCTCCCAAGTAGCTGTGACTACAGGTGCATGCCACCACACCCAGCTAAATCACAACTTTTCTACAGCACAGGAAACAATTGCTCTTTTAAGTCTATTTTGGTATTCGTGTATTCACTCATTGCACAAATATTTATTGAATGCCGATGGGCTGAGCCCTGTAACAGGGGCTGCAGATACAGCTGTGAACATGACAGTCAGTTGCCCTCCTATCACAGAGCTTAGACTTTATTGAGGGGCAGAGACCATAAACCAATAAATGAAATAATACATGTTGAAATTAGGAAGTAAATGTTAATATGTGCTATGAAGCAAAAACAAAGCAGAGTAAGGGGGTAGAGAATGTCTGACTACAGGGGAAACGAAGAGACTCTATTCATAAATGTTTAAACAACCCATCAAAATTCATCAGAATGATTTACTTCCAACAGCAAAGTTTTACTTGGCATGCTAGTAGTTTTAAATCATCTTATCTTTTAATATTTAATGTATCTGTGTGAAGGGGTTTCCTCCTAAGTCCCTCCTAAGTCCCTCACAAATGTAAAACACATTTCCTTCCTCCTAAGTCCCTCACAAATGTAAAACACACCCTGGGGTGGGCACTTATCCCAAGCCAAGGCTGGTGCTTTGAGCACGTTCTGGCATTTATTTATGCTGCGCCTCCACATACCTGGAGGCACAGATGCTGCTGGCTCAGTCAGGCAGAACCTGTCAGGCGTTAAGGCTTATCTTTCCCTTGAAATCCCTTATTAAAAAAATAAAAAGCAAAGACACCTAAAAAATAAATTTAGGAATAACCATCCAGAGGTAGTGTGCATTTACTGTTCTCCTACAGTGCTGGGCACACCAGCCTTGCCACACAATGCCAATATTTAGAGATTGATCAGATTACATAAATGCTAACTGCATGCTTTAAAACTAGAAGTATTAACTACTACTAATTTTCAGTGCTATAAGACAATGTAAAACGCCTTTTCTGTTTCAGTATCTGTGTATACCTTTTGACAACAGGGAAATTAATCAAGCTATTGCTGAACAATGACTGTTTATTTAGCTTTCTTATTTTAAATGTCAGCAGTACTCCTGCTGACAGACAGGACTTATTGCTCCTCGATTGTCGTGATGTTTGTATTGTGCAAATAACACCAATAGCAAAGCCTTGCACTAAGCATGTTTTGCCTACTAGGTTAGTAATCAGGTTATTTTAAAAAAAAGGCATCAACGCTTATTATTTAAGCTGCTGTGTCACAAGACATCAAACTTTCAAGTGGACTAAATATTTTGGGTCAATTTGAATAAACGTGTCATCCTGTCAGTCAGAGCTGTCTGAAACTGAAGTGAGTTTCCTTGTGAAAAAGTGAGTTTCCCATCATCAGAACTGTATGGGCAAAGAGCTTTCTCCAGCCCATTCTGTACAGAGTCCTTCGCAGTCACTCAGAAACTGAATCCGACAGGCTTGGGAGCTTCCTGAGCTGAATTCTCGCAGTGGCCGAATTGCATAAGGGCTTCTTGATTTCTGTCCCCCGTGACAGTCATAACCATGCAACCATCTCTATAACAACTGAAGCACGGAGCTTGGGAGTCATCCTTGATATCACACTCACCCTCCTCCATGCCAACATAAAACTGATCTTGGCACTACCTGCCTTAAAAATACTGTAATTGGTTTCTCATAGTCCTCAGAATAAACACCAACTCTCTTTCACAGTATCCACAATGCCCTGCCCGACCTGACGCCCACTTACCTTCCAGCCTCATTTTGTGCCTAATACTCCTCTTTCAATCTCACCTCCGTGCCCCTCCCTCCCCCAAGTGGCAATGAAAAGGCTGCTGGGAAGAAGGGAAACATGGTGGAGTCAAGGTGTGGACCAAACCATGAGCAGTGGTGTCACTGCTAAAAACCTTCCCAAGGAGGTTCTTTGTTTTTAATTAAATTTTAAATTTCAGGATAGTTTTATATTTACTGAAAAACTGTGATGGAGTCAAGAGAGTTCCTCCACACTCCACACTCAGCCAGTTTCCCCTATCATTAATATCTTTCATCATGTGGCACATCTGTCACAACTCACAAACCAGTATTGACAGAATATTGTTAGCTCCAGCTACACTTTAGTCAGATTGCCCTGGTACGATCAAAACTAGCTGTCTTTTTTCTGTTCCAGGACCAACCAGGGGACCATACTACATGTAGCTGCCGTGTCTCCTTAGGCTCCTCTAGACTGTGTCAGCTTCTCAGACTTCGTTTTCAATGACCTTGACAGTTTTGAGGAGTACTGCTTAGGCAGTTTGCAGAATGTCCTGAATTTGGTGTGTCTGGCATTTTTCTCATTATGAGACTGGGGTTATGGGTTTCTGGGAGGAAAACTTCCCATCATATTATATCAAGGATGCATACTGTCCACATGACGCATCACTGATGCTGACCTTGATCATCTGACTGAGGTCGTATTTGTCATTTCCCCCGCTGTCTCTAGAGTGCTCTGGACGGAACTCACTCTGCACTGCCCACATAATGAGTGGGGAGTTATGTTCCACTTCCCTAAGGTGGGGAGTATGTACATAAATTACTTGGAACTCTTCTCTATGGGAGATTATTCTATTCTATTCATTTAATCATTTATATCAATATGGACTCATGGATATGTATTTAATACTTTGTATCACATCCCAAGACTGTGATTTATTTGGCTGCTGGAGTTGGCCCAGGTTGGGGCACTGGGAGCTCTTTCAGTGGGCCCCTGCTGCGATGACACATGCGCCCATCACTGTGTGTGTTTCTGGGCACTTCCTTCCTTTCTGGCACTATAAGATGCTTCATGCTCATCTTCTGTCTTCCTTGTTCCAGCCCTGGAATCAGCCATTTCTCCAAGGAGCCTTGGTTCCTCTTACTGGAGAATGGTGTAAACCCAATTTCTGGGTGCTGATGTGCTCCGTGCTGCTGGAACTGAGAACTGTTTTTAAAGAAACTAGTAGATAGATATCTTCATTGTTTGCATTAATCTTCTTGGAGCATGGAGGTGATTCTTTGGAGTATAAACCATAATTCTCTGGTTTGTTTCTTAAACAAAAAAAATTTAATAAGCTAGAAGAGATGATATAGGATAATATGGCAAAAGCGAGTGTGTTTGGCAGACTATAAATAAAGCTCTACAGAAACGTAAGGTATTATATTTTAATCAGCTTAAGGTAAGGCCCTGCGGGCTTCTAGACTTTGGTTTGGTGAGTCAGTCTGATGCGAAAAAACAAACAAAATCGAGTTTCAGTTTGTTGAGAATTGACTCATTTAGCTACTACTATTTCTTTCCATCTGATCTGATGTTTGGTCCATTTGAAAAACTCCATAAAGTTATTATTTAGTATCTCTACTTGCATACTGCTTTTGGCCAGAGAGATTCTGATTAGAAAGGAGCATGGAAATAAAGTTGTTTAATATTTACAAATAACCTCCTGGAATGCTAAAATCTTGGACTTTATCCTTTCCCTTCCCCTCCCCTCAGATTCTTTGCGGAAGAGTTGAAGAAAGAGAGCATAAGGAATTCTGTAACCAGAGGCAGAACCCAAAACTAACTGGGCCATGTCCTGCTTACATGGCTGTGGGGAGAATCTTTCCATCAGGACCCCCATGGCTAAAAATGGTTATAAACTAAATTGACAGCTTTGCCACAAAAGTCTAAAGGAGCTCACAGGAAGAGGAAGATTTTATTGTTGATCAGTGGATGTCAGGCAGGTCTCTCCAATGTCAATGAGAATAGATAGGTTGCGACATTAAAAAAAAAAAAACTTGGAGATCGTTAAGAGAACCATCAGGGCCCAAGACCCACATTGCTTACATCTCTTGCCTTCTAAAGGCCAGGTCACTTTCATGTCAGAATGTAAGGATCAACAGAGAAAAATGTGGGCAAGGCAGCACAGAGGGTATGAACACTGACAAAGTTTCATTATTTATAAAAATAGGGACAATATGACCTGTGTTATAGGGGATTAAACTTATCAGAGGATAAGTAAAATCTGAACCTAAAAACTCAGTAAGAGGGATTTACCTAAAAATTTTACATAACATAAAACACAAAAAGACCAAATAGTTTACAGAGGGCAATATGAAAACTTGCATGAGTAATACAATTGCCATTCACAAACTGCTGAAGTAATATAGTTTCCATTCCTAATATCTATATAATTCTACCAGTCTATTTGCTGTAGTAAGAAACAATTCTGCTTCCTAGTGGGGGCAAAGTATTACTTCCTTGCTATTCACAAGCCTCAGCATATCTGTCTTTTTAGAAAACTGCACATTTTCTGAAGTGGCTGTAATGGAAACTGAACCTTAGATCATGCTCACCATAGCATACTTAACAAATATTCTAGTATATATTTTATAAAATGGTAAAATGAATGGAAATGCCATATCATCATGGTTTATTTTAAGCAAAAACCTTAAGTTATCTTATTACTCAGAAATGTGATTTAACATAAGCCAAAAACCATTGTGGGGGTATGAGATGAACAGCAGAAAACCTTAACATTGACAATGAGAGTTAAACCTCACCCCAGATGTCTCAGCAATTAAGAAAGTTGGTTTCAGTCAGGTATTGCCACATGTGTTTAGTGGAGGATTAAGTGACTGAATGTCATGCCTATAATATATATATTTATGTAAGCTATGAATGTGTTTAAAAATAGACAAGGCCATACTGTCAATCTGCAAAGCTACTGCCACACGTCTGTACACACACCCCACCCCCTTCAGAGATTAAAAAAAGGAGAAGCAGATTAAAAAGAAGTGCTTTGGGCCAGGCAAGGTGGCTCAGGCCTGTAACCCCAGCACTTTGGGAGACCAAGGAGGGTGGATCACCTGAGGTCAGGAGTTCGAGACCAGCCTGGCCAACATGGCAAAATCCCGTCTCTACTAAAAATACAAAAATTAGCTGGGCATGGTGGCACATGCCTGTGGTCCCAGCTACTCAGGAGGCTGAGGCAGGAGAAGTGCATAAACCCAGGAGGTGGAGGTTGCAGTGAGGGGAGATCGTGCCACTGCACTCCAGCCTGGGCAGTAGAGACTCCATCTCAAAAAAAAAAAAAAAAATAATAATAATAATAAGACAAAAAAAGAAGTGTTTTGAAGTCAAATCACATTTTACCTCCCGCAAGGAAATTAAGTGACTTTCCTAAGTAATTTATAGACAGTAAGTAGCAGAGTCACTGACTGCAAATCCAATTCTATTTCACCATGTGATTGCTTTCTTTCTCTGGGGAAGAAAATACTGTTTTAACCACTATTATGTTGCCTTCAAATGGTATTTGGTGTGTTAGGCTTTTTAAGAAAGCCCCTGCTGCTGCAACTTGTCTTTTTTCCTGTGAGGATCACTCTATGTAAAGTTAAGTAATGGAAAACTTCTGAATAAATACCTTGCAGCCAAGAGTTAGAGAGCATAGATACATGGTTGCCTAGCAGTGGCCTTTAACTGATGAATGTAAAGCAAACATCAGGGAAAAAAGAAAGTAGAGGAATCCTGTGTGCTCAGGGACTTCCTTGAATAGGGTGTTGGCCTCTAGCTGGTGAGGACTAGAAATGGCCGAGGGACTCAGAGCTCTGAGCAGAGCCCTGTTCCCAAGGGATGACTCATTCTGAAAAAGACAAATAATCTAAAAGTTTGCCTATGTAGAACTTATTATTCAAAGATCAAAAGCATTCCCTATTTGACTTCTCTGAATTTGTATCATTCAAAGAGCACAAATATGAATACAAAGGTATTCTGACCCTAAGAAACACAGTCTTATAACTAAGGAGGTAAAAAAAAGTTGTGATTTGGTTAGGGAGGTACATAGTTTGAAGGCAGGTGTTCTATTTCTTTCCATTTTGCTATGTAATATAATTCTTTACATTTATCCAGGAAGCAGTTAAACAAAAATATATAAGGTACCTATAAAAAGTTACATTTTCATAGAAGAATACTGCCAACGAGATCCTGTATGCTTTTACATTACAAATCTCAGTAATTTCACCCATCACTCCTGGTAATACCCCAGTGTTAAGGCTGTGAGCCAACACCTAAGACCTGCTGTTTTGGGGTACAGACTGACTGCCTCCAAGAAAATGAGAAGCCACTACTATGGGTCTTAGCTTACAAATCCAGCCCTATGAAGTGACAACTGGCATAACCCTCTTTGCATGTCCCCCATTCATCTCTGACATGAAACAAATCATGTGAATTAATGAGATCTGACAGAACAGCATTAAGAAAAATATTAAAATGTAAAAGTAGAATTGTTCTATTGTTTGTGTTAACTAAAATCTGAATACTTAATCATCTCTGGTTTGAATGATGGACTTCTTTTTCTCTCATATGTGAATTTTAGTGCAGAAAATATTAAGTTTCTTAACACAAAATTGTTTTGGATAAAGAACAGAATTTTTGAGAGTTAGTTGCAACATTCTGGGAAGCCGACTAGAAAAGCACACCAGCCAAAAGATAAACACTGAAAAAGATTTACATTTTTTTCTTTTGATGGTATCTCCTATCAGCAAATGTTGAGGTGTAGCAGCATGGCCTGGGAAAGGATGAGCCAAGCACGGCTGCCAGGAACACACACCTCACAGAAACTCACCGCTTATTTCCGCCTTAGCTCGGGGTGGGCTGGCGCTACCAACCACCAGCCAAAAGTATACAATGTACCCAATCAGTAGCTTATTATGATGTGCCTATTGTTTCACTTTTGCCTGGGTCTGGAACAGACCCTGAACTAGATGTCCTGTCTGACAGTACAGGCAGCTGAAGAGCTTGGTCTGCTTGCTGCCTGAGGTCCTGGTTCAATCCCTGGCTCTTCCACATACTGCCTTGTTACATAAGCAGAGGGCCTAACCTGCTTATTGTCTATAAAACGGGGATCATAACTCCTACCTCATAGGGTTACTAAGAAGAGTCAATCAACAGATACATGGTAATCCCTAAAACCATCCCCAGAGGTGGAAAGTTCAATAAGGACCAGTAAGGACTAGCTGTAAATGATGGCTGTGTCAGCATGCACACTTCCTCACTCTTCACAAAGCTGATGGAATGAATGCAGTCTCCAAAAGAGCAGGATGTTTGTCTAAGCGTCTTTCACTACTTCACCTCTGGCACATGGAATCATGTCTGGCACATAATTAGCACTTCACAAATATTTGCTGAATAAATGAATGGCTGAAGGCACTGCACAAATATTTGCTGAATAAATGAATGGCTGAAGGCAAGAATCTGGAATTCTGCTAAAAAGGAGTACAGGCATTAGATTCAACAGTCTTAGGCAAGGAGACATTTAAATCACACTCATGACTACCCAGACACACTCAATTACTACAATGAAAACACTTCTCCAATATTGAAAGTTATTTCCTATATGCACTTTTTCAGATAGCCAGAAAACTTTTCAGATAGTCAAGCTCAGCTGCAAATATAACCATCAATATATTGCAATTATCTAGTAACATTCATATCTTCCTATAAATATTTGTAAGCATGTTTCAATGTTCTTATATTCATACATGAAAAATCATGATGATCACTTCCATTTACAATTAAATTTTCAGTAAAAATACTCAAATAAAAAATTACTGAGAAAATTACATAGAAAAAAAGAATTGTAATACCTTAAAGATATTAAGTTCTAATTTTTCAACAGGTAAAAAAACAAATCTAACCCAATGCCTTGGAATTTCTTGAAAATATGTAGTTTTAAACTTTCAGAAAAAGAAATAAAGGAATAAAAAATAAATGAGTTCTTTAGACTAAAAAAAAAACACTGTGACCTGTTAAAATCTAAAGGAAAATTTTCTAAGAGTTTATGACAAATAAAAAATTTTTCTATTAGAGTATAAGTAACACTTTGAAAGCTAAAACCTGAATCTTTATCCTGGTACTTGAATAAATCATGGCAACTAAAAATTAATTTACTTAGGACACAGTGAGACAGATGCTTAGAACACAATGCACAGCTAAGACATTTCTTTTTTATTTGCTTATTTATTTATTGTTTTGAGAAGGAGTTTTGCTCATGTTGCCCAGGCTGGAGTGCAATGGCACGATTTCAGCTCACTGCAACCTCTGCCTCCTGGGTTTAAGTGATTCTCCTGTCTCAGCCTCCCGAGTAGCTGGGATTACAGGCGTCTGCCACCACGCCCAGCTATTTTTTGTATTTTTAGTAGAGACAGGGTTTCACCATGTTGGCCAGGCTGGTCTCGAACTCCTGACCTCAGGTGATCCACCCTCCTTGGGGCCTCCCAAAGTGCTGGGATTACAGGCATGAACCACCACACCTGGCCTAAAACATTTTCTTTAAATGAAAAAAACATATGGAGAAAACATAAATCAGCTTTCATTATAGATGGTGCCATTTTGGTTTTGTTTTACCTTCAACCATGAGCATGGGCTCCCTGCCTCCACCGTGGGCCAGCATCTCCCTGCGATAGCGCTCCCCGGCAGCCCTGGGGAAGAGAGGTTCTGTTACAGACTCCTGCTTGCACAGCCTCCATTCACACTTGTCTTGAATTCTCAAAGAAAGCCACACTGATGCCATATTCATAAAAGCTGCCACCATGTGACAATTTGGCCCCTATTTTCTTGCTTCTAAAAATCAAATTCTGGCTTTTAAATTGTTCTAAAATAAATTAAATCAGGTGTGACATATTCCCTGTAAGAGGATAACTATACTTTTGGCTATCTGTTCTGTTAACAAGAGACCTCACTTTATAAAAATAATTAACTTATGTATTATACAATAGCTGTCCCCAATCTTTCTGGCACCAGGGACTGGTTTTGTGAAAGACAATTTTTCCACAGACGAGGGTTGATGGGGGAGGGATGGTTTCAGGATGATTCAAGAACATTACATTTACGGTGCACTTTATTATTACATTATACATTGTAATATATAGTGAAATGATTATACAACTCACCATAATGTAGAATCAGTGGGAGCCCTGAGCTTGTTTTTCTACAACTAGATGGTACCATCCAGGGGTGATGGGAGACAGTGACAGATCATCAGGCCTCAGAGTCTCATAAGGAGTGCCCATCCTAGATCCTTGTGAGAGGATCATAAGGATCACATGCGCAGTTCACAGTAGGGTTCCTGCTCCTATGAGAATCTAATGCTGCCACTAATTCAACAGGAGATGGATGGGGAGCGGCTGCAAATACAGATGAAGCTTCACTTGCTCACCCACCCACCACACCTCCTGCTGTGTGGCCCAGTTCCCAGTACCAGTCTGTGGCCTGGGGGTTGGGGACTCCTGTTACAGAATAAGTAAAATATTACATTTTATTCTCTATAAAAATAGTTTTGTGATTATTTTAAATGAGGCTTGAAATTATACCATTAAGAAATAATTTGTGATGGCACCTAATAAAGAAGAGAAAAAGAACACTCTAAAACAAGAGTGAAGGAAGAGAAGCTGGCAGGAAAAGGTTAATTACACCAGAAAACCTTGGTTCAGGATAACAGTTAACGGATCAGCAAACTCCACTGGAGTGTGCGGGTGATAAAGGCACAGTGGAGGCTGCCTTGTTCCCGTCTTCTGGTACTCTGTGTCACCTGGATATGCCTACCTGACGGAGTTCCACAAGGAACGCTGTTAATGACAATATGTGAAGGCAGGTTTGGAATAATTTTTGTAGACATAAATCCTCCAAACTAATGGGACCTGGAAACAAGTTATTTAGTACTACTCTTTTGTATTTTATGAAAAATGCAATTCCTTTAACATACATGACTACATACTATGATGAGACAGGTTAAATAAATTTTGATATTGTTTCCATTTGAGAAGCTCTGGAGCCTCTTTACATGTGGGTCATTTTGTGAACATGGTCTTTAATCAGACTTTTTGATAGCATTACAGTATCAAAAACATGCTGACATCAAACACTAGCCCTGGTCACATCCTGAAGTGAGTGCTAAGCGAAGCAGGAAGCCTGGACTGAGGTGGCGCCTCCCCTCAGGGGCAGGGGTGGCTGAGGGGCCCTGCCTGACTCCCGACCTGGGGTGCTCTGAGGCCCTTCTCAGCCATGGGATGTAGTGCCCTGACCCTAAATCAAATCCCTCCCCACAGGCCTCTAGCTCCTGGCTTGCCTCAGCTCTGCAATGCCTGGCTTTCTGATGTAGGCTCCAGCCTGGTTATTTCTCAGGAGTGAGATCAAAAAGGAGACTTTGACAGAGGTTAGAAATTTTCTAGTCTAGTGAGCATTTTTACTAGCTTACTTTAACATGCCCATAAAAGTATGGCAACTACATGTCTAGGCAAGAATGTACACATAAACAAGATATAAATATTTAGAAACGTATATATTTTATAGTATGTACTTTTCTAGTAAAGTATACTTCAAACAAGATGATATTTTGCCTATTTTACAGAAATCTACAGTAAAAAGTTATAATCCCTGAAACTGATTTACTGATGTCAAGTTTGGCTAAAGATCTTTTAAAAATAAAATCTGAAGAGCAGACCAAATGTCTACAGTCTGCAAAGGGCAGAAGACAAAATACATGTGAGTACCAAGCTGCAAAATATTTAAAAATTCTATGACATCACATTCAGACTCAAATAATTTGAAACAAATGTGATTATTAACTGCTGAGAAAAATCCAAGTCTAAGTCAAATTGTATGACAGACTGAGAGGGTGAGGTGGAGGTGGGAGGGAGAAAAAACCAGGAATGAGAAGACCTAGATTATAGTCTTAGTCCAGTTTTTAATGGTGAAGTCTGAACAAACTGTTTTCTCTGAGCCTCAGTTTTCTCTTATAAAACGTGCTGGTTTCTGCCAAGACTGCTGTGAATACTATGTGAAAACTCTAGGACACTCTAAAAACCAAGATAAAGCAGTAAAAATAGCACTCATCAGCCAAAGTTCCCTGAAAAGAATTTGGAGATGTAGTTATTTGTGTGGTGAGAAGATAAATGCTATAAACAACTCTGACACCAGATTATAATTACTGGTTTTCTTTCAAAGAAAGAGCCTTCTAAGGAATCATAGGACCCAAACTTGACAACGTCTTGGTTCCTATTGTTATAGGGATTCCTGTTAGGAGGATCAGGAGGCCAAATCAGGGAGCAAAGGGAAGATCTCCTACATCTCTCCAGCCAGCATGGGATCCTCTGCACCTCCCCAGACAGCACGGGAACCCTCGCACCCTTCACCCAGCACAGGACCCCCACGCACCTCTCCAGACAGCACGGGATACCCCACCCCCACCAGACAGCACAGGATCCCCCGCAACCCCTCAGCCAGCACAAGATCCCCATACCTCCCCAGACAGCACAGGATTCCCCACACCCCCAAGACAGCACGGGACGGGATCCCCCACACCCCCCTAGACAGCACAGGATCCCCTGCATCCCCCAGCCACAGCATAGAATCCCTCACACCCTCCAGGAAGCAAGGGATCTCCTGTACCTCTCCACCCAATGGAAGTTTAACCACTACCTGGCCTTTAGAAAGAGATTGGGAAAGCAGGACTACTGATCCTAGGCACCCCTACTTCCTCCCGACAATGCTCCCAGCCTCTCCAGTGCCTTGTTTTGCCTCCATTCTGTGGAAAGGGGTGGGCATCCCGTATCACGTGGTGAGGTCAGAAAAGCCAAGAAAACCCACAGGAGCAGCAGGGGCTGCTTCAGGTAGCACAGGAGCCCTCATACAAGGGTTCCCTCAGACACCACACAGCCACCTCTACACAGTGGCTGCAGGGTAGGGGGATGTCCAGGGCCACCGGTCAGCTGCGGGAAGCAGGAGCAAGCTTGGGTGGGAATGGCCAAGTGGGGCGAGGCTGTGTGGGGAGCCTGCCACTTTCTGCCAGGTTTGGCTGTGTTATGTGGGCTGCAGTTCTCGAGCCCGACTTCCAGATGTAATAGAGTGGGGAATTACTGTGGTCCAAGATGGGGACATTTTAGAACTTACCCCCTTACCTGTTGAAAGGATCCTGTAGAAAACACTCCTTCCAAACCATGGAGGCGACCGCTCTGGACATGAGGTAAGAGTAATATCTAGCACCATACCCCACGAGGTGGCTGAATCGCAGCTGCCAGGCCTGCCAAGAACAGAGAGACACAGCACGGGACACAAGTCAGTTTCCACTTGGAGAATATCACATGTGAGAACACAGTGGAGACACAGAGAGACCCGTAAATGCTTTCATTTGCATTTTACCCTAGAAGGCTACGTCACCTATGATATCAATATTTTCACATTTTATACACTGTTAGGGCTGAACTGTGTCTCCTGAAAATTCACATGTTGAAACCCAAAGCCATACCTCAGAATGTGACTTATTAGGAGACACAGCCTCCAAAGACGTGATTAAGTAAAAGTGAAGCTCTTAGACTGGGCCCTTGCCCAAACTCACTGGTATCTTGGAAGAGGAGGAAAGGTGGATGCCAGGGTGTGGGCACAGAGGAAAGGCTGTCTGCAAGCCAAAGAGGCCTCGGGAGAAGCCAGATCTGCTGACACCTTGGTCTGGACTTCCAGCCTCCAAAACAGTGGGAAGTAAATTTCTGTTGTTTAAGCCACATAGTCTCTGGCATTTTGTGAAGGCAGCCTTAGCACACTAAGACATACACAAAGAAAATTTTGTATCACATAAATATAATCATATATAGATGTATATGTTTTGCTCCAAATATATGGCTATTCTTCTTCATTAAGTGAGTTTAATTACACTGATTATAATACATTTTATTTCACATGACTATCTACAAAAACAGTAAAGTCAGGAGTTTATTTATTTTTAATAATTTAGTTAGTTCAGAGAGTTGTACTCTGCAATGATTCTCTGTTGCATGAACTGCTTTTCATGAACTAGTTTTTGTAACACAAAAACCTTCCATGTTTTTACCATAATTACATTTTATGACAAAACAAAAAGTCACAGAGCAGAAGAAAAATGGGACAGAATTTAAAAATCATTACTATACAAAGAGGGGTAATCTGGGAATGCATTCTTTTTTTTTTTTTTTAAGAAGAGACAAACGCTAAGAACCAAAGATAACCACCAGCAACTTGCCTCTCAGTGGAAGAAGGGTGAACAAACTGTTGTCCCTCCTTCTCTAAGCTCCTTCCACTTATTTTCTAATCATAAGAAGGAAGAAGCGGACACCTAATTGTTTTGTACAAGTTCATCACTTTGGGATTCACTTCTGTGACAGAAACGTAAAGACAGCCTAGAGACGGTGGCAGGAGTGCCAATGGTGGAGCCGGGTGGAGGTGCACATCTGTTCTGACCCACTTGGAACGCCTGGTCATCAACATTGGAGGAGAGAATTTGGAGTCTGGCACAGAGAGAGAGCATCCATTCTATCTCAGGACAATGTAGTAGTTATGATAGGAAAAGCCACATGGATTTTCATGGAAGGACACAGTTCCACTGGAAACTTCTTTTCCTACGAATACTGCTCTTTTTCTGTTGCTAAAGTGGAAAACATCTCCATTCCAATTCATCAGCAGGTGCAGGGCTATGCAAGCACGGCACACGAGCTTGCGATGGTATATCTGCTGTAACGTCACCCCAGCCAAGGCTGGGACTATGAAAACTGTCCTCAAAGGCTACACTTAGGACTTTAACATTTTTACTTTTCTGAAACAAATCTGACACAGCAATCATCCACTTTCTTCTGTCTTTATCTGACATAAACATTTCTTTTAAAAAACAGAAGCTTGGGCCGGGCACAGTGGCTCATGCCTGTAATCCCAGCACATCAGGAGGCTGAGGCAGCTGGGTCACTTGAGGCCAGGAATTCGAGACCAGCCTGGCCAACATGGTGAAACCCTGTCTCTACTAAACATACAAAAATTAGCCAGGCGTGGCGGCACAAGTCTGTAATCTCAGCTACTTGGGAAGCTGAAGCAGGAGAACTGCTTGAACCCGGGAGGCGGAGGTTGTAGTGAGCTAAGATCGCACCACTGCACTCCAGCCTAGGCGACAGAGCAAGAATCTGTCTCAAAAAATAATAATAATTAAAAAATAAATAAACAACTTTTTTAAAAAGCTTAACTTTTTTTTTAACCATGATAACAACACTCTTTAACAAAGCTGTTAACTCCCCAGAAAATAAAGAATAAACAAAGTATAATCCTTGCTACAACTCTATAAACTAGATAAGTGAATTCTAGTTAACATATCAAGGAAGAAACATTTTTAAAAATATGGTTACTTCATCACAGGAACGTGGCAGCATACTCCCTGTATTCACTACACAGTGGCTTAAAAGACGCATGGCAATGCTAGTGACTCTCTGGTTATGTCCGATTCTCCAAGACAACTAATTTGCTTGGGCTCGGCAAGGGCTCTGTCATAAGGAAGGTGTGCAGGAGCACTGCAATCAATTTAGGACATGGGGGCAGCACCTCAGAGACACACTGCACCTCCACATCCGTTCTCCTCTTTCTGTAAGAAGATATGATTGGAAGTCAGGTGGGCGCCTTGTGAGTGGTGTCCTGAAGGAATGATCCATGCCCCTTCCTCCTTGGGGATGCAGCCAGTCAGAAGTGTGGGCCTGTAATGGGGCAGCCGCCTCCTGTGCTGGGCAGGGGCACTTGCACGGCTATTGTTTTGGGTCTCTTGCACAGCAACTAGACCTGTATCCCTACCTCACAGGATACCCCAACTTCAGGCCCAAATGCCACCCCCAAACAGTACCATGAATACACAACCAACAGCGGGGCTGAGGCTGCTGGAGGTGCAACAGATGCCATGCCCTTGGTAGAGCTGTGCCCTAGGTGGGAGGAGCTGGACACTCAAAATGTGGCCTGCACAGTCTTTTGCCAGCAAGGTCCCTCCAGCATAGTGAAGGGCAGAGAAAGGTAGACACGTACTTTTCATCCTATTAAGATGCAAGTGCTATTTAAAACGAAAGCAAAGAGACTAGGACCATCTATGAATTAAATTCTAGTATAACAAACTTTGAATAACTACATTTTTAGTCAAAAGGCTTTTAGAATTCGTTTACAACATATACACAGTCCAATGTACTCTGTCTTATTTAAAAGGGGTATTTGTCAGTTTTTCTTTTTATGCTGGAATCCTAATCTACTAAATGATGAGAACTCATGGACCACTGGTAGCCTTTCTCGTATGAAGCAGTTTGGATGTGAGGGTATCTTCTGTAATGGAATACAGCCTGCTGTTTTAATCTGATACTCCAACAAGATACGAGCACTTGTACTACTGATGATAAGCGTCTCTCAGGGTGGAAGCCCCGGAATTTGTAGCATACAGTTAAGGGGCTTTGTCTTTGAAACATTTTCTTCATGGTGATTTGCCAGAACTAGTTTGGCAGCCTTTGCAGTATAGAGCAGAGTTTAATTCTGTTTAGATTCAAGCTGAATACAGCTTTGTTTTATCTTGAAAGCAGGCCCACTTCAATAGTGGCATTTGATCTGAGCTAAGAAATGTCTTAAGTTCCCTGGTTTCATCAGCTCATAACTGAGTTCCCACATCCCCCATAAACAGAGTTATAAAAATAAGACCTTTCAGAATGGTAGAAAGAGACATCAGGATTTGTGCATGCATCATTTCCTAGACAGCCAGGGGTCTGCCTTATCCTGATCCCCCTGCCTGAATCCAGGTCTTCTGGCACACACATGCCCCGTTGTGTCTTGCTCTTTAATTACAGGTTTGGGTTCAGGACTACACCTCAAGACATGCTAAATAAATTATCTCCACCTGACACCTTTCATCATAGGTTTGCAAGTCTGTGGCTAAGACCTACAATTCCACTGTTGTTTGAACACAATTGCTGAATTCCTGCTAATTCAACCTAATATTAAGTCCTTATTACCATTTCACTCATTCATCTGGAAAAATAAAATATAGCATTTCATCTTAAGCGCTGGAATTATGATATCCTCTTCCTTTTAAATTGAAGTTTTCTTCTTCCTAAGGGATATTTGTCAGATGGATAAAAGCTTTCACACTTCCTTCAGGATATTTAACGTGTGGATCTGATTTCAAAAGCAAACCATGCAAACATCTTTGTAGTTTTCCTTTTATTACGGTGAGAGACATAGATTTTCAAATCCTATTGCTGTCCCAAGGCATGCCTATTTAAACCTTCCTTGAGTTACATAATCTCAGTGATCCCATACGAAAGACAAAACTTGGAGCCAGCAAAGCAGCCTGTCAGGAAACCCATGGATATGGTCACTTGCTTTAGAACTTCAGAGAATGGAAGGCTCTTTGATCATTTTTACTTGCCTATAGCCCTACTCTAATGCCACGATTTTCCAGGGCCGGAAATGGAAAGGTAGCAATGAGCCATTTACTTACTATCTATTTTCAGTTTCAAACACAGAACAGGGGCTAGTGCAGAGCAAGCACTCAGTAACTGTGTGCTAGATATGGAATAACGGAACTAACCATTTCTCCCAATTATACTCTTTTTAAATTTTTTTAGAGACATGGTCTCACTCTGTGACTCAGGCTGGAGTGCAGAGGCATGAGCATGTCTCACTGTAACCTGGAGCTCCTGGGCTCAAGTAGCCTCAGACCTCAGCCTCCTGAGTAGCTGGGACCACAAGTGTGCACCACCATAATTGGCTAATTTTTAAAAAAAATTTTTGTAGAGATGAGGGTCTCTCTCTGTTTCCCAGGCTAGTTTTGAACTCCTGGCCTCAAGTGATCTGCTTACCTTGTCAAGTGCTGGGATTACAGGTGTTAGCCACTGTGCTCAGCCAACTATACTCTTAAATAGTATACCATTTCTTCATGTCCAGCTATAAATGTAGAAATGCTTTAGCTAAAATTTATTTTCAAATGATTTTTATCACTGGAACATTATACAGTTGACTCTTGAACAACACAAGTGGATCCACTTATATGTGGATTTCTTTCAATGAATACAGTCGAATACATATTGGCAGGTTCTGCAACCACAACCAAACGCAGGTGGGAAATACAGTATTTCAGGGATGTGAAACCTGCATCTATGGAGGGCTGAATTTTCCTGTCTGCAGGTTCCACATGGCCAATCACAGGACTTGAACATGCTCAGATTTTGGTATCCATGCTCGGGGGGTGGGTCCTAGAACCAATTCCCCACAGATGCTGAGGGTCACTATACAGTAGTCCTCCCAACTCAAGTGAAAAGGTAACAGCAGCTTTCCTATCCACAGTTTCAGTTACCTATGGTCAACTTCGCTCCAAAAATAGGCAGGTGTACCATAATTACATATTTTGAGAGAGGGAGACACCACATTCATAAAACTTTTATTACAGTACATAAGTTGTCCTATCTTATTGCTGTTAATCTCTTACTGTGCCTAATTTATAAATGTCACTTTATCATAGGTATGTATGTATAGTATATATAGAGTTCAGTACTATCTGTAGCTTCAGGCATCCACCTGGGGCCTTGAAACATATCCCTTGAGAATAAGCGGAGGACCCCTATAAACCACGAGTATAGAAATGCAACCTATTGCTCTGATGTGTGTTATAAACTTCCCAAGGGCATGGCCTACATATTGTGCCCATGTCTGGACTTACTGCAGTACTGGAAGCACAACGGGAACTCGACAGCAATCTGCTGAATGAATGGATGGACAGATGGACACCATGGGATTCTTTCACAATGACATTCAATGTTACTGACAACTGGACATCTGGCTGAGATGCAGAGTCCAGGAATAATATTTCTGGTTTACAAGACCGGTGTATTGGGTTGTACTACAAGGGCAGTTTCATTTAAGTAATTTATTTTCGACTAGGGAAGTGAGTGGTATTAGGGTAAGAATGGTAGTGAAATATATTAAATACATTGACTATATACCAATGATGATGTGACACTGTCTGAGAGAGTACATTTCAAGACCACCACACAACAACCATCCAAAAAGGCCTCTGATATGGAATAATCCTATTCATTATTTCAGAAGTATTTTTCTTCGCCGGATTCTTTTGAGCATCTACCATATCTGTTTTGCAGATAAGAAGATACTATGGTGTTAAAAACAAATTTGGATCTTAGGCTGTAAATGATTTTTAAAAATAGTTCTTTGACTACATTATTTGATAGATGATGTAAGGTTTCTCAGGCTAATTTTGGTACCACATCTCCAGGTCTGGATCATGCAGAGAATCTGAGTAGGGCTTCCTAGAGTATGTTATCTCCTTCAAGCCTTAGAGACTCTAAACAAACAATGGGCTAGTAATACTGTATGAGCTCATATAATCTTGTTGTTCACACTTGCACCTGTTGTAATCAGGATAACAAGGCAGGAAGAAGCAAGTTCCTGAGCTCGTCTTCATAGAAAGACCATTTTGAGTTCTCACATTCTCTGTGTACAATATCACTGGTCTGCTAAAAAAGATACTCCAGAAGTGTTTAACGATTTAACCACAATGTAGAGCAGAGGACATATCCTTCTATTTGCCTCACACATCCATGCTCTCTCTCTCTCTCTCACTCACTCTCTCAATGTGTGGGCATGTTCCATGCATCACTGGAGACTAGTGCTTCTAACTGATAAAAAGTCCCTACTGACAGTTTACCAAAACCCATGAAATAACAGTGCCCAACAGACAGGAATTCTCCATTTGGAATATAAAGTGTTGTTAAGTGGAACAGTTATTGTGGTGGACACACTCTCAGGAGGCCCCCATGACCCATCCTCCTGATGGTCACACCTTTGTGGAATCCCCTGCCTTAAATATAGACAGAAGCTGCTCCTTGCTCCTAACCAACTGAATATGGCAGTGGTTCCGGATGTCACTCCTGTGAATACATTGTGTTATCCATGATGTCTCCATCTCGCTAGCAAGCTCACTCTAGAACACTCCTTGTTAGCTAGAGGAAGAAGGTGACCATGTTGGGAAAGCCCACTGTCAGAGGTCTGGGGGAGGACCCTGGAACCTGGGGGGCCCTCTAGGACCTGTGGGTAGCCTAGAGCCAACCGGTAAGAAGCCTGTCCTCAGTGCTATAACTGTAGGACATGAATTATGCCAATAACCTGGGTGATGCAGCCAAGCTCCCAGATGAGACTGCAGCCCTGCCAGCAACTTGCCTGCAGCCTTGTGTGACCCCCAGGCACAGCAAGCAGCTACACTGTGTTGACTCCTGATCCAAACCAACTGTGAGATAGGCACTGTTTTAAGCCACTACATTTGTAGAAATTTTTATACAGCAATTGAAAACTAATACCAATATCTATTTTTTTAAATGAGACTTAGGTTAAAAATACTATTTTGAGAATAAACGCCTGCAAATATGGAAGGTATATAAAGATATACCTTGTGTCTTTGTGAAAATGTTTGAAGGGCAGTATCTTTGTAAATTTTTTTTTTTTTTGAGACGAAGTCTCACTCTGTTGCCCAAGCTGGAGTGCAGTGGCACGATCTCGGCTCACTGTAACCTCCACCTCCCAGGTTCAAGCGATTCTCCTGCCTCAGCCTCCCAAGTAGCTGGGACTACAGGCACGTGCCACCATGCCCAGCTAATTTTTTTGTATTTTTAGTAGAGACGGGGTTTCACTATGTTGGCCAGGCTGGTCTTGAACTCCTGACCTCGTGATCTACCTGCCTCGGCTTCCCAAAGTGCTGGGATTACAGGTGTGAGCCACCACGCCTGGCCCTTTGTAAATATTTTTTAATTTTTTTTTGTAAATATTTTACTAGCTTATATTTTATAAATAGACTTGAAAAGAGCGATTTGCCCAAGGCTACTGGCAGAGATTAGTAAGTGTTCCTTCCTTCATTTTCCCCTTTTTCCTTTTAGAAACAGAATAATACCCTTTTCTTGCTAAGTGTGAACAGGACTCTCGATTGCTGTGGCAGTGACTGCATTTCCCAGATGCCCCGAGGCGTGTGGCTGTGCGACTATATTCTTGAAAATGGCTGTGAGTAAAGGTGACGTGTGCAGCTGGGTTCTGCAAAAGGAAGCTACTCGCCCTCCTTGTCCTCTTTCTCCTTTCCTGCTAGCTTTGAAATGGTGAAGACTGGAATCACCACCTTGGACTCAAAGGTGAACACCAGATGCCAGATGTTGATGAAGCTACCAGCTCACTGGTTCTATCTGCTAGCTTGATAGGCAAGGGGAGGCCAAGTTTACACCCGGCTTGATTTTACATCACTAACACCAAAACTGATGTCTATGCCACATTCATGTTGTGTATGTATGACACCTGTAACTTTTAACTTTGTTTCTACCATGTCTGCTAAAATACATATCAAAACACACCACAGAGCTATTTTTACAGCTGAAAAGAAAGTTCTTACACAAGCTATGTTAAGTAAATACTATAGTTTAAAATGTTGACCAGGCACGGTGGCTCATGTCTGTAATCCCAGAACTTTGGGAGGCCAATAAAAACAGATTGCTTGAGCCCAGGAATTTGAAACCAGCATGGGTAACATGGTGATAACCCATCTCTACCAAAAAAACAAAACAAAACAAAAACAACCCAAAAATTAGCTAGGCGTGGTAGCCCACCTATAGTCCCAGCTACTCAGGAGGCTGAGGTAAGAAGGATCACCTGAGCCTGGGAGCAGAGGTGGCAGTGAGCTGAGATCACACCACTGTACTCCAGCCTGGGTGACAGAGTGAGACTCTGTCTCAAAAACAAAACAAAACAAAAACCCACACAAAGTAGTATGGCAGATGTAATGTTAAGGACAAACAAAATATTAACTAGGAGCACATCTCTTCAGTATGCTAACCTCGACTGTTAATGTAATTTATATGTAATATTAAAAAACCCCTGGAAATACAGGATTGTGTCTATCAAAAGCAAATCTACTAGCAGAGCAGGGATGTAACTGACTCAAATGGAAATACATTTATTAGATGAGACATAGAAAGGTAACATGGATCTAATTAAGACAAATGAAAAACAACCACCACAGAACCAGAACCAACAAATACTTGCTCTTTTTCTTCCCAGTCAAAACTCTTTAACATTGCTTTTTCTCTCTCCTCCAACATCTGCTGAGAAAATGGTAAATTGCCCCGTCATTCTAAAGGAACCCATGCTAACATTGGGAAAGTGTCAGAGAAGTTAACACAGAAAATAAGGACGTCCATGGTCAGGAGAGTCAGCCCAGGACAGCAACGGGGCCTCTGTAGGAACAGGTACTGTGTCTGAACCCTGATCAGGCAGCTCTGGGAGTCAATGAAACCCCTGAGGCACACGACAAGAAGGGTTCTGTTTTTGTTTTCATGATAATCATAAGTCCTTCAGTAAAGGAGGTGTGTCTGCATAGGATCAGGGAAAATCCATGAAAGGAAAAATGGAAAAGGACATGAGTGCCCTTTGTAGACCATGAGATTTTCTCTCCAGGCATAGAGTACAACAAAAAGTGATGCAGAAAGGACAGTAACTTCTCAATGGGAAGGAGTCCAAGGGCAGGTGTATCACCAACAGATTGCACACAAGTGTGCAAGGAAGCAGGTGTGTGGGGGGAGGGCTATAACTGGGCTTTGTGGGCAGAGGCTCCATTCCTGTAGGGGCTCATAGCTTTAGAACCCAGGTCTCCGCCTGCCGTGGGGAATCAGGCAGCCAGCACCTCTACCCTGTTAGATAAACTTGCAATACAAAAAGGAGAGGGACAAATGGGACAATTTGATGTCACATACGGCTGCTATGGTCCCTTCCAAAACTCATGTTGAAACTTAATCCCCAAAGCAGCAGTATTGAGAGGTGGGGCCTTTAAGAGGTGACCGGATCATGAGGGCCCTGACTTCATAAACAGACTATCATGGGAGTGGGACTGGTGGCTTTATAAGAAGAGGAAGAGAGACCTGAGCTAGCCCATGAGCACACTCAGCACCCTTGCCATGTGAGGCCCTTTCCCATCTTGGGACTCTGCGGCGTCCCCACCAGCAGGAGGGCTCTCACCAGATGCAGATCCTCAACCTTGGATTTACATGCCTCCATTACTGTAAAAAATAAACTCCTCTTTGTAAATTACCCGGTTTCAGGTATTCTGTTATAAGCAACAGAAAATGGGCTAGGAAAGGGCCTACTGACTTCTTTCATTAAACAGGCAAGCAGAACCCTGGAATGGCTTCCTCAGACCATGTCCTGCTCAGACTTCACTTCCTGTCACTCTCCCGTTGTTCACTGTGCTCCAGACATGCCACTGACTTGCTGGTCCAGTAGCCTCCAGGTAAGCTCCTGATCCTAGCTCTCTCCTCTCTGCCTCAGATACTCTTCCCCCAGGTCGATCCATATGGCTCATTCTCACTTTCCTCAATGTCTTTTTAAATTACGCTTCTTCAACAAGACCTTCTCTGATGAGTAAAAAAAGGGGAGGGGGTCAGGATGCTGTCTCAGTGCCAATTCCAGGCACAATTGGAACAACCGGTTTCACTGCTGTCCCCCTGCCCCCAGGCAGCTGGGACCTCAGCATCGAAGTCTGTGCAGATGAACTCCCACTCCATACCCTCTTGCTCAATCAGGGCCTAACTCCCCTGCCTGCCAGCTTGGCCTCCCCCAGGTGCTCTCTGGTGTGGCTGATGTCCTGCAATTGGGCTGGAGTCCTCACCTTCAGAGCCACTCACCCACCACCAGAGACCGCCACTGCCCCCTCCCCATTAATCTAATCAGCCAGCACCTGGGATTATTTCAGTGGGAAGATTTATTGAAGAGGGGGTAGAACACACGAGTTTATTATTTTCTAATGAGTTTGTATTGTCCCTTTACAGTCTTCATAGAGAAAACTGGAGAGGCTGTCCTAACTTCACCTCAGCATTGGCCGTGGCAGCGAGGGCCTGCCCTGTGTCTTGTGCGTGCTCACCACCCTTTCCTCTGTACCTCTGCATGGCGCATAAACACTAGGCACAGAGACTTGAAAATCATCCATCTTTCCAAACCTCACTGAATTCACAACTGGCCAGCACTAGAGAGGACCCTGACCTCATGGCTGCACAGTCACTGGGGGGTGCAGACAGTAAATCCGGGATCACTGGACAGTCACACTGCAACAAGTGCTATGGGAATGCAGGCTCTGCACTTACCGGCTGCACAGCCAACACCAGATCCCACAACCACCCTGACCGTGGCCACACCCACCTCCTAGGGCTATGGCATGGGCTAAAGGAGAGAAGGGAAGGGAAAAGTGTGCACTGTGCTGGTCCTCGGGATGGTCCAGTTTGTCAGCTGCTAACAGAATCCTTTCTAAGCAGGGTGGACATCAGACACCTCTTTGTATCAGTGACTAGTGGGGTGTCTTCAATAAATATTTACACAAACAATGATAAAAGGAGCAAGAATATTAGACATAAATGACTATAATTTGGAAACAGTTTACATCTGTAAGTTCAAATTCTTTTTCTATAATTAACCAGTTTCAAAAATCAGTAAAATTATAAAGTTATCAACAAATAGGTAACATGTAACTAATTTGCTGACTACACACACACACACACACACACACACACACACACACACATCTGCATTTCTGAAGTGACAAAACAAAATTAAAATAATACTGCTATTAGCTTCTCATAAGCTTAGGCCAAGGTGTATGTGAAATACTGAAGAATGCATGACTCCTACACAGACTCTTCCCTAACAGTCATGTTTCATCTGAAACCCGTGAAATGTGGTGTTTGCACAGCCACATCCTCATTTCAGTGTCTCTTACCTATTAACCCTTACCTAATAACTCTAAATGATTCACTCAACTTCCTTGGTTTGAATAATTGCTGCTCCCCAAACTTATTTTCTCATTTTAATGGTGAAAGATCCCCCTAAGATCCTATTAAAAAGTACATCCTATTAACTTTCCTTTACATTGCCTAAGAGGTAAAAAGCCAGACGTGTGCAATTAGGAGGTGTGTCTTACGAAGGATTATGCTCCTGCTAAGATGAAACTAAATTAATAAAGACAATAAAAACAACTTCACCTCCAGGAATCCGTAACAACTGCCCCCCCACTTCCCATGTAAAGGCATTCCAGAGCTTATTAACTGCACATTCTAAAGGATAGCCCAGGGCTTGTGACAGTATGTCATTTGCAGGTCATGTTACCACCTGTATTTTGTTCAGAATAACTGACAGAAATAAAGAATGTGACTGAGCCACCGAAATGACTAAGGCTGCCTGCATTCTATCAACATGTGATCAATCCTCCCTGATTGTCTCATCTGAAGAATTTCCAAAATTCCTGATGCAAGAGTTTTTAGCAATTTTTTTTTAACAACAACAACAAAAAAAACGGCTACAGTTGTGGCTGAAATATATGGAAAACTTGGGTAATGCCAAACAGTACATATTATGGAAATTTAAAAAACATATTAGATAAAAATATTCAATACCATTAGTTAAAAGTAGTATTCACTATAAATAATGCTGCTGCGCTGAAGTATTCTTACAATTATTAGTATAAAAAGAGAATCAACTAGCATTACTTTAAAATGCTATAATATTATAGGTATTTTATATATAGAAGCTCTGTAAGAGCTTTCTTCTCACATCTCCTAAGTTTGAAGGTTTGAGGTGTAATGTTAAAAGGATCTGTGGTGAATGACAACTTGTTGAAGGCTGAGGTGAGCTGATGGCCTCATATTTCCTTCTAGATCTATAGGTTACAACGTTAAACCTAATCCCTCAGAACACTAGCCAGAACACCCTTCCCAGGAAAGCTGGTCTCTAACTTCTATGGCAATTCAGTCTCCCTCTTCCTGGGAAGGAATGGAGGCATTGAGTGTGGCCCATCACAGCCCTTCCCTGCTCTAAGACAGTGACTCTTCTTTAAAAAATTGAGATAAACATCACATACCATATAATTCACTCTTTTCAAGTGTACACTTAAATGGTTTTCAGTATATTCACAAAATTGTGCAACTTTAAAAAACTGAGATAAACATCACACACCATATAATTCACTCTTTTCAAGTGTACACTTTAATGGTTTTCAGTATATTCACAAAATTGTGCAACCATCGTCACTAACTCCAGCACATTTTCTCACTCCCAAGAGAAACCCCGGGCCCATTCGCTGTCCCTCTCCATTCCTCCTTCCTTCAGCTCCTGGTAACCACTGATCTATTTTCTGTCTCTATGGATTTACCTGTTCTGGACATTTCATATAAATGAAATCACACAATAGAGGTTTTTTGTGTCTAGTTTGTCGCACCGAGCGTAATGTTTTCAAAGTCTATCCATGTTGTAGCAATACTTCATTTCTTTTTATGACCAATTTTCCATTGAGTGGATACAAGGCTTTTGTGCATCCAGTCATCTATTGAGTGGTTTCCACTTTTTGACTATCATGAATAATGCTGTTATGTACATTTGTGCATACATTTTTGGGTGGGCATATGTTTTCAGTTCTATTGGGTGAGAGTTCCCTACCACCTGGGAGTGGAACTGCTGGGCCATCTGGTAACTCTGTTTAACTTTTTGAGGAGCTATGAGACTGTTTCCCAGAGCTGCTGTACCCTTTTACATTCTCACCAGCAACGTATGAGGGTTCCAATTTCTCCACATCCACACCAACACTTGCTACTGCCCATCTTTTTATTATATCCATCCCAGTGGGAATGAAGTAGTCTCGCACTGTGGTTTTGATTTGCATATCCCTAATGATGCTGAACATCTTTTCATGTGCTAATTTGTCATTTTTGTATCTTCCTTGGAGAAATATCTCTTCAAACCCTTTGCTCACTTTAAAATGGGTTGCTTTTCTAAAGATTAAACTCTGATCAGATACATATTCTCCCATTCTGTGGGTTATTTCACTTTCATGGTAGTGTTCTTTGGATACAAATTTGAACTCATTAAAATTAAAAAATTTGTCCCCATTAAAATAAAAAAAATCTTCTGTTTCTTTGGTTGTTTATGCTTTAGGTGATGTATCTAAGAAGCCATTGCCTAATCCAAGGTCATAAATGTGTATGTAATCCTATGTTTTCTTCTAGGAATATTCCAGTTTTAACTCTTAAATTTAGGTCTTTGATCTATTTTGAGTTAATTTTTGTATATAGTACAAGGTAGGAGTCCAATTTCATTCTTTTGCATGTGGAGATCCAGTTTTCCCAGCACCATTCTTCGAAAGGACAATTCTTTCCCCAATTAGTTGTCAACTGAACATAAATGTATGGCTTTTTTTTTTCTGGAATCTCAGTTGTATTCCATTGACCTGTATGTTTATCCTTATGCCAGCACCACACAGTCTTGATTACTGTAGCTCTGTAGTAACTGCTTCAATTGGGAAGTGTGAGCCCTCTAGCTTTGTTCCTTTTCAAGATTGTTTTGGCTATTCTGGGTCTCCCACATTTCCGTGAGAAATTTTATTAGATTTGTCATTTTCTATAAAAAAAAGCAGCTGAGGTTTTGATAGAGATTGTGTTAAATCTGTAGGTCAATTTGGGGTGTATTGCCATCTTTAACAATAGTAAGTCTTACAATCCATGAACATGAGACATCTTTCCATTTATTTAGGTCTTCTTTCTTTCAATAATGTTTTACAGTTTATACTTTACAAGTCTTGAATTTCTTTTGCTAAATTTATTCCTAAGTATTTTACTCTTCCAGATGCTATTGTAAATAGAACGGTCTTCTTAATTTAATTTTTAGGTTGTTTATTGCTAGAATACAGAAAAACAATTTTTGCATATTGATCTCATACCATGCAACCCTGCTGAACTGGTTTATCAGTTCTTTTTTTTTTTTTTTTTTTTTTTTTTTGAGATGGAGTTTTGCTCTTGTTGCCCAGGCTGAAGTGCAATGGGATGAGCTCGGCTCACTGCGGCCTCTGCCTCCCAGGTTCAAGCAATTCTCCTGCCTCAGCCTCCCTGGTAGCTGGGATTACAGGTGCACACCACCATGCCCGGCTAATTTTTTGTATTTTTAGTAGAGACAGGGGGGTTTTGCCATGTTGACCAGGCTGGTCTTGAACTCCTGGCCTCAAATGATCCACCTGCCTTGGTCTCCCAAAATGCTGGGATTACAAGCATGAGTCACTGCACCCAGCCTATCAGTTCTCTGTGTGTGTGTGTGTGTGTGTGTGTGTGTGTGTGTGTGTGTGTGTGTATTCCTTAGGATTTTCTATATACAAGATCATGCATGTCATCTGCAGAGAGATAATTTTATTTCTTCCTTGTAATATGAATGCTTTTAATTTTTTTCTTGACAAATTCCTATGGTGAAAACCACCAGTACAATATTGAATAGAAGGGGCAATGGCAGACATTGCTGTCTTATTCCCATCTCAGAGGAAAGCTTTCAGTCTTTCACCCTGAGTATAATGTCAGCTGTGGGCTTTTTCTAGGTGCTCTTTTTAGGCTGGGGATCAGCATTGACTCTTGATTCCTTATCCGCAGTTACTGCCAATCAATCCTGAAGTCCTGATAATTTTATCTCAATATATTCCTTGTAGTTTTTCCCTTCCATACTCATCCTCAATGCCCAGGTTTAGATCCTCATCACCTCTTGCCTAAACTGTAAGGCCTTTGGGGTACGTAGGGTCTATGTGCATATATGTTTTACTTACCAAAAAAAGTTACATTCATTAAACAAAACCAAAATGCTGTGGAAAATGAAGACAAGAACAGGCAGCAGCTACCAGAAATAAAAATATCCTTGCCAAAACAAAAACAAAAACCAAACCAAAAACAGTGGGAAGAGCAGGAGGATAAAATCAAGGCAATCTCCAAGAATAAAGCAAAAACACAGGAAGAAGAGATAAATCAAATGGAGGAACTTCTGTTTCATCAGCATAATGGGTCTGCTATTTCCAACAGTCCTGAATGAAACAACTAAACTCTGGATAAAATATTTAAAAGAATTTTTTTTGGTAAATGTGTTGCTGAGAGAAGAATAAAATGTTATCAAAATGATGTAGATCATTCCAGCAGATTAAAAAACAGATGTTTTTAAGTATATGGTCATATTCACTGTATTTTTCTATTTGTTTTCATCTATTTCTTGGATAGATTGTTTTCTCCCTGCCTTCAATCTCTGTACCCCCCATCTATCACCCATACTGAAACCTTAACTTTTTGCCTGCAGCTTATATCTGCTCATGTCACTTCTCTGCTTACAAACTTCAAACCTCTAAGGCCTCCCTATTCCCTCCCCAGTCATATATAAGCCTCTGAGCAGACATAAAGAACTCTTCAGGACTTGATCCCAGTCTGATTTTCAACCCCCAAACAACAGCCCCTCCCTTCTGTTCCAAGTTCCCTATCATCAAGCAACCAGGACTAATATATTCTCTAACCACTTTCTATCATACCTTACCTGTTCCTCACTCCCTCCTCCCTACTGTGGCTTAAGCTAGGGTAAAATCTGAAGCAGAAGCAACTAAGCCCAGATTAATGGTCATTTCTGACTCCACGAGGCAAAATTCAACACTTCTCTATTTATAATAGTGTTCTCACAGCACTGCATTGTATCATTTTTCACACTGTCTTGTACATGTATATATCATCCATCCTGAAAGATGTCATTCAAATGAATTAACACACATGAGGAGAAGTGGTGGTGGGATTAAATAAAAGTTGTGGTTTTAGTGTTCTAAATAATTTAGTTCTAAAACATCTCTATCGGAAAAAGGTTTTATGGTTGACTTGGGAAAGAAAGTAGAATAAGCAAAATCACTGGGCAGGATAAGTTAACATGGAGATTTTTCAAACTGTGCACCAGTATCTACTAATGGTTTGTAAAATCTGTACAGTAGCTTGTGACCTGCATTAAAAAAAAAAAAGAAGAAAATGGGACAGAAAATATATAGTGCACAGCACAGAGGGTAACTTTAGATTTGTGGTACTTTTGTTTCAGTTTCACTCCCACATATATGTACATATACACCTAAATGTACATACATGTATCTGTACAATAGATCATAATGTAAAATGCATTTCTTACTGCAGGTTTGCTCAAAATGCTTAAACGCCAGTGAGTAAACAGTTCAAGGACAGATTAAAAAATCAGTGCTACTAAAGTAAAAAGAGAAGTCAAGGATATAAAGGCAGGTGAAAATGCTTAAGATGGGTGATCTCGTGGCTTATTCTGACTTTACCCATGGGGCAAGTGGACCATAAACACAGCAATGGCTGCTGTGGCTCTCAACTCTGAGCACTTTAAAGTATTTGTGTTTCTCTAACATGGTAGCATCAGAATGCAGGGCAAGTCCCAGTGATGTGCAAGTCTCTACTGATCTTGCTTCTGTTGTTCCTGTCTTCATGATGCACTTAAAATCTGGTTATCATCTAAACAGAACAAAAGGAGTCATAGGTTGTAGGTTAAACTTATAAACTATGTTTTGCTAACCATTCTGAGATGCACCATCCTAGAAAATAAAAGACAGTGAATTTCTGAAGTAATCATAATGAACAAATAGAGGATGTGAAAGTAATTCAGATTACTGTGTTACAGTATTGTACCACAGTTAATTTCCTGGGTTTGACGGTACACATGGTTACACAGAATGTTATCACTGGGGAAGCTGGGTGAAAGGTACTTTGCAACTTACGAACATAAACTATTTTGAGATAAGAAGTTATTAAAAAATAAGATTAGAGTGTTTTGTGAATTCCAAGGATTAGTCCAATAGACTAGTTTGAGATTGACTCCACTGCAGTAATCATGTTTATTACTCACTACTGATGAGCTTAGAGCTGAATTACCTTATTTCAAATAAGCAAACTCCACTGCACCTAGTGTTACTCTACTTGCCTTCAGTACTGTGCTTCTCTAAACTAACTGTGGCAGCATATTATTCTCTAAAATATTTTAATGTATTTCTTTATTCATGTTCATTTAAATTCAATCAGGACAGAGTGTTCAACTTCTTAGAGGACATACTAAGTTTTAAGAGGGAAAATGGGTTAGAAAAAGTGGTTATGAAATAAATGTAAACTATCATTTGATTTATAGACATCTATTGCTTCCATTTAAAGGACTTAGCAGTATGAAAGGATTGTTTAGACGTACTTTGGCTTAAGTGGGAAAAAGTTATGGCTGCAATTGTATAAATCATTTCAAATACTGTTTGATTTTAGCTTTTGAGTGTCTGAGTTTTTCTAAATGTTCTGAGAAAGTCTGGTTCACTTTTCACTCTCCATAAATCAGCAAGTATTTCAAAGCTTCCCCAAGACACAAAAAAACATACACATGTGAAAAGAATGATTGCATCATCACTAAGTTAGGAATTTGAAGATAATGTATGTTAAAGAAAGCAAATAACTGCTTTCTTTTATAATTATTAAATATATACATTACAAATCATGATGTGTGCAAGACACCAAGATAAACTATTCTAGCACATTAATAATCACATATGGTCATGGAAGGCTGTTGGGGGCACGAATCACCATAACCATGCTCAAGCAACTAGCTGTGCATTATCATGGGGACCCCTGGTGGCCTGGCCAATGGCTAGCCTTGGGGAGCAGAGACTCCCTCAAAACTCACTAATGAAAGAATGCTGAACACACAGATTCCCATCAATTTTGGTCTATTTGTTTTTCTTGCTTTGACACATCCTATGTGCAACTGATTTTATTTATACATACCATTTTTATCATGTCAATTACCCGTTTTTTTCAATTCCCCTTTCAAGCTCTACATTATTTTATTATACTGACAATAATAATAATAATAATACATGACATCTGCTTAGTGTTTACTGGGTGCCAGGCACTGGGCTAAGTGCTTTGATCATACATTATTTCAGTCATAGTCCTGTGATTTAGATATCACCATCTTACTGATGAAGATCTCACGCCTAGCTCACCTGATTCTACAACACCACACTCTACAGTATGCCTGAATTATCCATCATATCTGATTAATCTCACTCTCCTCAGAGGAGCCACCTCTACTCATGTTGTAACTCCTCCACACAGAGCTTCAGCTTTGTACAACCTGTTTCCACACATAACTTTCTCAATCCTTTCTTGTTAATTTGAATATGCCCACTCTTTATCCTGGAATGTTCTCTTCTCTCAAGTACACACACTAGCACTCTTTCAAACCATAGGTCAAACCAGAAACATGCCAAATAAGGATGTTTGCCTTTTCTATTATTATTTAGCAACAGTTTGAAAGTTCAAGCCATTGAATCAGCTGAGGACAAACAGAAACGTACAGCTATTGGAAAGCAGCAGCAAAAATGTTATTTACAAATGTTGTGAGTGATGTGTATGTAGAAAACCCCGAAATTGTGGCAGGTATCAAAGATAGTATGTTTTCATTAGAATTTCCAGCCACAAAAATCAACAAATGAAAACAAGTAACTTCCTTATGTATCAGTGATAATCAGCTAGAAAAAGGTGGGAGGATAAACATCCCATTCACAACAACAAAAAACCATAAAACAAATACATTTAAAAAGGTGTATGGGGGGGGCAGTTCCAAGATGGACGAATAGGAACAGCTCCAGTCTACAGCTCCCAGCGTGAGTGACGCAGAAGACGGGTGATTTCCACATTTCCAACTGAGGTACTAGGATCATCTCACTGGGGCTCGTCGGACAGTAGGGGCAGGACAGTGGGTGCAGCCCACCGAGTGTGAGCCAAAGCAGGGTGAGGCATCGCCTCACCCAGGAAGCACAAGGGGTCAGGGGATTCTCTTTCCTAGCAAAGGTAAGGGGTGGCAGATGGCACCTGGAAAATCGGATCACTCCCACCCTAATACTGTACTTTTCCAACGGTCTTAGCAAACGGCACACGAGGAGATTATATCCCGCGCCTGGCTCAGAGGTTCCCACACTCACAGAGCCTCGTTCATTGCTAGCACAGCAGTCTGAGATTGATCTGCAAGGCAGCAGCGAGGCTGGGGGAGGGGCGCCCACCATTGCTGAAGCTTTGAGTAGGTAAACAAAGTGGCCAGGAAGCTGGAACTGGGTGGAGCCCACCTCAGCTCAAGGAGGCCTGCCTCAGTAGACTCCACCTCTGGGGGCAGGACATTGCCAAACAAAAGGCAGCAGAAACCTCTGCAGACTTAAATGTCCCTGTCTGACAGCTTTGAAGAGAGTAGTGGTTCTCCCAGCATGGAGTTTGAGATCTGAGAACGGACAGACTGCCTCCTCAAGTGGGTCCCTGACCCCCGAGTAGCCTAATTGGGAGGCACCCCCCAGTAGGGGCAGACTGACACCTCACACGGCCGGGTACCCCTCTGAGACGAAGCTTCCAGAGGAATGATCAAGCAGGAACATTTGCTGTTCAGCAATATTTGCTGTTCTGCAGCCTCCGCTGCTGATACCCAGGCAAACTGGGTCTGGAGTGGACCTCCAGCAAACTCCAACAGACCTGCAGCTGAGGGTCCTGACTGTTAGAAGGAAAACTAACAAACAGAAAGGACATCCACACCAAAACCCCATCTGTACGTCACCATCATCAAAGACCAAAGGTAGATAAAACCACAAAGATGAGGAAAAAACAGAGCAGAAAAGCTGAAAATTCTAAAAATCAGAGCGCCTCTCCCCCTCCAAAGGAACACAGCTCCTCACCAGCAACGGAATAAAGCTGGATGGAGAATGACTTTGATGAGTTGAGAGAAGAAGGCTTCAGATGATCAAACTTCTCCGAGCTAAAGGAAGATGTTCAAACCCATTGCAAAGAAGCTAAAAACCTTGAAAAAAGATTAGACGAATGGCTAACTAGAATAACCAGTGTAGAGAAGTCCTTAAATGACCTGATGGAGTTGAAAACTACGGCACAAGAACTACGTGACGAATGCACAAGCTTCAGTAGCCCATTCGATCAACTGGAAGAAAGGGTATCAGTGATTAAAGATCAAATGAATGAAATGAAGCGAGAAGAGAAGTTTAGAAAAAAAAGGGTAAAAAGAAATGAACAAAGCCTCCAAGAAATAAGGGACTATGCGAAAAGACCAAATCTACGTCTGATTGGTGTACCTGAAAGTGACGGGGAGAATGGAACCAAGTTGGAAAACACTCTGCAGGATATTATCCAGGAGAACTTCCCGAACTTAGCAAGGCAGGCCAACATTCAAATTCAGGAAATACAGAGAACACCACAAAGATACTCCTCGAGAAGAGCAACTCCAAGACACATAATTATCAGATTCACCAAAGTTGAAATGACGGAAAAAATGTTAAGGGCAGCCAGAGAGAAAGGTCGGGTTACCCACAAAAGGAAACCCATCAGACTAACAGCAAATCTCTTGGCAGAAACTCTACAAGCCAGAAGAGAGTGGGGGCCAATATTCAACATTCTTAAAGAAAAGAATTTTCAACCCAGAATTTCATATCCAGCCAAACTAAGCTTCATAAGTGAAGGAGAAATAAAATACTTTACAGACAAGCAAATGCTGGGAGATTTTGTCACCACCAGGCTTGCCCTACAAGAGCTCCCAAAGGAAGCACTAAACATGGAAAGGAACAACTGGTACCAGCCACTGCAAAAACATGCCAAATTGTAAAGACCATCGATGCTAGGAAGAAACTGCATCAACTAGCGAGCAAAATAACCAGCTAACATCATAATGACAGGATCAAATTCACACATAATAATATTAACCTTAAATGTAAATGGGCTAAATGCTCCAATTAAAAGACACAGACTGGCAAATTGGATAAAGAGTCAAGACCCATCAGTGTGCTGTATTCAGGAAATCCATCTCATGTGCAGAGACACACATAGACTCAAAATAAAGGGATGGAGGAAGATCTACCAAGCAAATGGAAAACAAAAAAAGGCAGGGGTTGCAATCCTAGTCTCTGATAAAATAGACTTTAAACCAACAAAGATCAAAAAAGACAAGGAAGGCCACTACATAATGGTAAAGGGATCAATTCAACAAGAAGAGCTAACTATTTTAAATATATATGCACCCAATACAGGAGCACCCAGATTCATAAAGCAAGTCCTTAGAGATCTACAAAGAGACTTAGACTCCCACACAATAATAATGGGAGACTTTAACACCCCACTGTCAACATTAGACAGATCAACAAGACAGAAAGTTAACAAGGATATCCAGGAATTGAACACAGCTCTGCACCAAGCAGACCTAATAGACACCTACAGAACTCTCCACCCCAAATCAACAGAATATACATTCTTCTCAGCACCACATCACACTTATTCCAAAATTGACCACATAGTTGGAAGTAAAGCACTCCTCAGCAAATGTAAAAGAACAGAAATTATAACAAACTGTCTCTCAGACCACAGTGCAATCAAACTAGAACTCAGGATTAAGAAACTCACTCAAAACTGCTCAACTACATGGAAACTGAACAACCTGCTCCTGAACGACCACCGGGTACATGACAAAATGAAGGCAGAAATAAAGATGTTCTTTGAAACCAGTGAGAACAAAGACACAACATACCAGAATCTCTGGGACACATTTAAAGCAGTGTGTAGAGGGAAATTTATACCACTAAATGCCCACAAGAGAAAGCAGGAAAGATCTAAAAATGACACCCTAACATCACAATTAAAAGAACTAGAGAAGCAAGAGCAAACACATTCAGAAGCTAGCAGAAGGCAAGAAATAACCAAGATCAGAGAAGAACTGAAGGAGACAGAGACACAAAAAAGTCTTCAAAAAATCAATGAATCCAGGAGCTGGTTTTTTGAAAAGATCAACAAAATTGATAGACCAGTAGCAAGACTAATAAAGAAGAAAAGAGAGAAGAATCAAATAGACGCAATAAAAAATGATAAAGGGGATATCTCCACCAATCCCACAGAAATACAAACTACCATCAGAGAATACTATAAACACCTCTACGCAAATAAACTAGAAAATCTAGAAGAAATGGATAAATTCCTTGACACATACACTCTCCCAAGACTAAACCAGGAAGAAGTTGAATCCCTGAATAGACCAATAACAGGCTCTGAAATTGAGGCAATAATTAATAGCCTACCAACCAAAAAAAATCCAGGACCAGACGGATTCACAGCTGAATTCTACCAGAGGTACAAGGAGGAGCTGGTACCATTCCTTCTGAAACTATTCCAATCAATAGAAAAAGAGGGAATCCTCCCTAACTCATTTTATGAGGCCAGCATCATCCTGATACCAAAGCCGGGCAGAGACACAACCGAAAAAGAGAATTTTAGACCAATATCCCTGATGAACATCAGTGCAAAAATCCTCAATACTGGCAAACTGAATCCAGCAGCACATCAAAAAGCTTATCCACCATGATCAAGTGGGCTTCATCCCTGGGATGCAAGGCTGGTTCAACATATGCAAATCAATAAACATAATACAGCATATAAACAGAACCAAAGACAAAAACCACATGATTATCTCAACAGATGCAGAAAAGGCCTTTGACAAAATTCAACAGCCTTCATGTTAAAAACTCTCAATAAATTAGGTATTGATGGGACATATCTCAAAATAATAAGAGCTATTCATGACAAACCCACAGCCAATATCATACTGAATGGGCAAAAACTGGAAGCATTCCCTTTGAAAACTGGCACAAAACAGGGATGCCCCCTCTCACCACTCCTATTCAACATAATGTTGGAAGTTCTGGCCAGGGCAATCAGGCAAGAGAAAGAAATAAAGGGTATACAATTAGGAAAAGAGGAAGTCAAATAGTCCCTGTTTGCAGATGACATGATTGTATATTTAGAAAACCCCATTGTCTTAGTCCAAAATCTCCTTAAGCTGATAAGCAACTTCAGCAAAGTCTCAGGATACAAAATCAATGTGCAAAAATCACAAGCATTCTTATACACCAATCACAGACAAACAGAGAGCCAAATCATGAGTGAACTCCCATTCACAATTGCCTCAAAAAGAATAAAATACCTAGGAATCCAACTTACAAAGGATGTGAAGGACCTCTTCAAGGAGAACTACAAACCACTGCTCGAGGAAATAAAAGAGGATATAAACAAATGGAAGAACATTCCATGCTCATGGATAGGAAGAATCAATATCGTGAAAATGGCCATACTGCCCAAGATAATTTATAGATTCCCCATCTATAAATAGGGTAATGCCCTATTTATAGGTAATGCCATCCCCATCAAGCTACCAATGACTTTCTTCACAGAATTGGAAAAAACTACTTTAAAGTTCATATGGAACCAAAAAAGAGCCCGCATTGCCAAGACAATCCTAAGCCAAAAGAACAGAGCTGGAGGCATCATGCTACCTGACTTCAAACTATACTACAAGGCTACGGTAACCAAAACAGCATGGTACTGGTACCAAAACAGAGATATAGACCAATGGAACAGAACAGAGCCCTCAGAAATAACACCACACATCTATGACCATCTGATCTTTGACAAACCTGACAAAAACAAGAAATGGGGAAAGGATTCCCTCTTTAATAAATGGTGCTGGGAAAACTGGCTAGCCATATGTAGAAAGCTGAAACTGGATCCCTTCCTTACACCTTATACAAAAATTAATTCAAGGTGGATTAAAGACTTACATGTTAGACCTAAAACCATAAAAACCCAAGAAGAAAACCTAGGCAATACCATTCAGGACATAGGCATGGGCAAGGACTTCATGTCTAAAACACCAAAAGCAATGGCAACAAAAGCCAAAATTGACAAATGGGATCTAATTAAGCTAAAGAGCTTCTGCACAGCAAAAGAAACTACCATCAGAGTGAACAGGCAACCTATAGAATGGGAGGAAATTTTTGCAATCTACTCATCTGACAAAGGGCTAATATCTAGGATCTACAAAGAACTCAAACAAATTTACAAGAATAAAACAAACAACCCCATCAAAAAGTGGGTGAAGGATATGAACAGACACTTCTCAAAAGAAGACATTTATGCAGCCAACAGACACATGAAAAAATGTTCATCATCACTGGCCATCAGAGAAATGCACATCAAAACCACAGTGAGATACCATCTCTCTCCAGTTAGAACGGCGATCATTAAAAAGTCAGGAAACAACAGATGCTGGAGAGGATGTGGAGAAATAGGAACACTTTTACACTGTTGGTGGGACTGCAAACTAGTTCAACCATTGTGGAAGACAGTATGGCGATTCCTCAAAGATCTAGAACTAGAAATACCATTTGACCCAGCCATCCCATTACTGGGTATATACCCAGAGGATTATAAATCATGCTTCTATAAAGGCACTTGCACATGTATGTTTATTGCGGCACTATTCACAATAGCAAAGACTTGGAACCAACCCAAATGTCCAACAATGATAGACTGGATTAAGAAAATGTGGCACATATACACCATGGAATACTATGCAGCCATAAAAAATGATGAGTTCATGTCCTTTGTAGGAACATGGATGAAGCTGGAAACCAACATTCTCAGAAAACTATCGCAAGAACAAAAAACCAAACACCGCATGTTCTCACTCACAGGTGGGAACTGAACAATGAGAACACTTGGACATCATACACCGGGGCCTGTCTTGGGGTTGGGGGAGGGGGGAGGGAAAGCATTAGGAGATATACCCAATGTAAATGACGAGTTAATGGGTGCAGCACACCAACATGGCACATGTATACATATGTAATGAACCTGCACATTGTGCACATGTACCCTAGAACTTAAAGTATAATAAAAAAAAAAAAAAGAAAAAAAGAAAGAAGTCCTCTAAAAAAAGAAAAAAAGGGTGTATGAGGGACTTCTAAGAAGAACATATATGATAGTATGCTAGCAATAGGCAGGTAAATCGAACAGTAAAAATTTCATATTAAAAATCCATCAACAATCAATTAAAAACTTCACAAATGATTATCCAGCCTGGGCAAGAACATCTGAGACAGAAGGCTGAGAAACAAATCTTGTTGCATATGAAAACCTAGTATCTGACAAAAAAATACCTTTTCAAATCAGTGGGGAAAAGACGAATTATAACGATGTAGAGACACTAAATCTGCCAGTGACTCACGTCTGTAATCCTAGCACTTTGGGAGGCTAAGGCGAAAGGACCCTTTAAGCCCAGGAGTTGAAAACCAGACTGAGCAACATCGTGAGACCCTGTCTCTACAAAAAACAGTAATAAAAAAAAATTAACCAGGCATGGTGGCACATGCCTGTAGACCCAGCTACTCAGGAGGCTGAGGTGGGAGGACTGCTTGAGCCCGGGATGTCAAGGCTGCATTGAGCCATGACTAAGCCCCTGCATGCCAGCCTGGGCAACAGAGTGAGGACCGTATCTTAAAAAAGACAAGAAAAACTAAAGCTGGTTCCAAATTTCATACTTTACATCAAAACAAATTTACATAATTAAAGATTTAATGTGAAAAATAAAATCATAAATACTAGAAGAAAATATAGGCAAAAATTTAAATAATCTTAGATAAGAAGTTCTCTTTAAGCATAACAGGAAACGGAAAAAGTCTAATAGATTTAATTAAAGCTATCAACAACATACAAGCAAAACAACAAAAATAAAATCTTTTCGATGTTAAAAAATCATAAAAGATGAAAGACAAATAACAAAATAGGGGAAATACGTATATCAAGAAGGATAAATGATTAACATTTTCATAAAAATCAATAGCAAAAGAAAGATCAACATAAACATGGGAAAATAATAAAAATAGGCATTTCACTCCCCATATAGTTGGTAAAAAGAAAAAAAAATAAGGAAAGAGTGACTTTACTAGTAATACATGAATTGCAAGCACAACTAAGTTAGCATTTGTGGAGCATCAGATTGGCAAAAATTAAAATCAGCAGTGAGGGTTGTCAAAAGAAAACTACCTAATCTATTGCACAACTTTGCAACGTGTCTGGGAACATCAACTTTGCTTACCTTTTGGCCCAGCAGTACACTGTTACGGACTTATTTTAAGGCTAAAGTAGTCAAGTGCACAGAGTTATGCAGACCTTCTATAATAACGAAAAAGGAGTACACAATCTTGAACACAAGGAGGGTCTGGGGCAAGATTTCAGAGCAAGCAGAGTGAATGTGAATACTAACTTCAACTAGGAGCAGAAGTCACACATGGGAGACAAACCAGGGGTGATGGGAACGCCACAGCTTGACACGCAGGTAAGTGGCAAGCAGATTGCTCAGTGCAAAGTATCCACATGTTGTGTCTGACACACAGTGGTAAAGGTCTTAGGAAAATGTCTGATGAACAAAAATGTACAAAGTTTAAACTACACATCTTAGTTTGGGCTGCTATAACAAAATACCATAGACTGGGTGGCTTAAACAATAGAAGTTATTTCTCATAGTTCTGGAGGCTGGGAAGTGCAAGAATCCAGGCACCAGCAGATCCAGTGTCTGATGACGGCCTGCTTCCAGTGTGGAGATGGCAGTTTGCTTGCTGCATCCTCACATGGTAGGGTGGGGGGAGAGAGAGCAAGAGCAAGAGACGGGGAGAGGGAGAGAGAGAGAGAGAGAGAGAAGACAGAGAGAGAGAGAGCACAGCAGGAGTGCACATGCTTCTCCTGTCTCTTCTTCTAAGGCACTAATCCCTTCATGAGGGCTCTATCTTCATATCCTAAAGATCTCCCAAAGGTCCCACCTCCTCACACCATCCTATTCATTTTCATTTATTGATTTATGTGTGTTTTATCCAGGCAAATAACACACTTTCTCTTTCTCTCGTGTCCCCTACCACGGCACTTCCAGGGAGTGCTCTGCAGTGAATGATTGCTCAGCATTGCGAAAAGTCTAGTTACCACCTCCAAGAATATCTCTTTTAGGATGCAGCTTTTCCGAGGCAAGTGAGTTTGCATTCTCTATCTCCAAGATCATTTAAAGGAGAGGGAAAGAATTTAGGCTCTAGGGAAATGGATGTTATATCTAGAACTAAAGCCATGATGACAGGAAATTTCTACTCTGAGCCCAAGTTAAGTTTAGTCCTGATCCTCCACCTCAGCTGCACTCTTCAGGTAAAAAAGGGTCCCTATGATTACTATCATTTCCATGAGCGTGGCCTCTTTAATGGTTCACAGAGAACTGAATGGCCATACCACTGGGAGTCAGCTGGAGGAGGGTGGGTGTGCATATGTTTGTGTGTTTCCTCTTCTGATTTTAGAAGGAATACATGCTCATTAGAGAAAAAATGGAATACTGTGAAAAATATAAAAAAGGAAACTCCCACCCTTAATCCACGTGTGTGATCAATATTTGCTAATGTTTCAAAGTTTTCTTCAGTCTATTTTAAAAAGACAAAATCACACTATGTATACTTTCCTATCAGTTTTTCCCTAAACTTATTTATGAATTCTTTCTAAACATGAATGACTGCATATTATTTCATATGGGCCATATTAGGCTATGCTATGTTACAATGTGATCACATGAACCCTAAAATCTCTGTGTTTGCTCCTTGAGCATACAACATGTCATCACAGGTCAGTGGGCCCGTCTCGCACTATCAGTATTTAGGAACCCATGTTCTCAAGACCTCCACCAACTGGAATGTCATTGACTGCTGAACCAAGGGCAGGAGATGTGGACAACTGTATAGTAGCTCTCGAAGGCCACAGCCTAGGAATGATACACATCACTTCTGCTCACATTTCTTTGGTCATATTAAGTCACAAGGCCACAAATAACTGCAAGGGGCATGAAAGTGCAATTCTACCATGGGGCAGAGATAGGAGAGCTGGATTACTAGTGAGCAGGCCTAGTGACAACCACATGATGCGCACTAGTTTATCTAGCCATTCCTTGAATGCTGGATTCTTTCCAATGTTTTTGTACATGTTATGATGATCAGTTCACCAAGCTTTATTGGATTTCTATTTATTCCTTTAGAACAAATTCTTAAATGTTACATTATTGGCTTAAGGGATATGTAAACTCTTCAGGTTCTTGGTCCCTCCTTTTAAACAAATTTATCCTTTTATGAACAAATATAAAATTATCTATCTCAGTGGAGCAATCCTCCTACCTCAGCCTCCCAAGTAGCTGGGACTACAGGCATGCAGCAACATGCCCAGCTAAGTTTATTTTTTGTAGAGACATGGTCTCGTCATGTTGCCCAGGCTGGTCTTGAACTCCTGGGCTCAAGCAATCTGCCCACCTTGCCTTCCCAAAGTGCTGGGATTACAGGTGTGAGCCATTGCACCTGGCCAATGTTGGGATTTTTAAAAAATTGTTCTTCTGTTGTCATTGTTTTATTTGTATGAGCTCTTTATGCAGCAAAACGTAAACCATATGTCACAGATGTTATAATTTAAAAAAACCAGTTTGTTTGCCAGTACATTTTATTCATCATGTTTTATGAGAGAAGTTCAAATCTACTACTCTTTGCATTTGTGATTTCTTCCATTTCTATTACATTTACCAACCTTCTCTAAATGAAAAAGAGCTATCTGTCTATAGAAGCCTTTTTTAATGGCTTATGTTTTTCCATTTAAATGTTTACTCTATCTGGAATTTACTTCATGACAGTAAAATAGAGTAACAGAAAGAGCTCCAGTCCAAATGTCAGGCAATGTGTGTACTAATTCTGCCCGGAACACCTTAGGTAAATGCCTTAGTCCTCAGTCTATTCTGGCCCCATAGCATTACTCCAAAGTTTGGAAAGCTACGCAAAGCTTCTTAGCTTCAGCACAAAACTGAACGGTCATCCTGGCCTCTGCATTACCCAGAGTATCAGGTACAAATAAAGAGAAAGAAATACTGTACTTCTATTTGGCAAGCTAACATAAAAACAGATCTCACTTTCCATGCCCTTCTTGTTGACCCTCAGTTTCTCCCACCTGCCGGGTTTGGGGCTTTCCTCATCCTACGCCCTCGTGCTCTGCTGGGAATTCCCACCCTCCCCTCTACCCGCACTAGCAGTTCCACTGCGATCAGTCTTGAGACCTTTAACCCTGTGGATACCCATGACTATGGCAGCACTGCTCTCCTGGCTGTTCTCTGTATCCACTTTCTGCCCTCTTCTTTTTCCTCCCTTTTCTTCTGCTGAGCTTTCTAAAATCCAGTCATCAGCAAAACCACCTGTATTTTCCTCTGCCTTCTTTGAAGGTTCCTTTCACCTTTTTATTCTAAAAGAAACCCAGGTCTCTGCTAAGAACCATACTTCCCTTGCAACTTTTTCATGACACGGCTGGTTTCTCGCCAAATCCTGCATATGACTGGGTCTGAAGGCAAGTAGGTGTTGGCTCTGGTTTTCACTGCCAGTTCCTTCTCCTTCAGAACACTCCAACTCTGATTTTGCTGACAGTGGACCATAATCCTCTTTACCCTTCACTACTGCAGTCACTAGCAGAAGCGTCCGTCCTTCTCACTCACTCCTTGAAGATTTCTTACTTCTGTTTTACTTCACTCTCACCAATCCTACTCCTGTTAGAATTCTGATGACAGCAATGCCCCCAAAGCTAATCTTTCAAATGTTCTGTGTGGCAGAAAGAATAATGCCCTCTCCTCCAAAGATGTCCACATCCTATCCCTAGAACCTGTGAATGTCACCTTATTTGGGAAAAAAATGGACTTTGCAGATGTGATTAAGCTAAAGATCCTGAGGTGAGAAGGTTATCCTGAATTATCTGAGTACGCCCTAGTCAGAACCACAAGGGTCCTTATAAAAGAAAAGCAAGAAGTAGAAGGAGGGGGAGGCAATGTGATGAGGGAAGCAGAGAATGCAGCCTGTGGCCCGGAGCCAGGGCACACCATCTGCCTCATGGAGTGGGGAGAGGCAGGGACTGGATGCTCTTAGGGGCCTCTGGAAGAAGTCAGCCCTGCTGACATCTTCATTCAGCCCATTAACACTCACTGTGGTCTTCTCCAGAATTCTAAGAAAACACATTTTTGCTATATTAAGCCACCAAGTTTGTGGTAATTTGTTACAGCAACAATAGGCAACTAATACTCTGGCCTCTCGACTCCTTGACCTTCTCTTCTTTAGTGATGATGTTCTTGGCCCTAACTCAGCCTCTCACTCCATGGTTACAATCTAGGCCTTGCCATTACTGTAACTGGAACCCCTTCATAATATCCACTCCAAGCATTCCTTTGCTCAACAATCACACCCTGTCTTTTCAGCTAACTCTCTAGTACCCTATCTCCAATCCCACTGGGACCTCACAATCCACTTCCAAATGTTCACCAGGCCAGAGCTCCCTCATGTGCTCACTGTCCTCTGCCTTGTTAAATCCCACAGTCAGTTGTCACAGTTGCTCTGAATAACCCTCAGGTCCATGGCCTGCTCTTGGACTATACTCTACATTCACTTGGCAAAACCACAGCCCTGGTGAAAGCTAGGCACCGAGTATGGCCAGGAAAAGCACACAACCATCCCCACAGCTCTCTTTTCAAACCAGTGGCACTAACCCCACTTGGGCCCTTAACGTGGCCTGCAATCATAACTCACATCTCCACTCTGCCATCTCTCCCACTCTCCTTTATACCTGCTCCTCTCTCCTCAAATGCCAGCAGCACTGCCCCATTTGCATGCTCAGCTGGTGCCCTGCTTCCGATTGACTGAGCAAAGCCCCGGAAGAGGACTTCCACAACACCATCTACCCACTGCTTGCATCTTTGTTCACACACCCTAAAGACGGTTAGGCTGTGCTCTCGGGCTCTACGGGCTAACCCCTCCACCCGTACAAAAATCCCTTCCCCTTGTCTATTCTCCCCTGCATCACTGGCTTTTCAGTCTTAATAGATCTTTCCCATTCACTTACACATATTATTCACCTCGTTAAAAATCCAAATGAAATCAGTCAGTCAAGCAAAAAAACAAAAACAACCTCCCTTTATCTGTACATCTCCTCCAAGTTCAATTTTTCTTCTCTTGCAGGAAAACACCAGAAGTGCCTCTACTCACTGCCTCCAATTCTTCTCTCTCACTTTACTTGATACCCACTCCATTTAGCCTTTGTCCCACCAACCACTCAACTGATAATGTTCTTATCCAAGTCAATAACGACCTTCACCTTGCTAAATCCAATAGTTGTTGCTCAGTTCTCAGCTCTTCTACCCTAAAGGTACCATTTGATACAATCACTCACTCACTCTGCCTTGAAACATTTTCTTCAGTTGGTTCCAAGACATTACCCTCTTTTTCCTCCTGCCTCATTGGTGTCTCCCTCTCAATTCACCTTTTTTTTTGGTTCCTCCTCACTGTCCCCGCCTCTAAATGTTGGAATGCCCCAAGGCTCATCTTTTAGACAGATTGTTCCCATTTATACTTACTCTTGGGGTTGATCTCACCCAGTTCCTTGGCTTTTTGATACAATCTGTGTGGGGATGACTCCAAATGGGTATCACCAGCACAGACCAGTCCTCTGAACTTGTACATCCAACTACCTATTTGACATCTTTTCTGGTTTGTTTAGTAGACGTCTTAAACTTAGTATTTCCTGATCTTCTGCTCTCCCTTAAGACCTACATTTCCCATAGTCTTCATAGTCTTCTCCATCTTTATTTTTTGAGGCAGGGTCTTGCCCAGGCTAGAATGCACTGGTGCAATCACAGCTCATTGCCTTGACTGGACTCAAGTGATCCTCCCACCTCAGCTTCCCAAGTAGCTGGGACTACAGGTGCGTGCCACCATGCCCAGATAATTTTTTAGTCTACATTGCCCAGGCTGGTCTTGAATGCCTGGGCTCAAGCGATCCTCTCATCTTGGCCTCCCAAAGTGCTAGGATTACAGGTGTGAGCCACGATGTCTGGCCGTCTTCTCCATCTTAATGGCAATGCCATCCTTTGGGTGCTCAGATCAAAACCCTTGCAGTAATTTTCAACTCACTTCTTTCTCTTACATTCCACATTCCATCTGTCAGTCCTCTGTTTGAAACCCTCCTATTTCATCCAGATTAGAGAAAACTTACACAAAGAGGACATTCAAGTGGCCTCTGAACATATGAAGAAGCACCCAGTATGAGTGGGTGTCATGAGACAAGTGCAAATTAAAACCACAGTGAGATCATTCTCCATGCTCCAGAATGGCTGAAGTAAAAAGGATTGATTACATCCTTTTAATTATAACTGGAGAGGATGAAGCAAATATCCAAATATTGCTGGTTGGAATGTAACTCATGATGATCACTTTGAAAAACTGGCGATAGCAAAATAAAACTAAACAAAAGTGTTCCCCATTTCACTCAGCTAAAATGAATGTTTATGTCCACCAAAAACCACATACAGGAGTATTCATAGGAACTTTATTCATAAAAGCCCCAAACTGGAAATAACTCAAATGTCCATCAGTAGTGGAACAGATAAATAAGTTGTGGCATACTGGAAAAGAAAATACCACAAAGCAATGAAAAGGAACAGATTACTAAAACATGCAACAAGACAGTGGATCTCACAGACATGTTGTATAAAAGTCATTAGACACAAAAGAGGATTTCTGTATGATGCCACCTACATGAAGGTCAAAACAGGCAAAACTAGTGGTTAACTTTAAAGGGGGTCGCAAGAGCCTTCTGGATAACTGCAGATGTATATATTTTGATCTGGGTGGTGGTTCCACAGGCAAACATATTTCCAGAAGTTCATGGAGCTATAAATTAAGATTTGTGTACTTTATGTACATTATATCTCAATAAAAATGTAAAAACATTTCTCAGTAAATATTTATTGGGTACATACTACTAACTGTTCAGGGCCCTGGGAAAACAATAAACAAATCAGAAATGAGCCATGCTGTTCTTTGAGGTTCACTCCAGTTGGGAAGATAGAAATGAATCAAATGGCATCAATACATTATAAACTGAGATGACCCATCTTAAGGGAAGGACCCCAGCCCTGGGAGACTGTAACAGAGGCTGGCCAGGTCTGGAGAAATGATGGTTCAAGCAGAAGGCAAAGGGAGCAGAAAGAGAGCACTCCAGGCAGCAGAAACAAGTGCCAAGACTCCAGTGCCAAAGGAAGCAGGCTGTGTCCTGCTGGAGGAAGCTTGGGTGACCAGACCACGCAGGAACTTGCAAGTGGGCAAAGGACTCTGGCCTTTAGCTTAAGATCAATGGAAGCCATTGAGGGTTTTAAGGGAAGGGACGTCACACTCAAATCTGTATTTAGAAAAGACCTCACTAATGTTGTGTGGATTTGAGAGTTGTATAGCAGATACTTCCTAGGACGCTCATTAGGGGAAGACTGTGAGTCCAGTCTAGAGCTGCTCTATCCATGAGAAAAGGCAAGAAGAATATTAAGAGGAGGAAGTGACTGAGAACTGCAGATTTTATGTCTTTAAATTTATGTTGAACCGAGGTAATTCATCTTCAAATCAGTGTGATATAGTACCCCAGGCTGCCTCCAGAGAAAGGGACCTGAGGAGGAGGGAGACTGTATTGTAAAGCTTTTGACACCCTGTGATTTTTTAATCATGCATATGTATTACTTACTCAACATAAAATTAAAATTAAAAATTAACAACACTCAACTGGAGCCTTCCTCATATTGCTAACGCTGCCTTAACTCCCTGTTGGTGATAAGGCATAAAGGTAAAGAGGCATCACAATGGTCCCTGTGTCCGGCTCTCATTCCTTGTGAGTAAAAACGGGACTTACCTCAGAAAATTACCAGAGAAAACGCTTCCTGAAATAGAAACAGCCTAAATCTAAAAGACACATGTGCATCATTTAAGATACAAAAGTTTACCTGGTAAAGAAATAACTTCTACTAATAGCCTGGATTTTTAGTTCCTTATATCTAGCTTGTCAAATTGCAGGCCGAGAAGAAAAAAAGGGCAGCATTATTCATGAAAACCAAGACAAAAATGAAAGTTGGTGATTTGGCTCAAAGGACCATATTAAAAAAACAACCGGGTAGTCATAATTTCCTCATGTTTTAAATCACTGAAATCTAGAGTTGCAGCTGTCCCACAAACTGAAACCATATAAATTTTTAGAAAATGAGTCAATCATGAGATTAAAGTTTCAATTTATAACACTTCTGTGTTTTAGTTACAAAGTCATAAATAAACCTAGCATGACACAGAAAGTAAATATTTTTTCAGTTGTTTATGCAGGCAAAGAGGAAAGAAATTTAACATGCAATTAACCACTTAGGTGTTTCTAGATATGCACCATATGGTCTTTCTTCGTATTTAAGATAAAAACAAAAATAAATATTGTTTTCTTTAACCTGATGTTTGCTTAGCAACATCAAATATTCCAAGCTAGCTCAGCCCAGGCACTAACTTCACCTCATGGAAGAGACTTTCCATTTGCAGGAGAGCTGGGGCATAAGAATAGGAGGAAACTTCTTCCCCAGGGCGAAGAAAAAAAAAAAGAATAGGAGGAATAAGCATTTTTACCAAATAGTTTAAATTGAATACTCTGGAGAGAGAGCAGTAAATATTTAACCCGCCTGGGGCTCCAGTCCTATTGTTTAATAGACAATATATTTGTTTATACATTTAAAAACAGACCCTTATGCCATTCTTTCAACCAACATCTGAACAAGTGTGGGATAAAAATAGCCAAGGTCCAAAGCAACCCTAAGATTTCTGTATAAGGACTCCCCATATGATCACGGTTACTTACCTGTCTTAGTTTAAAAATAACTAATGGGAACAATCTGATTGACATTTTAATCTAGATGACAGAAATCACTTAATGGATAATTATTTTCTTATCTTCATGTCTTATCAACTATTCTAAAATTAACGCTTTTAAGGTAAAATCATTATATACTTGATGCTACATGAGGTCAATACGTGGTGCTACACTTTTATATTAACAACTGAAATAAAGTTGTAAAGTCACCCATGAACAGCTTTAAGATATACAGTTAAAATTAAAAACACAAAAACATTTGAGAAGCTGAGGTAGGAGGACCACTTGAGGCCAGGAGTTTAAGACTAGCCTGTGAAACATAGTGAAACCTCATCTCTACCAAAAAAAAAAAAAAAGCTGGGAGTGGGGTGTGGTGATGAGCGCCTGTAGTCCTAGCTACCTGGGAAACCGAGACAGGAGGGTCAGTTGAGCCTTGAGGTTAAGGCTGCAATGAGCCATAATCATGCCAATGCACTCCAGCCTAAGTGATGGAGCAAGACCCTGTCATACATATACACACACAATTGTTAATATGCTTGAGTGTTTAAATGTCACCTATCTTCATATATTATATATATATGTGTGTGTGTATATGTATATACATGTATGCTCTATATATCGAACAAAGAAGCTCTTAAAAATTGACTATCGGCAGGATGCAGTGAGTCACGCCTGTAATTCCAGCACTTTGGGAGGCCGAGGTGGGCGGATAACTTGAGGCCAGGAGTTCAAGACCAGCCTGGCCAATATGGCGAAACCACATCTCTACCAAAAATACAAAAATTATCAGGGCGGTGGTGCATGCCTGTAATCCCAGCTACTGGGGAGGCTGAGGCATGAGAATTGCTTGAACCGGGGAGGCAGAGGTTGCAGTAAGCTGGCATCGTTCCACTGCACTACAGCTTTGGCAACAGAGCGAGACTCCATCTCAAAAAAAAACCAAACAAACAAAAATTGACTATCAAGGGAATGAGAGAACAGGAAAGAAAAGAAACTCTAGTAGTAATAATATATTAAAGCATTAACACCAAAATTGTGCATAACAATGCCATTTTCTCATGGTAGGTTTTAAATTTTTCTTCTTTTTGGGACTACTAAAAAAAAAAAACAAAAAAACTCCACGTAGTAAATGTAACAGTACTCTCAAAATCTCTCTGCACTCTTCCATTATATTGATTTCATCTCCCTATTCTCATCTTTCCACATGGTTAAGAGGCATGTTTGAAAGTTAATCCGGATGAGCACACTATGTAAACAACAGGGTTCACCACTAGCTGCACTCCATCTCCAAGCTGGTACAGTGGTTACTTTCCTTTGCATACATAATCATGGTAACAGCAGTGTCAGCTTAAGAATCTTCTCTAGAAATCAAGCAATCTTAACATGGGAAGCCCTCAAATTACACATAAGTTATATGCTAAAAGTTCATTCACTATTCTGTTACTTGGGAACTCACAACACACATCCAAAACAAATGTTCTATAAGTGATGTTTCAAGCCACTATACAGCCAATGTAACCCTAAAATAATAGAAAGGAGCAGAGCATTATATTGTTGTGATTATAGCAGTAGAAACTGAAAAGAAAATGTTAAAAATTTTGGGTTTTGCTGGTACTTGAGAAAAGGCTGTTCCAATGAGAACATCATGCCAACCACACTGGCTGACCCAGTCTGTGCCCTTTGACGGACACACCTCTGGGTAATCTCCTCAATTTCCCCTCATCCTACACAGCAAACTCTCCCTGTTCCCTGCTGCCCCTTCCCACAGTTAGTACCTTCACTAGACTAATGACTCCCAAATCTACAGAGCTCCCACCTTGCTCTGTCTCCTGGGCTGTGGACCCACTGGCCCAACACTGTTCATCTCCACTTGGATATTCTACAGTCACATCAAATGAAATTCATCACCCATGCACTCCTCACTGCATGAAGCAGCTACCACCCCTCCTGTACTCTGTTTCTGAACGTCATCCCCACCCCCACAGATGGCTCATTTTATTAAAACAGTGGGTGTCATTCCCACTCCTTCTCTTTTATCACCACCTCCCAAACTAGCAAGCACCAAACACCCAGGTCTGTCTGCTGGCTGCCGTGAACCTCTAAAGCACTCCTCTATTCTGCCTGGTCATCTTGTTTCTTTAGCCTCCAGGAAAGCTTGCTGATGCACAACAAATAGGTGTAGGTTGCCACATCATCAAGAGTGAGGAAGAATGCAAGAGCCCTACAAAAACACAAAAGGTACCTTTTTCTCATTAATGTTTCAGGGAAGGAGCCTCCCTCTGGAAATTAAAAACGAGGATCCCAATATAGCCTCGGTATTAGTTGTATACGCATCAGAATGTCTCAATCTTTTCATCTTTTATGCTCAGTCTCTCTGCTCACAACTCAAAGCAATTTGATAGGCTTGAGAACTATTTTGCTTAATAACGAGATGTCTGACAGGACAGCCAGATATAATGATGAATTGGTTAGCAAATACACATCTAAAAGGCTATTTCGAATACAGGCTCCATGAGAGCAAGGATTCTGGTCTACTTTATTTACTGTTACATCCATTGCTTAGACCATGTGGTAGCACGTAGTAGGCACTTAATAAAAAGATAACACATACATATACATTATATCAATTATTAAAAATTTGTAGTTATCACAATATAAATACAAAAAGCAAATTATTGTACAACTATTTTAATTGGGATTTGAAATAGTTTTCTTTATGCTAAAAAACAAAAGTGTGTTTGCTCTTTGGAGTGTCTGACTAAATTCAGCACAATTTTTGGCAGTTTTTTTCTAAAAACAGTTTGTTACACATAGAAAATTATACTTAATATGAAATATATATCACTTCTACATAATTAGACTTAATAGAAATTAGTCTGAATAGAAACCAGTCTCCAGTAGCAGCAACCTTTCTCAACTAATACACCTTGAGTATACTGCAGCAAATCAGGTATATCTGATTATGTCCCCAATAAGTCTGCAGCACACACCTACTCAAAAAGATGGACAGGTAACCAATGTTTATAGATTATATAAATCCCCCGATATAGTCTAGATATGTGTCTTGGCCCAAATCTCATGTCAAATTGTAATCCACAACATTGGAGATAGGGCCTGGTAGGAGGGGATTGGATCATTGGGGTGGATTCTCATGGTTTAACACTATCCCCGTTGGTGCTGTTGACACAATAGTGATTTCTTGTAAGATCGGGTTGTTTAAAAGTATGTGGCACCTACCCTCTCTCTCTCTTGCTCCTGCTGCCATCATGTAAGACACCACTCTCCCCCTTTGCCTTCTGCCATGAGTGTAAACTTCCTGAGGCCTTCCCAGAAGCTGAGCAGATGCCAGTGTTATGCTTCCTGTACAGCCTGCAAAAACCACGAGCCAATTAAACCTCTTTTCCGTATAAATTACCCAGTCTCAGGTATTTATTTGTAGCAACGTGAGAATGGATTAATACATATAATACATCCCTCATCCCCTCTCTAGGGTAAATTAGAATAATTTTTTTGGTTTTTTTTTTTTTTTTTTTTTTTGACAGAGTCTTGCTCTGTCGCCCAAGCTGGGGTGCAGTGGTGTGATTTCGGCTCACTGCAACTGCCACCTCCCAGGTTCAAACGATTCTCCTGCCTCAGCCTCCCCAGTAGCTGAGACTACAGGCATGTACCACCACGCGCAGCTGATTTTTTTTTTTTGTATTTTAGTAGAGACAGGGTTTCACCATGTTGCCCAGGCTGGTTTCGAACTCCTAAGCTCAGGCAATCCGCCCACCTCGGCCTCCCAAAGTGCTAGGATTACAGGCATGAGCCACCACACCCAGGCAAATTAGAGTAATTTTTTTGTTTTTGTTTTTGTTTTGGGACGGAGTCTCACTCTGTCGCCCAGGCTGGAGTGCAGTGGTGCGATGTGGGCTCACTGCAAGCTCCGCCTTCTGGGTCACGCCATTCTTCTGCCTCAGCCTCCCAAGTAGCTGGGGCTACATGCGCCCGCCACCACGCCTGGCTAATTTTTTGTATTTTTAGTAGAGATGGGGTTTCACCGTGTTAGCCAGGATGGCCTGGATCTCCTGACCTCATGGTCCGCCCGCCTCGGCCTCCCAAAGTGCTGGGATTACAGGCATGAGCCACTGCGCCCGGCCTAGGATAATTTTTAACTAATGCTAACACGGTGTCACTATAATATGCCAGTTTGTTGCTGGATGCAAAAATAAAACCCTAAACGTGGAGTGAATCCTATTCACAAGAAACATGTCTTCTTTTCATATTCTTTGTTGGTGTTTGTTCTAACGAGAAGGACCAAATATCAACATATCCTTCAGTCCCAGTAACTGCTTTCCTAAAATAACTTTTTCATTCTAGCTTTGAACAACTTTTATGCCATCAAGATGGTGAATTTTAAATTGTGAGTTGTGAAGAAAGACAATTTTCTTAGACGTATTATTATATTTTCATGTAAATACTTAGAGTGCTCAGAACTTTCTTATTCTGTTTTCAATTTGAGGTCACTAAAGGGCAAAAAGGAGTCTCACTGGTGGCAAGATTTATTCAGAGAACACTGTCACTCTGAGAACAGCTGTGCTGGAGACACAGCCTCACCACCCAAACCCACAAGCCTACCAAATTAGGTCAAAACACTAAAATACAACTGCTTAACAGATCTTCAAAACCTAGAGTCAGCTGTTCATGTTTTGTACTTGAAAAATACACATTAGAACAGAGTCAGAGGATCAAAGGCTAGAAGTTTCATCCCAGAGCTTTCTGGACACGACTGTATCTCAACTGTGTCAGAGAGGAGGGTGAAAATGTAAAATTACAAACCTAGAATGCTACAAAAATAAAAATATTACATTTTCTATTTCCTGAATTAAAAATAGGAGAGATACACAATCGCTTAGGGAAAATATTCTGAGAAGAGACAGTCATGAATATAAAAAACACAACAACACAACACTGTTCTCTAAATGGAAGAGAAGTGGTAACAGCAGAAGGTGAGCCTGTTGGTATATGTTGTACTATTGCCCTCTATTCACAAATGAGTAGAAAATTTTGGATTTCCAGCATCAAACTACTGTTAGATGGAATAGCAAGTAAGTACAAATTAGCCTATATTTTATACAGAGTGACTCAGCATGCACACAAATATCAATAAATTGCCGACACTAGAAGGCTATTTATTGACTTGTAAAGAAAGCATCATTATTTAATATGGAATATCTGTGGAGCTGCCCCTATTAAATAGTTACAGTCATGTAAATGCAATTTTCCAAAGTATGACCTACATAAAGCTAGTGCCTAGAAATTATCCATGAAGACTTCCAGGGTTAATACATTTGAGGATAGAGACTCATAATGTTTGTTAGCATATTACAGACTCCAAGCGGTTCCTCAGTAGAGAAGCCAGCTCAATGTTGTTTAAACCAGTATTGCTCAAAGATAACTAGTGCGACACTTTATTCCCAAGATGAGTTATTAATGCACTTAAAGAATTGCTAATATAGACATATGCAAAATCACTGTCTAAAAGTTTGTACCAGATTATGTACCTAAATTTGTATCAACTCCATAAGCATTATAAAGACTCTTCGTTGCTTATATTTTCCTTTTCTCATTGTTTAATTTGGGGGAATAAAAGGATTCATTTCAGAGAAACAATTTCTGGAGACAAGTTTACAGGGGGAACACTGTCACTCTTTGGCCCGCATGGGAAGGCGCTACAAAGTCATCTTCTATCCGATATGGAAGTTGAAAGCCTTGCAGTTGTCCCATTCCCGTGGATCTTGCTCATCATCCCAACCCATATATCCAGTCACCCCCACTGCACTGATTATGCCTTCTGCACTGTTCTCAGGTCTGTTTCAATCTTCCACTCCCCACAGTCAGTGTCCTAGTTTGAGCCACCAGCAGCTTTGCCAAGGTCCATTCTTGGCATACCCCATACCTTGTAGCCCAGATCACCTTTTAATCCTTGGAAGTGTTTTCTATCTACCAAGACTATATGTCTACTATTAGTAGAAAGAATGACAAAGTCATCAACCATGTACCCACCAATCAGTTTAAGAAAATATTTCTAAGACTCCTGTGAATCCACTCCTATGAATTCTGTGCTTATAATTCCCTCACTTTTCTTTATAGTCTAATCACATATGTATTTATCTGACAATGTACTGCTTAGTTTTGCATCACTCTGAACTTTATATAAATGTACTAGTTTGATTCATCTGGTATTCATTTATTTCACTTTACCTTATGCTTGTTAGGCTCATCAACTGGGGCCCTCAATTTCCATAGCTGAACAGTATTCCAGCTGTATGAACAAATTGTTTATCCATTTCTCTGATGACAATCACTTGGGTTCTTCCCGGAATCCTCCCCCTCACCTTTTTTTTAACTACTTACAACAAGTGCTGTTATAAACCCTCCTATTTTTTCATGCCTGGTACAGAAAAGTATACCTGGTAGAGAAAGTAAAACATTTTTTTTTCTAGGTTATATTAGGAATTGAATTGCTGGGTCATAGGGCAGTCCATATTCAGATTTCACAGATCTGTTCTGCAAAGTGGTTATACCAATTTGCTCTCCTACCTGCAGTGTATAAGAGTTCCTGTGACTCCACATCCTTGCCAACATCTGATACTGTCAATTGTTTTATTTTTTGCCAAACCAGTGATAGTAAAATATTTTAGGAGTATTGTAATGTGGTTTTAATGTGCATTCCCTGATTAATATTTAAGTTATTTTACGTCATTTTTTGCATATCCATGTCTTTTGTTTATTCAAAGTAATTTAAAAATATAACCTTTTCCAATGGCCGGGCATGGTGGCTCACACCTGTAATCCTAGCACTTTGGGAGGTGGAAGCAGGCAGATCATTTGAGGTCAGGAGTTCAAGACCAGCCTGGCCAACATGGTGAAACCCTGTCTCCACTAAAAAATTAGGCAGGTATGGTGGCAGGTGCCTGTAATCCCAGCTACTCAGGAGGCTGAGGTGAGAGAATCGCTTGAACCCAGGAGGCAAAGGTTGCAGTGAGCCGAGACTGCACCACTGCACTCCAGCCTGAGCAATAGAGTGAGACTCCATCTGAAGGCAGGGGGGGAAGTCAGTTTTATGCTATGTGGTATTTAACTTTAAATATCATTGAATTTGTCAGTCTTTTGCTTTATGTTTAATGGCTTTCCATTGTATCTAGAAGATCCCCAACTTAAAGATTTTTTAACTTTAAGATTTTTCAACTCCACAGTGGTGTGAAAGCAATATGCATTCAATAGAAACTGTACTTTGGGTGCCTGACAACCATTTTGTTTTTCACTTTCAGTGCAGTATTCAATAAATTACATGAGATATTCAACACTTTATTATGAAATAGACTTTGTGTTAGATGAGTTTGCCCAACTGTAGGCTAACATAAGCATTCTGAGCACATTTAAGGTAGGCTAGGCTAAGCTATGACATTCAGCAGTGTAGGGGTATTAAATGTATTTTTGACTTATGATAGTTTCAACTTACAATGGGTTATTGGGACTTGACCGCATCATAAGTTGAGAAGCATCTGTATAAAATATAAGATACTCAGAGTGGGTATAAAAAACACTATCATGGCCAGGCGCGGTGGCTCATGCCTGTAATCCTCAGCCTTGGGAGGCCAAGACAGGTGGATTATCTGAGGTTGGGAGTTCGAGACCAGCCTGGCCAACATGGTGAAACCCCGTCTCTACTAAAAAAACAAAAGTTAGCCAGGAGTGGTGGCGCACACCTGTAATCCCAGCTACTCAGGAGGCTGAGGAAGGAGAATTGCTTGAACCCAGGAGGCAGAGGTTGCAGTGAGCCAATACTGCGCCACTGCACTCCAGACTAGGAGTCAAAGCAAGACTCCATCTCAAAACAACAACAACAACAACAACAACAAAAACACTATCAAAAAGAAAAAATTCTTTTGTATTATCTTCTAAAATTTAAAGCTTTACTTTTCACATCTCGGTCTTTAACTCTATTTTTTGTGTGCAGTGTGATACAGGGCTGCATTTTTTTTTCCATATAGAGATCAATCACTACAACACCACTTTAAAAAATTGTTCCTTCTTCATCCAATAATCTACAGTGTCACTCAACCTATATTTGAGAGTCTATTAATTTGCTGAGTCTGCCGTTGGGCTCTTGCTCCTGTTTCACTGATATCTGTGCATCCCTACACCAGTGTTAGACTGTCTTAATTCCTACAGCTTTATTTGAATTCAAGTTGGTGGTCAAGTCCACCAACTTGATGTCGGGAATGTTATAGGCTTGATGAATGCATTGACAAACAAATGAAGAAATGCAGAAGTTTCTAAGTAGGAAGAGTAGGCTATCTGTACAAATCTAAACAAACTCTCAGACACTTTTTTTTAAAGGCAAGCCTTAAAATAATGTCTTTTTTTCTCTAAACATAGCTATGCTTCTTTTAAAGACCTCTTAAAACAATTTACACAAAGAGCAAGTGATGGCTACTGAACGTGAATTGTGGAGCTAATCCCAGTAAAGAGATACATCTTTCTATTTTCTCAAAAGGAATTAGGACAAGGCACACGGACTTAGCATCACCCTTCCTTTCAAATTAAAAGTGATTTATGGATTGTTGATTCAGAATTTGGTTGCCACTAATACTTCATATTTGTATGTTAAATGATTACAGAGAAGAAATCTGGATGGTAAGGAAGTTTTCTTTTAAAAAGAGACATAATTACTTTATTATTAGACCTACGATAAAAAAGGGCAGAAGGCAAGCAACTCAGTCAAACTGAAGTTTTGTAGCTTTGGCAAGCATCCCAGTTCTCCTAATGTTAGTCTTCCTAGGACTTTACTACTTACTGGTCATGAAGTTTAACTCATATTCACAAAGAAGAATATAAGATGAGAACAAAAACATACAAGCCCAAAAGCAGGTGAATCAGGCAATGCTCTGTGAACTGGAAAATGCTAGTAAAATCTAGGCAATTGTTATTATTTATTCCATGAATAAATAGTTAGATTATTCTTATCACTATAAATTTTCACTAACACAGATAATCAAGAGCTTGGCAGTAGAAAGTATTAGAATAGTAAATTACATGTAAGATTAAAAAATTAGTTAGTATGACTGACATTATATACCTGTAGCAGATAATTAAGGTTCTAAGCCAATCGAAAACTAATGACAAGAGGTATTATGAAGATAAAATATCCTGTTGCTTCACTTGTCTGGTAAATACGATCTCTTCCCATGCATATTTGAGCATTAGGACCTGAAGATTTAGTGGACAATTGTAGTTTATTGATTAACTTAATCTCTTAGCACAACATATTCTGCTATCCAATCTTAGAGCAAATAAAACCACTTGACATTTATTCTGCTTTTTATAGTTTACAAAACACTTTCAAGTTAGCTCTCCTTCTGTTAGACCAACTAGGCTAGAAGGACATCGACCTGAACCTACCGGTAGTTATCAAACCATTCAGTCTGGGGGGATTGCCAGAGAATGAAAGGAACCCAGAAAAACACCGAGCTGAGAGGCAGAAAGAGAGAGAAACATTTCTAACGACATTGTGGGAGACCTAAATCCAACTTACTTGAAACACCCCTATACCCCTGCACCTTTCAGTTACAAGACTCAATAAATTCCCTTTTCTGTTTAAGTCCGTGTGAACCACGTTTCTATCACTTGCAGCTGAGAAAGGCCTGGGTAACATTAAGTCAGTCACATTGCTAACTGCACCAAGAATCACACTGTTAATTGCACTAGGAGTCACGGTGCTCAACTGCTCCTTACACGAGCCTTTGAGTGATGAAAAAAGCCTGTTTGTTTTGAACCCCCATACAATCACTTAACTACCTAGATGATCTCAGACAGGACATATAATGTGTCTGTGCCTCCAAATGAGCCCCAAATACAAGGATATAATTTAATTTATAAGGTTATTTTGAGAGCTAAATTAGAGATCTTTTCCCAAAGGAATTAGATAGAGTCTGGCGCCTAGAATCCAATAAATGGTAACATTACTCCTGCTCTCTCTCCTGACATGGTACTCAACAAGATAAGATATGTAAAGCATCTATTATAATTCCTGGTACAATGTAAGATACTCAATACATGTTAATTCTCTTTGCAATGAAAATGATTCAGGACTGGTAATCACATTCATCTTACATCACTATTTTTCACATTGTAGAAAAATAACTAAAAAGAAGAATATAGACCAACTCCAATGGCCTTTTTAACCCCCACATTTCCAAAAAGGTACAAAAACACTGTTAGAGGGAGGAAAATAAGAACATATAAATGGGTAGTTGGAAATATTAAATGAACCAGGCAATTTCCAGCATTTGAGCCATGTGAAGCCTCAACATAAATGTAGGGATTTCAAGTTCTCCAAAGGGGAAGATAATCACAAGCTACAGAAGTAATAGCAGAACCACTCAATACACAAAACAGAAGCCAAATGCTGGACTCACAGTATTTGGAACATATGGTAGGCCATAGAATTTCTCTTGTGTTTCCTTGAGAATGTCTGTGGTTGAATTCCTCAGGGGATGCTTCCCATGGTAGATTTGATCCAGAGTGGCATAAAAGACCTAGATAGATAAAAACATCTACTTAGTTTTGGTCGTCCATCCTCACATCAAGATGTGGTTGACCAAAGATGCTATAAGTGCACCAGAACAACAGTTACCAATCACAGTTGAAAACAGTCACAAAAATAAACTTACATGGTTTGAAATGTATTTCATACCACATTTAAGACCATGCTAAAGATTAAAAGGAATGCTCTCAACCTTTTCATAAATAAGAATATTAAAGAATTTTGAACCATACCCATAAGATACTCTTTATGTACAATGGCAGCAAATCAAATATGTGACACAAAACTGGAATTTTGCCAAAATATATGTAGACGGAAGGCCAGGCGCGGTGGCTCACGCCTGTAATCCCAGCACTTTGGGAGGCCGAGGCGGGAGGATCACGAGGTCAGGAGATCAAGACCATCCTGGCTAACATAGTGAAATCCCGTTTCTACTAAAAATACAAAAAAATTAGACAGGCGTGGTGGCAGGCACCTCTAGTCCCAGCTACTCGGGAGGCTGAGGCAGGAGAATGGCGTGAACCTGGGAGGCGGAGCTCGCAGTGAGCCGAGATTGCTCCACTGCACTCCAGCCTGGGAGAGACTCCGTCTCAAAAAAAAAAACCAAACAAAAAACAACAACAACAACAAAAAAATCTATATCTATCTATCTATCTATCTATCTATCTATCTATCTATCTATCTATCTGTAGGCAGAAATATACAAAACCAGTTACAACTTTAGACCCGCTGGATCTAACAAATGTTGTTTGGTTTCCTCCTGGAATCCTGATATATCTTAAATGAGAGAAATGAAACGGTCAGAATTCTAGTTTTGTGATAAAAGGTGAAAGAAAATTAAATAGGTGTGGTGGGGGTAGAGAAAGAAATAGCAATGCAGCATCTCGTGAGTATAGATGTATCGAAGAATTCTGATGCAGCTGTTGGAGAGGTTGGAACTAGACTCCCACACCTGGTGTCAGGAAGTACAAAGGAAGCAGCTGCTGTATAGGGAGGGCTCAACTAGATGACCAGGGGAAAAGGAGCACTCTCCTCTGAGTAGAGGATATAGGCCACTGAAACACAGTGGGAGAAGAAAGCATTAAAGAAAGTTTGGACATGAAATCTGCTGTTTACAAAGTACTGAAAACTAAATTTTGCAAAGAAATCTAAAATAAACATAAAGCATTTTTTCACTGCAACATCTGACTCAAATATTGTTTTTCAACACTGACTTGAACATTTGACTTCATGCAGGCAAGTAGAAAATGCTTTATTTTAAAGGACAAATTTTGACACGCAATTATGCTTCTGATATGTATCTTTGTGATTCAGAAATGGGATTTGTAGAGAATGTGCAGCTGTTGACTTGAAAGAAGTGAGGATTAGTTTGGTTAAAAGAGAAAATTTAAATGACCTCTGGCTTCTGGCTGCATCTAGATATAGAATTATGGTTCTAAATTATAAAGTTAAGTTTAAACCTTCCCTAGAAAAATACAGACATTTCCTAAATATAAATATTGCTTTCTTCTAACTGGTAATCTAAACATATAGCTAAATATAGCTCTTTCAATTCTACATTTTATAATGAGTAACGATGCATAAAGATAATCAGGGAGGCCAAAATTACTCAATGTCTTACCTATATTCTAACAGAGTAAATTATCAGGAACTGAAACTCTTACATTCTAACCTCAACTGAGGTGTTATTTTGCCCCAATGTATAAATAAATCAGAATTCAAGAGTTTCATTTCTTCAATTATGCCTTTTACAAAATGATATAAACATGGGGTAACTTTTTTGAATTATAAAAACAGAGCAAAATAAATTAAATATGAAAACAGAGCAAAATAAATTAAATGTGCATTCTTTTTATGCTTATTTGCTGATAAACTAAACAATTCCAAAGACATGAGCCTATCTGCCTACCCAGGGAGTCATGCATTCCTGGGGCCAAGAAACTTATTAAGTCACAGAAAAATGAAGAGCCTATTTTTAAAACAATAATTTTAAAAAATGTACAGTTTTAAAAACAGTGTTTTTTTTTTGTTTTTTTTTTGAGACAGAGTCTCGCCCTGTCGCCCAGGCTGGAGTGCAGTGGCGCGATCTCGGCTCACTGCAAGCTCCGCCTCCCGGGTTCACGCCATTCTCCTGCCTCAGCCTCCCGAGTAGCTGGGACTATAGGCGCCTGCCACCACGCCTGGCTAATTTTTTTGTATTTTTAGTAGAGTTGGGGTTTCACTGTGTTAGCCAGGATGGTCTCGATCTCCTGATCTCGTGATCCGCCCGCCTCGGCCTCCCAACGTGCTGGGATTATAAGTGTGAGCCACCGCATCTGGCCTTAAAAACACTGTTTATGTCCCCATAGAAAGTTGAAACAATTCACTTCCTTTCCACCCGTGTTCATCTCCACTGTCCAAGTGTAATATAAAAGCTGAACCCAGGCAGCTCCTCTACCAGGACTTTGCCTCTCTCTGTCTCTAGGGGGCTATTGTTTTTGGAGGGCGGAGGAGGGAAAGGTTGGTTTTCCATTTTAAAAGAAAATTATCAGAACACTTTTTCAAGAAGAAAGCCACAAAACAGACTTTTAAAAGCCAGGCCTTCTACTAAAGATATCAGCAAATCAAGACTTTTGCCAAGTAATGTTAATTTTTAAAAATAACTCAGAAATCCTTTAAAAATTATATTGATATGAATAGATACTGAGTAAGGTAAAGCAAATATAGATTCACGGTTTTGTCTATATAATAGATTTCCTTCACTGAAACATGTATTTCATGTTTGAAGGTACAGAAAAACAGAGCACATTTATTACCTTCTAGGGACTGAATTTTACAAAACTATAAAGCAATTAAATAGTGATTACTTTGTTAAACAGGTAACTGAATCATCATAAAGTGAATACTGCCTAAGATGAAAGATGGGTGTTTAAGGTGTTTACATAACTCTCAAGATCTGAAGAGGAGTGAGAATTCCATAACAATCTCAGTCATTACAAACATCTACGCATCTGATGTCATGCAGACCTGGCATCCAGATGGTTCATGAAAGTTTTCTGGTCTTCATCTCAAAACCTGGGAAGTTGGTTTTGAATATTATCTAAAACTAACAGCAATTACTATCTAAACTTCAAACCTAAAAACACAAAAATTTTAAAAAGATACAAAATGAATAAACATATGTATATATAAAATTAAGTTTGAGCCTTAATTTAGCTGGCAAAATGTGTGATTTAGAAGTTGTGTAAATTTTCTAAGCTTTCATTTTTTCCCAACTGAAAACGGGAAATAGTCTTTTTTTTTTTTTGAGACAGAGTCTCACTCTGTTGCCCAGGCTGGAGTCAGTGGCAAGATCTCGGCTCACTTCAACCTCCACCTCCCAGGTTCAAGCGATTCTCCTGCCTCAGCCTCCTGAGTAGCTGGGATTATAAGCATGCACCACCATGCCTGGCTAATTTTTGTATTTTTAGTAGAGATGGGGTTTCACCGTGTTGGTTAAGCTGGTCTCAAACTCCTGACCTCGTGATTCGCCCACCTCGGCCTCCCAAAGTGCTGGGATTACAGGTGTGAGCCACTGTGCCTGGCCAGGAAATAATTTTATTCAACGCCTACTTCATAAGGGCAGTGTGAGGACTAAATGAGTCAATTTTGGTCAAGTTCTTTGAACTCAGATGAAAGATGTTTTAGAAGCATAATTATTATAATAAATAGGTATCATTGGCAAGAATGTAAAGTTATATATTTATTTGGGATAATGACTCCGGAAAACTTCAGAACAAAGGTACATACATACCTGAAGTTGCATATCAGCTGCAGCACAAACCTTTTTAGATTCACAAAGACGAGACACCATATTTTTTGGCAGTGGCTTGATAAAACAAAAGAATATATATGTGAGTAAACTGCGTAATAAGTCACTGCACTATGTATAAGCCAGGAAATTTAAAAATAACATCAAATGTAACATGAGTAATAGAATTTCATTATAGTTTAAAAATAATAACTTTAAATATTTTAGTTGGCAAGACAACATGAATAAAGACATTCTGTTTAATTTCAAAAAGTGGTAATTGTCAAATAAGGGTTTGTACATGAAAATACAGGATTACGTGGAACTAAGACACTGGCGCCGATCTTTAAAAATCTATTTAAAACCTCAAAGGGAATACTTTTTCTGTTCCTTTGCTATTAGTGAGTGCCTGTTCAAATACTCTCTTGACTTTTAAGTGCATATAATCACTGACAATAGGACTAAAAGATGAAAATGTCAAGAAATAAATGGTAATTCACAGTGTCCGCCAGTGTTAAAGCTAAACTGACATCCTAACAAATAGTCATAATAATGTATTGCAGATTATTTTCTTTTCGAATCTGAAAGAACTGTAGAGCTTGGACACTTAGTTTAATGTCCCTATGTGATTTAAGGCTTTCTTTTTGAGATGAATTAGGCCTAACCCTATAACATACAGATCCTCTTAGAAATAAATTAATAATGTAGTTGAACAAGAACTTTCCTCAATCTTACTCTACTTTAAAATCATTAATACTGATGTTTATTAAAGAAAGATACCGATTTACAACCTAATTAAGCTAAAAGCCCCTCTAAAGAGAAACACATTATATAAAGACCAATGGCAAGTTACTCAGTGGTATGGTCGTATAAATTAACCACCTGTGAATGAGAACGTGGGCTGTCTGCTGGAAGCGGAAACTAGCCACTGCTTTGTAGGAGTCTACTCGGCAGACACTCAGGAAAGATTTGTGAAGGAATGAACTAATAGAAGAACTGCTAGGAAACGGCTTCTTAAGTGAAAGACATAGAATCTGCTGACTGCTCAGATGACAAACCTACAGCCTTTTCTCTTTCCATTTGGCAGCAAGAGAAGTAAACTAGGCAGAAAAGACAATATTTTTAAAGAGCTAAGACACAGATGGGAGAAAGCTACATAGTGTGAATTCTGGTACAGGTCACAGGCCTGGGGCTTTCTGACACCAGGGGCGCTCATCTTGTATGAAAGAAATACTTCCTCAAACAGGATTTTTAACAGTCAAGATTTATTTAAGTCATATCTGCCAACAGATTGTGTCAAAATGTTCACGTTTCTTTAAACCTTACTTTATATCATATTTTATATTGTTGACAGGATTCATGCTACATTTAAAAGATTTTTCATGCTTCACCAAGTTTTAATAATTTTTACAAAAAAAGTATATGTGGAAGAATGACACTGAAACCACCTTTGCAGAATTGTAAGTAATAAGAAGAGAAATCTAACATGACTGACTCCATCCTGCTTCTAACCTCTCAGGCTACATTGTCTTTAGCTTATTCTAGTGCAGAGGCCAAGATAACTATAAGAAAAATTTGGTTTATAGTTAAACTTTGAGGCTAGAAAACCTGACCTTCCTGCTTGTTTGGGGACTGAAGCCACATTCCTGAGGCTGGATTTGAATTATGGTAGGGGCCTGGACTTTGCTAAACAATAGATACACTTAAACAATCACCTGCCACTGCTAAGCTTGCTTTTCTATAAGTTGCTCACTACCAGAGTCACATAGCCAGAGGCTATAAGACTTGTAACTTCCCCAGCTACTCCTGTAAATAACATGATTATTGTGGAACCTAAAGAACTGGTCTTTGAGATATTTTTCAGATTTAGCATTTCAACAAACCAAGAGATGCTACCCGGTCCTGAGACCCACCTCCCAACCAGAAACAGACTCAGCTGTGCAGTTTAGACACTCCTGTGATTTCATCCACAGCTTATCAACTGTTTCAGTTCCCCAGGCCCCTGCCTGACAAAGTATCTTTAAAAACTCTAGCCTCCAAGTTCTCAGGGAGGTGGATTTGAGAAACGCCTTCTGTTTTCCACTTAGCTGGCCCTGCTATGATTAAACTGTTTGTTGCAACATTTGCTGTTCTCGGTGCATTAGCTTTTCTGGGCAGTGGGCAAGAAGAACCCATTGAGCTGTGACAATATTTTCTCATTTAACTAACACATATGAAGACCATGTAAGCAAGCACTGCATTAGGCACAAGGGGCACAAACAGTGGGCAACAGCAGGTGTCTGCCCCCAAAACTTCTCAGCTAGCATTCTCCACGTAAGCACCAATTCCACAGTTACTAACTGTAACGCGTGCAGGGAAGAAAAGGCCCGTAGGGGACGGTATGTGAGCTGTGACCCTGAAAGGCTTGATGGATGTAGGAGTGAGATTTGCCAAATGAATAGGTGTTAACTAGACAAGAGAAGGATGGATGGGAAGGGGAAAGAAGCATTTCAGGCAGAAGAAACAGCACATGCAAAGGGCAGGAAAGAACAGGGCTGTTGGCAGAAGGTGGAAGCCAGCAGAGGACAGGAAAGGAGGTCCCCATTGGAGAAGCCGGGAAGCTGAGCCACGCTGGGTCCCATCTCCACCCTGAGAAATAAAAAAAAAATTCTGAGCCCCTAACTGACTGAACAGACCCCCTGTTGGCCAAAGGGACCCCAGAGAAACTCTGGAAACTTGAGTTCCAGACCATGACGGGATGGGCAGTTGGTCGTGCCTCACTCTCCCCGTCCCTCGCTCACTGCCATTAGGCTTTCTTCCCTACCAGCAAACCAGACACTGCCTCTAAAAAAAGAAAATACGTATTTAGAAAAAAACAAAAAATGCTACCACTGGAGAAAACTGGGTGAAGGGGACATAGGACCTCTCTGCATTTTTGTTTTTGCAACTTTCTGTGAATTTATAACTATTTCAAAATAAAAAGTTAAGTACCCAATTATCTATTCAATGTCTACTATACATTGTAATACAAAAAACATTCACTTGTAAAGAAACACATAAGTAGAGAATAAGTACAATCCTAGTAGAATAGTGCAGAGGACAGAATCATTAACTCATCAAATCACAAATAAAAAATACACATATTGTGTGTGCTATACATAGAAAAGTAAATGTTCTTTTTAAAAAAACTAGTTTGATTGTTAGTCAACTGGAATTAATAAGTGTATTAATTGAAATGAAGTTATATGCTTATTCTCTTAGAAAATACTTGCTTTTTAAAACATAACAAATTTGAAAAAAAAACTTAAATACCATACAAACTGATTTTCTTTTAAAGTTGTATCTAAAGTTATTTTTTAAAAATAAACAACGTTTCAAAATTAAAACTGAAATTTAAAAATGTTTCCTGGTCAAGATTTTCTTCTGTAAATATTGCTTTGCCAATCGCGGCCATGATAACCAATATTGAACTACAGTGTTCCCTGGTATACATGGGGGAACTGGTTCCGGGACCTCCTAAGGATACCAAGATCTGTAGATGTGCAAGTCCCTGCTGTGAAATGATACGGTATTTGCATATAACCTATGCACATCCTCCTGTATATTTGAAATCACCTCGTGTGTAAATAGTTGTTATAGTGTATGTTTTAGAAAATAATGACAAGAAAAAAAGTCTGTACATGTTCAGTACCGACACAACCATCCATTTTTCTTCCCCAAATATATATACATATAAATACGTATTTATGTATATCTATAAAAAAATATAAAATATACCTATCTCTCTCATAAATAGGCTTTCACTGTATTGCCCAGGCTGGAGTGCAGTGGCACAATCATAATTCACTGCATCCTCGAACTCCTGGGCTCAAAGATCCTCCCACCTCAGCCAAGATCTTGAGGGGCTAAGACTACAGGCATGAGCCACCGTGTCCAGCCCCCAAATAATTTCAATCTGCTGTTGGTTGAATCCACAGATGCGGAACCCACAGATACAGAAGGTTGACTGTAATTCAATTTTGCTGTAATTCCAAAAGCAATTAAGTCTACAGAGCAGCACAGATGTTTAATATTATTGTCTCCTAAACACAAGACTCTCACATTTGCTACATTAAAGAAACAGAATTAACATATCTAAGATGATAGGTAATGAGCAACTATGTATAAATGAAAATGCATTTAAAACATCTAAGCCTTGAATAATATTATAATTATGTTCATTATATTGAATTTGAAAATTTACCAAAGTCTGAGGCATCATAAATAATTTTCACCGTATTATCAGCTGCACGTTTTACCAGATACTATTTCAATTTCCATAATTTCCAAGGCAGAAAATACTCCCTTTCACTGATCTGTAAATCTCCTATCTCACACTGACATATAATTTCTCAATTCTTCTGAGGATATGGACACTACCATAGTTATTAAAAACAAATTTTTTTTTTTGAGACGGAGTCTCGCTCTGTTGCCCAGGCTGGAGTGCAGTGGCACAATCTCGGCCCACTGCAAGCTCCGCCTCCCAGGTCCATGCCATTCTCCTGCCTCAGCCTCCCGAGTAGAGTAGCTGGGACTACAGGCGCCCGCCACCACGCCTGGCTAATTTTTTGTATTTTTAGTAGAGACGGGGTTTCACTGTATTAACCAGGATGGTCTCGATCTCCTGACCTTGTGATCCGCCTGCCTCAGCCTCCCAAAGTGCTGGGATTACAGGTGTGAGCCACCACGCCTGGTCCCATACTTATTAAAAATTAAAAAGAATCCTACCAGCATATTAAGAATGCTATAAATCAAGAACGTTTATATTAGCTAATTATGGTAAAGAACAACTGTGCAAGAAACATCAGGACTGGAGAGCTCTTTTGGGCCTTTCAGGCTGTTTCTAACATTCTAACTCCTGACCATCGAAATGGCTGCTTCACAATATCCAATTAATCAAGAAATACCATTCGTTCCATGAACTTAACCCATTACAGTAGAACTGAGAGCATGGCCTGCCTTAACACCAAAATCTGCCTGCATTTCAAATTCCTATGATTGCGCTTCACTGTAGCACAGTAAGGAGCATCAGATAAAACTGAGTTTGAATCCCAACTGTGCTACTTACCAGCTAAGTGGCATGGATGTTGGGCAACTTACTGAACTGTGAAGCCACATTTTCCTCATCTGCAAAATGTTAATATTATCTTTTCATAGGATGAGAATCAAGCAAGATAATGAGTTTTAAAATGTTAATACATCAGGTTTAACACAGATACTGAATAAATGGTAGCTGGTATTCTTTACTACTACTGCTGCACTATATAATACAATAATCACTGACTTTGACGAACTTTATTTACATTTTACTGTGTTATTTACATACTCTGCAAATGTGATCTGTTTCAGATCTATACATTCTTAGAAGACAGGAATTATAGCTAAACAATTTTCTCTCTGTAGCACCTAACAATCAAGTTCTAAATAAGGAATGTACTTCCATAGTTTCCTGATTTTTTGTTTTTTTTTGAGTCAGAGTCTCGCTGTGTAGCCCAGGCTGGAGTGCAGTGGTGCAATCTTGGCTCACTGCAACTTCTGCCTCCCAGGTTCAAGTGATACCTCCCACCTCAGCTTCCCAAGTAGCTGGGATTGCAAGCATGCACCACTGTGCCTAATTTTTGTATAGTAGAGATGGGGTTTTGCCATGTTGGCTGGGCTGGTCTCGAACTCCTGACCTCAGGAGATCCACCTGCCTGGGCTTCCCAAACTGCTGGGATTACAGGCGTGAGCCACTGTGCCAGGCCTATTTTTAATTTTTTTCATTTATAAAATAGCCGATTATCTTGAACCCAAAATGTACGCCTCCTCAAATTACCCGGCTTTAGAAGAGGATGCTTTCTCTAACCTGGTAATTAATTTAAGGTTTACAAAAAAACCCCACAATGAAATAAAGTAATGTGCTAGTAATCTATTAATATCTTCGATATTTCAATATCTGCCATAAAACTTGGTCATTAACTCACTTTTTGAAAATATTTTCTCCACCTTAAGTAGAACTGGTTATCAAACAATGAGTCAGTTTTTCATCTGCGGGTTCTAGCTCATATTTATAAAATACTGGCACTAATCAGAAAATCTCTCTCTTCTGACGATCAAATGTATCTCATGCTATAAGTCTAGATAGTTCAGAATTGCATAGTTTTGAACGAAAAGTCTACTGTAATTATTACTTCTGTTTGTAATGTGTCTTTTCTGCCCTGGTTGCCTTTAAGGTTTTCTCTTTATCTTTGGTTTCCAGCCGTTTGACAACAATGTATCCAGGTATATTCTTTCTGATTGTTTGTCCTGCTTGGGATTCTTGAAGCTTCTTGGATCTCTGGTGTGCTTTTCATTATTTTTGGCAAATTCTCAGTTATTATGCCATCAAATATTTCTCCGGCCTTGTTATTGCTCTCTTTTCCTTTCTGGAACTTGAATTGCATGTATGTTACACTGGCTGGTATTGTCCCAGAGTTCTTGGATGCTTGGTTTTGTTTTTGTTTCCCATCCCCTACTCCTTTCCCCACTCTGTATTTCAGTTTAAATAATTTCTACTGACCTAATCTATCTTTAAATTCACTGATTCCTTCCCTAGTTTCATCGAGTGTATGGATGAGCTTCTCAAAGGAATTCTTCATATGTGATATCGTGGCTTTATTACCTACATTTGCATTTGACTGTAGTTTTTTTTTGTAGTTTCCACTTCTCCTTATCTGTTCATACATGTTATCCATGTTTTCCGTCTTGTCCTTTAATGGTTGTTTAAGTCCCTGACAGACAGTGACTTTGAAGTTATTCTAGTTGTTAGTTATTTTCAAGTTCCTCAGTTTGCTTTTATTGATTAGCTTTATCTTGGAGCAGGGAGTCAGGGTTTTCTGCTATTTCTGCAGCAGCAGCCAATCACTTCCTACAACACGGAGGAAGCCTGTCTGCTTTCCCACCCTGCTCTCATGAGCACCCAGAGGAGGCCGACAGAAAATGGCCTACAAGTGAATGCAAACTCCTCCAGTATCAGGGCCCTCAGATATTCCAGATTGATATTCCAGTCCACACTGGGACTCTAACAATTCGCTAAAGTGTTACTGATCTCTTCTTACCCCTTTGTACGGCAGTCAACCTTTCCACCCATGATCTGCCACAGGTGAGCCATCTGTATCTCTCTGGATTCAGACACCTCGAGGGCCCTGAGACCTCAGCTTCCCTATGAGCTTGAGAAAAGTTAGCATTCTACCTGCCTTTTCCTGTAGGAAGGTTGGTTGCCAGCACTGCTCTTTCGAGCTTTCTGCATCCTAGGTGGATGGGCAAATCCCAAACAGTTCAGACTTTCATTAAGTAATATCATTTGGGCTTAGCCTCCAAAGGAGAAAAATCAAACCAAACCAAACCAAACACAAAGGCAGAAAAGCTTTACAAAGGGTGAACTATGCTTTTAAGTCAGGAATTACACACCATCAGAGACTATCATGAAGAAACTTGTAAAGCTTTGGCACGTATGACAGACAGCATAGCTGAGCACTGTCTCAAGCAGTTTGGTCAGTCGAGTGAGAATCCCCCTTTCCTCACCTTAGTAATTTTTTATCCTCCAACTCCCTCCACTCCCTCATTCCTTGGCTATAAATCTCCACTTTTCCTTGTTGAATATGGAGTTGAGCAGAATCTCTCCCCCACTACCAAACCTCACTGCAGTAGCCCCCCGATAAAGTCTGCCTTACTGTTCTTTAATAACTTTCATGAATAATTTTTCCTGTAACAAGAACAATAAAACATCATCCTTTGCCCTCAAAAGCATTAAAATTCCGATACCTGCATCACAAGAAGGTGGAGTCTGTGAGGCATGCTGCAGGTGTGTAACGTCGGGCTTGTTGATTCAATTTGTTTGTGTACCCCTCAAAATTCGATCCTGTGATTCAGGTATGCTGCCCCTTGATGGCAAAGGCACTTCCATCCAAAATTTGTTTTACTGATACTTCAACAAGTTCCCCCACAAAAGGATCAGTAAACATTCAGTGTTTACTGAATGAACACTTAATAACTCAATAAAACATTCAGTGAATATAATTTATATATTTAATACACAATTAGCATACAATTGATAGATGAGGAAGTTAGATAAGGAAAAATGAAAGCAGAAAAATAAAATGAGGTCAGAATTGAGGTTAGGCACATTAAAACATGTTTCCTGTAACTCCGTGTCATTGTCACAGTTGGGCCATACACTTAGTTCTGGGTTTTGCAGTGAGCTAAGCAGCGTTAAAAGAAAAACTTTGGACAAATTAAATTTAACAGAGTTTGGCTAGGCACGTTGGTTCACTCCTGTAATCCCAGCACTTTGGAAGGCTGAGGCAAGCTGATCACTTGAGGTCAAGGGTTCGAGGCCAGTCTGGCCAACATGGTGAAACCCTGTATCTACTTAAAAAAAAAAAAAAATTAGCTGGGCCTGGTGGCGGGTGCCTGTAATCCCAGCTACTCAGGAGGCTGAGGCATGAGAATCGCTGGAACGCGAATGCGGGAGGTAGAGGATGCAGTGTGACAAGATCGCACCACTGCACTCCAGCCTGGGTGACAGAGCGAGACTCTGTCTCAAAAATTAATAAAAATAAATAAATGAATAAATAAATAAATAAACTTAACAGAGTTAAACAGAGCAAAGGACACCTTAAAAATTGGGCAGTCCCTGGAACCAGAATAGGTTCAGAGAGACTCAGGAACTGCCATATAGTCTGATAATATTTATGGACAGAAAAAGGAAAATGACCTACAGAAAACAGATGTGAGGTACAGAAATAGCTGGGTTGGTTACAGTTCACATTTGCCTTATTTGAACAAGGTTTGAACAGCCTGTGATTGGCTGAAACTCTGTGATTGGTACAAGGGTAGGTTACAGGCTGTTTATACCTCTAGTAAGGTTAGAGTTCATTATGTATGGAGAAATCTTTAAGCCTAATTTAAAATATGTAAGGCAGCTTTAGGCTAAATGTAACAGCGGAGAGGGAAATTCAATGATGTGCCTCATTCTAATTTCTGTGAGTAGTGGTCTAGATCCCTTACCTGAAATTCCATAATCCGTTAAGGTCTGAAGACTGGAAAGTTTTCATAAATTTGACCAAAAAAAACATTAGATGGCAAGACCTGACCTGGACAAATGTGAAGTTTGTAAAGTATTTATCTTTTAAAAATATTTACCCTTACACTTCGTGAATATGCAGAAATATGAATGTGTTTCACTACTGGGTACTCTACCAGAACTAGCTAGGTTTATTCATTTCTTTTAATTCAACATCCACAGTATAAGGTTAAACAAAAATTATGGGAGGCCATTGTTTTATACTGAGCTCCTACACTGGGCCCCAGTAGACAAAACCAAACCAAATGGAGTCACTCATGCTAAATGCCACACAATCAAACCAAAGTTTTAGAGAAGCAGGTAGATCCCATACAGTCCGGTGTTTCCTGAAAATAGGAGATCGCAGTCTACCTGAGTCAGTGTCATATGGAAGCTCCCTTTGCTTTAACGCTTACAAAAGAGGAACCTGATGCTAATCAATCGGCTTTTTTTTCTGGTGTTCTGTTTCCTTGTTCCCACCTTATAAAGCCCACTCTTCTGCTATTGCCCAGGGGTAGCTTTCATTCTACTTTGTAGAATAGAGGCTGCCTAATTCATGAATCACATATAAAAGTCAAACGGATCTATAACCAAATTTGTTGCAATTTTTTCTTCTCATAAACCATATTAATTTTCTAAAAATCCAGAAAATTCTGAATTCCAAAACATCTAATCCCGAAGTTTTAGATAGAGAACTATAAATCTCTATGTGTTATATACATTTGGTCTGAAATACAGCGTAAATTCTCCACTTTTTATTAAAAAAAAAAATAGAAAAAAAGCCGGACACGGTGGCTCATGCCTGTGATCCCAGCACTTTGGGAGGCCAAGGCCAGTGGATCACCTGAAGTCAGGAGTTCAAGACCAGCCTGGCCAACATGGTGAAACCCCATCTCTACTAGAAATACAAAAATTAGCCAGGTGTGGTGGCATGTACCTGTAATCCCAGCTACTTGGGAGGCTGAGGGAGGAGAATTGCTTGAACCTAGGAGGCAGAGGTTGCAGTGAGCTGAGATTGCATCCTTGCACTCCAGCCTGGGTGACAAGAGGGAGACTCCATCTCAATAAAAAAAAAAAAGGAAAAAAACCTCTTTTCATTCCAAGTGTTCTACACACAGTATATTGTACATGTCTCCCCAATGAGGTTTACAGATGTGTCATTTAAAAAATGGGTTAAGTGTGAGAAACTCTTCGAGCACTCTTAATTTTGTATCTATAGAATCCAGTTGAGTGAAGTTACTTGGCCTTCCCTTGATGTTGTCCAACTCTCGTGCTTGTGTTGACTGAACAGAGGCCCTGCCTGTGGTAGAAGAGCCAACAATAAAAGCAGGTCAGATTGTCTAGGAAATTCACTCAAGTAAACACCTTTCTTGGGGATTCCAGTTATTAGCATATTAAATTATACGTAGTCCTACCTTTATAGAAACCCATTTAATGCTACACCCATTTTCCAAAATTATTTGAGCACAGAACACCTGCTCCCTCCACCCCATACATCTTTTATAATCAGGTGATTTAATATGTACAACACTAGTTGGAAAATGACTTGGTAAAGCAATTAAATGTAACTTTCACTAATAAAAGAAAGAATTCTTATAAATAAAACATCGTAAAGAAATAAAGGAATAAATACAGCTGTTATTCTGGCTATCTTACAGCTTCTTTCCAGTCTTATATTTACACCCACTTTATTAGAAAGCTTCTCTTCAGCTCTTCTCCATCGCACCTGGCTCTGCCTCTCCCAGGCCAGCACAGCCCCCAGACATTCTGGGAACTTGCCTGCAGGGTGTCCTGCCGCTCTGGTGCCTGAGCCAGTTCCAATGCCCCATCAGAGTGTGCATTTCTAAGGAATGAAAGTTGATGGAGCTCATGAAAGCACACTAATTTGCCTTTCCTTATGGCCAGGGAACAAATGGATAGAGCACAGAAGGTGCTGTATGTTCTGGTCTCCTCAATGCATTAGCAGATCCACAAAACTCATTCTGATTTCTCTGCTCCAAAACAGAAGAAAAATAGCCAGCATCCAACACTGCCTCCATACTGAAAAACGCCAAATAATACCAACTGCAAGCTCCACATTTCCCTCCTGCAACATTTTCTTTTTCCACAGTGAAGAGGGAGATTCCCACTCTGTTATTTTTTCAGATATCACCTATCAACTATTATTTTTATGGAGGCATTTTATTGAAATACAATAGTAAATCTAGTTATACCCTCAGTAAAGCTTTGCAATCTGCAACCTTTACAAACTATCTTACTATAGAGTTGTTCAGAAACAGTTTTCTATAAAATCTGTATCCCTTAACAAGGGCAGACTATTTTAAACATGGATTGAGAATTTATGTTAATGTGAATTTATTTCAAAGCAATTTTTACTGAGTGAACTTTATACTTCAGATAATTTATGCCCCTTCCTAGTTTCTTTCATAAAAATATCTGCAGATTTTTTTTTGTCACTATAGAATCCCACCAAGTCCAAATGAGCCCTGGTTTGAAGCTGGCTGCCTCCTGTGCTTACGAAATGGGCTGTAAGAGAAGACAGAGCAAGAAAAGCAGGTGAGACCTGTCACAAGACTCTCTGGGCTCATCTTCACCGAGCATCCCACCCTGTGCAAGGCATCCTACTAAGCAGCTGGGTAATACACAATGAATCTCACCTGATCCTGCTACCTGGAACCAGAAAAGGAATGTACAACCTGCAGTATCTGAGGGGGGTTGGTTCCAGGACCTTCCTCCAAGAACAAAATCCATACATGTTCAAGTCCCTGGTATAAAATAGTATAGTATTTGCAGATAACCTAGATGCATATCCTCTTATATACTTTAAATCATGTCTAGACTACTTGTAATACCTAATACAAAGTAGCTATGTAAATAGTTGTTACACTGTACTGCTTTTTTACTTGCATTTTAATAATTGTGTTGTTATTATTACTATTTTTTCCAAGTATTTTTGACCCATGGTTAGTTGACTGTGTGGACACAGAAGGGCCAAATGTATTTCAGGATTCATAAAGCATGGGAAAATGCACCAAGAGCCACAAAAGAGGTGCAGATAAAGCAATAAAGGAATTTAGAAGAGAGTAATCATTCACAGTGTTGGAAAAGCAATTACCCTAACAATAAATGGTGCCATTTGTACTACCGTAACAGTGGTATTTCAAAAGCAGAGATCAAACATCGTGGGTGGTTTTTTAAAATAGGAAAATGGTAGAAATGTTGTTTCTACTATTGGAATATAATATGCCAGTAATTAACTACAGTGACCTAATGTGCTTACTGTAATAATCCAACCTGAATTTTTCCACAATTACCACTGTATTTAAAACAGTAATTTCTGTGTTTATTTTTAAAAACTCAAGATTTGACTATATGACTATAACAAGACAATGCAGCCTGTCTAATATGCTAAAGTTGCCTATAAACTAAAAAGAACTGACTTAAAAGCCCTGGAGTGGTTGCCTCACATTGCCCCACCCCGCAAGGCTGTACTACGGTTGGGTAACCAAATGCTCCTATTTCAAGCATTTAGCTAATTGATTCATCCTATCCCGATGATGCATTCAATGACTTAAACTTAGATTTCTAGAGCCCCAACTAGACTGTGAGACACAATCAGCCATTGCTGTGTGAAAGGTCCCCTTAAAGGACACTAGGGAGTGGGGGCCCCACCCTCTTTGTGTACCCAAACACACAGCTGTGCAAGAGAGGACTCCCAGTGCTCATTTATTCTATTGTTTGTTAATGCCAGAACACATTTACAGCCAGAAAGGGAAAATGAAAGACTATAAAACTGACCTCCTTCTTATATTAAGAAGGTAAAAATCTGTGTCTTGCTCAGAATTGCAACTTTTTTTTTTTTTCCTAAATATGGATTGTAAGAACAGTAATTACCCAACTATGTGAAGTCCAAAGCAAGTAGAGACCAGCAGCATCTGGGCGCTTCTTTTTTTTTTTGAGACAGAGTCTTGCTCTGTTACCCAGGCTGGAGTGCAGTGGCATGATCTCGGCTCACTGCAACCTCCGCTGGGCGCTTCCTGGAAATACAGAATCCTGAACCCACTTCACATCCATTAAATCAGAATCTGCATTTTATCCAGATCCCCAGGTGATTGTGTGTTGAAGTTTTAGATACCTGACTTAGAAAAAGAAACAGTCATTACAATGACTTGAAAAACAAAGATGAGCAAACTTAAATTGTTCTAATTTTACAAGCAGAAAAATGGTCCGTAAGGAGGAGCACTGTGTGAAAGACGAAGGCTTGGGTGTGAGTTAGGCATCCTGCTGTTGCTACTCTTTTGCCTCTTAGCCTAACAAAATCTCAGAGTATCCTATTTTCTCATTTGTAAAATGAGGATAAAAATACCTCTGCCACAAAATTAGTATGAAGGTTCAATAAGGTGACAATTAGTTAATGAACTTCTAAAATGTATTAACTGAATAGAAGAAATTCAGGTCCCTGCATCTGAAACATCTGACTTTCTCAATGCTGTCACAGCTTGGGTGACCACACATGGAGGTGGGCATGACAGTCCTACGTTATGACTGCCATCTTGGTGTGATCAATAATAGCACTCCTTTCTTTCTTAACAGCATTTGGAGCTGGGCACGGTGGCTCACGCCTATAATCCCTGCATTTTGGAGGGCCAAAGCTGGAGGACTGCTTGAGGCTGAATGTTCGAGAACAGGCTGGGCAACAGAACGAGACACCATCTCTACAAAAAAATTTAAAATTAGCTGGGCATGATAACAGGCCCTGTAGTCCTAGCTACTTGGGAGGCTGGGGCAGGAGGACTGCTTCAGCCCAAGAATTTGAGGTTTCAGGGAGCTGTGATTGCACCACTGCACTCTAGCCTGGGTGACAGTGTGAGACCCTGTCCCTCTCTCACCAAAAAAGGGGTTTGGCTTGGACAATAGATCATATTGTCACCCTATTAATAACTAACTTACTGAGTGCTTCATATGAGCCAAACACTGCATCAGTTGTCCACAGCCTATGCTATACTGCCTTACCAAAGAGAGGAAGGTGTCAACTGTATCCTTGGGGTAAACAAAAGTGGCAATGTTTGTTGACCACGCATAGGAACAAAAACATTAAAACAAATAGCTTTCCCATTCTATGAAGCTAGCACAGCATTTTGGAATGATTCTAAAAATAACACCAAAAAATACAAATGTTTGGTAAACATAGTTATCACCTGAATTCTCTGAATATTTTGTCATGAGCTTAAGTTGTAAGCATGTAATCTCATAAACTTGCTAAGTATTCTCTAACATTTCACAATCTCACTAGTCTAATTTAAATAACATTACATTAAAAGTTTGGTATCAAATTATTACAGAGCTAAGTCACTGTGATAAAATACCTTTTTTACTTATGACCATTGAGAAAATGTACTGTGGTGAGAAGCTGCATATATATTAACAGGTAAGACAATCTCTGGTACAAGTCCTTGTTATGGTGGTAATTCAACTCATCCTGAAGCAGAGAACTCCTACTGCTGATGTCCCTGGGCACGTGATAGGTCTAATGACAGAAAACTTGTTGAAACATAGTCATCCAAAACAAGAAAATACTTCAGCGGCATAAAGCCAGGCACCAGGCTGCCAAGCAGCAGCTCTGATTTCCCAGCTGATCCCATCCCACCCCAAGCTGTGTGTCACAGCACTGCATTTCCTCACGTGTCTATAATGGAAAAACAACTGGATTGCATGTCTCAACTAGCTTGTTTTGATATAACCAGTAATCCAGATGGCACATAATCAATAAAATAAAAATGTTGGCTAGGCCCAAGGAGACAAAACCTCAAGCCTAAATCCACAGGAAATACTACTTTTCACTTACTTTTAAGTAGTGTTTTCTAACAAACTAAATAAGATGATCTAAGATTTAAAAACCCTTTAAAAATGCTTACACTTTATCACAGACCCACCGATGGTTTAAAGAAACATAGGTCAGATGGCTTTGAGTTTTGCAGGGTTCAACACTAAACATTTTAATGTGTGATAGGGATCCAACTTCCATTTTTTCTAAAAATATTCCAATAATACTGTGCTTTACAGTTTGCGTCCATTATTAAATTTGTCCAAAAATTTTGAGGCAGGTATGGAGGCTTGCTAAATTTTAATTTTGACATATTTATTCCATTTATTTTATATAAAGGAGCAGAAAAGTCTCAGACAAGTTCAATGACTGGTCTAAAGCCAGCTGTGTATGGTGGTGGGGCCGGGCTCAGATCCATCTCTACTTCCCTGTTCAATGCTTTTGTCTAGACATAATTGAGAAGCATTAACACTGAAAGTAAGAAAAGTTCCAAAACAACCTAAATCTGCCAAAGTTAATCTAATGCTAGTTGCACTGTCATGTTTACCTTCGATGCTTTTTCACATCTCTTGAAAGAGGATGACAGGAGAAGATTTATTACAAGTATGTATGTCTCCTTGAAGATAGAACTTAAGCAATTTTAGCCTTGGGCTGACTTTCACAAACTAAGGCGAGAAACTAAATCTTACAATGATGCAGGACAGAAAAATTCTACAATGAAAGCACTAGAATGTTACTGTTCTAAAAATAACACTTAAAGTAGATATGGGGCTTCCATTTTATGAGACACATTGTCAGAAGTTTAGGCGATACATATTGAGGAATTTTTAACGAGAAAATACCTGGAAAAAGAAAATACTCACAATGTTATAATACTGACTTGATCAACTCTAACTGAACTTTAAGGAAATTCTAAGGTGAAACTAATAGATCTATTGCCCCCCTCATTATTATTGTGTGATCTTTGGAAAATTACCTACCCTGGCTGAGTCTAAGGTAGCCAGGGTAAGGAATCACAGTAACTACAGTTAGTCCATACAGTGTGGACAACTAGGTACCAACCATCAACTTCACAGACTGCCAGAAAGGACTAAATAAGAAAAAATTATGAGAGTGAGTATTAACTTCTCTTAACATCGCTTTAAAAATATTCAGTGAGAAAGACAACTAGAGCAGTAAACATTTTAGTGTAGTGGCTAATAGACACAACTATACAAAAAATATCAGGTTCTCTCAAAAATCAATTGGCTATATTTGGTGATTAGTAATGTAGCTGGGGTTGCAAAATTACCAGGAAAAAAAAAAGATTTTAAAACAAGAAACATATAAAGATTAAGAGGATAACATATAAGGAAGAAAGGAATTGTTCATCGGGGAAACTATGCTTTTATGCATCTAATAAAATATTCTCAAAATATAGAGAGCAAAAATGGATAGAACTAAGGGGAAATTATATATCTATCATTCTCATGGTAGAAGACTTATACCTCTAAATTTTTGCTATATCAAAAAATTAGTTATATCAAAGATCTAAACAATACAATTAAAAGGTTGACTTACCAGACTAGTATGAAACCGCAGACCCAACAATTATAAATATACAATCTACTCAAGCACAGATGGAACATTTCTAAAAAACTGATGACACATGAAGCCATAAAATAAATATTAACAAACTGCAAAGAATCAATACCAGATAGACCAATTAATTAGATATCAGAAACAAAAAGATAAATAACTCCCCTGCAAAGGTTTAAAACTTTTAAACTATAGCTCTAAACAAGTCTTTGCTTAAGGAGGAAATTACAATGGAAATTACCAACTTTAAAAATATTTTGTATTAAAATCACAGAATTCAGCTAAAACATTTCATCACATCATTTAATATTTAAAGCATTAAAATTTAAATGCTTATGTTAAATAAAACAGAAACCGAATTAGATAAATGCCTATGAAATCAGAAGAAAAAAACAAGGATGGAGGAAGGAGAGAGTAATAATAAAAGTAGGAAGTAACAAACTGAAACAAACAAAATAGGATAAACAAAGTTTGCATTGGTTCTTTGAAAATACAGTCAGCCCTCCATATCTGAGGGTTGCACATTCATGGATTCAATCAACCATGAGTCAAAAATATTTGGAAAAAAACTGCATCTGTATCGAACATGTACAGACTTTTTTCTTGTCATTATTCCCTAAACAATACAGCATCTATATAGCGTTTACATTGTGTTAGGTATTATAAGTAATCTAGAGATGATTTAAAGTATACAGCAGGATGTACACAGGTTAAATGCAAATACTACACCCTTTCATAAAAGGGACTTGAGCATCCAAGGATTTTGGTAGCCACGTTGGCGGGGAGTAGTGGCCCAGGAACCAATCCTGCTTAGACACTGAGAGATTACAGTGATAAAGTGGACAAAATTCTGCCAAGATTAACAGAGAGAAAAAAATGAGAAAACAGAATTAGAAATTAAAAAGGATACAATTATAGCAGAATTTGAAGGATAAAAGAATGCTATAAGTAACTTTATGTGAATAAGCTGAAGAACTTGGCTCAAATTGATAAATGTCTAGAAAATTTCAAAGTAGCAAAGTTTATCTGAGAAGAAAAGAAAGCCCAAAGAGGCTTATGACTAGTAAGGATTCAGTCATTTAAAAAATCTTCCCACAGAGGAAACAACAGACCCTGAATGGTTTCATAGATGAATTCCGACAGTTTTAAAGAACAAATGATAACAATGTTATAAATAAATGCTTGTAAAGAAAAGAAAAAGAAACACTCACCAACTCATTTTATGAAATAGTATATATTTAAGTGAACACCAGCAAATAATGACAAAGAAAAATCATAAGCAATCCCTCTCTCATAAACATAAATGCAAAAATCAAGAATATAAAAATATTAGTAAACTAGCAAACTATGAGGTGGGTGGATCAACTGGGGTCAGGAGCTCAAGGCCAGCCTGGCCAACATGGTAAAACCCCACCTCTACTAAAATTACAAAAATTAGCCATGTGTGGTGGCACACGCTGTAATCCCAGCTACTCAGGAGGCTGAGGCGGGAGAATCACTTGAACCCAGGAGGTGGAAGTTGCAGTGAGCAGAGACTGCACCACTGCACTCCAGCCTGGGCGATGGAGGGAGACTCTGTCTCAAAAAAATAAATAAATAAAATAATTAGCAAACTAAAGCCAGCTCTGCATTAAAAAATAACTATTATTTAGGACCAAGGTGGCTTAATCCTGAAATGCAAAGGTGGCTAATGTTTAACATTAACATTCACTACATTAACAGATTAAAGGTGAAGAACAATCTGACAGCTCAAAAGATGCAGGAAAAAACTATGATAAAATGCAATACCCATTAATGATTTAAAAAAATAGTAGCAAACTGGAGATAGAAAGGAATTTCCTTTTCCTGATATCTCCAACAAACCTATAACAAACATCTTTCTTTACGGTGACGTATTAAAAACATTTCCTTTAAACACCAGGATCAAGGCAGGAATGCCCATACCACGGCTTTTACTCAACATTAAGGAGGCTCTCATAAGTGGAGTAGAACAAGGTAAACAGAAAAGATACGTGGTTGGAAAGGAAAAATAAAGCTGTCATTATTTTTAGCAGAAGTAATTATCTGGTTAAAAAAGCTTGTAAAAGTCTATAGACAAATTCTGTGAATTAATAAGAAAGTTTAGCAAAGCTGCTGTAAACAAGAGCACTATACAAAAATGGACAAACAGCATTTTTAAACACCAGTAACAAACAATCTGAATATATATACTGCTTATAGTATCAAAAAGGAAGGGCATCCAGGACGAAGCCCAACAAAAGCTGACCAAGGCCCTGGAAGAAAATTTTAAAACTGTATTCAAAGACTTTTGAAAAGACCCAAGAAATGGAGAGATATGCCATATTCATGGATTCAAAGATTCAATATTCAGAGATATCAGTTCTCTCCAAATTGGCCTAGAAATTTAATGTAATCCCAATCAAACTCTTACCAGAATTTTTCAAAAATTAGATAACCTGATTCTAAAATGTATATGAAAGAATACAAAGGTCCAAGAGTAGACAAGAAATTTTGAAGAACAAATCGAGGAAGGCCTATCCTTCCAGATATCAAGGCTTATTATTACTTATTAATAATAGTAAGCTTATTACTATAACTTATTCCAAAGCTCTAGTAATACAGACAGCATGGCTTTGATATTAGGACAGACAGCTTAAACAATGGAATGAAAGAGAATCCCACAAACTGACAATTGCATGTACATGAGTAATGGCACTGAAGAAAGGGTAAATTACTCACTAAATGGTGCTGGGACAGTTTGTTACTCACACGGAAGAAAGTAAAATGGATTCCCGCCTTATGCCAAACCCAGAAAGAATTTCCAACTTGATTAAAAATTGAAAGAGAAAAGAAAGCATTAAAATGTTTAGAAGAAAACTGAAGAGGCTGGGTATGGTGGCTCACGCCTGTAATCCCAAAACTTTGGGAGGCTGAGGTGGGAAGATTGCTTGAGGCCAGGAGTTTGAGACCAGCCTGGGAAACACAGTGAAATCCTGTCTCTATAAAAAATATAAAAATTGGCTGGGCATGGTGGCATGCCTGTAAGCCTGGGCGAAAGAGCAAGACTCTGTCTCAAAAAAAGAAAAAAAATATAAAAACTATTAACTATAAAGACAAGATTGATAAATCCAACAATATTAAAAGGAAAGTGAAAACACAAGCCATAAACTGAGACAAGACATATGCCTAAAAAGGATTATTATTTCAACTACCAAGAATTTCTGAAAATCAGTAAGAAAAAGACAAATTTCCAAGTAGGAAAATGAGCATGAGACAAAAAGACATCTGACAGAAAACAAAAACGAAAAATAAGCCAGGTGTAGTGGCACATGACTGTAGTCCCAGCTACTTGGGTGGCTGAGGCAGGAGGACTGCTTGAACCCAGGAGTTTGAGGGGCCAGCCTGGGCAACCTAGCAAGACCTTATTTCTAAACAAGACAAAACAAAACAGAAAATAAATAAATAAAAAACCTTAAAAGTAATCAGAGAACACTGCTGCTAATTAAGACCTTAAAAGTAATCAGAGAACACTGCTGCTAATTAAGACCACAATAGCATTTCATTTTATAATCACAAAATGGGCAAAATTAAAACTTTTGACAAAATTAAAAGTCAATGAGGATGCTGCACGATAGAAACCATTGCTGAGAGGAGTATAAATTAGCAGAAACATTTTGAAAAACAATTTGGCATTATCTCATAAACTTAAAGACATGCACCCCTTACAAATCCAGCAGTTCCAATCTTATACATGGATATACAGAAGAAAGTATAAAAATGTTCACAGCAGTATCACATGAACTAGCAAAAACCTGGAAGAACCTGTGTGCTCCACGTGTGCTCCATGACAGGAGAATGAGTAAATAAATGATGGAATATTATCTGCAATTGAAATAAATACACTGCAGCTACATGCAACACAGATTAATCTTAGGCATAAAATATATATTTTTTAAATAACAGAAGATTATAAGCAGTAAAATACCATTTTTGTAAAGTTCAAAAAACTGAACACCACACTTCTTAGGAATAAATAATGTGGCCAAAAAATGATAAGAATTGAGCACTATGCTTTCCTCTGGGAGGCAAGCGGGGCAGAGATGGGTTCAGAGAAGAGCATGTGGTAATGTTTTACTTCTCAGGTTGGAGAATGGCTTCATAGCTGTTCTTTCTACAAATACTGTGTTATAACATTAAATATTAAATAAAAGAGAAATTCATTACTTGGAGAGGCATCTCTTTCTGCTCTAATCATTTACAAGAAGAATCTCCTGAACTGAAATGAGCCTCCTTAGAATTCCCTTCCACTATTCCTAGTAATATTGTTTTTTCCTAGAATGACTTTCTTCCTTTACATGGTATCCTTCAAATGGTATATGAAAGACTTGAGTTTCATTTTTCTAGTCTAAAAATGTCTTTTCTTAAACCCCTCCTAATGTGAAGTGGCTTCCAATTTTACAAATAAGCAGCAGCCACCCCTCAGGATGGTTTCTAGTTCATCAGCATCACTGTAAAACAGGCCCTCCAAAATTGATCAAACACACTGGGACTGGCAGCCCAGCTCCAGGCAATATGCTGAGGACAAAGGGATATTGTGGGTAAAGATAAGGATAGTGGCAGTTTCTGTAGGGGTGGAGGAGTTAGTTGGAAACTGAGGAATTGAGGACAAAAGGGAACAGAGGCAGCTACTGTGAAGCAGGGGAAAGGGTGGGGCAACCAAGCATCTGGACTACTCAGGGGCTGGGCTAAGTCAATTAGGACACATATATTCACACATCTGGGGAAAATTCAGTCTGAGAAAGTGGGATGGGAACAGAACCTTAGAAATGCAAAGGAAAGGTAAAAGTATCAGACTTTTGCTCATTTTCAGAAATTTACCTAAAACCTGATGTGAAGAAATTGCAAATCTAGGGCACAGACAAATAGATCCTGCCTCCATTAGGAATCAGGATCTGGGGACAGTGAGAGAAAGAAGAGGAAAACTCTGAGTACCCAAATGATCTGGGCGTCGGGGACAGCCTAGCTTCCCCATGGCGGGGGGGGGATGTGGATGGGAATTGCCTTACTGCATTTTGTGTTGCTATAACAGAATATCTGAGACTGGGTAAATTATAAAGAACAGAAGCTTATGTAGCTTACAATTCTGTAGGCTAGGAACTTCAAGACTGGGCAACACATCCGGCAGCTCCTGGTGAGAGCCTTGTGCTGCATCAAAGCATGGCAGAGAAATGGAAGGGGAACCTGATGCATATGTAAAGAGCAAAATACAAGAGGCAACCTCGCTTCATAACAACCTGCTCTCGTGGGAACTGATCTGTTCCCATGAGAACTAATCCATTCCAGAGAGAACCCAGCCTCCAGAGAGAGCTATTACTCCATCTAAAGGACCTAATCACATCTCAAATGCACCACCTACCAATACCACCATGTTGGGGACCAAGTTTTAACATAAGTTTTGGTGGAGCAAACCATATTCTAACCACAGCAGAGGTCAAGGGGCAGGCTATTAGACTGCACGGTGAAGGTGCTTAGCATTTTCAATGCTGGGTATAGGGGTTTAGACTGTCTTCTTTCCTTGAATCTAAGAACCCAATATTTGTAAAGAGCCACTGTGATTTTATGACAGATTTGGGGAGAGAGCACACTATGCCACTGCTATAGCTTGAGTATCTGTCCCCTCCAAAACCCATGTTGAAATTTAAGCCCCAATGGGGCTTAAATACCCCTTCTCCAGGCAGTATTGAGAGATCACTGGGTCATGAGGGCTCTGCCCTCATAAATGGATTAATTCATCCATTGATTATAATGGATTAAGAGATTATCATGGGAGTGGGACTGCTGGCTTTATAAGAAGAGGAAGAGAGACCTGAGCTAGCATGTGAGCACACTCAGTCCCTCGCCATGTGAGGCCCTGAGCCACCTTGGGACTCTGCAGAGTCCCCACCAGTAGGAAGGCGCTCATCAGATACGGCCCCTTGACCTTGGACTTCTCAGCCTCCATAACTGTAAAAAATAGATTCCTTTTCTTTAGAAATTATCCATTTTCAGGTATTCTAAGGAACAGAGAACAGACTAATATAGCTATTAAATATAAATAGGTAAATAACAAGGGGATCCCACTTTCAGAGAATGATCAAAACATTAAAAAAAAGAAAGTTGCATCTTAGAAAGGTTTAGGAAGGACAAGAATCATGCTTCCAGGAGAATGAGGCCACCTATATATAATTCTGTGCTAATTTGGAGCAACGGCGAAGAAGTTACGCGGAAGGTAAAAATCTACAAGCACTGAGAAGAGAAACAATGACCTCTGGGTCCTTAGGCACCACAGCTCCACTAAGGTAGCCTAAAATTGAAGGAGATTTATGGGAAAACCCATCAGACTGTTAATCCATGTTAAGTTTATTATGTCTAAACACCTGAACTGCAGCCAAGTTTGTACTCCTTCTATACCTGTGGTATTGATTTCAAGATTAATTTACAATAAATTCTACTTTGGCTTTGATGTTGTAGCTTGTCAAGACGTTCTGAATCTTGAATGAGCACCTCTGGTATCTGCTATCTCTGACAGCTGCATGACACCTGCAAATCTGATAAGCATACTTCTAATTCTTCCACCACAAGGAATTCTTTGACTATGCTATGATATAGTTCTGATAAAATACCTGTAGGTGTTAATAAGTCACTGATTATCCTCTACCTGAGACCTCTCTGGAATATATTTCATAATGTTAAAAAAATCCTTTCCTGAAAGGCAGCAGGATAGAAAATTAGGCATAAACATGCAACCCTGTTATTTTTTCCTTGTGAGATTAAATGCCATTTATTTACAAAGACTTGGATTTTAGAGAATTAACTTCTTATCCTTAAGGCTAGGACTGCACTTAAGATTTAAAAAAAATAAATAAAATAAAATAAACCTCCTTGGTGCCTTCATTAGTGACAAGAAGAGGCAAGCCCTTGTGAAGCTCAAAGCATTTACATGTCTCTTGCCTTTGGGCACGCTTTCCATTCTCCATGAGAATCACAAAATTTTAGATTCTTTAGAGACTACGTCTGTAAGTCCCTTAAGGGCACTGGATCCATCTTCTGTGTCTGAAACTTGAATTAATTCAAAGCAGCTTAGTGCTTTCTTCCTATCTCATCTATCTTGGATTAGATTTTGGGTTTACTCTTGTTTTCTTGCATCTAGTTCAACAATACATCTTCTTACAGAATAATTTAGTAAGAATACAGGCATTGAGAAGCTCTCTCCTTTTGCACCTTACATCACACTTGGAGCAGTGACTCCAGCCTTTCTTTGCTCCTGGTTGTTCTATAAGTAGATGGCAATTTAAAAAAAATTGACATTTGTATATGTGGTAAATTTCCACTCCAGATTTTACTTTTAAAAAAATGACTACTGTGCAAGGCTCCTGGTCCTCTTGTGTAGTCACCCCCGCGTGTGTGTCCTCCCACGCCCTGTGTTCGCGCCCCTCGCCAGACCCTCTTTCCGCAGCCCTGCACCACGCGCTCTCACTTTGGCAGCGGCCACCTCCGAAACCTCAGACTCCTCAAACTCGCAGAAACCCCTCCTGGCGGCAGTGATGCTCCCCACGTCTCCCACACTAAGTGGCGCCTCCCTTGGCCTGACCCTGCGGAACCCTCGGAAGCAGGATGCCCCTTTGCTGTCCCCTGCCTCCCACCCTGACCCCTTCACCAGCCGTGTACTTGTCTGCGGGTTGCTGGGTCGCCAGAGCTGAGGCCACCCAGCAAGGGTGGGTGGAGAGAGGCCACGCGCCCGGGATGAGGGGAGAGGGGCCGAGCCCCCGGAGCCGGAGCCTGCCTCTCCAGGAAGCCTCTCAGGCTCTATCCGCACCCCCTGCGATCCGCTTCCTCCCTGACACCAGCGTGATTTTCTTGAAGTAAAAATTTGATTCCCGCCTGAAAGCCTTTACTGGCTGCTGCTCCAGCAGCAGAAGACCCAACCCATATGCCCGTGTTTTTCCCTGTGTAACTTCTCCTCAGCCTTTAGCTCCCAGCTCCTGGCCAGGCCTCCCCAGCAGTCTAGAGGTTGCTCCTCCCCTCTCCTGGGCTTTGCCTTCGGGCGGTAACACCCTAGTCAGGCTCTGTCTCAGTTCCCCTAGGAATTAAAGACCGCGGGCAATGGGATGTTGCCTGACTTATTCTTGGCTGTTTCTTGGATGCTGAGAATGCAGACTGGTAAATATTAAAACTCAGCAAGTGTTTTCTGACTGAAGGGCCTCTCTGTCCTATGTCCTCAATAAATGTATTTTGGTGGAACAGATGAATACCGCTGAGAGCTGACTGGCGAATGCCGCTTCTCTTTTTCCCAGACCTCCTTCCTCCTGCACTTCTCCTCCCCAGCCTCCCCAGTTCCCCCAGGGCCCTCGTGGCCCTGCCTGTGCACAGGGCTCTAAGCACCTCAGGCAGGGAGCAATCACTGAACTACTAATCATTCCCAGTTCCCAAAATACACAGCCATAGATGGATTATGCTATCACGTGGTAGGGTATGCCTCTCTATGTTATTGGCCAAGTCTACATAATTCCCAGAACAATTCTTTGTAGATTAATGGATGGGTAGTTAATTGGATCACAAATCTGCCACCGTAATAACTGAAATATATTATGTTGAAGAGTCACTCAGATTACTTATCCAGAATATCATCCATTATTCTTTTTTTTTTTTTTTTTTAACAGTCTCACTCTGTTGCCCAGACTGGAGTGCAGTGGCGCAATGTCGGCTCACTGCAACCTCTGCCTCCCAGGTTCAAGTGATTCTCCTGCCTCAGCCTCCTGAGTAGCTGTGACTACAGGCATGTGCCACTGCGCCTGGCTAACTTTTGTATTTTTAGTAGACACGGGGTTTCACAATGTAGCCCAGGCTGGTCTCGAACTCCCAAGCTCAGGTGATCCACCTGCCTCAGCCTCCCAAAGTGCTGGGATTACAGGCATGAGCCACTGTGCCAGCCAGAAGATCAGATTATTCTACAGATAAAATCAAGTCCAAAAAAAAAAATGACCAAATAATATTACACATCTGGAGACATAATGAGAAGAAGAGTCACAAATAAAGGTGGTTAAGGTCCTTCTGTTTCTAATTCTATTCGTCCCCTCATTTAATTTCTTTCAGTGCTTTTTTTTGATTCTAGGTGCTAAGTATTCACAGATGAATACAATTTACATTTGTACCGGGAGTACATACAGTCTGAGGGGGAAAAACATCACCTCACGTAATACGGTTCTAGTATAATCAGAATTGGAGGGAAGGGAAAGAACGCATCTTCCAATGTACACATGGACAGTAAACAGCACAATGTTGACAACTTACAGCTAGCTTAGTGTAAGGTACCTCACATTTTAATTTAAAAATCTTTAATATTAGAATGCATCATTGAAATTTAAGCCTTAAAATTAAGGACTTTTCAGACTAAACATCACAGAGATGCTAAGCATACTGGCAAAATATGGCACTGGATTCAGTTTAATGAGACAACATAAAAATTCAGACCAAGAGAATAAATATTCAGAAGCAAAGGCTTTTTAGAAGTGAGACAGGCTCGAATGCCTATTCTACTACAGAACTTGTTTCTTCATCTGGAAAATGGGGATAAAGTGTCTTCCTTATGGGGAGGTTATGAGGACTAAATGGTAGATTACCAGGCATGTAATAAAGGGTAGCTATTTTTCAACACATGACTATATGCTAGGACTATGATTTAATAGACTGGCAAAAGAAAAGATAGGGAATCAGGAAAAAAAGAAGCAATAAAAGGTTTGTTACTAACAGAGGGTGAGTTCTGAAAAGCAAGAAGAGTTCAATTTATCCAGGATGTCATAAACGCCAACTATCACAACCCAAAGGACAAGACGACAATATTACTGTTCCTACCTGTCCAGTCTGATAATGTCTGGCAAATTGGTTAACTACTCGATAATCATTTGCAAAGTACTCCATCAGAATAGAAGGAACCTCAGCAAAATCAGTAGGGCACCTGGTCCCTAAAACAAGAAAAAAAAAAAAGTTGGCATGAATCAAATCAATATATTTATCTACTTTTTGTGTGCCCTTTAAAACTTTTATTTGTACTTCTGATGAACTGTAAGTTTTAATTCATTAAATCAATATTTTTCTTCTATAAATTTATTGTACATATTTGCAGAAAAGTTTATTATAATCCTATATATTTTCCTTTATATCAAAATTAAAACAAAATATTTGCACAGCTGCTAAAACACCTTATAAAGCCATGGCTCACACCTTTTGCAAACAAACCTGTCTTCAGCTATGCTGGCTATACATGAAACAGATTAAAACATTTCTAATATTAATATAGCGTTTGTATTTAATTCACTAAATTCCATTACCTAATACTTTTATCCTTCCTTTGTTTTACAAGTACTTTATTTTATCCATTTATTGCTTTTTGTAACAAAGTCAATTCTCAGTGAGGAAAAGAAATATTTTAAACTCAAAATTACTTAAAGTAACAAATCCTGTAAGAAATTTAGATGACATTTAACGATTGTGTTCAGCCCACCTACAGTCTTTTCAATACCTTCTCCTTGTCCAAAATACTGTGTGTAAAGTTAGTTAACAAATGCTGGATGCCAACAATTCACTAGTGGTCTAATGCTGACCATATGTGATAGGGAGCTTAAGACTTAAGGATAAGACAATGAAGAAGGAAGTCTGTAATATCACAAAATATAGCCACATAGCAGCATAAAAACTACAAAGCAGAACTATGATTTTATACAGGGGAAAGTATATGAAAAATTAAAAGGACTTCATCATACTTTTTAAGCATGCTTTATTTTCTTCTCTGATTTTGAATATAAAGAGAGACCATTCATTCACTTACTTATTAACTCTGTGGGAGGTATTAAGGAGATACGTTTTTATTCACACACACATAGCCACAAACTTAAATTCAATATAAAACACTGTAAAATGTAAAAAGGGACAAACTTGAAAGACAACTGAGATTATTCCCTGGTGAAAGCTGTTAGCAAGCATGGAAAAAAGCATGGAAGATCAGGCTGCACAACCATGGGGAGGGCAGGATGAGGCAATCTGAGATAAAGACCACAGGACACGGTAAAATGATCACATTTTCCAAATAAAAAGCCCCTTTCCCAATTCAAAGAAAATGTATGTTTGTAAAGGACTGTAGTAAATAAAAGCCCTCCTCATGGCTCACCAGTGACGTGTTGGTAACGAGTACGTCCTAGCATTGAATGCATGGCATGTCCCATTTCATGGAAAAGATTTTCCATCATGCTAGGAGTTAGCAAAGTTGGAGAACTCCTTGAGGAACGGGGAAGATTCAGCATAAGAACTACAACTGGGAGTTGATAGTCTCCATCTTCCTTTAGTCTGCCTCCACGGATAGTGAAATGGCAATCCTTTAAGAATCAGAAAACATAAAAGGAAAAGAAAGTATTTGGTAATGTGAAGAGTAAAACAGTCTTAATGAATATAAAATTTCACCAAAAATGTGTGAGTGCAAACTTTAACTTAATTATATTCTTATTCTATCTATTTACATATATACACCTTTTCTTGACATTTTTTATTCTGCTAAAATTTTAATTTTTTAAAACATCAAGAACACATTCAGTTTCTATGGATTAACTCATTACTTTGGTCCCAAAACATGCATTGAAATGATGCTGTGCCAGAAGCTGGAAACAAAGTCAGCAAAGAACTTACGAAGGGACACTAACATTTATTCTGAGTCCCTACTATGTGTCAGATAATGAACTAGTAGGTACTTTCCATGTCTCTTGGCTATTTTTTTTTCTTTTTTTAAGATAGGGTCTTGCTCTGTTGCCCAGGCTGGAGTGCAGTGTTGTGATCGCAGTTCACTGCAGCCTGGACCTCCTGGGCTCAAGCCATCCTCCTGCTTTGGCCTACTGATTGGCTGGGACTACAGGTGTGCTCCACCACACCCAGCTAAATTTTTAGATTTTTTTTTGTACAGATGGAGTCTTACTATGTTGCCAGGGCTGGTCTTGAACTCCTGGACTGAAGTGATCTGCCAGCCTCAGCCTCCTAAAGTTCTGGGATTACAGGCATGAGCCACCGCGCCCAGCCTCTCTTGACTTTTATCACTTGAACGAGATGGGATCTAAACTAGTGTAAAGCAAGGGATCCGGAGCCAGAATAACTTACTCTGAAACAGGCACTACACTGAGACTCACATACACTGTATCACTTATTCTCCACAACAACCCTATGTAGCAGGTATCTCACTTTTCAGATGATAAAACTAAAACTAGTCTTAGGATTATTAAATAACATGTCCAAGGACACCTAGCTAGAACTGCCACACCTTGGATCTGAACCCAGGCTGACTATTAGGAGCCAGGGCTCCTAATCACTAAAGTTGAGTCTCCACCACCCACCCATTTAAGCAAAGAGGAAGAACACTGGCCTCAGAGTCTGGTGACCTGCACCCTGTTCCTACCTTTCACACCTACTAGACAAATCATCTCGGAAAATAATTTGCTTCTGCAAGCCTCATCTCTAAAATGCTTCCTTGTCAAATCCCACAGTGGCTGTCCAGAATTCATAAGCTCACATCTGTTAAAATCTGTGCTTTGGAAATTGTGAATCACTATTCAAACATAAGGTACATTATTTCTGTTATAACTTATAACCTAAACTCTTGACATTTCCCATCAAGCTACATGAAACTGCTAAAGCTGACTGGCTGTCAAAGTCGGCCAATGCTAAAGAAAAGGAGATGAGCTGCCTCAAGTCTTCCACATAAGGAGCTACTTGGTGGTTGGTAAGGTTTCCACATGGAGTATCTTCCGCAGTTTTAGAATAGGTTCATTGTCGAGTATGGAAAAGAGTTAAAAGTTGGGGATCTGCTCAGGATGTATGCCTTCAAGTCCTAGCACTTCTGGCCAAGTAGCTTAACCTCTATGGCTTCAGTTTCCTCATAATGTGAGTAACTAGTCAAAAGGGTGAGGCGAACATTAAAAGGCTGATGTGTATAACGGGCTCAGTGCACTGTTTGGCACAAATAAGGATTCATAAAATGTCAGTTGTCATTGTTACTATAATTAATACCATGACCCAGATAAAAGTGACAAATATAGACTGATGTAATTATTTCCATAAACTTTTTAATTTTAAAATTCTATCTTAATTTCAAATGTATATATTTGGTAACCATCATTAGTAACTTTTAAATGTCATGGAATTTAAAAAATGATACAAAGTTCACATCAATACAAATGAAATGCCGATCGGTTCTAGAGAGACCAGTTTATAAAGAAAGGATCACCTGATGTGGTTTGTCTGCTCGCTGAAAAAAATCACAGTAAATGTACCCCAACAATCCTTCAGATTCATGAACAACAGCCTAGAAAAAAAAATTTAAATTTGGTGGTAAATGAGGCCATCTGATTCTCTAAAATCCCTAACACAAGAATCTGTATATTAAACATCCATAGCCACACATATAGACATTTTAATTACATTCTACACCCCACATTATCTCGAGATAGATTCTCTTTTCCCCGCATCCTCTTCTGCTCCATCTCTTGAATGATTTTGGTTTTGGAATTCTGTGTCCAGGACAGGAAATCCTCCTCATGAGGGCCTTTTGTCCTGACTGCCTATCCTCTACAATACCTTTACTAACCACCCACAAGAGCTGGGAAGAAGTGCTGGCTGGACAATTTTAGGAGCAAATTATTTTTCCTTCAAATCCTGGAATGTCGTGATATACGCCCAAGCAAATTATAACCCTTGAATTTGAAAACACCACAATGCAGCTCCCAGCTTGAGTTAAAAATCAGCAATATTACTATCTATCCCCTCTCCAAGAGACATAGCTTATAGGAGAGACTCAATCACTACTCTCCATCTTGCCTTCTTTGTTCTTTCAGAATTTAATGATTCCATCAAAGAGAACCCCGATTTTGTGCTTTAAAACTACCTGCAAGTATATATTTATTGTTCATCAAACATCTGTTAAGCACCTACTTGGTGCCAGGAACTCTTCAAGACACTGAGGATACAGAAGTGAATGCAACTGACAACAGTGCTGGACCCCGGTGGAGTGCACATTCTGCAGTTCTGGGGAAACCCTTCATCACCCGCATTTTGTCCTCTCAGTCTCCTCTTATAAATTTTTCTTTTTATTATATCTCAGCATTTTATCAATCTCTATCTTTTTTGGAAGTTTGTAATACAGATAGTGAAGTAAATCAATGCAGTGATGAACGTCCTCCCACCCTGACTCTCCTTTCAATCCCACCACCACACCTACTCTCCACTCACAAGACGTGGCCGAGAGACAATGAGACTGTTTACATTTCTTAAAATATAGTGAAGAAAGCAGTGTGGTAAGCATGCTAGCAAAAATCAAACAACAAAACAATACAAAGCCTTAGTGACACACACAGGTCAACAAAGCCTCAAATCCTATGAGGAAAAATTTAAAATATTCATGCCTCATATAAAGTGGGCCTTCACAGGAGAAAGATGATTGCTAGGTTTGAAGTTATTATCAAAGAAGTTAAATAAATCAGAACACGGACGTAAATTAATATCTGATGCAAATATAAGCCCCTACAACATGGGATGGGGGTTGGAGAGAAAAAAGGTCACTTATCCAATGGATTTGGGAATTAACCAAAACGGACACACAGCTATGAAGGTATATACAAAGTAAAGGACAATTTTCCTATAAATAGAATTTGTGGATATATGAAGGTGCATATATATTCAACCTTCTATCAAGTTCCAAAAAACTTTTTTAGAAAACTCTGCTGTTTTATGTTTGGATCCTTTATACAGTGTCTTAAATCAGAAGTGCAATTTGGATTTTTTTTGTGAAGCAGAAATAAGGCAGGGGACACACTCAGTCAGGGCAAAGTTGATGTAAACCTGAAACTGCTGTTGACTCAACTGCCCAACCGAAAGGTAAATGCCTGCAACTGCAGGCTGAGCAGGAGGAGCTCACCAGTTTTCGGACATCTTCGCTCCACACCTCTCCTTTTGCAGGCTGCTCTGCATATAATGAAATCCCCAACAGTCTGTTAAGCAAAATATTCAGGCCTTCCATGCATGCTCCAAGAGAGAAAAACGGGCAATATAGGCTGGGCTCAATATTATACCTAAGAGAAGGAAGAGAGGTTCAACAGCATCTTTGTTTATTTCAATTTCTGAAGGTAAATTCAATTAACTTTTCATTTAATACTTAAGATCACTGGAGCTAAAGAAGGATTCAAAACATAAAAGTGTATTTATATCATTTGAGGGGTTTTCAGACAGTTTTCTTCAGAATGACAGTCTGATTATTACTAGTGTTAGTTATAAGTCAGTAATTAAGGTAGATATATCATTCCCTAACCTTTGTCCCTTCCCTGTTATTTACTCTTTCACTAACCCAATTAAGCAGTCTCAACTGCTCACTGTATACATTCCTTATACATACTTACATGCAAAATATGATCAGTTTCAGTTATAATGGTAACTCTTACCTTATGAATTATATTCTAGAAACTTGTGACCTATATACATAAATATTAAATGAATAAAAATCCTGAGGCACATTAAGTGAATTTAAAGTTCTCATCCAGTAAAATATTCATTTATGAAAAAAATGCCTGCAATATAAATAATCAGATCTTATCTGTTTTATAGTTAGATATCTTAAATTAAAGACAACGTAACTAGTAAGGTGAATTATTCTTCACCCAAAAATAACTTTTTCTGTTCTATATATTCCAATATAAACCAAAGCAAATCCAAAATACGTGATTTGAATGTTTACATTTGAATCATTAAGTCAAGCCAAAATATATAGCCATAGCCAAAAATAATGGCTCTAGAATATTGTAGGTTCTCATTATATGTCTACTTTTTAGGATTACCAAAATACACATTTTTTTTTCAATTGGCTTTATTTGTGATTCTAGAACTGCACAACACTTCGTTCCATAAAATGAGTCCCCACAACAAATTTATATATAAAAATATAAAAACATAGTTACTAATAAATGAATGAGTTTAGTAAGTGAACATAAATTGCACAACAAATGAGACTTTGGCTATGGACATCCACAAATTTACACCTTAATTTCTGACTGATTTTTCTTTAAACAGAATCCTAGTGTTGAAAGAGACGTTCATGATCCAGTGCCCTCGCTCCCTGGTTCGTTCACTCAAGCATGCTGTCAGCAAACCTGCGGGGTGCTGGAAGAGAAGAATGAAGAGCCTTTGTGTCTAAGCAGCTGGCACTGAAAGAGGCAGAGAAGTGAACCAACTACACTGTGTCCTGGGCCTGGTGCAGTGGGCACACGGCTGGCGCTCAACAGACAGTGCTGAAGCATGAACGAATGAGCACTGCAAAATGGGAGGGCAAAGGAGAGCATGATGACTTTACTTGTGGAGTGCAGAGTAGCACCAGGGAAAGCTTCTCGGATAGGAATCAAGAAAGAATCGGCCGGGTGCTGTGGCTCACGCCTATAATCCCAGCACTTTGGGAGGCTGAGGTGGGTGGATCATGAGGTCAGGAGTTCAAGACCAGTTTGGCCAACATGGTGAAACCCCGTCTCTACTAAAAGTACAAAAATTAGCCGGGTGTGGTGGCGGGTGCCTGTAATCCCAGCTACTCGGGAGGCTGAGGCAGAGAATTGCTTGAACCCAGGAGGCGGAGGTTGAGTGAGCCACGATTGTGCCACTGCACTCCAGCCTGGGCGACAGAGCAAGACTCTCCATCTCAAAAAAAAAAAAAAAAAAAAAAGGAATCAGACTTTGCAAGGCAGGGCTGGGATGAGGAATGGAAAATGGGAATCATAATAGGAATTCTAGGCAGAAGCGACAGTATAACTAAAGTATGATGGCATAAAATAGCCTGGTAACTTCTAGAAAGGATGTGGTTAAAGATGAAGCAGTTACCAATGCAGGGATAAATGTAGAAAGAATGGGAGCGGAGTCTGGAAAAGGCAGGCAGGGGCCAGAAAACAGAGGGCCTGGTCCACTAAGCTGAGGAACTGGGACCATGCACCATAGGCCATGGCCTCTAAGCTTCCTCACCAATGCACACTAAAATAACTTTTGAGTATTCAACCTTCTATTAGTACACTCATAAAGTATATGCATGTGGTATTGTTTTATCACATTGCAAAAAGAAAAGCAGACATTTTTATAAGTTGAGATAAAGAAAAATAAATATACATAGAATTTCTAATATTTTATGACTACACTCTCAATGAATTGCTTACAGATGCCATTTGGGAGACAGCTTCTGTAGGCCATAGGGGAGCATCTGATGTTTTCTGGAATGCTGCACAGTGGACAGCATGGAGGGTGGAATGCAGGAGGCAGGGAGGGCTGACAGGAGGACAGACTTCCAGGCTTCAGAGGGTGAACTCTGACAGAGGGCAGTGGGGTCAGGGATGAATGTGTTTTTCCTTTGAGATGCAAACGTCTCAGGACTGTGTGAGTGATTGGATTTGGAGGGTGATGAGAAAGACAGAACAATCTAGAATAACACTCAGGTTTCTGGCTTGGACAAATAAGTGGATGGTAGAGTCACTGAATCAGCCGGCACAATGAACACAAAAAAGGAAGAGGGGAATCTGGGTGTGTTTGTGGGAGAAGAGAGGAGGGTGAGGTGCAATGATGGGAGGAGGATGGAGGGCTCACAGAAAATAAACTCCATTTTGGAGGAACCGACTGTGAAGTGCCCATGAGATACCAGACACTCAGGACCCAAAGCTAAGGAGAACAAGGAGACTTCACTGTACAGATATTAGAGCCATAGAGGGAGACAGGGCCATTAGGGAAGGGCGATGCGGGCAGAGAAGGTAAAGGGCAGACCCCTGAACTACCAGAGGGAGGGGTGGGAAGGAAGACACAGAACAGTTCAGAGGTACTGAAGAACTGAGAGAAAGGAGTGCATGGAAAGAGGGGAGAAAATAAACTATAAAAGGAAGTGGTCCAGGCTTGAGGTTTCCACTCCTGCACATGAGGAGGTTGAAAGTCACCACTCCATCCTAACAAGCAGGAAGCTGAACAAGCTGAAAATCAAGAATCTTCTTAGATTCAGCAGAGAATCAAGGCCACAGAGCAAACTGCTGCCCCCAAAACTGGAAAGAAAGGCAGGCAGCCATAGAGAATCACAGCTTACCAGAGCAGAAACCTCCCATAGAACCTACTACCAAGGCAAGAAAGTTTAAACTATAATTGGTTATAAAAAGCAATTCATTTTTTTGTTTCCAGACAATAAAAACACAAAAATAAAGGAGAATAAAAAGAAACTTTACATATTAAAATTCTACCCTTCTTAAGATTATAATGAACATTTATTTTTATGGAAAAGAAACACAGTAAAGCTAGTAACACAGCTTATTTTACTAAACTATAACCTAAAAATATTTACTGTCTTATCCAATGACCATGACAATCATTATGTGTTGGGCAAAATTCAAGGAAACAATTTATCTTGGAAAAAAAATTTAAGTATAGAATATAAGTTCATATAATATTACAATATTACCCTAAAATGATTGGGAACAAATGAATTTCTAAACTGCCTGTTTTAAAATAAAAACACCTCAAAAATATTAACAATGGGCAAAAAGTATACTGTCTTGTCCCCTGGCTCACTATGCCCACCCCCAGAGGTAAATATCTTGTGTATCCTTCCAGGCATTTCCTATGCACACTCTTAGAAGCTTATGCATGTAAACTTTATGTATATATAAACCTACTTTGGCACAAATAGAATCATACCATTCACACTATCTCGCAATTTTATTTAACATAAAAATATATCAATGATATGTATTTTTACACATATATTTTTCATAAAAATATAACTTGGAATACTTTCCAGTTTAGTATATAAAGCTCTAGCCTGTTTTCTTTCATGGGTGTAGTCATCCACAGCAAACACATGACAAAGCTCATTTCATGCATCTCCTGTTGTGTTGTACATGAGCAGAGGAGGCAAGGTCAATGAGAGCCTGAAGCATCAATGGGGGAAGCATCCGACCACTGACATCGTTTGGAATTTCCCACATATGGGGATATTAAAGGAACCCAGACTTTTCATCAGTTTTATTATTGATTTTAACTTTTTTACAGAAAATGCATCCCGTTAGGCCACACCCAGAGCTCACTTCCCTGCCTTGGTCTGCCTCTGTTCCTTTTAACTGACGGTAAGCTGCTGTTAGTTTATCTGTTAAAGTGATGCCATAGTGAAATGTCCTTGTCACACCCACACAAGCCTATCCATAAGATAAACTGAAGAAATGGCATTGCTGCAAAGAGTACAAGATCTTAAGTTTTTTGATATGTATTTCCAAATTATCCTCTAAAAAAAGCTGTTTCTAACTTACATTCCTACCTGCAGTGTATGAAAATACCTAGTGCTCTCACTCTCGCCAATGTAATTCTGTTACGTTTCTTTTAATGCTTCCTTTATTTTCCTTCTTTAGCTATGTGTGCTGCATTTCCTTTTTCTTTCTAATAATTTGATATATTAGTGATATTTATAGTCTATATTTTAGCTTCTCTGGTGGTTTCTCTATTGTTTTTAATTTTTTTTTTTTTTGAGACGGAGTCATGCTCTATCACCCAGGCGTGCAGTGGCATGATCTCAGCTCACTGCAACCTCCACCTGCTGGGTTCAAGCGATTCTCCTGCCTCCTAATTTTGATACTTTTGGTAGATACGGGCCTCTATTGGTTTTAAAATAAACATTTATTTATTGGTTTAGCAATTTTAGATAATATTTACTGATTCCCCTCCTCCTGCCTTGACCTCCTGATCTGTCTTGTTGTTACATATAGATATAGATATATTGATGCTCTTTTTCTTAATTTTGCTAGGCACCAGAGAGGAGAAGAATAGAGATATGCCCTTTATTTTGCCAACATTTACTGGATCTCCCCAGAATGCATACAATGGGGGAATAGCTGCTATTAGTAGTAAGGAAGAAGAGGAGAGACATGACAAAATCCTGTGCTTTAGAAAGATTATTCTGGCAGTGACATGTAGGTCAGTTTAAAATGCAAAGATTCATGATTATTATAGCAAGAGGAAGTTCAATATAGTTTGTGTATCCCTTATCCAAAATGCTTGGGATATGTTTTGGATTTTGGATTTTTTTTTCTATTTTGGAAAATTTGCATATACATAATGAGATATCTTGGGGATGTGACCTATGTCTAAACACGAAATTTATTTGTTTCATATACACCTTATATACATAGCTTGAAGGTAATTTTACAGAATAGTTTAAATAATTTTGTGCATGAAACAAAATTTTAACTGTATTTTCACGACAATCTGTCACATGAGATCCACTTGTGGTGTCATGTTGGCACTCAAAAAGTTTTGGATTTTGAAGCATTTCAGATTAGAAATGCTTGACCTGTATTGCAAATATGTTGCCCATTTTTCCCTAAATTTAATCTACAAACAGAAAACTATCACTACCAAATGATGATGATGATGATGATGATGATGGTAACTAACATTTGGTGAGTACTCACTATGACAGTGGGCTAAGCCCTTTATACATATCTCATTTAACAGCAAAAACGATCCTTTAAGGTAATACTATCACCCTATGTTACAATGGAGAAAACAGGTTTACAAGACAGTAAGTAACCTTCCCAAGGCTACGACAACAACTAAGTAGAAGGCCTGAGACCATCCTTTATAACTGCATGATAACAGCATGGAAGTTGAAAAAAAATCAACAGGAGGGCACATCTTTGTTTAGGCTGAGGTACTGAAGTTTTTCACAAATATCTGTTACAAGTTAAAGCAAGTACTAAAGGAAGCACAGTAATTGTATCATTCATTCTTACACACATTTCCCAAAATGCTTTCAAGAGTGAGGAGCTACTGGTCACAATGAGAACACTACATCCCTGCATTGACTCCTACGGCAGCCTAACAGTGAACAAAGATTGAGAACGATCAATTTAGAGAAGTAAAAAGAGAAATGAGTGTGGTGATAAAAAAGGAGAGAACAGGAAGTCTGAGGGTATGTGTTGAAGAAAGAATTTTAAGAAACTGGACATGGTAAGCGCCGTCAAAAACTGCAGACATTAGGATCTCAAATCCAAGCTAAAAAAAAAAAAAAAACCCAAACAGAAAACTACAGACATCACGGATGTTGAGCAGTAAAACAAATTACTGAATTTCATGCTGGCAGGTGGCTGATAACCTGGAAACACTAGCTGGGTAGACTGACAGGCCTATAAACCAGACTGTAGCTATTAGAAAGAGGAGGCATCAGGAGAGAGTAGGACTGGGGGAAGTTCGGCAGGAAAAAAATGAGATAGTACCACAGTCTCTCCAACTGTCACAGAAGGGTAATTATTTGTGTTGTAAGATAAGAGATATCTTAGCAGGTCTGCAGGCAAAGGGTTTGAAGCTAATACAAAGGAAGAGATGGTGATTGTGATAAAGTTAGAATAACTGGTGAAGCAAGATCTATAGTGGTTTGAGATAATATTATCTTATATTGTCTTGGTGCTTCACAATTTACAAAGCACTTTCACATCAAGAATCAAGAATCTCCTTATTCCTTACATGATTCTGTGAGACAGGTGGAGCAAGAATTATTACCAGAATTATTGTTCGTTTTACTTGAGGAATCTCAGGCTCAAAGAGGCTTGTGACAGTCTAAGGCAATCTGGAATACAAGAAAGAGCCCTGGGTTTGAAAATACTATTTCTCATTGGTTCCATGCTTTGAGCAAGTTACTTAGGTTTCTGAAGCTTCAGTTTCCTCACCAGTAAAGTAGAAATACTTTCCAGGCTCCATTAACAATTACAGAAACACATGCAATGAACCTGGCATGGTTCCTGGAGAAAAGCAGGCACACTGTAAATTATAGCCACTATTATTGCTGTTAGACAGAGACACGGACAGGGACAAGACTAAACCCAGCGGTTTCTACTTCTATTCCAGTTCCCTTCTTCTACTCCTATTCCAGTTCCCTTCTATTCCCCAAAGCTGACCTTACCTCTAAAAAGAAATGCAACACTGTGTCAAGAAGCTGTGTAGATGCAGTAAACTTTCATTAATCACCTGCCATGTGCCTGCATGACAACTCCTCAGTGTGGAAAGATGAACACATTGTAACAATAATGACGACCAATCCAAATGATCAGGGGCAGAGGAGCACTGCAAACAAGGCATTGGCTCAAAGATGAGGCTGTGGTCAGTTACACCTGGCAGAGGGGAGAAGCTGGGAATGGGAGGAACAGAGAGAACTACAAAGAAGAGGCAGCATCTGGAGCACACCTGGAAAGATGAGGCTCCTAGAAGAGGGGGAGGGCACTCAAAGGGGAAGAAAGAGGGCAGCAAAGGCCCAAGGGGATTCAAGCAAATGGGGCAGACAAGCTCAAGCAAGCACTAGTGCCTTAGTCCTCACTCAGCTGCCTCAGCCATCCAGAGCGAGACTACATGCCTCTCCACACCCTCAGTGACTCTCACCAAATGCAGGCTACTTCCTTCCTGAAGAAAAGCCAGAAGGAGAGAGGTCCAGAGAGGGTGGAAGAGATTCAAAAAGCTACAGGGTGTTTCCCGCAGCTCCAACCCACATCTGAGGGGCCCCAAGGAGCAGTCCCACATGACCAGCCAGTCAGGAGGGCGTGACTGCTGTGCTCTCAGCTCACGTCTTCAACACGGAGTGAAAAAACATGCACAGAGGGTGTTTGGGTGGTCACAGGCCCCAGTACAGCCCTCCACGCCAGGCTCATCATGTGGCTCCGCCTGCCTCCACAGAGCACTCCGAGGCTGAGGCCGACCTGTGAACAACCAACTGCACCATCTCCATCCACAGCTTCCTTATCTGCATAGATGCTACACATAAGAACATTTTCCTCTCTCATCTAGAGACCCAAGACAGTGGGAAAGCACCATGGGCAGCATATAGGACCTCACAGCACAGCAGAGCCACAACCAGCAGAGACAGAGCTTAGATGCATTTTGAGGATTTGGCTTCAGTGCCATCCCTGTCACCACCTCAGACTCTTCTACAGTTTTACAAGAATTTTATGACTATTTTTTGTAAAGAATTCCATGGATCTGGACCCAGAAGTAAGGGATCTCTAGAACCCTTTGATTCCTCTGAAGAAAGAAAGTGGAAGAAAATTGTGTTATCCACTACAGGTGACTGAATAAGTCCAATAAACACTCTGCTATTCTGGTTTATAATACGTTACATATGAGTTTACAGATTTTCAGCAAAGAACCAGAACATACCACTATCAACATGATACAATGGTATAATTAGGTCTTTTAAATTAAGAACAATAGAATTTAGTAATGTATCAAAATCTTCATCTAATCTTCATCCAACACTAATTATGATTGAAATGAGCACAGAAATATCAGTCAAGAAGAGACTTTCAACTGAAGAATTCATCATTGTAAACTGAATTTTAAAAAAGTCAATGGATCACTGTATTTATGAAGCACACTCTATGAGTCAGACTTATATTTCAACCTCTGACGCACCTGGAATTAAGGTAAAGAAAGAACTTGGATATTACGTCCAAACACCATGGCCTCAAACTTAGTGAAAATATAAAACACAATCAAGTACAGTCAGAGAATCCAGGTTGAAACACAGGTAAACACAGCTTCAGTCTCACCTTATTCTATTCAGTGAGTGAGAGCAAATGTGACAGAGAACATGTGCACCAAATGGCAAATGCCCACAGAGGCTTGTTACAGAATGAACAAGATGGCCTGCCGGAGGGCACGTGTGGGCGAGGAAAAAATGGACACCTGTAAAGGACACAGCACGTGACAGTACTGTCAGAGAAACTATTTTTAACTTTATCAAAAGCAAATGAAACTGTATTTTTGGCATCAGGAATGACTAAGTATAATTCTCATGTTATAGCTGGGTGACATTTTGAAATGCTGCCTTGAAAACCACAGGGAGAGCTACTGTTTTATTTGGTTACATAGAGAAGGTAGCAGTAAAGGAACTGAATGATACTGGAAACCTGTTTGCCCTTTAGGTAACTATATAGAACTGAAAAGACCTTTCCCCCTGTTCTATAAAGAATCCACCATTGCTAATTTGGTTCTGTCTTGACTTCTGAAGCTAGTGGCAAGAAAATTGCTCCAGTCAAACTTCCTGGCAACCAGGAAATAATTTTCATTAATGGTGCAGATCAGCAACACAGTTCACTGAAAACTGTGGTTAACAGAAATCAAAGCTAAAGAAAGACAGTACAATTCCATCATCATCCTAGGGATTAGGAAAGTAAACCAGTAGGCCTGACTTCAGTGAGAGATGACACCACACCAATGTGCCACTAGATGACAGAATTCTCGCCATAGAGGCTGGGGCCAAATCTCACTACAGCAAGGAGACCTCTATTGCAATGGTCTCTCATTCAGCTTAAGCTGTATCAAAATGTGAAATCAAACAGCCATGTCTAAAATTGAACAGTAGGAAAGAATAACCAAAAATAACACCTATGTGCTGCCTCTTGCTTTAGGAAGAACAGAATGGGAGTTGTGGAAATGTCGTGAGAGAGGATCCAGGTTAGCCCTGGAACAGGGAGGAATGAAAACCTAGTGAGAAGGAACAAGTGGCAGCAGCAAAAGGGAAATAGGCAGAGATTTTCTCCCCCAGAGCCTTGTGGAAAACGATGAAAGGAAAGTGGCCAGACAGCCATTTGCTTTGCCTAAGGAGCTTTTCCAAGCCTCTTTGAATTACTGAGTCCAGCAACAGACCCTATTCTCAGACCTCTCCCCAGGTTGCAGACACGACTGGCCCAGAACTGGAGAAATCACCACCCCTTTTCTGTCCTGCAGGGATGCAGCAAGTGGTTCAAACTCAACTGGGAATAATAAACACAGGTATTTTGAGTCTCACTCAACAAGCTCCTAAAAGACTGACTTTTCAGTGCAATTGGCCAAGTTATGACAGATTTGGCATCCCTCCAAAATGACTGTAATAGACTGAAACACAATGAATCAATGGAATTCCATTAGTTTATAATGACGCTTTACAAAGAGAAAGCCAGATAATACTCATTTGTCACTAGTTCAGAAAACTATTACAATAAATCCTTATTTTGAGAATTGGTAATTAAAAAGAATGACTGACTCAGATGAAGACTATCAATGGGTGTTAAAGCCACTGGGTAAATGACTGAGGAAAAACTGGACATTTCCATGTTGCTGGGAACACCACAGAGATCCCTTTCTAGCTGAGAGGGAAACCCTCATCGCAGACTGCAGAGATCCTGTCAGCATCAATCTACCTAGTGGTCCATCTTCACATCACCCTCTGTGGGCAACTGATATTTCATGTCTTTTTTTTAATTTTCTTTTTTTTTTAAGAGATGGAGTCTCACTCTGTTGCCCACGCTGGAGTACAGTGGCATGACCATAACTTGCTGCAGCCTTGAACTCCAGGATTCGAGTGATCCTCCCACCTGAGCCTCCAAGTCGCTGGGATTACAGACATGTGTCACCATGCTCAGCTATTTCACATCTTTTGATGTGATGTGACACAAAGTATACAACATCACCTATGGGTGTCCATGCCAAAAACGGGAAATGTTTAACAGTGAGTTATTATATGTAACATCCAGCTTACAGGAATGATAGGAAGAGAGGAACTAGTGAAATGATGCCACAAGGAAGCACACAGATAAATCCAGAAAGTTAGAAATTCTGTAGGACAAATGGCCTGGTCTCTTCAACAACTGTTGCTGATAATATGACAAAAAAGAGAGTAAGAAGAGCATGAGGCATGGGGAATTGCTCTAAAGTAAGAGACAGGAGACAGAAAAGCCAAGAGAATGTGGAGGCTTTGTTGGAGTCCTAATTCTAACAAGCTAACGGGGAAAAAAGCTGATTTGATACTACCAAGGAAATACGAATATAGACTAGATATTAAATGATGCCAACAAATTGCTATTAAATTTTTATTAGGTAATAATGATACAAGAGTTATGTAAGAAGATGTTCATCCTTTTCAAAAGTACATAATAAACGTATAAGACTGAGATGACATGAGGGCTAGGATTTCCTTTAAAGTAATCACAAGCCAGGTAACAACACTTCTGTCAGCAATGAACCACATATGCTACAGTGGGTGGTCCCTTGAGATGATAATGGAACTGAAAAATTTCTATCACCTAGTAACATTGTAGCTGTCATGTCAGAGTACAAGGCATTACTCACAGGTTTGTGGTGATGCTGGTGTAAACAAAACTACTGTGCCGCCAGTCATATGAAAGCCTAACACACACAATTAGGTACAGTACACAACACTTAATAAATGACCATATTACTGATTCATGTATTAACTACACTATACTTTCTATCACTATTTTGGTGTACTCCTTCTAAGTTAACTGTGAAACAGCCTCAGGCCGGTCCTTCAGGAGGGATTCCAGAAGAAGGCATTGTTATCACAGGGGATGGCAGCTCCATGCCTGTTATTTCCCTTGCAGACCTTCTAGTAGGACAAGATGTGGAGGTGGAAGACAGTGATGTTGATGATTCTGACCCTGTGTAAGCCTTGGCTAATGTGTATGTTTGTGTCTTGGTTTATAACAAAAAAATTTAAAAAGTACAAAAAAAATTTTTAATAGAAAAAAGTTTATAGAGTAAGGATTAAAAAAAGAGAAAATATTGTTGTTCATCTATACAATGTGCTTGTGTTTCAAGCTAAATATTATTACAAAAGTATCAAAAAGTTTTTAAAAACTAAAAAGTTTATAAGGTAAAAAAAGTTACAGGAAGCAAAAGTTAATTTATTATTGAAGAAAGAACCATATCTTTCTATAAATTTAGTGTAGCCTAAGTGTACAGTGTCTATAAAGTCAATAATGGTGTACGGTAATGTCCTAGGCCTTCACACTCACCACCACTCACTCACAGACTCACCCAGAGCAACTTCCAGTCCTGCAAGCTCCATTTGTGGTAAGAGCCCTATACAGGTATACCATTTTTTATCTTTTATACCTATTTTCACCATACCTTTTCCATGTTTAGATGCATATATACTTATCATGTGTTGCAGCTGCCTACAGTTTTCAGTATGGTAACATTCTGTGCAGGTTTGTAGCCTAGGAGCGACAGGCTATACCAGAGAGCATAGGCGTGTGTGTAGGCTATACCCTTAGGTTTGTGTAAGTGCACTCTAAGATCATACAATGACAAAAGTGCCTAACGATGCTTTTTTTTTTTTTTCTGAGACAAAGTCTCACTCTGTTGCCCAAACTGGAGTGCAGTGTCATTATCTCTGCTTACTGCAACCTCCACCTCCCGGGTTCAAGCAATTCTCCTGCCTCAGCCTCCCAAGTAGCTGGGACTACAGGCACTTGCCGCCATGCCCGGCTAATTTTTTGTTGTTGTATTTTTAGTAGAGACAGGGTTTCACTATGTTGGCCAGGCTGGTCTTGAACTCCTGACCTCGTGATCCACCCGCCTCAGCCTCCCAAAGTGCTGGGATTACAGGCATGAGCCACTGTGCCCAGCCCACGATGCATTTCTCAGAATGTATCCCTGTCATTAAGTGGCACATGACTGTACATTAGTAATGAGAAAAGAGAAAGGAAGGAAAGCAGGGAGGGAAGGAAGAAGGAAAAGAAGAGCAAAGAAAGAAGAAAACTGAAAAAAGAGACAAATGAAGCAAACATAGAAAAATCTTGGTAATTGGCCAGGCGCGGTGGCTCACGCCTGTAATCCCAGCACTTTGGGAGGCCGAGGTGGGCGGATCACAAGTTCAGCAGATCGAGATCATCCTGGCTAACACGGTGAAACCTCGTCTCTACTAAAAATACAAAAAATTAGCCAGGCTAATTTTTTTTTTTTTTTTTTTTGTAGAATCTGGGAGATCAATATGCAGAGGTTACTTATATTGCTCTACTTCTGTTTGTTTAATTCATTTTTTTCTTAAACAATTTTTTCTTTGTTCTTTTTCTTTTGACTGAGCCATCCATTTCCTATTTGTTTATTTTGAAAGTTTTCATAATAAAGGTTAATTTTTAAAAATTTAAAACTACCAAGATCACTAATCCTATACTAACAAAGCATGAGATTTCTCACATCAAAAAAAAAGTCCTTCTGTGAGAGCCCATTTTTTGAATAGTTTAAAACACAAAACATCTGTATTTCATTATGTGAATGCGCTTGAGATTTTAAGAATATATCTTAGCAAGGAATAGACAATACTGAATTCCCTTTCCCAGTGATATCCTAATTTAAAAATAGCACCAAAATTGGCAGGGTGTGGTGGCTCATGCCTGTAATCCCAGCACTTTGGGAGGCTGAGGCAGGCGGATCACTTGAGGCTAGGAATCTGAGATCAGCCTGGCCAAAACGGTGAAACTCTGTCTCTACTAAAAATACAAAAATTAGCTGGGTGTGGTGGTGCATGCCTGTAATCCCTGCTACTCGGGAGGCTGAGGCAGGAGAATCACTTGAACCCAGGAGGCAGAGGTTGCAGCGAGCTGAGATCACGTCACTGCACTCCAGCCTGGGCAACAGAGGAAGATTCTGTCTCAAAAAAAAAGAAAAAAAAACAATAAACAAACAAACAAACAAAAATAGCACCAAAATAAATGAAATACTGAAACTCATTACTCACAGAAAAGAAATAGTGTTTCCAAAGCATCAAAAACAAAATCCAAACACTGGAAGGATACATTAAACAACTTAAAAGTGGTGACTTCTGGGGCAGAGGTAGAGATGAGTATTCTCAATTAATACTTCTTAACATTGTTGATTTTTTGAGCCATGTGAATGTATTGCCTAATCAAAAATAAAATTTAATTTCAAATAAAATAATTTATTTTTGTATCTGAAAGACGTAATGTTACTCTTCCATGAAGAATCTTACAATAAAGCTTTAAAAAGGAAAAATGAGCTGCTCTTTAAGACTTGCTGACAGTCACTTATACTACTACGGTATTTTCCAGGATCAACCTTTGGCACTTTTAAAACATGTTAATTTCTCCTCCTGCTTCTAAACAGGTTCTTTTCTTTAGATGAACATTAAAAACTTGAAATAAATCTGAGGTATTTAACATAAAAGCAAAAGACTCCCTGAGGTTAACTTGAAAAAAAGGCTCGAATCAAGGAAAGCCCCTTCTATATTTCATTTTGTGTCAAGCCACACATTTAAGTCTTTACTTGAAAGGTGATGAATTTAACAAGGATTTAGAAATCTTCACTTTGTTCCACTCTTCTAACCCCAAACCCAACCTATGATATTTTTCCTTTCTTTTCTCATCCATTACCTGTGCGGCAGCCTCCTCTTGTCAATCAAGATTACTGAAGCCTCAAACCAAAACTCAGTAGCCTATTAAGCTACTTAAAATAGATTTTTAAAACCCGATTCTTACAACCCCTTCTGATGCATTTCTGCATCCCTTTTCCTGGTTCTTTTACTGAGTTAATAGTCAAATAAATAAATTAGTATTAAAACTTTAAAATAAGCTAAAGCCCCACATGGATATCTGGCAGACTACATTGTGTTCCCAGCATACCTGGTGATTTCAAGGACTTAGCAAGCAGGTGGAAGACTCCATCAACCAGTGAGCACTGCAAACATGTCATGCAAAAACATGGCATTCTCTTTCTAAAAAAACCTCATCACTGGATTGCTTTTCATGGTTACTGGTCTAGATACAAGTTTGAATAGGGGCTATGAATTAGTATGTATTTACTGAGGGTCCAGAATGTTTGTTCTTGCAGAGCTTTAAAATATGGTTGACAAGACACATTTAACATCCAGAACATCTTAGCAGGTCAACTGTGTAGCACACAGGCTGTTAAGCACAGCGGAGCCAGGAGCTACACAAGGCTAGTGCAGACTCAGCAGCTTCATGGACACCTGGCAAGATGTCACAGATGTGTAAGACAAACCAGGGAGGCAATGGGAACCCACTGCTCCCCTGACAGAGGTTCTGCCTTTGAGACAGAAAGGGGTTTGGCTGGGATAAACTGTGGAGGAAGAGCAGCGGTGGAAGAAAAATCAGAACAAATAAATGTGAGTAGAGATGTTTCTTTCTGTAAAACAAAAGTAGGTTGTGATCAGATCCTACAGTGCGCCCAGAGCCAGGCTTGTGGGCTGTTGGCAGCTATATTTATACCCACTGTTATTTAAATGCAAATTAAGGGGTGGGTTAATGCAAATTGGGGGTAGATTATTCAGAACTTTCTAGGAAGGGGGTGCTAACTTCCCGGTCATTGGCCTTGGCACTAGTAAACTGTCAAGGCGCTGGTGGGAGTGAATTATGCTAATGAGTAGTGAGGGCAGCCAGAAATCCCTTTCCTTGCCATCTGTTGGTCTGGGCTGGTTTCTTTACTTCATTCTGTTTGGACCAGATCCTGTTCTGGTCAGGAGGTTGTGACCAGAAAACAAGTCCTGCTGATCTCCTACCTCGGAACCACCATTTGGGCATGCTATATTTACAGAGTATAGTTAGTGAAAAAACTATCACTTATATTTAAGGCCAAGGCATTAATGAAAATAATCAGGTATCGGGGACATGATATGAAAGGAATACCTGATAAAAATGAGAGTAGCAAAAATTAGAATATTTATTAAATTAGAATATTTAATATTCTAAATATTGAGAATTAAAATTAGAATTCTAAAAATTAGAATATTTAATATCAAATATATTTAATTTACATTACTCTCCAATGTCAAAAATCAAATGCTTTACATAAACATGGAAAGTACAAATAAATTTTATTACTGATTTATGCTACATCTTTAACAGGTGAAACAACCAAGCCAAATCTTTCTTTGACAGAATTTTAAAAGAGACATTTTATTTTTTAATGCAACTATAGGGAGCAGGGTTTCAAGTTCTGCAACCAGAAAACAATTTTGTAAAACAAATATATTCTAAACCCTCGTTGTTTACCATAACCAAATTATTATAGACTTTGAATAACAGTTTATGTGTTTTCACTAAAAAAAAGACTGATGCTGAATTTGAGATACATTTTTAAAAAAATGGTAGCTAACCAACCTGGGCAACACAGCAAGAACCTATATCTCTACAAAAAAATTTAAAAATCAGCTGGGTATGGTGGTACACACCTGTAGTGCCAGCTACTTGGGAGGCTGAGGCAGGAGGGCTGCTGGAACCTAGGAGGTTGAGGCTACAGTGAGACATGATTACGCCACTGTACTTTGGCCTGGGCGACAAAGTGAGACCCTGTCTCTAAAAAGAGTTGTTTAATGAAAAATAAAAATAAAAAATAGTAACTGACCAAATATTCTTAACTAAAGGTTAGGACACAATTATGCCTTGTAAGTAAAAATGGTTTTGGCAACAGTGATAGATGGAGACCAAAGAGAGGAAAATAAATGAAAATTAAGTGAGTAAGTGCTTCAAAACACTAATTGATCTTAGGCTACCTCATCCTGCTGGTATAGAAAAGAATATAGAAAGTTATTGTTTTCTGTTTTTATGACAAATGCTGAAATAAATAATTAAGCAAATACTTCTTATTTTGGAGAAGTACCTACTATGCTTTACTTGATGCTTCAATAATGCATAGTAATAAAAATATTTTAAAGCTTAATACCAAATAAATACACGTATCATCACAGTACATGCTGGTATGCTTTAATGAGGAAAAAAAAACAAAAAACTTACATTTTCTTCTATTACCTAAATCAACCTTAACTCTCCTACTTAAACAGCATATCTCAAAAACTAACTACAAGGGAAAAATGTTAATAAGTTGTTAAAGAGTAGGATTCTGAGATTTTTTTTTAAAAATTCCTATTGGGTATATAAAGTTGCTTCAGCTATAAACATTTTAAAGTGTGTTCACTGTGAAAAGAGCTCTATTTCTTGGGTTTATAACATAAAAATTACAGAAATAGTGTGTCTGTAGGGAGAGAAGGGCATACCTACTTTTCTCCAATATAATAAACACAGGAGGATATAGAAGCCAGAGGAGTACTTCTGTCAACTTAAGTTCCTTAAATCTTTATTTCATTTATATCCTTCCAGATGGACCAATAATGTGTTGACAATATATGTGTCCAAATAAAAATGAGAAAACATAAGAGCGCCACTGCACTCCAGCCTGGGAGAGAGCAAGACTCCGCCTCAAAAAAAAAAAAAAAAAAAAAAGGAAAATAACGTAGTACCACGCCATGTACCACTTTATTCCTTTACTGGTTCAGTAAACACATGCTGAGCCCCTACTCTGGGCCAGCAATGGGATACAACAAGGATTCCAGCAATGCTCACAGCCTAGGAAGAGAACCAGAAAGCTACGCAAGGGCAGAGCTGGAGAGGGACCAGATTGTAGAATTTTAAACAAGGAAATGATACAAGCAGCTGAAGAATACATGAGTGGAGCAGACCACGCCAGCAGAAAGAATGGTGTCAGGGGAAGGGTTTGTACTGTGGGCGACTCAGTGGATGACAGTAGCTGCTGAATAAACATTAGTTTCCTTTTTCCTTTTCCTGTACGGGTATTTCTTGAAAAACTTACCTTTCTGCACGAATCACACCACTGTAGTAAGGGGGGTCCCAGGGCATTACTTCCTACAATGGAATAATTCACTGTTAAGGAAAGCTACTGACTCTTTCATAGTTTTTATCAGCAACGTGGCCAGCCTATAGAATGTAAACCAGCTACTGTTCATGTAAATCAGAACAATTTTATAGAATCCCTTAAAAAATTGATAGCTTGGCAGAAAATACCTGGCTCCTTATTTTGACTTCCCTGTAATCAAGAGATAGTGAAGTATAACTAAGACCTACCCCAGAATCTGGGGAAAAGACAAACAAATGTCATTCTGAAGTGGTATCTAACAAAAGTAAACATTAACGAATTATATTAGCCATAATGAAATTTTTCCCAAAATGTAACCCATGTATTAATCCATAAAACACACTGTAGGTAAGATGAGTGTACTAAAGGTAGGATTAAGGTTCTTTCTAAATCTAAGCAAGAAGCTTTGGGTAGATATCAAAAATGAAAGCAGCAATTTAAAATGTAACCAAGGCAGAATTAACTCTAATCTTGGCAAAGAAAATATGTCATAAAGAAGTACTATAGTACTAGTTGCTTTTGATGATTGGCACATAATACTGAAAGAAGGGAAAGCTTGAATACTTGAATGACTGTCCTTCCTTCTAGGTGTCCAGGTGGACAAAAGAGTGGTTAAGAGACCAGGCTGTGAAGACAGACTGCCTGGGCTCAAGTTTCCAATCCATACCAGACTATAAACTGCATGATGACAGGGACTTTGTTTGCATCCTTCCCTATTACATTCCTGTCCCCTGAACAGTACCTGGCCCAGGGTAGTCACTCAGTAAATATTTGTTGAAAGAATCAACAGTACCTCCCAAAGAAGACTGCTGAATGTACTTAAACTATTAAGTAGAATATCTGGCATTGAGTAAGGGCTCAACAAATGTTGGCTACTCTCCTTATTACCATTATCCTTTAACATTTCAGTTTAGGCATAATCTCCTCCAATAACAAGGTGTTATTTCCCATATTCCATGGTAATACTTATATCATGGGATGCATGACAACCTAAGATACTTGTAGGCTTATTTTCTTTCTCCTCATGAGTGCCTGAAGGGCAGGGACTGCGTCCATGGAACCCTAGCCCCACAGTGTTCTGGTCCTGGCACACATTTTCTCTAACAGATGATTATTTGCTATCTGCTAGATGCAGACAGAGTGCAGGCTGTAATCAGACAAAAACAAGAGGATGATAGCCTAGGCAGTAGAAGGGCAAGTGACTCAACAATCAGAGGACAGTATGTCATGTCTACATTGTGCCATGTAAAACACAGCCCACAAGAAGAGTATTTAAATCACAGCGGAAGGTTAGGAAATGTTCTCAAGAAGGCAAAGCCTGAATTGAGTTTTATGATAGAAGCAGTTAATCCAGATGAGAAAGGGAGAAAGGCATTCCTGTAGGTGGTGTTTGTAAATGACTGGAAGCTGCTCACCATGCCATATTTATGTGGCCGGCACGTAAATATTAATTCAAATTAAAGAATCAAAGAAAGCAAAGCAAGGAAAGAAAGCAAAACTAAGTGAATAGAGATCACATGAGCATCACACAGGTATTAGGAGAGAGCAAAGAACACAGCCTCGGCTTGGAGGGGCAGCAGAAGATGAAGCTAGAGAAGGAGGCAAGGGCCAAATCATGAGGGCTTGGCGGGAGCAGCAGGGTAGTAGGAAGGGAAACTGGAGAATAACCAGGAGCTACTGAATAATTTTAAACAACAGAGTGACAAGATCAGATCTGCTTTTTAGACAAATCCCTCTGGTGGCAATTCATTCATTCATTATTCATTCATAGTTCAAATAAGTGTTGACAACCAATTCTATGCCTAACACTGGGCTAAATACATGGCTAAACTGTCTGAATCCAAGACGGCTTCGAGTGGAGCAAAAACAAAAGGCTAGAAACCAGTTAGGCAATCCCAGTTACCATCTGGGTGAGAATAATGATTGGGATCATAGCCCAGGCTATGGCAATGGGCACAGGAGAAGACACAAGAGTTCACAGGGAGGGAGAATCTGCAGGACCTAACAAATGATTATGGGGGAGGGGAGTGTGCAGTGCCTGGGGTGCTTGTTGAAACACAGATTGTGGAGCTCACCCCAGTTTTTGATTCAGTGGGTCTGAGGTGGGGCTCAAGAATTTGCATTTCTAACAGGCTCCCATGTGATGCTACTGCTTCTGGTCCAGGAACCACACTTTGAGAACCACTGGTCTGGATTAAGTATAGGTCCTGACCAGAGCAGCAGGGTGAATGGTGGCACCATTCACCAAAGCAGGGACTTCATGAGGAGATTGGGCATTTCACAAATATCTGCAGAATAATTGTATCCATAAGCTATATACAAATATCTACAGATAACAGTTTAAAGTCATATTCACTTTTACTGAATTAGCTTTTGGCAACACATTTTGTTTTTTATTTTTCTGTTTCTATAGTCACCAAACTAAATTCTTACCTATTATCTGGTTTCCCAAATAAGCCTACCTACCAGGTCAAGGTGTGCAGATGACTGTGCAGATGACTAACAGTAGTTACTTTGCTAGACACAGCTCCTTCCATAAATTAACAGACTGACATGCTACTCTACACATCGCTGAGTTTAATGGGATTAATCTGTTTCCTAGTGGCTGTATCTGGGAAGCTAGTAAACAGTTTGTAAATCTGCAAGGCCCATTTCCCTAAATCTTCCTTATGACTATGGCTCTGGCAGCAGCAACTAAGTCAAGAACTAATAACAGCATTTGGAAAAGAATGGTGTAGACAACCCCGGCAATCCTGTAGTGCCCTAGAACCAAATGGGAATGAGTCCTAATATCTGGACTCTCGACACTTTTCAGGGCACTCCCCCAATCACCTGGGCAGCATTCTGGCCATAACAATACTTGTCTATACTCTTGGATCACATAAGGAAGATCATATAATCATATGATTGAAAACAACACTTAAGTGTTTTTAGAATGTGGTATACTTTGTTAGTCAAATACTCAATTGGGCACCATAAATTAGCTAACAAATAAGCAAATGAACTGCAACATTAACACTGATGGTTAAAATTGCCACCTGCCAGATGAAGCCTCCACTGAGTCTCCTTAAAGTCTGCTTCAAACTGAGAAGCCAACATTCCACAGAATGAAAGCAGTCTTTGCATGAATATATACACATTGTGTTAGTGTATATACATAAAATATGTCGACTCCTCAACAAAAATGCTGTATGTACAGGCAACATCAGTTTGGGACATAAGAATCAAATATTTCAACATCTTTATTCACCAAAACCGAGGATCAGAAACAAGACTAAATGGACCTGTAGCCTATCACAAGAAAGTTCCTGAATCAAAAGATATTGATTTCAGTTGACAGACTGTCTATATTATAATAAAAATATTCCAACATACTTACGGAATTTTGAGGATTCAGTTTCATTTTCATCCCTCGTATCATCTCAAAATCTTTCAGAGTTCTATAAAACAGGTTTATCATTACTTGTTAGGACAAAATTTTAACAATTACATTATGAAAGGACTAGTTTGCTTATGTTACATTCCAATATTCATAAGATTAGATACAATTAGTAGTGCACACATAAATCACTATTAATCCAAATTTTACCTAAGTGTCATGAGAAATAACAATATATAAAGCAGCATATTACTGCGATTTCTACCTTAAAAAGCATCATGGTGGATAAATGTCTCAAGAGTACTAAAGCTTGGAAAAACTAGCAATGTCATTACAAATATGCAAAGCATTAATCACTAACTTTAAATCACTACTTTTTGCTATACCTTTAAAAGAGACTTAACAAATTAACTCCTAGAAAGGAATTTTATCATTGGCTACATTTAAGATTTCTAGTCATTTTTCCCCTTTGGAAAAACTCTAGCTGGTCAATAATTAAATAGGTATTTAATATTTGTAGAATATGACATGTATATTGGAATTAATTCCTATATATACCTGTAAAATGATGAAGCTATGCTTGCTCTAAAATCTATAGCTATGTAGAGAAAGACTACTAACACTTAACTAAGTAAAGCAGGATAAATCCTCAATAAGTGCATAACTAACCCTCTTTCTTTATTGTATCAAAGACACAGTGGTTCACCAGGATCATTAAAAGAAAATTTTAGAATTTATAAACATAATCCAAACTAGAGAAGAATGAGTTCTAAGGCATGAGTTTATAGTCCAAAACAGAAATGTGAGCCAAGATCCAATGTGTTGGTGTAGCCACAACAGGCAAACAAAATTTTAGACAGCATTACAAGAGAAAAAGAGAAAACATCATCCTTTTTTACAAACGGTGACTGCTTCTTCCTAGAATCCTTAGTACCTAAAGGTGTGCTGCCTCTCAACTAAGGCCTAGAAGAGGGCCAGTGAAGGGCAAGTGTATGATCGAAGGCACTGAGCAGGGGAGGGGCAGGGGAGGCAGGAATACAGGTTGAGCCTCCCTAATCTGAAAATCTGAAACTTTCTCAGCACTGACATGATGGTACAAGTGGAAAATTCCACATGTGATGTCATGTGATAGGTTGCAGCCAAAACTTTGTTTCAGGCACAAAATTATTAAAAACACTGTATAAAATTATCTTCAGGCTATGTGTATAAGGTGTATATGAAACATAAATGAATTTCGTGTTTAGACTTGGGTCCCATCCCCAAGATATCTCATTATGTATATGCAAATATTCCAAATTCCCCCCAAAAAATGAAATCCAAAACATGTGTGGTCCCAAGCATTTCAGATAAGGGACACTCAACTTGTTATAACAAACGGACACACCAAAGGCAGTAGAACACTTCAGCTTGAAATTACAAATGTTGAGATAGAACATCCTTAAAATACTACACAAAATTAAAAAGACACCACATCCATGAGCCTCCTGTATTTAGGCCAAAAGAAGAGAAATACTACTTTATGAACTTGTCATAAAATTCATGGTACAAGTTAAAATAAATAGTTTCAAAAACATTTTGGTAAAGATTTTTAAAGTGCAAATGAAAGATGAATTTCTAAAAACAATTGTTTAATGAAAGGGGACAGCTTATGTTTTCAAGAATGGCACATAAGGAAGACAACTATGGCCTTTTAAAGTATGTCTCATAGTGAGACAGGTCTGGTCCAATATGCCAAAACTTATATTCTAGGTCACTTCCTAATTTTTTATAAATCAAGTCTTCTTTAAAAAGACTAAATAACATATAACCAAAAAACTAAATAGTAGAATAAAAACTAACCTTTCAGAAAGTTTGTCAGATAGTTTTTCAAGGAACTGCATGACAGTCTCTAAAACGAAATCCAAAAGAAAATATCTTCAATTATGTGAAATAAAATGAACATATCTGTTAAAATTATTATGTGATGATCATAATCTATATCCCACAATTCCCTTAAAGTGATGATTTTCAAAGGGAAGTAGAGCTACCAACATATACCAAACATATAGTAAATGCTTCTAGGTGATGACGATCTTTTAATCAGAAAAAAATTAAATTGGCATACTAATAATCCACAGCGTCAGATTCTATCCCAAAATTAAAAGAGTTAATGGGACCAGGTGGCTCATGCCTGTAATCCTAGTACTTTGGGAGGCTGAGGGCAGGGGGTGGATCACCTGAGGTCAGGAGTTCAAGACCAGCAAGGCCAACAGGCTGAAACCCCGTCTCTACCAAAAATACAAAAATTAGCCAGGCGTGGTGGTGCATGCCTATAGTCCCAGCTACTTGGGAGGCTAAGGCAGGAGAATAGCTTGAACCCAGGAGGTAGAGACTATAGTGAGCCCAGACTGTGCCACTGTACTCCAGCCTGGGCAAGAAAGTGAGACTCCATCTCAAAAAAAAAAAAAAAAAGAGTTAATGGGAGGCTAAAGAAAAAAGTACAAAATTTCAAGGTGTTTCTATCTATTCATATGTGTAAGAAAAAAAAGTTCTGAGACATGTCTGACGTTTTCAGAGTTTTAAAGAGATATCTAGACTGCTTTGTTCATAAAAATAGGTGCAGTGTAGAAGTATAATTCCCTGAAATAAATTTTTTAAGATCAATGTTTTTCTTGATAACAATTTTATTGTTATATACAACTGTAGAATAATCTATTCAGGATAAATATGAAAAAAATAGCAAAATAAGAAAAATAAATATTAACTTCTGATAGAATTTTTAAAGTATTTTTATTAAAATACTTCTGCCATAGTTGTCATAATTTACAAACCCATAAAGGCAGTGCAGTAGAATTATCACCGTTTCCCACAAGAGGAAATGTTTTGCAAGTATTTCTGAATGTAGCACTTTTTATCACTGACTTATGTGTACAGAGCTTTCATATGTATTTTAGTTCACCACAAACACTATGTTTGTATTTTCCAGATAATCTTTTATACAGTTTTAAGTTTCCTGCCCTCTCTTCAATTTAAGTTATCTCCTTTTGAGTGAAATAAAAGACTAAGGAAATAAATAATGGTGGTTAACCTAAACCCAAACCATGAGGTTTCTTGCCACTGTCAATACTTAACAAGTCCTGTGTATACGAATTCTGAAAACACTGGCTCATGTGCCATATGAAACAACAATAGGAATTTTTGGGGAACAAAGACATTATTTAGTCAACAATGAAATCTCATTTTAGGATTATATTCCAGGTACCATACCAAACTGTTTTCAAATGAATCCCTATGTATGCTTGTATACGTTTTATTTCTTAATAACCGTGTTTTAACATTCACCCATCTTATTCTTCCAGTCATTTTACATGTGAAGAATCTGCCTCAATTAATTTTTTTTTTTTTTTGAGATGGAGTCTTGCTCTGTTGCCCAGGCTGGAGTGCAGAAGTCCCATCTCGGCTCACTGCAACCTCTGCCTCCCAGGGTTCAATCGATTCTCCTGTCTCAGCTTCCTGAGTAGCTGGGATTACAGGCACCCGCCACCGCGCCCAATTAATTTTTGTATTTTTAGTAGAGATGGGGTTTCACCATGTTGGCCAGGCTGTTCTTGAACTCCTGACCTCAAGTGATCTGCCTGCCTCAGCCTCCCAAAGTGCTGAGATTACAGGCATGAGACACCACATCTGGCCTGCCTCAATTAGTGTCCCCAGAGAATTGTCATATTAAGATTCAGTTTGAAACCCCCCACTAAGTGCCTCACCGCAGTTACCTCCTCATTCACTAGCCACATGAATGCCCGCCTTAGCCTCAGTCAGCCTCTCTGTCTTCCTTCTGCTCTGCTGAGGACTCACTCCATCACTGTGCATGACAGTTTCATTTCCCTCAGGGCGCCTTCCACAGCCACAGATGCATCTGACAAATGCCCCGAGCTCCTAAATCCCATGGCATTGTTTTGTCTGTACTACTCCATCGACACCGAAAACGTGCCAACCTCTATTATTATTTATCTTTTTATATGCATATATCCAGCTCCTCAACTAAGCTTTAAATCCTCAAGGACCCAGAGCACATCTTACGTGATGATGTGCACAACAGCCCCCTGCCAATACATCAGCACACCAAGCACTTAGTGCACAAGGGTGACCTGCCAGTCACGGAATCTGGAGCTGGGTGCTGCAGGTCCAGTGAGCTCCACGCTGCTACAGCCAGTGGTCATGCCCAGCCCTCCTCACATCTGACCTGGCCACAGCATGAGTCAGCTGATCTCTCCCCTCTCCTGTAGACAGACCTTCTGCGCGGCCTCCAGGACCACACCCTGTAATCACTTTCCACCTCCCTTAGTGGCCGTTACATCTGGCAGCGTTAACTAGCAGTTCCTCACATGCCTGGCCTCTTAAACTTGAAGGCCCCAGAGCGCAGTCCTTGGACTTGTTCTTTAAGTTCACTCTCTTAGTGGTATCAGAATCTCATTTTAGAGGTTCAGACTTACATATGAAGCTCAGAACTCCACACTCCATCTAACTGCCTACCCAACTTCACCACTTGAACCTCATTTGGTATCTCAAACTTAACTTGAAACAAACCAAGTTTCCGGTCCTCCCAATCTTAGTTAACAGTAGTAACTCACTCTCTTTCTAGTTGCTTAGGTCGAAAATGTTGGCTCCCTCTTCCAAATACTCTGTACCCAGAATCTGATCACATCTTACCACCTTCCCTGCTACCACCTGGTCAAGATGCCAACACTTCTCATCATGGTTACTGCAAAACAGCATCTAAACAGGCCCTCTTCTACCCTGGCCCTGCTGCAGTCTTCTCTCAGGAACAGCAGCACTGACTCACCATTAGCACTGGAGTCAGATCATCTCACTCCTCTGCCCCAACCCCCACAGTGACCTGCTGCACTTGCATCAAGTCTCTACTTAATGCCGCCCCTTGTCAGTCTGTTCCCACCTCTCGCCACTCTCCTTGCACACGCTGCGCTTCAGCCACTCTGCCCTCCTCAAACGTGGCAGGCATTTTTCTGCCTCAAGACCTTAGCACTTGATAGTGACTCTGCGTGAAACCTTTCTCCCCTCAAGAGCCACAGCCTCATGCTTGTGTCTGTCAAGAGCACGCTCACATTCCACATTCTAAGTGAGCCTTCCGACAATGCTCTCTAAAACTCCAACACCAGCCTACATGCCCACATACCTTATCCCCTTCCCTGTTCAGTTTTCTCCATGGCTTGTATTAACTAATAACATACCACATACTTTATCTACTTATTTCGTTCTTTACTGTTCTTCCCTTGCTCCCAAGAATGTAAACTGCATAAGGATAGGAATTTTCTTCTGCTTTGTACACTGACTTATTTCCCTGACCGAGAATAATATCTGACATACAGTGGGCAATCAGTAAATATTTGCTGAATTAATAAACAAAAGGGGGATGTAGATGATATAAAACATAGGGCATTAGGTCTCAAGCAGCCTGTGGAAAACCATAAATGTAGCATATGTGTTTAGGCTTCAGTTCTGCCACATTTTAGCAATATAACCTAACCTTAGATTCCTTATCTGTGACACGAATACAAATACCTACCTCACAAAGCTGCAGAGGAAGGAAATGAGATAACAACAGGATAAGCACTGAATGATATTCTAATATTATTATTTTATATAAATATAAAATAAAAATATGGTACTATTATAATCAAACTGTTGACAACAGCGACTACAGAAAAACATACTTTTCACCAAACTGATACTTACAAAAAAAGAAAAAACATACACTAAAAACACACATTTAATACATAACATACATATTATATCTGTTTAGGAGCTTCGATTATATGAAAAAAAATGTAAGTGTTTTAAGGGTTCGGGGACAAAGGAGTCCAAGGAAAGTGAAAAAGTTTAACCAGCTTCATGAAAGAGGTGGGTTTTGAGCTGAGCACTAAAAAAACGGGGTAAGATTTTAACAGGCAGACCAGGAAGAAAAGCTGCTCTCCATAGGAGAGTGACACGAGCAAGGGAACCCAGGCCGCAATGAGCGTGACACGCCTGTAGCTTAACCGAGAGCCCTGACAGGTCAAGGGAAACAGTTGTTTACGAAAGAGTAAGAAGTAAGATTGAGTGCATTTAGAGAACTTTGGAGAAGAGAGGAACATGCTAGGGTGAGAAGGGATAAGCACAGAAGGAATAAAGACAAGCGAGGATTCAGGTTGTGATCTGCCCCCAGTGTCCCCTCTGTCGGTGAGTGGAATGTCTAACCAGATGTACAACCAGAAACCCAGGGGGCCCACCACAATGCCTCCTCCTCCCTCTCACCCTCACTAAGTCTTGCAACTTCACTGCCAAGACCTTGAGTCTCACGCAGCTCCATCATCACGGCCACCCTACTCCTGACTCACCACCTAAATTACAACTGTAAGTTAATAAATGCTTCTGAAAAAACGTATTATGTACATTTATATTATTATTGTGTAACATTTTCTCTTAGACATTATGAATCATAAGGAACTCAACATAGCACAAGGCAAGTTTATGACAAACCCAACGACACACTTCCGTAACACCTCACCTAGCACAAACCTTCCTAAGCAGTACTCTTCTCTCTGAAAAGGAGGCTTATCTGACTGTGTGTTTTTTATATGACCTAACCTACATTTAACCTTGACCTCAGTAAACATACTGATCTTTCATTCTCTTACACTAATTCTAACCAATTTGTCAAATTCAGCACAGAAACTGTGTTAAAATGAAAACAATTTAGACTAACATCAAAATGAAAATTTAGGTTATGATTTTACTCTCAACATTCACATAAAATAAAATTCTTTGGTTGGACAGAATTATGCCAAATTATTAGCTCTATTTAAAAATGGTTCCTATAAAAATACATAGAAAATCTCAATAAATGGTTCTCTACATGTATTAAAAATAGAACACTAATTTACAGCTATTTAAAATCAAAAGCTCAGTTTCATAAAAATCCTATTTTGCCCTTAAATGTTGGATAAACAGGCTTACCTGGATTTTTAGCTATCGTTCCTTGGAGAGCCCTGTGAGAAAACGTGGAATACCCCACCAACTTTGCCAGAAGATCTCTGCTGCTGAGCAATTCTTCTAAACATTTCAATTGACCAGCATTGGGATAAAGAAAAATTTTATAAGCAGCTTCTCGCACCTACGTTTAAAAAGTAAATGGTGAAGGCTATAAATATCATCACACAGTCCTATGCAACAATAACACAGGCTCATGCTCACCACTTGATCTGCAGATGATCACTGCTTTCAAAATAAAGCAATGGTCTACACGAGGCCATAAAGCTTCCAGAGTCATAAAATAGCATGGGATGCAATAGCATACTTGACTGCAGCTCTAGGGTACTGTTCTGAGGTACGGTGGGGCAAACCTCTACCCAGTGCGTGGATCTCTATGCTATAAAGCGTCTTAACCAGGAGAAGTAAGGCTGCATGAATTTAAAAGTCTCTGTAGTCTAGAATGTCAGTTAATGGTGTTATTAATCATACTTTAAAAATAAGGAGTCTTGTATGAAATATAAGTAATTAAATCATTTTCATTCTTTAAAGTGTTTATGGCATTAATAATTCCACAAGTTAAATTTTTAGGGCTTAGTAATGCTAAAAAGTTTTTAAGGATACTATTATATTATCACTGAATTTTGGGTTAAAACAGTAGCAACACACAAATGGGACCTAAACAACAAAGAGAATGAAACATACATACCAAGTCATCTGGTGATTCTGCGTGGAGACCATCAATTATGATATGATCCCCAGCAGATGTAAAGTTACGACGAATGTGTTCTGGTAAGAGATGCTTCTCAATCTTGTTGGGAAAATTGGTTCCCATAAGAAATGTACTACTCAAATCCAAGATTTTAACATTGAGGTCCACTGCTCTTTTACGCTGTATGCAGGAGGAGTAAAAGTTATTTAAAGGCGTTTTGAATTAATATTTCACAATTTAATAAACAAAATATAAATATGTCAAATCAACATATATATTGTTGAATTATCACTTAATAAAATATTAGTTTAGTAAAATGAATATATTGTTACTATATTATAAATAATATATTAATTTTACTTTTAACAGATATTTAATATTCTAACAAAAAGATCATACTTATGGTTTTCTGATGTTTCTATGTTTTAAGATTTACATAACTTCTAGTTCTATTTTATGTCTAGGTTATATAACTAATTGTTGAAATTAACAACATTGAAAAACACATGCCAGGTGCAGTGACTCACGCCTGTAATCCCAGCACTTTGGGAGGCCAAGGAGGGCAGATCACTTGAGGTCAGGGGTTGGAGACCAGTCTGGCCAACATGGTGAAATCCCATCTCTACTAAAAATACAAAAATTAGCTGGGCGTGGTGGCACGTGCCTATAATCTCAGCTACTCAAGAGGCTGAGGCACGAGAATCGCTCGAACCCAGGAGGCGGAGGTTGCAATGAGCCGAGATCGCACCACTGTACTCCAGCCTGTGAGACAGAGGGAGACTCTGTCTCAAAAAAAAACAAAAAACAAAAAAACAGTTATTTGCAAAAGTGTAGTGAGCCTCCAGAAGGGGGAAGCACATTTTAAAAGTTCTGATTTTGGGTGTGGTAGCACACGCCTGCAGTCCCAGCCCTATGTGGGGCTGAGGCAGCAGGATCACTTGAGCCCAGGAGGTAAGGCTTCAGTGAGCTACGATCACACCACTGCAACCTGGGCAACAAAGCGAGACCCTGTCTCAGGGGGGAATAAAGTTCTGATTTTGCATGTGCTTGAGCTGCTACAGAATGATACAGTGAAGTCTAAGAAGCAGACTGGAACCCCAGGGCATGGTCCTTTCTTCTACTCTGTGTCCCTGCCATGTGGCACATGGTCCTTGCTCCTGCCAGGCCTTCAAATGGTCAGTGATGAGGACGTGGATGGTGCGGACACATCTGCTTAGGTTTAATCTTGCAGTCATATCTTTGTAATACACAATAACCTGAGAAAACGTGTATTAGCAAAGGGGTTGCCATAAATGCTCTAAGATTAAATATAAACTAGAAACCACATAATTAGGCTGACTGGAGGAGAAGGGCTGAATTTTCAGTTATTGGCTACTCAAAAACTAGACAGGCTCTGCAGATGAATTTTCAGTTATTGGTTACTCAAAAACTAGACAGGCTCTGCATATGAATTTTCAGTTACTGGTTACCAAAAAACTAGACAGGCTCCGCACTGGGCTCATGTTGGGCTTCAGGTGAAAGTGTACACAAATCTTTCTGGGAGAGGAGATAGCAATTAACAAGTTCTAAACTGTTCTATGCTCCTAAAAAATGATTAAGCCACAATACTAATATACTTTTTAAAGATAAACATAGATGATGTAGAGGCATGCTTGATAAGATGCTGAAAAAATTGAGTATATATCAATATCCCCAGAATTTCAATATAGAAAATTCAAATTTCATGGAAAAAAGTTTTAGGAGACTCCCATTTCCTTACAGTCCAGATTTCTCTTTGCTTATTTTGTTTGATATGGCCATTTATCACCACCTAATGGTAACAAGTGGAATAACAAAAAAGATGAACAAGATTTTGAAATCACATTACAGTTCCAAAATTGTCTTCAAAACTTTTACTTTGAAAAAAAAAATGTGATAAAATTAACTACTTTGAAGATTTTATCTACTGATAAAACCTCTGGAAAAATCAAAACTGAGTTCATGCCAACTTCAATGATCTGCCAGGCATATCACTTCATCATTCTGTGGTAACAATGAAATGTACAATAATCTGAACTCTTGAAAAATTCTATGAAATTTCTGTGTTATTAAATAATGTTAAAAATAAACATTTCTATTACATTTAAACTTATAAGTTATATTTGTATGAGACCTTAAAAATTAAGGCCGGGTGCAGTGGCTCACGCCTATAATCCCAGAACTTTGGGAGGCTGAGGCAGGTGGATCACCTGAGGTCGGGAGTTCGAGACCAGCCTGACCAACATGGAGAAACCCCGTCTCTACCAAAAATACAAAATTAGCTGGGCGTGGTGGCACATGCCTGTAATCCCAGCTACTCAGGAGGCTGAGGCAGAAGAATCGCTTGAACCCGGGAGGCGGAGGTTGCGGTGAGCCAAGATTGCCCAATTGCACTCCAGCCTGGGAAACAAGAGTGAAACTCTGTCTCAAAAAATAATAATAATAATAAATAAATAAGAAACCAACTGGAAAGAACATAGGCTTTGATGATTTATAGATTTTGTTGGTGGGTTTATTTCATGGTCTCTCTTTTGAAAAATGGAACATGTCTACTTTATATCCTGTCCTAGTGGAGCACCTCTGAGAACAAACATGGAAGTTACAAGGGAAAAACTGAGCAGGTTTACTTTAGTTGCATATTCAATATTGAGGGGTTCCCTGGGAGCTGCTCCCGGGGAAAGAGGAGCTACACTGTAATCATATGTTAGATAAAAGCGGCAATGTCTATGCTGGTGAAACTGAACATATACTATTTGTCAGCAAAATTTCAAAAGCACCCTTCATAAGGATACATTAAAACTATTCACATGGATTCTCTACTAGCAACCTTCCTTCTGAAGATATCAAACTTGATGATAGCTAGCATTATCATGATTTGTCATACATTCACTCAATACTTTTACTGAGTCCAAAACTAATATGCATTAAAAAACATGATCCACGTTCTTGATCCTTTGTAAGCCTAGAAGTTAGATAAGCAACACAACAATAACAGCATCATCATCAACAAAAGGTAAAGAAGAATGCCACATGACTGAAATAAGTAAAATACGTTCGGATGAATACAAAATTCCACCTGGGGGACTGATAAAAGCTTCGCAATGTGGCGTGAGGATGAAGCCTTCATGGGGACTTCAGCCAGGGAAACCTGGTGAGCAGGCCTAGGAGGAGGACAGCAAACACATGGGGGAGGACACTGTGTATGAGGGGCTGACAGCCGGAGCACAGCCACGAGTGTGAGCTCTTTGTTACATGTTAACTTCACTAGACAATGGGAAGTCCACAGGAGGATTCTGGGCAGGAAAGTAACAAATCAATACTTTATGAAAACTAATCCAGTGTTCACAGACGGGGAAGACTGACCAGCAGGATGGTGACATGCTGGCCATGGAGGCTCTGGAGTCTGTCTGGCTTACAAAATAACGTCCCACAACCTCTACAGCCTTGGTCTAAAAAAAGCCAGGAATAATAGTAGCACCAAGCTCAAAATTGTTGTGAGGATTTGATGAGAAATATATGATTTAAAGTAGCAAATACTCAGTTGATGTTAAATCACTGTTAGGAAGACAGAGGCCTTTAGAACAGCCCGGGTGTTTGGTGATAAGAATCAAGGTGATTTGCTTTTGGGATGCAGACAGATGCAGGACTGTAGGAACAATGCAAGGACTTGGTTAGAAGATATGACAATATTAGGAAGGGAAAGAATACAACTAACTCCCAAATTTTATTTTACAGAGAAGTATTAATGAAGAATTGATGTGGAAAGCGGCAAACGTGGTCACCTTAGGCAATGTGAGTTTACAGTAGAGCCCATAAGCCTCATGGGCTGCTGGGAAGGCACGTCCTGGCTCAGGGTCAGACCAGGAATCACATGCTGAACCTTTAATGCCACACAAACACATCAGATGTGTGAGGGGTTACAGCATTACTCAAACTCAGCACCTATCAAAATGGTAACATCTATTGTATGTGATACATATTTCCAAGGCCCTGCCTTCTGCTTTTCCAGATATTTTGATAACTTAATCTCTTCATAGGTAAGTGGTTTAATTCTACCATATTTACTAGGAAAAATGTATTACTGTTTAAAACAAATAAACAAAAAGCCATAATAGTCTAGACTGCAGGTGAGTGGGGGAGACTGTGGGGCAGGCTGAACTTCCAATGGTGTCAAGTCCCTCCTGTTCTTCCAACTCTGAATTTACAACTGAAATGAGGCACTTGGTTTCTCAGGATGTTATGTGCTAGAAAGAACAGTGGCCAGTGTTAGAAATTTTAAGAACACTGGCCATTTGTTAGTTAGGATGGCAACTTGAACAAATCACTTTGTCTTGTTTCCACATCTGTAAAATGAAGGGGATGGACTAGGTAGAAGGCCTCCATCCCAGTGTAAACACTGTGTAATCTATGCTTGTTCCATCAGTCAAACACACGTATAATATAAATAAATACACTTATGTAAGGTCTTATGTGATATTCCCTGTACTACCAATCTTCAATGACATCAGCTTTCCCATTCACTTGCCAGTCTTTCCTGATATTGCCTATCTCATCCTAATTCCATGATTATCTAAAACACTCCACTTGGCTCAAGCCTGTCTTAATTCTGAATTATCATGGTGTGATAGGTCAACTTCCAGAGAGGGGACTATATTCAAATACAATCTAAAGAAGAATTTCATAACAGATAAAAGACCTGCACGTTTTTGCAATATGCAAATTCAAGCAATATATACAAGGACTGTAGCAATAATGGTATCAACTAAATGTTAGTAAAACTGGAAGAGTCAAAAAAACAGCAGAAAGATGTACCTTTTCTTTGTCTAGATGGATTCCACTAATTTCAAAATCAAACATAAACAGTTCAGCCACTCGCCTATAAATGAAATGAGCCCCAGGTTATAACAGGTAATAAAAATTGCTAACAAAAAAATTGTGGTTTTTTGTTAAATAAATAAGTCTTTTTCAGCCTCACTGCCAAAAGTTTCTTCAAAACACACACACACACACACACACACACACACACACACTTTGTTTTAAACAAGGAGCTTAATATCCTCAGATATTAAGGCAAACATCAGGCAAAACACCTATCTGACTGACAATTATGATTGGCTTGTCATGTAAGAGCTTATTCCTTTATTCAGAGAGTACAAACCTGTGAAAGCCACAGGTTTGTACTAAATAATAATAATAATTTTATTTAGTACACAGGTTTGTAATAAATAATTTAGTACCACAGGTTTGTAATAAATAATTATTTATTTCAACTCAATCCAAATCCCAATAATTAAAAACATAAAACAGTTTTATATTTGGACAATTTTTCAAAGGCCCTCTGCATGAGATTTTTAGTTTTTCTTCTAGCCAGTAGCAGCTATTTAGAATATTAAATTCTTTGATGCTGTGCTGGAAGCTGAGTTTCTTGGCTAATGAGAATTGTTTTCTTTCTTTTTACTCCTGCTTCATGCTTGGAACCAATTTCAAGTGTAACACCTTTTTTTTTTTGTCAATGGTATTTTTTTTAAAAAAAACCAACAACATTGAATGGAAATAATCAAATATTTGATCTACTCTTTTGGCTTTCCTTGAGTTTTCAAAATAGATATATTTACCTTCCTGATTATTACATCAAATATACCTTGAATGGAAATTTATAGTGTACGTTTATCGTATTACACAATATAGGTCTATTATGTAACAAAACTAATGCAGAAACATATGAAACATTTAAAATCACTAATCCTATCAAAGATAATGACTATTAAAATTCTTGTATTTCCTTTCAATCTACTTTTAATGTTATATTATATATTTAGAATAATTAAGGCCCAACTGTATATACTTTTGTATCTTGCTCTTTCTTGTAAAATTATATCACAAACATTGAACAGTTCTCCATGTCTTTAAACGTTCTTCAAAAAGTTGGCTTTTGATGCTTGTTTTGTGTTGTTATATAGACTGCAAATGTTTTTACTCTCCCACTCCCATGAACCACAATATAATAAAAATCCTTGTTACAGTTTTTAATCCTTGTTTGTTTCCTTAGGATAAATTCCAAGAAATTAATCACAAAGTATGCACATTGATATATATTACCAAATGCTCCTCCATGAAGTCTTATCAATTTACCCGTAACTAGAGAGGATCCATCATCCCAAACCAGAACTACTATTCTTATTCTGTTTCAACTTTGTCAGCTGCTGGCTGACAAAAAGTTTTGCTTCATTCTATCTTTCCTTAATGGTGGTGGGTCTCATGCCAGGTACAGAGCAGAGCACTTTACACAAATTATTTCCCTTACATCTCATATGATTCTTATGAAGTACTTTTTATTTCCGTTTTACAAAGGAGAAAACTAGGGTTTAGTGAGCCCTGAAGCCAAAGTCCAACCCCGCAGTTCCATTCTAGAGATGCAGTTCCACCCACTTCACACTTGGTGCCACTGTTACAGCTGTGGCACACTGCTATCAATTTAAGGGCCATCTGTTGCTATGCCTTATTTTGTGAAATGAGAGTTTCACAAACAGAATCTTTTGCCCATTTTTCTATAAGGGGGGTTTTTGTTCTTCTTTTTTTAAAGTAATTTGAAAGGTCTCTTAACATAGATAATATATTAACTCTTTGTCATATCAGAACCATTTGTCAACATTTGTGTGTTCTGACTTTGAATGTGGAAGCGTTTTGCCTTACCAAAGTTTGCAATGTTTATATAATAAAAATCAATGAATCTTTCTGTTGTATGAGTTTGTATCATGCCAAGAAAGACCTTCCATATCCCAAGATTACCAGTAGTTTTATAATTTCTTTTAAAAATATTTAAATCTTTAATCAATCTACTTTTTTACCCCAAATGGTTATCCATTGGTCTAACATCATTTCCTGAAAACCAAGTCTTTCCCTACTGATGTGAAATGACACTTTTATCACATACCAAATAGTCTTACTGTTTATGTATCTGTGTCTGTGTCTAAAATTTCTCTATTCTTCCATTGATCTAATTGACTATTCTGGCATTTTTAAGTATAACGCTCTTTAAATACAGCATTTTTATATGTTCTACTATCTGGTATAAGTCCCTTTTTAGTACTTTTCCTTACGAGAGTTTTCCTGCCTATTCTGGCATATTTATTCTCTATGACTTCAAAATCATTTTAAGTAACAATAAAAAAATTCTTTATAAATTGGATAGCATTAAACTTATAGTAATAAACATTACTGAGCTTTCTTCTTCCTTAAGAATACAGCATGTTTCTCCATTTCGGTCGCTTGCATGCTTCCTAGGTGTTGTGTATGTTGCGGTTCTGCACTCTACCTTCCCAAGTTCATTCCAACGTGTGTTACAGCTTTGGCTGTTCTTGCAACTAGAATTTTCCCTCCATTATATTTTCTGGAGAATGTGCTTATTATAGTCTTTGCATACATGAAAGCTCTTAATGGCTTTGGAAAAACCCCAAGTTAAACAGGTTTCTTTATGGCCTGGCTTCTCAGAGACTCTAAACTACTAAAATTCTTCAAGCAGGGAAATACATTGATACATCAGATTTCCAAACTTACTGACTGAAGGAACCATTCTGAGAAAAGTTCTGAACATCTCAGAGACTAGTATTTCAAGGACTGAATCTAAGAATAACATGATGAGTTACTCAATTTAAATCATTCCCTCTGTACATTAACTTACAAGACTTTATTAAATCTTTAATTCTTTGTTTTAGCCACTGTCTTATATTTTGCCATATGCATGGTTCTAAAATATAGTTCTTTCTGGGTGCTAGCCAACACTCAATGATATCTAAGTGCCACGATACTGCAATAATTATTACTTCAAATTCTTCTTCTCTCCTACTTCCAAGTTGCTTTTCTTTTCTAGACTGTTGATATTCTACCCAGTTTATTTTCCCCAATATATTTATCATTTTATTATTTAAAAATCCCTATTGGCATTTTTAATAATATCTAGAAATGTGGTATGTATCCTATCACTACAAGTCCTTTCTATCTAAAATGGTCTGCTAGCCCACTACAATTCTTTATACACAAACAGGGGCATGTCGATCTTCAGTAAATAGAGATTATGAATAACCTTCTATTTTTAACATTGTTTGTTGTTATGTAAAGTCAGTACCAGTTCCGTATAAATCTGGCACAATTAATAGGCATTCGACTTTTCCTTGCTTTGCTAATGAAAGCAATATAACGATAAAGCTTAAACTACTGTGATGACACAGCTAGCTTCACTAGTGTCCTGAGCATCAGGACTGATAAAGTGAAACACCACTAGGTACCTGCATACCTGCCAGGCAGATGAAAATAACCCCTCAAAGACTGAGTTACTCACATACCATGCTGCTCATGTATTAGATTAACAGCAAACTGGATGATCAATTGGTCCCTATAGAAAATGGCTTCATTTGGGGTCAATAAGCCACATATGGAGACAAAATAGAAGGAAACAGGATCAGAAAGAATCAAGTTGTCAGAGGAAGTGTCCCACCAACAAAACGTAGATAAACAGGAACAAACAAATGAGAAAAAAAATTAATCTGTGTTATGACATACATATTATAAGCAGGTTAAGGACAAACCCTACTCCACTCACAATTGCATTTGAGCAAAGAAATAAGATATCTAGGTTCCTATATCAAATATTCTAACATGTTGATTTAAAAGTAAGGCCTTTTTGATGCAGATTTATAAATGTAGCCTAATGAACCAAAGCAAATCATTACAAGGATCTTGACATCCTCCCAGTAGATAAAATCGATTTGCTTACATTTTCTGATAGTATCAATTATGGAACTTTGAGCATAAAGCTAAGTGTAATTATTAACTGTCTACAGGAGTCCACTCATTAGTTGAGCACTGACCACATGCCATGAATGTGTAGGTACTGAGGATGCAGCTGGGAACAAAACAGACCAAGCCCTACCCTCAAGGAGCTTGCAGTCTGGTGAGATAGATGATAGACAAATAAACAAACAGGATACGTTGGAAGGAACGAGGGCTATGAAGAAAAATAAATCAGGATCAGAGGGTAGAGTCTGACCCTGTGCAAAGATTTTGGAGGAGACACCATTTGAGTGGAGTCCTAGAGAAAGTGCAGGAGTCATAGAGATACCTGGGGAGGAACATTCCAGACAACAGAGGCTGCAAGTACAGAGGCCCTGAGGGAGAGTCTCCCAACCTCACCTCTAGAGTCACAGTCACAATCAAGGCAAAGAAATGAGTGAGTACCTTGTTTCTGGATCAAGGGAATCCACAAGTTTTTTATCAGCTAGTAATTTTTGCAAACTTTGATATAAATCCACATTTGTGTTCAACCTAGAAAAAATAGAAATTTAAAAAATTAGATGATTTTCTAATACCTTATTTTTAACTTTACATGAAAAGAATGGTGTCAGCTTGTACCACACACATGCCCAGAAGCTGAACAGCATAACCTACCAGGAACAGTGTAACCATCCTTCCTTCCTTCTTTCCTTCCCTTCTTTCTTTCTTTCCCTTATTTTGGAGACAGGGTCTCACTCTGTCACCCAGCACCCAGGCTGGAATGCAGTGGCACAATCACAGCTCACTGCAGCCTCAATCTTCTGGGCTCAAGTGATCCTTCCACCTCAGCCTCCCAAGCAGTTGGGACTACAGGCATACACCACCACGCCCAGCTAATTTTTAAATTTAAAAACACTGTAAGGGAGAGCTCAGGACACAGGCTTCAGAGCCACCCAACTGGGATGCAAGACTGGCCTTGTTACTGCTGTGGGACCTTGGACACGTTATTTAGACTTTAGGCTGCCGTGAGGATTAAATGAGATCATGTGTGCAGCACACATTTCCTATGTGAATGAACCATGGCCACTGTTGAGCAGTTGTGCCATCCAGAGAGCAAAGGGCCCAATGCTGGGCAGTGGTCCCAACCCACCCCATAGTACCACTAGCAGGAACCCAGTCCTCTTCCCTAAATGCAAATGCCATGGCCCCCTCAAAACTAAATAGTGAGCTGGGTCTAGATACAATCTGCACCCTGCTGGGTAGGTCTTCAAGGAGGGATAAGGTTGTAAGAACCACTCACCAGTCGCTACTCAGAGACTCAAGGATACTCCTGTTCCTCAGTTGGTTCACAAAAAAACACTTAAGATTTATATGAATCGAAGGGTTTCTGCTACCATTCTCATGGGCCTTCCCAAATACTAGTGAAACGTAGATAGTCATTACCCATCAAAAAAACACTCACCAAGAAGGGCCAGACTCCCACACACGGATCCCAGAAGTCAGGGAGAGAGTGAGTGTGGAGGCCTACCTCCTCCCAACCTGCTCACCCACGGAGCCACTCCATGGCAAAGGAACAGTAGCTCAGAGGCTGCCCGCACTGCCCCCACTGCAGAGGTTTAAGGAAATCTCCCAGTAGTATGTTTTATGTTGGAAGACCCTGAGATAAAGCCCATACTTCAGTCTGTATTTGTCCTCCGACAAAATGAAGAGTGCTTGTCCATGAGACCAGCCCACGTCTAATTCGGCAGGACACAGCATGCAGAGAGCCTCGAGCAGGCAGCCCACTGCTGACTCCTTCCCAGGGGCCTTTCCCCGAGAGGCAAAGCTTTCTCCCAGGGAGTCCCCACTTTCAGCCCTGTCAGCATGCCCAGTATCTGCACTCTGCAGGGCCCCGTTCTGTCCCATTACGCAAGTTGGTTTTCAGCGGCTATGGGAAAAGTCACACACGATTGTGCCAAAGTGAACAAATGTTGGCGACCTGGGGAAAAGCAGCAGCTGCACATCTTGAAGTGTTGGGTCTTCCAAGGAAGCCTCGTCTAACCAGAGAAGCCATCACTCTCCTCCTCCAACAATTTCTGGCATATGAAATTGTCTTATCGTGTTACCCCCTTTTCCCTGTTGTAAATCCACGCTGGCGAGCCCAGGGCTCTCCCTAGCTCTATACACTGCCTGGCATGGTGCCATGCAGCTAAGTGTGTTGGAATACAGCGCTGTCCACCATTCAGTTATTTTAACAAGCATTATGGAGCTCTTATAAGTGGCTTAAAAATACTCACATTTACCCCAAAATCACTTTAAAATAATTCACTCTATCACAGCCTCAGCCAGAGCATGCTCCAGCCCTCCCACAGACTTTTACAGCCTCCCTAGACTCCCCTAATTCCAACTCAACAGGGACCACAAGGACACTGTTTATAGAGCATTTTGGCTTCTCGCCCCGTGGCCCACAGCCATTGATGCAACAGCAATTTAATCAAGCGATAATCTAGTAAGTCCAACTTGCCACTAGGACACTAAAAAGCCCTTATTTAAGGTAAGTGATAATGGTGATGACAAGAATCCTGGGTGTCTGTCATCTCAGATTATCAAGTGACACCTTTACATTGATCTCATTTAACACTCACAAGGACCCTGAGGCAGGGTTAACTTTTCGACCCCATTTACAGACAAGGAAATGACTGAGAGAACAGACAACCAGCCCTAAGGCCCAGTGCCTGCCTGCGAGGTGAGCCAATGGCCTGTCCTGAGCCCTCCCTCCGGCCACCCCTGGTCACACACACCTCCCACCCTGCTGGGTGAGGGACAAGCGCTATGGACAAAACTGCCTACGGCACAAGTCCATGAAACCGGATCACCCAGGACTTGGCATGGAGGTGGGGAGGGGAACAGCACATACTTCTCTACCATGGTGCCAATACTTCTACAAGCTTCTTCCGCAGCTTCTCTGAATGCTGGCTCAGGGTGAGCGATTTTCACAAAATCAGCCTAATAAAGGGGAAAGACAAAACCAAAAGGGAATTTGATGAGAAGCTTTCTTCCAGGATCTGAGGGTGAAAATGAAAACTGGGTTTTAAGATGTGCCATTGGCTTGCCCTATGCATTTCCATTACTGACTTTTTCCTAAGCGAGTAAAGCAAAGCAGCTTCTTTCTGAACATTTAATTCTGTTATTCCTTGAAACCAAGTTTGTTTCACTCCAAAAAAAGACTTTTATTATTTCAGAAAAGTTTTTCTCTTTCAAATATAAACACCAAGCAAATTCTTTCTTTCTTTTTTTTTTTTTTTTGAGACGGAGTCTTGCTCCGTCGCCCAGGCTGGAGTGCATTGGCGCAATCTCAGGTCACTGCAAGCTCCGCCTCTCGGGTTCACGCCATTCTCCTGTCTCAGCCTCCCACGTAGCTGTGACTACAGGTGCCCACCACCACGCCCTCTAATTCTTTATTTCAAAAGAGCAGACACTGGTTTCAAATATTCTACAACTTTCTGGCTAAAATTCTTTGCAGTATGGTTTTCACATGTTAACTTATCTCCAGAAAACAACTCTTAAAGGCTTTTTTTTTTAACTGACACATAGTATAGTTTCAAAACCCATTTAACTACATTCTAGTCTTTGATTTAACTACATGGTAGTCTTTGTGCAGAAAACAAAGGCACGGTCTCTTCATAGTCCTTTCAATAAAATATGAGTTCGTAGTCTCCATGTAATACTGTATACAGCTACTACTGCTGCTGCTACTTAAGTCATTAGACATTAAAATGAGTGACAGTTCTTTTTTAAAAAGATAAAATGATGTAAAACTAAATTTTTGTTTTCATGTCAACTGTAACAAAAAGCAGAGAAACTACAAAACACTACATATTTTATTTGCCAAGAAAATGTGACTATAACATGAAATAAAATCACCACAAGATAAAATTTCTTAATTTTATTATCAAATAGTTTTTAATGCCAAAACATTTAAATCCATAGTTTGGTATATTTGTTGTAACAATTGGTAACGATAAAATAACATTAGTACCAAAGTACCTGAAAAATGAGTTATGTAAATTTACAACATTTTTTTTTTACAAATTACTAATCTACGGGTTGTGAATTTATAATCAATATTAAAATTCAAAACACTAGCATACATATTAAAAACTGATTTGTAATAGTGATGAGGAAAACAGTTGTTACATAAAAACTGTATTAAAAAAGAAAACAAAATAAAATGACTATTTGGTGAAAAACAGTTTATAAAACGATTGCCTTATAACAGTACTAATCTCACTGGCAGGTAATATCTTAAAAATTCAGATATTTTTAAGATATTAAAAATTCAGATAATCTTACTGGCAGGTAATATCTTAAAAATTCAGAACAGAGAAAGGTTCTTTTATACCCAGAGAACTACATATACAAATCACATCTTTTTTTTTTAAGTTTTCAAAATGAGATATTATTATACATGATAAATACTAAAAATGTCAAAATAAGATATAGCGCAGAGAAGTTAAAATCTTTTAGTGAAGATCAAAAGCAAAAATGTAGAAAAAAATCCTAGAATACTGATTAAGATGAAGACTAAGACAACAAATACACAGTGAATTCTGGGATTTGTGACAGCCACGCCAAGTCACCCCTCAGTATCAATGGACAATGGTTTGATCCTCCCACAGATACCCGAATCCACAGATGCTCAAGTCTCTGATATAAAATGGTGTAGTACTTGCATATAACCGACACACAGCACACCCCATACATCAAATCATATCTAGATTACTTGTAATACCTAATGAATGTAAACAATATGTAAATAGCTGATACACTGTATTGTTTTATGGAACAGTGACAAGAAAAGAAAGTCTGTACATGTTCAGTATGAATGCAAATTTTTTTTCCAAATATTTTTGATCCAAGGTTGGTTGACTCCACAGATCCCCCAATCTGGAGGGTTGACGATACAGTGAAATTCACTGACACAGATTTTCCTTTTCTGATTTCTGTGACACAATTAGGTGAACAGGGTATGAAACCTCCTTTTGGCAGTGCGTTTCCACAGCTTCCCCATCATTCAAAGACACATTTCCTATGCACATACTGGAGGCACAGAACAAAAACCCAGTACAACAGAACTACTCAGAGCCTGCAACTTCACTCCAGGGAAAAACCCTTTACAGTAAGATACTTTATCAGTTTTCTTAAGAGCGGGAGGCTTGTGGTGAACATATAATCATCTGAAAGGTGTTAATGCTCAAATCAGTTGTATGGGTGGAAGGAAATTTTCCAAAAAAGGAAAAAAAATAAAGATGGGGATGAGTTATGCTGGGTGAAAGAAGTCAGTCAAAGGTATACAGGATTCCACCTATGTGACATTCTAGAAAAGGCAAAACTATAGGGAGAGAGAACAGATTAGTGGTTGCCAGAGGTTAGTGGGGAGGGGGGGGTGTGACTACAGGGAGATTTTTGGGGGTGGATGGAACAGCTTTGTATCCTGATTGTGGTGAGGGCTGCACAAATTTATACGAGTTAAAATTCATAGAACTGTACCATCCTCCAAAAGAAGTCAATTTTACAGAATAATAATTTTAAAAACAAGTATACATTTTTTTTAAAGATGGAGAGGCTAACAAACTTTGCAACCTTTCCAGGTAAGGATTCATGAGACCTGAGCAGCCAGCCAGCCCTGAAATGGTTGGAACAGGAGAAAGAAGAAGAGCTCGACAGATACCCTGCCTGGGCTGGCAGCCCAGCTGCACCACACGCTGGCCAGCTGACAGCGGGCACATCCCTTCATCACCCAGTGCCTTTCTTCCCTCTTGTGAAAATGGAGATATGCTGAGAAGGTTACCTCAGCTCATCCAGGGAAAGCTTCTTCAGCTAACTAGGCTGTAGAAAGGGCCTACAGTCTAGTTAAATTTCCAAAAACAAGTTAATGCCAGAATATAAACTCCATGAAGTAACAGATTGTGTCTGTTTCATTCCTGCATGTATCCCTCATGCCTAGACAGTGTCTGGCACACAGTACGTGCTCAACATTGACTGAATGTGAGGGAAAAACCTATGCAGTTCTATACCATGTAGACAGGATCATAAATGATCACTATTTAAATTGTGTGTGCTGCTTTCCTTGACAAGAGTAACCAAGAGTCAGCTCCTTCAAGCTGATAGGAAACCCTGCTTCCTGGAAATGAGTATATCGAAGAGATATCTGCACTTCCATGTTTGCTGCAGCTCTGTTCACAACATCCAAGATGAGAAAGCAACCCAACTGTCCATGAACAGATGAATGGATAAAGAAAGTATGGTACTTACACACAATGGAATGCTATTCAGCCATAAAAAAGAATGAGATTATGTCATTTTCAACAACATGGATGGTCATTATGTTTAGTGAAATAAGTCAGGCACAGAAAGACAAACATCACATGTTCTCACTCACTTGTGGGACCTAAAAATAGATACAACTGAATCATGGAAATAAAGAGTAGAAGGATGGTTACCAGAGGCTAGGTAGGGTAGCAGGGTGGCATGGGGGAGGTGGGGATGGTTAATGGCTACAAAAAAACAGGAAGATTGAGTAAGACCTACTATTCGATAGCACAACAGGGTGACTACAGTCAATAATAATTTAATTGTAGATTTTAAAATAACCAGAAGAGTATAATTGGATTGTTTGTAACAGAAAGGATAAATGCTTGAGGGGATGGATACCCCATTTTCCCTGATGTAATTACTATGCATTGCATGCCTCTATCAAAACATCTCATGTACCTCATGAATATATACATGTACCCACAAAAATTAAAAATAAAAAAAAAAGAAAATTTTGCTATCTCAGCAATGGATTTCCTAGTTGCTGAAGAGATCTAGGTATACACTTCTATTTCAAATTTAAAATGTTAAAAAAAAAAAGTCTTTACAATCATTTTGATGTCAAAACTTGGTTTTTAATTAAAAAAAAAAAAGCATTCCTGAAAAGGTTTATTAAAACTGGTTTTCACACCTCTTATGAAAAAGAAGTGGCTCACACTTATAATCCCAGCACTTTGGGAGGCCGAGGCAGGAGGTTCACTTGGGGCTAGGAGTTCAAGATCAGCCCGGGCAACACAGGGAGACCCTGTCTCTATTAAAAAAAAAAAAAAAAGAAAAAGGGGAATTTTGTTGTAAATGTACACATAAAGTGTTCTTAGAATTTTGGGAGACACTTTCATAAATGAAGAATCTCTGTCAAATGAATATATATGTAAATATATATTACCCAAATATAGCAAATATTTGCTATATTAGTATTCATTCATTATATATTACATGTATATTTTATTAAACATACGTATTAAAGTACAAGTTCTAAATATCACCTTTTCCTATAATATTTTCCCATTCCTAATGACATATTTCATCATAAAAAATTATACCCAATGGATCTCAGTTTCAGACATTTTTAACTTTATAATCTAATATTAATAGTAAACAACAAAGGATAAATTTCACTTAAATTTTAACAAGTTGAAAGAGAGGTAGCTTCAAGTCTGAGGTAAAGCACCTTACCAAGTCGGCCACTCTGCATAAGGAATCCGAGAGCTCATCGAAGATCAGCACGGTCTGGGGCCCAGGTGGGGTGGAACATGCACGGTCCACAAGCAATTCTGTCTTTCTCAAGGCTTTTTCTTGTGCAATATGAAATCCTTCTGGGGCACTCAGCTCAGGAACTCCAAAAAGACCCTTAGAACCAAAGAATACGTCTGATTTATAACCAAAATTCAAAATTGTGCTTTTTTTATATTTACTAAAATTACTTTTATCACAAAGGAGATCTTGACTTTCATTGGTGTATCATGTTATACCTGTGATCACAGATACCACTATCATACTCCCCATATCACTCCACATAAATTACACTAAAAATGTTTTCAGAACATAATTTTTCTTCAATTTTTAATTATTTTCCGGAAAAAACAACAACAACAATGGTATGGGTTCAAAATCCAGCTGTCACTTCTACAGAACCTAAGAGTGGCCGCAAAGATTAAATGAGATCATATATGTAAATATATATATATATATACATAAAGCAGTGTTTGGCACAGAGCATTTATAGATGTTAGCCATAATTATTATTAGCTTATAACCCTGGTCATGTTATTTCTCCTCCTAGGAGAAATATTTTTTTCATCATGTACAATGGGAATGACGATACATACCTTACAGCATGGATACAGGTAATAAGTATATGTAAAGTACTAACAGCAGCAGCTGACAAGGTGAGATCTCAGTACATAGTACCAATTATTCTATAACTATCAAATAGGGAGGATGAGTTGACTATGAAGCAATAGATATTTTAGAAAAATGTAATGAACATATTAAAATCATAGGCTGAAACTGGGAGCAAATTTTATACGTTACAAAGACATTTCAATATCTTGATAAAAACAAAAATCACTGATCTAATGGTAATGACCATTCTCTTGTTACCTATTCAATCACACTTGTTAGCACACTCAGGAAGGCAGGGGGAAAAAGCATTTAATATGCACCTACTGCATACCATGAAGTGTGCCTGCTACTTTACATAGGTTCTCATTTAAATCACACAATCCTACAGAACAGAGTATCATTCTTTTACAGATCAGGCCACATGCTTTAAGACGTTAGAAAAAACTTGTTTGAGGTCACAAATTAATATTGGGAAAGACAGAACTCGAACCCGCTCTGTACATCTGTAAAGCCCACACTTTTCCATACTTCTCTATTACAATTTATCTGTTTGAAAGTCTTCTCTCCTGAAAAGGTGAGCTTCCAGACCCAAGAGCCCTGCCCTTCATTTCTTTAACCAGCTATCCAATAGAATGTCTAACACATGGGGGAACTCAATGAAAGAAACAAGTGACCGGAGCAGATGCTAGGCTTTGTTAATTCACTTTGTAGGTGCTTAACGCATAGATTTTCAGAAATACGAACAGGTAAACCTTCAGGCCTGACAAGCCCTACTGTTTCTACAAGAAGGGATGGATGAAGTTAAGCTAGTAATCTCTCTTCAAAATATATTACAAGATAAAAAATAAAATAAAAGAAAGTCAGTGGGAGACAAAGGAAAATCAGGACCAAAAACAAATGTCATCTTTATACTGATTTAATTTGATTCAAGCACAGACTACTTCCACTTCCCAGTACAACCTGCCCATATTGCTCTCGGGAATTCTAACTATCGGATTACCAGTGACCATAATGCTAAAAAACTGAATAAGGCTTTTTTTTTTTCAAGGCAAAAATCAATTCTAAAATTTGAAAATCTGCTATCAGTGCCGAATATCATGATACAAAAAGGGAAAAATAAAAGCTAAAATTAGTTATATCTCATCCACCCAAAATCAGGCTTCCCCTCACGTCTTTCTGCTCAGCGCCTACAAGTAGGTCTCTTCACACCAACTATGTTAATACCAACACTACATACCCTTAAGGAAGGTGGTGTAGCAAATTTCACACAAAATAATTTTTAAATAGACAAAACTGATAATGGAGATAAAACAAGAATCACACACTTTAGCTCAGTGCAACAATACCCTAGACTTGTCTTTATAAGGCAATACAGTATAACGAAATTTTAAAAGGCAAAAATAAAAGTAATCCTTAACCTAAAACGGACAAAATGTACAAACTCCAAGTAGAACAGGCATCAGGTAAGTCCTTTCCAACCTTGCCTTCCTCTCACCTTTCACTAGACAACGCAGGCTAGTGACTTCCTGGGGTAAGAAATCAAAGTGACCAATTCCATGGCACTATGGGAAGTGAGACTCGTCTCAACAGAGTTTTGTGTTTTAAAACAAGAAAGCCCAAAGCTTTGAAATAAATTAATTAATAGATGATGGAATTTCAGGTATTAATGAAATTACCATTACTCGACTGCAGGCAGCCGTGTCCTTGCAAAAAGACCATGTGATGCCGCCTGTGAACGCACAGGGATAGGCCTCTTAAGGCAGGACTGTAGCGCTGGAGCTAAAGGGCTTTAGCAGGGGTGCGCCTGAGTGTATGCAGAGGGCGGGTCCTGGCAGGACGAATTCACCGCCACTGCCAGAACGAACTATTCAGATTCACGTGGAGCAAGGGGCTCATGCAGAAGCAGTTCCCGGACCCGACACTCTGGGTAGGAGACCACTAAACCCGGCCCCTCAAAGCAGAGGTGACCTTGCCCTCATCGAGAGCGCACACAAGACGCCACTGTAAAAGGTGGGTTCGCTGCTCGCCTCCTCCCAGGCCCAAACAATCTCGCCCTGATTGTTGCTGGCCGCGCGGAGCAGGGGTCGGCTTAGCTCGGGGACTGAGGGGAGCTCCTCCTGCGCCGCTCACCCGGCGCTCGCCGAACAGGTCCAAGCGGCTGCCCTGGGGCTTGACATTGAAGGCGGCGCCCACGGGAGACCAGCTGGTGCTGACCCTTCGGGCCCGGATCCCGGCTTCGAGGCTTCCCCGGCCCGCCCGGCGGGGCGGCAGAGCTGCTGCTCTGGCTCCCAAGCCGCCCAGCCTTCCGACGCACAGCATTCTAGCACCAGAGCAGTCCCTTCCTCCAACGCAGATCCCTGCCCTGCTGCTTTCGCTGGGAGCGCGCGCTCCGCGTTTCCAAGGCAGCAGCCCACGCCGCCCCACGTGACGGCCCCGCTTCCGGGTCTGGGCGCGGCCTCAGGACGTGGGCACGTTGTCGTCCAGAGAGCAAGAGCGTCGCTCCCCCTCGCCTTCTCGGCCGCCCTCCCGGTTTACCGCCCCCTGTGTCCAGAGTAAGAAAAGGCTAGGGTTGCGCTTCCCTCCCAAGTTGACTAGGGGTGGGCGCGAGTAAAATCATGACATATTCGAATTCCAGTGGACATTAGATATTCTTTGAGAGACGGCAGGTACTTGAGTAAACAAGAAATGCCCACCATAGGCCTGAAGGAGAAGTTTCCCTTTTAACCTACTCTCTTGGTAAATTTATCCTGCACTTCTCTGTTTGGTGTCTCTGTCCGGTAACTTTTTACTCTTGCATAGCTCAGTTAAAAATTTTAGATGGGAAATAGTGAAAGAAGTCTAATGGGATTTTCCCTCCAGGGTTTCAGAATTGCCTGGGACCCGTGAACCCTTTTTTCCTTCCCCTTTCTCTCTTTTGGAATGGATTGTCTACCCTATGCCTGTCTCCCCCTCCAACCCCCGGTCTTTTAGAAGTGGATTAACTCGTCTCGCTTCACAGGATCACAGATGGAGAGACATTTTGCCACACGATGAATCACACAGTAAGTCTCCTCTGTAGCTTATTTAAATGATGTAGATGGTGAGAGGAGTTGATGCGGAAAGTGTTAAGACTTTTGGTAATGTTGACATGGTGCGAAAATGTATTTTGCACATGAGAAGGAAATCAATTTTGGGAACCAGAGGGCAGATTGGGTTGAACTGTGTCTCCCAAAATAGATGCTGAAGTCCTAACCCTCGGTGCCTGTACATGTGACCTTATTTGAAAATATGGAGTTTGCAATTATGATTAAGATGGGTCATACTAGATTAGGGAAGCTGTTCTTGTAAGAAGAGGAAAATTTGGCTGATACAGGAGGAGGACAGCCACCTGAAGATGGAGGCGGGGACTGGAGTGATGCTGCCACCAGCTGCCAGAAGCTGGAAGCAGCAAGGCTGCATCCTCCTGTATCCCCTTTGGAGGGAGGATGGCCCTGCTGCTACGGTGATCTCAAACTTCCAGCCTACAGAACTGTGAGAAAGTCCGTTTCTGTTGTTTAAAGACTCCCAGTTTGTGTACTTTATTAGGGCGATCCTAGAAAACAAGTAGAGATTCATGTCTGGCAAATAATGATCAAACAATGATTTGTTGGATAGAATGGTGATTAAAACCTAGGTTAGAAAATGAGCAAAATGGGAGGGAAAGCACCAGGACAAATAGCTAATGCATGCAGGGCTTAATACCTGCATAGGTGATGGGTTGACAGATGCAGCAAACCACCACAGCACATTTTTATGTAACAAACCTGCACGTTCTGCATATGTATTCCAGAACTTAAAAATACATTTTTTAAAAAAAGACAAAATGAGCAGTGTCTACAGCTTTCTGGAGTGTGACAGCATCACCAGCTTAAAGCTGTTACTAGTACTAAATGGAATAAACATTTCCCTCTAATTTCCCCTTAATGTCCTCAGAAACACAGATGAGGGATACATCTTCATATGACTCCTCAGAGCACTAAAATGATATCAAAACACTCTTCCCACAAGAAATGCACAGACAAAGGATTCTTCAGATAATAGGAATAAGAAATGTGAAATAAATTAGAATAAACCATGCAGCTATTTTAAATATTTACTCCTGGAAAAATAGTAAGTTACATAGAATCAGTTTTGGGAATAACTTTTCCGTTTTCACCTTTTTATGATTATTGTAATAATTGGAGGAATTAATAAAGTAAAACCATCTGAATAAGTTCATCCCAAGCTGATTCTGATGGATGGTCTGGCAGATTTATAAACTCTCCTCTGTCACTGGCTGCTGAACAGAAGGAACCCTGTGAAAGTTGTGTCATCGTCCTCATCAGCAAACAAGCCATTGAACCTCTCTCCTCCTGTCACCTGCAGCCACATCTCATCCCCGAGCTTCAGCTGCAGGACAATGCTGCCAGAGGCCTGGTCCTCAGAGCTCACGTAAGCATCTCTGGTGTGCAGTATTTTTACTCCGTTTTTGACCAAAGACACCTGAACATTCCTGGAGAAAACAGTGATGTGGTAGGTGAAGTAATAGACCCCAGCAATGTGGCACGTGAATTTCCCCACTGCTGTATCATAATGGTTGAATTCATTATACAGGATCTTATCAAATTTAATGGGCACATCTGAAGAAGGAAACTTGCTCAGCACCGTGAGCCCCACAGTGAAAGCACTTTTTGGCAAGACTAGAGTCTCACCGATTTTCCCTTTCTCTCCTCGATCTCCTTTCCAGCCTCTTATTCCCCGGACTCCTGGCTCACCCTGGGGCCCCGTGGGTCCAGCTTCTCCCTTGGGACCAGGCTTTCCAATAGGGCCCATGGGGCCCGGTAAACCAGTTGGGCCCAAAGGCCCAATGTTGCCCCTTGGCCCCTCAGGACCAGTGGGACCCACGTCACCCTTATTCCCCTTCTGCCCCTGAGGCCCAGTCTCTCCTCGGAGGCCTTTCTCTCCCATGGGCCCTGCAAGCCCCTTGGGGCCATGTTTTCCTGGGGATCCTCTTGAGCCTTGATCACCTTTGATGCCTTTTGCTTCAACTTTTCCATCTGCTCCTAAATAGAGAAAGAGCAAATAAAGAGATAGTTTGTGAAAGATTCCCTTGTGAACAACTTTGGTTTTTCTATAATTGAGCTCACAAATGAAACAAAGTAGTACACAGGTTCAGTATATGCCCAGAGTTTAAAATTCAATTACTCCATCTGGGTGCGGTGGCTCACACCTGTAATCCTAGCACCTTGGGAGACCGCGGCAGGAGGACTGCCTGAGGCCAAGAGTTCAAGACCATCCCGGCCAACATAGCAATTCCCTGACTCTAAAAAAATAAAAATAATAAAAAAATAAGAAAATAAAATTCAATTACTCCAGCCCAGCTCAGTGGCTTATGCCTGTAATCCTAGCACTTTGGGAGGCCAAGAGAGGCAGACTACTTGAGTCCAGGAATTCAAGATCAGGCTAGGCAACATGGCAAAACCTCATCTCTGCAAAAAGTACAAAAATTAACCAGGTGCGGTGGCACACAATTGTAGTCCCAGATATTCAGGAGGCTGAGGTGGGAGGATGGCTTGAGCCCAGGAGGCTGAGGCTGCAGTGATCCGTGATCAAACCACTGCACTCCAGCCTGGGCAACAGAGTGAGACCCTGTCTCAAAAAAATAAATAAAAGTCAATTACTCCAATTACACACGTGTGTGCACATGGACACACACACACACATCCCAACACACCTTTTGACTACTGTCTACTAAATTAGTGTCAGGGCTCACATTAGAAATTACAACCCTACCATCTAAGTCTACCATGCTGGCTATTAAATAATGTCAATCCATGACAAAAAGCACTCTGCAGAGCAGAGACAGACAGATTAACTGACACTCAACCCTAGTCGTGACATCCTCTAAAAACCTCCTCCCTGGAGTGAACATAAAATAAAGCCTGCATCGAGGCATTGCCCTCTCCTGCCCAACCCCAGCCCCAACCCACCTATCCCACCGGCAATTCATCATCTACAGAAACCTTGCTGCTTCCTTGCACCCCCACCCATACCAAAGAGCCGTCGTTGCAAGTGTGGACTCTGAGGCTAAGTGCCAGGTTTCCATTCTGTCCCCATATGCACACAGGACGTCAGACGAGCTAGTGAGCCTCGTGCCTCTGTTCCCTCACCTACGGAACTGGGGTGATAAAACTACCTAGTGTCTGGGGATGTTGCATTTGGTGAGTCAGTACATGAAAAGCACAAAGTGAAGATTACACAAGTTTGCCACTACGACTACATCCCAACCCATCAGGGACCAGTTCTAGTGCCACCTCCTCCATGCAGTGCTGCCAGATGCACCAAGTCAAAAACTCAGTCTCACTCCTCAGTGCTCATCCACTGCAAGGTTCAAAGTTCAGCAAACTACAGCCACAGGCCAAATTCAGCCTCCCTCCCGCAAGCAAAACAAACATGGTTGACATTTTTTTTGTTTTTCTGGTTTTTGTTTGTGACAGGGTCACTCACTCTGTTACCCAGGCTGGAGTGCAGTGATGAGATCATGGCTCATGGCAGCCTCAAACTCCCAGGCTCAAGTGATCCTCCCATCTCAGCCTCCTGAGTAGCTGGGACTACAGGCATGTGCCACCATGCCTGGCTAGTTTTTTTATTTGTATAGACAAAGTCTTACTATGTTGCCCAGGGTGGTCTGGAACTCCTAGGTTCAAGCGATTCTCTTACCTGGGCCTCCCAAAGTGTTGGGATTACAGGTGTGAGGCATGGTGCTCGGCCATGGTTTGCATGTTTAAATGGTCACAAATAATATTCCACAATACATGGAAACCATGGGAAATTCCCATTTCAGTCTTCACACATATGGTGTCACTGGAACAGAGCCATGCTTATTTATGGAGCATCTACAGCTTCTTTTCACTACAAGGGGAAGTTGAGTAGTGGTGACAGATCTGTGTGGAGTTGAGAATATTTACTACCCAGCCCTCTGCAAAGCCTGCCAATCCCTGCAGAATCCCCCCATCTGGAGAGTAAGAACTGTGTTGCCTTTATTATAAGATTATAATCAGCATGGAGGACTTGTCCATGGTAATATTGTTAAATAGTCGACAGCTCAGAATTAGAGCACCATAAATAGGAACTACTAACCTCGTTCTCCCTTCTCTCCACTCGTCCCATCCTTCCCCGGGCTGCCAGGACATCCTGGTTCTCCTAGGTGGAAAAGCAGAAAACAGGCATGAGTTGAAATTCCATTTCTGATTTTTCTGGCCATTGGTCTCCATCAGCCATGTGTTGGAGAGTCTGGGGGTGACCCCCGCCCTGACGGGCACTCTGTCCTCCACACGAGCGCAGGTGGAGAGAGGCAGGCATGAGCGGGCATCTGGGGTGCTGAGCTGCGTGGGATAAGTGACCTAAGAAATGAACTGAGTGACTTCCCAAGCGCCCATCTCTAGGACGTGCCTAGAGCGCACAGCAAGACAGGACGAAGAGGGAGTGTGTGCAATGGGGACTGACTGTCACAATTGATTGTGTTCCTCTCCTGCGACAAGGACTTGGGACGTGGTCTGAATGTTGGAGGTGCGAGGAGGTTTCCTCACTCTGTTTCTCTTCCATTACTCTTGAGGAGAGTGGAATGGAAGATTTACTAGGCTCCTATGAAAACACAGATGACTATGGTTACGTGACACTATCCCAAGATAGAAGAGAGAGTTCTGGAGGGATCCCTCTAGTGCCTTACACTGGGGGAAATGCTACTAATCGAGCTGGCAGAGAACATCAGGTGAGTGGGGCTCTGCTGACTACACTCAAGTCCTTGTGCTCAGAACAGGCCCCCCTGAGCTCCAGGTCGGCGTGCTATCCGTCAGCGGGTTGAAGGTGGCTCTGGCTATGGCAGTAGAGTGCTCATTGGGCCACAGCTCACCCCAGACTCTGGCTTCTCACAAAGCAGCAGAGACTCCCATACTTCAGACCCACTGACGTGGCTGTGGGGCGACAGGCGCAGGCTGGGCCGGCTTGCAGGTCCTGAGACAGGACTGACACAGGCAGACTTATTTCTGTCACGATGTCTGTTCTCCTGGGACACCAGCGCTCCTGAGTGGGGCCTTGGTCAGCGTGGGACCTCTGAATGGAGGGGGCTTATCCCTACATTTGCCCCTCCCTGCGCTCCCCTTCCCTCCCCTCTACTGGCTGCTCCCCTGTGTCTTCCTCTCCTTCCCTCTTTTTGTTCCCCTGCTTGGCTCTCGTTTCTCCCATTCTCTAGAGCAGTGGCCTCTGAGCTTTCATGATCACGCACCACAACTCACAAAGCATGAACACAGACCCCAATCAGTAGACATTTATATGTTTCTACATTATGCACAGGTAGTATATGAAAAATATGTTTGGTATAAAACATACACAAAAATACACTTTAAGATGGTAAGATAAAAATGAAGTAAATTTTTAGTGTGAGCAATGTGATTGAATGTCCTTCTAAGAAAGAATATATATTACAAATAATACTTATGAATTACATAGAAAAAATAGATATAACATTTGCTTCTAAGAAGTATGTAAAACTTGAAAGAATGGACATTGGTGAGCAGAGGAGAGAAATTCAACACGGAAGAGGTAGAGAAATTTGGTATTGAATATAGAAGTGTTTGTCTTAGTTCTCTGTATTTTGTATCACCTATTTATCTCCTTTTATGTGTAATATTTTATAACAAAAATTTAAAAAATGAAAATCCTAAACATTCAGAAATAAAATACACACAGACACAGACATACACACACACACACACACACACACACACACCACTGTGGTCACAGTGTGAGGGCAGAAGACCTGATTTCATTAAGGGTAAGGTTTTAGTATTCATTTGGACTGGGCTATTTGCTACCGGGGGACTGGAACAGTCTCAATGAGCTGGAGATGTGAGGAGCCAGGAGAAGACACCTCACAGAGCAGATGTGCCGGTTAGAAAGAAATAAAGTTGCTTCCTGGTGACCCTTGGCTTCATCCAGCCCATTCAAAAAACTATCAGGCCACCAAATGCCATAAAGTGAGACATGTTAGAAACACAAACTTATTTGTAAAAAGGTCCATAGAAGTTTTGATATTTTCTTTCTAATGCCACTGAACTGTGCTCTTAACCCAGTGAATCATTCTGCATAAGTCTTAGATATGTGACCCTATGGTCAAGACCAGGCCTCAAGAATGGTACCCCATTCAGAAACCAAGTCTATTGGTTGTTGTTATGGAAAGCACTCAGACTTCCAGGCTTTGGCAAATCTCCCTCCCAGAGGATGGATTCTGTCCCCAGATCCCCAGACCCTGCCTAGGTCATAGATTCATAAGCAGCAGCTGTATGTGTCATCTGTCACTCCGCATCTCCTGCTTCATGACATGATATGGTATTAGCTCTCACCTGCACTGCAGCTGGGTGCTTGCTGCCAAATAATTCATGATCAGATCTCTCTATTGGCCTCGTGTTGCCAAAAATCCAACATACCTGTCACCTGAGGTGGGAGGATCCATGACATTGTATACTACTGAAAATGTCCTGCGGTGTCAGAGATGAGAGAACCCAGGAGGGCAGGGGTCATGGCGATCTGGCCCTGTGCTCTCCACCAGCACCTGGCACAGAGTCTGGCATGGAGCAGACCCCGTGAGTGTTGCTGGGCAGATGGGTGGATGGATGAATGGGGTCAGGCTCCAGTGAATGTTGCTGGGTGGATGGATGGATGGGTTGTGAGTGGGTAGGTGGAAAACCACACAGATGATGAGTGAATGAGATGAAAGTAATGAAGAGAGAAGCTCAAAGGCAGCCGAAGCCGTCAGGTGAGTACCTGCATCGCCTTTGTCACCCTTCGCTCCGTCTCGTCCATCTCTTCCAGGCAGACCATTGTGACCGGGGTTCCCAGGGATTCCAGGGTGCCCTTGCCTGCAGGTGTCCTGTGAGTTTATGTTCCCTGTGCAGATTTCAATGGCAAGCAGAAGCCACCAGATCCTCATGGTTCAGATGACAGACTGAACTGAAAGAGGGAAACAGAAACCCAGAGGAGAAACCTTTGTTGCTGGGGCCCTGGACACAGCCTCCGTTCTGTGCAGTGGGAAATGGATGAGCTGTCCCCTGCCCCAGACCCACACCTGGACAGACTTGGCAGAAGACTCAGGGCAGGGGAGCAAGCTGGTTATTACCAGGATGACATTGTCCTTGGAAGGTAACACTTGTGATTGGAACCACTCTTCAAGCTGAACGGGCAATAAAAAAAAGCCAAGTTTAAGGTCAGGATACTCTTCCGTTCATCATTTCACTTTGAAGAAATCACTTCTCTTAACCACAGACCAATGCTTACTTATCTCACAGGACTATTGTAAAAATCAAATTTTATCACAATATGCATAAAGGCACATGACAAATAGTGAAGCAAACATAGCATTACCATCTGATCCAGCAATTCCACTGCTGTGCATCTACACAAAATAATTGAAAGCAAGGACTAGAACAGATGTCCATGTTCGTAGTTGCATTATTTTCCATAGCAACCCAAGGGTCCCTCAGTGGATAAACAGATACATGCAATGTGGTAGGTCCATACAATGGAATATTCTTCAGCCTTAGAAAGAAAAGAAATTCTGACATGTGTTACATGAATGGACCTCGAGAACATTATGCTAAGTGAAACTAGCTAGTCACAAACAGACAGACCTGGATAACTTCAGTTATAAGAGGTTCCTAGAGCCGTCAAACTCATATAAAGAAAAAGTAGGATGATGGTTGCCAGAGGTGAAGAGAGAAGGAAATGGGAGTTGTTTGATGGGTACAGAGTTTGGGAAGATTTTAAAAGAGTTCTGGAGATGGGTGGTGGTGATGGTTGCACAACAAAGAGAATGTACTTAATGCCACTGAACTGTGCCCTTAAGATGGTTAAGCTGGTTAGTTTTATGTTATATATTTTTTTTACCACATTAAACAATTAAATTAAATTTTTAAAAAAGTAAAGCATTCCAAACAGTCTTACTGTAATGAGAGGTATTCTTTGAGTCAGGGTCTTGTTTTTCTAGGAGGCCACTGTGAAGAAGGGCCACACACACAGAAAACATCACCTAGTTCGGGAGAAGTGCATTTTCAAGTCCTTTCCTCTGTAGACACTGCCCCCACCCCAGGTTATCCATGCAGTTTCCCCCGCAGCAGGAGCTAAGACAACGCTTGGGCAGTGCTCCAAACGGAGCAGCAAACGCAAGGCCTGGAAGGAAGATGAAACGTGGATGGCTGGGCCTCCTGACTCAGCAACGCTCCCACTCAGGGCTGTGGAGCACCCTGTTACTCTCCCACATGGCGCTTGTCATGGCAGGGGCTTGACACTTGTTTACATAATTGTAGGATGAAGAATCTGACTCCCCGCCTGACTGTATTTCCTCATTATTGCCTTCCCAGTACTCAATATTAAACTTGGAACAGCAGATTGAACAAATACTTGTTGAATGAAATTAATGTATCATCATGGGAGATGTCTTAGGATATATATATAATTTTTGGAGACAAGGTCTTGCTCCATCACCAAGGCTGAAGTACAGTCATGCAATCACAGCTCACTGTAGTCTCAACCTCCCAGCTCAAGTGATCCTCCTGCCTCAACCTCCCAAGCAGCTGGGACTACAGGCATGCACCACCACACCCGGCTAATTTTTTTTTTTTTTTTTTTTGAGATGTAGTTTCACTCTTGTGACCCAGGCTGGAGTGCCATCTCTGCTCACTGCAAACTCCGCCTCCCAGGTTCAAGCAATTCAGCTTCTCGAGTAGCTGGGATTACAGGCGCCATCACCACGCCCGGCTAATTTTTGTATTTTTAGTAGAGACGGGGTTTCACCATGTTGGCCAGGCTGGTCTCAAACTCCTGACCTCAGGTGATCTGCCCGTCTTGGCCTCCCAAAGTGCTGGGATTACAGGCATGACCCAATGCCACTGGCCCTAATTTCTCTTCTCTTCTTTTCTTCTTTTTTCCTTCCTTCCTTCCCTCCCTCCCTCCCTTTCGTTTTCTTTCTCGCTTTCTTTTTTTTTTTTTTTTTTTTTGAGACTGGGTCTAACTCTGTTGCCCAGGCTGGTCTTGAATTCCTGAGCTCCCACCTCAGTCTCCCAAAGTGCTAGTATTACAGGCTAAAGCCCCTGCACCTGACTTTTAGGATTTAAAAAATTAAAGTAAAACAAAAACGTGGGCCTAGTGCAACTGGTCAGAACCCAGATCCTCTCACAGTGCTGATAGCCACGTAAATCTGCACATCTTTCTGGAAAAGTTAAAGAGCAAAAGACATCTATGTCTTTCACCCTGTATTCCTATCCCTAAAGTTCTTCCTAATGTTCCAAAACTGTGTGCCAATTGTGTGCCATTACCTGCAGCATTATCTATAACAGGTGAAAAAGTGCATACTACATACTATGTAACAATAGGGGAAAGGTTTACTATGTGTAATAGTATGTAACTGCTGCAATAATCATGAAGGTCATGTAGAAATATGTGAATGATATATGTTGTGCTGAATTTTGATAGCAGACTAAAATGCCATGCACATTATAAATGTACTTAACGACTGTATGAATATTGACAAAAACTCAAAGTGAGTATGTGCAAATAAAGATGGTTGCTTTAGAATGCGGGGCAGTTATGGGAGCTTTTCATTTAAAAAATGCTTTTTTATAGTGCCTACACAAATATTTCTAGATTTTGAAAACCAGCAAGACTCTCTGTCATCCAAAGACTGTATTGCCATCTGGTGGAAATGTCACAGGGTGCAGTCTAATGCAAATGGAGTATTTTTAGAAAAGGAAATGCAGATGTTTCTCTTTGAAGTCACAAATCCGCTCCATTCCAGGAAATTGAGTTGAGTTTTCTTGGAGCCAAATTCCATGAAGAATATACATGAGCCTCCTTTGTTAAACTCAGAAGTGGCTGGAAACAGTCAAATCGAAATTCCATCAACCAAACTTTGTTGAGGGTTCTATAATTTTCATTTTAGCCTTTCAAAATGTGGAGTACAACTATTCCAGGAATAAAATGATCAGAAGATCATAAAGGTGTCAGGTTAGGATAAACTCCAACTTGCTCTCCAGGGAAGAAGCCGCCAGCCTGGAAGCAAATGGTTACTCTTCTGTAATTCTTTCACTAGCTTTGCATACTTGATGTAGGTAGAGTCTATCTAGCTTGTTTATACAGCATGTAGACAACCTTCAGCAAATGATTTTGATTAACTAATATGCGTTCTCCCAAATACGCAGCAAAGTAAGTTGTGGCACTATTTCTGTTCTATTTGTTTGCTTGTTTGTTTGTTTATAGAGATATAGTCTCATGATGTTGCCCAGGCCAGACTCGAACTCCTAGGCTTAAGTGGTCCTCCTGCCTCAGCCTCCTGAATAGCTAGGATTAGAGACATGGCCACCACCCAGCTCAGCACTATTTATTCATAAGAAAATTTAGAAAGTTTATACCTCCTATTTAGCCTCTTCTTTAATGTAGAACATTGAGGGTTTGCACAAGGAATATAGAAGAAATTATATTAATGTTATTTTGAAAAATAAAAAATTACATTTGTGCCTCTCACAAAGTTATGGGTTGGACTCTCAGTTTCATTAGTTCAACTACAGTTACACTCTCGACTTTTTTAATTCTGGGTCTGGTCTTTTTCCAGGAGTGCCTTCTGGAAAGAGCTAGGAGCCTCTTCTGTCTCCCATCTTTCCCTGCAATCACCCACTCTCTCTCTCATCTGAATTACTGTCCTCCCCAGTCCCCACTTACTCTGTACACCACACCTAGACTAGTGATCACTTAGTAGGCACCAACCTGGGTTAGAGCTTTATGAAGATGGTGACTGCATTTTTCTACTTCCTTATTTTCAGTGCCTTATTTTCAGTCAAGTATTTGTTGAATGAATCAATGCAGGCATGCAAGAAATACTATCCTGGTTCCAAATGTGTGTGGACCATCACTTGGGAAGGTGACTGGGTATCAACTCTGATCCTTGTCAGTGCTTTTGTGGAGTTACTAGTTATCTCCAATACCCCTTCTCACCTTCATCCAGAGTAATAGAAATTTTGGCTGGGCTCCTAGCCCCCCACGATAGACTGCACTCCCTAGCCTCCCTTGCAGCCTGGATATGACCGTGAAACTAAATTACGGGCCATGGGAATGAGCAAAAAAAAAGTGAGGCGTGTAATTGTGTGCAATGACCGGCCTTAAAGGGTAAGGGGGTGCCCTTTCCCGCTTCCTGTGTGGGGGTGAGCATGGCATGGTGAACCATGTGGGACTCCTTGAAGGAGGGCAACAGAGTTTGGGGACAGAAAATCCCTGGCCTCAGATGACTCCACAGGCCAGACCTGTCCTGCCAGCACATCTTTGACATGAGCACATGAAACAGAAATAGACTTCTACCTTGCATAAGCCACTGTTATTTGGGGTCTTGACACACAGCTGAGCCCACATCCTGACTAATACAAGGCGTGCACTGCCCAAGGTGTGGCTGCTCATCAGAAGTGAGGAGGCTTGCAGACTACTGTAGTCAGCCAGAGTGACAGCTGTTGGGGACTCACTGAGCATAAAACCCTCCCAGTAATATATGTAAAAAGGAACAACAGTCACTGCCTTAGACAGATCAAGACAAGATCTCTATACATTCATATCGTATGAATGTATAGAGACTAGAGGTCATTCTGCAGAATGCTGTGATCGCATGAGTCAGACATACTGGCTTGGTCGGGGCAAAGGGACACATACTGCAAATAACTTTGAAGTTATTGTTTTTTAGTCCCCCCAAAATAGGTTCTTATTTAATTCATTTATTTCTGGCTCATTTCCCTATGCTTTACCTATATTTGTCCTTTGCTAAAGAATCTCTTGATAAATGTTCACCCAGTGCCCTTCCTGATTAATTTTCTCCAAGAACATCATGTCCTTAATTCAACGGCCAGGGTTATCACTCCTCAAGATTCTTAACTCTCCAAAACTAAGATTTAATACAAACCTGCTAGAAATCAGCTGAGTGGTATCTCCCGGGTTTCCAAACCTCAGAGCCTCAGCTTCCTCCTGCATGCACTGGAAAGGATGAACACCCTCCCAGATCTGACGATCTAAGAGTCCAATAGCTCTAGGGTGCCTTCATCGAATATATTCTCTTTCATGCACTCTCTCTATTGTGCACTTCATAGATTTCTTCTTCAACATATATTGATGGTTTTCTCCTACACTGTAAATTAGCACAGCCATAAATATGAAAATGTATACAAGTTGAATACGTGAACCTGATCAAAAAAAAAAGTACACATTAAAATTTGTGCAAAATAAGCTATAAGCTTCTCTAGAAAGCTCTGTTAAAAAGGTCCATTATTCTCATGACTTATTAATGGTTTCTCTCTCTCCTCCTAGCCAGTGGTAGTGTTCTAGCAGAATTTCAAAACCTGCCTTTGTCTCCTCTTCAGCCTCCTCGAGAATAAATTTTGAAAGCGGCTTACCCCTTTCCTACCCAAAACTCTATAGACATCTGACTATTCTGCAAATTAATAAGCAGGATTATCCCACAGATAATATAAGTGCTGTTTTAGGACCTAGATGCCTTAAATTGAATGTAAATAAATCTTTTCCTAATGAACTTACCTGGACCCGAGGGCTGCAGGCTGGACCCAGATACTGCGCAAACCAAGAATCAAGGACCAGCTAAATAAAATCAGCCTTCCTGCCATACAATTCCCCAGTGGATATGTCTGCAAAATAGCAGGAAGGGGAGGGAACAGAGGAAGGCCAAGATGTCTTCGAAGAGCTTCAAGAATTACGGCAACACTTAAATCAGGTAGCATCTTCTACCAGCACCACTTACTTTAGAAAAGTTAACTCCTTTTGAATGAAATGAGGGAATACTTTCAAGGGGAGTCTGAAGGAAGGAGTGCCCCAGGCAGGTTTCTTTTTCAAAGTGATGTTCATGCCTTTGCTTCAGTGCTTCTCCCTGACCTTGGGGTAATTATGGGCAACAGGACAAAACTGAAGGCTGCTAACAGTGGCTGGGTCTCATTTGGATCCCAGACCATTAGAATTCCTATCACTTAGATTTTCAGATGTGTGTGTCGTAATGCCTTACGAGTTTAGGCATTTGTGTAGGTAAGGATTCAGTGCCCATTCCCCTCTCACTCACAATCACACACTCCATCTAACGCGGAGAACGCGGTGCAACCATTTGTTCTATGCCAATCATGGATTCACTTTCCTCGTGTTTAGTAGTAACATTTATCTAAAACTTATGAATAGCTTCTAGAGGACAGAGGAGCCCAGCCCGGTTTCCCCAGATGCCGCGGTGCACCGAGCAGGAGCAGAGGCCACGCGGGAGCCGGGTGTGCGGGTGGGTACCGGCCGCGCCCCTGCTCGGAGGCGGCGACTCCCTCCCCCGCCTTACTCACACCGTGCCTCAGTTTCCCCGTCAGTGCAGCGGACAAGACAATGCCGAGGTCCCAGGCGGGCGGCAGGATCCAATTAGTCCGTGTAAAATGAGAGGCATCTGGCTTCTCCCGGGCACCCCGCAGCCTGCCCCGCCTCTTAGTGGCTAAAGGCAGGGAGCCCCTGAGTCCCAGCGCGGCTGGGGGCTCTCAGCAGTTCTGGCCGAGCTCCCTCCCGCCCGCGTCGCCTGGCCTCGAACCGCTGCACCGCGGGCGGCCCCGACGGGTTCCCGACCTCCCGCTGGGGACACCTGTCCCGCCGCCCGGCCCTTCCCCGCCTCCCGCGCCTCCGCCCCAGGGGAGCTCCGGGACAGGCCCACCTAGGCAGCCTGCCGGCGCAGACCCAGCGAGGGAAGGCCAGTCTCGGGCCTCCAACCGGACACGCGCTCCCCATTCCGGGCTCTCCCACGTCTGCACACTCCAGCCCAGCCACGCGGAGTGGCTTCCAGAACCTGCCCTGCGGCCCCGCTTTGCCAACACCCCACCCACCCCGTGGGCATGATCATCCTCACTGCAGGACCCTGCCGGGGCCTGGGGTCCGTGGGAAGCCGGCTCAGAAGTGAGACCCTGGCCCCCTGCTTACAGGGAAAAGGGCTCCATCCTCCGAGCGCTTCCTGACCACAGCGCCTCCAGCCTCCAGGGCTGGGCGGCCCAGGCTCAGCTGGGTTCACTCCAGCTTTGCCCCTCTCGCCCGTGCGGGGTAGGGGCGCGCTTGTTAGGTCATCTCCCCACAACTCTCCTGGAAGAAAATGCCACCCCCATCTCTTTCACTCCCTCCTATACATGGAGCCACCATGCTCTGCCCTGTGGGTTCTGGGGCTCGCCCCCTCCCCACCCTAGCGACCGCCCCTCCCCAGTGCAGCCCAAGGTCGGGGGGGAGCAGATCACTTTGGGAAGCAGGTGGATGTTAAGAAGAAACAAAAAGTGGGGAGTAACCACTTGGCAGCCTTCATAGGAATCCTTTTCTGATTACAGCCACAGCAAACCACGGGCTGTTGACTTAGCGTTTCTGAGCTGCTAATTAGAGAAGGAAATTCTATCTACTCACCCCCAAAGGGCAAGTGAACAGGGCCACTAGCACAGCTTTTGTGGCAGGGCCTAGCCTTTGGGGCAATCAGAGGGCACAGTCTGTTCTCTTTGCCTCCTCTCCATCAACCCTAGCAAAAGCCAGACCCGTCCCACTGCTCCCTTCCACATCCCTCTGACTCCAACACTGAGTCCACTGACATTTCTCAAGCCAAGCGGCCCTCCTAGGTTGCTCTCAGAGGCTTCCTTCTCCCACGCCTACCCAGTTAGATGGAGCTCTTGAATGGATTACCACACTTTTAACCACCTCTATATAAGATAACTGCTTTTTCATCCCCAAATAAAAGTTTTATTGAATCTTAATGGTAAAATCTACTGTTTAGGGGGAACAGCAGATAACTCATCATACATTTTGGATGCAATTCTTTTGACTTTTTGAAAAACTGCTTTTAATAGGTGAACTATGTTTTTAGTTGTATAAGAAATTAAGAAAAAGACTGGAAAAAATAAAAGGAACTCTATGATCAGTAATAGAGTATTATACCATATCCAATGGTTATATGCTTTTCTACAATTATCCCAGTAACCTGAATGTAGAGTTATTTTATTTATTATTATTATCATTTTAAGAGATGTCTCGCTATGTTGCCCAAGTTGTAGTGCAGCTTAGATATTCACAGGTGCAATCATAGAGAATGGAGGCCTTTAACTCCTGACCTCAAGTGATTCTCCTGCCTCAGGCTCTCGAGTAGCTGGGACTACAGGTACATGCCATCACTCTCCGCCTGATGCACAATTATAAAAAGGAATTAAACACTGCTGAGTTGGAGAAAATTGACTGTGATATTTTCAGTTTAGTTCAAGAAATTTTCATACTATAGAACAGACTGTCAATCATCAAGATTCTCTATTTTTTATTTTGTATAAAATAGGATTGTAGCTTCATCACATTATTTTCTGACACTAATTGTTTTCTCTATCCCTTTTATGGCCTTATTAAAACCAATATAGAAATACATCTCTAAGGCAACTATCAAGAACAACAGATTAGATAAAGGTATTCTGTGAAATAACCTTTGATTATAGTCACAACACATCAAGTTAAATTTTTAAAAATTTACATAATGCAATTGTGTCACGGTTTCCAAGAAGACCCCCAGGTTTGGTGAGTCACTAGAAGGACTCACAGGGCCTACCAAATAGTCATACTCAGGGCTTGGATTTATGACAAAGGATACAAAGCAAAATTAGCAAAGGGAAAAAGTGTATTTGGTAAAATCTGGAGGAAATCAGGCACAAACTTCCAGGAGTCTTTTCCTGTGGAGGTACCAGGATGTACTTAATTCCCTCAGCCTCAAAATTTGACAACACATGTGCAATGTTGTCTACCAGTACCAGAATCTCATTAGAGACTCAGCACTCAAGTTTTTATGGAGGCTAGTCACATAGGCTTCTCTCTCTCAAAGGTACTCAACTTCCAGACTCCCAGAAGGAAAGCAGCTATTCAGAGTAAACCGCATTGTTTATACAGTTTAGGACAGAGTGAACCACTCTTCTCAGTTAGGAAATAGTGGGGACTCTCCCAATTCCAAGGTCCCAAATGCCAGGCAGAGGCCAGCCATGCAAGCAGGCCTTTCTAAGGATGACAGTCTCATGCCCGCTTTATGAAATCTCTTCTGCACAGCAGTTATAGTCCCTACTTAATTTTTGTGGTTGTCTTTATATTTTATTTTAAATGCAAACAATATAATGATATAACACAGTACTGGTTTCAGTTGTTTGATCCATCTCAACTTGCAAGACTGGCTACCTTTTTGGCTTTTGTTGAATAACAGGTAGTTGTATGTAAGATACTATGGCAATATTAGGTAATTATAATTTTTCCTCATCTGATTAAACTTTCAATAAAATTGTTAGATAAAATAAGCATCATAATTTCTAATTTAAAATTAAAATTGTCTTAAATGGATGGTCCAGTTTCAATTCATATTGTGTCAAATTTCTATTTTTAATTGCAAAATAAGAAAATATTTAATCATTTTTATCAATTATTTTCTTGGCTAAATATTCAATTTAAATTATTTGCTTCACATATTTTTGTATACTTCAAATTTGGGAGATAATGCCCATATTCTGTTACTTTGACTTTTCATGATCTCCAGTGTTCAAGGTGTCAATATTAGTCTGCTTTTCATTACCATAAAAAAAAACCCTGAGGCTTAGTAATTCAAAAAGAGACTTATTTGGCTCACTACTCTGAAGCCTGTACAAGCAAGGCACCAGCATCTGCCCAGCTTCTGGTGAGGCCTCAGGAAGCTTTATTCATGGCAGAAGGTGCAGGGGGAGCAGGTGCCTCACATGGCAAGAGAGTAAGAGAGAAGAGAGCAAGAGAGAGCTGCCAGGTTCTTTCAAAAAACCAGTTGGCATGAACTACTGACTACTCCAGGGAGGGCACCAGGCCATTCATAAGGGTTCAGCCCCCATGACCAAAACAACTCCCATTAGGCTCCACCTCCAATACCAGGGATCATATTTCAACATGAGATGTGGAGGAGACAAACATCCAAACTGTATCAGAGACTATATCTTACTATAACATATGGCAATGGCATAAATGTGTATTGCTATATCTTGTAATACTTTTTCTTCAGTAGCTTTTCATACGTTTTAGTTAATATAATTTTATTTTTATTAATGTCAATTTAACTTAAATCTGAAAATATTTCGATTTCAAATTACATGTTGTTATGACCACTCAACTTTTAAAAGGCATCTACTTTTTATTAAGTAACAATCTGGGACAAATAGAGTGAATTTTACCAAAACCATATTTGATTTATTTTTCCCACTGGTATACATAATTTACTATTATTACATATAATTTGCTTATAATTTTTATTTGAAGGCTCACTGACCATCATTTGGATAGAGCTTTGTCCAGCAATGATAAGTGTAGTTATCTGTGACCTTTTAGTCTGGCATTGGATCCTCATTTTCAGACAAATGAGGGGAGGTGGGATTCACATATAGTAGAAATGCCATAAGTAGGAGAGAGACTCATAGCAGCTGAGGTCAGGAGGTTACCTACAGGGCCTTAAAAGCCATTGGAATTTTTCTTTTATTCTGAGACAGGAATCTATTGGAAAGATTTGGACAGGCAAGTGAATAACTGAGGACCCCTGAGGTTGATTTGAGCTCCTAATAAAAAAAGAGGAAAAAGAGGGAAACGTTCCTCAGTGTAGAATTGACCACTGCCAGCCTCACTCACATATCCACTGCTTTCTTGAGACTTCAGCAGGTTGTTAAGCATCGCCGAATTATCAGCAGATGACTGAATGGTGGGCTAAAACTGTCGTCTAGTAACAGAATATCTATTTGGCAGGAAGATAACACCTGCTGTGTCCTTAACTGGATTCAGTAATAAATAGGAATATGTACACATGAGGAAAAGAAGGTGAATTGTGTATGAGGTGATATTTTTCCAAGTGTATGTTAGAGTTAGATATTATTGAAAATTTAATAATAAGGTGATTTACAAAATCAGTAACAAAAATACTTTATCAGGTGTGTGAGACAACTTCAACAAGAAGTCGCTGTAACCCTAAAAAAACCATCTATGTCGGGCTGGGCACGGTGGCTCACGCCTGTAATCACAGCACTTTGGGAGGCCAAGGTAGGCAGATTACGAGGTCAAGAGATTGAGACCATCCTGGCCAACATGGTGAAACCCCCGTCTCTACCAAAAATAAAAAAAAATTAGCCTGGCGTTGTGGCGTACGCCTGTAGTCCCAGCTACTCGGGAGGCTGAGGTAGGAGAATCACGTGAACTCGGGAGACAGAGGTTTGCAGCGAGCCGAGATCATGCCGCTGCACTCCAGCCTGGCGACAGAGTGAGACTCCATCTAAAAAAAATAAAATTAAAAAAAAAAACCATCTATGTCAGAGACTTCCCTAGAGGTTACATTATGTGACCACATTAATTTAGAAAAAGGGACACAGGAGTTATTTCAAATCAGAAGTCAGATATGTGTGAAATTTAACATGTCAACAGTTAATCTGTAGCTGGTTAAACAATATAAAGTGTTTTAAGATACTAATTTCAGAAGACAGCTTTCTTTTGTATCTTCATTATAACTGATTTTATTAAAATTTTAGTATCTTTATAGTGACTTTCATTATGCCTTTTTTCTTATAATTACATACATTTTTTTCTTATAATACCCCTAGAAAAGTTAAGAATTATGTATCATTCCTCACAAAAGTTGAGTGACTTTTTTTCCTGTTAAACAGTATGTTTAAGTGACTTCTTTATTGCCAGCATAAGGCAAGCCAGATTAAATCAGAGGAGAATGTTTCATGGAATGTTCCAGAAATTATCTTATTTTTATCTTCACTTTTGTGAATAGATATAGAATCTGTGCCTGTTTATTTCACGGATTTCAGGTTAACCATTACAGAAAGGCCATGATACTGTTCTTCAAAATGCAAATGTTTTATGTTAATTTACAAACTGTTTGAAAAGTTGGACATTTCCTTTATTTTAAAAAATTTAAAATTGTAAAAGCATATTAATATTTAGATTATGTATTGTGTATACATTCAAAACAGAGAATTAAGAAACTTACCTGAGGCTAGGAGTGGAGGTGGGAGCCTATAGTCTCAGCAACTGAAGAGGCTGAGGTAGCAGGATGACCTGAGCTCAGGGGGTTGAGGCTGCAGTGAGCCACAGTTGTGCCACTTTATTCCAGCCTGAGTGACAGAGTGAGATCCTGTCTCAAAAAAAAAAAAAAAAAGAAAGAAAGAAAAAGAAAGAAAGAAAGAAAATTCTCTTAATCTTGCCATTAGATTTTTAAAAACAACTTTAGTGAGATATAAATCACATATACTGCTCACCCATTTAAAGTATACAACTAAGTGTATCTTAGTATACACACAGAGTTGTGTAAACTTCACCACAATCAATTCTAGTGCGTCTTCACCACCCTGAAAAGAAACCCTGCATCCTTACTTTTTGTCTCCACAGATTTGCCTGTTCTGGACATTTCATATAAATAGAGTCATTCCTTGACGACTGGCTTCTTTCTCTTAGCATAATGTTTTCAGAGTTCAATTGTACTGTGGCACGTATCAGTACTTCATTTTTTTTATTCTTGAATAATATTCTACTGTATGGCTATACCAGTTATTCATTCATCACTTGATGGATGTTTAGGTTGTTTTCACTTTTTGGCTATTATTTTCAATGCTGCTATGAACATTCATTTACAAGTTATTGTATGGACATATGTTTGTATCTCCCTACCACTGGACTTTGTCCTCAGGGTTAATTGAGCTGATTTCACCATCTCTCTTCCCTATTCATGCTGTCTTTCCTGCTTTTTCAGTTTCTGTTCATTTAGCCTCATTCATTCAGACCTGCCACACAATATTTCTTGCTCTGACTGTTCTGAGTCTGACCTTATGCTTCAACACTTATTTTCTAGTCTGTGCAAAACAATTGCACCCTTAATTCTACATTGCTTTTAGTTTTTTTTCATGGGAGATAATTTTATCTTACTGTAAATTTGCTTAAGAGGAGAATAATATGTGAAATACATGTCACTTACGTTTGTATAAATCAAAAATAGTTTAGCTTAACAGTTGTTAGAATACAATTAAATATTTATACCACACCGATATTTTCTTTTTTTGAGACATTGATGTAGTAAAGCTTTTATTTTGTGTATTTGAAGCAACTAAACACAAAATTAAGACCACTGAAGTCTTACAGAGAAAAATTGTTCAATCAAATGCTCATGTTTTTTCACTATGAAAACAAACCTAAATTTGCCTTCTTTCATTGTGCAACCAGAACTGAGATTTATGGGTTGACACCACTTTACCATCTGAAAACCTCTGGCTGCAGCTTTTCTGAGATGCCACATAACATAACTTTCATCTGCTCATCAGCGTGCTTGTTAAAGCAGCCCAACATAGACAGTTGCTGCAAATGAATTGATTTGCAAAACTTTGACTTAGCAATAGAGTCTGATATTTTCAGGTCAGTGGCTTTAGCCTGCCTCTGATTGTCATGTAAGTTATATACCACTCAATCCAGGAGGTGCTATTTGCATTGTAGCACATGGTCATTGCCCACTAAGTAGTACAGAGAGAAAAGTAATCTGTAAATTATTGTAAGTAGAAAAAGGCACTGTTGTCTACTGGAACTGGTGAAGGTTCTATGAAGTACTGAAGATGTACTGGGCCTCATCCCATTTGCTGTAATTTTTAGTGGCATGAAGAATGATTCAGTGCAGGTATAGACCACTTTCATTGGCCATGTCACCAGAACATAAAATATAATAAAAATAATGATGCCAATAGCAAATATTATACACACACATATGTATAGATAGCTCAGTACATGACACATATTCTTCTGGTACTTTACATATATCCCACCATTAAATCTTTCCAGCATCCCTGTGTAGTAGATACTATTTTCTTCATTTTATAGATTTTTATATAAATTTTTATATGTAATTCTATATTTACATATATATTTTCTAAAAGACACAGAAAGTTAATTTGCTCACGGTCATACAGCTATTAACTGCTGGAGCTGAGATTCAGACCGAGGCATTCTGGCTTTTGTGAAGATACTTCCTCTCAAACTATTCCATGAAACATCTGGTTGCCACCTAAAGCATCATATTAATTTCTATAATTACTGGCATAGCCGGGGTCATTTACATCTGTAAATATTTAAAACTGTAGTTGAGGCCTCTTGATGTGAGGTGAAGGTGGAGGAGAAAACAGTTTGTGGGGGGAGCAATCAGTGAGCTGGAGCATGGTGCTACTTGGCTCCTGATATAAATAATAACAATGTGAAAGAAGAAGGCCAACAGGAAGGAGAAAAAGGAGGAGGAGAAAGAAGAAGAAAAGAAGAAGAAGAAGAGGAGGAGGAGGAGGAAGAAAGAAAGAAATGAAAGAAAGAAAGAAAGAACATTTGAAAGATACTGATCAAAAGAAAGTGAAGATGAAGGTGAAGATGATCATGATGGTGAGGAAGGAGAGGAAGAAGAAGGACAAGATGACTCACAGAACACTGATGGATTCCAACTTAAAAAATTATGCCCAGTCTCTAGGAGAAAGTTGTAGTCTTTTTTTTTCCCCCTCTTGTGCTCAGTTGGCCTTTTTTTTGTTGAGGTCTTTCATATCTGCACCATGGTTCTCAACTTATTTTGGGAGGAAATAGCTTGAGCAGAATACTATGGAAAAATAACCTCCACTCCTTTCTGTTTCACATTTACTTTTGTTCCTCCTTGTACCTCAACAAACACTGTATGGAATCAACAGCATGAAGCTGTGTGGGGGAAAACAAAACAAAATGAAATAACCTTTTTTTTTTCACTCTTCACTCTGCTAAAAGCTAGAGGGTGCCTAGGCTCCCAAGAAATAGTGCATAACAATACATTTTTCTCCCCACCTCTCTCTGTATATTAGGCTGACAGTATATCCTGTCTGTATGTGAATAAGAACAGTGAGCATTCTCCAACATGTGTCTATCTAATTTCTCTTGTTTAAAAACAGAAAAAAAAACCTCTAAAAAATGGAGTTATAGAAGGTCAGCCCAGGGTGGGTTTGAGATGTTTTGGTGGGCTAAACGGGCAATTTTATAACATGGCTTCTCCTATGCCTTGTTTGTGATGTTTAATGAATATCCTTGCAGTTTAAGATGACACTTTTAAAATACATTGTCTCCTAATGATGGCTTGAACTCTGTTGCTAAACAGGAGAATCAGGATCTCATTTGGAATTGACATTGTCTATTGTAGTTTTGTTTTTGTTTATTTTTAAATTTTCTTTTTGTTTTACTGGAAAGATGCTAGTTTTAAATGTTAAAAGTATACAAGTTATTACAATCAAACTAGATGTGTACACACAAAGAAAATTAAATAAGTTGATGTAACGGTGCTTGTAATTCAAAAATATAAAGGTTTATCTTATGTTAATTTCCTATCTTTTCCCATTTTACAAATTTTGTAAGTTGAGTATTTATCTAATCAAATATAATTTAAACACAGAAAAATAGAATAATGTTGTGTTCTGGTCCTAGAGCAGGATTGGTAAACTTTTCTGTAAAGGATCAGATAGTATTATGTGAGGCTTTGTGAGCAATAGGATCTCTGTTGCAACAACTCAACTCTCTAGTTACAGTACAAAAGTAACCATAAACAATATGCAGATTGAAGAGGTGTGGCTGTGTTTCGATAAAATTTAGTTACAAAAGCAGGTGATGGGCAGGTTTGTACTAGATTATAAGTAGAGTTTATTATTATGATTATTTGTTTTAGTTGCAAGAAGCAAAGGATCAAATCACAGATGTTACAGGAGGTGCTGAAAAGACTCAAGACTACATGCAAAAGCATAAGTTAAAGTAACTTGAGTATTTATAAAGCAAATAAACAATGTAGTATGATAATTGTATGAGTGAGGATAATAAGCGCATCTGTGTGAAGCCAAGGATAAAGTTCACCTTTAAGCTATTTTGAAATGCATAATTTTTGTACGTTATTCCTAAATTTTGCACATTACCCACAAAATATAGGTAGAAAAATGATACAGTCTCCCAATCATCTATTTTTCAACTCTTTAAGAATTTACATAATCATAGATGCTTAGAAATTATGTGATATTTTAGAAATGTATCTTTGAGGATAATTATTTTAAAATCTACCTTTTAGGCTTAATATAAAAAATTTCCAAGTAAAAATTCCAGTCAAAAATCAAGTGGAAAAAAATGAACAGTTTGAGAAAAACCGGTTAAGTCCAAGTTTGGTAAGTCAATTTTTAAATTTCTGTCATACTGAATAGAAATTTTATTTTTCTAGTAAGACAGATTGAATATCCCTTATCCAAAATGCTTGAGACCAGAAATGTTTCAAATTTTGTATTCTTTTGATTTTAGAATATTTGTGTATACTTAATGAAAGATCTTAGGAATGAGACCCAAGTCTAAACACAAAATTCACTTACATTTCATATATACCTTATACACATAGCCCGAATTTTATACAGGATTTTATAAAATAATTTTGTGCATGAAACAAAGTTTTGACTGTGTTTTGCTGTTGTTCTGTCACATGAGGTCAAATGTGGAATTTTCCACTTGGGGCATTATGTCTGCATTCAAACAGTGTCAGATTTTGGAGCTTCAGGTTTTTAGAGTAGAGATTTTCAACCCATAGTACAGAAGCTCCTCAACTTATGATGGGGTTACATCCCAATAAAGCCATTGTAAATTGAAAGCATTGTAAGATGAAAATGTATTTAATATACCCAACCTACCAAACATCACAGCCTGGCCTACCTTAAACATTATCCGATCACTTACATTAGCCTACTGGTGGGCAAAATCGTCTAACACAAAGTCTTATAATAAAGTATTATATATCCCATGTACTGCGTATTGCCAACCTGGGAAAAGATCAGGATTCAAAATTCAAAATTCAGACTGTGTTGAAATTGCAATAGTTTCACACCATGGTGAAGTCAAAAAATTACAAGTTGAACCATTGTAAGTTGGGGGTCTATCAGTATATAAGAATATTTCAGACAATGTGAAAAGTCTCATTGATAAAAAAATATTTTATTCATATTGATACTACTTGCCACTAGTAGTGCAATCTTCTTGACTTCATAGAATAAGTTGACTGAATTCATAAAGTTAATGATTTTGATAAAAGTCACATTTTAATAAAAGAGATTATGATAGTCTAAAATCAATATTTTATACCTACTTTTTTTTTTTTTTTTTTTGAGACAGAGTCTCGCTCTGTCGCCCAGGCTGGAGGGCAGTGGCGCCATCTCGGCTCACTGCGAGCTCCTCCTCCCGGGTTCACGCCATTCTCCTGCCTCAGCCTCCCGAGTAGGTGGGACTACAGGTGCACGCCACCGTGCCCAGCTAATTTTTTGTATTTTTAGTAGAGACGGGGTTTCACCATGTTAGCCAGGACGGTCTCGATCTCCTGACCTCGTGATCCACCTGCCTCGGCCTCCCAAAGTGCTGGGATTACAGGCGTGAGCCACCACGCCTGGCCTATATATACATTTTAAAAAAATTTATTCATGCATCGAGGGAAAGTTGGGTTATTTCCATCTTTTGGCCATTAGAAATAATGCTGCTAATGGATACTACTTCATTATACAAGTATTTTTTCCCCTACAGCATGTGTTTTTCTTACTGCAAGTTAAAAAAAAAAGAAAAGAGATGCCAGTGAAAAAGTAGAAATGGGTGCTCCAGGAGGGCCTTAGGGAGTAACATAGTCCTCCTAACATAATGTTCAGAAAGTAATCTTTTTCCATTCACCTGTGTTCATCAGCCTTTCAAAGCCTTAACAGTCCAATCGCAGAAAAGATGGATACATACTCTAGGATATCAATTTATTGATGTAGAGTGAAAACTATATAAATGATAACAAAGCAAAACAGAATTCTCCTGACATTCATGCTTTCCTTTGTAGGAATGAAGGTCAGAAAATTGTGTCATGAATACTAAATTGGAGCAATGAGGTAGATGCTCCTACTAACGAGTTTCCTTAAGTCACAATAGGAAGATTTATGCAATTTTATCATTCCGATTAAACCTATCAGGGAAACTAGAACTTTTGTAAGAACACTCACGACCTATTAAGCCTATGCAAAAATAATGAAGGTTTTTCTGTACATTTTCATAGAAATAAATTAGGAATATTGCATAGAATTATTAGCGACTTTAAAATCTACCCTATGAATTAAAAATCTAATAAGAGACAGCTTTCAACAAACTCAATCAATAGCCTCTATTTTCTGCAGAAAGTTCTCATTTCATGAATTGCTAAGCCAGAGACTACCTTAAGAAATTTTATAGATACAGTTTAGAGGTGAAGAATCTAGATTGGGAAGGAGAGACAACCCTCCAGGGCTAAGCAGGGAGCTCAGATCACTGCGCACTCCACAGATCAACTCATTGCCTGAGGCAACAGTGGCTTCTGCCAGTAAATAAGGATCAAGTATACACCTGACTGCATTGGCTGCAGCTGGCTCTTACTCGTAAGTGTCATCTATTGGCTTATAGTGGAACTGTACAGTTCAATATAAAACCTGCTGACAGGGTAAACAAGGCTAAGAAGCAAAGCCGAAAGACTCTACCTAACATTCTCTACAGTCACACTCCCTAGGGTGGGAGAGGGGAAAGAAAAAAAAGCAATAATTTTATAGGGAAAGAAAGAAAAAAAAAATCCTACCCTCACAAAAATAATTTAAAAAGTTAGAAGTATCAGCATTTCCAGATGAGATGGGACTAGCATAAGAATTCTGGCATGAGGCTTGGTGCAGTGGCTCATGCCTGTAATCCCAGCACTTTGGGAGGCCGTGGCCTCAAGCGGATCACTTGAGGTCAGAAGTTCGAGAACAGCCTGACCAAAATGGAGAAACCCTGTCTCTACTAAAAATACAAAAATTAGCTGGGCATGGTGGTGCATGCCTGTAATCCCAGCTCCTTGGGAGGCTGAGGCAGTAGAATTGCTTGAATCTGGGAGGCAGAGGTTGTGGTGAGCTGAGATCGTACCATTGCACTCCAGCGTGGGCAACAAGAGCAAAACTCCGCCTCAAAAAAAAAAAAAAAAGAATTCTGGCATGAAAAATCTGAATGTAGTGTGACACTACCAAAGGATCACACCAGCTTTCCAGTGTTCTCTAACCAAAATGGAAACTCAGAAATGACAGATAAAGAATTCAAAGCATGGATTGCAAGGAGATCCAAGACAAGGATTAAAATCAACCCAAAGAAACTTCTAAAGCAATCCAGGAAATGAAAGGAGACAATCAACTTAAAAAGAAATCAGTCAGAGCTTCTGGAATTGAAAAACTCATGTAAAGAATTTCAAAATATAACTGAAATCTTTATCAATAGACTGGACCAAGCAGAAGAAAGAATTTCAGAGCTTGAAGACCAGTCTTTTGAACTAACCTAGTCAGATAAAAAAATAGAGAAAAAAGAATATTAAAAGTAAATAGGGTTCTTGAGAAATTTGGGATTATGTAACATAACCACACCTATGAATTATTAGTGTTCCTGAGGGAGAAGGAGAAAAGTAAACAACTTGGGACACATATTTGAGGAAATAATTCAAGAAAACATTCCTAATTTTGATAGAGGTGGTCATCCAAATAAAGAAATCCAGAGAACACCTGTGAGATACTATGCAAAACAAATATCATCAAGGCATATAGTCATTGGACTGTCCATGGTCAATGCTAAAGAAAAACATTTTAAAGGCTGAGAAGGTAAACCTGTCAGGCTAATAGTGGACTTCTCAGCTGAAACGTTGCAAGCCACGAGGGATGGGGGCCTATTTTCAGCATTCATAAATAAAAGAAATTCCAACCAAGAATTAAATATCCTACCAAACTAAGCTTCATAACTGAAAGAGAAATAAAATCTTTTCCAGACAAGCAAGTGTTAAGGGAATTTGTTACCATTAGACAAGACTTACAAGAGATCCCTAAAGGACTTCTAAACATGGAAATGAAAGAATGATACCTGCTACCACAAAAGCATAGTTAATTTACGTAGCTCACAGACCCTATAAAGTAACCATGCAATAAAAACTACATAGCAACCAGCTATCAACTTTACTATAGGACCAAAACTTCACATATCAATATTAACCTTTAATATCAACAGTCCAAATGCCTCCATTTAAAAGGCACAGTGTAGCAAATTGGATAAAAAAAAATCGAGACCCATCTCTTTGTTGTCTTCAAGAGATCCGTCTCACACATAATGACACCCATAGGCTTGAAGTAAAGGGTTGGTGAAAGAGCTATTATGCAAACAGAACACCAAAAAGAGCAGGGGTGATGATTCTTAGATAAAACAGACTTTAAAACAACAGCAGTAAGAAAGGACAAAAAAAGGCATTACATAATGATAAAAGGTTTAATTCAACAAGGAGACTTAACTGTTCTAAATGTATATGCACCCAACACTGGAGCACCCACATTCATAAAATGAGAAGTTCTAGACCTACAAAAAGACTTGTACAGCCACATAATCAATAGTGGAGGACTTCAACACCCCACTGACAGCATTAGATCATCAAGGCAGGAAACTAACAAATTCTAGACCAAAATTGTACACCTGATCAACCGAACCTAATAGACATCTACAGAGTACTCAGTTCATCAACCCCAGAATATACATGTTTCTTTTCTGCACACAGAACATTCTCCAAGATCAACCACATTTTTGGTCATAAAGGAAGTCTCAATAAATTAGAAAAATACAAATCATGCCAATGATACTTTCTGATCACAATGGAATAAAAATAGAAATTAGTACCAAGATAATCTCTCAAAACTACATGATTATATGAAAATGAAAAAACCTGCTCCTGAATGACTTTTGGGTAAACAACAAAATTAAGGCAGAAATAAAAAAAAAATCCATGCAATAAATTATAACAAAGACACAATATACCAAAATCAGTGGGATACAGCAAAAGCAGTATTAAGAGGAAAGTTTGTAGCCCTAAATACCTACATCAAAAAGTTAGAAAGATCTCAAATTAACAATTGAACATCACACCTAGAGGAACTAGGAAAATAAGAACAAACTAGCCCCAAAGCTACCAGAAGAAAAGAAAGAAGAGCAAAACTGAATGCAAATGGAAACCCAAAAATCCATACAAATAATTAATGAAACCACAAGTTGGGTCTTTGAAAGGATAGAAAATCAACAGACAACCAGCTAGCTGAACAAACAGAAAAAGAAGATCCAAACCAGCACAATCAGAAATGACAAAGATGACATTACAACCAATCCCACAGAAATGCAAAAGATTCTCAGCAACGATTATGAATACCTCTATGCAAACAAACTAAAAAATCTACAGGAAATGGGTACATTCCTGGGAACCCACAACCTCCTAAGACTGAATCAGGAAGAAATTGAAACCCTGAACAAACCAATATTGAGTTCCATAATTGAATCAGTAATTTAAAAAACTTAAAAACTCCAACCAAAAAAAGCCACAAACTTGACGGATTCACAGCTGAATTCTACCAGATGTACAAAGAAGAGCTGGTGCCAATTCTGCTGAACCTAATCCCAAAAAAATCAAGGAGGTGGGACTCCTCCCTAAATCAATCTACAAAGACAGTGTCATCCTGTTACCAAAATCTTGCAAAGACATAGCTATACAAGAAAACTACAGGTCAATATCCCTGATGAACATAGATGCAAAAATCCTCAAACAAATACTAATGAATGCAGCAGCAAATCAAGAAGTTAATTCTCCATGATCAAGTAGGCTGTATTCCTGAGGTGCAAGGTTAGTTCAACAAATGTTAATCAATAAATGTGATTCACCACATAAACAGGATTAAAACAAGAAACCACAGTTTATCTCCATAGATGTGGACAAAGCTTTTGATACAATCCAACATGCTTTCATGATAAAACCCCTCAACAATCTAGACATCAAAGGAACAAACCTCAAAATATTAAGAGCTATCTATGACAGACTTATAGCCATCATCATGCTGAATGGGCAAAAGCTGGAAGCATTCCCCTTGAGAGTAAGACAAGGATATCATCTCTCACCACTCCTATTCAACATAGTACTGTAAGTCCTAGCCAGAGCAATCAGGCAAGAGAAAGAAATTAAAGGCATCCATATAGGAAAAGAGGAAGTCAAACTCTCTTCACTGATGATATGATTCTATACCTAGAGAACCCTGAAGACTCTGCTAAAAGGCTCCTGGAACTGTTCAATGATTTTAATTTCAGCAAAGTTTCAGGATACAAAATCAATGTACAAAAATTAGTAGCATTTATATATACCAGTAACATTCAAGCTCAGAGCCAAATCAAGAATGCAATCCCATTTACGATGTCCATTAAAAAATACTTAGGAATACATCTAACTGAGGAAGTTAATATCTCTACTAAGAGAACTACAAAACATTGCTGAAAGAAATCAGAGATGACACAAATAAATGGGAAAACATTCATGCTCATGGATTGGAAGAATCACTATTGCCCAAAACAATCTATAAGTTCAATGCTATTTCTATCAAACTACCAATGCCATTTTTCACAGAATTAGGAAAAAACTGTTCTAATCCTCATATGGAACCGAGAAAGAGCCCATATAGCCGAAGAAGTCCTAAGCAAAAAGAACAAAGTTTAAGGCATTACATGACCCGACTTTGTACTATATCCTATCAGGCTACATTAACCAGAACAACATGATACCGGCACAAAAATAGACACATAGACCACTGGAACAGTATAGAGACCCAAGAAATAAAGATGCACACCTCTAATCATCTGATCTACAACAGATTAGACAAAAATAAATAATGGGGAAAAGACTTCCTATTCAATAAAAGGTGCTGGCATAACTGGCTAGCCATGTGCAGAAGAATGAAACTGGACCCCCTTAGCTTATACCATATACAAACATTAACTCAAGATGGATTAAAGATTTAAATGTAAGATTTCAAACTATAAGAGTCCTAGGAGAAAACCTAGAAAATACCATTCTATACATTGGCCTTAAGAAAGAATTTGGAGTCCTCAAAACATTTGAAACAGAAACAAAAATTGACAAGTGGAACCTAATTAAACTAAAGAGCTTCTGCACAGCAAAATAAACTATCAACACTGTAAACGCACAACCTACAAAATGGGATAAAATATTTGCAAACTATGCATCTGAAAAAGGTCTAATATCCAGAATCTATAAGGAGCCTAAACAATTCAACAAGCAAAAAGCAAATGACCCCATTAAAAAGTGGGCAAAAGATGTAAAGAGACAGTTCTCAAAAAAGACACAGGGTGGCCAACAAACATATGAAAAAAAAATACTCAACCTCATTAATCATCAGAGAAATGCAAATCGAAACCATGGTGAGATATCATCAGGATGGCTATTATTAAAAAGTCAAAAAATGACAGATGCTGGCAAGGCGGTAGAGAAAAGGGAATGCTTATACACTGCTGGTGGGAGTGTAATTTAGTTCAGCCACTATAGAAAGCTGTTTGAAGATTTCTCAAAAAACTTAGAACTAGCATTCAACCCAGCAATTCCATTACTGAGTATATATACAAAAGAAAATAAACCATTCTTCCAAAAAGACATATGCACTCCTATGTTCATGGCAGCACGTTTCACAATAGCAAAGACATGGAATAAACCTAGGTGCCCATCAATGGTGAACTGGATAAAGAAAATGTGGTACATATACACTATGGCCATAAAAAAGAATGAAATCATGTTTTCTTGCAGCAACATGGATGCAGCTGGATGCCATTATCCTAAGCAAATTAACATAAAATTAACAGAAAACTAAATACTGCATGCTCTTACTTGTAAGTGGCAGCTAAACATTGGGTACTCATAGACATAAAGGTGGCAATAATAAACACTGGGGACTACTAAATGGCAGAGGGCAAGAAGTGGGCAATGTGTGAAAAACTAACTCTTGGGTGCTATGCTTAGTACCTGGGTGATGGAATCAATCACAATGCAAACCTCAGCATCATGCAATACAGCCACGTAACAAACCTGCACGTGGGCTCCCTGAATCTAAAACACAAGTTGAAATTATTTTAAAAAATTGTCTTCCAATATACGAACATGAACTCTCTCTCCATGTATTTAAATATTCTGATTCATCAGTGTTTTGTAGTTTTTCACATATATATCCTGTATGTATTTTGTTACATGTATAATTGTAAATACCTCATTATTTTTTGATGCTATTGTAAACTGTATTTTTTAAAATTTCAAATTCGAATTGCTCTTTATTGACATATAGGAAAGAAATGGGCTTTTGTATATTAATCTTGTATTTTGAGACCTTGCTAAACTCACTTATTTGTTCCAGAAGTTTGTATTGTTCTTGTTGTCGATTGGATTTCCTAGTTATTCAATAAAGTAATTTGTGAATAAAGACAGTTTTATTTTTTAAAAAGTCAAGTACTATTATTACTCTTGGCACATTCTGGCACTCGGTAAATTAACTTTCTTTGATTGTGATCTCTGGTATTACCACTAGAGGGCGCCTTGAGACAAACTATCCTGTACAGTTTTTTCATTACAGAAGGGCATCCTTGTGAAATGGGGAATGATTAACATAGGCATGAGGGGAATTGTAATTCACAAAGTAGTTAAAAATAACACCTTGCTCAGCCTGAGGGGGATGTGTGCAAGACAGAGGGCAGGCCCCACCTCTGGTGCTGTGGTTACAATGCTAGGAGCTAACTGCCTTTGAAGATGGCTTTAGTTCTTTTTGATTACCAGCTCAGCTCTCTCATTCTTCTCTAAAATTGTTGCTCTGAATTATTCCTCAATGTCAAATGCTTAATTTTTCCCAGGTAATGAGTGACTTGTACAAGGGTGCTGAAAAAAAATACTTGAAAACGTCTTTGAGGGCTAATTTTTAAAATATCTAAATTGGTTTCCTAAACACAATCATTTCTGGCTTTTAAAAAAGTCTTGGTTTATTAATTACATATATTTAAGAAGTAAAACATGATATATTGACATATTTATACATAGTGAAATGGTTATTGTAGTCAAGTAAATTAACATATTCATCATCCCACATACTCTTTAAATGCAAGTATTTCTAAATGGCATCCCCAAGAATCTTATCAGCAGAGCCATTCCAGAAGGCAGCAAGTGTTACCTGTTAAGACTCAGGCAAGAGAAAAATGTAGGCAAGGTGATAGGGCCGGGAGAAAAGATTGAGGGATTTATCCAGTCAAGACCTGCTCAGTATCAGTCACTTTTAAGAGTGTCAAAATGCATCTGAAACAGTGACCATCTTAAAATCGGCAATTCTAATTCAGCATGGTGTTGCATTGAATAGAGATGTATGACATGCATGGAGTATGGGGAATCTGAGAGTAATCTGCATGGCTCCTGGAAGAGCCCCTGAGTCATGGCCATTGAAGTGTTTGAAGTGGGGCCTAAGATTTGCCTTGGAAGGTGCCCAGCCTACAATGTCTGACTGGGGAAAAGCATGGCTAAAGTACCCAGGCATGGAGGGACGCATTCAGAGCACTGAAAGCCGTTGGTGTGGCTAGAATTTAGGGCACCTGTTATGGAGAGATAGTAAATAAAACTGGGCAAGTAGACCAGAGCCAGACTGGGGCACAATTGTGTCACACTAAGCTAGATGGGAAGGAACTGAGACATTTCAAGCAGGAAGATGAGGAAATAAGATTTCCTTTAGAAAACAGCTACTCTGGTTTGAGAGAGTGAGACTGAATTCAAGGATTTCATATAGGAGGATGGTGCAATAATCCAGGAAGAAAGAGTGTACGCCTCAGCTAGGACAGGTCAGTAGATCTGGAGGGAAACTACTGGAATCAAGAGATTGTGGAGACAAAATCAATAGTATTCACTAGGCATTTGGGGGTGGGAGCAATGGTTTTGGCTTCTGTCTTGAGAAAATAAGATATGGAAAAAGTGTATTTGGAGAAAGAGAGAAACTGGCTTGAGATTTTCTGAGATAGAGATGCAAGTGGAACACCTAGGTGGATATGTGGTTAAAATAAAAAAAAGGTCTAGACCAGTAAAAAAGTAATTTGAACAGCAGAAGCCACATATATGACTTTAAATGTTCTAGGAGCCACGTTATAAAAATTAAAAATAAATAGGTAACACCAATTTTGTAACACAGTATAGCCAAAATATTGTGATGTCAGCAAGTAATCAAAAACAGCAATTTTTCTTTTTCCCTAATTTGTTGGAAGTACTTGTTTCTTAGAAATCCTCCTAGAAATACATGTACTTCTTTTTTTTATTATTATTATAATACTTTAACACCATGGAATAGTATGCAGCCATAAAAAAGGATGAGTTCATGTCCTTTGTAGGGACATGGATGAAGCTGGAAACCATCATTCTGAGCAAACTATCGCAAGGACAGAAAACCAAACACCGCATGTTCTCACTCATAGGTGGGAACTGAACAACGAGAACACTTGGACACAGGGTGGGGAACATCACGCACTGGGGTGCAGGGAGGGGGGAAGGATGGCATTAATAGAAATACCTATTGTAAATGATGAGTTAATGGGGGCAGCACACCAACATGGCACATGTATACATATGCAACAAACCTGCACGTTGTGCATTTCTTTAGAACAATTTTAAAACTACAATCGCATACAGTAGACAAGCTCTGACATATTTTTGGTGTTAAAACACTATTTAATAAAAAATTTTACTTACACTTATCTTTTGCAATCTTCACAGAACTCATGAGAGGCAAGCAGAGGCCAGTACCAGACATCTGGTAGAGAAGGTAGAGAAAGAGTGGACCAGAGCTTTTTTCAGACTCATCCTACTGGGTTAGTCCTACAGTCATCTTGTGTTGGACACTCAAGGATTTTTGTTTCTGTTTTTGTTTTAGAAACGGTCTCGCTGTGTCACCCAGGCTGGAGTGCAGTGGCTCAATCTTGGCTCACTGCAGCCTTGACTTCCCGGGCTCCAGAGATTCTCCTACTTCAGCCTCCTGAGTTGTGGGAACCACAGGTGTGTGCCACCATGCTCAGCTAGTTTTTGTATGTTTGGTAGGGACAGGGTTTCACCATGATGCCCAGACTGGTCTTGAACTCCTGAGCTCAAGCAATCCACCCACCTCAGCTTCCCAAAAGTGCTGGGATTACAGGTGTGAGCCACCACGCCAGACCTAGAAATCTTAATAATAGGTTAGGTCTTAAGGGAAAAATTACTCCAAGGGAAGACTTAGTCATCCCTACCTCAAGCCTACTGACTTCAAAAAATGGCGTGAAGAACTACTGATTCAAGGTTAGTTATATTACCTTTTTCCTTTGCATTTCATCTTTACGATATAATTCTTGTTTTTAATTTGGTGAAATACTGAGTTGTTTCATTGACTTAGGCGTGGTAAGTAAAAGTTATAATAATTTGTATTGATAAAGAAAGCAAATAAAAGTTTTATAGTTTTTTTCAGTCCCTGGAGCTCTCATTTTCAAGAGATAAACATTTGTTAACTTTTATTCAGTAAATGTAACATTTATTGTAACTGACACATTTTCAATTTCTTTAAAAGCTGCATTAAAGCTAAATTTTAGAAATGGAATATTATTGTTTGATAACTAAAGACAGACTTTGAGATGCTTTGGCTTTCTAATTGATTTTACTTTGGTTCATAATATTTTTGTTTTCCAGTGCCAGCCTCAGTTTTCCACCCCTAATCGTAAGTGAATGATTGACATCCAAACATTTAACCACATACGGATGTCTATTATTTAAAGGAATCCAAAATAAATACTTTTATGAATTAAGTAAACATATAGCACTAAATAGATTTTTTAAGTTAAAATTTTGTCATTTCCTTACCTAACAGTACATCCTTAATTGTGATTGTCACCTACAGCATTTTAGTTTCAATTTTTGTAAAATATATCTATTGCTAGCCAATTACTCAAGTTTTTAAATAGTTAAATCAAACAATGATTTGAATTTTAAAAATAAGTTCCCTTATGTCTTTATATGTTGCCATCACTTGAATGATTGATGACTAAGACGGCAAAGTTATCAAGAGTCTTTAAATAGCAATTACAACCAAACAATCAATTACATTATTTCTACCCAGAATTCCATAAAGCCACACAGTGTCCCCATCTCCCCCGGAGATGTGCCAGGAACCTTCCAGTCCAGTCATGTGATTTCACTCATATTAAGAATCAATTTCTGGGGATCTCAAGATGAATCTAACAACAACAAACTACACTAATTGTAGAGTTGGTAAGTAAAAGAAATATAGTTCAACTATGCTTGACCCAGTTTAAGATATTTGTCTAATGTTTGGTCATTTTTTGACTAGAGGGAAATTTATTTATTTATTTCTGGATACAGGGTCTTACTCTGTCACCCAGCCTGGAGTGCAGTGGCATAATCACAGCTCACTACAGCCTGGACTTCCTGGGCTCAGGTGATCCTCCCACCTCAGCCTGCCAAGTAGCTGGGACTACAGGTGTGTGCCACCATGCCTAGTTCATTTTTTGTATTTTTGTATTTTGGGTTTCATTATGTTGCCCAGGCTGGTCCTGAACTCCTGGGCTCAAGTTATCCAGTGCCTCAGTCTCCCAAAGAGCTCAGATTACAGGTGTGGGCCACTACACCTGGCAGGACAGTTCTAAAAACTGGGTGCAGTGGTGTGCATCTGTAGCCCAGCTACTTGGGAGGCTGGGGAGGCAAGATCACTTGAGCGCAAGAGTTCAAGGCTGTAGTGTGACATAACCTCACCTGTGAATAGCTACTGCACTCCGGCCTGAGCAATACAGAGAGACCCTGTCTAAAAAAATCTACAAAAGCCATAAAAGATTTATTTGAACAAAAATAAATAGCAAGTAGTTTTCTTCATGTATCACTGTTATTAAAATGTCCATTTCAATCAATGCACATTGGCTTACAGTTTTGATGGCGATTTCATAATCTCCTTAATGCAGAGAATAGTAGTGCATGCCTGTGTTAAGTGAGACCTCAACCTGGTTTCCTTGTCTGGCTTCATGTGCTAACAAATCATAGAAGAGAAAATCTAAGGTTTCCTAAAGAACGTCCCTAACTAAATAGCTTAAAAGAGTACACATTAAATGATTGCTTTAATACCAAAATTATAAGATCCTAGCTAGCTGATATTTTATTTTGTTAGCTTAGTTTTATTTTTCTGAAAAAAATGAGATGATCTCATTTGGGTCTAAGTGCTTCAGAGTCCTAAAATTGTACTACTGGATACAAAAAGAAAATAAATGTTAAACACTTCTGTAAATTGTTAAGCATGTTGCAAATATAAAATGTTCTCACTAGTTCTTACCAGAAAAATCAGAAATGTATCATTTTACAAGATGATGATGAAAAATGTGTAAATGCAAAGCCAGGTGTGGTAGCTCATGCCTTCCCAGCACTTGGGGAGGCCAAAGCAGGTGGGTCACCTGAGGTCAGGAGTTTGAGACCAGCCTGGCCAACATGCTGGAACCCCGTCTCTACTAAAATACAAAAATTAGCTGGATGTGGTGGCACGTGCCTGTAATCCCAGCTATTCAGGAGGCTGAGGCAGGAAAATTACTTGAACCCGGGAGGCGGAGGTTGCAGTGAGCCGAGATCATGCCACTGGACTCCAGCCTGGGTGACAAAGCGAGACTCCATCTCAAAAAGAAGAAAAAAATATGCAAATGCAGGGGCCATGCAAAGGAAGGTTTTTGAGGAAATATTTTAAGTTTTTTGAGAGAAAGAGGTGTTTTTAGCGTTTATAGGTAAGTCCAAAAAGTTTATTTAAAACTTAATGTATTAGTTCCAAGTACCATTGTGGTAATGTAAACCACAATGGTTTCCTTGTGGGGCATTAGTTTTCCAAATCATGTTAGACTTAATAAAAGACATTAAAATGCACAATTCTATCAAGATACAAAGATATGTCTCTATAATCCCTGCAGAATGCCTTCAAAGATTTCTTATATAGTTGTTGCTAACAAAATTCTTAGAGTTACAGAAGGTAGGTGACTTTTGGGGTTGCTAGGAATTTAATTATTTTCACTAGGAAAACATCAAATAAGACTGTGAGAGGTGATAACATACTATCTAACATAATAGAAAAGGGTGGGTTTTTAGAGAGTCATTACAAAACAAGACGATGTTTAGACCTTTTTGCTATGATTCTAGAAAGCAAACTGTTAAAATTTAAAAATCAAATTCTACAAAAAATGTTAAAAATAGCATTAATACTGAATTTGTTTATCCATCTCATTTATTTGCAAGGTTTTAAAATTTTGGACCATTCCTACTGTGAAACTCTACCTTATGCAGCATTTTTTAACTTTAAGGAAAATGATTATAATATTTTTCTAGTATGTGATTTCAGTTGTACTGGTTGTTGAAGCAAGTTTTTATATGTTTGTAAGTTAGCATTTCTTGTATCTCTCCCCATTACATGAAGTTTAGCCTTGCACTTAACATTATTATATTAATAATAGCTTATTACATGTGTTTTGCTAATTTTTGCTTTCAATTTTTATTCTAGTTTAATTCTGAGATGGTTTGTTGTATATATCAGAAGTAATGTCAGAGTTTTATTGGTTCTTTACTCAGTATTATTATAAAATACAAAAATCAACATTAGCCTGAACAGATCCATCACTTGGATTCTTCTGCATATCAGAATATTTTCTAATAACTTAAATCTTAAAAAATTATTCCAATTTTATAAAATAAAAAATTTATCTAAAGTTTATTTTAATTTTAGTTCTTTTGACCACTTGGTGCCTGTGGATGGTTCAACTTTTTTAACGTTCAGAAGCTGTTTAGTATTTGTGTGCCTAACACAGCGCATGGCACACAGTAGTCACTGGGTAAATCCTTTTTAAAAATGCTTGATACAGGAAGACTCATTTTTACATGGATTGGTTTTAAACTTTTGGTGATTACTGACACTTTCAAAAGATTTCTAATTATTAATTTAAGGAATTTTTCTACTTCTCAAATGTTCATTTAGTTTAGCAATTCTTTTTCTAAATGGGATTTTACAGACACATCAAAGTTAAAACAATGTTTCTAAGATTTTGTTTTTACATGATAGAACATTGTGTCTCCTCAGAATGTTGAGTTGCATGTTTTTCCCAAATAAAATAGTCCTTTTTGCATCACTAAGGCAATGCTTGTCTACTCTGAATTTTAACTCAATCAATCATAATACTTATGCTAATTACTCAGAGAGCAAAGACAGTTTGATAAACTTCTTTATTATTTCATTTTTAGGCTCTATATAATTCTTCCTGTTTTCCCTTTATCCACTTAGCCAAATGCCCAGTAGTCATTTTATACTTGGAAGGTTTCAGGTACCCTCTCGAATTCTTCTAATTACTTTTCTCTTAGTTTTTTTTTTTTTTTAACTAGGTCTTTAAATATATGTGTGACTCTATACTTAGTCCTTCAGCTCCTCCATCAACAGATGATTCCCCAGTTATTTTCTTTGTGACAAAATACATGTGTTTCATCCTTAGAAACCAACAAGTGTACTTTCCTTCATACATGAACCTATTTACAATTTGTCATTGAATTGCAGTGGTTTAAATGGGCACACATTTGATTTTACTGCATTTGAGAACATACTTATTTTTTGTAACATCTGAGTGCTCCTTAAAATAGAGAATGATATCAAATTTTAATTTTGAAACATCAATACCTACCGAAGGCATATTAACTATGGAACTATGTGTGTGTGCTGTGTATTTATCGATATGGTCTGAAAAAGTGAATGCAGCAGTATTTTCCAACCTCTAATCACAAGACTAATTTAACATCAGCCTATCATTAAGTTCTTGTTGAATGAGTGAACTTTGTATTTGTTTGGCTTTGCTATTTTTATTGATTTCACTATATAACTTTTGTCTAAAAACTTCCAACTCTTCACCTGTTTAAAGTGAGGGTTGTGTTGAAGAATGTACAGTAAGAATACAAAGTCAAAGAAGAAGAAAACATTTCAATAAGTGTTGTGTAGTCACCTTTCTTGTTGGGGTTATTTGGAGGGGAGGCAATAAATAATGCTCCTCTTTCCCTTTTGAGATCAGAACATAGGAGTCAGACATATGGAGTCAGACATAGCTGCTTTATTACTCACATGTAATGACTAATAGGAGGATATGGCTCAGATGAGCAGCCAGAGTGGGCTTCTGAATACTTCAGATTAGTTTAATTCCCAGATTAGGCACTTACCCACACAGTGGTAAGTGGAGAAAACAGATGCTTAACACCTATCTCAGGAGCAGGCAGCTTACTGCAGAGCAGCAGACCTGAATTCGTATCACTGTGGGCAGACACATATTTTTTTTTTTTTCTGAGACGGAGTCTCGCTCTGTTGCCCAGGCTGGTTGGAGTGCAGTGGTGCGATCTTGGCTCACTGCAAGCTCAGCCTCCCGGGTTCACACCATTCTCCTGCCTCAGCCTCCCGAGTAGCTGGGACTACAGGCTCCCGCCACCACGCCCGGCTAATTTTTTTTTTTTTTTTTGTATTTTTAGTAGAGGCAGTGTTTCACCGTGTTAGCCAGGATGGTCTCGATCTCCTGACCTCGTGATCCGCCCACCTTGGCCTCCCAAAGTGCTGGGATTACAGGCGTGAGCCACCGTGCCTGGCCGGCAGACACATATTTTCAAAGTAACACAGAGCCAAGCAAGCACATGCAATGTACTTCACACAAATTCACCCATTAGGTAAATCTTCCCTCCCCTCCAAAGAAAGATAGACAGAGTGTAAGTTCTCATTTGGAAACTTAAGGCCAGGGAAATGAAGATTCTCATATCATTTCTGTGTGGATTTAAATTATGATAGAAATTAAGCCAATGTCTTAATTTCTATGTACCAACTATCGATAACAGGTTGTATGTACCAACTATCGGTAACAGGTTGGATAGAAGTATACTAGATGGTAAAGAGAAATGTGTCTTACGTTTTCAATTTTGCTGTGAATAACCCACAATGTGGATAATTCTTTTGTTGATTGATTTTAGTAAACCAACTCTTATTTGGATAAATATATAGTTCTGTTAAAGAAACAGCTGAATTTCTCTAATTCAGCTTGCCTGGTTCAACTGAAGTTTTCCTCCTTCAAGTTCCCTTTTCTGTAAAATATTTTTGTTCTTTACAAAATAAATTGAGTAGTGACTGCAACTAACAAAGATGTATTAACAGTTGTTTGTTAATTTTTATTCATGACTTCAGAAATCATAACTTAGCTAGAGAACTACCTTTTATGTCTCTTACCCAAACGTGATTGAGTTACATGACAGTTTTACATATGCATTTTCCCTGAGTTATATTTAAAAATCTATACATTTTTCCTGAATACGCAGGAAGTAGCTGGCATAAACTTCAAGTTCAGTAAGAAAACTTAAAGCCCTTTCTTGGGTTGGAGCTAATGGGCTTAATGACCATAGGCAAGCTATAATCTCTCTGAGACTGTGTTACCTTGTACGTAAAATTAAAAAGTTTGACTAAATGACTTTCATAACTGAAAATTTTTTTAGAATAAAACTTTTATTTGTAAAAAGCTACATGAAGGAATTATATATATACACACATTTTATATGTGTATATATTTTATATGTGTGTATATATACATATTTCATATTTTATGTGCATATATACATATTTCATATTTTATGTGCATATATATACGTTTCATATGTATACATATAAAATACATATACATATATGTATATTACATACAAGTCATGTAAAAATGTACATTTTACATAGTGTTCATTAATGATAATATAACATTCTTTCAATAAAGGCTTCTCCCTTTACCTGGTATTGAGTTATCACTTTTTTTTTTTTTTGAGACGGAGTCTCGCTCTGTCGCCCAGGCTGGAGTGCAGTGGCGCCATCTCCGCTCACTGCAAGCTCCGCCTCCCGGGTTCACGCCATTCTCCTGCCTCAGCCTCCCAAGTAGCTCGGACTACAGGCGCCCGCCACCATGCCCTAATTTTTTGTATTTTTGGTAGAGAGGGGATTTCACCGTGTTAGCCAGGATGGTCTCGATCTCCTGATCTCGTGATCTGCCTGCCTTGGCCTCCCAAAGTGCTGGGATTACAGGCATGAGCCACCACGCCTGGTCGAGTTATTACTTTTATAAAACCTTTCTTGTAATGCCATTGTCATGTCATTAATTTTATAAGGGCTGTCTATAATGTTATAATCACAGAAAGATTATGGAAAACTGTCTCTCAAAATATTGGGAAAGCTATTAGTCAAAAATTTGTAAAGGCATTGTATATCATATTGTCATTATCACCAAAAAGTCTTATGTTTAGTAAACAATTTCAGATTCTTTTCTGGGCATTCAGTGAGGGAATACCTTTTGCACCAAAGATTTAAATAAAACACTAGATGGGAGACACTTGCAATATAATTTGAAGTATCCCCACAATTTCATAACTAAGTAGATAACTATAGTTAGCTAGATGTTTCAAAAATTGGTTCTAATTTCTGAAAAGCTTAAAAGAGCTATATACAAATATAGAGCTATATATTGTTTCTTTGTTTCTAATTCTAACAGGTCATGAAATAAACCAAGTTTGTAAACTGGTTCTAATATATATTTTTTTCAAGTGAAATTTCCAAAATCTTTTTTTCCATATGAATAAAAATGTTAGTTGTAATACAGATAGAATAATATGATTACTTAATATTTTACCAGTAGAATTTTCACATATTATGACAGTACCACTTTCTTCAGGTACATATTTAAGATTCTGTCCTGAAAAGTTAATAACATGGAATGTATCTAAAATTTTAATTTTCTAAAGGAGGAGAACGGAAAGTTTATTTTAAGGAGAAATCTACCAAAATGAAAAGAAAACACAGATTGAATTCTTATAAAGGGCAGGCAGAGTTTTGCTAAGAATTAGAAAATAATGCATTTGTTGCAAACTATGAGTCGATTTGCTTAACCTTTGTAACTAGTAAAAGAAAACCTCACTCTTCTGAAAGATGTACATTCAGTAGACCAAGGTTAATTGTAACTTTTATCAGACTAATGTCAACAGCATTACACATATATATTCTCTTTTATCTAAACTTAAAATAAGTAGGAATTTTATTTTATTTATGTAGTTAATTTTTCTATTTAGGCAATCCTCAAGTTAGGTCTCGTCTCTACAAGTAGGAGAGATGACATTTTGTAAGTGATATATCATTTCCATGGTAATTTCTCTTGTGTAACTTAAACATTATAAATATTTGGCTTATTTCAGATTCAGCAAGGATTGATAGAAAATAAAACTAGAGAAATAGAAGAAGGTATATTGCCAAAATTTATTAACTAAATTTAGCTTGATTACTGAAATAAACTGTAAATAGCAAATGGCTTTCCTCTCCATTGTCTGGTTCATAAATGCTACAGTAAGTATTTTTTCTTATGCACATTTAATGAAAGATAGAAACACATACTCATAATGAAGAGTATACTTTTGCCTCATTAATTTATCATGTTCCATAGCTTTAAAAAGGTCTCAAAAAGTCTAAGTATCTCTTTTGTTTTGGCTCTACATAGTCTTCACTTCTGCCATCCCTATGGAACTGTCAGGCAGCACGCTGAAACTGAATTCAGGAAACAAAGTCGTCATCTTCTTAAAGTCATAGTAGTAATTTAAGGCCAAAAGACCAGAGTCATCTGATAATACTTAGCCAAGCAATTACAGTTCAAAAACAGTTATTTGACAGATGACATTCTAAATCTCCAATTATTTACTTTGTCATTGGTTTACTTTTGTGCTCAGGAAATGCTCTAAGTTGCTTGGCATGCAGTGAAAACATCTCCATCAACTTGGTTCTTGTCAAGTTATTCAGCCTTGTCTTTTGCCACATACCCTACTCTACCCTTGTGCTCTAGCATCCAGCCAAACTAGACTACATAGATTTCCACAGTGCTCTTGCTCATCTCTTTGCATTTGCTTCTGCCCTCTGTCATACTTTTTCCTTGTTTTTCAGATATGAACCTATATAGTGCCTCCACCAAAAAGCCTGCAATATTGCAATATTGACACAAAACTGGGATAGGTGTCCCTTCTGTGTGTTCCAATAGTGTCGTGTTGTATACCTGTCATGTTATCTATGATTCTGTAAGGAAATTGCCTGTTTGTTTTTTCAAGTTGTAGCATATGATTTTTGAGGAGTGAACTGATCATCTTCATCTTGTCATTCCAGTGCTTATTGTCACATGGTTGCTGAATACAGGAATGAAGGGTGAGAAAACTAGAAGCTCTGGTACTTAACCACAGTGATAGTCAATTCAAAGCACACCTACGGGCAGATTATATTCAATATTAAATAGTTAATTTTGTATTGTGGTCATACATATTTTTCCTTCCTATTGACACAGATAAATTTCTCAACTTTTTTTTTACTGACTGACACTTAGCTAACTGTGAAATATTTTAGGTAAAGAACATCATTCTTTCATTTTCCTTCCAGGTGCTGCTGAATTTGAATCTGAGTCCTCTATATGGAATCTATCCTCTTCTGCAGGATCTACTCAGGATCTGCTGATGAGTTACATCTAAATCAAGTTTGAAAAGCATCATGAGAATATGCAACAATTTTTTTTTTTTTTGAGATGGAGTTTCACTCGTTTTGACCAGGCTGGAGTGCAATGGCTGGATCTCAGCTCACTGCAACCTCTGCCTCCCGGGCTCAAGTGATTCTCCTGCCTCAACCTCCGAAGTAGCTGGGATTATAGGTGTGCGCCACCATGCCCAGCTCATTTTGTATTTTTAGTAGAGACAGAGTTTCACCATGTTGGTCAGGCTGGTCTCAAACTCCTGACCTCAGGTGATCCTCCCGCCTCGGTCTCCCAAACTGCTGGGATTACAGGCGTGAGCCACCGCGCCTGGCCGAAAATATGCAACAATTTTAAGAAAAATTACTTAATGCATTCAGACCCGTGGATTGCATTTAGTTCTTCTGTCTCTTAGACTTCGTCTGGAGCAGTTCCTCAGTTTTCCCTTGACCTTATGACCTTGAATCTTTCAAAGAGTAAAGTCCAGTAATGTAGAATGTTCGACAATTGGGTTTATCTGATGTTTCATTGTGATTAGATTTAAATTATACTTTTTAAAAAATTCAACTTTTAGTTCCAGGGAGTACATGTGCAGCTTTGTTACATGAGTATATTGCATCATGCTGAGGTCTGGGGTACAAAGAGATTTTACATTTTTGGTAAAGTGTATCACAGAAGTGATCCTGTAATCGTCTCACTGCATCTTACCATGTGTCCTACAATTTTGATTTGTCCTGTTAATTAATATCTTGTGGGGAGGTAATTTGAAACTACGTAAGTATCTCTTCCTCATAAAACCTTCAATTTATTCATTTACTTGTATCAATAAGGATTCATGGGTTATTTTCTCCAATAGTGTATAATTTGTTAATTTTTAAAAAACTTTTCTTTTAAGAAATGTTATATTTTGACAATTTCAGACTTTTTAATACAATGTCATGACTTCTTTACTTCTTGGGAGCCTTCCAGCATCAATGGTGGCACTCTGTATGGGTCCCGTGGTGTTATTTGACTCCACAGTATTGCATTAAAAACAATGAAAAATATGTAAGAACCATAAATCATCACTTTTTCCCATGAGACACAATTTCTTGGATGGATGAACTGCTCATGTGGAGATGATTAGCATCACAAAGCATTTTAAGGAAATACTTGCAACAGTTCTGCTCACTGCAGTACCACAGGTGGCTATGAAATCATTCCAGTAGTACAGTGTACACTATAGTTAATTTTACGCAGTTATGGTTTAATGCTGCATCTTTGTTTGTTTACCTTTCTCTTGGCTGTGAATGGTGCCACATACCATGTGTAAATTTTAATAAATCGTATTTTTTATAATAGATTATATATATTTTATGGTAGTAATGATGAAATACATGAGTATCTACATATATATTATGCATTCATGACATAACTTTTTCTTAACTTGTTTATCTCTAGGCTATGCAGCTCATCTATAAGCTGTTTCAAATTGTCACAAATCTCCAAAAAAAATTTCAGTCTATTTATTGAAATAAAAAGCTGCTTGTAAGTAGACTCATGCAGTTCAAACCATGTTGTTCAAGGGTCAACTATATTTGTAATTCCCTTTTCTGACACAACCTGGCTCCCTTCATCCTTAGTATATAGTAAGTCCTCACTTAACATGATTTAATAGGTCTTCTTGGAAAATAAGTGGAAGATGTGAAACGAAACCAGTTTTAACTGTAGGCTAACTGATATAAACAAAAGATCTGTTCCTATGACACATTTCTGGCCAAAAAACATCACCAAACATGTCAATACAGACAAAAACACTTGTAATATTAAACATTAAAATGAATGCTAGCTCTGCATACATTTAAGGAAGAGTAATAGATACCATTCATCCAATTTTTGGTGAATCAGTGAGTGATGGCGATTGTAGTGGCAGTGGGTTAAATCAAGAAATGAATGCTGGCAAGGTGCATTTTGTAAGAATCACCTCCTACCTCCATGCAGTCAGAACCAATCACAAATATGGCAGGTTCATGAAGCACTTTTGTACCAAATCGTTGTGTATTGCAACATCTGTGATTATCATGGACTTCACAAATTTTTATTTTATAGTAATTTGCACTCATTTATTTGTTCCTTGTCCAACATGCTTATTCCAGTTCAGGGTAGCAGAGGACTGGAACCTATCTAGTGGCTCAGGGCCCCAGGTGGGAACCAACTCTGGACATGCTATTGTACAGTGCACTCACACACACCCGCAGTCACTCACACTGGGACCATTTAGACATGTCAGTTAACCTGTGCCCAGTTTTGGGATGTGGGAGGAAACCAGAGTATCTGGAGAAAACCCAGGCAGACATGGGGAAAACGTGTAAACTCCATACACACAGTGGCTTTGGCCAGTATATATATTTTTGTCATCAATGTTATAACAAAATGACATTATTCCAGGACTTGCTGTTATTTATTCATTTCATCTCCTGTGTGTAACCAATCTCCTGTGTCCTTGCTCCTACGTAGGTATACTCTTCACTCCCACTTGGGACTCTTGCACCTTTCATTGGTTGCCTCCACCAATTTTCCTTCCAAATGGATGCCATCTTCACCCCATCCTTCCTCAAACACCCTGTCCCAGGCTGCCCTCTTAGGTAGATGACTTATCCTTACCCCCCTAAGATGCTGAAGACCCATTTTTCATCCATCTGTGGGTGGCTCCTGATATTGTTCAGTCTTTGATACCTCAATTTCTTTTGTCTACCTTGCAGAAATGCTCTCAACTGTCTTCCAGCACTGTGCAGGGTGACACTCTGACACTTAGGCCCTTCGCATTTAATTCATGCCACAATCCCTAACTCTGGGTCAACACAATTCCCTGTTTTGTCCCCATACTTGTGAGCTGAAATATTCAGGAAGATAAAGGAGGAAAGAACTTCACATACATTTTATAGTCAAAACGCTGAGTTTACAAAGCAAGGGTTTTGACTGGAATTGCACTGAATGTATAATTTAGAAAGAGAAGGCGTAATATTGTTTCCCCAAACTATTAACATTTTAACAGTCTATCTTATTAACTCTCAAAGTTTAAGAAATTTCTCATAGAGGTTGTGCATATATTTTTTAGATTCCTAAATATCTCATACCTTTTCTATCTACTCAGAAGGCTGAGATGCGAGGATCACTTGACCCAAGGAACTTGTCGCTTCAGTGAGCTATGATTTTACCATTTCCTTCCAGTGTTACAGAGCAAGATGCTGTCAAAAAAAAAAAAAAAAAAAAGAGCCAGGTATGGCGGCTCATGCCTGTAATCCCAGCACTTTGGGAGGTGAAGGAAAATGGACCACCAGACGTCAGTAGCTTGAAACCGGCCCAGTCAACATGGTGAAACCCTGCCTCCACTAAAAACACAAAAAGAAGCAGGGCCACCGTGATGGCAGTGTAATCCCAGCTACTTGGGAGGCTGAGGCAGGAGAACTGCTTGAACCTGAGGGGGTTGGGGTTGGAGGTGGAGGTTGCAATGAGCTGAGGAGCTGAGAGAGCACCACTGCACTCCAGCCTGGGCAACAAAGTAAGACTCCATTTAAAAAAAAAACATATAATCATTTCAGTAGACGATGAAAACAATAAAATTCAACGTACCTTTATGATAAAAACTCAACAAAATGTGCAAGAAGGAACATATCTCAGCATAATAAAGGCCATATATGATAAACCCACAGCTAACATCATGATCAATGCAGAAAAGTTAAAAAAGCTCTTCCTAAGATCTGGAACAAGTGTGGTTACTTTTACCACTTTCATTCATCATAGTGCTGGAAGTCCTAGCTACAGCAATTAGACAGGAAAATACAATAAAAGGCATCCAAATTGGAAAAAAAAAGGAAGTCAAATTGTCTCTGTTTGCAGCTGATATGATCATATGTAAAGAACCCTAAAAATTCCACCAAAAAAACCTACTAGATAAATTTAGTAAAGTTGCAAGATACAATATCAACATACAAAAATGAGTAGCACACCCATGCACCAATAGTGAAACACCTATGAAAGAAATCAAGAAAGCTATTTCATTATAAAAAATGATACGTAAGGACAAACAACCAAAAAGGTGAAAGATCCCACAATGAAAACCATAAAACATAGATGAAAGATAGTAAAGCAGACACAAGTAAATGGAAAGATATCTCATGTTCATGCACTAGAAGAATATTGTTAAAATATCTATATCACCCAGTGTGATCTACAGGATCAATGCAACCCATGTTAAATTACAAAAGACATTCTTCACAGAAATAGAAAAAAAAAAACCTAAAATTCACACGGAAATGCAACGTACCTCAGATAGACAAAAAAATCTTGAATAAAAAGAAAAAAGCTAGAGGCATCACACTACCTGATTTCAAAATATACTATAAATGTATAGTAACCAAAACAGCATGGTGCTGGCAAAAAAAAAAAGAATGAGGGAGCAACAGACAAGACATAGACAAATGACAGACAAATAAAACAGAATAGAGAACTCAAAAGTAAATTTACACATTTACAGTCGACTCATTTTTAACAAAGGCACCAGGAACACACATTTGGGAAGGACAATCTCTTCAATAAACTGTGCTAGGAAAACCCAACACCCACATGTAGAAGAATCAATCTAGACCGTTATCTTACCATATACAAAAATTAACTCAAAATAAAGATAACTTCAATGTAGGTCCTGAAACTATGAGACTACCAGAAAATAAAAAATAAGATAAATGCTTCATGAAATTGATTAGGACAAGGAATTTTTAAATAGACAACAAAAGCACAAGCAACAAAAGCAAAAATAGACAAATGGAATTGCATTAAACTTAAAAGCTTCTGCAAAGCAGAGGAAGCAATCAGTAGAATGAAGAAACAATCTAGAGAACGGAAGAAAGTATTTACAAGCTATGCATCAGGCAAGGGGTTAATACACAAAATAGATAAAGAACACAAACTACTCAAAAGCAAAAATACATATAACCTGATTTAAAAATTAGAAAAAGATCTACCCAAAACCTTTGTCCCCCACCATTATTTCCCCACCTTCTTTTCCTGACAGCCTTCAGCTCTCTCGTCATCACCCTTTTTCTTCATCTACCCCAAAACTTTTTCCCCACCATCTTTTTGCAAAGCCTTCTTTACTCTCCCGCTCACCACCCTTTTCCCCATCCATCTACCCAAAAGTTTTTCCCCACCGTCGTTTTCCCCTCTCCCTGGCCACCTTCTTTTTCCCTCTCCAGCTCTCATCACCCTCTTTTGCTCCTCCATCTACCCAAAAACATTTCCCCCATCTTTTCCCAAAGCCTTCTCCCGACTCCTGCTGCTCACCACCCTCTTTTCCCCCTCCATCTTCCCAAAAACTGTTTTCCCCATGTCTTCCCCACCTTGCCACCCGCTTTCCCTTCTCCATCTATTCAAAAACATTTCCCCACTGTCTTTTTGCAAAGCCTTCTCCCAACTCCTGCTCACCATCCTCTTTTCCTCCATCTACCCCCCAAATGTTTCCCCACCGTCTTTTTACAAAGCCTCCCCACCAACTTCCCACTCGCCGTCTTCTTTCCCCTAACCTGCTTGTCACCCTCTTTTCCCCCGTCCATCTACCCAAAAACTTTTTCCTCACCATCTTTTCTTTCTCCATGGTCTTTCTGTCCACCGTCTTTTTGCAAAACCTTGTCTCCCTCCCGCTCACCAACCTCTTGGGTAGAACAGGGACAAGTAAACTCAAAATCCCACTTGATTTTGCTATTCATAAGCTCCTTATCTCCCACTTTCCCACCAAGTCATTCTAGATTTGAGAGGAGTCATTAGACTCTTATTTAAGTGGCCGTTTCTGCCAGGATGGGTAATAAGTCAGTTAACATCAGGTGAACCAGTCCCCAATATTTCAATGTAGGTTCTTTTCTATTTTCCCTAAGTATTGGCCGGTCTGAGAAATAAGCAGAAAGAGTACAAAGAGAGAAATTTTACAGCTGGTCCTCCGGGGGTGTCATCACATATTGGTAGGACTGTGATGGCGACCCCGAGCTGCAAAACCAGCAAGTTTTTATTAGGGATTTCAAAAGCGGAGGGGTGTACGAATAGGGAGTGGGTCACAGAGATCACATGCTTCAAAGGGCAATAAAAGATCACAAGGCAAAAGGGCAGAGCAGGATCACAAGGCAAGGGTGAAATTAGAATTACTGATGAGGGTCCATGTCCCTCTGGGCATGTATTGTCTTGATAAACATCTTAAAAGGAAACTGGGTTGGAGAGCAGACAACCGGTCTGACTAGAGTTCACCAGGCTGGAATTTCCCAATCCTAGTAAGCCTGAGGACACTGCAGGAGAACAGGGTGTATTTCATCCCTTATCTCAACTGCATAAGACAGACAATCCCAGAGTGGTCGTCTACAGGCCTACCCCTGGGAATGCATTCCTTCCCCAGGATTATCAATTATTAATATTCCTTGCTGGGAAAAGAATTCAGCAATATTTCTCCTACTCACACGTCCATCTATAAGCTCTCTGTGAGAAGAAAAATATGACTCTATTTTGCCCATCCCCACAGGCAGTCAGACCTTATGGTTATCTTTCCTTGTTCCCTGAAAATCACTGTTACTCTGTTCTTTTTCAGGGTGTCCTGATTTCATATTGTTCAAACACGCATGTTTTACAATTTGTACAGTTAACACAATCATCACAGGGTCCTGAGGTGACATATATCCTCAGCTGACGAAGATGATGGGATTAAGAGATTAAAGATAGGCATAGGAAATTATAAGAGTATTGATTGGGGAAGTGATAAATGGCCATGAAATCCTCACAATTTATGTTCAGAGACTGCAGTAAAGACAGGCGTATTAAATTATAAAAGTGTTAATTTTGGGAACTAATAAATGTCCATGAAATCTTCACAATTTATATTCTTCTGCCACAGCTTCAGCCGGTCCCTCCGTTTGGGGACCCCGACTTCCCACAAGTTAATTTGTTCCGCCTTCTGCTAAAGTGTTTCTCACTTTGTCACCACATATTCACTGCCAATCTGGTTTCCTCAGAGTCCTCCTAAAATTAATCCATAGGCAAGTTTCAACTCACTCTCATTTTCAAACCAAAAATTATTAGACCCAAAGCTAAAGAGCACCTTGTCTCAACACATAAACTAGAAGAACAACAAACTAAGAAAAAAAACTCTTCTTGGCATTTTCCCTCATGACCTAATTTCCAATTGACCTGCATATTTCTTATTGCTCTCCTTTTCCCTTCCCATTTCTCCCTCTTAAGCCTTGCCACTGAGAGATGATACGTCAGTTTGTTAGAAAATTGTCAGCAGCAGCAAGATGTCCATTTATTTTAAGTTGCTTTAGTCTTGTTTGAGTTTTAAGATAAAGCCTATTTCCAGGGCATATTTTCTTTCTTGTGTTGTTTTACACTAATTAGGAAAAAAAGGAATAAACCTGTGTAGAAAAAAAATGGAAAAGGTTTTACTTTTAACAAATTCGCAAATATTTTCCAAAGTACATTTAAAAAAGCTGTGCCCTTTAATGGTTCTTTAAAAGTATGAATTTTGAAAATAAAATCTTAGACAATTAAGTTATTTCAAAATAACTTAATTTGCACTTGCATTCAGGGAATGCTTGAGCTTCCAAATACTAACAATTGACCCTTACCTATGTCAATGTTAAAACAAATATGTTGAAAAGAAAGTTGATTGATCTATACCTTGTCCAGTGCTTCAGTATTTGCATCATGGGAAAGCAGTTTTTTTGCCAGTGATGTGCTCTCACTATACACAGCATACTGGAGAGCAGTGTTGCTGTAGACATCCTTAAGGTTTGGATTGGCGCCACGTTCCAGCAGAATAATGGCACAAGCCTCTTCTTGGCAATGCACAGCCTGTGCCTGTTAGATGAAGAAGTAGATTGTAAACTCTAAGAATTCAAAATACACATTCTACAGGTTTCACCAATTCGTTATATTTAAATGAGATCAATTTATTTTAATTCTATATGTGTAAATCAAATCCATGTCATGCTGAAAGAGTTGGCTACTATATACCTGTATCAAAGGCACACTCTTTTCTTTGTCACAGATGTCAATTTGGCATTGTCTGTTCACCAGGAGAGTGACCACTTCCACATGGCCGCTGGCACAGGCCAAATGTAGAGCAGTTCTACAAGAATAAGAGGACTTTTTAGGAAACCGTAGTGCAATATCTCAAAACATACGATCATTCATGTAATTGTAAACATTGAATAGCATGTTTTTCCTCTGCCTTCAAAACAAATAATTAATTTTTTTAAAGGAAAGTACAATACTTATTAGCTCTTATTGCTCACTACCTTAATGAAAACAGCAGCCTATCTGAATAGAACGAGCTCGGTCTTTGGATTCAGTTCAACTAGGGCTTGAGTCCTACTTTAAACCCTGTCACTTACCAACTATTGCTTAGCCTTTCTGTGCCTCAACTTCCTCATTAATAAAGATGACAATAGTAGCTTTCTCAAAGGACACCATCGTGATGCTTAAATGAGGAACTATGTAAAGTATTTAGAATAGTTCCTACAACAACTCAATAATTGTAATCATTGTAAGATTTTTGTTTTTTGAGACAAGATCTCACTCTTTTGCCCAGGCTGAAATGCAATGGTGTAATTCTACCTCACTGTCGCCTGGAACTCCTGGGCTCAAGTGATCCTCCATCCCCAGCCTCCTGAGTAGCTGGGACTACAGATGTGCACCAGCATGCCCAGCTATTTATTTAAAAATTTTTGTAGAGTAAGAATTTCACTTTGTTGTCCAGGCTGGTCTCAAACTCCTGGCATCAAGCAATCCTCTCCCCTCAGTCTCCCGAAGTTCTGGGATTATAGGTGTGAGCCACTGCACCCAGCCAGATATTATAATTACTACTATTACTACTACTTAACAAAAACATTTTAATTAAGTAAAATGATACAATTTACCTACTTTGTAGGATGACTTAACGAGTAGTTCACATTTTAACACCTCTGATATTTGAATGCCATTTATGATTCATGATTTATTACAACTATAATTGGTAGCATTTTAAAAATTATCTTATTGATATATAAAATTATGGGGCATCACACAATCCATGAGACCTTACATTAAGTAGAATATGGTATACTCAGCAGGTCTAAGGCAGTTCTAGGCAGATAACTGGCACTTCAATACATTTTAGTTCTTAAAGGGGAACTATGGGGAAAGAGCACTGAAATAACAGTAACACATATTTTAAACAAATTAATTCTTTGATTTTCAAACAACTTGAAGCCAAAGGAAACTCATGATTCAAATGAATACGCATGGCTCATTATATTCAATACTTATATTTACAGAATATATGCAAATAAGACTTTCCAATGATGAATATTAGTATTTAAGACTGATAAACTTTTGAAAGGGCAGTTAAAGATTATCTTCTACTATTTTCTAACTTCAGAAATGCTTTTGTTTGAAAGGTGGGAGATAAAGTTTCAATGAGATTAAGTCCCGATATTCTCATTTTAAATCTCTCAGCTTGTGCAGGCAGGGAGGTAAACATGCAGTTTTTAAGGATGGAAGGGTTCTGAGAGATAGAATACGTCTGCTATATAACAGGTACTCAGGTTATGTTTGATGAATAAATGGAATAAAAGAATAGATAAATACAGTTGCGGAGTTCAGTATTTTTAAATAAACTCCTATAAAGCAATGTTTTTGCAATAGTAATTATTTGTGTTATTTTTATTTTTAAAGAATACAATTAAAATGAAATGATTAATCTATCATTGTTTGCATAAATGGAATGAATCTACACATAAGAAAAACACGTACGTAATAAATATATACATAATAACATCAGGAAACAGATAAAAACTTTCCATTTTCACTTACGAAGAGGCTAAAAGTTCAAAGAAGATAATAACACACACAATAATGATAAAAAATAGAAAGCGAGAAATTATTTTTTTCTGTGCAAGATTTATATTCTTCTCTTCCGAAAGATTATTCCATTAATAATAAACCTATACTAGAAGTTTTGTACATGCTCACTGCAGCAATCAGATAAGAAAAAGGAAAAAAAAACTTTACCTAAAATACAAATGCTCAGAAATTACAAATTTTTATCATATTTTTACATATTTTTTGCTAAAATAAGACCACAGTATGTTTATGTGTATGCATAATCGAACCAATTTTTTTTCCTTGCTGGCTATAACAAAATACATCTTTGCACATCAACGTACTTCTGTATCTATTGTCACCTTCAACGGTCACACATTATTCCATTTTATGGATGCAACTGAAATTTATTTATAGGATCCATTCTGTGGGTTCTTTCTAAAATAAGTGCTGCGAAAAATAAAGTGCATGTATCTACTTCCTAGGGGTATTTTAGTATAACGGAACTCATGGGTAAAGGACATACATTTTTAAACGTAGCGCTTTATCTATTTGAAAAGTAATCAGCAACTTAAACTTTAAGCAGCAGTATAAAACATCCTCACAAATGTTGTGGATAGAAAACAGTTTCATTCCTCTTTTAAGTTCTTATACCAGAAATGCGAAGGATTTTTTCCTATGTACATAAGTAACTTGTAGATCTGGAAAAAAGTACTTTGCCCACTTTTAGAGTTTTTGATGATTTGATTTGAAAGAATTCCCTGTAAAATGAAGATGTATTTTTCATCTAATGTGTATATATACATATAACTTTTCATCTAATGTGTATAAATGACACATACAACACATTATATCTGTAACATGTTATATTTATCAGTAATATATATATATGATATATAATAAAGAATATAGACCAGGCACGGTGGCTCACACCTGTAATCACAGCACTTTGGGAGGCCGAGGTAGGCAGACAACTTTAGGTCAGGGGTTCCAGACCAGCCTGGCCAACATGGTGAAACGCCGTCTCTACTAAAAATACAAAAATTAGCTCGGTGTGCTGGCATGTGCCTGTAATCCCAGCTACTTGGGAGGCTGAGGCAGGAAAATTGCTTGAACCTGGGAGGAGAAGGTTGCAGTGAGCCAAGATTGTGCCATTGCACTCCTGCCTGGGCAAAGAAGCGAGACTCTGACTCAATATATGATGAATTCCCTGTAAAATGAAAGCATACTTTTCATCTGAATATATATATGATATAGTAAATATTTTTCAAGTATATTCTTTTATTTTGTTAAGTTTTTTCTGAAATACAGGCAGTTTTAATTTTTAGTTTGCTAAATAAACCTTCAAATGTCTGCTTGTGAGGTCATTCTTAGAAAGGCCTTTGTCAACATAAAATGTACCTGGAAAATAAGTGTTTGTATTTTGTTCTGGTACTTTTCTCATTTGCGTATATAAAAATTTCAATCTGTATTCCAATCTGTATGTTTGTGACATGAAATTTCATTAGTTTTCTTCAAACAGCAGACATTTTTTCATTAATAATTTATCCTGCTCATCAGGTCTTATATCTTAAATAACTTCAGTGTTTCTGGGTTTCCTATTCTGTTCCATGCCTTTATCTGTCTTTTCAGCTGTTAGTAAACAATTGTAGAAATAGCACATTTTGATATCTAGAGGAGCAAGTGTTTTTTCACTCCATTATGAAATTTTTTTAAATGTCATCACAATAGTAAAAGACAGGTGTCATGCAAAAATGTTAAAAGCTTGATATTTTCATTCGGTTTATGTAAAATTGATAAACACAGAAAGAGCTCACATTTTGAGAAAAATGTGTGTTCCCATTCAAGAACACAGAACCCACCTCCCACTTCCAAGCTTCTAAGAACCTTTAGTAAAGAACCTATCTACAGAGGTGGATACAGATGTAAAACGGACAGTTTAATGAGAACTTTTTGCCTACTGAAAATAACTCACGGTATTTTTGATAGGGGAATGAGTTATCTCATTAGGCACCTCCTATAACGTATATAACACTATATTTTAAACGTGTACATTAAAAATAACAACATCGTATATGCTTAACTTTATGAGTTAAATCACTCAAATTCTCCATCAACTGCTTCAGCCAGGAAATCATGAGGGATGGTAAGCAGCTGAGGCTTGATTTGGCTCCGCGGCTCCAAGGGTGCCCGGCCCCATCCAAGGCCCCGTCCCATGGGTTGCGGGGAAGCCGGGCCTGGGGACCCCCCTCTCACCCTGGGCTGACCCCAGCTACCTGTGCTGCTTGTCCCGGGCCTCCAGGTCTCCGGCTCCTGCGCTCCAGGCCGCGCTCCACCTCCGGTCCTTGACAGCCGCCCTTGGATTTTCCGCTGTTCCGCGTCCCGGATTCGGTACCCGGAACCGTGCAGACGTGGTCTATGGAGCCCGGGCCATCTCGCCCCCGCGGCTCCCGAAGCCGAAGAACTTCTTGGTGGTGGTGACTTCTCAGACCCCCAACCACCGGCTCCTGAGCAGGGGCTGCTCTCTGTCACCTTTTCACTGCCCCCCACCGCCGACCCGGCCCCAAATCCAGGATCCAACCCCAAATCCCCGATCCAATCCTCAAATCCCCTATCCAGCCCCCACATCCCTGATCCAACCCCAAATCCCCAATCCAATCCCCAATCCGCGATCCCAAATCTGCGATCTAACCTAGAATCCGCGATCCAGCCCGGTCCACCACAGCCTTCAGCAGCGACACTCAGTCTCTGACCTCTCCGACAGAGTGAGCCTCGAAAGCCCTTGAGTGCGCGCCTGCACCGCGGTGGCCGTCCGGCTCCCGGAAGCCTCAGAGGACAGGACATGCCCAGGTGGGAACTGGGCTCCACAGCACAGCTCAGCTGTGGCTGCAAACCGTGTGTCCAGCCCAGAGCCAGGCCATCCAACTCCCACTCCCCTCTCGCCGACCAATGCTGGCTCCTCCATTCCTTCACCAGGGTCTTGGGGCCTTGGGACATCTTTGGGACCTCTGCTCTCCCCAATTCCTCCCCCTGCAGCTCCAGGCCCCCAGCCTCAGCTCACATGCCCCTAAGGACAGGGCGTTCACTCTGCTAGAAGCACCTCCGGCTGCTGGGTGCACCTGCTGGGTCGATCAGGCAGGCCCCACCCAGACAGCACCCGCTTCAGCATCCCCTCTCTGTCCCCAATGTCAATGCATACCCCCGCTGAGCCCAGCCCAGCTCTCAGTGCCCAGGACCCCTGAGGCTCAGATGGGCAGATCAGCAGGGGCACATGGAGCTCCCTCCTGCACCCCCCAGGATGGGACCCACCTGGGGAGCATGTGGGTGGGGGTCCCATCTCCAAGATCTAGAGAGGTGCAGGTGGGATGTGCCCCAGCTGCAGCATGGCCCTCTCCCAACTCCAGACTGTCCTAACCCTCAGTGACCCCGCACCCTAGAGTCAGGGCAGTGCTCTGTCCTCGGCGGAGTCCGGTGGAGCCTGGACACAGCTTTCCCCCCCGTGTTGGCGTAACCCTCAGCTGTCCCATGTCAGGGTTCCCTCATCTGCCCCCTTGTGCAGTGGTTCCTAGAGATCACTCTCACAGGCATCAGGTGCATGGCCCAAGGTCAGTACCAGTGCCCCTGGTGCAGTGCCCGCTGTCCAGTCCACACTGGCCACCCTGGCTGGCTGCAGTAACAGAAGCCTCACTCCCTCTGGCCCCCACTCCCCTCTCCCACACAGGCTGGCCACTGGGCTGGGGCACGTGGGCTGCCTGCCTTGTGCTAAAAATGGAACCCCAGACTTTCTGGATTTAATAATACAATCCTGCCCCACAGGGCCCTCCCCATTTTCTGGGCACACCCCAAACATCTTCCATGGGAGAAATTGGTCACGTGAGCCCATCCCTGATGCCCGAGGAGGGATGGGCTTGCCAAGGCTCTTCCCCCAGTTCCCAGGACTGCTGCCAGCACCCCACTGGCACAACTCCCCTCAGCACAGTGGGGGAGATGCTGCTGGGTGTCCATTGGGAGCCGGCCCCAGGGGCTGCAACACACAGCAGCACTTTCCTGTAGCCATGGCTATGCCATGGCCGTGAGTGACCAGGGCTGTTTCTGTCCAGGAGACACACTGTCCTGCACCATGCACTCACCCTCCCCTCTCCCTGCCTACCCTATTCAGGCCTGGGCTGGGGATCCTGAGCCACAGTGGCTCAGCCACCAGCCCTGCCAGCCGCCTGCCCAAAAGCATGCTCCCCAGGCCACCCAGACACGAGGAGCCCAAGAGAGCTCTTCCCAGGGCCATTCAACCACCCCTCAGCCTCCCTTCACCCTGCCCTGCACTTGGAGAGGCTCTGTGACCCACCCCCCACACAAGAACTCACAGGAACGCCCTTCTCTTTTTGGGAGAAAGTTCTGCTGGCATCAGGGACCACTGAGGGAAGCGAGCACATGGAGAGCAGGACTCGGGTCCCCCATGACTGTGCCCCAGCAGCCCCACTGCCAGACACTTCTGAGCTGCCATGGGTACCCGTTTCACAGGTAGGGAAACCGAGGCTCAGATCCAGGGAGCAGCAATATGTGTGGGCCCACCCATCTTTCTCCACAAGCCGCAGGAGCCCAGCGGCAACAGTGGGGAGACCCTGCTCTGCCTGCCCCCACCCTGCCACTGGCCTGCAGGCTCCCCCTGGGATGTGGCTGCCCACCTGCAAAGCTATGTCCTCGCCACCCAGGTCTGAGTTGTGCAGAGCTGGCTCCAGTGGCTGTAGGTGCTACAGTCGCAGGGCCTCAGGTCTTCACACCCCCCATCTGTGCTGCCACAGCCAATGGCACTGAAGACAACTGTCCTCAGATGGGGCTGCTGGCCTGGGGGTTGCCACTGCCAAGGGTGAGCTGTCACCTTCCAGGATGCTCAGGTTGGGGGAGCCTGGTGTGGCCCCAACCACAGCCCTCTCCAGCCCCTGCTACCTGCAGCCCATCACAGGAAGCTTCCATAGGCAGGGCCCTTGGTTTGCCCCTCACCTTCTTGGTCTTCAATGTGGGGGGCTGAGAGCCATCCTGAGATGGAAGCTGGAAGGAGAGCAGGACCCCAGGCCTCACTTGAATCAACCAACTGTGGTGAGCCAGCCCCGCCCCTCCCGCAGCCTGCCTTCGGGCAAGGCCGCCACCACTCCCCTACCATGTCCAGTGGTGCGCCCCACAACAGGGGGCCCAGCTTGTCAGGGGAAGGACCTCTGAGGAATGGCCATGTCCTTGTCTCCAGAGGGCCAGGTGCTCGGCCTTTCTCCTGGGCCCAGGGTCAGAGCAGGGAGGAGTCTAGGGCACTGTATGGGCTTGACCTGAGGCTCACAGAGGATGCAGCCCCCAACCACTGGTGCCTGGGAGGCCAAGGAGCTGCTCCTGCAGGGGCGGTTGAACCCAGTCCTTCTGCTGAAAGGCTGAGCTCCTGCAAGGCCTCCAAAGGCTCACGGGAGAGTAGGAGAGATTCCACGGAGACTGTGCAGAAGCTGCACGCCACAGCTTCATCCAGCCCTGGCTTCTTCCACCAGAGGCGTGAGGGCTCTGTGTCACCAAGAGTGTTGGCAGCTGATTGGGCTCCATGCAGCATGATGGCTTTGATCTGAGCCCCAACACCAGCCTTGGCCTCCAGCCCCCTTGCCAGGCCTGTTCTGCCAGAGCTCCAGCCTCTCTACTCTTTCCCTGGGGAGGCCACATCCCAGGTGGGGTGGCAGGTTTGGTTTCCCCTGATGGAGGAGAGCCGAGTGCTTCTCCATCAACAGTGGTATCAACAGGGACGTCTGTCTCTGCTTCTAAGGCCACCTGCCCAACTGCTCTTCCTCTCCAAGGCTTGTTTTCCAAACAATTTGCTTAATATGATTCCTGGGTGAGTTGAACACAACTAATCTTGCTTACCCAGGTAATCCTGCTGCCTCCCAGCAGGTAGGGTTGGAAACAAGCCCAGGAAGAAGAAATGCCTCGGATGTGCCGATTCACTGCCCTGGCATCGTCCTTTCTCTTGCAGAGCCAGAAATGCCTTCAGAAATGGGGGCAATGGGAGCCCGGCCTCAGGACCTTGTCTGGATGAGGGGCATTGTTCTCTGAGTGCCCACGTGGGCAGAGAAAGTGCATGTGGATGTTGGTGGGCTGTGGAGCCCCCTCACTGCCCATGCCAGTGGGGTGCAAGGCCAACCTCGTGGCACTGGGAAAGGCTGGATCTCTCAGGATCTCTGCTAAGGCTGCGCTCTTTGGACATGGGGGCCAGCTGGGAACTTGTTCTCTGAAGGATGAGTGCTCAGGCCTCATCCCTCACCTTCTGGGCTCAGGCAAGCCGCTGGCCCAGATCCTATGCCAACAAGGCTGGGGAGCTGCCTCTGTTCCCTTCTGGGGCAGACCTGACTCCTTCAGCTGCTCCGAGTTGGCCCAGAGGCAAGGGTCTGTCTTCCCCTGGATGTCACAGCTTTTATGAGAAACAAGCTGGCCACTCACCATGGATGGAGACAGGCTGAAGGGGACCTGCAGTCAGGCTATGCTGGAAGGGGGACTCATAGCACTGGGGGTGCTGGGCAGCCAGGGGGTGCCAGGACGACAGGTGACTCAACCAGGCGACTGGTCCCAGCCTTTCCCTTGACCCCTAGGCTGCAGGTCCCTCCAGGACAACACTGGAGCATGTCCTCCCAGTGAACCTCACTAGAGGGATGTGCGCTCTGAAAACACTTGGCAGAAGGACTTGCTCTGAGGGTTTTAGAGCCGTTTCTGTGGATGCTGTGACCTTGAGTCACTTTGGATCCTCCCAGCCTCCCTCCTAGTGCTGATCCCCTAAATGGGGCTCTGCTCCGGATACCATCCTTACCCCAGGCGGCAGCCTGGGCCTGGGCCCTGGCCCGGGATGGGCTGCAGAACAGCTCCCCTGTGTCCTAAGGCCCAGAGCAGCAAGAAGTGCTGCTTTCTGGCCACCTCCTCCCCCTCCTCATCTAGGCCTGGGTCTGGGTGTGCTGCAGGCCAGGATTCAGGGCTTTACCCAGGCTGTGGACAAGAGGAGTGATGAGAGCTGAGCACACTTATCTGAGCAACGGCATGAATTTCAGGGCACCTGGCTATGGGCCCTCAGGCACCTTGGAAAGAGTGGGAAGAGCCCTGGGGCACCCCATTAGGCACCCCACAACCAATACACAGCCACAGTGGTCAATCCAATGGCCCCTGGGGAAACTGAGGGCCCAAGAGAAAGATTTAAGATGGCTTATTGGGAAGCCAAGTCCTCTCTCCTGGGACCCTGTGGTGGGTACAAGCTAGGATAGGGACCCTAGCTTTATACTAGGACTAGATTTATGCTTCTCTGAAACACTCAGTCCCAGGGCCAGCCCCCAGGAGGACTGAGCCCCTTCCAGTAACACTGAGCCCCTTCCAGGCCAGGCCCAGGTCCCAGGGCTCTGGGCTGCAAGGACAAGGCAGCCTGATGAAAGAGTCCCTGCCCGGCGTGGGGGCGGGGCCCAGGACCCAGCCCACCTCGGTCGGTCCCTCCTCTCTTTCTCATGCCTCAGTTGCAGCCAAGGCCTTCTGCTTGGCCACCCCAGGCTGGATGCTGTGGACTCCTGGTCCCCTCCCCTCTTGCCCAGCCCGCAGCCAAGGCCAGGCCCTCAGGTGAAGCAGAAGACTGGTCCCAGGGTCCCTCCCCAGAATTCCACCCCATGAGCCTTTCCACCCTCTCCAGAGGTACCTGGGCTTGACACTGTGCCCACCTGCTCCATAGCAGTGGCTTCCCAGGGCAGATCCTCTGAGACATGGCCCTCAAACTCTCTCCCATCTCTACTGCTGCCCCTCCCACAGCCTCCTTCCCTGCATTCTCGTGGTTTATGCCTCAGCCCACTGGCTGTGTTCTTTTAGCTCCTGGCACCTCACCCCTTCCTGCCATCATGTTCTTCAGCTCCCTGAGGAGCCTCTGGGGTCCCACGGTCCTGGAATCACTGAGTGCCGTGGGAGTGCAGGGTCCAGTGCGGGAGTCAGAGCCCAGTGCACATAGGGAGCACAGCCCTGCAGGGGGAGCTGCATCAGGCCAGGACACCCCCACACCCAAACACTCACATCATCTGGGCCCTCCTGGGGGCCTGATGGCAATAGAGGTGGCCTGTCTGCCTTGGGCAACCCCTCCCAGTCACCCTTAGTTCTGGCAGGAGTCCCCTGGCCTCAGCCCCACTCATCCCAGGAGGATAAAATGAGGTGACACCCTTCTGGGACACTGCAGAGGTCAAGCCCAGTACCATGAGAATTAGTGGCTGCTGGGAGTCATGGCAGCTGGATGGTGGCTGGACGAAATCCCCAGGGATGGTCCTCAGATCCTCTTCCAGGGACCCCCACCCTATTTATGACCTGTGCTAAAGCTCATGATACCCCGTTTTCCAGAGGCTGAGGCCAGTGGATCCTGGCTGGACACCAAGTCCATGCCCCTCCACCCTCAGGCAGAGGCTTAGTCAGTGCACACAGGCTCCCCTGTGATTATTCAGAAGCGACAGAGGCTGACTACAGCTCACCTAGAAGACCACAGGGGCCTCTTGTCTTGGTCCCTGGAAGCGGCTGGGCCCTGGGGGTGGTGGTCAGAAAGGCGTGTGGTGCTCTGCCCTTTACCTGAGAAGGCCTTCCATCCGCTCCTCCGAAGGGCCCTGCTGCCTCCTGCCACTTCTGTCCACCTAGCCTTTGCCATGGCTATGCCCCCTGCCTGGTGCAAACCAGAGTTGTTTGTCCCTCCCTGTGGGTTCGTGGTCTTGCTGGCCTCAGGAGTGAAACTGCAGACCTTCACGTGAGTGTTACAGCTCATAAAGGTGGCACAGACCCAAAGGGTGAGCAGCAGCAAGATCTATTGCAAAAAGCAACAGGACAAAGCTTCCACAGCGTGGAAGGGGACCAGAGGGGTTTGCCGCTGGTGGCTCTGGTGGCCTGCTTTTTTTATTCCCTTATCTGGCCCCACTCACATCCTACTGATTGGTCCATTTTGCAGAGATCTGATTGGTCCGTTTTACAGAGAGCTCATTGGTCTGTTTTGACAGAGTGCTGATTGGTGCATTTACCAACCTTTAGCTAGACACAGAGTATTGATTGGTGCATTTACGATCCTTTGGCTAGACACAAAAGTTCTCCAAGTTCCCACCCTAAGATTAGCTAGACATAGAGCCCGGCCCTGATTGGTGTGTTTACAAACCTTTAGCTAGACACAAAGTGCTGATTGGTGCGTTTACAATCCTTTAGCTAGACACAGAGCGCTGATTGCTGCATTTACAATCCTTTAGCTAGACAGAAAAGTTCTCCAAGTCTGCACCCATCCCAGAAGCCCACTCGGCTTCACCTCTCACTGGCACTCGTAGCGGGACTTTGCGGCACCTAGCCTGGGCACTCTGGCAGCCCAGAGGGAGCTCATCCCCCGATCAAGCCCAGCAGGTGCTTGCCGGCTGTGTGGAGTGCGGGGCCTGCCCAGCCTGTGCCCACCCGGAACCTGTGCCAGCTGCGAGTGCCTGTAGGCACAGCCCCAGCTCCCGCCAGTGTCTCTCCCTCCACACCTCTCTGCAAGCAGAGGGAGCTGGCTCCAGCCTTGGCCAGCCCCAGAGAGGGGTCCCCACAGCGCAGTGGCAGGCTGAAGGGCTCCTTGAGCATGGCCAGAATGGACGGCGAGGCCAAGGAGGCACCAAGAGCGAGAGAGGGCTGCTAGCACTTTGTCACCTCTCACCACCACAACCAAGTCAGACCCAGCCAGCCCTCTCCACCCAAGTGCCCATTCCCAACAACTCCATCTGCAGGGCCCTGTCCCACACCCCAGCCACCTCCCCTCCCCGCATTGTCCGCTACTTCATGCCTGGGGGTCCCAGGTGGTCTCTGCAACATAGAGTGAGAAAGCTCGGCCCGGGAACCATGGCGGGTGTGGGGGCCCTGCTGTGCTCAGCATTCCCGAGTAAACACTGTTTGCCTGCTGCGCTGGACCACGAGCAGAAAGAAGTCGCCCTCTAGAGTAGGGAGTCCAGGAAGAGGAGAATGGCCCCTTCTTTGGAGGCCACTGCTGTTTGCTGCCACCTCTGCTGCCCACCACCACACCACCAGCAGTGCAGCCCCGAATAGCTCCCCGACCCGTCCCTGCCATGGGCATTCCAGTGCCTGTTAGTGCCTCAAACTGCCCCCTCCCAGGCAGACAGTGCAGCCCCATAGCACCCCCAACTTGCTCCCTACTGCAGCCCAGACAGCCCCCCCAAACTGCTCCCCCCGCCGGCCACCACTCACTGCCAGTATCGTAGCCCCGGATAGCTCACCCAACCCATCTCCCCACCACTGGCAATGCTCAATAGCGGACACAACCTGCTTCCCTGTTCCCCCGCACTCCACCGGCAGTGTAGCCCCTCATACGCTGCTAACCCGCCCCACTGCCAGCAATGCAACCCTGGATAGGGTCCCAAACCAGCCCCCCCATGCCACAGGCAGTGCACACATGGGCGGTGCAGCCCTAACAGCACCCAAACCCGCACTCCGTGGCTGCCCAGATAACGCGCCTACCCCGCAGCCTACCACTCTGGCTGAGCTGAAGTCTCCGTCACTACCAACCGCAGCCTCCGTCGCCACAAACCACAGTGAAGCAAGCTACAGTGGTGCAGGCTCCAGCCTCCAGCATGCTCCCTCTACACGCGTTTTCTAAGCCGAGCACGCAGCACTCAGTCCAGCAGACGCCGAAGAGGCTGGAACGCTGGGAGGCCCCCTCAGCATACCTTGTATACTGAGATTATGGGAATGAGGTTCCTGGACTCTATGTTCAGATTGGATGAGAGAAAAATTTCTAGGCCTACTCTGATTGGACTTTATTTTCATGCTCTGATTGGTTGTTCTAAGACCTGCTCTTATCCAATCAGAACATGATAATAAAGCCCAATCAGAGTAGGCCTAGAAGTTTTCTCTGATCCAATCAGAACATGTAGTCCAGAAACGTCATTTGCATAACCTCAGTATATATATGTAATGCTGAAGGCAGCCCATTCTCTGCTTTGCCTTGTCTTCCCGAGTAGCTGCTCCATTCCCGGCATAGAGGATCAGGAGAGGGGACGCCACCTGCCACACGCTGGATGCTGGGGTCCGCACGACTGCGGCTTGTGTCGCTGTGGTTGGTGGTGGTGATGGAAACTGCAGCGTGGCTGGAGTGGTAGGAGCAGGGAAATAGTTTTGGGGTAGATGGAGGAGTAAGGGGGTGCTGAGTGCCAAAGGGAAAAGAAGATGGCAGGGCGAGCAGGAGAAGGCATTGCAAAAAGACGGTGGGGAAAATATGGTGGGAAAAAAGTGGGTAGATGGAGGCAGAAAAACAGGGTGGTGAACAGGAGGGAGAGCTTTTGCAAAAAGATGGTGGGGAAAAGATGGTGGGTAAAAAGTTTTTCAGCCAGATGCGGTGTCTCAGGCCTGTAATTCCAGCACTTTGGGAGGCCAAGGCCGGCAGATCACCTAAGGTCAGGAGTTTCAGACCAGCTTGGCCAACATGGAGAAACCTTGTCTCCACTAAAAATACAAAATTAGCCAGGCATGGTGGTGCATGCCTGTAATCCCAGCTACTCAGGAGGCTGAGGCAGGAGAATTGCTTGAACCCGGGAGGCGGATGTTGTGAGCCGAGATTGCGCCATTGCACTCCAGCCTGGGTAACGAGCAAAAACTGCATCTCAAAAAAAAAAAAAAAAAGGTTTTTGGGTAGATGGAGGGGGAAAAGTGGGTGGCAAGTGAGAGGAGGAAAGGGAGGATGGTGAGGGGGTGGAAATGAGGTGGAACAGGAGGGAGAGAAGGTTTGCAAAAAGATGGTAAGGGAAAACAGAGTAGGAAGAAAAAGACAGGTGGGGAGAAAGATTGTGGGTAGATGCAGGGGGGAAGAGGATGGCAAGTGGGAGGAGAAAAGAGGGTGCTGAGAAAGGACGGTGCTGAGGGAGGGGGAAGAGAGGATGGTGAGCAGGAGGGAGAGAAGGTTTTGCAAAAGGATGGTGTGGAGAAAAGACTGGAGAGAAAAGTTTTTGGGTAGATGGAGGGGGATAAGAAGGTGGCAAGCAGGAGAGGGAAAAAGTGGGTGGCGAGCTGGAGGGAGAGAAGGTTTTGTGAAAAGACAGTGGGCGGAAAAGAAAGACCATGGAGAAAGAAAAGACAGTGAGGAAAAAGTTTTTGGGTAGATGGAGGGAGGAAAGAGAGTGGCAAGCAGGCTACAGGAAAGAAGAGGGTGAGCAGGAAATGGGGAAGGCTTTGTGAAAAGAGGGTGGGGAAAAATTCGGGGGGTAGATAGATAGGGAAAGAGAGTGGTGAGCAGGAGTGGGGAGAAAGCTTTGCAAAAAAACGGGAAAATGTTTTTGGATAGATGGAGAAGGGAAAGAGGGTGGCAAGGAGGAGGGGGGAAAAGACAATGGGGAAAAGAGGTTTTGGGTAGCTGGAGGGGAAAAGAGTGTGGTGAGCAGCAGGAGTGGAGAGAAGGCTTTGGGAAAAGACAGGGGAAAGTGTTTTTGGGTAGATGGAGGAGCAAAAGAAGGTGATGAGAGCAGGAGGGGCTGGCCAGGGAGCGGGGGAAATGATGATGGGGAAAAAACGGTGGGGAAAGTTTTTGGGTAGACGCATGGGGAAAAGCATAATAATACCATCACCATTATTTGTGCAAGCCATTGGAGTGAAACTATCTGCATCATTGTATTTGACGCTCATAAAAACCCTGTGAAGTTGGTCTGATTATAATTTACAGACAGGGAGGCTAAGGCTTAGAAATAAAGTACTTTGCCCTGTATTCTCAACTGCTTCTCTCAGGTGGAACTAGGGAAAATCAGCATGCAGAGGTGTGACCTGTGATCTGACTCAGCCTTGCGTGGTTTGGAGTTTGTTGCTGTGGTGTCTGACCGTACATGCCAAAAGGCACACCCTGCATTGTATCACATCAGATTTAATGTTCCTTGCTGGCATTTTTGCTGTTAAACGTTTTTCATTGCTCTTTAAGGAAGGGCATTTAGTGAGGAGGAGGCTCTTGGCATTGTCACTCACTTAGCTGTTTTTCTAGATACCTAGAAGCTCTTTTTATGTTAAAAGTTTTAACTTTTTAAGAATTTAAAGAATTTTTGAGTTAGGAGATTATCCCCGTGTGCACTTTAAAACAGTGACCCAAGTGCTCTAACACCTAGAGGACTTAAATGAGGATTTCCAGCTGGTTGTGGCAAGCTATTGGTGGTGGTGTTGGCATAAAAATGCAACATGTGCTTGCTGTATTAGTAATTCATCCATATGCCCACTTCTCATTTTTATAGAAGGCTGAAGAAGTGCACATGTCCAATCAAGAATATTAAGGAAGAGTGAATTGGAGAAAGTACAAAATTGAACATACAAGTATGTAAGAAAAAAGCTGTTCTCTCTCATAGGCTAAATGTGTTCTTAGAATGGAAAATGGCTTGTAGCTAATGCTAGAGAAACAGAACAAACAATGTAGAATCACTGATGAAAGTTAGATTTACTAATTTATTTTATTTTATTTTTTGACGATGGAATCTTGCTCTGTCACCAGGCTGGAGTGCAGTGACGTGATCTTGGCTCACTGCAACCTCCACCTCCCAGGTTCAAGCGGTACTCCTACCTCAGCCTCCCGAGTAGCTAGGACTATGGTGCATGCCGTCACGCCCAGCTAAATTTTGGATTTTTAGTAGAAACGGGGTTTCACCATGTTGGCCAAGATGGTCTAAATCTCTTGACCTCGTGACCTGCCCGCCTTCGCCTCCCAAAGTGCTGCAATTACAGGCGTGAGCCACCATGCCCAGCTGAAAATTTATTTTTAAAAGCCCTTGAGTCGTGCCAAAGCTGTTGTCTCTCTTTACCCATTTGTACAGCAGAAGAGAAACTGTCTTTAAAATCTGTCTGCCTGGATAAACTCAAAGGAGCCTTTACAGAAAGGTAAATGAGAAATCAAACATTTGTATGATCTAGGCGCATAGATGATTAATGTTCGCATTGAGCCTGATGTGGATGGATCTCCACAATGTGTGCTCACCGCAGGGCTGGACATGGGCCATCCTGTTCTGTCGGGGCTTCTGATTCGTCCCCTTCACTTTAGAGATAAGCCTCCTGACATTGTTATTTAGACTCACTGCCTCTCCTTCAGCCCCTCCTGCTCACACATCAGTCTCCGGAACCCTGCCTTCCATAACTTCGTTGTTTTCATGACAGTTTAATAATTAATTTTATTCCTGGAGAAATGTTGTTCAGGGGGATTGCATATGCTCTTCTTGTTAATATAGAAAGATGGATGAATCAACCTAATTACTATACAAAAACAAATGAAAAGCTTATTAAATAAATGTTCTTATTATACTATATGTGGAAATGTACCTATAGTTTAGTATATTTTTTCTAATTTAAGAATAAGATATATACGTGTGTGTATATATGTGTATGTATGCTATAAACCTCTCATATTTAAATATGGATCACAGATCTCACATAGTAGGAAAGTTCTTTCAACTTAATTTTATTTTATGTTAAGACTGTAGACCACTGTTATATTAGAGTGTCTGTATCATAGCTAAGTTATATTTTTCAAAGTAAGCCAGTCTGTGGCTGGCTGTTCTTAGCTGGCAAAGGCCGAAGCTAATTCTGAAGCACAGGGCATTTTTGTTAGCAGATTGTCCTGAGTGATGGAAATTGCACTTGGGATGAATGCCAGTTCATCTGGATTACCTAGAATTCCTTGGAGGCCATGGTGGAAAGGATCAGCTGCTCTCTGAGAGTGGGAAACACTCTTACTCTCAGTAATTCTCTGTTGTGTGCTGGTGTGGGTCAAATATGTAAGACGCGTCGTATTTACATTTGCTTTGACTCAGCTGCAGAGAACCCAAGCCCCAGTCCCACCAAGCAAATCTTCTCCAGGTGGACAGCATATCTGAAATGGCATACAGGAAGGGAAAGGATGACAAAGGGTCTGGAAGCTCTCACTAACGTCACAGTCTGCCTTTCCTCAGCTTCCTTGTTTTTAAAATAAGGGCTGGAGAGACATGGCAAATAAGGGCCCTTTTAGTATTAGCATTTCAGTCTTTTTCTGAAGGTATTAGGAGAGAATTAATGATTTATCACCACCTCCTTCATTACTTCTGTCAAACTCTGCTAGAAGTAAGGGAAAGCATCCTTTCTTTGTTTCAGCACATTCACACAGACTGGCTAATGAGACCCCACACTGAAGAAGCCTAGAACTTCCACAGACTCCCTGAAATCTAAGTCCTCATTTTTAACATACAGCTTTTAATACTAGCTTCAGAAGTCCCGGATCCCTGCAAAGGTAAATGTTTTATTTTCTATATATTCAGAGAAACCATTCTCTGAATCTGTGCATTGCTCCTGGCAGGAAGCAAATGTCAGCTCATTCCTGTGTAATTGATACGTGACATCTTAGTTTCAAGGTTCAGCCAAAGTACTTACTAATAGATTTTAGATGACAGCTATGGAGCTTTTTCTGTCATCCTTCAGTGGGAAAATCAGAAGGATAGAACTCTTGATGTTGAGTTTTGATGCCCTTATGGTAGTTTTGGAGAGAGAAAGCTCAAAACAATGTTAAGAAAAAAATAGAATACATACATATGAATTACGTTTTACTTATCTGTTTAATGAATGCAAATTTGTTGATTTGAGAGGTAAAGTGACTTTTAAATCATTTTTATAAAATTCCGTTAAACTGAGGATTATGTATGAAAGTACCAGAATGATGCATGGGGCACAGTCACTCAGCAAATGTTAATACCATTTTTTATAGCATGTATTTGAAGGGCGATTATTTGTAATAATCTCAGGAACATTTGTCTCTTCATATGAGCTGCTGTCATGCAAATAAGGATAATCAGACTGTCTTAACTAAATGTTGGCTAGTTTCACTCAGGGTTTTCTTAGACTAGGGTTTGGTGAAATGTAAGAGCTCTGAAGATGAATCATCCTGTTAATGAGAAAATAGACTTGGCCTAGGTAGCCCATTGCATTCTTTTTGGTCTGTTTTCCTTTAAATTCAGGTTTTTTAAAAAGCATAAACACTAATGTCATCAGGTGGTTTGGTCTTGAAGCTGTCCTTGTAAACTCTAGAAGTCATGGGAAACATGAGGCATGTAGTAGGTGTTCCTTAGATTTGCTCAGGCCAAGAGCTCTTTAGAAGTAAAATATGTTTTACTCCTTTAAGGGATAGGCCTGCCTATCTCGGTAGTTAGGAAAACTTGCTAGTGGTTGTTACATTTTCACAAGAAGCTCTGCACAACAGAGCCTTATCTCCTGGCTTGGTAGCTGAGTCTCCTCTTGATAGTTTCCAAACAGCTTAAAATGCAGGGCTGTGTTAACTGCTGACGGTGTGGAGAAAAGATGTTTAACCAGGCCAGGGTGACAACTATCACTGTTTATATTCTCAGTAAAGTTTTAATTATGAAAAAGGATTTGTGAAGTTGGTCAAGCCATAGCCAATCTGGTGTGCTTTGAAAGACTTTTGTATGTATGGTTCTATCAGGGAAGAGGGGCATCTTAGGATGTGATGTAGGCCCAGGACTCCATAGGCCTGCTATTGAAGCCAGCCTGGCAAACTGGGCAATGGCAAACCTTTGCTGCAGCCCTCCACCTTGTTTAACCAACCTCCTTGGGAGTGTGACCTGTAACCAGGTGGCAATGTTCTGTTTTAGCCTCTGCCATTTTACAGTGGTGGCCTGGGTGCAGTCCTGACTTAGGGAATGAGTCCTTTCTGGTTTGATATCTGCTTGACCTTTGCCATTTGTTGATTCTCTTCCCCTCCACAAATCACCTTGAATTTTCCTTGCTCTGAACATCTAGGAGGTTACTTTTGGTAAAGCTTGAAAGTCAGAAATATTGGCCACGTGGCGTGACTAAAGTCAGGTAATAAGGAATTTAAAAGGCTTTTCTTAAAGAGTGCTCAGCTTAATTAAAAGGGAATATCCAAGTTACAGGTATGTTTAAAAGGCCTTTATGTTTTTCTCTTCCTGGATCTTGTTTTGCTGGAGAAAGGTTTTTCCTCAATCAACTGAATTATTTTTCTCCATTTTGCCTTGCCACTTTTAATGCACGTATGAGAGGCCCTAAGATAATTTCTCATGGCCTGGGACTCCTTGGAAAAAAACAGAAAAGTTGCCATTGATTCCACTGTGGGAGAGACCTCTGTTTTCCTCATGGAGGCCCAGGAATTAGAGGAGGATAAATCCCTCTCAAAAATCTGTTTTTGTCTTCCAGCTATACCTGTTTATTAGGTCCCTAGAAACTGCATGCTTTCCTAGTCTTGCTCTTAAAGGGCTCCACCTAGGGGCCAGTAATCCAATTGGGAGATTGGCAAATGAAAAATCCTATAGCTACTGGATCTTCTGTGTAGTTATACATGTGTTGTGTGTGTGATGTCTATGAAAAGCTCCAATTAGTTGACCCTAAGAAGGGTAATCACTAGCATCAAATATTTTTAAAGGGGAAAAAAAGCTATGGTACCTTTTGGTTCATGTGACTTTAATCTTTGAGAAATAAAAACAAAGATTATTGGTAAAATGCAAATGTCATCAAAATGTAAATTCTTTTTTCCTGGAGTTAGATTGCTTTGAACTAGATAAAATGGTTTAAACAAGTTATGGAAGATTTCTAAAAAATTAATCTTGCAAAAGAAAATCTGTGTGTGAACGTTGACTAAATTCAAAAGGGTTATAAAAGGTTTTTGCTTTTTTTTTTATTTTCTTGAGACAGAGTCTTGCTCTGTTGCGGAGGCGTGGTCTCAGCTCACTGCAGCCTCCACCTCCTGGGTTCAAGCAATTCTCCTGCTTCAGCCTTCCTTGTAGCTGGAATTACAGGCACACACCACCACGCCTGGCTAATTTTTGTATTTTTAGTAGAGATGGGGTTTCCCCATGTTGGTCAGGCTGGTCTCGAACTCCTAACCTCAGATGATCCACCCACGTCTGCCTCCTAAAGTGCTGGGATTACAGACATGAGCCACTGCACCCAGCCTCGTCTCAATTCTTAAAAAATAAAAATTCTATTACATCATTACAGCTTTTGTAGAATAAGAGTAGTTTACAATCTTGGACTTACAGAATACCAGACTGAAATCTTTGTTCAGTGTCCCATAGACTTAAGCTTTGTATGTGTTACTAGTATCTGTGGCATTCAATGGCCTTGTACAAATATGAAATGTTGCTTAGGCATATCTTTCATCCTATGCAGAACCTTTCATTTTGACTTTTATGAAAATTGTAATTCATATAATTTATGTAAAGTTTTTAAATGTAGAAACTTTACTTCCACACTGAACTTTGGAGTCATTTCAGTAAAAGGCTTTAATACTCTGCCCTCTGTGCCTCCACACCTACCATTTCCCCCCCTTTTTTTCTTCTTTGAGTGAAATGGTATTGAGCTGTCTGGTCTATATGGAAGAATAGGTGTCTATATTCTTACTCTCTATTCTAACACAATAATGACATTTTCCTTTTATTTTCTCAGTTGTGAGTTAATCACTTTTTTTAAAAAAAGGTTTGAGATAGTGTTACTCTCTGTCACCCAGGCTGGAGTGCAGTGGCACAATCATAGTAGCTCACTGCAGCCTCAACCTCCTGGTGCAAGATAATTCTTTATTATTATGAATAGTTTACAATTGTTTAAAAGGAACTTTATAATGAAATAAATAGTTCGGAAGAATGGTCCAAGAATCTAAGTCAAGATGAGCTGAACTGGGGTAAATAAACCTAGGAATTATGATGAGCTAATTGAATCGGGCTTGTGAAAATTAATTTACATGACAGGTAAAACATGTTAAAACATTTAGATATTTACTTCCATATAGCAGTCACTTTAATAAAATATCAGTTTACTGTTACTTGTGGCTTCTCTAGTTAGTAAGAACTTTAACAGACTGTATTGGGACAAGTCTACGTCTCTTTTAGGAACTAATCTCACAAGTTGTTGTGATGCTGTAGCTGGATACTCGGGGTCAGCTGTCGGAGATGATGCTACTTTTTCTTTTATCTTTGACTTGCAAAGAGCCTCCCCTTTTTTTGGACCCAGGCACGTTTTCTGGACCTTGGTGCCATTTGTATACCCATGTTCCTGTGATCCCAAATGATAGTAGATGGTGCCTTGAACCTAGCACCTTCAATTAAAGGCTGCCTCGTGCTCTCAGGAAAGCTTGCTGCTCTACACACTTTAAAAGGCAGAAAAGCAACAAATCTGTTTGGTGCTTATTTGTAATTTTAAGGATCAGTTATAGATAAATATATTTGTAATGAGAGTAAATATACTCATGGGATCAATTTGGGGATTTTTAAACATCCCAAAGGAGAATTTTTATATCTAGTCTTTTGTTATTTCGTGAATGTTTGCAAGCTGTTACCTCCGGGAGGTGGAGGTTGCAGTGAGTTGTGATCACACCACTGCATTCTAGCCAGGGCATCAGAGCAAGACCCTGTTTAAAAAAAAGAAGAGAAAAAGGTGATCGTGGATTTCCTTTTCTTATTCCTAATTGACAGGGAAATCATTCAATATTTCACCATTAAACAACATGATGATTTTCTAGTTTTTTTTGTAAATATGCTTCATTTATTCCCAGTGTACTGAGTTTTTGCTTATTTATGACCAGATCTCAAATTATATAAATTACTTTTTCAGTATTACCTAGAAGATCATATGGTTCTTCTCTTTTATTAATATGATGAATTACATTGATTGATTTTATTTTCATTTTATTTTATTATTTGAGACAGAGTCTTGCTCTGTTGCCCAGTGTGGATTGCAATGGTATGATCTCAGCTAACTGCAGCCTCCACCTCCTGGGTTCAAGCAATTCTCTTGCCTCAGCCTTCTGAGTAGCTGGGACTACAGGAACACCTACCACCACGCCCGGCTAATGTTTGTAGTTTTAGTAGAATGGGATTTCACCATAGTGGCCAGGCTGGCCTTGAACTCCTGACCTCAGGTGATCCACCTGCCTCGGCCTCCCAAAGTGCTTGGATTACAGGCATGAGCCACCACGCCTGGCCACGATGATTGATTTTTAAACATTAACTTCACATTTCTAGAATAAACCCCAATAATCTTTCATTTTGACAGCATTCCTAGAAAAGGGGATTTTCACATAAAGTTTACCATCACCTTAAGAAGAAAACTCTTTAAAACTTTTTGGGGAGCGGTATGTCTAAATAGTTCTCCTGCTCCCATGCCTGTTTAAAGGTAATGAAGTGGACAATCTCACTTCTTCTTGTGGACTCAGAGTTGCCATTGTCACTGACATTTGTTCCACAGACGCTCACAAGGGGCCATCTGTTCCCTGTTCTGACTGACAAAATAATAGCTATTGAATAGAATGTGTTCTGTTATTCCAAAGATATGAATATGTGTTCAATAACTATCAGCACTATACAGCACTCTGGGTTTTTATTGTTGCTGCAGATGCTGTTTTTGTTGAGTACTTATATTGCTTTTTTTCTCTTTCTTGCTGTTTGAGTACCAAGTATTACTTCTTGCTGCTTTTAGTGCATTTGTTTCTGTTTCCTCTCTCTCTCAATTTGATTTTCTAAAAAGAAAGAGCTAACCTTGTTAGATTTGTTTGTGTGTGTGTCTATATACATTTCAATTTATATCTATTTATATAAAGTAAGAGCAGCTTGTTTCTGAGTGAGGGCATATTGGATGTTCCCGGAAGAAAAAAAAAGTGTGCTCTTTGTATGACTAATTGTGGCTGTGTAAAGTTTTTGTTTGCTTACGATATGCTTTCTATTCTGTATTAGAATGTGGAGACTCAATGTTTTTGTCCCCTAGAAGTGCATGGGTTGAATCCTAACCCCTAATATGATGATGGGAGTTAGGTCCTTTGAGTGGTGACTAGGTCATGAGGGTGGAGCCTTCAGGAATGGGATTAGTGCTCTTGTAGAAAGGCTTCAATCCCATTTTATATATATATAAATTTAACATTTAATTTTAAAATTACAGTTAATAGAGTTCCCTGGCCCCTTCTATGTTGAGACATGGTGAAAAGGCAGCCTCTATCAACCAGAAAGCAGACTCTTTTCAGCCAGTAAGTTTTCTGACACCTTGATCTTGGACTTCCCAACTGTGAGAAATAAATTTCTGTTGTTTACAAGCCACCAGTTTATGGTATTTTGTAAGAACAGCGTGAATGAATTGAGAGAGTTGAGATTGCTGGATAAGTAAATACTATGATATGTTAATGTCATCTGTCAGGCAGTGGACTTAATTCAAGTTTGGATAATTGAGAGTAATAACATTCAAGCCTAATACAGTAATATGCACATTTTATATAAAATATTAGGGCTTTGGGAGGCCAAGGCAGGAGGATAGCTTGAGGCCAGGAATTCAGTAACAGTCTGGGCAACATAACAACACCTCCATCTCTGCAAAAATAGAGAAAGAAATTATCCAGGCATGGTGGTGCCTGTAGTCCCAGCTATTTGGGAGGCTGATGCAAGATGATCACTTGAGCCCAGGAGTTGGAAGCTGCAGTGGGCTATGGTCCCATCTCTGCACTTCAGCCTGGGAGACAGAGCAAGACTTTGTCTCAAAAAAGATTATATATATATATGTGTGTGTGTGTGTGTGTGTGTGTGTGTGTGTGTGTATAATTTTATTATTAACTAAATATAAATATGTGTTTAACAAATATATATAAATGTTTGACATATAATTTTAAAATTACAGTTAATAAATTCTACTGATAACAAACCACATTAGTTAGATTTTTTTTAACATACAATTCTTCAAGAATAAACTTGATGCCATTGTCAGCAAACTGAACTGCCACCCAGCTTTACTTTATGTTTATTTTCCTTTATACTTCTATTTACCTATGGCTTCTGGTAAGGCATCCAACCTAATTATTCACTAGATTTTTAGTCAACACTTAGTATGTACCAATCCTTGTTTTCATCACCAGGAGCGCAAAATTGACAACGCTCCTTGAGGCATTTGATCTAATTGGATGGCATTAGATGGCTCATGTCTAAGTGATTTCGAGTGCCCTCTCCTCTCCTTGGGCCTTTGGCAATGTCTGTAGGTGTTTTTGATTGTTATAAATAGGGGTTAAGGAACAAATGTGCTCCTGGCATCTGGTAGGTGGAGTCCAGGAATGCTGCCAAACATTCTGCTGTGCACAGAACAACCCCCTAGCAAAGAACGATCTGACTCCAAATGTCCATAGTGCTGAGATGGAGAAACACCGCCTAGAAGGAATGATGAACACAGAAACAGATGAGTCTGAAACAAGGGGATAAATACAGTAAAAAATTGATAGTCTATTACTAGAGTACCATTAGTACTGTTAGTGGCTCTTCTATTAGTAGAAAGCTTGTTTTTGAAGATGTATTCCTTCCTGTATAGTTCCATAGCTACATTAAAACATTTTTATCGTGGAAGATTTTAAGCATGCAAAAAATAAAAGAGTTAAACTCATTTTCCACCTTCAGCCATTACCAACTTCATCAATTTTGTTTCATATGTACTCACCCCCTCCCACTTTGACAGGTTATTCTAAAACAAACTTGCACATCATATACTTTAATTTGCAACCACTTCAAGTGTATACCTCAAAGAGATAAGACATTCTTTTCAAAAATACAACTCTTTATTTTTAATCACAGCAAAAACATTCCTTAATGCATGGATACATTCTTTACATGACAAAACAAGAACAAAAACAAAAGACCCCATGGGTTTTTTGGTTTGATGTTATTAAGACATCTGTCCCATCTCCCTCCCTGTATCTTTATCTTGAGTTGAGCAGGAGAGGTATTGAAATCTTTCTTCTTTTATGTATCTTGTTGATTGGTGGCATATCTATCAGAGTACTCCATGCTGACCGACGCTACCTGGGCAGTGATTTAACCTGCAAACTTTGCCGATTTCTGTATGTTAGGGGTTTGGACCGGTGCTTGTTTTAGTGTGCCTGGCACAGGATTTTTGTCTGACTTGGCCCCAGCCTGCGCACTGACTGCCCATCCCGCACCCCATGACCAAGTTTTCCCTGGATACATGATTTTTTTTAACTGGCAGGCCCCCAAGTGATACTTTTCTCTGTCTTTGTACCAGTTGATTCTAACAACAGACTTTTTCTCTGGAGACTGACATCCCTCACAGAATGGTGGCAACTACCCTAATGGCTTTTAAAGGGTCAACCCTTGCCTACCATTTTAGAAAGCAAATTTTGTTCTTGAAAGATGTTCAGAAACAAATGGGGGAAAAAGCAAGCAGTAAACAAATGTATAAGAATATGCTAACAACTCAGAACAAAACTGAAACCAAAAGTTCATTTACCAGGATCAGAAACACAAACAAAGACTTTTTATCTATTCTGGCAAGTCATTTCTAGTAAAAAGACAGTTTGCGTGACTTGCCAGAATACATAAAAAGTCTTTTATAGTCCCAGAAGGGATACGAGAGCCTTTACTACAGTGACTTAACCCACTCAGGTCCTAAATAAGCTCAACAGACAGCTGCTATCAAAGGAAGGAAGCCTGACCTGAGAGATGTACCTGGGTAGAAAAAAGGCAATCCGCGGAAGTACAGCTCAATTGTGTGTACCTCGTCTTGTCCCAAAGGTTGCCGATCTGTTTTAAAGGTACCCTTGTTTCATCCCACTTCTGACCACAGAGTATGTCAACCTAAAAAAAAAGACACTTAAGAATCTTACTTCCAGATATGTTGAATTTATTCAGGAGTGGAAAAAGTGGTTTATCAGAGATTCACAGAGTGGCAACCCACAAGTGCCATCTGCTGAAAGGTAAAGGGACGCTTTTTTTTAGCAGGAAGAGAGAGGTTCATGTAACCTACTTAGGAACAGAGTTTATTGGTTCCAAAGGCATGAAGTCAGAGTTGTCATCAGTTTATCGGCGGAGATGCTGTTACTGGGGCAAGTATTCCTTAGAGTATTTTATTGGAATTATTACAGCCCTAAAGAGTGTCTAGTAATGCACTTTTTTTTTAGTTAAATGAGATATATTATTACAATTAATTTTACCTACTTTCTATTTTTCTTTTTTTTTTTTTTGAGATGGAGTCTTGCTCTGTCACCCAGGCTGGAGTGCAATGACACAATCTCGGCTCACTGCAACCTCCACCTCCTGGGTTCAAGCAGTTCTCCTGCCTCAGCCTCCCAAGTAGCTGGGACTATTGGCGTGTGCCATCAAGCCTGGCTAACTTTTTTGTATTTTTAATAGAGACGGGGTTTCACTGTGTTAGCCAGGATGGTCTCGAACTCCTGACTTTGTGATCCACCGGCCTCGGCCTCCCAAAGTGCTGGGATTACAGGAGTGAACCACCATGCCCGGCCTTTTTAAAATTATTATTATACTTTAAGTTATTGGATACATGTGCAGAATGTGCAGGTACCATGGTGGTTTGCTGCACTCATCAACCTGTCATCTACATTAGGTATTTCTCCTAATGCTATCCTTCCCCTAGACCCCCACCCTGCGACAGGCCCCAGTGTGTGATGTTCCCCTCCCTGTGTCCACATGTCCTCATTGTTCAACTCCCACTTATGAGTGAGAACATGTGTTTGATTTTCTGTTCCATGTGTGTTTGTTGAGAATGATGGTGTCCAGCTTCATCCATGTACCCGCAAAGGACATGAACTCATCCTTTCTTATGGCTGCATAGTATTCTATGGTGTATATGTGCCCCCATTTTCTTTATCCAGTCTATCATTGATGGGCATTTGGGTTGGTTCCAAGTCTTTGCTATTGCGAACAGTGCTGCAATAAACATACATGATGCATTTTTTTTTTCAGACTGAGTCTTGCTCTGTTGCCCAGGCTGGAGTGCAGTGGTGTAGTCTCTGCTCACTGCAACCTCTGCCTTCTGGGTTCAAGCGATTCTCCTGCCTCAGCCTCTGGAGTAGCTGGGATTACAGGTGTGCACCACCACCCTCAGCTAATTTCTGTATTTTTAGTAGAGACGGGGTTTCAACATGTTGGCCAGGCTGGTCTTGAACTCCTGACCTCAAATAATCTGCCCACCTTGGCCTCCCAGAGTACTGAGATTACAGGCGTGGGCCACCACGCCCAGCCTAGTGATACAGTTTCTACAGTCATTTGTCATTTGAAGCAAATTGGAAAGGTGAAAAAGCTCGATAAGTTGGTGCCTCGTGAACTGACTGAAAATTTAAAAAAAGAAAATCACCATTTTGAGGTGTCGTTTTCTCTCATTCTATGCAGCAACAATGAACCATTTCTTGATTGGATTGTGATGTGACGAAAAGTGGATTTTATACGACAACCGGCAATGACCAGCTCAGTGGTTGGACCAAGAAGACGCTCCAAGGCACTTCCCAAAGCCAAACTTGCACCAAAAAAGGTTATGGTCACTATTTGGTGGTCGTCGGCTCGTCTGATCCACTGCAGCTTTCTGAATGCCAGTGAAACCATTGCCTCTGAGGAGTGTACTCAGCAAATTGATGACATGCACTGAAAACTCCAGCGCCTGCAGGCAGCATTGATCAACAGAAAAGCCCAATTCTTCTTCATGACAGCACCTGACCACATGTCACACAACTCACGCTTTAAAAGTTGAACAAATTGGGCTACGAAGTTTCACCTCATCTGCCGTATTCACCTGATCTCTCGCCAACTGACTACTACTTATTCGAGCATCTTGACAACTCTTTGCAGGGAAAATGCTTTCAGGACCAGCAGGATGCAGAAAATGCTTTCAAGAGTTTATTGAATCCTGAAGAATGGATTTTTACACTATAGAAATAAACAGACTGGGCGCAGTGGCTCACGCCTGTAATCTCAGCACTTTGGGAGGCCAAGGCAGCCAGATCACCTGAGGTGAGGAGTGCGAGACCAGCATGACCAACATGGAGAAACCCCGTCTCTACTAAAAATACAAAATTAGCCAGGCGTGGTGGTGCATGCCTGTAATCCCAGCTACTTGGGAGGCTGAGGAAGGAGAATCACTTGAACCCAGGAGGCGGAGGTTGTGAGCTGAGATTGCACCACTGCATTCCAGCCTGGGCAGCAAGAGTGAAAGTCCATCTCAGAGAGGAAAAAAAAAAAAAAAGGAAAAAGAAAAGAAAAAAAAAAACTTATTTCTCATTGACAAAAATGTGTTGGTTGTAATGGTTCCTATTTTGATTAATAAAGATGTTTGAGCCTAGTTATAATGATTTAAAATTCACAGTCCAAACTGCTGTTACTTTTGCACCAACCTAAAAATACTTGTATACGTGTGAAACATGCCAGACTTCCAAGACAGGAGATGTGTGACAGATGTGAAGGGATTTCTTGGGAGGTGTTTAGGAAGCCTTTGGAAGCAGTTCTTATCTCAGACATGCAAGCACGAGCCTCCTCTTTTGTGCATTCCCAGCCCTGTTTTGTCAGCGTCTGAAAAGAGTGATTCCATCCTGGTATGTGCAATTCTCACAGCTTGTATAGATAAAATTTTGCAACTGTGCAAATATTTCCGCAGAGTAAATATCTAGGAATAGAAGAAGTAGTTCAAAAAGTAAACACATTTGAAATTCTAATAACTATTGTCAACAGCCCTCCTCAGTGCTGGTACTAATTACACTTCTAAGAGCTGTGTATGATGGGAGCTGTTTTCCCTCACCCTCACCAGAAGTACTTTTTTATATTTTTCAGTTTTCCTACTTGATAAGTGAGCAGTGATTTCTTAGTATTGTTTTAATTTGAATTTTTTTTATTATGAGCAAAGTCGAGCATCTTTTCTGATGATTAAAATGCTGTTGTATTTCCTTTTCTGTTAACTGTTGTTCTGGTCATTTTTTCTATTGGATTGTTGGTTTTTTCCTTATGGATTTCTAGAGGAACACTGTTTTACTCATAGTTCGTCTTTTGACATTATTTATAGTGTTTTCATCATATAGGCTTACTTTTTTTTTTGAATCAGGGTCTTACTCTGTTGCCCTAGATGGAATGCAATGGCACAATCATGGGTCATTGCAACCTCCTATCTCCCAGGCTCAAGTAATCCTCCTGCCTCAGCCTCTCAAGCAGCTGGGAATACAGGTGTGGGCCACCACGCCCAGCTAATTGTTATATTTTTTGTTTGTAGATACGGAGCTTCACCGTGTTTCCCAGGCTAGTCTCACAATCCTGGGCACAAGTGTTTCACCCACCTCAGCCACCCAAAGTGCTGGGATTATAGATGTGAACCACTGTGCCCAGCCAACAATTTTTATAATGACCTCTGGATTGTATATCATGCAGTTGGCCCTCTGTATCTGTGGGTTCTGCATCCAAACTATGGATTGAAAATATTCCAAAAAATCAAACAATAAAAATAACGCAAATTTTAAAACAATACATTATAACAACTATTTACATAGTACTTACACCATATTAGGTATTAGAAGTAATCCTTATAAGTACAGAGATGATTTAATGTTCATAGGTTATATGCAAATATTGCACCATTTTATATAAGAGATTTGAGGCTGGGCACGGTGGCTCACGCCTGTAATCACAGCACCTTGGGAGGCTGAGGTGGGTGGATCACGAGGTCAGGAGATTGAGAACATCCTGGCTAACACAGTGAAACCCTGTCTCTTCCAAAAAAAAAAAAAAATTACAAAAAATTAGCCGGGCGTGGTGGCGGGCACCTGTAAGCCCAGCTACTTGGGAGGCTGAGGCAGGAGAATGGCGTGAACCCGGGAGGCAGAGCTTGCAGTGTGCTGAGATTGCGCCGCTGCACTCCAGCCTGGGCGACAGCGAGACTCTGACATATATATATATATATTTGAGCATCATGGACTTTAGTATCTGAGGGAGATCCTGGAACAAATGTGCCACGTACACAGAGGAACAACTGTAATCAGAAAGGCTTTTCCCATTTGCTATGGTTTGAATGTATCTCTCAAAGTTCATGTGTTGGAAACTTAATCCCCGATGCAAGTGTCGAGAAGTGGGACTTTTAAGAGGTGATCAGGCTATGATGAGTCTGCCCTCATGAGTGGATTAATAGTGTCGTTTTGGGATGAGTTCCTGATAAATAGATGAGTTCACCTCCTTCCTCTCATACTCTCTCATGTGTGCTTTTGTGCCTTTCTGTCCTTCTACCATGGGATGACACAGGAAGAAGGTCCTAGCCAGATGCAGCCCCCTGATCTTGGACTTCCAAGCCTTCAGAAGCATGAGCCAAATACATTTCTGTCTATTATAAATTATCTTTTTTTCACTGATTTTAGATGAAATTTTTACTGTAAATTCTTGTATGTATTTGGGTGTATTTCTCTGGACTTTTTGATAACATGTTTCTCCTGTTTATAATTATAGCAACTTTATGTTTTAATATTTGCACTTCTTTTTCAAAGTTTTCCTAATATTCTTGTTTGCTTTTCAACATGAATATTAAAAGTAGTTTAATAAATGAAACAATAACAACAAAACAATAATACCTATTGGCATTTAATTTACGAATGAACTAAGGAAGAATTGCCATCTTTATTATGTTGAGGTTTCTTGTTCAAGTACACAAATTTTTTTTTTTTTTTAATTGATCATTCTTGGGTGTTTCTCGCAGAGGGGGATTTGGCAGGGTCATAGGACAATAGTGGAGGGAAGGTCAGCAGATAAACAAGTGAACAAAGGTCTCTGGTTTTCCTAGGCAGAGGACCCTGCGGCCTTCCGCAGTGTTTGTGTCCCGGGGTACTTGAGATTAGGGAGTGGTGATGACTCTTAACGAGCATGCTGCCTTCAAGCATCTGTTTAACAAAGCACATCTTGCACCGCCCTTAATCCATTTAACCCTGAGTGGACACAGCACATGTTTCAGAGAGCACAGGGTTGGGGGTAAGGTCACAGATCAACAGGATCCCAAGGCAGAAGAATTTTTCTTAGTACAGAACAAAATGAAAAGTCTCCCATGTCTACTACTTTCCACACAGACATGGCAACCATCCGATTTCTCAATCTTTTCCCCACCTTTCCCCCCCTTTCTATTCCACAAAACCGCCATTGTCATCATGGCCCGTTCTCAATGAGCTGTTGGGTACACCTCCCAGACGGGGTAGTGGCCTGGCAAAGGGGCTCCTCACTTCCCAGTAGGGGCGGCCGGGCAGAGGCGCCCCTCACCTCCCGGACGGGCCGGCTGGCCGGGCGGGGGGCTGACCCCCCACCTCCCTCCCGGACGGGGCGGCTGGCCTGGCGGGGGACTGACCCCCCCACCTCCCTCCCGGATGGGGTGACTGCCGGGCGGAGAGGCTCCTCACTTCTCAGACGGGGCGGCTGCCGGGCGGATGGGCTCCTCACTTCTCAGACGGGGCGGTTGCCAGGCAGAAGGTCTCCTCACTTCTCAGACGGGGTGGCCGGGCAGAGTCGCTCCTCACCTCCCAGACGGGGCGGTGGGGCAGAGGCGCTCCCCACATCTCAGACGATGGGCGGCCGGGCAGAGACGCTCCTCACTTCCTAGATGGGATGGCGGCCGGGCAGAGACGCTCCTCACTTTCCAGACTGGGCAGCCAGGCAGAGGGGCTCCTCCCATCCCAGACGATGGGCGGCCAGGCAGAGACTCTCCTCACTTCCCAGACGGGGTGGCGGCCGGGCAGAGGCTGCAATCTCGGCATTTTGGGAGGCCAAGGCAGGCGGCTGGGAGGTGGAGGTTGTAGCGAGCCGAGATCACGCCACTGCACTCCAGCCTGGGCACCATTGAGCACTGCCAAGTACACAAATGTTTTTCCATTTGTTTAAGTATTTTTGTTTTGATTTTGATGTATTCTTTATATAGCTCATGTGATTTCTCACTTATTAATTCCAATGGATTGTTCGTTGTTGCTATTGTGACAAGTGAACTCTGTATCAGTAGGAGTTCCAGTAGGGAACAAATGACTCTATTTATATTGGTTAACTAGAGAGATAAAAAGTGATATTTACAAAAATGTAAACAAAATAAAGAAAAACCAAGGAAAAAGAGTATTACCTTTGAGCTAGTAACAGTAGTCCTGGTCCCTCATTTTCACACCTAGGCATGAATGGTTGGAAGGAGTAGTTGCTGTACTCCAGAGACAGCACTCTTATTGGAGAGGCCAACTGATAAGAGCTATACATTGCCCTTGCCCACTGTGATCCCTCCAGAAAATAGGGATAAAAGAGAAAATAAGTATGCTACCCCACTCTCCTCCATTCCTTAGATCTCCTGTTGGGGCTTCCCAGTGGCCAAGCCCAACCAGAGGCAAGAGGGCAGGAGAGTCTATTGCTAGGATCAATACTGTCGAGGCTTGCTGGGGCGAGAGCAGGAGGGAGTCCAGTGAGAGTTAATCTGGAGACAAACAGAGGACACCCAACGCTGTGTCCTTTCTCCCACTGAATCTTCTATTGACAGTTATTTTTTATATTTGAAAGACACTGATTTTTACTTTTTTTTTTTTTTTTGAGACAAGGTCTCACTCTGTAGCCCAGTCTGGAGTACAGTGGGGCAATCATGGCTCGTTGCAGCCTCAACCTCCCTGGGCTTAAACAGTCCTTGAGGCCATCTCAGCCCCTGGAGTAGCTGGGACCACAGACTTGCACCACCACGCCCAGCTGATTTTTGTTTTTCTTGTAGAAACGAGGTTTCGCCATGTTGGTCAGGCTGGTCTCAAACTCCTGAGCTCAAGCGATCCGCCAGCCTGGGCCTCCCAGAGTGCTGGGATTACAGACTTGGGTCACCGCACCTGGCCTGTGAATTTTATTGAATGCAAATTGTACCACAAAAAATGCAAAATATAGGCCGGGCGTTGTGGCTCATGTCTGTAATCCCAGCATTTTGGGAGTCCAAGACAGGTGAATAATCTGAGGTCAGAAGTTCAAGACCAGCCTGAGCAACATGGTGAAACTCCGTCTCTACCAAAAATACAAAAATAGCCAGGCGTGGTTGTGTGTGCCTGTAATCCCAGCTACTTGGGAGGCTGAGGCAGGAGAATTGCTTGAGCCCGGGAGGCGGAGGTTGCAGTGAGCCAAGATGGTGCCACTTCACTCCAGCCTGGGCAACAGAGATCCCGTCTCTACAAAAAGAAAAGAAAAGGTAAATGTGTTTTTAACCTGATAAATTTCCAACCTGTTTTTCCAAATGAATGTTAGGTACAGTGTAACTAACCACTGGCAATAGATGAGTATTCCAGTTGTTCTACCTTCCAGCACTTTGGGAGGCCCAGGAGGGTGGACTGCTTGAGCTCAAGAGTTGCCCAGCCTGGGGAACATAGAGAGACCTCATCTCTATTCTTTAAAAAATTAAAAAGAAAAAAAGTTACTGGCTATTTATGTATATTCTCTTATGAAGGGCCTGTTTAAATCTTTTGTCCATTTTTGATGGAGTTGTCTTCTTATTGGTAAATTGTAATAGTTTGTTTTTTTTTTGAGACGGAGTCTCGCTCTTTTTCCCAGGCTGGAGTGCAGTGGTACAGTCTCAGCTCACTGCAAGCTCCGTCTCCTGGTTCACGCCATTCTCCTGCCTCAGCCTTCCGAGTAGCTGGGACTACGGGCGCCCGCCACCAGGCCGGCTGATTTTTTGTATTTTTAGTAGAGATGGGGTTTCACCGTGTTAGCCAGGATGGTCTGGATCTCCTGACCTCATGATCTGCCTGTCTCGGCCTCCCAAAGTGCTGGGATTACAGGCATGAGCCACCGCGCCCGGCCTGTAATAGTTCTTTATATATGCAAGACACAGGCCTTTGTTGGAAACATGTTTTGCAAACTTTTTTCCCGTTTTATTTTCTGAAGAGGGTTTTTTGAAGAGCAAAAGGTTTTCATTTTAATGAAATTTAATTTATTAATTTTTTTGTTTCATGCCTTTATGTCTTAATAAGAAACTTTCTCCTAACCTAATATCACAAATATATCCTTCTATTTTTTTCTGACTTAAGTTTTAAGATTTTAGTTCTTAAATTTAGGTCTATGACCCATTCTGAGTTAATTTTGTTATACAATAAAAGATAAGGGTCCAGACCCTTTTTCCTCCCATATAGAAACTATTCTAGTGCTGTTTGTTGAAAACACTAGCCTTTCATTCACTGAATGAAAATTTGGTGCTTTAATAAACATGAGTTGACTATGCGTATGTGGGTCTACTTCTGGACTGGACTCTGTCCCACTGATTGTTGTGCCTTTCCTTATCCCCATACCACACACTCTTGATAACTGAAGTATTATAGTCAGTCTTCGTATCAGGTAGTTTAAGTCCTCCAACCTTCTCTTTCTAAAATTGTTGAGCTGTTGTGAGTCCTTTTTATTTTCATATCAAGTTTAGAATTACTTGTCAATTTCTTTCTTTCTTTTTTTTCAGATGGAGTTTTGCTCTTTGTTGCCCAGGCTGGAGTGCAGTGACGCAATCTCGGCTCACCGCAACCTCTACCTTCCGGGTTCAAGTGATTCTCCTGTCTCAGCCTCCCAAGTAACAGATTACAGGCACCTGCCACCACACCTGGCTAATTTGTGTATTTTTAGTAGAGATGGGGATTCATCATGTTGGCCAGGATGGTCTCAAACTCCTGACCTCAGGTGATCTGCCAGCCTCGGCCTCCCAAAGTGCTGGGATTACAGGCATAAGCCACCACTCCCGGCCCCAGTTACTTGTCAATTTCTAAAACAATGTGCTTGCTATGATATTTATTAAAATTGCATCAACTCTATCATAGATTCAGGAAAAATTAATATCTTAACATTATTGAGTCTTCCAGTTCATAAATATGACCTATGTCTCCATGTACTTAGGTCTTTTAAAATTTCTTTATCAGTGTATAGATCTTCCACATCTTTGGTTAAATTTATTCCTGAATATGTTTGTTATTTTGAACGTATTTGTTTTTTTTCTATTTTATTTCCATAAGTTTTTGGGGAACAGGTTGTGTTTGGTTACATGAATAAGTTCTTCAGTGGTGGTATCTGAGATTCTGGTGCATCCATCAATCTGAGCAGTATACACCGTACCCAATTTGTAGTCTTTTAACCTTTATCCCCCTCCCACCCTTTCCCCACAAGCCCCCAAAGTCCACCGTATCATTCTTATGGCTTTGTATCCTCATAGCTTATCTCCCACTTATGAGTGAGAACATACCGTATTTCTTTTTTAAATGTCATTTTCAATTGCTTGCTACTGATATACAGAAATAAAATGTGATTATTGCATATTGATCTCTTATCCTGTGATCTTGCTGTAATCACTTGGTCTAGGAGATTTTGTATATTCCTTTAGGATTGTTTATATACATAATTATGTTGACTATGTAAATAAGACAGTTTTACTTCTTCCTTTACAAACTGTGTTTTTTTTTTCTTGTCTTTTTGAACTATCTTTGTAAGAGTGGATATTTCTGTCTTGTTTCTGTTCTAAGGTAGAAAGCACTTAGTTTTTCACAATTAAATATGATGTTAGCTCTAAGTTTTTTACAGATGCCCTTTTTTAGGTTGAGGAAATTTCATCCTATTCTGAGTTTGCCAAGAGTTTTATCATGAATTGGTGTTGAACTTTGTCAAATAGTTTTTTCCTGCATCTGTTGAAATGATCACATGATTTTTCTCCTATATTCTATTAAAATGGTGAATTATATTATTTGCTTTTCATATCAAAGCAACATTGCATTTGTTGGAGAAACACCAGTTGATCATGGTACTTTTTTAAAAAAAATTGCTAGATTCAATTTCTTAATATTTTGTTTAAAATTTTTGCATTTATTTTCATGAAGGATATTAGTCTATAGTTTTCTTAGTATGTCTCTGTCAAGTATTAAACCAAGGTATTGCAGGCCTTATAAAATGAGTAGAGCAGTATTCCCTCTTCTTTTACCTGACATAGTTTGGGAGAGATGGTTATGTGTTAAAACATAATTTTTTCACTTAACATGTTAAAACTTAAATGTTTCAAAAAACTTAAATATTTCATAAAATTCACCATGAAGTCATCAGAGTCTGGAGTTTTCTCTGTCGAAAAGTTTTTATTTAAAAAATAATTTTTACTAATAGTCTGGGCACAGTGGCTCATACCTGTAAGCTCAGCACTTTGGGAGGTTAAGGTGGGAGGATTGCTTAAGCCCTGGAATTCAAGACCAGTCTGAGCACTGTAAGGAGACCTTGTATCTACAAAAAAAATTTTTTTTTTAATTAACTAGGCTTGGTGGTGTGTGCCTGTAGTCCTAGTTACTGAGGAGGCTGAGGTGGGAGGATCACTTGAGCCCAAGAGGTCCAGGCTGCTGTGAGCCATGGTCAGGCCACTGAAGTCCAGCCTGGGCAAAAAAGTGAGACACTGTTTCATAGGAATCGTAATAGTAATTTGTTGTAGGGCAATCTGGGTCTTCTGGGTTTTTGTGAGTCTGTTTTTGTAATTTCTGTCTTTCAGAGAATCTTTTTTATCTAAATTATTGAACTTTTTGGCATAGTGTTGCTCACAATTTTTTTTCTTATTTTTCTTTTGATAACTGTAAGAACTGTACCAATAATTCTCTCCCATTTCTGATATTGATAATTTTTTCTTTTTCTTTTCTTTTTTATTTATTTATTTATTTTTTTGAGACAGGTTCTAGCTCTGTCACCCAGGCTGGAGTGCAGTGGTGCAGTATCTGCTGACTGCATCCCTTCACCTCCTGGGTTCAAGCAATCCTCCTGCCTCCGACTCTGGAGTAGCTGGGATTACAGGCACGCATCACCACACCCGGCTAATTTTTGTATTTTTAGTAGAGATGGGGTTTACCATGTTGGTCAGGCTGGTCTCAAACTCCTAACTTCAAGTGATCCACCTGTCTCGGCCTCCCAAAGTGCTGGGATTACAAGCGTGAGCTACTGGGCACCTGGCCTGTGGCCATTGATTTTTAATTGACCAGGTTGGCTAAAAGTTTATCAATTTTCAGAGAGCAAGCTTTTGATTCCATTGACTTTTGAGTGTGTCCGTTTTCTGTTTCATTGATTTCCACTGTTACCTTTATTATTTCTTTCCTTCTACTTACTTTGGGTTTATATCATTATGAGATGATCTTGTTTATCTCTAGCACCACTTTTTTCTTAAAATCTCTTTGTGGTAATGCAGCTACTTCAGCTTTCTGATGCTTTCTTATGTTTCCATGGTATGCGTTTTTTCATTCTTTTACTTTCGACTCATTTGTACTTTTGCATTTAAATAGCATCTTTTGTAGACAGCACATACGTTCTTGTTTTTATTAATATATTCCACCTGCTAATCTCTGTCTTTTGGTTCGACTGTTTCATCTATTTATATTTACTTTTTTTTCAGGGATGGAGTTTCTCTGTTGCCCAGGCTGGAGTGCTGTTCACAGGTCTCCTAACATTCTCTATTTGTCTTTTTTTGTTTGTTTTTGAGACAGGGTCTCATTTTGTGGAGTGCAGTGGTACAGTCACAGCTCGCTGCAACCTCAACCTCCTGGGCTCAAGCGATCTTCCCTCCTCAACCACTGGAGCAGCTGGAGTACAAGCATGCAGCACCACACCCAACTAATTAAAAAAATTTTTTTTTTTGGTAGAGATGGCGGTCTTGCTATGTCTCCCAGCTGCTCTTGAACTCCTGGCCTCACCTTGGCCTCCCAAAATGCTGGGATTATAGGCATGAGGCACCATGCCAGCCCTCTGTTTTTCAATTGAATACTTTCTATTGGTCTATCTTCAAGTTCACCAATGAATTCTGTCACCTACATTCTGCTACTGAGCCCACATAGTGATCTTTTATATATTGTTACTTTCTAATTTCCTTTGTATCTAATAGTTTAACAATTGATTATCTTGGGATATAATTATATCATCTTCCAGTCATGATAATTTTACCACCTGCTATGGTTTGAATGTATCTGCTAAAGTTCACGTGTTGGAAACTTGATTCCCACTTCAGTCAGGATCTCTTTGAAATTAAGAAGTGTGTGTGTGAGTGTGTGTGTGTGTGTGTGTGTGTCCTTGCTGCCTGAGGGTGGAGGAAGAAATTGTGAACAGGAATCCTGTATTTGCTTGTCTGTGTCAGGGGAAAAGAATTATACCCCAATTCTTTTCCGCTGATCCTCAAGCCTGGGAAATTTTAAAGGAGATGGGAAACGACCCCGCCTTCTTATGAATATGCAACAGTAAGGGGTTGGGAGAAGGGAGAGAAAAGGCCTGCAAGAAATTCACCCCAGGTCCTCCTGCTCCGGGCTCAGCCCGGGCCCCCCACCGTCCTACCCACGAAGAACAGCAAACAATAGCACAGCCCCGGCCCTGGAAGCCGAGCTAGCCGCAGAGGGTGATGCGGAACTGCTCATCGCCAGGGAAACGCGGCATTCGGACAGCCGTCCAGAGCCTGTCTGAGTTCTGCTGGGCGGGGAGCCAGAGACTGATTCGCTGCGGTCCTGGGCCCAGCGGCTGGGAGGTCCCGCCCTGGCCGAGGAAATGAAGAGGGCGCAGGGCATGGGGGCGGCGCGCACCCGGGACAGTTTCCAGTCGGCTTCTCCGTGACCTTCCTCCCCCTTCCAGCTCGGAGCGGGATGCTGGGATCCCTCCAAGGACCCTCTGAGGACGTAGGAGGGATGCTGAGACAGGCAAGTGGGATTTCTCTACATATTGTCACCTCGCCCGCACTTTTGGAGAAGGTAGAGCCAAGCAGCATTTGGCCGAAATCCTGTGCCCGTGGAACATTTTTTTCCTGAAGTGGGGGGTGAAAGTTGATGATCAGCGGCTCCGGGTAGGAGAAGGGATAGAGCTATAGGTGCGGTGAGGTTAGAGAAGTTGTCATGGCCGAGCTTGCAGTGAGCCGAGATCGCGCCACTCCATCCTCGGCGACAGAGCGAGACTCCGTCTCAAAAAAAAAAGAAGAAAAGAAAAGTTGCCGCGGCCCCAGCAGGCTCAAGGGGTGAGCGCATAGGGGCGCCGGGGCAGTAGTTGCACAAAGCCAGCCTGGCGGTCGCGTTGCCATGGCAGCGGGGGAGGGGCCGAGCCGCAGCGTGGCTGTGTTGCCGGGCGACGGAGGAGCCGCGGGGGAGGCCGAAATCTCCCGGTGCTCAGCGTCACTGCGTGAGCCCCCACTCTGATGCTTCGTTGGTGTGTGTGTCTGTCGGTGTCAATCCACAGTCCGCTGGCAGCCTCTGTCACTTGGTTAGGGAATAAACTATCACCTACTTAATACCTTAATGCTCTGCTTTTGAAAATATTTGGATTGTGGTGTTATGGAAGACATGAACAAGAATAGTACTCCTACTTAACGAAGTTTTGTTTTGTTTTGTTCGTTTTGAGACAGTCTTACTTTGTCGCCCAGGTTGGAGGGCAGTGGCGGATCTTAGCTCACTGAAACCTCTGCCTCCCGGGTTCAAGCGATTCTCCTGCCTCACCCTCCCGAGTAGCTGGGATTACAGGCGGCCGTCGCTACACAAGGCTAATTTTTGTATTTTTAATAGAGAAAGGGTTTCACCATAATGGCCAGGCTGGTCTCAAACTCCTGACCTCAGGTGATCCGCCCGCCTCGGCCTCCCTAAGTGCTGGGATTAGAAGCTTGAGCCACTGCGCCTGGCCAACAAAGTTTTTTAAAAAATACGTTGTATTTCCTCGTTTTTAAGGTAGCATCTACTGATGGGAGTTCCTTAATTATCATTTAAAAAGTAAAGTACAGAACCAGATTTGGATCCACGAAACGAATTGTTCCTCAGCTTTTCAAACATACTAACCAAAAACATTTGCAAAAGAAAAATATATAAAGCCGGTAGCAGTACTAAATATTAGGCCCAGCACTAAAAATGCAGACAGTTCTACTGTTGGAAAGATGGCGACTTTCACAAAGGACTAGAGAGCATCAGCCTCATTTTATTTCTATGGGTATTTTCATACATGGAGATGTGCTAGGTGATTTTGTCTTACTATGTCAAAGATTACTTGTTTTAGCCATATACCATAGGAAAAAAAAAATGTCAAGGGGTTCGAATGATCTTTTTTAGAGCAGTTTTTTTGTAGCTACAATAGTACTTCTATTTTACAAATTATGTTATTTGTTTACTCAGATACTCATTCATCAAACATTTACTGAGGCTCTACTATGTGCTGTGTACAGTGCTAGACTTGAGAGCAGAGAGATAAGTGGTGAGAAGAACATACAAAACTGAATTAGAAAAATTCACAGTTTCGGGAGCCGGAAATGCTAGGAAGCAGTTGTAAACCACTGTGGTACATTCTCATTGTGAGATGCCACCAGGACAGCCCCTGCTACTGGCCAGGGCCTCAGGTACACAGACCACAGCTGAGCTTGGAACTTCATTTGCGTTGTGGGTTTTGCTCTTTCAAGGCAGGCATTTTTGGACCCATTTAAAATAGAAGGAGTCCAGCACTCAGAGAAGTGCGGTGATAAGCCTCATGTCTCACGGCCAGTCAGGCTCAAGATCCAAAAGCCACTGCTATGACATATATTTTGGAACATTCGCCCTTTGATCATTAAATCCTCACTACCTGAATGACTATATTTTTTGATCATTCATAATGGTAAGTGAATTTCTTAAAAACAATAACTGTGATGCAATTTTCTTTTTGGTTGAGATCTGAAGTCACGTATTTCTAAAATCAGATACCAATTGCATTCTGAAGATGTGTTCTTCCAACTGGAATGTTGTCATTGTCAATAATACTTTTTCCAGGGGTTCCTGGGAAGTAAATGAGAAAATTTAAATTTGGTTATTCATGATTTTAAAACATGTAAAGATGTGTGTGTTTTAAAGTACTGTGTTTAATAAATCGCTATAGCATTAGATTTGTTTAAAGCAAAATACACTAGTTATCATTTAAGTTTTTATTAACTTTTTAAATTTTTTGTCAGATTTCTTACTTTCCACTTGCAGCCACATTAGAGAGGTCATAGGAAAAATTTCTACCTAGAAAGTTCAGGTATGGACCTGGCTGGTCCTGCATGAAGACTTTGCTATGCATTTTCCACTGCAGCCTGGGAAACCTCTTTGAACTAATTTTATAAGCTATTTTACTGTTAAAATTTTATTTTTTCAAATAGATTGCAGAATCCCTGAAGGCAAGGACCAGGTCTTCTGTGTCTTTAGAATTCTCTTCATAATACTAAATACAACACTCTTCATAAATATTAACTGGCAGAAAAAGCAAAAATAAACTTTACCGGACTGATGAAAACTAGAGTAGAACTAATACTTTTATAGATACTATCCTGAGTCACAGAAGTTTTGCTTATTTGCTGATTTTTTTTTCATTAAACTCTACTGTGAAATGCTAGGGAGTACCTATTTCATAGGTAGAAAAACTGAGTTGTAGTGATTAGCATATGAAATATTTTTCAATGCATTATCTTCATTGAGCCTTACAACAACCACTCAGGAATTCACATCACCATTTTTTAAATATGTGAGAAAACAGAAGCTCAGAGAAGTTGAACGAGTCAGACAGGGTCACCCAGAAAGGAAGAGGTGCATCTTCTGACCGTGTCACATGATTTTTATTCTGCCATTGCAAACCAGGTACACGTGTGAGCTTCGGGAGGCTGGGTCTCCCACCAGCCCTGGAGTGCTAGGTGCAAGATCCCTTCTCTCCCTCACCTCCTCAAGGCTGCTCTGCCGTCTGGGAAGAAGGTGAGAGAAACTCTTTCAAAAGACAAAGGGGCAGGGCCAGTGAAAGGAGGAGCTGGAGAGGGGCTCCCTGGAGCAAAATGAAGTGAGATTGAGAAGGAAGAGTCAAGTGAAGTTGATCGAAAACCAGCCACTGTTCAAAAATGGGAGTGAGGGGTTGGGAGAGAGTGTCTTTGTTCGGGCTGCCATCACAAAACACCACAGCCTGGGGGCTTAAGTGACAGACCTTGATTGTCCCAGTGCTGGGGGCTGGTAGTCCGAGATCAAGGAGTCTGCAGGGATGGTTTTTTCTGACGCCGCGCTCCTTGGCTCACAAACAACTGCCTTCTTACTGCGTCTTCACGTGGTCATCCTTCTATATTGTCTGTGTCCTAATCTCTGCTTATAAGGACACCAGTCATACTGGATTAGAGCCCACCCATATGACCTCATTATACCTCAATTACCGCTATGAAGGCCCTATCTCCAAACACAGTCCCATTCTGAGGTACTGGAGTCAGGACTTCATCCTGTGAATTTTGAGCCCAGAGCAGAGAATTTTTAAAAAGTGGACACTGATCTGTGACTTTGAAGACAAAACCTGTTGACCTGTTTCAATTGCTTTGTTATTCTCATTAGTATTTTCTCTTAGCACAAATAAATGGTTGAGCAAATAGTGGCCATTTATTTTTACACTAGTATATTCTGTTGGTTGTTTTTTTTTTTTAAAAAACATCCAGAACTGAATTCTATATCTAGCTTGCTTCATAATTTATTTTCACTCTCATCTCTGCAGGGCCAGCTTCAAACCTTGTCAAGCTCTGACAAGGGAAGATGAAGCCTAGTTCCAGCTAGGGGTGACCTGTCTATCTGCATTTTTTGAGCTGCAGAGTGATGGGAGTCATATTCGCTGCCTGTGCAGCACCACAGGCCTGATGAAAATGAAATGGCAACACCGTGCAGATGGCAAAGCGTAGGCCTCACAAACATCCTGGCCGTGAAGGTAAGTTGAGCAACTTTCTGCCTGCATGGCATTATCCATGCTTATTTCTAACAAGATACCTATGGCAGAGTATTTCAGGCTGTTTGTGAAGGGCAGCCAGTAGAATTTGAAGGTTTTCACTGAGGCATTGAGCAACTAACAAGGGTGTAATTGGAACGTGTGGCAAGAACTCCAATTGTTAAAATATGTGGTCATAAAATGATAGGGTCTAGGGCGAAGCCTGCAGGTCTTGTGGTCAGTATCTTGCCCTTGGCTGGACTACATAGTGTCTGTTTTGTAAAGGTAGAAATCAATACTGTGTTTCAAGTCAGCTAAAGAAGAAGGTTCCAGAGTCTTCTGCCACAGAAGTTTCGGTATTCACCAGTCATCAGAGTCTCAAAGTACTTGTGTTTGTCTCCTTAACTTCCTTCATTACTTTATATTCTGCCTTCAAAGGGAGGGAGAGTAGTCTTCTATTTTATCCATCATTTGCTGAAAGAATTATATGAGGTTGCTTCTTGGCTCTTCTCTGTAAGTTGAATAGAAACCGTGTGCATTGTTCTAGGAATCTGTTTCTATCATGGCCCCGCGCAGCACCTGTCCTTCCCACCGTGAGTGGTGGAGCTGTGGTCTGTGTCATCCTCGCATTTCCAACCCCAGTCATACCCCTTTACTTTTAAGTGTGAGGCCCCGGATGAAATTCTGCAGTATCCCTGCTGAAGAGCAGGGCTCCAATGCACCTGGTGGAGCTTTTCCAAGGAACACGGAAAGTGTTCGGAATGCACTGCTTGGACAAGATCCAGCAGCTTTCCTTGATCGGTGCTTTCAGAAACAGGTTCTTGTGTAGAACAGCTACGGGTATCCCAGCCAAAAAAGACTGCCTATTTCTGAGAGCTGTGCATACTTAATTAGAACAGGGATTGGTGCCAGCACTTGGAGTTTGAAAAGTCAGCTTTGAACATGAATGCAAGTCCCTGCAAGGTAGAATGGTCTGTTTCTCCTTATTTGAGCCAGAAATCTGTGTAACCGGCCGGCGTGCACATCACATGGCACAGATTCAGGAGGTGAGCTGGTCTCTTCAGTTGCTGCTTTTATAGCAGCTTTTAATCAAAATGCTCACCTCAGACGCACCCTCCTCAAATTAAGGAACAGAATAACCAAACACAGATGTGTAAAGAGTGAGGGAAAACAGTTGTTCTGGCTGTTGATGACTTCCTCAGGCGTGGGCATAGTGAAATGCCCTTTCTTCCCGTCTGCTACCGAAGATGGCAATGACGTTGAGTGGCTTGGAAATTCAAACCACTCAACAAGTATTGACCAGTCACTCCCTGTATACTCAGTGCTGACAGGGGCATGAAATGTGTCACGACCTTTCTTCCTGAGTAGTTTATGATCCTGCTGAGGGTGAGCACACACAGGGAATCATGGGAAAGGTTGTGTCATGGCGTGGCCACCCCAGGAACGGCTGATGTGGGGGCTCAGTGGCCAGAGGCCCAGATCCTCCCCTGCTGTGGCTTCTTTCCTCTTACCTGGGTCTCCTGCATGTTCACATCACCCCATCCCCAATCCAGGCTCTGTCCCATTTTTCAGCTCAGGGTCTTCCTCCAGTCCGGTGAGAGTGGTTCAGGAAATCCTAGCTCTGGTTGTGTCTGCCCCAGTGTGAGTCTGGCTGTGGGGTTTCAAGCCTTATCTTCCTGGAGGAATTTCATCAGGGTCTGAAGGAAATATAAGAGGGACTGGGCTGAAGAAGAGGAAGAGAAGGCTGTCTTTCTTCATTATTGATAGTAGTCGTAAATCATTGGAAAGTCCTAAAAGACTGCCTGAGTGTTCATTTCCAGGACAGAAGGATACACAGGCAACATAAGAATATAAGACTGTGTTGAGGGCAACAGCAGGGCAAAGGAGAAAAGTGCTGGTCACAACCCTAGATGGTGACTGAAGAGAGGACAACAGCCAGCGGTCCATACGCTGAGACGGATGGGAGAAGAGACACACAGGGACGAGGAAGCCAGCCTGGGTACTAAGTATCCCCTGGATTAGCTGCAAGTGCGCTTCTCCTCACCCGCGGACCTCAGCTCTTCCCTTCATGATATCAGCAGTGATCTGGAGCTGGAGGAGTCCCCAGGGAGAAGGGAGTGCAGCTGTCGCTCATTCCACCCTTCCTGGCATTTCAAGTTGGAATAATAAATGCAGTTCTGGTGTGTTAGGTTTGCAAGTGTTTTTAGCATACCATGGTCTCGCATGTACACATTAGGTATTTCGGCTCGCCCAGGGACCTAGTCATTGTATAACCTCTTTCTAAGGAAACTATATGCCAAATTCCAAACAAGCAAAATGTTATTTTTCTTGTGCAAAGCCTTTGTATCTTGAAAATTGGGGCATCTAAGAATTTTATTTAGATAACAAGACAGAGATCAGAATGGGCCAGAGGAGCGTCAGGAGACCTGGGTGCAAGTCTTGCATAAATGCTTATCGAGCCAAATTCCCAGAGATTTACATGTGTTATCTGCAGGAAGAGGGTTTTGATTAGTTTTTAAGGTCCCTTCTGCTCCTTCTAAAAACCAGCCTAAAATGGAACATGTCTTCTCTAAGAATCCCAAATGCCTCTCAAGGATCAACCCCTTGGCCTTTTATCCAGGAGTCCCCTAGTGTCTCTAGGAAGCTGCAAGGATGATGGTATCTCCATTTTTACACACAAGGTTGGGAAAGTCTGCCTGGGAAAATGTTTAGAGGTGTGGATTTCTCACCTTTAATTTATCTTTTTGGTTTGCTCCTTTGTGAGATAGCATTGTCTTCAGCTGCTCTTGGCTATGATGTCTTAGCTGTAAGATCTTAGCCTTGAGAAAGAGCATCGGGGCCATACAGCAGTCATTTGGCCACAGGAATTTCAGTCACGTCAGGCTGTTTTTGCTGTTGTATTCCATCTCAGACCCAGATGTCTGCAGTTTCCTCAGATTGGAAACATCATGGGATCTCGTTGTGCAAGGAGTTCAGCATATTGAGAGTGAAGCACAATCACCTACCATTTTACATTATGGGAAATTTGACAAGTTTCAAATCTTGTTATTTTAGAGGTGAATGGATATATCTGTGTGTGTGTGTGTGTGTGTGTGTGTGTGTGTGTGTGTTACTACTCCACATGGGGCAGGCCTACCCCATAGGCAGTGGATTGATATTTTAAATGAACTAGAGGATTGAAACCTACACTGAACCTGTTAGTAAAATGAGACATTCATTTATAATGAAAGCAGATCTCTTAGTTTATGGGATGGATAATCTTGGGGTCTTATTTAGCAGGTTTTCTTTCAGTGGTTGTGTCTCTATTTAGATAGCTAATGTGGTATTTCAGAAAATATTTTCATGGCTAGCTATTAGAATATGTCTATGACCGGGAAATGAGGAGCCACACTGCTTGTAAAATACTTACATTTTCAGTGGATAAAAGATAGCTTGAATAATGTAAAAATCAATAGTTCCCATGATGGTGGAGTTATATTCTTTGGAGAAAAGTTTAAGTACTTCTAAGGTTAAATATTATGTTCATTACTCTTAGCTCTGGGAATCTGCCAAAATTATTTTTGCAGCCTTGTTTATATTTAGCCAACATAGGCAGTCAGCCACTGAATTAAGCATTTTTTTCTCCAAAAGACCTGATTTTGCCAATAAGAATTTGGTTATGCAATTATGTGTTGACTAATTAGAAGGTAAAAGCCCCGGATTTGAAAAGTTTGGTGTTTTATTTACCATTTTTAAGTGTGCAGTTCAGCGGCATTCAGCACATTCACATTATTGTGCAACCTTCACCTCCATCCATCTGCAGAACTCTTTTTATTTTACACAATTGGAATTCCCACTCCCCTCTCCAACCCCTGGCAACCACCATTCTACTTTCTGTCTCTATGAATTTGGCTACTCTAGGTACCTCTTACAAGCGGATTCTATAGTATTTGCCCTTTAGTATCTGGCTTATTTCACATAACGCAACGTTCTTAAGGCCCAGGTATGTTGTGGCATATGTCAGAATTTTGTTTCTCTTTTTTTTTTTTTTTGAGACAGAGCCTCACTCTGTCACCCAGGCTGGAGTGCAGTGGCACTGTCACAGTTTACTGCAACCTGTGTCTGCTGAGTTCAGGCAATTCTCCTGCCTCAGCCTCCTGAGTAGCTGGGATTACAGGCACCTACCACCACGTCTGGTTAATTTTTGTGTTTTTTAGTAGAGACGGGGTTTCACTGTGTTGGCCAGGCTGGTCTTGAACTCCTGACCCCTCAGGTGATCTGCCTGCCTTGGCCTCCTGAAGTGCTGGGATTACAGGCGTGAGCCACTGCGCCCAGCCAATTTTGTTCCTTTTTAAGGCTGAGTAATATTCCATAATGTGTATATACCACATTTTGTTTATTCATTCACCTGCTGATGGAAATTTGGGTGGTCTTCACTGTTTTAAATCTTTTCAGTGGTATTCTGGCCTCATGGTATTCTGTGCTATGGTGATAACATATTACATAAACCAGTTCTCTGTGGATAGGCTTTCAGTTTTTTCCATGCTTCTATGAATAACTGTGAACTTAAACCATTTCACACATGTGCAAGCATGTTGGTCAATCAGAATTATTGATATTGATTTGCTGAGAAGAACGTTTTGGGCACATTAAATTTTGGATGCTGATGAATTTCCTTCTGTGGAGATTGTACCAATTCATGTGTCCTTTATAAAGAATCTGTCTCCCAAGCCCTCACCAACGAAGCAAAAAATTCCTTCATCTTTGCTCATCTCATGATGGAAAATGGTGTCTCAGTGTGGTTTTAGTTTACATTTCTCCTATTTTGAATGAACTCTGAATGTTTCAGGGACATTGTATTTCTTTTACTGCAACTATCTGTTCATTTCCTTTGTTCATTTGTCAGTCGGGCTGTTGGGTTTTTCTCCCCCCTCTTCTTTATATTGGCTGTTGTTGAAAAATGTCCTTTTGTTTGGCATCCCTAGTGTGCAGCCTGTGGGAGTCTTTGGGGGCTCTCCTATGAAACAGGAGCTTTGTCTGAGAATTAGTAAAACCTGCTTTTCAACACCATTGATCAAATACTGGCTCGGTGACAGTAGGTTTTATTAAGGGGAGAGTCCAGTGCAGTAGTCCATTTACTGAAATGGTTCATATGCTGAAGAAAGAATATCTTTGTGAGAAAGTTATAAAAATTTCTAGTCTCACAATGTGTTTTAATGTTAAGATTTACTTGGCTGGGCGCGGTGGCTCATGCCTGTAATCCCAGCACTTTGGGAGGCCGAGGCAGGTGGATCATGAGGTCAGGATTTCGAGACTAGCCTGACCAACATGGTGAAACCCCGTCTCTACTAAAAATACAAAAAGTAGCCAGGAGTAGTAGCATGCGCCTGTAGTCCCAGCTACTCAGGAGGCTGAGGAAGGAGAATTGCTTCAACCTGGGAGGTAGAGGTTGCAATGAGCCGAGATCACGCCACTGCACTCCAGCCTGGGTGACAGAGTGAGATTTCATCTCAAAAAAAAAAAAGATTTACTCAAGTTATCTTTTAAAAGTTGAATACATAAACGTAAGTAGCTTGGTATGAACTGAAAAAAACAACCCAAAATAGCGTATTATTAAATATCATTTGCTAAGCTCATGCAGCTAACTGCATACTGGAAAACTCAAACTCAACATGCCCCACTCTGAACTCATCCCTCTGACCCACAGAGTAACGTCCCAGTTCCTGAGTTTGCTGTCTTGCTTCTCCACATACCTATCTACTCTTTTCTGTATTATTCTCTACATTATTGCCATGGGCGGAAAGTTTGTGTCCCCCTAAAATTCTATGCTGAAATCTAACCCCCAATGTGATGGTATCAGAAGTGAGGCCTTGGGAAGTGATTAGATCATGAGGACAGAAGCCTGATGAACAGGGTTGGTGCCCTCAGAAAAGAGGCCCCAGAGAGCTGTCTTGCCACTTCCACTATGTGAGGATGCAGTGAGATGGTACCATCTGTGAGCCAGAAAGTGGGCACCCACCAGACATTGAATCTGTGGATACTTTGATCTTTGACTTCCCAGCCTCCAGAACTGTCAGAGATAAATATCTGTTGTTTATAAGCCACCCAGGTTATGGTATTTTGTTACAGCAGCCCAAACAGAGTAAGACAACTGCCAACCAGTTCCACCTAAACAGTCTCTCCAGTGTCCAGTGTGTCCACCACCCTGCACCTGGTCACCACCATCTTGTTGAGATGCCACCCAATCCCTGCTGGATTCCCTCAGCCACCTCCAGCTGTGTTGTTGCCTTCAGACTTTTCCACATTCAGCAGTTTTATGATCTGTCACCAAGAGGAGTTTATGAAATGCAACTCTCTGGTTTTGTAAAACCATATCCCTGGCCAAAACCCTTTGATGGCCACCACTCCCCCAGAATAAAGCTCAAACTTATTAGCATGGCCTCTGGACTGGCATGCCCTGGCTCACTCCCTCTGTTTCCTTGCTCATTGCCCCCTCCTTCCTACACTCCACTGTTCCCAATAGTGATTTCTCAATTCCTTAAACTCAGGGTGCTCCCTTGTTTCAGCACCTTTGAATCTGCTCCTTTTTCTGGAATGTTCTCCCTTGTTCCACTTCCCAGTCTTCACCAACCTGAGCAGCTCTATTCCTTCTTCCTCTAGCAAGTCTTGCCCAACACTCCCCAGCCTGGTTTAGTGGATTCTTCTCAGATCCAGCATGTCCCTTAGCTTGCAAATTGCCCTATGCTATAATTGTCTACTTCCTTGTATAAAAGGGTGCACCCCACGAAGCTGTAAATGCCCAGGGAGCAGGATCACATCTACCTTGTTTCCCGTGATCACCCAGAACCTAACATATTGATTGCTCATAAACATCTGTTGATGGATGACTGTTGACAGATGGCTGGAGAACTAAAGGAGAATGCCTTCTGGAAATGGGATGTGACTGGGTGCCAGTGGCTTGTGATAGTATCACACATTCAGAGTCTTGGGATGAGACCCTGAGTGTCTTCCCCACAAATCCTGAAACCTGTGTGGCAAGAAGAGAAAGCTGAGTTGGCTGAAGTTTTATTTGCCTGGTGTACCCCTGGCCTTGTGAGAAAGACAGTGAAAGAAGATGAAGCCCGCTCAAGGTTAAGATCAGGCAGAGGAGAAACAGACACCTGCTTAACTGTCCTGGCAGAGTCCCAGGCAGGGCGGCAGCTCCCTGAGTGGAGAAGGGGCACACAAACTTAAGGCAGAGATCCTGGTCAGGGCTGGTGAGGAAGGGATGGATTCGGAATGCAGCATCACTCAAATTGCCTTCAAGGGCAGCCCGTCTAAGAACCTGTGCTGTCTTTTCTTTGTAATACATTCGTGTCCCTCTCTGAGATGTAAGTGTGGTTTGGGGCTGATTCAGGGCAATAAATCCTGTGTTTGCAGAATGTAGTCACTGATTTGGGACTTAGGGTCTAATCAGTATGCAGTCCAGTAAAAATAGCAAAGGTCATATTTTACTGCACTCTGTCTGAAGTAAGCAAACTTTCAGCTGAAGACACTCTCAGATGACTTCTTTTCTTGCTCCTCTTTTCTCCTTGAAAATTTACAGGGAATGTTGTGGTCATAAGGAACTTCTCCCTCACTGGGCTTCATGCTGCAAAGTTAGCGAGCCCCGGCCCGCAGTGTCCAGCTGTCTTTGCTATTACTGCCTTCTTTTCTCCAATGCATTGATAAGACTCATGTTCATAGCAAGTCCAGCACCGTGCATATTGTGCACATTTGTGAAAAATTGTTCAAGAAGTAAATATACTTCTCAGCCCCTAACACCAAGAGGACAACAGAGTAATCATCCCACAGTGACCTTCATTTGTAGACAATCAGATTAGGGAGACTCTGAGTTGGGGGCAGGTGGGCTGGGGTTGGGAGGTGGGTGAGTGGGTTGCTTTCTGTATTGTTTCTGAGAAGAAAAATCTTCCATGCCAAGCAGTGGTGAATGAGACTGTTCACTCAGGCTTTGGTATAGTGCAATGTGGAAAGCCACCCCAAATGGGAAGAGGACACGGTGATGAAGATCATGGGGTTATTGTAATGATTGGCACTGCCATTGTTGAGTGGTTACTACAAGCCAAGCCCTCTGCTAAATATTTCACATGGATTATTTTATGTAACCCTCACAAAACCTAGGAAGTGAGTTAGAATAGTGAGGCCCATTTGCAGTGAGATTTCTGAGATCCAGAACCACCCTCCCTGACACTCCTCAAGTCTGGGTTCTTGGTAGAAAGTGGAGAACTGCAGTCCAACCATGTGCTGTCAACCCAGGGACCTGCTGCCTCCATCAGTGTCCAGGAGGTCTGAGTCTAGCTTTGTTCCTAATAGCTGTGTGACCTTGTGTACTTAGGTCTCTGTGCTTCAGAGCAGCATGAGGTATATAAGGTTGTTGTGAAAATTATATAAAATAAGGCATGTATTAGTTAGGGTGATACTAAGTCCTGTAGTAAAGCCCAACATTTTGGTGGCTTGCCACAATAAAAATTTACCGCCTGGATACAGACCATTGCAGGTGTGTCTGATCGGTGGCAGGTGCTGGTGGTGGTGGATGGCTCTGCTCCACGAAGTCTTCAGGGATCTAGGCTAATGAAGGCTTTGTATCTTTGATGTGTGATTTCCAGGACCATTACACCCACAGACCAGAGAAGAATGTTGGCAGGGGTAGTCCCATGTATGATGAGGTCTGAAGGGTCAATTTCCGGGACTCTCTTTAAGAAATGAACACAAAGTGGTCCATGTGCTACAGCCCCTCCCTGAGCTTGAAAGGGGCCCTGCAGGAGAGGGATCCTGCAAGCCTAGGATTCATTAGCTTCCTGGCAAACTCACATCCATAGTTGGATGGAACTTGGGGACATGGCCACGTTTGGCTCCACAATGCTGGGAAACACTGTCTAGACTGTCCGAAATAGATGACTGCTGGCAGCTGCTGCCATGTGTGTAAAGTGCTTCTAACAGTGCCTGGCACGGCAAGAGCTAAGAAGTGTCAGCTACTATTCTTCTGTTTACAATGCAGCATGGGAATTTCCATCAAGCCAGCTGTGCCCTGAGAGCTGCCTGTCATATTTTCACCAACATGCTCTGGGCATCATATTATGTGCCTGGGCTCGGTCCAGGCTGCTGTGCTTTCAGAAAAGCCTGGAAGCATCAGCAGAGATGGGTTTAAAAGTCCACAGTCTAAGTCGCTACATAAGGAGCAATGAACCTGCTGTGGCGAAGGTCGTGGACAGAGTGTCCCAAGGCTTGGCCCACTGTGGCAGCTGGGGTTCCTAAGCCTGGCACTTTGCAACTGCAGAATCACAGCTGCTGCCTCAGAGCATCGCTGATCAGCCCAGTTACATCTGTAGTCCAAGGCAGTGGCTTTCAACTGTTTCTTTTCCATAGACCATGACATTTTAATTAATGGTTTTAGTTGATCTGCCACTAACTAGTGTGTGACTGAAGTAAGTGGTGTTAAAGTGCTGTTCTTCCTAGCAGTGTACTACCCACATCATCAAACATATTTCCCTTGTCTGCACATTTACGGCAATAAGGCTTCTCTGCAAATAAGAGAAAGCATGCACCTCTCAGAAGAGTGATGTTGTTTCACAGATGTCAAATGCTTGATGCCAGTTTCTGCCAAGGACGTTCTCGGCCCAGCACCTGATACCATGTGCATGTGGCCTGTCCATGCCCCAGCCCTTCCCACAGACCCCTGCGTGACATTGTTGGACCATGGATTCAAACCCACAGGCTAGGATAAGTGAGAATTTACCTAGGAAAGCCCATCCTTTGGCTAGAGGGAGAGGAAGCATCCAGGCTTGCTTTTTAAGGGGATCTCTAGGTACTTTCCCATAAAACTCCCCATCCAGCTGTAAACCACCCCTGCTCACAGCAGGCAGTATTTATGCAGGCTGAGGGTGAGGTCATTGCATATTCCAACAACAGATTTGTCTGGGAAATTAAATTTGCTTATGTTCAAGGTATGTGTGAGGGTGCAGCCAGCTGGGGTGAGCGATGATTCCCTGAAGTCTGGGAAGTGGTGGGTGATGGTGGTGGTGTTTTTTTTTTTTTTTCTTTTTTTTTTTTGACAAGTAACAAGGAGTTACAATGAAATGTCCTTCTCAATTATGAAGTGATTGCCACGCATTGGCGTCACAGCCTGTTCTTGCCAGTGACGGATATTCTTGTCATTCTTACAGTTTTGGGGTAAAGGAAATGTACTCCTGGCCTTCTAAATTCCAACTCAGAAAAATGTTCTAAAGGAAACACTACTGTGAAAGGATTAGGGACTTAGACTGCTCCATAAAAGTACCTTTGACCAAACCTATGGCAAAACTATAATTAAAAAGATATTGTGTAGGGTCATGTTCATTGGTAAGAATTTGAAACATATCTCATGTAGTATGAATGGAGCTTCAGTTCTCAGATGGAGCTTCAGCTATTGTATAGAGGGTGGAATGAGACAATCTTGCCATGGCTTCAGAGAGCACAATGAGGGTGGAAGCTGGAGGATGAGGTATCATCCTTAACAAGGGCAGAACTTTCTGTTAGAATAGAAGCAGAGGTGTTGGGGAGGAGGTTCGTGTGTGGGACTGGCCGGCATGACTGCAGGTGCCTTTCAGGCCCTGGATGCTGAGATCCTCTAAGTGTTGGGTAGGTCCCGCTAATTATCCACAACTAGGAGCCTGTCTTTAATGACCACACGTGGGACATGTTGAAGTTTTCTGTTCATCATTGAGTAATGAAGGTGAGAAAAGACTAAAATGAGTATAGAGTGCTGTTTTTTTAACCTCTGCAATATTGGGGTCTGTGTAGAGGAATAAAGAGCACTCAGTTTTGGAAACAGAAGAGTAGAATTCTAATAGTCAGTAGGCAGTAGATTCTTCCTCCCTTAGAGTCATCAAGAAAATGGCTTGTAACCAAGCCCTACATTTTAGGCCAAAAGGCAGATTAAAAGTTAAAAGCATATCAGCACACTGTTATGAAGCATTTGCTGTAAACAGGTGAATTGGTGTAGCTCAGCATTCTGAACTAGGGGTGATTTTACCTCCCAGGGGACATCTGGCAGTGTCTGGAGATGGTTTTGAGTGTCGTGACTGTGTGTGTGATGCTGTTCCTGACGTCTAGTGGGTAGAGGCCAGGGATGCAGCTAAACATCTCACCATACACAGGACAGCCCCCAAACACAATGTCCAAAAATGTCAGTAGTGCCAAGGTTCGGGAACCCTGACATCCTTAAGAGCCTGAAGATACATGCCAATCTCATTTGCTTATGTAACACTACAAAAAAAATTGCATGTTAAAATTATTTATCATACTTAGCTGATCTTCTGATTTTATCCCTAGAAAGACAAAGGTGTGATCTTTGAACACAGGTAAATCAAAGACAATTTTGTTTTTCCTGTTTGGCTTAATCAAATCCAAGTGATGAATCCCATTGAACGGGATTTGACATTAACATCAATATCACTGGGCCTTGGTTTTTGAACTTGTTATTATTTCTGACTTATTTTTAAATAACTGATTATGCTGATAACTTAAAATGAATGCAGCCCAGATGGGAAGGAAATAACAGAGGTCAGGTCTGGCAGGGGCCCTAATTGGCAGCCGTTTTTAGCTCAAAACAGATGAAATCTCCATATCGACTGAGGTTTTCCCTTTGAGATAAAAATGTGAGGTCATGGAATTTCATCTGTATCTGATATGCATTTTCATATCTATAATCAAATCTAATTTTGTAATCTGGAAAGTTTTGATTCTTCTTACCAAAATCTCCTGAAAAAATTAGGCAGAGAAATAGAGGGGGTTGTGTTAATTAATGTATTGATTTGCAAATGAGAGCAAAAGATCTAACTCTTTGAAACGTGTAGAGAATGGTGAGAAGGGCATAAAAATTCAGATAAGCCATGTTTCCTGAGAACTGGGGAAGGGTGAGGCTGCCTTGAACTGCGTGGAGGAAGTGGTCATCTTTTATTCTGAGTACTAATTGGACCCTGATAGCATGTGTTTTGTCTCTGCCTGAGCTTCCTGTTTAAGGAAAGACTTGAAGAGCTAGAGAGACAACCGAGCAGATAGATATGGGACCTGTGAGACACAGAGAACTCAGGTTGCTCATTCCAGAAGAGAACAGACCCTAACAGTGTGTTGGAGTCTCTGAGGAAATGAAGGGTTTTTGGTAGGTTACGAATTAGTTTTCTCTTGCTGCTGTAACAAGTTCCCAGGAACCTAATGGGATTATTATCTCATATTTCAGGGGTCAGGAGTCCAAAGTGGGCTTCACTGGGCTGACTCAAGGATTGCTTTCCTTCTGAGGCCATGAGGGAGAGTCCGCCGCCTTGCCTTTCCACCTTCTAGAGTTTTAACACTAGAGTTTGCAAATGAGAAGAAAAGATCTAACTCTTCGAAAAGTGTAGAGAATGGTGAGAAGGGCATAAAATTCAGATAAGCCAGAGAAGAAAGGCTTTCAGCAAATTAAATTCAGCAGAGTTCAATTGGGCAAAAAACGATCTGCAAATCAGTCTCCAGAACCAGAAGAGGTTCAGAGTGACTGAACTGGGGCTGTCACATGGTCAGATAATATTTATGGACAGAGGAAAGAAAGTCACCTAAGAAAATGAAGTGATGTGCAGAAACAGCTGGGTTGGTCACAGCTGGGCTCTTGCCTTATCTGAACAAGTTTTAATGGTTGGCCACCTGTGCTTGGCTGATTGGCTGAGATTTGGCTACTGATTAAAAGAGTAGCTTACAGGAGGATGTTTACACATCAATGAGGTTACAGTTCACTATGCACAAGAAGCCTTGAGGCCAAACTTAAAATATGTGAGGAGGCAGCTTTAGGCCACACATAATTTAACAAGAGGCTGCCAGCGTTCCTTGGCTTGTGGCCCCTCCTCCATCTCCAGAGCCAGCAGTCGCCTCCCTCTGACCTCTGCTTTTATTGTCAGTCTCCTTCTCAGGCTCCCCAGCCACTCTCTTTCCCTTATAAGGATCCTTGTGCTCACAGTGGCCCTCTCAGATCATCTTGGAGGCAGGGGCTGCTTTTCCCAACTTATAAGCAGGAGAATGTGGCTGAGAGAGCCCATTGCTCTTCCCAGTGCCCCATTTCTCTTAAGAACAGCTAATAATGGAATAACAAGTTTTCATCCTGGGCTTCTAATCACTCTTGTAAGGGTCAGTCACGATTGATAGAAATATCTGGGCTCTTGAATATGATGACTTTTCTGCTTAAACAACCATCAGTTTCAACTGAAAATACTGTGAGCAGAAATGGTTTCCATTTTTATCTTTTCTTCATTTGTTAAGGTATAATGGGCATAGAATGCACATATTGAAAGTGTACACTGTGGTACATATGTGTATACTCACCACAATCAAAACCATGTCCATATTCATCACCACCAAAAGTAGAACACGCATGTCCCCTGTGATCCGACCGTCCCCATACCCACATTCCCAGGCAAACTCCGATGCTTCCTATCACTATAAGTTAGTTACATTTTCTAGAATTTTATACAAAAGAAATCATATACTATGAAATCTTTTTACTTCATTCAGCATAATTTGAGATTTATCCATGTCTTTCCATGTATCACTAGTTCATGGCTTTTCATTGCTTAGTAGTTATATTAGTCCATTTTGCATTGCTATAGAGAAATACCTGAGACTGGGTAATTTATAAAGAGGAGGTTTATTTGGCTCATGCTTCTGCAGGTTATACAGGAAGCATCAGACCCGCATCTGCTTCTGTTGAGGCCTCAGGAAGCTTCTAATTACAGTGGAAGGTGAAGGGGGAGCAGGCGTGTCACATGGCAAGAGAGGGAACAAGGGAGTGAGGGGGAGGTGCCAGCCTCTATAAACAACCAGCTCTCTTCTGAACTAATAGAGGAGAGCTCACTCATTACCATGAGAGGGTACCAAGCCACTCATGAGGGATCCACCCTCATGAGCCAAACACTTCCCACTAGGCCCCATCTCCAACACTAGGGATCATATTTGAATATCAGTCTTGGAGGGGACAAACTATATTGATAGTATTCCATTGTTCATGCAGCCAGTTGGGAATGAACATTGGATTGTTTCTGGTCTTGGGCTATGATGAGTAAAGCTGCTACAGGAATTCAGTTTCAGGTCTTTGTGTGGACAAATGTACTCTTTTCTTCCAGGGTAGTATCTAGGTACAAATGACTAGGTCATGTGATATGTACGTTTAACTTTTTTAGAAACTACCAAACTGTTTTCTGAAGTCTTTGCACCATTTCACTTTCTCAACAGCAGTGAATGTTCCCACCCTAGGATGTTCCAGTTACTTTACATTCTCAACAGCACTTGGAATCATCAGTTTAAAATATTTTAGCCATTCTAAAGGTATGTAGTGGTATCTTGGAGTAGTTTTAATTTGCATTTTCTTAATGACTAATGACATTGAGCTTTTTTCTTGTTCTTATTTTCCATCTTTATCTTCTTTCATGAAATGTCTATCCAAATCTTTTGTCCATTTTTATCAGGTTGTTTTCATGTTATTGCAGTTGAGAGTGTTTTATAAACATGCTCTGGATAAAAGATCTTTATCAGATATGTGGTTTACAAATGTTTTCTCCCTGACTGTGGCTTATCATTTAATTTTCTTAACAGTGTCTTTTGAAAAACAGAAGTTTTAAATTTTGATGAAATCCAGTTTGTCAGTTGTTTTCTTTTAGGGATCGTGATTTTTTGCTGTATTTGTGAAATCTTTTCCTAACACATGGTTACAATGTTTTTCTTCTATGTGTTCTTACAGAAGTTTTGTATAGCTAGGTTTTACATTTAGGTCTATGATTCATTTTCAGTTAATTTTTATATGTGGCCTGAGATATGGATTCAGGTTCATTTTTCTTGCACATGAACATCCATCTGTTCCAGCATCATTTGGTGAAAAAATGATTCTTGTCCATTGAATTATCTTTGCATTTTCATTAAAAATCAATTGGCTTTATATTTGTGTTCAGTGATCAATTTTCCATCTTTTCACTAACTTTGGTTTTTTTTTTTTTTTGAGATGGAGTCTTGCTGTGTCACCCAGGCTGGAGTGAAGTGGCACAGTCTCTGTTTACTGCAACCTCTGCCTCCCATGTTCAAGCAATTCTTACGCCTCAGCCTCCCAAGTAGCTGGGATTACAGGCACATGCCACCATTTCAGGCTAACTTTTTGTATTGTTAGTAGAGATGGGGTTTTGCCATGTTGGCCAGGCTGGTCTCGAACTCCTGACTTCAAGTGATCCACCTGCCTCGGCCTCCCAAAGTGCTGGGATTACAGGCATGAGCCACTGCACCCAGCCTAATGTTGATTTTCTTGATAACTGGTTTTATAAGTCTCAAAATCAAGTGCTATAGGTCCTCCATTTTTTTCCAAGTCTGTTTTGGTCATTCTAGGCACTTTGCATTTCCATGTGTTTTAGAAACAGATCCTCATTTTCTACCAAAAAAAAAAAAAAAAAAAAAGCCTGTTCGGATATTGATTAGCATTGTGTAGAATATTTAGACCAATTTGAGAAGATTTGGCATATTAACAATATTGAATCTTCCAACCCATCATACAGTCTATCTCTCATTTTATTTTGCCTGAACAGCAGGTGATAGTTTTAAGTGTACAGACCTTGACCTTGTGGGACTCCCAACTCCATCTGGAGTCAGGGAGATCTCCAGGCTCAGGGTGGATTCTTCTGCCTGAGCTGCAGCCTGGAAACCTCCAGGCAATAACTGGGGAAGCCAAAGGCTCAGGGTATTTGTTTCTGCCTCTCAGAGATTACTCTCAAGTCTGGCCTGGCATCTAATGTTTGAAAACTGGTGTTTCTTATATTTAGGTTGCTTTTATTTTCAGTGAGAGGGTAAATATGGTTCCTATTACTTCATTTTTTTAAGAATCAGAAATCCTCTTTTTCACTCTTTATAGCAGACTTCCCCTATTTAGATACTTATGCAAAGCAAATGCAAAGTAGCTCTGTTATTGTTAATATTACTGGCCAAATACCTGAATTGCAGCAAAGCTGATGGTTAACTTGCCAGGCCTGAAAGACAAGCAGTGTAGTAGAATATAGTCAAAAACGATCTGGCCTATAAACATGAAAAATAGTGCTTGCCCTCATTAGTTATCACCAATATGCATATTAAAACCACACAAAGATGGCATTTCACACCGAGGATGGTGAGGTAAGAAACCTAGTGGGAGGGTTAGATGTTGATCAAATGAGCACAAAATCAAATACAGAATGTCAGCTGTGGTGGTCTAGAAAGGAGAAGGACATTGTGCCCTGAAAGAGAACAACAGAGGGCTTGACCTGGCCTAGGGGCTGGGAAGCCTTCACTGAGGAAGTGTAGGTCTTGGGGCAGCTGAGGCATGAGTAAGAGTTTAACCAGGCTGATACAAAGATAGAAAAGGTTTCAAAGGGAGCAGCAGGCGACAAAGTCCAGTGATGGAGAATATGGAAGGCGTGGGGAGCCCAGTGAAAGACAGTGCTGGGCGGTGAGGTGTCTAAGCCAGACAGCTCTTGGTGGGGAGGAACCTTCCAGACACCACACAAGGAATGACTTTCAGGGCAGATAGAGCCCTTGCCATCCCCAAACCTGCCTTCTAGGGGGAAGACAGGCCACAAACCAAGCACACGGCAACAACATAAGATGTTTGCTAATGTGATCCAGTCTATGAAGTGGTGGAGAAGACGGCCCAAGAAGGATTCTCAGGAAAGGGCAACAGGACATGCAGAAGCCCTGTGGGGAAAGAGGCTTGTGTTCAAGAAAGGGAATTCAGGAAAGCCTTGGGTTAGAGGTGTGAATTTGGGAGAGCTCTGGGTCAGAGGCATGAATTTGGGAGAGCCCTGGGCTAGACATTTGAATTCTGGAGAGCTGTGGGTCAGAGGTTTGAATTCGGGAGAACCCTGGGTGAGAGGTGTGAATTTGGGAGAGCCCTGGATGAGAAGTGTAAATTCGGCAGAGCCTTGGGTGAGGTGTGAATTCGGGAGATTCCCTGGGTCAGAGGTGTGAATTTGGGACTGGACAGTGTTTACTTCCTAGGCTGCTGTAACATAGCACCACTGTTTTTCAGCTTCTCCCCACTCCGAGTTCTTGGCTGCTGTGCTCTGTGTTTCCCCCTTGTTCACTCCCCTCACCCCCTGTCCTCCTTGGCTACTATTATTATGATCTGACACAGTTCTTCCAGGCTGGCCGAGTGGCCTCTTCTACTCTCACCCCCTACTCTCTCCAGGTAATGTCATCCAGGCTCACAGCCACATTACATTTTAAGGTTACAGTAGAGCAGAAGTAGTCACATATACAAGAACACGGGGGAAAGTAACAGTGTTACATCGCTGAGGTGGAGGGTGAGCAGGTGAGTGGCATGAGAGGAGGTGACGCCTCTGCGCTAAGGTCAGGATGCCGGGGATAATGTGTCTCGTGGGAAGGCTGCAGGAGTGGAGGTTGGGGGAGTGTCTGGGGACACCTGCTTCTTCTGAGAAGGAGGGTGTGAGAGAGGTGAGGTGTGAGAGAGGGTGGGGTTCGGTGGGGCTGGAAGTTTGAGGAGAGTGGAGATTGCGTTAAGGAGTGGCGGTGGAGAGGGGAGAATGAGCTGGCGGGGAAAGGCAGGAGGGTGGCCGGGCTGGCTGCCGTGTCTGTTAGGGTCAATCCCATGAATGCCCCTGTGTCCTGATGGTGATGCTTCCCAGGAGACCCTAGCAGAGACCCACCAGGGCACCACACTCATCCCAGTGACTTGGGTGGGAAGCAGGAGGGGTGAGGAGTTTTGGATACTGGCAGGGATGTTCAATGATGGCCGTGGATATGGAGGGAAATGAAGAAAGAGAACCTGATGGGTTGAAGAAGTAAAAAGAGTCAGCACTGGGTGGGGGCCGGGAGGTGAGGGAGCAGGGGTGAGGACTGAGCAGGTGATCTGTGGGGAGAGGCTCCGGCACTGACCCCAGAGATTCAAACAGTGATTTCAGAAGATGAGGCTGGAGTGTGGCTGTGGGAAGGATGGTGAGATAAAGGGGACATGGGAGGTGAGGAGGAGACTGCATGGCCACAATGTCACTCATGTAGACATTGAAGTCACCCAGGGGGCGGGTGGGAGCAGAGGTGGATGGTGCACTGTGAGCCACATGTCAACATCTTACATGGCCGAGAGGGAGTGACGAGAGGTCACTGTGCAGTGGCAGAGGTGGGGTCAGGTACATGTTTGAGGCATGGGCTTCAAAAAAGCAGTGTCATAGCTTTTGACCTCTGTCACATGAGGTCATTTACAAGCAGAGGTCTAAGATGATGGTCATGTATGTGTCCATCCACCTATTCAATAGCTCACTGTAACACTATGCCTGTGATTGAAAAACCGTGTTGGTGAACATGTTGAATGACAGGTATCTACCAGTCTCCATGTTGGGCTTGCAGGCAGGAGGTAGATGAAAACGTTCTGTCGTCTTGGAGTGTTCAGAGTCAGAAGCATTGACAAACGAATTCGAGTAGGAGGGAAATGTCACAGTCGCTCTGCATTCCATAGAGAGGGGACAGAGTGACACACTCTGGGGGAAGGAGTAGAGGAGCTGGTGGTGGTTGTGTCTGAAAGCACGGTTGGCTTAGGGAAACACCAGATCGGCCTCAGTGGCCTGAGGCCTGGTCAGGGGGGTGAGTGTGTTGGTCTTTGAGTCTCCCCATCCCTCCTGGTTGGACTGACTAGACTGCAGGAGCTTCACGAATTCACCAGTTCCTGGAGTCTCCTTGGAATAGGACTGCCGCAAGCCTCGTCCGGCTCCTTGAGGAAGGAAGAGCATCCAGTGCACCTGTGACCCCCCGAGCACAAGCACTGGCTGTACCCTCTGATGGAAACAGGTTTCCTACCCGCTGCTGCTCTGCAGTCCTTACTTGGCAGGCACGGACGTAGAACCCATCCAGCTCTGTCTTTCCCCATACACAGTGTTGTAAAATCAAACTCATTGGTCATCCCTGGGTGATTGGGCCCTATTGGAACCTTCGCTTCTGATGTCCTTAGAAGTGGCTCAATGAAATATTTTTCTTTTTCTGAATGTGGGGGGTGAACAGAGAAAATTGCCATCATTTGTTCTTCTTCTGTTAATTCTCCCTATGATCTCAGGCCAGGAGTGTATGGGCAGACAGTTCCCTGTGGCCATTGACTCAGTCTTCCGAACTACAGCATTTGCCCTTTTATTCAAAATCCCATCTGTCTGGTTTTCAATGGTTCTGTCTGTAGCATTTTCCCCACGCTGGTCTATAAATGCAGGGGTGTGTGTGTGTGTGTATGGATGCTTAGATGTACCTATAGATAGAAAGGGGAGTGCCTAGGCCAGATCACTCAGAGAAGGTGTTGGATTAAGCCATTTTGATGTTTCCATTACAGAAATCCTAAACTAAGCACAGCTTCTCTGACACCAGTAACAATTTCATTACTGAGCCATGAGATAACAGCAGGTTTACAAGAGAAGGTGGTAAAAAGATTGAGAATTCAAATAATGAATGGAGTGCACACAGGAAAGGGTACTGTGCATGTCTTCATGAGGAACCTGAATTAAGGCTGCTGTGCCACAAAGCAAGTAATGCGTAATTTTTTCTTTGGAAGCATGTAAAGGCTTTAAGATAACAAGTTTCTCTTAAGAAAACCTAGGATTTTAAAAGAAACAGAACTAAGATTAGAACCTTCATCGTGTATTCAGTTCTTTTCGTATTATATTAGTAGTAATGAATACAGATTTAATTGCATATAATGCATTTCAAGCAATTTTAGATTGAAGCAGAGTATTATGACTGTAGAAAGTCCATTTTTTAACTAATGCAAAATATTTGCAAAAGTATTTGTCTTTACGTTATACATCAGCCATTATCCATTATAGTAATGATTTTAAAATACTTCCTTTTTGTTCTATACTTGATTTGACTCACATATTTAATACAATATTAGAGACGTGGGAAAAAACACAATATACATCAGCAAATACAGAACCCATTAAACAAGAACCAATACAGCAGAAGTCCCTTTTCAGCCACACTCCCCCTCCTCCTGCAGCATTGTTTTGTACACTTGCTTCATATACATACACACAGAAACAGCACTTATTACTATTGTCTTTTAAATATAGAAGTTGACTCTTGTCTCCTTGCATAGTTCCTGGTGGGCACTCCTGGGCTTTGGTCTGTCCTCAAGGTCGTTCAGGGACTTGGGTTCCTTCCTAGGGTAGCATGTCTCTGTCTTTGGTGAAACACGGCTTTAAAAAATCTCCAAAGCATCATGAACCCCGAGTTTGTAAATTTCATAAAGAAAGATGAATTATTAGAAGATGAAATTGAAAAGCAGATACACAATTTTGCTCTGCAGTCATCAGTCAATAAAGAGTCAGGAGTGAAATCCCGGTTCTTGTACCAACACCTATCTGCGCACTTTGAACAGATACCATTTACGGCAGTGTTGACAGTTAGTGTGGCAACTGTGCTTACTTATTGTTAGATTTCTCTCATCCAGGTTGGATGGACCACAGTATATTTGTTTATTTCCCGGCTCTCTAGTTCTCTAGGAAAACCAAGGGGTTTTCTTAGCTCTGTGGCCATCCAGGGGTGAGGGGCTCCTCACAGGGGCGCAGACGGGACTCAGGGAGGGTAGGGCTGCCCCCTTATGAAGGTGCTCCTTCCTTGGGAGTTCTCCTGGGTGTCCTGGAGCTGGCTGTGGGCAACAGACCCTGCCCCAGGAAGACGCAGGTGTGGTCAGCACAGTGCATCAATTAAATCAATTCCGAGACTGCTCCATACACACAGGGCTGAAAATTTACATTCCATACGATTTATCTTCCCAAATTATGTTCAGTCACAGTATCCGTGAAAGCTGTGGGAGAGTCTACAGTGACAGTAGGCTAATAATAGTAAGATGCAAAAGGATACTCAGCAAAATGCCAGCCACCTGAGACCCCCACATTAAACCACAAACCCTTCCCATTATCAAATTTGCAGTGAAAGCTTAAATTGCACATCTTGGCTTTAGCTGTCCTATTATCATCACAATCTATTTACTGTCTGTGAGAATAAATCAAATGAATTCATTGTGCACATCTGAAAATGAATCTACATTCCCTTTTACATGGCTACTTTTTCATGACATATAGGTTATCTTTGCCACATTGCTTTCCATTTTAAAAGAGCTAAGAGTTTCTCAAAGTAAGTACTTTTCTGAGAGTCCTTAATTTGGAAGAACTCTGCTTTCTCTGAGTCGCTAGGGGAGAAGTTAACAGATGCTGAAAGATGACATCAGCATTTAATTGCAAATCAGTTCTGTTTTCTGGTAGCCTGGCTATTGTGCTCACATTTGAAAACTGTTTTGATTCTTAAATTTTTACCGTGTTTGCTAAATCTGGATAGATTATGAAGTCACATTCCTAAAAGATACTTGTATGTTTAGAGGCGAGAATTGGAGATCTTCAATGAATTGGAGGGTTGCCTTGCTTCTTAGACCACAGAAGCAGCTCAGGAATATAGTGCTCACCTGGTGCCTAGCAGGGTAAGCCCAGGACAGGAGCTCATATTTAAGTACGAGAAATGGAGTGTATGCAGGGAGAAAATGGAAACTACAGTTTTAAGGATGCTTTGGGGAATATGGAATCCTTGGTGAAAAAGGGCCATTATACAGCTTTCTTCCCTGGTAAAGGGATGAACTCCTGAATTTTAGGTGTGGGGACAGGGGGTGGGAGAGGGATGGGGGAGATCTGAGTTCATAAAAGTGTCTTTCAAATAATGTGAAGAACAGCTGGTATGTGTCATGTAAAGGGTCAGAGAACACACGAGCTGTAGAGGGGCATTTTCTGAGGAATGCATGTGCTTTTAGATTTGCCACAACCCTGAAAGCTAGATCTGAGGCTCAGCAAGATGCAGCATGGGCATTTTTGTCAATGGAGGAGTGGATTCCTTTTTCTGCACACAGCAGCATAGCTGACATTTTTTTCCCTTCTTAATAAAGACATCCACCCCCTTGACCTTTAGAGCTGATCTTCTAAAAGACCGTACTGTTTCTTGCATAATCATCACCTGTTCTGCTACACAATTGCTCTGTTTGGACCCATGCTTCGGGATAGGAGACATCCCCTGAGAAGGCCAGGGTCAGACTGGCTGGGCTGCAAGCAGCCGGAGGTGCCTGCTGTGTTCCTGCAGTTTCCAGTGTGAGCTGCAGAGGAGAGACAGCCACTTTGTGAGTAACCACCATAATTCTATTATTAGGTGAGAGGTTAATAATTGACATGTTAAAGCATATCCGGGAGGGTATAGAGGGTAAGTCTAAATGTCAGTGTTCATTAGTGGTTTTTTGTATTACAAGTTTTCTTATTCCCAGTATTCATAAGATGTCACTCTTGAGTGTTCATGAGATCAACTAACTCATCAGCAGGTAAACACACAGGGCCTTCGTGGCACCTCAAGCATTTCATAACATGAGGTTCCTTGAGATTGCAAATGTGATAGAATAAAATCTGTACACAGTATAAATGAGCAACGGTGTCAGACAACGACAAGACAAACATGTTTCCAGCATGTCCCCATTTCATCTAATGTGATGTGCGAAAGAACTGAAAAAGGAACACAGCAAACTGGGAGGCTCAGGGCACGAGGTGCGGCAGAGGAGCGAATAGAGGCCAGGCCAGGCCGGCCCAAGTACTAATTCATCACAGTTGCAGGTGTGGTTGACTGGACCCTAACTCTGGGAGGTGCCGGCTGATTTGGTCACCACAGTTGTCTTAGGGGCCTGCACGGCTATGGTCCCATTTTAAGAGCTGGGGAGCTGAGTTGCAATGAGGCCAGCCTACACATGGTGGAGCTGGGAGAGCACCGGGACACGCAGCCCAAGCTCCTGGTGCCCTTGCATTCATGTGCCAGCTTCTGACAAGGGCTGCTGTTCTGGGATTTTACTCTAAGAGCGCAGGGAAGCCACGTCGATGGTGTAGGGGGAGAGGATGCCCCCGCTCGGCAATTAACACGAAGCCCCTCTCTGGAAGGAGGATGCTGTGGCATTGCCTGGGCTTTGTCACAGTTTTGTCATTCTGGGCCAGCCTCCCCCATCCTGTGCACCCCTCCTTCCTTCCGTGTGGAGCCCCCTTTCCTCTAGGATGCAGTCTGAAGGCCAGCTTGTGCACAAGGCCTCCCGTCCAGTGTCCCCTCAGCTGAGTGTGACCTTCCTGCTGGCCCTTAGCTGCCCTCTGGCACTGTAGTCACCTCTGTCAGTGCCTCTCCTGATTGCCAAGCATTGCAAGGGCCTGTGCCGGTTGCCTGGTGGCCCTGAGGCTCTGAGCCCTCTGCAGAGTTTAATACCCTTCTGCTGAGTGACATGTTTAGGGCCAGCCTCTGGTCAGAGGAAAGGCCAGGCTAGGCCACTGCTTGCATCTTTGAGGGGTGAGGCTTGCCTGTGGAGGGGACTGGGCTCAGTGAGTGGGTGTCATGTCTGTGGTCAGTAGCTGGCCCCTGGGGCGACTGACTGCTGGGTTCAAAATCCTGCTGCACCAGGGACAAGCTGGGTGATGTTTAAGTTGCAAGGCTTGGGGCTTTTTCTTTTTTCTTTAGAGGTGCAGTCTCCCTCTGTCAGCCCAGGCTGAAGTGTAGTGGTGCGAACTTGGCCCACTGCGACCTCTGCTTCCCAGGTTCAAGTAGTTCTCATGCCTCAGCCTCCTGAATAGCTGGGATTATAGGTGGCACCACCACACCTGGATAATTTTTTGTATTTTTAGTAGAGACAGCTTTTCTACTAAAAATGGCTATGGTGGCCAGGCTGGTCTTGAACTTCTGGTCTCAAGTGATCCATCCATCTTGGCCTCCCAAAGTGCTGGGATCACAGGTGTGAGCCACCAAGCCCAGCCAGGGTTTTTTCATTTTAAATTTAAGAGTAACAGTACTACTCAGCTCATGCATTCACTGTGAAGATTAAATGAAATATTACATATACTCAATGCATGGTGAGACTTAATAAACAGTATTTATTGTCATCATGATCTGGGTGCACATGCCACCCCAAGAAAGGACAGAAATTAGCTCTACCTCAAGCATAACCCAGAAGTCCTGGGGGGAAATGGAGGCAGGCGCGGCCCAAAGGCTGCTCTGCAGACCAGGCTGCAAAGTGTGTGAATGATTCCTGTCTGCAGCAGCCCCACTCATGGGAGCCGAACCACCCAGGTGTGTGTCCCTGTGAAGGTTAAGGAAGGAGGTTCAAGCTGGTGTGCTGAGGGAGAGCTTGTGACCACAGCCACACACTGTGTGCCCTCGGGTCATTTATTGCACAACACATAAAGAGATTTCAGTCACCTAAAGCTCTTGATGATCAGACCAGGTTATCTGTAAATTTCAGGAGAAAATGCACCTGAATTCACTCCTGAAGGTTGTGGGCTGAGGGGCTCTTCTTTCAGTTTTCCTTCATCTCAGAGAAAGAGAACACCTGCAAAGCCTTGACTCCTTGTCCAGCTGGAATGGCCAGGCCCTGTCCCTGGGGCTGGCTGATCTTGACGCTGATGCTCCATAGCCGGCAGCTCTTAGTGCCTTCGTCATGGGCCACCATGAAAGAGGGCGGTGCCCCCAGCCCCTCCACAGCTCTCCAGGTGGACGGTCTTGTTGGTGGTGACTTCAGATAAGAGGTAGGGAGCAGGAGAGCAGGAGAAGGGGAGGGGAGAGAGAGAGAGAGAGAGATCAAGAAAGAAAAGAGCAATCTAGAGTGTGGACTGAAGCTGTGTTTAATATGAAGAGAAGGGGAACACTGGAGGAGGCAGCAGGCCTGGGCCAGCTGAGGAAGGCAGAGGTGAATCTGCTGTGAGTCACCTGGCAGAGACCTGGAAACCTTTGGCCCCCAGCTCCCTGTCCACCCCCATGTACTCCTACCTCACTGCCCCCATCCCCTGATGGCTCTCAGGCCTATCTTCTGCAGCTCCTGTCCATGAAAATGACTCACTGATGGAATGACCCACAGGCCCCAGACAGCCATTCAGCCAAGGAGGAGGGAAGAGGGGGGAAAGCATAGCTCTGGGACCAAGTGCGGGAGGTGGGGGCTGCTCTTGCCAAACAGAATCAGGAACAAGGAGCAGCACAAGAGGTGCTGAGCAGTGGCCTCAGCCAGCGGGCTCTCTGCTGCCAGGGGCATGCCATCCATCACGTGGGGTAGGTCTCTTTGCTGTGGGTACCCAAGAACTCTGCCAGGCCCTGCTGAGGGTGCCCTGAAAACCTCAGCCAGCCTGCTATCCCCACCTAAACTCTGCTCTGGTTCTTCCTGGAGCTGACACATTTAGTTCAGTGCATCCCAGACATCACCATGTGGAAGTGAGAGGCTCAGCTGGTCCAGCAAGGAGGGCCACCCTTCTCCCATGGTCCTGTGAACCAAAAGTATCTGAGATACGTCTCCATTAATTTAGAAAGTTTATTTTGCCAAGGTTACTGTCAATGAAAAGAATCACACTCTGTAAAATATTTGAAGGGATTCATTCTGAGCCAAATATGAGTGACCCATGAGCTATGACACAGCCATTAGGAGATCCTGAGAACATGTGCCCTAGGTGGTTGGGCTACAGCCTAGTTTTATACATTTTAGGGAGACATGAGACTTCAGTCAAAGACATGTAAAGATGTACATTGGTTTGGTCTGGAAAGATGGGACAACTTGAAGCAGGGTGTGGGATTGTTCCAGGTCATAGGTAGATTTTAAAATTTTCTGAATGGCAATTGATTGAAAGAGTTAGGTTACTATCTAAAGACCTAGAATCAATAGAAAGGAATGTTTGGGTTAGGATGATAAGGGGTGGTGGAGACCAAAGTTTTATCATATAGATGAAGCCTCCAGGTAGCAGGCTTCAGAGAAAACAGATTGTAAATGTTTCTTATCAGACTTAAGGTCTGTTGATGTTAACTCTGGTCGGCTTTTTTTGAATTCCAAAAAGGAGGAGGGTATAATGAGGCATGTCTTACCTCCCTTCCATCCTGGCCTAAATAACTTTTTCAGGTTAACTTTGGAATGCCCTTGGCCAAGAGGAGACATCCATTCAGATGGTTGGGGGGCTTACAATTTTATTTTTGGTTTACAGGCAGTCCTGACAACATGTGCACAAGGCAGTTAGGGTAAAGCTTGGTTTTACACATTTTAGGGAGATATGAGACATCAATCAAATACATGTAAGATGTACACTGGTTTTGTCCTGAAAGGTGGGACCACTCGAAGTGGGGAGGGGGCTTCCAGGTCATAGGTAGATAAGAGATAAATGGTTGCATTCTTTTTGGATCTATGATCAGCCTTTCACTGAATTAAACAATTTATATGTGAGAGGGGATAGTAGTCGCTTCTTAGTCTGGCTCAGCGAATCTGCATTTTTATATAAACAGTGGGGCAGAGGAAGCAATCAGATATGCATTTGCCTTAGATGAGCAGACAGATGACTTTGAGTTCTCTTCTTTGTTCCGCATCTGTGAAGATAAGCCATCACTTTACATCACCAAAGTGAAATTCAGCAGAATTGTTTTAGGGTAAAGATCTTGAGGAGTTTCCTTGTGGGCATATTGTGAGGGAGGTATGTAGCTTTTTTTTTTTTTTTTCATCTTTGTAGCTACGTTATTTAGGAATAGAATGGGAGGCAGGTTTGCCTAACCCCAGCTTGACTTTTCCCTTGGGCTTAGTGATTTCGGGGTCCCAAGATTTATTTTCCTTTCACAGTCCCTTGATCCCTCGTGCCTGGAAGCTCCTCCACCTGTGGCCTGAGTTGGATCTGCTTCTCCTCCCAGCAGTCTACTTCCTTCCTCCATCCTTTCTTCCTCCCATGAATCTTCCTCCCCACTCCTCCCTCCCTCCTGCTCCTCCATGGGGCAATTCACCCAAGGCCTGGATGGTGTCTTGGCAAGCAAGGCAGGGCCAGTGCCTTGTTGGTGGATCTGAGGGCCCTGGTGCATGGGACGTGCTGGTTGGCAAACCATTCCTAGAATCCACCCTGAGCACCTGGTTCTAGGAATGGTTTGCCATTCCAGCATGTCAAATGGTTGCTAAATGCTTTGCCCCACTGGTGACTGAGGTCCCAGGGGATGGAGACCCCTCGGATTGTCCTAGAGGAATGTTCCCTCTCTGCCTTACTGCTTTCTTCTGTCTTTCCCTCTGCACCCATACTGCTGGGATATGCCTGCACTCTGCAGTTTGCTGACTCCTCTGCAACCTTGGCTTTGGTTTCTCCCCAGGTCCTGACCACCTGGCCGTGGGCCCCTCCCTGTAGAGCCACACTGCAGGAAAACAAGGCTGCTTCAGCCCAGCGAGACCCATCTTGCCTGGGTGCCACCTCCCAGCCTGGATCAGCACTCGGAGCTCCCACCTGCCTCCCAGGGGAGTGGGCATCCACCCTGAGCACCTGGTTCTAGGAATTTCCCTTCCTTTCATTTCTGAGGCAGTGCCGGCCGGCTTGGCCATCTCATGCTGTCTCACGTTCCGCAGCTGGTCTGGGCCCAAGTGCTGAGGACTCAGGGATCCCTGAGACCGTTCTGGGCAGGTCTGGCTTGCTGCCCTCCCCTGGAGAATGTGGCGACCCAGCAGCAGGTGGTTGAGAGTGTCCCTGCTGGTGAGGACAGAACCTGGAATTCTGTTGCCACGCTCCCTGTCCTGGCTGGCTGATGCCCTCCAGCTGTGGGCTGGCCATGCTCCTGATGGGCCTGATATGGATACAGACTAGCATGTCCCATGCACCAGGACCCTCAGATCCACCAACAAGGCACTGGCCCTGTCTTGCTTTCTTCTCTTGGTGTGGCTGAAAACACCAGGCTCTAACTCTACTAGTTAAGCAGGAGCCTGGGAGTCTCCAACATCCTTCCTGGCAGGGGGCATGCAGAGAACATAGTCTTCAGCTCTGGCCAAGCAGCCATCTGTCCAGCCTGCTGGTGCTAGCCTGGGTAGATGGCCTGGAACTTAGGGGCAGAGCCCACCTGCACAGGCAAACTTGGGGGACCATGAGGGATGATCCCACAGACCCAGAATGCTCAGCCTTCTTCTTTAAACTTGCAGCGGAGGCTTCAATGTGCACCTCCGCCTCCCCCTACGGATTGTAAAACTCACAGGCACAGGGACCGGGGCTTGCCCACCACCCTAAACAAAACTTGCTGATGACTTACTGAGAAGATGAAGGCAGTGGTTTCTTGCAGCCATTGTGTCTGACCATGGGCCCCAGCAAGGATGTGAGGGACCTGTGTCACTGGCAAACACACTGTCAAGAAGCCAGGTGTGTAACCAGCCTATGATGAAAGCCTGCAGAGGTATCAGTCTCTTTCCTGGGGAATCTTTTCACCTGCGTCACAGCCAGACCCTCCATCACTGGTAGAAGGGTCTAGGGACTCCTCCAGAAGAGATAACTACTTTCTACTTAAGGACCAAAATACTTTTAGCCTCTGAGGCATAGGGCAGCTCACAGATGAAACTCTCTTCTATCTTGGTCAAGGTTGCCCCCAGGCAGGGGGACATCACCAGCAGATGCTCGTGGTTGGTCAGTATCTTGAGAAGTACACACCACCCAGGTACACCATTAGGGTGTCCTCTAGTACAACAGGACAGAGACAAAGGCTGTGCCTACTGTCTCCAAGGAGTGGGAGAGGACAAGCATATGGCAATTTTGATAGGCTTCTCACTTGGCCCTTCGAGTTGGCCATGTTGATCAAGTTCATGGTCTTCCCCTCTCAGGGGCTCCCCTGGTTGATCTTTTTCTGCCCTGACAAGCTCCTGGAGTCTGTTCCCTCCCCGTCTTCCGCAGCCAACCCCCAAGTGTGTGGTGGGCGGGGTGCAGGCTGCAAGCCTGTGATTACAGCACCTGCCTTGCTGGGAATGGCACGGGCATAGGAGCAGTCATGCCCACTGCAACAGTCAGTGTTGCCACAGCAATGCCCAGAACACCACCCTGAGCCCCGTGGCTGCAGACAGTGGCATCTGTTTGGTTTATGCGTCTGCAGGTCGGGGCTTTCACGGGCTTGGGCTGGGCTCCCTCCTGTGGCTGGCACTCCCCAGCTGTGGCTGGGGACAGGGCACACCTAGGCCACAACTCTCCCTCATCCAGCAGGCCAGCCCGACACCTTCTCACCGTGACGGCAGAGTGGGGAGCAAGCAAAGCCACACTGTGTGAGCTTTCCAAGGGCCCATTGTCACCCCTTTGCTAATACCCCACTGGCTGCAGCCCATGTGGCTGAGCCCAGAGCCAGGGTGGGGGGTACATGGCAACCTGTGCAGACATGGAAAAACCTCAGCCTCCTCTTCTCCCACTGAAACGGGCTTAGAGCTCTTCCTGTCTCCCCACGCGTGCTGCACTGTTTCATGCTCTTTCTCCCAAGGAACTTCTCCTCAGCTCAGCTCCCGCTCTGTAAGTGGAACTCTGATTTCATCTGAGCACCCTGGCTTCCACAGCATTGCATGCCCACTGCCAGCCCGTTCCTCCCCTCCCTCACCCACTGGGCTGACGATCCTCTCCCACTTGCTGCTCAGTTTCCCTCCTGGTTTGTCCCAGCTCTGGGGCCCATGGGCAGCCCCCTCACCCTTGTGCCTTGCCCCCCATACCTGGGACACTGCTTGGGGACAGTGCCCAGGATTCTACCTACTCTGAGAATGGGGACAAGAAATCTACACACAAGCTTAAGTCGCCCTTATCCTAAAAAGGTACTTTTTTCCTGACCTTGTGAATTCTTCCAAGATCTTATTGATCTCTAATTTGCCTTTTGTGAGAAAATGTTTTGAAAGAGTAACCTACACCCATCGCTTTCATTCCTTACCACCCACTTGCTCCTTGTCCCTTACAGTCTTTTTTTTTTCCACTTTTTTTTTTTTTTTTGCCCCAGAAGACCAGGCTGTCAACAGTCTGCAGTGTTAGGAGTGCCACATGTGTTCATTTATTTTGTCCTCTAAAAACCTCGAAGGCTTGGGTGCTGCATACAGTCAATAGCCGTTTGACCCATGAGAAAATCAGAGCTCAGCCTGGTCATGTTGTTCATGAGGTTATTGGGAGCAGGTAATGGACTGTAGGCCTTTCTGACTGCAGAGCCTGTTTTAAGCTGTTGTGCTGTACTGACTCGATGTGCAAGTCTGGAGTGTGCTAGAGTCAGAGCCTCCAAACCCGTCACGCAAAGGGGCTGTATACGCTTGCTAGGGCTGCTGTGCCACAGTTGAGTGGCTTTGACAACAGAAATGGTTTGCCTCGCTGTCCTGGAGGCTGGAGGCCACAGGGTCAGCAGGGCCATGCTCCTTTTGCAGGTGCCAGGGAAGGTCGGGGCCCAGCCCTTCTCCCAGTTCTTGGTAGCTTAACTCCAGTCTCCACATTGCATTCTCCCTGTGTGCATGTCTGTGTCCAGAGTCTCCCTTTCCATTAGGACACAAGTCATATTGGATTAGGCTCTCACCCTAATGACCTCATCATAACTAAAGTTGACAACTCGGGGGCACCAACACACCCCCCTTCCCCCATGCAGAAATGGCCCCACTGTTTCTGGGGCCTTTCAAAACCTGCATGTAACCTTTGACTCCCCCAAAACTTAACTACTAATAGCCTGCTATTGACCAGAAGCCTTACCGATAATGTGTCAGTGGATGAACACATATTTTGCATGTTATATGTACTGTATACTGTAGTCTTACAATAAAGTAAGCTAGAGAAAATAATATTTGAAAATCATAAGAAAGAGAAAATATATTTATTCATTAAGTGCAAGTGGATCATCCAGGTAAAGGCCTTCATCCTGTGGTCTGTTAGTTTGTAACAAAATAGTGTATGTCTTCTCCTAAAATTTACTATTGTTATTTAACAACTTCCTTTAAAAGGAAGGTAAGTGGTTTAGTGAAACTGATGAGAGGAAACAAATCCTGATTTCAATTGTGAATTAAGGGTGTTATTCACACAAGTTATTTCAGTTCCTGTCTTCTCCCTTTTGGTTAAGATTTCCACAGGATTGCTGTAGTTCTGAGATCCAGGTTCCCTTTTTGGCACTTTCTGGATTTTTTTTTTTTTTTTTTTTTTTTTTTTTGAGACAGAGTCTCGCTGTGTCGCCCAGGCTGGAGTGCAGTGGCGCTATCTGGGCTCACTGCAAGCTCCACTTCCTGGGTTGATGCCATTCTCCTGCCTCAGCCTCCCAAGTAGCTGGGACTACAGGTACCCGCCACCACGCCTGGCTAATTTTTTTGTGTTTTTAGTAGATAACAGGGTTTCACCGTGTTAGGCAGGATGGTCTTGATTTCCTGACCTCATGATCTGCCTGCCTTGGCCTCCCAAAGTGCTGGGATTACAGATGTGAGCCACCGTGCCTGGCCACTGGATTTTTATAGTAAACAATGACCTCTGTGACTCTTAACGAGAGATGAATAGATACAAAAAGTCTTATAAGCAAAAACATCGCTGAAAGCCAGAGTTTACTGCAAAATAGACACATGACATTATTTAATTTTTTTCCCAAATAGAGAACCTAAGTAAAAGCCTTAGCAATTTACCTTTTGCTGAGAGGAACTAGCTGGACTGTACATTTTAAGAAAATCCTTTCTTCAAAGTACATGTGAGGAAAAACTAATTTCGGGGACAGCCCTGCTTCCAAGCTTGTTTCTCCTGTGGCATCCCCTCTCTGTTAGCAGTAATTTAATAAAAAACCTGAATATGACCCTGTTGTGAGCTGAGTCAGGCCTGACCCTGAGCCAGGGGCCACCTGGCCCCTCTGCTTCACTCTCACCATTGCCCACTCATGGGGCTTCTTTTCTGCTCATGGTTCATCCCAGAAGGTTTTTCCCTGCCATCCCCTAGAAGGTCAGACCAGCCAGGACACCCCCGGCCTTCCTGATCCTTCCCCTTTGGGGCGACCCCTGGCAGGCCCCCCCCCAATTCCTAGGTCCACCGTTTCTGGGGTCTTTCCAGCCAAACCATGCCAAGGTGAGCCTCGGCTGGTGACACGTCATAGTCCCCTCATGACCCCACCTAAATCAGCAAAATGAAGTTGTTGGTTCTTAGAAATAATTTAAAACACAGAGGCATTTCCTCAGGCAGTGGGATTTGAGCATCAAAGACACGCTTCTGTCCTTCGTCCTTCTGCCCTCGGATGTCGCGGCTCCTTGGCTCCACAGTGACTTGGAGGGTACGCGGTGTGTATGTGTTGGCTGCAATAGTGTGAGCCACAGTGACACGTGGCATGGTTCTGAGCTCCACAAGGAAAATGGCAGAGCCCCGTTCCAAGTCCCTGGCAGGACTCGGGACTCTGCGTATGTCTTTCTCAGACACCCCTGAGACCTGCCCGGAATTGTGTTTGTGGCTTGTCCTTCAACCCCACTCCTGGCTCCTCCTGTGAGGGGTGGAGGCCAGTGGGGTCCATCCCTGCCCACCCCTGGAGTGCTCCATCCTCCAGGACGTGGCCCTGGGCCCTCCAGGAAGCAGCTGCGGCTCTTCCTGAGGCTGGGAGAGCTGTTTCCCAGTAGCTACCATTTCCATTTGGATCCAGATGTGACATCTTCCCATTTCTGACATCACCCTGGATGTCACATCAGTTTTCTTTAATTGACTTCTCACGTTTCTCAAATTCTTGCTGGAAGAATTGGGAGCGTCCTTTGGTGCCTGGGCAGCTATGATGCAGGCCACAACCACAATGCTAGGCTCAAAGGTGCCCTTCTTTGCCCACAGCCAAGCAGGGCCGCTGGGTTCACCTTGACCTCCACTGACTCTTCCTAAGCAGGCTCAGTGTCCAGGGCCCGGGCATGGCCTGCAGGGCTGTGGGGGTACCTCCCCGCTCCCTCTCCTTCCTGGCTCTCAGTTTCCTGAGCTGCGTGTCCCCAGTGTTCTCTTCCAGAAGTTTCATTGTCCTTGTGCAGAGAAAAGCCCCTGGAAGGCACTCTGGGACGTGCATTGTGCCCCAGTTCAGCACTAGGGTGGTGGCTCTGCACCCCAAGGCCTGGCTGCTGCACGATAACATGAGCCTGACAAATCCCAGGGTGCAGAGAATCCAGGGCTGGTGCAGGATGGCGCTGCCCCCGCCCAGGCTCATGCCCAGCCTTCAATGAATACAGTTTTAGTTACTGAATGACAGTGGATGGTGGAGCCCATGGAGGGTGTGATGAACACCAAGTGGGGCCTGACACAGACTCGGCAGCCTCAGGAAGGCAGGAGGTAGTGAGGAGCGCCCGAAGTGTGGGAGGAGGTGACAGGGTCAGGGGGCAGACATCCTTCCCATGGGGCCCAGCCCTGGGCCAGGGCAGAGAGTTGAGGTAACATCAGTAGATGAGTGAGCACTCCTGAGTTACGAATAGAGAACAAATCGCCAAAATAACAGCATGCATTTACACATGCTCACACGTGCCAGGCACTGCTCTGAGACGATAACTCAGTTAATGCTCACAATTCTCTTATCCTCATCCGAGAAATAGAATAATTTGCCTGGGCGTGCAGCAAGTGAGTGGTGGACCCGAACCAGAACCTACGTAAGCCCACGTGCTTGACCTGAATTCAGAGGATTGGAAACCCAGGGCTTAGAGCTTGAAAACGCACAGTGTGATCTAAATCTAAATCTCTTGGGCAGAGCTTTTCTCCATGCTCTAAAATTCTGCTCTTAAGGCCATGTGAGAGATGTATGTGTGTCTGTGTTTGTATGTGTATATATGTATATGTAAGATATACACACATATGTATATATACATTTTTGTTTACATATATTTTTTAGATCAGATAGACCCTGTCTGGCATTCCGATTTAACCTCAGCTAACCTGTTTTCACACATCTGTGCACTAAAACAACTCATTTTTTTCCTTTCCAGAGCTTGTCTTCAAGAGTAGCTGGTGCAGAAACTCGGTAAGAAGGGCCTCGAGTCCGTTCTTCCCTCTCCTTCCTCCTTCTTTCTCCTTTAAATCCTACCTCCATTTGCAGATTGTATAATCTGTATGTTAACTCCGTAATCCATATGTTACCTCTGTAACATACTGTTAAAATCACCACAAATTTGATAGTTTCACACTTTTCTTGACTTTCAAAACATATCATCTGTCAAGGTATTTGAGATGACTTCTTCCTTTGTGAAGTGAGGCCTCCTCTTAGCAAAATTTTAGACCCTACATGGATTTCATTAATATGCACTATTGCTACTAAATGTTCTGCTAGTGTGGCCAATCCATTTATAGGCAAACTTGGGAATGATTTTGTTTTGAAAGCAAATACAAATGAATCACCTTACACCCGTGGAAAACCAATCACGAGTCTTACATTTTAAGATACTTTACTGTGATAAAAACCTGGGAGTGTTTTGGGTTTTGTATGTTTGTTACTGGATGAATATAACCTTAGAGTTGAACACATTTTAATAGAAATGTGCACGTGTTCATAAATATGACATACTTAAGTCCTGTTGTAGATTAAACTGTATTACAAACCACTTCATAGTTGTAAGGTCAAAATGTCTTTTTTGATGGACAAATAGAAATGTTGCAAAAGATCGTTTTTTCCATCTTAGCATTATTTGTAACTGTGATTTACCTGTTGGACCCAACTAAAGACTAACAAGTAAAGAATCTGAGGAAGGTCTTTTAGGTAATAAATGAAATATCTTTTTAAATTCCTTTTTCTCCAATTAAAGTGGAACGCAGCTTCTGAAAATCTTTAACGAGCTAGACAATACAAAATTTAGATAATTTAATTTGAGATTATGTTTAGGTCTCAGAAAACCTGAGAGGTCTACGCATTAATAGCCAATGATGACACAGAGGCACAGCTAATTGGCGAGGTGAGCGCTGCTTGTTTGATGTTTTAGCAGAGGGTTACTTATTGATCTGCACCATAGGCCTCACCTAACATTGACTTTTCATTTGCTATTTGTCCTGTGTTTTACTTAACTGATGCATTTTTTTTGAAATTTTTAACTATTCACATTTGTTTGTGAGAAGAATTACATTACAGCATTTAGGTTCCAACGTTTTGTGTATCATACGAGTGGATTATCAGTCACATATCTTTGTGTGTTACTTCAAAAGCATTTGGTGTACACTCGAGAAATAATTATGACAAAGTATGAAAAACTTAATTTGTCTGTTTTAGGACATTTCAAATATTTAAGATGCAGAAGAATACTGAGGCATATCTGATTGAGTGGATCTCAACAGACATATTAGAATTTGGTTGATATTCAGGGAAAGTGAACGTGTCTAAAGAAGGGGCTCCTAAGTTATATGATTCTTATTATTATTATTATTATTTTTTTTTTTTTGAGACGGAGTCTCGCTCTGTCGCCCAGGCTGGAGTGCAGTGGCGGGATCTCGGCTCACTGTAAGCTCCGCCTCCCGGGTTCACGCCATTCTCCTGCCTCAGCCTCCCAAGTAGCTGGGACTACAGGCGCCCGCCACTACGCCCAGCTAATTTTTTGTATTTTTAGTAGAGACGGGGTTTCACCGTTTTAGCCGGGATGGTCTCGATCTCCTGACCTCGTGATCCGCCCGCCTCGGCCTCCCAAAGTGCTGGGATTACAGGCGTGAGCCACCACACCCGGCCATGATTCTTATTTATAAAAGAAAAACAGTATATAGTTTTATACTGTATGGTTTGATAGCAGTGGAGCTAGTTAAAATTTCTGCATACTTTTGTAATTATGTTTTGTTTGTGAACTTACAGATCCATTACCTAGCCAAATATTTATGTGTATTTTAAAGCATTTTTAATATCACATGCTAAATAGCTAGGAAACTTTTCTTGAGCAGAATATTACTAGTGCATTCTCTTTCTTCCTCTTGTGTGTACTTTATAATTAGAATAAATATCATTAATGATAATGCTTCTCTGAGGTCAGATTTTATTTAAAAAATAAAATAGGACTGCTAAAAAAAAAATGACATTTTGAAATACTCGTTGGAATCCTAGGCAGCTTAGGGCTCTGTAGAGCAATGGGAGTCCAAGGGTAGAGAATCATTTGGTGTTTAGGAAAAGCTTCTATTATCAGTGAGGTCACATTAGCGTTCACAGGCATAGATTTCAACATGCCAGTGAAGACTGGTAGGGTTAGGAGTCTCATCTCTCTCGCCCTGGAGTCTTTCTGTGGTTTTCAGGCCAGCCACACCTCTTTGCCCCCATGTCAGAATTCAGACATCTACGTTTATTGAAGCTTACCTTTAAGCTCTATCTTTATTGCACTCATTGTGTGAGGTGCGGACTCCAGCTTCTATCTTAGGAAGTCCACCTCAGAGCACCAAGCCTCACCGACAGCCAGACTTAACCAGCTGCATACAGCTTCTCCCTGTTGGCATGAAACACACCAACATTTGGGATGATGACTTGAGGAATTTGGATTTTTTTGAGATCTGTGTGTTTTAATGTTTTGGTATTTTACTTAGTTCCTTGTTTTAAACTGTTCCATTTCAAACTTAAGCATTTCATTTTATAGTTAGAGTGCTTGAACTTCTAACCAATATGCAGTTGACATTGTTCTAAGTTATGAAAAAGGCAAAAATATAGTGCTGTGTACATGTGACTTTATGAAAACTTTTTTGTTTTTTAACCTTAATCAAATTTTTCATTAATGCTTAAGTAGAATATATTAGTATTTTAAAAGCAGATTCACAATCCATTTGAGTTGGAAACCATTCTTGGCCCACAAACCCAGTTTCCCTCAGAGGCCGTGAGAGGGAGCTGTTGAACCTTAAACGAATTGTATTTAACCTTTAACAGTCCATCAGGCTAAACTATTCAGATAATCCATCTATAAAATTTAACTTACATTGTAATAAGCAGTAGTATGATTTTCATTTCTATTAAAGCAGAAGTTATGCAGTTAATTAAGAGACATTTCAGTTAAATTCAATGAATACTTTTTAGTACATGTTATTTACAAGGCACTTTATGCTAAAAGTGGGCATAAAAATAAATAATTTGGGCCGGGCGAGATGACTCATGCCTATAATTCCAGCACTTTGGAAGGCTGAGGTGGGTGGATCACAAGGTCACGAGTTCAAGACCAGCCTGGCCGAGATGGTGAAAACCGGTCTCTACTAAAAATACAAAAATTAGCTGGGCATGGTGGTGGGTGCCTATAATCCCAGCTACTCAGGAGGCTGAGGCAGATAATTGCTTGAACCCAGGAGGCGGTGGTTGCACAGGGCCTAGATCGAGACACTGCACTCCAGCCTGTGTGACAGATTGAGACTCCATCTCAATAAATAAATAATTGGAGTGGCTCATAAACATGTGCATGTCTGTGTGTGCACACCTGCATTATAAAGTAGAACACAATATATAAGGAAGGTATATTGAGTTTCCACAGAAAGGAAGGTATTAGGAGAGGCAGGAGAGAGGAGCTGGCCTCTAAGAAGGGCTGGAGCATTTCTGGGAGTTGACAGAGAATGGGGAGTATTCCAAGTGCGGAGCACAGCATAAGGAAAGAAAGTTTGGAGAATCCTGAAGATGCCTGTTTGCTCAAAGCATAGCTTGCATAAAGATGATTAAGAGAATATCAGGCATAGGGCAGACAGTGAGTTGCACCTGTAGTCCCAGCTACTTTGGAAGCTGAGTCAGGAGGATCACTTGAGCCCAGGAGTTTGAGGCTACAGTGAGCTATGATTGTACCACTCTACTCCAGTCTGGGTGACAGAACGAGACCTTGTCTCTTAACAAAAAATATAAAAATTAAAAACCAGTATCAGGCTGAAAAGCTAGGTTGGGCTGCATTGTACTCAAACATAAATGCCCAAGGACTGACTTGTCTCTAATTGTTTTGAACGTCAAAATTTGACCAAATGATCTCTTAATCTGTGACTGTATACGCCGTGCATTGGGCATTATTCACCAGATGTTAATTGAAGTCATACTCTGTGAAGGTTGTTGGAAAATCTTTTTTTTTTTTTGAGATGGAGTCTCACTCTGTCGCCCAGGCTGGAGTGCAGCGGCATGATCTTGGCTCACTGCAAGCTCCACCTCCCGGGTTCACACCATTCTCCTGCCTCAGCCTCCCGAGTAGCTGGGACTACAGGCGCCCGCCACCACGCCTGACTAATTTTTTATATTTTTAGTAGAGATGGGGTTTCACCGTATTAGGCAGGATGGTCTCGATCTCCTGACCTCGTAATCTGCCTGCCTCGGCCTCCCAAAGTGCTGGGATTACAGGCGTGAGCCACTGCGCCCGGCCAGTTGTTGGAAAATCTTAATGTTTCTTTTCTCTTTTCTTTCTTTTTTTTTTTTTTTCAAATGGAGTCTTGCTCTATCTCTTGAAGGCTGGAGTGCAATCTCATCTCACTGCAGCTTCCACCTCCCAGATTCAAGCAATTCTCCTGTCTCAGCCTCCCGAGTAGCTGGGACTACAGGCACCTGCCACCATGCCTGGCTAATTTTTGTGTAGAGATGGGGTTTCACCATGTTGGCCAGGCTGGTCTCGAACTCCTGACCTCAGGTGATCCACCCAGCCTTAGCCTCCCAAAGTGCTGGGATTATAGGCGTGAGCCACTGCGCCTGGCGAAAAATCTTAATGTTTCTTAATTGCAGTATTCTGAAACTGATAAAGCACTTGTAAAACTTTCAAAATAATTTAAAGCCATTTTCTTTTTAAGATAGAAATGAGTACTTCTTAGCATACTAGAGGTAACTTTAAAATTTTAAAGTAATGTTTAATGAGTACAGAGTTTCAGTTTTGCAAGACAAAAACCTTCTGATCTCTTACAAAATAGTGTGAAAATGTACTTTACTGAGCTGCACACTTGAAAATGGTTAAGATGGTGAATTTTAAGTTATATGTTTTCCACCACAATTTTTGAAAACTAAAATAAGAATTTTTTGGGGCTAAAACAAGAAGAAACCATCTACAGGAAGTGGAATGAATTTAGCTCTTATGTTTTCTGGCAGCATGTGGGAGGATTTGGGGTCACCATTGTGGGCCATGTTGTTTTCACTGATGACTACTTCTGCAGGAACATAAGTTTTCCTGGAATTAGACTCAAGCAAAATGTACAAGGCAGGCTCTTGTAGAAAAAGAAACATTGAATCATGAGCTGGACAAAAACTTTAGTTACCATTTTCTAAAAAAACTATATAGAGGTTGTTCAAATACACTTGAATCTTCTTTTTTTTTATTATTATTATACTTTAAGTTCTAGGGTACATGTGCACAGCGTGCAAGCTCGTTACATAGGTATACATGTACCATGCTGGCCCGCTGCATCCTTCAACCCGTCATTTACATTAGGTATTTCTCCCAATGCTATCCCTCCCCTCACCTCCCACCCCATGACAGGCCCCTGTGTGTTATGTTCCCCAGCCTGTGTCTCATTGTTCAATTCCCACCTATCAGTGAGAACATTCGGTGTTTGGTTTTCTGTCTTTGTGATAGGTTGCTCAGAATCATGATTTCCAACTTCATCCATGTCCCTGCAAAGGACATGAACTCATCCTTTTTTATGGCTGTATAGTATTCCATGGTGTGTATGCAAATACACATGAATCTTCTGTGAAAGCTGTAGACATTAAGGCATAGCTCAGTAAATTCATTTCTCTGGAGTGAAGATATAACTGATTTGGATACTTTGCTTTTTATCTTCTAATTTCAATAGAAAAGTAGGGAATAATGCAGGTTGTTTCATAGTGTGGCAAGCAGAATAATAGTCCCTGGAAGATGTCCATGTCCTATTCCCTGGCATTTGTGAATGTGTTACTTTCAATGGTAAAGAAGAATTAGGTTGCAGATGGACTTAAGGTTGCTAATCAGCTGATCCTAAAATAAGGAGATGATCCTAGATTATCTAGAAAGCCCAGTGTAATAACAAGGGTCCTTAAAAGTGGAAGAGGGAGGCTGGACAGGAGGCCAGAGAGATGCAGTGTGAGAACCCGATCTGACATTGCTGGCTTTGAAGGTGGAGGCCATGAGCCAAGGAATGTGGGCGCCTCTCAAAGCTGGGAAATTGATACTCCCTGAGAAGCCTCCAGAAGAGAATCAGTTCTGCCAGCACCTTGGTTTTAACCTGCGAGACCCCTGTTGAACTTCCACCCTGCAGCAGTGTGAGACGGTGATCTGCAATGTTTCAGGCCACAGCATGGGTGGGGATTTGTTCAGCAGCAGCAGGAAACAAATGCATGTGGACGCTAATATCATAGTCAGTTCACAGCAAAATCCTGGTCACCTGTACTGCAATAGTCCATGACGGTGGTGAATAAGTTGTCAGCTTCAATACAGATTTGAGGGGATCAGAATTGCCACTGTGCTGAAGAGGCTCTGAGTCATGTGCTGCGGAGGTCAGTGTGTCAGAGTTGGGTTTCATTCAGAGCAATCCATTTCTACACAGACATTGGTAGAAGGATGGCTAAGGGAGGTGACCAGTCACACTGTGAACTGGCCCCATCCACATCCACAGTTTCCTGATCCATGGTTGTATGCGCTCTAAGATTCTTCAGACTATAGGACTTTGAATGAAAGATGAAGTATAGAGATTCCCAGACCATGGTGGGTGCTTAACTATTTATTGGATGGATGGATGAATGGATGGACGGATGGATGGATGGATGGATGGATGGATAGATGGAATGAAGGAATGATGAACCAGGCTGCTGACTAAAGAAGAAGAAACACCCCTCATTCTCTTGGGTTGTCTAGTGACAAGACCAACCACATGCAAGAAGAAAGGAGAGTGCTATCTGGAGTGTTAGAAACCCTCTCCCTCTGAGTCCCATGCCACCAGGGCCCTGCTGGTGGCCACACAGCACGGTTCTACAGAGCAGCTGGCACGCTGCTGCTGATCCCGCTATGATGCATCCAGTGCTTACTAGATGTCACACAGGAAGTTTTTCTTAAACATTTTGTTAATATTTGATGACATAAAAATGTTATATATTATATATATGTTATATATATAGTAAAACTCCCTCTCTAGAAAAATAAATAAAAATTGAAATTCAGCTATATTTGCCTGCCGGGTGCAGTGGCACATGCCTGTGGCCCCAGTTACTTGGCAGGCTCAGATGGGAGGATCGCTTGAGCTCAGAAGTTAGATTCCAGCCCTGGGTAACATAGCGAGAACCCCCATTTCTCTAAAAATTGTTTTTTAATTTTAAAAACATTCAAATTCATATATATATAAATATATATATAAATATATATATAAACACAGATGAAGCATAATAATAAAGTGAATATCCAGACCCCCCATACATCTTAAGAAACAGACTATTATAAAAATCTAAAGTTCCCTGCTTATTAAATCCATGGTTGCACAGTCCTGTCTTCTTTCTAGAGGTAGCCACTGTTGCAAATATTATGTTTAATTCTCTTTCCTTCTTTATTATTTTACCATGTTTATGTCCTTAAGGAATATTTTCCTATTTTTGTTTATTTCCTAAAATTTTTATTAAAATGAATCAAATTTGTATGCATTCTCCTTCTAAATGCTTTTTTAAGTTAACCATGCTGATACTTAAATTAGATTTTATTCATTTTCACTGCTCTGAAGTATTTCTGTGTACTTATATACCAAAAAATATATATAATAATAATACATGTGTATGTACATTCTTCTATGGATGGACATTAATTTCCAGTTGTAACTATTACAAAAATACTTTCCAATGAACATTCTATGTGTCTCCCAGTAACCATGTGCAAATTTCCTTAGGACATATATTTAGGATTTGCTGGGTCATAGTGTAATTATATGTTCAGCTTTAAAAAATAATCCAAACGCTTCTCCAAAGTAGTTGTTCCAATTTATATGTAAAACAGTGGCATATACAACTTCCCTTTGCTCTAAATCCTTACTAAAATCTGGTATTCCTGGTTTTCAAATTTCTGCCAATTTGGTGAATATAAAATGGATTTTATTACGGTTTAAATTTTCCTTTTTGTGACTTTCAAAGAATTTGAGCATCTTTTCATAGAGCTGTTAGCCATTCACATTTTTTTCTATGAAATATCTAATCACATCTTTTACCTTTTCTTTCTTTCTTTCTTTCTTTTTTTTTTTTTTGAGACGGAGTCTCACTCTATCGCCTGGGCTGGAGTGCAATGGCGCGATCTCACTACAACCTCCGCCTCCCAGGTTCAAAGGATTCTCCTGCATCAGCCTCCTGAGTAGCTGGGATTACAGGCATATAGCACCACGCCTGGCTAATTTTTGTATTTTTAATAGAGATGGGGTTTCACCATGTTGGTCTGGCTGGTCTCGAACTCTGGACCTCGTGATCCACCTGCCTCGGCCTTCTAAATACCTTTTCTTTTTACTGGGTTGCTAGTTCATATATCTTGGCTACTACTTTGTTGGTTACATTGGTTGCAAATATATTCCCCTCAAAGTATGATTTTTCATGTCGTTTTATGGTATCATGATGAACAGAAGTTCTTAATGTATTCCGTCTTTTTCCTTTTATGATTAATGCTTCTTGTGAGTTAAGAAATCCTTTCCTATTTAAAAGTCACATAGCTACCCTCCTCTGTTTTCTGCTGATTTTGGAGTTTTGTGTTCTTCACATGAAGAGCAGATGAATTATTATTTATTTTGGGGGTGCACTGGGGAGGGAGGTGTGAAGCAAAGTAGAGATCCTCTCTTGTGTTCCAGATCTGGTTTCAGTATTAATTATTTACTAGCCTTAGTGATGGGGAGTGTTCGTGGTTCAGTTTGGGTAAGATGGAATTATTTGGCCCTTTATGTTTGGTAGATACTGTTTACAAAATTGTATGTAGGAATTGGATACAAACTGCTGTTTATTTATTTGTTTATTTTTTATTTTTATTTTTTGAGACAGAGTCTCGCTCTGTCACCCAGGCCGGAGTGCAGTGGTGTGATCTCAGCTCACTGCAAGCTCCGCCTCCCGGGTTCACGCCATTCTTCTGCCTCAACCTCCCAAGTAGCTGGGACTACAGGTGCCCGCCACCACGTCCAGCTAATTTTTTGTATTTTTAGTGGAGACGGGTTTTCACCGTGTTAGCCAGGATGGTCTGGATCTCCTGACCTCGTGATCCGCCCTTGTGATCCTGACCTTGTGACCTTTGCCTCCGCCTCCCAAAGTGTTGGGATTACAGGCGTGAGCCACCACACCTGGCCAACTGCTGTTTATTTTATAGGAAGATTTAAAATGACTGACTCACTATCTTTAGTTTTTGAGGGTACTCTGTTTCTTTATAAGTCAATTTTCTATTATTCTAGAAATGTGTACATTTTGTATTTTTAAATATATAGTATATATGTAAGAAAGTTGATTATAGTATAGTTCAGTCTTTTCTCTCTTATATCCCTGTCATATTACCTTTTTGTTCCTGATATTTTTTGTTTAGCCGTTTTTTTTTTTTTTTTTTGAGACGGAGTCTAGCTCGGTCGTCCAGGCTGGAGTGCAGTGGCACAATCTCAGCTCACTGCAACCTCCACCTCCCAGGTTCATGCAATTCTCCTGCCTCAGCCTCCCAGGTAGCTGGGATTACAGGCGTGCGCCACCACACCCAGCTAATTTTTGTATTTTTAGTAGAGACGGCGTTTCACCATGTTGATCAGGCTAGTCTTGAACTCCTGACCTCATGATCCACCCGCCTCGGCCTCCCAAAGTGCTGGGATTACAGGCGTGAGCCACCATGCCTGGCTGCCTTTTCTTTTTTTTTCAAACTTGCCAGAGGTTTAGTGATTTTATTAATATTTCCAAAGAATAAACTTTTTACTTCCTAATTTCTGTGTTGTATACTTGATCTCTAATTTCACTGATTTTAGCTCTTTATTATTTCCTTTCTTCTACATTCTTGGGTTTTTTGAGTTGCTGTTTTTTATCTTTATGTATTAGTTCTTAGTTCATTAATGTTCAGTTCTTCTTTTCTAGTATAAGCAAATAAGCCTCTTTTCTGGCTGTGTGACCTTGGTCAGGTAACTTAACTTCTCTGTGCCTTAGTTTCATATACTCGAAATTGGGTAACACCAGTATCATAGCATAGTTGTGAAAACCGAGGAAATTAGTATATGCACGGATCTTAGAAGAACACGTGGTGTAGATTAAACCCTTCAGGAGTGCCCTTCCTGCCTGCTTGTTCCTCTTCCACCCCTTTATGCTCTTTACTCTTCCTCAGCTCTGCTCCAGCATCTGCTTAAACATCATTAGCCATGTAACACCAGAAAAACTGTGATGAAATTGTTTTTGTTATAATTCTGTTTTAGTAGTTTTTAATTTCTATTATATTTTTCTTTGATTCATAAATTTAGATGTTTTTATAATTTTTAATTTCCAAACATATAGCCATAAGCAAACTCTTCTCTAACATGGAGTCAGGACTGTTAAAATTTATGGGCTAATACACTTAATCTTTTTTAAATCCACAAGTTACCCTATTATTATTATCTTCTACTTAGGCTTGTTCAGATACACACACATACTTACCATTTTCTTTGCTCATCATTCCTTTTTGCATTTGAGCTAATTTATTTTCTTCCATAGTACACTCTTCCAAAAGTCTTTTAGAGAGGATATCTTGTTGGTATACTGCTCCCAACTTATCTGAATGTATCAGTTCATGTGCAGGTGTCTATATTTTGCCATCATTCTTGAAACAGTTTTGCTGGGTACATAATTCTGGGTTGGTTGTTAGTTTCTCCTAGTACTTTACAGATAATATTCTCCTGACTCCCTTGGTTGCAGTTGTGATGTCAGCTGGTGTCTAATTAAATACAAGGTCCTATCTTTTCTCTTTGGTTGCTTTGAAATCTTTTTTTGACTTTGGCATTCTTCAGTTTTTTAGTGATGTGTCTAGGAGAGATCTGGCATTATATTCTTTATGCTTCCTAATTCTGAACATTGATAACTACTATCAGTTTTGGAAAATTCTAATTGCCTCTCTTTTATTCACCTTACTATCTTTGTATAGAATTCCAATTGAATGTTTGTCCGTTCTTACGCTTCAAGCTTTTACTCACATCTTTCTGTCACTTTCTTTACTCAACTGTGTGTAATCTGCTATTTAACTGTTGCTTTGAGTTTTTCATTTCAATAATTATATTTCTCTATTTTAAAGATTTGTGTTTTTTATGTTTCTGGTCATTTCTAAAAATATCCTTGCTCATGGCTTCAATTTCCCCTGTTTTTTTAAACATGAAAATGTTTTATAATCTACATCTAATAATTTTACTTCCTAAAGTCCTGGTGAGCCTGGGCCAGTATTTTTTTCTTTCTGCTCTCTTTTGTTTCCTCGTATGTGGTTTTTTTGTTGTTATAAGCTTATATTTATTCAAAACCTTTATTTTTAATTATCGAATTTATTTTTAATAGTTTTTGTTAGTAACGGGGTCTCACTGTGTTGTCCAAGCTGAACTTAAACTCCTGGGCTCAAGTGATCCTGTCACCTAGCCTCCCAAGTAGCTGGAACTTACAGGCATGTGCCAACACAGCCGGCCTCTGAAAATCTTTTCGTGGGAATACTTTAAAGTCTGGGGCAAAGATGCATCTTTTACAGAAATAATTTTTGTTTGCTTTTACCAGATGCGTCAGGACAGTACAAATTTGGATCTATTTAATATAAACATTTTAGCTTACATTTTTTTAGACAAATAGTGTGAAATCAAGACCCAAATCCATGTTAGGGCTGGCTGATAGCCACAGATTCTCAGGAGTAGGGTTGCCATAAAAAATACAGAATGTTCAGTTAAATTTGAATTTCAATTAAACAATAAAAAAATTTTGTATGTTATTTACATAAAATTCAAATAAACTGGGGACCCTGTATTTTTAAATATATATTAACATATAGACTGTTCTGTAGAGCATTTTTGGAATCACAGCAAATTTTTTAAATTTAGATTTTGATATTTTAATTTCAGGGGTACAAGTGCAGCTTTGTTAAATACACACACTTGTGTCATGGGGGTTTGTTGTACAGATTATTTCATCACCCAGGTATTAAAGCCTGGTACCCATTAGTTAATTTTTTGAGTCCTCTCCCTCCTCCCACCCTCCACCCTCCGATAGGCCCCAGTGTGTGTTGTTCCCCTCTAGGTGTCTATATGTTCTCATCATTTAGCTCTCACTTATAAGTGAGAACATGCGGTATTTGGTTATCTCTTCCTAAGTTAGTTTGCTAAGGATAATGGCCTCCAGCTCCATCCATGTTCATGCAAAGGACATGATCTAATTCTTTTTTACGGCTGCATAGTATTCCATGGGAATTCATAGCAAAATTGAGTGGAAAGTAGAGTTCTCATATATGCCCTACCTTCTCCTAACACACACACACACACACGCACACACACACACACACACACACATACATACATACATACATATACCCTCCCCTATCATCCACATCCCCCACAGCGTGGTGCATTTGTTAGAGCTGATGAACCAACACTGACACATCATTGTCACCCAGAGTCCCTAGTTGACATTAGGGTTCACACTTGGTGTTGTACATTCACTGGTGTTAGACATAGGTGTAATGGCATGTGTTCACCATTATAGTATCAGATGGAAGAGTTTCACTGCTCTATAAACTCCTGTACTTCATATTTTATTTGGTAAAACTGAAAACCCTACCCATAGGAGACTTTCCTTAAGAGCCAAGACCAAGATAGGTCACTTTCCTGTCAATGGTTTCAGTAGGGTGCTTATGCTCTCCTTATTTGACATTTCTCTGAGGGCACAGCCTTGATGTGTCTTGTCTTCCTGTGGTGCTCTCTGGTTCTTCTTTTCCCTAATCTCCTGCCCACCCATGTTTCCATTAATATTAAAGCCCCAGCCCCAGAGCCTAGAGCTTTAGATGTCCCCAGCGCCCTAGAACTGGAAGATGCCCCAGGCTGTCTGAGTATTCAACAATCTCTTATTTCCCTGGATTTATCTTATGACTTCATTCCTGATTTCAGGGGAATTCTTTTATCTTGCTACTACAACCATACATGTTTAAGGGTTTTGTTCCTTTAAAAAAATATATTGACTCTAATATTCTTAGGTGTTCTGTAGTGGGAGGATTTTTAGAATCTCCAGTCTACCATATTGCCAGCAGTGGAAAAGACCTTTATGTAGGTAATCTCATTTAATCCTCACAGCCCAATGAAATGGATACTATTTTTCTAATTTTACAGAGAACCCTGAGATTTTAAAAGGTTAAATAATTTGCTTAAGTCCACAAAGTAACAACCAATCTTAGAATAATAATTGAATAACCGTTCAATTCTAGCTCTTCTAGTCTCCAAAGCCTATGTTTTCACCCAGTTTACCGCATTTTCTTCCATTTCTCAATATCTTCTCCCATTCAAAGTAGCAAATGGTTTTAAAGCTTATTTTAATTTATTTAGTTGTGGCTGATTTATTCATTGATTGATTGATACCATGCTTAGAACTGCTGCGGAGGGGAGGCCCTTTCATGGATGGCATGGATGCCAGCATTGGGACTGGCCTGTAGGTTAGGCAGGACCTCAGTCTGTGGCAGTTTCTTAGGGCATTTAGCACAGACCAAGGTCTGGTCCATAGCATAACTGGTTGGGAGACTCCCTTCCATTGGTTTCTTTGGATTTGATCTGACTCTAGCACACCAATTCATGCTAGCACATCTCCTAAGCCAGACTTCCAATGTATTAGTTCACAATGAGAGAGAGTCCTTTTCGGTAACTTGTGTCCACTTTCCCAGATCTTTCCAGATACCAAGACAATGGGGAAAACACATCTATGACTAGACATATGCTTGGCAGGAATTACTGCCAAGATTTAAGTAACTTAAAGAAATTAAATGGCCTTTGAGCCATGAAAAATCTGGTGAAATGAACATTTTTAATAACTGAGATTTCTACCACAGAATAGGTCAAACAATGAACATACATTGAGCTTATGTCAGGCACTGTAGATGCAAAAATAGCTAAGACCTCATATGACCTGCCCTTGGGGAATTTATAATCTTGGACCTTCTCTCTCCCTTAAACAATCCTCAGTCAACACTAGAAAATTATCTTTCTTATATCTACATCCAGCATTCTGCAGTTAATTTCAGAGCAGTGGATATCTACTCTGGACACCCTCTGGATTTCCAAGATATTCTGTGTACCATATTTACAAGCTATCACATTAGGTGAGTTCCTTCTTTGGGTCAAGGTTTTCCTTCATTTTTGGATAATTCTTCACCCACAGTTGTCCTCTGTGTTCTAAGTTCTGACAATGATTCTTTTGCTTGGCCAAACTTTAGTCAAGCTTCTGAATCTTCTGCTATGCCCATCTTGCAAAAATTCAGTTTTTGCAAGAACCCTGGTAAGTCAGTTTAGTAAGAACACCCATGCTTGGTGTCTGATTATCCTCCACCATCCCCCAGGTGACGTCTGATCACCCGGCTTCTCTTCAGCAAGAATTCTGGTAGGCTGGTTCAGCTACAACCCCACCTCACCCTGACGTTCCCTCTTAGTGATTTTCTGTCCACTGACTCCCACCCTGCTCCTTGGCTATAAATTCCCACTTGCCCATGCTGTATTCAACACTGAGCCTGCTCTCTCTCCCCTATGGCAATACCACATAGCAGTGGTCCCTATACCCATTGCAATGGTCCTGAATACATTCTTTCTCACTGTGATGTAACAAGTGTCATGGGAATATTTCTTCTTAAACAGTCCACATGGTATTATTCTTAACAACCACTCATATGGCATTAGGAATAAATGGAATGTTGTTGGAATCAGTTCAGCTCTGTCTCTGCCAGAGATTTCATAAGGAGTCGTTACAAATATGTTGGGTTTCCTTTATACTTGTTCACAGGGTAACTGACTGCAAGGAAAGGTTCCTTCCCTGTCGTTTCTGCAGTAATGGAGAGTATAGAAGATTTTGGTTGAAAATAAGGCATTAGAGTTTCAGAAACATGGGAAAATCCAGGGCACGAGCAGAATAACTTCAAAATAACTTTATATTTGAGAGTTAAGTTTGCCCTAAAATGTGACTGAACTTTTAAATATGAGTAAACCTAAATGTGCTCACTACATTGGGGTGGCCTTACCCTAGTGGCTTGCCAGAGTCCAAGGTCCAGTTTTTATTCTTACAGTTCAGTTTAGTTGAGTAAGTAGGTCTGAGACTTAATATTTGTTTTCTATTAATTGGTCACCAACACTGGGAATACTGGGGCGTTTGATAAAGTCCTGGCCAGGGAGAATGACTCATTTGTCTCACTCATTTTGGGTAGATTGGAAAGGTTTGTGTAATACAATACTTTTCATGGAGACAATAAAAATTCAGATTTTTTTCTAGATACATAAAGCATTAATTTAATTTTTTAAAAAGATCTGTCTCTCAGAGGCCTGCACTAAGTCCTTTGATGTTAGGTAGCAGGTGAAAGTCCCCAGACCTGCAAGGTTTGAGTATCATTTGAAAGCAAGACCACTTAGCTAAACTCCCACTCTGTGTGAAGCCACCAAATTGGACAGAACTGCTCAAAACATAGAATTTCAAAAATCTAATAAAAATGAAACGAAAGCAGTCAAGTATAGAAGAAAAAAAGCAATCAAGTCAAGAGGCAGGCATGGAGAGGCTCCTTTCTATTTGTTTCTGATAGGGCCAGAGGGGCTCATTGCATTTCCCTCTGTTCTTGATGGCCAGACCCTCGTGGCATCAGAGATGAACTCTCCTTTTCTATTAATGACTATGGGAATGCTGGCTGTGCAGAGAGGTCTCTCTGGTACCTTCCCCCACCCAGAATATTCTGCTATCCTCTTGGTTTCAGCTCGGACTGACCTGGAAGAAGACCCTGAGGAGAACCCGGGCACACAGCAGCCATTCCAGTCCTCAGCTTCAAGGGGGCTCACGAAGGTTGTGGATCCTTGCCCAGCCTGCAGTGGGGACCTGGTGTGGCATTGAGTGGCTGTGAGTGCTCAGTGTCCCCCATCTCATGCTAAGCACAGCGAAGTAGGGGGAGATTGCGTAGTGTGCTGATGGAGCAGTTGCCTCCACCTGGCTGCGTGTCCCTCCGTCATGTGACAGGTGAGCCCTGCCATCCAGCCTGTGACTTCCTCAGGAAGTCAGTGCCAGGGGAAACGTGGGAAAGGGAAATCAGGAGACTGGAGCAACTTTTTGGCTATTAGAGCTTATTTGGCTTTTATCATGTATCAACAATCATCTTTTTACTAAACAGAAAAGAAGAAGGCAATGGTGTTTTTCTGTAGCAAGTCACTATTTATGGAAGAGGAGACCCTTTATCTGCATCGCAATTCTGAAGATTCCACTTTGTTCCAGTCATTGTTGTGGGCACACTTTCAACATTTGATTAAGAGCCATAAGGGTGGCTTCCTCCACCCACAGAAAAATTCCTCTAAGGAATCATGAGACCGTCGACATTTAGCAGCTGTTTAAAAGACTGTTTAGACTCCTGGGATGATGATGGGGAATTCCTGGAATTATGGTCTTGGGCAAGAAGGGAACTCAAGTAGGAAAGTCAGCAATCTAAATTTCAAACCTCAGGGAACCTTCTTTGTATAACCTGATAATCTCCTTCGCTCAACACAGTGCTTGCTGAGTGAAGGAGTGTAATGGAAAAGAAAGTTAATAATCCCTTGTGCTCTGGATCAAAAATGAGGTAGGAGACCAAATTTTCCATCAAACTGGTTGGGTCCAATCACTTAATGCAAAATGCTTACTTCAGGGTCTGTAGCACTTGTTGATCAATGTACCTAACAGGTCTTAATAGAGAAAGTGATCAATTCAAGCAGTGTCTTCCCAAATTCTATATATATATAACAGATATTGCTGCATAACAAACCAGACAACGCTTAATAGTTTAAGGCAACCGTTTTATTATTCCCCAGAGTTCTATGCGTGGACCAAGGTCACTTGGGCCCTAGTCTTGTGATGTCACTTGGACCACAGTCATTGGGAGGTTCACCAGGTGGAAGCCTCCATGACAGCTCAATCCCATAGCTGCCAGTGGGTACGGCACCTACACGTGGCTGCTTGTATGGCCTGGGATTTTCACAGCACAGCAGCAGGGGCTGAGAGGCAGAGTCCTAGGAGTGATTGTCCCCAGAGAGCAGAAGCAAAAGCTCTCATCAGTCTTCTAAGAGGCTGAGCTGACAATGGGCACAGCACCACTCTGCCATCATCTATGGCTTAAGCATTCACAGGGCCAGGCTAAATTCAGGCTGTCGGAAGATAAACTCCACCTCTCAATGGAGAGAGTTCAAAGCAACTGTGGCCATCTTTACCCCATCAGCTTTCTTGCCAAGAAATAAAGCTCTACATGACACATCAACTTTCATTTATTTAACATTTATCTCAAAAGACATGAGTTAACTGGCAAATAATATCACATTCATAGTAAAAGTCTAAGAAATTAACATCCTATACTTATTGGGCATTGTTTACTTTCTATATGTTTTTGTTTTGTTTTTTGAGACAGTCTCACTCTTGTCGCCCAGGCTGGAATGCAGAGGTGCAATCTCAGCTCATTGCTACCTCCACCTCCCACATTCAGGCAATTCTCGTGCCTCAGCCTCCCGAGTAGCTGGGATTACAGGTGTGCACCAACACACCCAGCTAATTTTTATATTTTTAATAGAGACAGGTTTTGCCATGTGGGCCAGGCTGGTCTTGAACTTCTGGGGTTAAGTGATCTGCTGTCTCGGCCACCCGAAGTACTGGGATTACAGGTGTGAACCACTGTGCCTGGCCTATATGGTATTCTTAAACCCCTTGGTTGAGCTTTGGCCATGGAGACTTGGAACAGAATGTTAGGAGCTTTACAGGCCACAAGGACAGGTTGGTTTTCTGGGTTCCTGGGCACACAGCCTAACTCAGAAGAAAATAAGAAACAAACATGAGAAAAACAAGCCAGAAAAACCTGATTCACAGGAGGCGTGTCACTGAGTTGTACTTAGTTTATATAAAGCAATGGTTCTCTTCAAACTCTTAGTCTCAGGACTCCTTTATGTTCTCAAAAACTGAGGATCTGGCTGAGCGAGGTGGCGCACACCTGTTCTCCCAGCACTTTAGGAGGCCAAGGCGGGTGGATCACTTGAGGTCTGGAGTTTGAGACCAGCCTGGCTAACATGGCAAAAAACCATCTCTACTATAAATACGAAAATTAGCAGGGTGATCATGGCTCACGCCTGTAGTCCCAGCTACTCAGGAAGCTAAGGCTGGAGAATCGCTTGAGCCCGGAGGTTGAGGCCACACTGAGCCAAGATTACGCCACTGCACTCCATCCTGGGTGACAGAGTAAGACCCTGTCTCAAAAAAAAAAAAAAAAAAAAGAAAGAAAGAAAAAACCTGAGGATCCTATGCAGCTTTTGTTTCTGATGGACTAGTTCTACTAATATTTACAATACTAGAAATTAAAATTGAGAAGTTTCAAAAATACATATTCACTTTAAAAGCACAATAAAAATTCCATTACATAAATTCCATATTGTTATGAAAGTATCTATATTTTCCAAAGCCCCAAAGACAATGAGTAGGAACGACAGTGTTTTGGTGTTTTGCAAATCTCCCTGGCGTCAGGGTTAATGGAAGACAGCTGGGCTGTCCTTATCTGTTCTTACATTTAGGCTGAATTTGTTACAATGTGTTGCCATGGCTGAAGTAGAGGAAGAATGTCTGGCCTCACAGAAGTATGGAAGTGTAAAAAGGAGGAGTATGTAAGCAGACTTTTTAGATAATAGCAGGTTAGCTTGAGTTTCTTGACAAGTGTGGTTTCTTACTGGTTAGGTGCACTGTAGAATCTGGAACAGACACCTGAACGTTCTTTAGGTGACTTTTAGGGATGTTTTAGCTCCCCTGCCACCTGGGGCCCACAGGGAGACACCCAGGGACGAGATCTCTCTGAGCCTTGAAGACATTTGCAGCCCAGCCCTCCCTGCTCCTTCCTGCTTGTCTAAAACTTCGCAATTCTGTGAGATCATAGACAAATTGCATCTCTTCTGTGAAGGCTGCTCTCACCTTACTAAACAACAATTATCTCTTACTTTTCTCAATTCAAATAACGTTATTGTCGGTACCACTCATTTGGCCCTTAGTAAATGCTGTCAATTTTTATTGATTGATTGATTGAGATGGCACAATCTCGGCTCACTGCAACCTCCACCTCCTGGGTTCAAGCGATTCTCCGACCTCAGCCTCCCGAGTAGCTGAGACTACAGGCGTGCACCACCATGCCCAGCTAATTTTTGTATTTTTAGTAGAGACGGGGTTTGACCATGTTGGCCAGGATGGTCTCAATCTTTTGACCTCCTGATCTGCCCACTTCAGTCTCCCAAAGTGCTGGGATTACAGGCATGAGCCATCGTGCCTGGCTGATGCTGTCAATTTTAAATTAATTGGCAGATAACCACTTGCTAATTTTTAATTAAGCTAATTGAAAACAGGTTCTTCAATGAGAACACTTGGACACAGGAAGGGGAACATCACACATCGGGGCCTGTCATAGGGTGGGGGGAGGGGGGAGGGATGGCATTAGGAGATATACCTAATGTAAATGACGAGTTAATGGGTGCAGCACACCAACATGGCACATGTATACATATGTAACAAACCTGCACGTTGTGCACATGTACCCTAGAACTTAAAGTATAATTTTAAAAAAATTAAAAAAAAAAGAAAAGAAAACAGGTTCTCGACTAATACTTTATTTATTTATTTATCTATTTGAGATAGAGTCTCGCTCTGTTGCCCAGGCTGGAGTGCAATGGCATGATCTCAGCTCACTGCAACCTCTGTCTTCTGGGTTCAAGCGATTCTCCTGCCTCAGCCTCCTGAGTAGCTGGGACTACAGGTGTGCACACCACCACACCTGGCTAATTTTTGTATTTTTAGTAGAGATGGAGTTTCACCATGTTGGCCACGGTGGTCTCAATCTCCTGACCTCGTGATCCACCTGCCTCGGCCTTCCAAAGAGCTGAGATTACAGGCATGAGCCACCGTGCCCAGCCGGCTAACACTTTTAAAGTTTGTTTTTCCTACAGCAAGCAGAAAAATTGATCGGAGTTTCTTAATCTGGGGTTCGTGGATTAGCTTATTGGGGGCCCATGAAACCCCCAGAACTTGTAAGTGAAATTGTGGATGTCTGTGTATATATATCATTCTTCAGAAATTTTACTCCTCCTTTCCCCCCAGTAAAAGGTTAGTAACAACTAGACTAGATTTTTTTTTTTGAAATGGAGTCTCGCTCTGTCACCCAGGCTGCATTGCAGTGGCACAATCTTGGCTCACTGCAAGCTCTACCTCCCGGGTTCACGCCATTCTCCTGCCTCAGCCTCCCGAGTAGCTGGGATTATAGGCGCCTGCCACCATGCCCAGCTAATTTTTTGTATTTTTTTAGTAGAGACGGGGTTTCACCGTGTTAGCCAGGATGGTCTCGATCTCCTGACCTCGTGATCCGCCTGCCTCGACCTCCGAAAGTGCTGGGATTACAGGCATGAGCCACCGCGCCCGGCCAACTAGGCTAGATTTTTAACAAATATATACTGTGGTCTTTTTTACAGTTTTTAAACCCAATATCTGCTATAATGGGATCAGAAAAGGCCACATCTATAAAAGCAAATCCTTCCTCGATTGTGCCAGGGGGCTTTAGTTCCCTCTGTTCTATGTTTACATTGGAGTCCCAACCATCTGGTTATTTTTGATATTCCAACATAGTCTGTGTTGGGAAGGGAGTTCTTATTCTGTTTCCTCCCATGCACGCAGCGGTTAGTACCAGGGAAGCAGGACAAATCACTGCAGCACTTCAGGAGGGAACCTCTCTTTGTGCTCAGAAGCAAGATAGCATCCAACTCAGGGTCAGCAGACGTCTTCGGTAAAGTGCCGAGAGTAAGGATTTTAGGCTCTGCAGGTCTTATGTTCTCTGTGGTGATGACTCAGCTCTGCCATTGCTGCGCGAATGCAGCCACAAACAGGAAAGTGAGTTGGCCCCTCGCATCCAAACAACTCTATTTACAGAAACAAGCAGGGGCTGCATTTGGCCCATGGGCTGGAGTTCTTGAACCTCTGATCTAATTCACAGCTCACTAGGACGCAGGAGTTATAGTTGTAATAAGGAAGCACAACATCAAAAAATTGGGTGGAATCCTGGGGACTCTTAGGACTTTGCATTCCACCAATCATAGGTAATTCTAGTCTTGGCTAAAAGGGAGCACACAAATCCAGAGAAACCTGCTCATCCCAGGCAATGGGCCAGACAGGCAGCCCTGTGACACAGGCAGGGAAATAGGGGCAGTTTTGTGGTCATTGCTCCAGTGCTCACATACCTTCTATCAGAGACGATTAAAAAAGTTATTGTTTACACCACCACAAACCAGAGTGCAGGCTTGTTAGAAAATCTGGATTGCTCCCTGATCTGCCTCTCTATAATTAGTGAACCTTTCTTCTCTGCTCTGTGCACACAATGAATAAAACGTTCATGGTGTATGATGTCACCACAGTGCTAGAAACACTGTCTTGATTGTTCCACTTTTAATTCTGCCTTTGCGCCTGGCTGTGGCTGCAGCTGCTGGTCATCCCTCTACCAGCTACTACTCAATTTACCAACCTGGTGTTGACAGCTCTACCTTGCAGACTTTCGTGGCAGGAAGAAAGCCTGGTGGGAATGGACATGGTAGGGAGAGCCTCAGTGGCCTCCTTCCTAAGAGAGCACAAATATAGTGGAAGCAGATTCGCAGCTTCTCACAAGTTTAATCTTTAGAATGTGCAGAATCAGAATTCTGCATCTGGCAAATCAGAATTTAAAAGTTGGCAAGCGCTTTGACTTATTTAGGTTTCTTTTATTATCAAGTTCATAAAAGGGCATTTTTCTTTCTCACTCTCAATAGGAATTCTTGGGCCTCGAGGGGTCGTTTCTTAGTTCTTGCTCTGGTTGTTCTTCCTTTTGTCTCTTGCTGTTCTGTGGACTGGAGGGGTCCATAGGTTGTGAGTTTCTTTTTCTGCCTTTTGTAAGTTGCCATTTGTTCTCCCAATCCTGCATGTGACTGGGGTTGGGGGAATTCTGTAGTTGGCTTTGTGCATTGTTTTGTGTACCAGAACTTGGTTTAAGAACAGCTATCAATGCTGTCATAATGATACCACATTTGCTCCAGGAAAGCACACTTTCAGTTACCTCTAGCACCGTCCCCACCAAAGACAGGCTGAGCTCTGATCTTCCCTTCTTGGGCCACTCACTCCTGTGTATGGTGAGGGCCTTTCTGAGTGGTGGAGCCCAAGCTGCATGCAGCTGCTCTAGAAGCAAGGAAGACTGAAGCCGGGCAATGTTTGGCCAATCACAAGCACCGTTTGGTGAGGTGAGCATATTCAGATGATCATTTTAAGTAGCAGTTCCTCTAAAACTTCCACTAAAGGCCATTCAGCAGAAATCCCCCAAACACAGACAGGCTTGAGATGCTGGGTGGCCAAACCAAATGGCGAGTGCCCTATGCCAGCAAAACCAGAGAGAGCGTTAAGTCAGGGTTCTGGCCTGGGGAGGAGGGAGATGACCTCCACTGAGTGCTCTCTATGCATCCAGCTCTGGACAAAGGCCCCGTGTGTCTCACAAACCTGGTTTTTCAAATCAGGAAATCAGTGGCTTGAGAAGTTTAAAGTCCTGAGGCCTCCCAGGTGGTACATGGCTCAACCAACAGCATCTGTCTATATGTTTTTAAGAGCATGACAAGTAGTCATTAGAGTATGGAGTGTAGAAATTCACAGCACCGCCCTTGACAGGAAACCAGGTGTAACTACACTTTTGTGTTCTACAGACACACAGATGGGGTTGGAGAGGAGGCTACCACCAGGACACTGTGGACATTGGAAGGCAAGGGTAAATAGAGTCTTGGGGTCCCGGGGAGACACAGGGGTCCAGGACACAAAGCCTGCCAAGCACCAATTTTGTAAAGTTCAGTTTTAATGAGGAGAAATGACTTGAGGAGAATCCAACTAGGCCTCCTCTCCTGTGGATCCAAATTGTACCAATTGAAAGGGGGAAAAGGGTCGCTTCAAGGCACCCCAACTTTAGATTTTTTAGTAGTCTGAGGCTCTTCTCTTCAGCTTTTGCTGATTGTTTGCTGTCGTTCCTTTATAAAACTCTTCCCAGTTTTTGAGGATACAGATTGTGGTTGGCCCAACACAAGCAGCTTTTGCTCAGGTTAGAGCACCACGAACTCAAATACTGCAGTTGCTGCCCACTGGGAAGCCCCTGGGGGAGACTCGGAGACTCAGGGGGAACGAACAATGAGGCCAGGTGCTGGTGGGTCACATGGTTACAGCTGCATGTGGACAAGCACAATTAAGGCAGTTTTACTGTGAAACAACAAATACAGCAAAATCACAATGCCTGCCTGTGCTCTTATCTATAGGAACATTGTGGGATGGGGGTAGGATGTGGCTGAAATGGTGCAGCCCTATCCACTTAGCTTGATTCAACCCACAGTAGCTCAGAACCACACTGGAAAATGGGAGAAGCTTGTTTGTTAAATAAAAGGTGGTGACATGTTTTGAAGAATCTCCTGGCAATTTAATTGTTATATAAGTTATTTGGATTTTTAACAAAGGACGTTTCAACCTGAATTTTACAGATAAAGGGTTTTTGTTTCTCTCTCTTTCAAGCTCATTTTCCCTATTGACAAATTTTGACCCAGGTCAGAGTAGCATAATCCATGATGCCTATGTCCAAATTAAATGACTCAGAATCAGAATCTCACATGTAAATAGAAATCTCACAGGGTGTGAAAGATATCGTCATATAACAGATAAAGCTAAACAAAATGTCAGTATCAGTTTTATCAAATACCTTGTAGGTCAAAGGTTAAACGATGTTGGAAGCACAGATAAACATGCAGTTGTGTCAGGAACCATGGTGATGTTAAGGAAATGTTTTCTTTTCATTCTTTTTCTTCTTAGTGGGAAAATATCTATCAGAAAGTAGAAAAGAAGGGAGGTGAGGGCTGGGCTGGGGAAAGGCAGTTGTCAGGATGAGTAGTGGATCAGGGCATCCCATTTATTCTCACTCAACCCAGGAGAAGGTCACACACAAGCCATGTCTAGAAGGAAGGTGGGAAAGCGTGAGACAGGTAAGGGAAGGCTGGCCTCAGCCGAGCAAAGGGCAGAGAAGACTTGGCCACCAATGGAAGCTTTGCAAAGAGCAGGTGGAATCAGAGTGAGGCGTAACGGTCAATTGGAATGTATCTGACACACAGTCCTCGCCTTTTCCTCATGCTGTTCGAAAAATGTTGCCTAAAGCCTGTTTAGAAAGTGTACCAGGGAATTCCTTGCTCTTGGTTTGTGTGGGGCACAGAGGCAGCCACGTGTGTCACATTTCAAGGCAGGTGGACCAACTCTAGGGGCAGCGCAAGCTCCCTTCAGGCACATTTGCTGAGAAAGCGCGGTGTCCTCTGTGTCACGGGAGCGTTGGCTATGACCACCTAGTGTGGGTTGTGAGAGAGAAAGCAGGGTCCAGAAGGTCGTTCTGTGTCTCTTTTCTTACTCCTAAATCTTAGGGAGATACTATTTGCCCTGAGGCTGATAGATAAGCTCCATTGGTTTCAATGGAAATGTTCAACCCTAGCTGAATGGGAGACACAGGAAAAATTAACATAAAATGTAAAAGTTCAAGTTGGAAAGCCAATGATGCAGTTCTAGCCTTTGTGGAAAGATCCATAGGCCGCTTTCTGAGATGTTGCGTGTTCACAGTGCTTCTGTTTCCAAAGCAAACCAGGCTGCTGTGTGAAGCCATTGGTGCCGATCCTCACGAGTCACTGAGATCAGAGACACAAGTGCACGTCCACCACCGTGGACTAACTCACATCTCAGAGACACAAGCGCACATCTATGCCCGTGCGCGAACTCACTTCTCAGAGCACTGGCTCATGGGCGGTCAGCTGGTGTATTCATTACCAGGGGGTAAACCTTACTGAACTAACTCAAAGGGGAGAGCTTCTCAAAATGCATTGTGCATGCATATAATTGGGAGAGCTTGATAAAGACAGAAATCCCTAAGTGTGAATCCCAGAGAGGCTGCCTCACTTGGTCAGCGGTGGAGCCCAAGAATCTGCATCTTACCAAGCTCTCCCAGTTCATTCTAACACATGTGGTCTGAGAATCGCATGTTGAGAAACACCAGGGGAAACGTGCGTTTAAAAATAGTTCCTCAGACGCCTACTGTCTGTTTAGATTTACAGTTGATAGAATGATGCAAATGTATAAAAATACCTCCGTAAATATATCCTCAAGTGGCCTGGGTTGAGAATGAACCCTTTCGCAATGTGTGTCTTAGTGAATAATGCCAGTATTGGCTCAGTTGAGTGGAACACACACAAACTCATTAAATTTCAAGTGTTCGTTTCAGGTGTTGGCGAGGTCACATCTCTCCTTCAGCTTAGGTCACATAGAGGAACATCAGCAGCGGGTGGCCTCGGTGTTCTCCGCACCGCCTCTCTGGCTTGGTGGTTTATCACTCCTCTCCCTTAGCTGCCTCGCCTTGGACATGCGTCTTGGCTATGACAAACATGCAAGGGATTGCGTGGCCAAGAGTAGTGGGTTGGAGCCTAGGAGTCCAGGTACTTATGTGGTGGATGCTACCCTTTTTTGTGGTCAAACACCACGTCCACTTCTCCCATCTCAGCAGCACTGGTCCCTGCAGCTTGATGGATTGGGAAATCATTTGTAGCAACCATGGGGATACTCAGGAAAAGAACACTGAGAACATTGCACCTCCCAGGTTCTGGACCTTGATTGATATTACACACACACACACACCCATGAACACACACCTCTGTGCACATGCATCTTGCACACCCAGAGTCTTGAGCTCACTGGTAATCTCCAGCTTAGAATTCACCATTGTCAGCTTGGAGAAAACAACATGCTTTTCTGGAGAGTAAAGGCCTCAGTGAATCTGTCCCCAAATTGTATGTCTCTCGTAACTTTGAGGGAATTTTTTTTTGTTGTTGACAGCCTTATGCCAAAGGGAAAGGATGAAATATTGGGCATGGCCTGCTGGTCGTGAAAGGTCACATTCTGCAGCATGTTTTCCCGATTCTGTGCTGATTCATCACACACTGAGATTTTCTATTAAATACCCTTCCTGACTCTATTGGAAATGACTGTAAGTGGAACAAATGAAGTCACCCTCAAAATAAGGACTGCCAGGGGAGGGGTAGGTGGCAACTTTAACTGCTCCCCAACCTTGGGAAGTGGGGTTAGTTTTTTTCCATTTTGATGGTGCTGCTTGGAGGTAAGATGATGGATTTACACTGGTGGAGCATTTTGCTTTTCACAGGGTGCTCTGAGCAGGAGGCGGTCAGGGAAAGTACTAATTCTGTTTCTTCCATGTTGAGAAGCTAAAGCCCGGAAGGTGGAGGGCTCCTGCCCTGGCTGGGGAGTGGCTGCCTGAGCCTGGCCCGGGGCTGCTGTGCTGCAAGCCACACCACAGTGATGGCCTGGTGGGCCTCTGCTGCCTTTGTTTGTTTGATTTAATTTGTTTTTCTTTCTTTCTTTTTTTTTTTTTTTTTTGAGACGTAGTCTTGCTCTCTTTCCAGGCTGGAGTGCAGCAGCGCTATCATGGCTCACTGCAATCTCCACCTCCTGGGTTCAAGCGATTCTCCTGCCTCAGCCTCCCAAGTAGCTGGGACTACAGGCACCTGCCACTGCGCCCAGCTAATTTTTGTATTTTTAGTAGAGACGGGGTTTCACCGTGTTGGCCAAGATGATCTCGATCTTTTGACCTCATGATCCGCCCACCTCGGCCTCCCAAAGTGTTGGGATTACAGGCATTAGCCACTGCTCCTGTCCTGTTTTTGATTTAATTTTCAGTTGACACATGATAACGTACAGGGTACAGTGTGATGTTTCAATACATGTTTACATTGTTTAATGATCGAATCGGGGTAATTAGCATATCCATCATCTCATACTTGCCATTTCTTTGTGATAAGAACATTCAAAATTCATTCTTCTAGTTATTTTGAAATATACAGTACATTATTGTTAACTATAGTCATTTGCAATGTGGATGAACCTAGAGGACATTATGTTAAGTGAAATAAGACAGGCACAGAAGGACAAATACTGCGTGATCCCACTCATATGTGGAATCTGAAAATATCCATCTCCTGGAGACAGTAAATAGAACGGTGGTTTCCAGAGGAGGGGGTGGGGGTGGGGGTAGGCAGAGTGAAGAGAGGTTGGTCAGTGGGTACAAAGTTACAGTTAGATAGGAGAAATAAGTTGTGAGCCTTTTAAAATTCAAACCCTCCCTTTCTTCCTTTATTCTTTCGTGTTTCCCTTGAACTCCCTCTCTAAAAATAAAATCCAGGGCGGCGGAGTTTGTAAGATTTTCCTCTTACAATGACATTTTTGAAAATCACCCTATGTATAATTTATATCACTCATTGCCAATCCTTCTGACAAAGTTGTATGTTTCTGTGGCATTCTTGGAAATTTGTACCTGAAAGATTGTCTTCTTTGAATAACTGATCTATTTCCTTTTATCAGATAAGATTTATGTTCTTCTTGTCTTCCAGAAAGCTTAGAGCTAAATTTAATATTCGACCATGACCTTTGTATTATGTTTCTTCCCTTTCTATGAGGTTTTAAAAAGGTCTGCATTTTAGCCTTATTTTATACACACCTTTTAGTATGAGCCAAAGTTTTTGGAAACAGGCATTTTGCATAAACATTTTTTTCTCTCAGTTTAAATTGCTGCGACATGAAAACATCAAATGCCCTAAACAAGCTAAGATTATTAAATTCAATTAGGTAGGTCACATAATACACGTTTTTTAAATTGTTACAAACATTGTAGAGTAAATGTTGTTATGGAAGAAATTTAGTATGTAAAATGACACTGTAAACAATACCAGGCTCATGACAAAGGGTCATGAAATAAAATCAGTCCTCAAGGGAAGTCGAGAAGTTCAACGGAAGAATGCTAAGGCTTCATTTTTGTTGTGAAGAATCGCCAAGCAAGTCCTATAAAATACATGGGAAAAGATCATGTTTGCCCTGCAGAGAGACACAGGCTGAGCCACAGGGTTGCTGGGATTTGTTCCAACTGCAGGCTCTCGGCCTACCAGGCTGCCTTCCTCACCTCCTCATGGTCAGGTAGCAGGTGTGTGGTCTCAGATGAACTGATTCCATTCTGAGCCTCATTTCCCTAATCTGGAGAATGGGATCATAGTACCCACCTCAATGGGCAATGTGAACAATTAAAGTGATTTGTGAGAAGGGATTAGCACAGTGCCTGGCACAATTTTCCTTCATATTTGAATTCTACTACCTTGTAAAAAATACAAAGCATTGCATGTTCTGTTTCATAATAAATGCTGTGCAGAACCATGCGTTAGATTTTTTTTTAAGTCTTGCTGGAGTGTATCACATATGCAGAAAAGCGTCTAAGTCAAGTGTGTAGCCGCCTGGATTTTTACAGTGAACACTCATGTACTAGCATTTAGGTTAAGAAACAGCCTCAGAAATCCTCCTCCTGTCACCTCCTAGTCAATTTCCCATCCTAGGAAGTTACCCACTATCCTGACTTCTAACACCATAGATTTCTTTTGCCTTTTTTTTTTTAAGAGTCAGAGTGTCGCTCTGTCACCAGGCTGGAGTGCAGTGGTGTGATTATAGCTCACTGACACCTCTGACTCCTGGGGTTCAAATGATCCTCCTATCTCAGCCTCCACAGTAGCTAGGACACACTGCCACAACCAGCTAATGTTTAAATTTATTGTAGGGATGGAGTCTTGCTATGTTGCCCAGGCTAGTGTCTTGCCTGTTTTTGTGCTTTACATAAATGGAGTCATATGGTGTGTACTCTTTTGTGTCTGGCCTCTTTCACTCAATATGTTTGCAAGATTCATCCATGATGTGTGGGTAGCAAGAGTTTGTTATTAGTTCCTGTAGCTGTATAGATGTCCAATGTATAATACCGAAATTTATTAATTGTACTATTGATAGAAATTTGGGTTTCCTGTTTGAGGACTTTATGAATAAAGCTTATATGAACATTCTTGTACATCTTTGGTAAACATACACCCATTTCTATTGGATATATACCTAGAGATGTAATTGCTTTGAAGGTATGCATATTGATCAGTGTAATCACCAGATCCTTCTTGACCACTGCAGAGATAAAATCAGTTCACTGAGACAGCGGTATTGCAGTAGAGAACAAGTTTAATAAACAGGGCTAGCCAAGCAGAACAGGAGTTTATTACTTTATTACTCAAATCAGCCTCTCTCAGAACTCAGAGGCTAGTCTAGGTAGGGGTTTCATGGCTAATTTGGTGAACAGCAGGCTAGGGAATGAGTGCTGCTGATTGGTTGGGGATGAAATTGTAGGGGTGTGGAAAATGGTCCTGGTGCACTGAGTCCACCTCAAGGCGGGGTCCACAGGACTAGTTGAGTCATGAGTCACGGGTCAGGTGCAGTCATTCATTTGCCAGAATGCAGAAGTCTGAAAAACATCTCAGAATAACAATCTTAGGCAATATAAAAGTAGTGTTATCTATAGGAACAATTGGAAAAGTCACCAATCCTGTGACCTCTGGCCACATCTCCTAAGAGGCAAGGAATTATAGAAAAGCAAGCCAGAGAACAGTGGCTGGTTATCATTTAAGCCTACATGTTAGTAGAATTCAGACCTCTCCCAAAATCCTAATCTTGTGGCCCTGCATTCATTTTACAAAGGCAGTTTCGGTCCCTGAGCAAGGAGGGAGTTAGTTTCAGGAAGGGACTGTTACCGTCTTTGTTTTAAAGTTAACAAAGGCAATTAGCTTGTGAGAATAGAAGCAAGATGGAATTAGTTAGGTTAAATTTCTCTTACTGTTACAAATTTTGCAAAGGCAGTTTCATCAGCTTTAGTAAATCCTATTAGTTTTCCAAAGTGGCTGTGCCAATTTATACTCCCAATATAGTGTGGGAGTTCTTCTTTATCATTATCAATCCTTAGTATTTTATCTCTTTTTCATGTTGGCTTTTTCACTTGTATCAGCAAGGGCTCTCCAGAGAAACGGAACCAATAGAATCTGTATAGATATATGGAAAGAGACTTATGATGAGGGACTCACCCACGTGATCATGGAGGCTGAGAAGCACAGGATCTGCTGTCTGTAACCTGGAGATGTGGGAGAGCTGGTGTAGTTCCTGTCTAAACCCAAAGGCCTGAGAAACAGGGAAGCCAGTGGTATAGGTCCTGGTCCAAGCCCAAAGGCCCAAGAACCAGGTGCGTCAATGTCTGACATCCCAGGGTAGGAGACAGATGTCCTTTTTGCCAAGGTCACTCTCCCTGATGCCTTTCTGTTCTATTCCTACCCTCAAAGGATTGGCCAACGCCTCCCACATTAGGGAGAGTGAGTCTTTACTCAGCCAGGTGATTCAAATGCTAATCTCTCCCAGAAATACCCTCAACACACCCCAGAAATAATATTTTACCTGCCACCTGGGTATCACTCAGCCCAGTCAAGTGGACACATAAAATTCACTATCACACATTATGGTGTAGTGTTGTCTCACTATGCTTTTAATTTGCATTTCCCAGATGACTGTTGCATTTTTAGCATTACGTTATATTGTTTAGAAAATAAGATACAATATAATATACAAAGCAACATGTAACTAAACATATAAAGCAAAAGCTAATAAAAATATATAAACAGAACTTGGTAAAGCACAAATATAATGAATGATTTTAAATATTTTCATTTAATAATTTAGTAGATCTAGTAAACTAATCAAGGATGAAGAGGATCTTACATTCATAATTTCGTGTAATAATACATATAAAATTTACATCCTACAAATATGGAATATATAACTTTCTCTTATTTTTTTCTCCTTTGTACTTTATAAAATTTCTAAAATTCAGTTAGGTTCTTGATGATGAAAACATTTCAGATAGTTCAGGAAAGTAGAGATTTTAGAGTCATCAGTCTCTGATCAAAATTAAAAAAAAGATAAATAAATTGTATAAAGACCCAAGCTGAACCGTTTAATATCAGAGTGCACTCTCATAAAGTGTCCCTAAAGCAAAGGAGAAGTCAAGGCTGAAATTCCAAGTTAAAGAAATAGTAATTCAAACTAGAAGACCTTGTAGCAAATTTATCGCATCCAGGAAAAGTTGTATTTAGAGGAAATAGCTTCAGATAACTTCTTTATTATAGAAGAAAATTAAAACTACAAGTTAGAATTCATGTTAGGAAACTCAAAGAAAAAAATGACAAAACAAAACAAAAGGACCTATGAAAAGGAAATTAATTGGGATAGGAACTGATATTAATGAAGTAGACACAGGGGCTACCAAATGGTTACTTAAATTCAGGATTAAGGTTAAAAAGATAAGAAATGTCTAAAGTCTTCTAACCCTGGACATGATGAGGAGCCTAGAACAAGTGTATTGATTCTCCAGTTGTTTTATCTCCTTTGCTGTAAAATATGAACAACAGCAGCAGTAACAACAGCAATACCGTTGTGCCCAGCATGACAACATTTTAGTCACTGATGCCTCGCCTACAGGACAGCAGCCCCATGACATTATAATACCACATTTCTATGCCTTTTCTACATTTGGGTGTGTTTAGATGCACGAATACTTACCATTGTGTTACAGCTGCCTACAGTACTCAGTACAGTAACGTGTGCAGGTTTGTTGCCTGGGAGCAATAGGCTACAACGTGCAGCCTCGCTGTTTGGTGGGCTACATTATCTAGGTTTGTGTGAGTACGCTCCGTGTTGTTCACACAGCAACAACATCGCCTACATTTCTCAGAATGTAGCCCCATTAGTAAGAAATGCATGACTAGACCTAAGAAGGTGTTGGTGGTCACAGTAACGTTTAAAATGTAACATGCTGTAATGCAACTTAAGCAGTACATGCAATATCTAGGAGGCCTGTATAGGGAGTCTGTAATATACATGCAATGATACCAACCTCAGGCTACTAAAAACACGAAACTGATGGGCTGTGAAGGGAGTGGATGATCTGTTTGTCAGCAAGGCATGTGCACCACATGTGTAAATATCCTGAAGAAAGTACCTCAAGTGTCTGTCATGCAGCCAACAGACAGTATCTGCAGGGCCCTTTACAAACCAGGAAGAGGGAAATCGGATTCTTTCCATTTGCAGACATTTTCAGACTCGTTCTTTCTTTCTTTTTTGAGACAGAGTCTTGCTCTGTCGCCCAGGCTGGAGTGCAGTAGCACAATCTCAGCTCACTGCACCCTCTGCCTCCCCGGTTCAAGCAATTCTCCTGCCTCAGCCTCTCAAGTAGCTGGGATTACAGGTGCCCACCACCACGCCCAGCTAATTTTTGTATTTTTAGTAGAGATAGGGTTTCACTGTGTGGCCAGGCTGGTCTCGAACTCCTGACCTTGTGATCCACCCACCTTGGCCTCCCAAAGTGCTGGGATTACAAGTGTGAGCCACCATGCCAGGCCTTTCAGATTCTTTCTGAACCATCTGGGGAAGTCACAGTATTGATAATGGCCATGAATTTATGAGAAACTGTTAAGTATAATAGATATTAAAAAATAGAAAGTTGATTTTTAGTTGGTAACAAAAGACTAAAATCTTTAATGCACTCTAGTTCCTTGAAATCTGATAATGCTGACGAGTCAGTTTCCGGAGCCAAATTTCCCCGCTTGACTCATCCTCACAAGAAATCAGATATCCTTGTTATAAGAGGAGAGCATCAACACAAAACAAAAACAGCACGGATGGGCTGCCTCATGCTGTATAGGATTCGAGACCCAGGAGCCATAGCTTAGGGGCCACTGTCCCTGGTCAGGCACACAGACAGGAAAGGAGGAGGGACCCAGCTGGCATGTGGCTGGAGCAGCACCCAGGACACAGCATGGCAGCTGGCCAGGTCTCAGCCCTGGACAAGAATCCACAAGAGGCGAAGGCATTTTCTGTGCTGTGCCTCAGCCAGAAGTTCCAATGCAGGGATGTGGAGGCATTTTCTAAAACTTGCCTTTGTCTTGCTCCAAGTGCAGGCACCATGCATAATGCTGACGAGCATGGTCTGTGACTCCCGCGCTGGCAGGACTTTATGGCCAAGGTGCCTCATGCCACCCACCACGTGTGGTAGTGGCAGTCATTTGTGTAACACTCAGACACCCAAATAAAGGGGCAAGCATCCTAAACTGGTGCAGCTTTACTGTCCTGGGAGGCCTTACCCACTTCTCAAAAGAATGTGCTATTTGCTGACTTCAGTACTAAAATATCTGAGTTGTGTTACCTGAGGGTTTTCCAGCTGTTTTTGCAGGTGAGTGTACTGTGAGCTAAGCAGGCTATAGACCCATATCTGCCATCCACCAGCTGGGTAGCTGTGGGAGCACCTCTTTCCTTCTCCGGATTTCCCCCACCTTTTATGAATGTCACTGAGCAAATGAACTCCAAGTGAGCACTGCTGGGGCTAGCCTCCTGAAGTTTTTGGAGACCCTAGTTCTGCTCCCCAGTCTCCACGCAGCACATACCTTGTTGCAGTGGCCACCTGACCTTCCAAGAGGACATGAACAGCAGGAAGTGATTTCCAATCACGTTGGACATGCTGTGCCTGCAGCCGGCAGGACTTCCTGGTCCTGGCATTTCAGGTGAATGACCCTTGTCTGGGGTTGAAGATGAATCTTCCCCAGGTCCTCTTAAGGACTGCCTGGCATCCCTCCCTATCTCCTTTCAGCCACACCAGGTACAGCCTGCCAGGCTCTCGCCTCCAGTTTCACACATCCTTGCACCTGCCTGGGCGATGGCACTTGGGACATACTCATGCACACCCAACCCTTAGGGGAGGAGATTATGCCCAGTGGGTGGTCCATAGAAGGAAGCCAGGGAGTAAATGCTTCCTCCGTCTCCCTGCTGGTCTAGTAGAGTGGAGCCAGCGGAGACAATGCTCCCTGTTTGGGGATGGAGGGGTGGGGACTTAGGGGCAAGGGGAAGCTGAGAAGAGATTACACAGAGGAGATGATATGAGGCGAATCTTCAGAGGTGGGAGCTTTAGGGGGGAAGTGGTAGCGATTGGAGTCAGAGGCAGCAGTGCTATCAAAAGTCTAGGCTGCAAGAGCCTGCTAAGAGTTATGTTCTCCAGGGCAGGGCAGAGGGAGATGCCCAAGGGACAGAGGAGGCAGTGGCCGCCAGCCTGGGGTCCTAGGAGTTCCCCGGCACCTGTTCCTCCTCCTCAGCCCCGGCCCACCCCTGCAGCTCCTCACCAGGTTCAGACGTCCTGGCTCTGGTCCTCCCACCTCATCTGTGCACCTTGCCAGTCCTTTGGCTTCCTCTGCGTGCACTGAAGCCCTACCAGCTGGTGAGGAGTCCCTGTGTTTGGACGCAGGGTTTGGCTTCTTACACCAGCATCCTGTGCTGTGTCCAGGCTCCTCGGGTCTCTGTGCTTAACGCAATTCCAAATGGAAGAAAGGGAGGAGGAAGCACGGTTCTCAAGAATCGCAGGCCTCGGGCACAATTTGAGCTCCAAGTCTTTATTTCTTGGTTATCACTAAGAATCAGTTGCATATTAGAATTCTGAATAGGCCTGGTGCAGTGGCTCAGGATTATAATCCCAGCAATTTGAGAGGCTGAGGCCAGAGGATTGCTTGAGGCCAGGAGTTTGAGGTCAGGCTGAGCAGCGTTAACGAGATCCCATCGCTACAAACAAGAACAACAACAACAAACTATTATTTAAAAAATAAAAATAAATTTTAGAAAATTCAGAATGACCAACACTTTCATTCAGGGTTCTAACTATTGATAAAAAGAAATATATGTTTTTTTTTTTCTTTTAAACCCATGATGTGAGACATTAATGTTCTGGGCAGTTGTGAGGAATCTCCACCACAGCACCTCTCCTCACCCTCCCGTTTCCAGATGAAAGCCAGGCTGTGGATACTGGCCTGGTGACAAGAGAACATGGAAAATGGAAAGGATGTGAGTTTAAGGACTCTTTGGACACAGTAGAGTGTGTCTAAATTTCTCAATAAAAGGCATATTTTATAAACAGAATATAAATATTCAGCATCCTGGCCTTGGACCCACGACTGCGTTCCTGTGGCGGGAGGCAGCCAGCAGCTCAGGGGCCCGTGCAGCACTTCCCCCTGCCGCCAGGGGATCCTCCCCGCCACTGTGCCCTGCCCACCACATTATTTATACTACATGTCTCATGCTTTCTGTGGAAAATTGTTTCACTTAGCTTCCTGCAGGGATATTTTGGGACTGGGAACCTTGGCTTTTGATTTTTCCTTTCTCTACCTTGCATAACAGCTCTAATTCCCAATTCTCTTGGATTTTCTCTTCTCTCCTGCTGCTCTTTGGGCTGAAAAATAGGAATTCTCTTTTATTGTTTTGTTTCAATTTTCTGAGACCTATCCGTACCTAGAACACAAACTTGTTTTTCTCCGTGACATTCTTGTTTTAGATATAAAGCATCAAGTATCTGAGCAGCAAGAACATTTTTGTGTACTTGCATTTTATAATCGTGGAATTCAGGAAAGGTCTTGCAGGAGGTAAGTTAGCATAGAGTTTCAGAGCTAGGATTCGGCCTCAGTGCTGTGATCCACAAAGGAATGTGTAATAGAATTCGGAAAATCACTGCATTTGATGCAAATATCTAGTGAACTCTAGGCCGCTAAAACTTCTCAACCACTCATTCCATGGCTGATTCACGTGGAGTTCCTGCATAACAAAATTCGGGTAGAAATGATCTACGAGAAGTAAGTACCAACACCTCCTATTGGAGATGTGAAATTGAGCAAGCCGTTCTTACCTGGGATCTCAGCTTTCTTACCTGGCTAGAAGTGGGGAGGTTGAATGCACTTGGTATCTAAGCACCCTTATAGACTTCCCTTGCCACCTGGGCCCACGGTGGGAGTATTTTTCTCTATGGCCACTAGATGTCCCAGGAGCACCCACTTTGGGGCTGAGCTGTCTAAGACACCTGGGGCTCCATCCTGTCGTCCTTGGAATCTGCTGACGTGAGGAAGGCAATGTTTGGGTTTCACTTCTGTATGATTTTGGGGCTGCTGTCTCAGCCACTGAGACTCAGACAAGAATTTTAAGACACCAAAACAACCCCTTAGTTTTCTTGATGGCTGTTTGAAACCAACAGAACCATTCACATTTTCAGGAATGGATTCTTGTTAATGCCATGAAGTAGGAATTCACAAGGGATTTTCCAAACATTAGTGAACTCACAAAGGAAGTGTTATTATGGGGTGTCTATGTGCTTGAGGCATAGAGAGTCTGTAAAAATGAGAGAGCCACAGCTGCCTCTGTGTCGTTGGGGTGACGGAGGCTCCTGGACAGCTCTGCCCTGCGGGGACACTCTGAAGAACAGGCACCCTGTGCTCAGGGCCACCGTGAACCATGGAGAGGGCAGCATGGAGGAGGAGGTGAAGAAGCCCACAAAGAGGAGTCAGGTCAAGGACACCATGAGAGATCCCTCGTCTGCCACTTCCAAGGCCAGAAGCCCGGAGTTCCCATCACACCCCACAGCAACTATGCAGTGTGAGACCACTGGTTCATTTAGCCAGGAAAAGGGAAGAAATCTTTCAGGGTGGATTTAAAGAGAACTGCAAATCCATCTGCAGCCATCTTAGATAGATGAATGTGAAGTTTAACGAAATTAGCTCTGTCCAAGTATCCAAGTGGGAGATTTCCAAGAAGCCATCACTAAGGCTACTACTGGCAGTGGCAGTGGTGGCATTAGAAATAGCAGCATGCCCAGAGATAACTTTCCAATTTAGTGTTAGGGGAAATTGTATGACACTGCAAGGACCATATTGTAAGCTTAGCTGTCTAATGTGCAAACCAGATACGCATTTTTAGTTTAAATTAACTTTGACATGTAGCAGCAATTCATAGTTACCCCCAAAACACAAACTCTAAGAACTTTTAAAATGCATTTAATAGAACTCTAAAGAGTACAGAAGAGAAAATATGTGAAATATAATAATAGTAGCGCACCGTTAATTTATGATGGTTCTTAACCAGTGTGTACAGGTTTAATACTACCTCACAGGAGAAAAGGTTAAGGAGGATATGCATTTTTCACTTGTATATAAAATGGAGAATATTCATTTTTTAAACTGGAAAAATGAATTCAGTCACTTATGAAGTGTAACCTCTTCTAAAAAAAAATTGTGTGACAGATCATACAATAACAGCGCTCACTTCTTGTGATCATATGTCCCAGCATTTAAACATTAAGTCAATTTAGCTAGCTACCTTTCAGAAGCTGGTTATTATGACTATTATTTTACACTCATAATTCAATTTTTATAAACAATATAATGCCAGCTGCTGTAATTCAAACTTTATATGCCAATGTTGTGCCCTGTCATATTTTACATTCTGAGCAAGCCTACAGCCTCCAGCAGCCTGAAGGTTGTACGCTTTACATATATGGCACAGAGCGATCAGCCTGCAATTCATGTGCATATTTGTTACAAAGCATGTGTCTTTGTGAAAATCTTATACACTTAAATGACATCAGTTTCTATCTTGTTGTTGTTCTTAAATTGCTTCCCCAGTCCTCTCCTTCTCCTTCAGTGTTATAGATGTTATGTATTCATCCTTTCATTGCGGGTACAGTGCATCGTGTAAGATCCCAGATGCAATCAGCATGCCTGGGTTCAAATCTCGACCTTGTCCTTTTCTATCTGTGTTTTCTTAGGCAAATATCTTAATTTCTGTCTGCCTAGGGAGATGGAGGATGGTAACAGGACCTACCTTACTGAACTGGTAGGGAGAGTAAATGAGTTAAAACATGCAGAGGTCTTAGAACAGTGCCCGAAGCACCTTTAGTAACCATGCATTCACTGAGAAACCATGTTTTGTGTGTTGCTCTACCAGGCACAGTGCTAGGCTGCAGGGATTCTGGGATGGTGGCAGGAAACAGAAGTATTCGAGAACAAGGGTTCCAATACCAGCTCTCAGGTGCTGTGGGACTTTACTCGCCAGGTGCCTTTGGCTAAGCCACCCACTTTCCTAGGTCCTCAGTGTTCTCCTTGACCAATAATAAAGATGGAATAGACAATCTCAAAATTACTTTCCAACTCTGAATATTCTTGGATGTCCTAATTCTAAGCCAAGTGGGCTCTGTGGAAATCTGCTCTCATTGGCCGAGGAGTCCAATCCACCACCGCACGGGTCCAGAATAAAGTGACCACGCTACATTAGACAAATGGCGTTGGCAATGCCGTGCCTTTTTATGGAAAGTGGTTTTGGATGTTTGTGATGCAAGGAGACATGAGGATATTCCATATTAGCATCAGTGGTTCAAGTGACTTGGAGAGTATGTTAACAACAGGCTTTATGGATGGAAGGAGCCAACACATTTCTCCATGAAAAGTCCTCTAAAATGGTAGAGCTCATGGTTATGATAGAAAGATGGGATGAAGGGCACCCCTCAGAATTTCACAGATGTTGAAACAGTTGAATAGAGGAAGTGAGTCAGTTTGTATCAAATGAATAAATAGGAAAAGTTAAAACTAGAAGTGATGAAGGAATAGAACAAAGTGTCCAGAACAGCCTCAGTGAATATCTACTATATGTCCACCTTCAAGTGCATTAGGACCCATTTAGAGATGCTTTGGAAGTTTTGGAAAGGGGTGGACAGGCAAAGGTTACACATCTGGTTAACCACGTAGATCTGCATTTCGGCTTTTCAAGTAGCAAAAGGATAAACTTACCTTTAGGCTTGTTATTCCATTTCCATACAAGACATATGATGGATTAGATGCTCACCTTACATGCTCCCATGGACCTCTGTCCTTCTGTCCTAAGTGTCACTGTTAATTATATGTTTGACTGTTTCTTCTCTTCTGCAATGTAAATTCCATGTTGTGTGAATTGCCTACTGCTGCACCCACAGAGCCCAGCACAGTGTCTAGCACATAGGAGGGAATATATATGCATGGATATATGTTGAGTGAATGGAAGGGATGGCTTCTTCGGATGGCCCTGCCTTCTTAGCTGTGAATACATGATACATAGAAGGCTGTCTCTTTTGGTGGCTTTGTTTTTTGGGAGAGGAATGAAGAAAAGACAAGTACGTTGCTGTGCGTGTCTGATAAGATTTCCAAGCTGATCGGGCCACAGGTCCAATTCTGCCCCTCACATCGTCCTGCACATAAAAAGGGAGTGGCCTTCCTTATCCTTGACAGGGCAAGGGGAAATGGAACTTCTTTTTTTTTTTTTTTCAATGAATGGAGATTTATTAGGCCAGCTTTAGGGCGTTTCTGGGAAAAACTCGAGCCACAGACACATCTGTGGCTGTTTTCTTTCTCTCTCTCTCTCTCTCTCTCTCTCTTTCTTTCATAGCGTCTGGCTCTTTCTTTTTTTTTTTTCTTTTTTTAAAAAATTTTATTATTATTACACTTTAAGTTTTAGGGTACATGTGCACAATGTGCAGGTTTGTTACATATGTATACATGTGCCATGCTGGTGCGCTGCACCCACTAACTCGCCATTTAACATTAAGTATATCTCCTAAAGCTATCCCTCCCCCCTCCCCCCAACCCCACAACAGTCCCCGGAGTGTGATGTTGGGAAATGGAACTTCTTAATCTCGGCCACTTCTCGGCCTGTGGCGCTTTGCACTCCCACTGCAGCTGTCGGTCCTCTTGACAAAGTCCTGAATTTTCCCCCTCTATCTGCAGAGGGGTCTCTTCAGTTCACTTCTAGTGAGGTGGTTTTCTGATGCTATTAAATGGAGCCCCTCAGGGAAGCCAGTGTTGACAGGGCATTTTCTGAGTCCTGTGACTGCATCCATATGGGACTGGGTGATGTGGGATGTTCTGCATGAATGTCTTATGACCAAAGGCACTGAAAGGACTGGTGCAGGGCTGGGAATTTGATTTACCTTGTTGGGGCATAAACTCTACTTCTTTGTTTTCTCTCCACCCTACCCCTATCCCCAACCTCCAACCGTCATAAGAAATGTTACTTCCTGAAGACGGGCAAGCCTGGCCTTTTGGAATTGCCACACCGTATATATGTGTGATCTTTTCTCTGGTCTCTGAGCACCTTGACCCTAAACCAACACTGCAGTCAGGTGGGAGGGGAGGTACAGAGCCCAGCCTTCCCCTTGGAGGTCCAGGGAGGACTAGTGAGAGGAGGTCAGGCTAAGAGAGACTCCAGATTCCCCTCCTCTCTTTTGATTTCAGCAGCTGGTGTGGAAACTCCTCCCCACGCTGCCCTAACTCCACGTTATTATATCTTCACTCCAAGGATGCTGTGGCAGTGGACCATGGGATGCAGAAAGGAGATGTTCATGGCCAAATTCAAGCCTGGCAGTGTCATTCCTGCTTAATACACCCAACGCAAGATGAGCTCCCATCTGGCCATGCTGTGGCCCCACACCTGATCCCACATTGGAGTGTTATGTCTTTGTATTTATTTACCTTTACATAATTATGAGGCTACATAAATTTAGTTATTGCTGGCCATGAAACCAAACCCAGAAAGCTTACATAGGATGACGTCTTTTGATCGTAAGTGGAAGGAAGGATTCTAGTGTTGAAAACTCTCTACGTGATATTGTTATCTGGGTATCAGATTAGATTAACAATGGTAATAGAAAACTCACTCACCTGATTCAGTCACTGTTTAAACCCCCTTAATTATATCAACTCATTTAATGCTCACCGTAATCCCTTCAGCAGGGAATTCTGATATCTCCATTTTATGACTGAGAAAATTGAGGCAAAATGGAAAAGCTTTAGAGTTTTTGCCTTGGGTGATTACTGTATACGGGACAAAGGAACAGCTCACACATGTGAGACTCATCTGTATGTCATAGGGCTACACATTACTTAGAATAATTGATTACCTGATTGGAGATTCTAGCAGAGGAAATTACTAACTTCATAACTTTCTTGGTGTGAAACTCATGGCTTCAAAACGGTCTACATAATTATGAAATTCAGATAATTTATTAGTTGCTTATTTTTAAGTTTGATAAAACTTGACAGATCAGTGAATAATCGCTAACTATTGGAGGCATTATCTAATTGTTCTTTCTTATGATTTATGTTGGGAGCTATAGATTCACTGGTTAACCTGTCAGGTAGCAAGATTTATGTTTACACAAACTTTCCAGAGTGTCTTCAACCCCACGGAAGTTGTCTTTGAACATCACCTTTCTTGGACAGCTGTGCATTTGTTTACCCCAGTAATGATGCCAACTCTGTCTCATGTAGACCTGTAAGCTCCAGGACAAGAGCCATGGTCTGTGTATTGTTTTTTGTTTTGTTTTGTTTTGTTTTGAGACGGAGTCTTGCTCTGTCACCCAGGCTGGAGTGCAGTGGCGGAATCTCCACTCACTACAAGCTCTGCCTCCTGGGTTTACGCCATTCTCCTGCCTCAGCCTTCCGAGTAGCTGGGACTACAGTCGCCCACCACCATGTCCTGCTAATTTTTTGTATTTTTAGTAGAGACGGGGTTTCACCGTGTTAGCCAGGATGGTCTCGATCTCCTGACCTCGTAATCCACCCCCCTCGGCCTCCTAAAGTGCTGGGATTACAGGTGTGGCCCACTGCATCCGGCCTGGCCTGTGTACTGTTGTAACCTCACCACCCAGCACAACTCTTGGGACTTGGTGAATGTCACAAAAAAAAAAGGCTTGTCTTTGATCTCTCAGAAGATTGTTCTCAGTACTAATGTAGAGGGAGTGCCTTGTGTTTTCCACTTGATTTCCAGTCTCACTGGCTACACTTGAATCCAAATAGGCTTTGGCTGTATTGAAAAGACAGAGATTTGGCACTGCCAAGTCACTTACACTAACGCTTTTGTTTCTGAGGTGGAATCCCCAAAGGAGGAAGACAAAAACAAAACATTTTGGAGAGGCTATTATATGCTGAGGACAGATACTTTCATTTCCATTATCTCATTTAATCCTGTCATTAGTGCTTTCAAGTAAGTATAAGTGTGTCCATTTTATAATTGAAAAACCTAGTGATTCTTGCACACTGATTTTGTATGCTGGAACTTTGCTGAAGTTGTTTACCAGGTGAAGAGCTTTGGGCCTGAGACTATGGCGTTTCCTGGATAAGATCATGTCGTCTGCATACAGAGATAGTTTAACTTCCTCTTTTCCTATTTGGATGCCTTCATTTTCTTCTCTTGCCTGACTGCTCTGACCAGGACTTCTAATACTATGTTGAATAGGAGTGGTAAGAGGGGCATCCTTGTCTTGTGCCAGTTTTCAAGGGGAATGCTTCCAGCTTTTGTCTTTTCAGTATTATGTTGGCTGTGGTTTTGTTGTATATGGCTCTTTTATTTTGAGGTATGTTCCTTCAATACCTGGTTTATTGAGAAGTTCCAATGACATTCTTCACTGAACTAGAAAAAACTATTTCAAAATTCATGTGGAATCAAAATGAGCCCAAATAGCCAAGGCAATCCTAAGCAAAAAGGACAAAGCTGGAGGCATCATATTACCTGACTTAAAACTATACTACATTTTTTGGCTAGAGTAACCAAAACAGCATGGTACTGGTACAAAAACAGGCACACAGGCCAGTGGAACAGAATAGAGAGCCCAGAAATACTTACAACCTGCACACTTACTATCTGATCTTTGACAAAGCTGACAGAAACAAGCAATGGGAAAGAATTCTCTATTCAATAAATGGTACTGGGATAACTAGCTAACCGTATGAAGGAGACTGAAGTTGGATCCCTTCCTTACACCATGTAAAAATGTAACTCAAGAGGGATTAAAAACTTAAATGTAAAACCCAAAGCTATCTAAACCCTGAAAGACAACCTAGGCAATACCATACTGGACATAGGCATAGGGAAAGATTTCATGACAAAGATGCCAAAAGCAATTGCAACAAAAGCAAAAATTGACAAATAGGATCTAATTAAACTTAAGAGCTTCTGCACAGCAAAAGAAACTATCAACAGAATGAACAGAAAACCTACAGAATGGGAGAAAATATGTGCAAACTATGCCTCTGACAAAGGTCTAATATCCAAATCCAGCATCTGTAAGGAACTTAAGCAAATTTAGAAGAGAAAAGCAAACAACTCCATTAAAAATGGACAAATGCGGCTGGGCACGCTGGCTCATGCCTGTAATCCCAGTACTTTGGGAGGTCAGGAGTTTGAAATCAGCGTGGCCAACATGGCAAAACCCCGCCTCTACTAAAAATACAAAAATTAGCTGGGCATGCTAGTGCATGCCTGTAATCTCAGCTACTCCAGAGGCTAAGACCGGAGAATCACTTGAACCTTGGAGGCGGAGGTTGCAGTGAGCTGAGAGCACACCACTGCACTCCAGCTGGGGCAACAAAGCAAGACTCTGCCCCGCACCCCCCAAAAAGTGGGCAAATGACATGAACAGACACTTTTCAAAAGAGGACATACATGTGGCTAACAGGCACATGAAAGAAAGCTCAATATCACTAATATTAGAGAAATGCAAATTAAAACCACAGTGAGATACTATCTCACACCAGTCAGAATGACTGTTACCGAACTGTCAAAAATAACAGCTTCTTGCAAGGTTGTAGAGAAAAAATGCTTATATACTATTGGTGAGATCATACATTGGTTTAGCCATTGTAGAAAGTAATGTAGCAATTCTTCAAAGAGCTAAAAACAACTGCCATTTGACCCAATAATCCCATTACTGGTTATATCCCCAGAGGAATATAAATCATTCTACCATAAAGCCACATGCATACGAATGCTCATTGTAGTGCTGTTCAACAATAGCAGAGACATGGAATCAATCTAAATGCCCATCCATGGTAGACTGGATTAAAAAAAATGTGGAACATATGCACCATGGAATACTATGCAGCCATAACAAAGAATGAGATTGTGTCTTTTATAGGGACATGGATGGAGCTGGAAGCCATTATCCTTAGCAAACTAATGCAGGAACAGAAAACCAAATACTATATGTTCTTACTTATAAATAGGAGCTTAGTGATGAGAACTCGTGAAGACCAGGAGGGGAACAACAACACTGGGGTCTAATTGAGAGTGGAGTGTGGGAGGAGGGAGAATCACAGAAAAAAATCATGGATACTACCAGGCTTCATACCTGGGTGATGAAATAATCTTTACAACAAACTCCTGAGTTTATTTATATAACAGACTTCAAATGTACCCCAAACCTAACATAAAAGTTTTTAAAAAAAATTAAAAATTAAAAAAAAAAAAGAAAAAAACTGAGGCTCAGAGAAGTTAAGTACCTCACCCAAAGCCACACAGCTAGCTGGTATGTTTTAGAACTAAGCTTTAACTTAAGTATCTTTGACTCAAAGCCTACTTTTCACTGCTGTTGCTGCCTTGAGACAGAGGTCCAGAGGTGTTATGTGCGATGGAAGCGTCACTGGATGGAGACATGACCCACCCATGGGGGTATCTTGAGGAACACACTCAGTTGCCTGTGTGAATTCTAACAGGTCTGTTTGCATCTCAGATGCTCTACTGTGACCTCTGGTACAGTGTGGCTGTTTACTAGTGATGCTATTCCGGGAAGAGCTCTAGGGCTTCTTAGCCCCATGTTAACTTCTCATGGTTCAAAGTGCTGTTGGCGGAGCACAATGCAAAATCCTGTGGATATGGGTGAGGCTGTCATCTTTGGAGGAAGGACTAAAGGGCTGGGGGCAGGAGGCCAGGGACTGACTGGGGGCTGATCAGGACGAAGAGAGCTGAGGGCACACAGTCAGGATGAAATTCTTCTCCAATGGCGCCAGGGTGCACGGTGCTGGGAGCCAAGGGGCTCTGCCTTCCCACCAGCCCTGCCGCTCCAGGGCTCTGTGAACCTGGGTCACCTCACCTCCATGGAGCCACACTTCTTATTTGCAAAACAGAGGGTGGGGATCCGGTGACGAAGGAGCCTCCATCCAGTTCTAATTTTCCGTTTTCTTATAGAAGTCGGGCTTCGGTGTGTCTGGAACTGTGTAAGGAAGACCCAGTGAAGTATCCTCATGACTGCACCTGAGCTGTACTGAATAAGGGGTTGTGTGTGTGTATGTGTGTTTGTGTGTGTGTATGTGCACCGTGTCTGCATGTGTCCACATGCATTTGTTATCTTCCATCCTTCATAGCCCTTCTTGAAGATTGAGAGAAGTATCGGGATTTCCAAACTTCAATTTGGAGTGGGTTTTGCCAGGAAATTACTTTGGAAACTGTTGCAAACTGCATGCTTGTGGATGGCATTCTGTGGTCATGATCCTGCCATCTGACAGTGCCAGGGCCTCCAAGTTCGCACAGCCAAAGTGCCCCTGGGGGTTTGTGGGGGAGACTCAGGACAAGGGACACACTTCCCAGCACCTCCTCAGAGGTTCCCTGCTCAGATGTACTCCCTGGGATTGGCCTCGGGGTCACCTGCCTGAGACCCAGCCCTGCCCTCTGTCCTCAGCCAGCCTGGACCAGGCTCCTTCTCCCAGTGCTCACCATGCACTGGCCCCAGGTCTGCCCCACGTGAGGGTGAGCTCCACAGCCAGAACCTGGTTTTATTCGCGTCTGCCTCCTCCTTGCCAAACCACCATGGGCACAAAGAGAGCACTCACTAGGGATTCATAGGAGGAGTGAAGGATATCTGATTTTTTAATTGACAAATAAAAATTGTATGTGTTTATCATGTACAGCAGGTTTTGAAATTTGTACACATTGTGGGATGGCTAAATCGAGCTACTTAACATACATATTCCTTCCTGTACTTATTGAGTTATCACAGTGCTTGATCTGTGTAAGCGCCTCTGGACTCTGACTGCCATCCTCTCCCCTGGCCCACATCCCTCGGTGGCCTTTCCTCCCAAACATGCCTGCCAGATTCTCCAGAACCCTCCCTGCAGGAAACCAAACTCCCCCACATCATCACTAAATGTTCCTCCATGTCCTTGCTGAACTGAACCCTGGCTGCCATCCAATTACACAGCTTCCCTGAGCCCACTCAAGTGGGGGCGGCTCCTTCTCCCACATCCTCTTCAGCTCAGGGTCAGGAGGAGGGGGCAGCCTTCTCGTTGCTGATGTTTCACCCTTTATAAAACAAAATCAAAGAAAACAAAACAGAAACCTGCTCTCTACGGCACATGTCATCCAGCTTTCTTCTCTTAGTCGCTGTCCTGAATTTGTGTCGTTTCCTGCCTCACTCACAGGGATGAGGGCACTCCACTCACCATCCCAGCATTATTCCAGGAGACCCCAGAGATGACTTCCTTAATGACCTGAGGTCTTCGTTCCCTGCCTGCCTCCTTTCTGAGGGGCTGCTTCTTCACTGTGTGGCCTCACCGCCTCCAGTGGGTGCCTCTGGAGCAAACGTGCCCTGGATCTGCTCCATCTCTGCCATCTTCTTCAAGTCAGCCATTTCTCTCTTTGACCATGCCTGCCTACCCTTCCAGCACTTTCTCTTGTCAGTGTTCACTGCACCTGTTCTCCTGCCTCATCAGGCCACTCCAGATTATTTTCCCTGTGAATGGACCAGCCTGTCACAGATCACTTAATGCGTTCTAAAGCTCACAGTACGTCAGTGTAACAACAGACAACAAAGCTACTAGAATGGCTACAGTCTCCGTTTCGTCAAGCCCACATTTTATGAGTTAGTGACTAGACCACATTCAGATTACATTTAAATGAAGTACAATTAAATCAATGGGAGAGCAGTAACCTCACAGTGGAGAAACCTGGCTGCAATGGACTAAATGTTTTTGTCTCCCTGAAGTTTATATGTTGAAATCCTAACCCCTAGTAAGAGGCTGTTAGGAGGTGAGGCGCTTGGGAGGTCATTGGGTCATGAGGGTAGGGCCCTCATGAATGGGATTTGTGTTTTTATAAAAGAGCCCCCAGAGAACTCCCACGCCCTTATTGCCATGTGAGAACATAGCAAGAAGACAGACATCTACAAACCAGGAAGTAGGCCCTCACCAGACACTGAATCTTCTGGTACTTTGACCTTGGATTTGCCAGCTTGCAGAATTGTGAAAGACAAATTTCTGTTGGCTCTAAGCTACCCAGTCTATGGTACTTTGTTACAGCAGCCAAACTAAAATGCTGCTGGGTGCCTTCTTAATCAGCGATGAAGGTCAATACCACCACTGATGTCATGAGCATGTCATGTACCCCCAGAAGGATGTGACTTCACCTGTGGGGTAGGTATTTTTTTCAAAAAGCCTCATGTCCAGTCTAATTATAAGAAAAACATCAGACAAACCCAAATTGAAGAAAATTCTGTAAAATACCTGATCAATACTCCTCAAAGCTTCCATGAAAAACATGGAAAGCCTGAGAAACTGTCACAGGCCACAGGAGCCAGGATAATGAAATGCAACGTGACATCCTGGATGGGACCTTGCGTTTATATTAACATTATGTAACTTTACAACATTTATAGTCTCAATGTCAGAAACTTTAAATCTTTATAACTTACGGTAGCAAAACTCTAAGATGTTTACCTGTCAGGGGGATGTCTAATAATGCACATGGAACATAAAATATATCAGCGACAACTGTATAGGAAAGAAACTTTTCAGGTGGTCATTGGGCCACCAAGAGCTGTCTACTTAGTTTAAGGTGATTCTTAAACTTCCCCCATGTGCTGAGCTTCAGAGTGGGGGTTTTGATGTGTGTGGTGGAGAAGGTTGTATGAGGGGTAGCAGATGGGAGGCAGAGCATGTGTGGGAGGGCTGTGAGCCTGCTTATGTTCCTCCACTGCACAATTCTGTGTAGTAACAGATTCCAGGAAGCAGTCATAGATGCTCTGGAAATACAGCCACCTGTAGCTCTGAATCTCAGTCTTACTTTTGAGCAAGTCTTACCCCAGCCAACGCTGAGAACTCACTGACCATTCAAGACAGCGTGGCATATATGAATATTAGCAAGTAACATGGAATTGGATAACAAAAATATAAGCTCCTCACAAGACAGAGAGAGACGTCCCCTAAGCCACACCTGACTAAATATATCAACAATTTATTATTGATGAATAGATGGAATTAATACTAGAATCACATGGTATTGTATTTGTTTCATAGATATTTATGATAGTTTCATAGATATTTATGATAAAGCTAAGTTTGGTCAACCATAAATAGTTCTTTCGACAATGCTGTGAGTTCTGTCATTCTCAACTAAGTTTTTAAAAATATTTCTAAGTTCTAAAGCATGGGCTCTGAAGTCCAAATACTTGGGTTTGAATCTCAGCTCTGCCACTTAACAATTTGACTTGTCTTGGACCCCTTAAGTAATCTGAGCTACATGTTGTCACAGGGAAACCTGAGATTGGTCTGGCCTTTCTAGGGCTGTTGTAAAGGTTAAATGAGATAGCACGCCTGAAGCATTTGCCTAATAATGCCAAGTACATAGTATGTGTGAAACAAATATAATCTATTACCATTATAATTGATTATGAATTGTTAAAGGTACATACCTATATTGTACCTTTAGGTTACACGTGGACCAAGGTAATAGTTGAATTAATCAGTCTGTGACCAGAATGGGTAAGACCAGGTGAGGAAATCCATCTGCTCACCCCAAAATGCCAAGCCCCACCAGAGGATGGTGGCTTAAGCAGGGTTCATTCCTTTCCAGATATGCCCCACCTGAATTTCACACATACCTCATTTCACCTGACCCTCATCACAATTCTTTGAAACAAGCATTTTTTCTCCCAGTTTGCAGATGGGGAAACTGAGACTCAGAGTTTAAAGGATTTGCCCAAAGTCATACGGCCCGGAGGTGAGACTCCCAGAGCTTGCACCTTCTTTTCCCAGCTTCAAGCCTAGGACTCTTGCCATGGTAGACCAGCTGCCAAACAGGCCACCATTTTACCACCCTGGGACAAACCTGTCTTTGAGCTGTGCATCAAAGCAGAGGCATTTCTCAAAGGCGGGAGTGCCTCACCCATGGAGGGGACAGCAGGTGCTCACTGTGCTCACAATGGCTCCTTTCATGCCAGCCCCTGCCTTCATGGGCCAGGAGGGGTCTGTTTTCACCCCTCAGGCCCCCCACCTTCATTCCCCTCCTCACTCTTTCAAACAAGACTCTGCTGCTTGGCACACACCATGGCTTAAAAACAGGGAGCAGGCTCAGGTTGACAATGCCAACTGCACAGTCAACCTTCAAACTCCAGCAGGCATCCGCCCTCTGTGGCAGCCAGATTCAGAGACTCCGGCCAGATCTGGCAGACTGGTAGACAGCCATAGAACTGCAACCTAGGGAGGGGCAAACCAAACCAAGCAGAGGCCTGGGGTTGCCATTTGCAAGATAATAGCTAAAGCAGCTTCTGTTAACCTCACAGTTTTAGAGCCCAGTGCCTTTCTCTTGTGCCATCCTCAGTATACCCAGTTCAGAGCTAAACTGGAAGCAGATGAAGTTGGTTGCATTTCTTTCTGTTCCCTCTTGGCTAGGATCCAGCACCCTCTAGCTCCATGCTGCCCCACACCCCACCAAGCTGCATAGACTTCTCAGCCCAGGCACTGCTGCCTGCCCAATCTTTACACTTCAGTCTCAGTCTTCACACTTTCCCCATCCCTGATTGGAACTCCACTCAGTTATGACTTCCATGAATAAACACCAGAATCCAGATAGCAAATAGCTGGAAATCCTACTAATCCCATGTCCCTGCCTCTTGTTCTATGCTTCCTGAGCTATATGTATGTACCCTTTGTAAGTCAAGGATCATAATTAGGTCAAATAGGGATTTAGTCATTAAACTTAAGAGCATCAAAACTGGGTGTCTTCATAAAAAGCAAGACATAAAGAACTACTTTTCCATCAAATACCAAGCCCACGTTTTTGTATACATCAAAAATACAAGTAGATTCAAGAAAGTTATATAAGTAAATTCACAGTGATAGAGCTGTAATAAATATCAAATTTAAAATCCATTGAGATGGAAAATTGAAACTAATATTTCTTTTGAAGTTAACAGCGTGGAAGGCTCTATGCTGTGTCACCTCAGGAACAGAATCTTGGGGTAGAAAAAGCTGCTGATTTGACCTAATATGCATGATTTCTTTTTGTTTTGTTTTGTTTTTGAGATGGAGTCTCACTCTGTCGCCTAGGCTGGAGTGCAGTGACATGATCTCGGGTCACTGCAACCTCTGCCTCCCAGGATCAAGTGATTCTCCTGCCTCAGCCTCCCAAATAGCTGGGACTACAGGTGCCTGCCATCACATCTGGCTATTTTTGTATTTTTAGTAGACATGGGGTTTCACCATGTTGGCAAGGTTGGTCTCGAACTCCTGACCTCAGGTGATCTGCATGCCTTGGCCTCCCAAAGTGCTAGGATTATAGTTGTTTTGTTTTTAATTAAAATTGTTTTTTATCTTTTATTTTAAGTTCAGGGGTACATGTGTATGTTCATTAGATAGGTAAACTTGTATCATGGGGGTTTGTTGTACAGATTATTTCATCACCCAAGCATTAAGCCAAGTGGCCATTAGTTACTTTGCCTGATCCTCTTTGCCTCTCACCCTCCACTCTCCAATAGGCCCCAGGGTGTTTTGTTCTCCTCTATGTGTCCATGAGTTCTCCTGATTTAGCTCCCCCTTATAAGTGAGAACATGTGGTATTTGGTTTTCTGTTCCTGCTAGTTTGCTAAGGATAATGACCTCCCTACAGAAGACATGATCTTGTTCTTTTTTGTGGTTGCATAGTATTCCATGGTATATATGTACCATACTTTTTTTATCCAATCTGTCTAGGTTGATTCCATGTCTTTGCTATTGTTAATTAGTGCTGTGCTGAACATACACGTGCTTGTGTCTTTATAATAGAACAATTTATATTCCTTTGGGTATGTGCCCAGTAATGAAATTGCTTTGTCAAATGATATTTCTGTCATTAGGTCTTTGAAGAATCACCACACTGTCTTACACAGTGGTTGAACTAATTTACGCTTTCACTGACAGTGTATAAGCATCCCTTTTTCTCCACAACCTGTTATTTCCACCAGCATCTGTTATTTTTGGACTATTTTGACTTGCATTCTTATGCAGTGAGAGCCTTAGTAATAGCCATTCTGACTGGCATGAGATGGTATCTCATGGTGGTTTTGACTTGCATTTCTCTAATGATCAGTGGTATTGAGCTCTTTTTCATATGTTTGTTGGCCGCATGTATGTCTTCTTTTGAACAGTGTCTGTTCATGTCCTTTTCCCACTTTTTAATGAAGTTTTTTCTTGTAAATGTGTTTAAGTTCCTTATAGATGCTGGATATTAGACCTTTGTTGGATGCATATTTGTGAATATTTTCTCCCATTCCGTAGGTTGTTTGTTCACTCTGTTGATAGTTTATTTTTCTGTGCAGAAGCTGTTTTGGTTACTGTAGCCCTGTAGTATATTCTTGCGTAGTATAGTCAGGTAGCGTATACCTCCACTTTTCTTCTTTTTGCTTAGGATTGCCTTGGCTGTTTGGGCTCTTTTTTGATTTCATATGAATTTTAAAATATTTTTTTCTAGTTCCATGAAAAATCTCAATGGTAGTTCAATAGGAATAGCATTAAATCTATAAATTGCTTTGAGCAGTATGGCCATTTTTACAATGTTGATTCTTCCCATCCATGAGCATGGAATGTTTTTCATTTGTTTGTGTCATCTCTGATTTATTTGAGTAGTGGTTTGTAGTTCTCCTTGTAAAGATCTTTCACCTCCCTGGTTAGCTGTATTTCTAGGTATTTTGTTCTCTTTTTGCCAATTGTGAATGGGAATTCATTCGTAATTTGGCTCTTGGCTTCACTGTTTTGGTATGTAAAAATGCTAGTGATTTCTGCACATTGATTTTGCATCCTGAGACATTGTTGAAGTTGTTTATCAGGTTAAGAAGCTTTTGGTCTGAGATTGGGTTTCCTAGATATAGGATCATGTGTCTACAAACAGCGATAATTTGCCATCCTCTCTCCCTATGTGGATGCCCTTTATTTATTTATCTTGCCCGATTGCCCTGGCCAGGACTTAACTTTGTTTTTATTTTTCTTAATTTTACATTCCAGGGGTGCATGCCTAACATGCATTATTTTTGTTTGAACACGTACAGCATTTATCCTGCCAACAACTGTTCTTTGTTTGATCATTTATTCTGTTATTCATGTAATATTACCAGTTCAATAATTCTATCATTTGTACATAATCTAAGACCAAATGGCACTGACCGTTGTGACAGTGAGAAAGTTGGGAAATGGCAGGATTGAGGGCTTGACCCCAAAAGGTGACCAACACTGCAAATCTCAGAGGCCAAAGGAAGGTCCCCAATGTGAGTTCACTCTGGGAGGGCATTCCTATCTGAGATGTGGGAGTGCGGTAGAGGGGTCTCTGGCAAGTAACTCATTGGATAGAGGTAAGGCTAGGCAGCATGGACATTTGAGGAACATCTTCTCAGCTCCAAGAACATAGTTTAGCTTGGACGGTGTTTCACATACTGACTGCTTGCTTGGAGTACAGAGTTCAGGAGCAGGGGCAGATTGTGGACTAAAACGGTTCCAGTGTCAGAGTAGAGCAGTTAGACTTCATCTTGCAGGTGACAGAAAACCCATCCAAATTGGTTTGCACGGTAAACATGATGGGTCTGCTTGGGCAACAGAAATGTCCGAGGAAATTAGCCCTGATGCGTGGCTGACCAGGGCTGCAGCATTTCTCTGGGATTCTCCTTGCCTCCTCTGCCGCCCCCCTACCATATGCTCACTTCCCTCAGGGTAGGGATGGCCCCCCAATTGAAAGGAAGAGAGAGAGGAGATATCTCTTTCCAGAAGTCCATGTACTTGGCGTCTCTGGTGTGTTTTGGTCGTGGTTTGGGTTGTGTCTACTCTGAGCCAATAGAACTTTACTGATTGATTAGCTTCGGCCTTACTTTGGGACTATGTGTTTATTGTGATGATTAAATTTATGTGTCAACTTGACTGGGCCACAGGGTGCTGATATTTGGTTGAACATTATTCTGTGTGTTTCTGTCAGAATGATTTTGGATGAGATTAACATTTAAATCAGTAGACTGAGTGAAGTCAACTTTCCTCCCTAATTTGGGTGGGTCTCTTCCAATCAGTTAAAGGCCTCAATAGAACGGAAGGCTGACCCTCCCCCAAGTAATGAAGAATTCCCCCTCCCTGACTGTCTTCAAACTGGCACGTCTGGTTTTTTTCTGCCTTCCGACTCAAACCAAAATAGCAGCTCTTCCTGGATCTCAGAACTGCCGGCCTTCAGACTGGAACTATGTCCTCAGCTCTCCCAGGTTTCCAGGCTGCCAACTCGTGCTGCAGATCTTAGGACGTGCTGACCTCCACAATTGTAGGCGTCAGGTCCTTCCCTTTATGTATATGTCTACGTCTGTGTTAATGTCTATATCTGTGTATATATTCTGTTGGTTTTGTTTCCCTGGAGAACCATGATGAATGCACTCATGGTTCAGGGAGGACTTTAGTATGACCAGAGGAACTAGGGATGCGTAGAAAACTAGTGCTTAAGCCCAGTCATAAACTGCTTGAATGATGAGATATGATTCCTTTGTAGAGGAGACAGCTGCATCTCAGTGGAGTCACCTGAGCCCTAGGACTCATAGTAGACACATTGGAATGGAGGGCAGCAAGACCAAAGGGTGGGAAGCCAGACATTGTCTGAAGTGATCCAGAAGCTAGTTGGAGCTTAGCCTGCTATGCTGAACTTCAGGAAACTGTGTTTAAGTGGAATAATAACATCACCACCACCACCATTATTGGTGCAAGGCATTAGAGTGAACCTTTATCTGCATTGTTGTCTTTAACTCTCATAACAACTCTGTGAAGTGGGTCTGATTGTAATTTACAGATGAGAAGGCCAAGGCTTAGAAATAAAGTACCTCACCCTGTATCCTCAATCGCTTCTGTCTGGTGGAACTAGGGAAAACCAGCACGCAGAGATGTGACCTCTGGTCTGACTCAGCCCTCTGTAGTATGGAGCTTGTTCCTTTGGTGTCTGACCGTACATACAAACAGGCACACCCTGCATTGAATCACATCAGATTTAATGTTCCTTGCTGGCATTGTTGTTGATAAACATTTTTCATTGTATTCTAAGTAAGGGCATTTAGTGAGGAGGAGGCTCTTGGCATTGTCACTCACTTTGCTGTTTTTCTGGATGCCTGGAAGCTCTGTTTTTATGTTAAGCAAAGTTTTAACTTTGTAAGACTTTAAGGAATTTTTGAGCAAGATGATTCTCCCCGTGTGCACTTTAAAACAGCTGACTCGAGTGCTCTAACAGCTAGAGCTCTTAAGAATTTGTGGCTGGTTATGGCAAGGTATTGGTGGTGGTGTTGGCATAAAGATGTAACATGTGCTTGCTGTATTAATAATTCAATCCATATGCCGTCTTCTCATTTTTGTAGAAGATAAAAGAAGTGCACATGTCCAATCAAGAATATTAAGGAAGAGTGAATTGGAGAAAGTACAAAATTGAACACACAAGTACATGAGAGAAAAGCTGTTCTCTCTCAAAGGCTAAATGTGTTCTTAGAATGTAAAATGGCTTGTAACTAACCCTAGACATACAGAACAAACAATGTAGAATCAATGCTGAAAATTAATTTTTAAAAGCCCTCAAGTCATTGCCAAAACTGTTGTCTCTCTTTAAGTACCGTACAGCAGAAGAGAAACTGTCTTTAAAATCTTTCTACCTGGATAAACTCAATGGACTTTGCAGAAAGATAAATGGGAAATCAAGCATTTGTATGAACTGGGAATATAGATGATTAATGTTCGCATTGAGCCTGAGGCAGGTGGATCTTCACAGTATGTGCTCGTGGCAGGGCTGGACATGGGCCATCCTGTTCTATCAGGGCTTCTGATGCACCTACTTCACTTTAGAGATGAGCCTCCTGACACGGTTGTTTAGACTCACTGCCTCTCCAGCCCCTCCTGCTCACACACAGCTCAGTCCCCAGAATCCTGGCTTCCATTCCCATGATTTCATTGAATCTGCCTTCTGGATTTCATTGAATCTGCCTTCTGGGCCATCACCAGTGACCTGCTTGCCAAACCAGAGATGATTTTCCTCTTCAATCTCATCACTTCTGTGCACCTACGATGCCCTTGGAGCCTCTCCTCCCTCGGCATCGCTTTTTCCTGGTTCCTCTGAGTTGCAATGGCTCCTCCTCAGTGTCTACTGTTGGCTCCTTTTTTTTTTTTTTTTTTACATCCCCTTAAGTGTAGTCTAAGTTGAATCCTTGGTCATCTCATCCAAAACTAAACCTAATGCACAGATGACTCCAGCCCATATGTGAAAACCAGGTAAACTCGCAAACTCTATATGTGGGGTTCCTTTAGCATTTTAAGCTGAACCTGTCCAACATTGATCCCGTAGATCTTGTCTCTATGAATTTATAGATTTTCATAGGGATCACCGATATTTTGATAATGTCCAGTTTTTTTAATCCAAGGCAATGGTGAGTTATTTGACCATTTTCTGGATAACGTCATGATCATTAGGTTGAAGTGTAGAAGATTGTATGTTGGTGTTGGAAGGCCAAGTGGGGGACTGTAGTGGACATTTGTCAAGGTTTCAGCTGCTCTGTACTGTTCACCTTGCAATTTAAAAAAAATTTCTAGGTTTGTGAATCCCACTACCCCAAGATAGAACTGAGAAAACTCACCATGCCAGCCTCTTCATCAACTAGGGCCCAGGCAAGTGGCTTATGCGCCATCAGTCAGACTCACCTGCATGTAATTTTGTTACTTGTTTTCTATTTGATACAATATAAATATCTGTCTATACCTATCTGTCATATGTTAGAAATTTGAAGGAGGAAGTTCCACATGGAATTCATTTTTGCCTGTGACAGTGGCAGCTGAGGCATGCAGTTCTTGGGAGTGGCAGTCTGTCCTCACACACAGGTGACATTGGTGCCGGTGGCCATAGCAGCTACTGCCACATTTGAGTAAGTGGACTTTAGGCCAGTCCTTAAAGCTTTTAGGACTTAGTGAGGTCAATGGCATGGTTTTCTCATCAGGCCTTTACTGCAGCATGATTTTGGGTCTTTCCTGGAAGTTTGGCCTTGAGCCTAGTTCTCAAGCCATCTAATATCTTTTAAATAAACTTCTCTCCTGCTAGTTTCTGTTGCTTGCAACAAGAACCTTGACTAACACCTCAGGGAGATGTGGGAGGGAGAAATAGTCTGAAACACCATGAATATTCAGGAAGGCTGTGAACTGAGCACCTCTGGTGTGCCAGTTACGTAGACCAAGACATAAATGGAAATTCTTGGAGATGTGCAGCCTTGCACACCACAATAAACTTTGCTGCTGTACAGCTGCTACTCCCTGTCTCTACCCTGATTCTTATTTCACATTGTAATTTACACTTAGCACTTCTTAAAAATTTGTGGTAAGATGCACATACATTTTCGATCTTAATTATTTTTAAGCATACAGTTTAGTAATGTTAAGTGCATTCACATTTGTACATCCAATCTTCAGGACATCTTGAAGATCTGAAACTGTCTTCATTAAACCACTATTGTCTATGCCCGTTTCTCCCCAGCCCCTGGCAACCATCCTTCTACTTCCTGTCTCTATGAATTTGCCTACTCTAGGTACCTCATATAAGTGGAATCACACAGTATTTGTCCTTTTGTAACAGGTTTATTTAACTCAAGATTCATCCACGTGGTAGCATGTGCTAGGATTTCCTTCCTTTTTTAAGGCTGAATAATATTCTGTTGTATGAATAGACCACATTTTTTTTTTACCATTCATCCATTGATGGACACTTGGGTTGCTTCCACCTTTTGGCTATTGTGAATAGTATGGCTATGAACCTGGGTGTATATGCTTAGCACATTTAATTGTACTCATGATGACTGTCCCTTATGCAGCACTTACTATGTATCAGGCACTGCTCTAACACACATTAACTCCTTAAATCTTGCACCAATCCTGTGAGTTAGGAGTTATTATTATCTAAATTTTACCAATGAGGAGTAAAGTGATTAAAAAAAAAACCCTTGTAGGAATTAGGGAACTTGCTCAAATAACTGAATCCTGGTGGCCATTGAAAGAAAAACTTCAGACAATTGGATTTAGCAGAGTTTAATTGAGCAGAGGAAGATTCTTGAATTGGGCAGCACAACCTCCTGTTAGCCAGCCAGAATAGGTTTGGAGCAACTCCATGCTGCCACGTGGTCAGAGAGGATTTCTAGACAGAAAAAGGAAGGAGACATACAGGAAAGGGAAGTAAGGCACAGACACAGCTAGGCTGGGTGCAGTTTGGCATTTGCCTTATTTGAACAGTTGGCTGCCTGTGATTGGCGAAACTCTGTGATTGATGCAAAGTAAGTTACAGTCTGTTTACACCTGCAGTTTGGTTATGTTTTCCTCTGTATGGAAAAACCCTTAGGCCAAGGTTAGAATATGTGAGGAGGCACCTTTAGGCCATACTTAACTGAACATGGTAGACCCAGGTCCTGTGCCCCAGTCCTGCTCTGCTAGAGGCCTTTCTTGACCACCCAGTTACTCTTCATCACAGCACTATTTTAAATCTGTATGTAGCTACTATTACTCTCTAACATTTTAGTATTAATTTAGTTTTTCTTCATAGTTAATCTCCCACTAAAATATCAGTTCTATGAAAGCACAGACCTCATGCTTATTTTACATAATTATATCTCCAGAGCCTGGATCTCGGTTTGGCAAATAGTAGTCACTCAGTAAATATTTGTTGGCTGAAATAATGAATAAGCCTGGGCAACAGAAAGTCTTGTAATAATAAAAGTAAAAATAAAACAAATGTTAATAAAGGGGAAAAATCTTTTCATTAAGCCAAGGGTTTAAATAAACTCAAGACTTAATTAGAATTGCTAAAATGTCCTATTTTTTTCAAATGACCCCATGACATTTTGATACCAGCTAGCTGGGTTTGCTGATGAGATTAGTCATAATGCTGGCACTGTTTCTACTTCACAGAACTGGAAAAGTTATGACAACGTTGCTTATCCCGCTTTTTAAAAGTTAAGTATTTAGTTCAAAGAAACATGACTGTTGTCTGTAATTTCAGCTGGAGGTAAAATGAGTGACAGTTTTTCACCTTGACCTCCAATTCTGGAGTGCAAAAAAAGTGGACGGGAAGCACTGTTCTTTCTGCCGCTGGTCTTGCAGCAGCCTGTGGGTGGAAAGGAGAGCTGGGCCTGAAAGCATTTGCCGCCACGCTGTCTCCCTTTATTGATGTCTCTCTCCTGGGAGAAGAGAGATTTCTATAGAAGAAATAATTTCTGCAGAAGAATTAGGACCAAAAATAGTCTAGAATGGGGGAAAAAACTAAATCTAGCAAATCATGCGGTGGAAACACCTTCTGTTTCCATTGATATCTTAAGAATGTGCTGCCCAAACTAAGCTGACCATTTTGTTTTCCTCTCACACGGAAACACGTTTCCCCACTTGTAAAACAGAGAAAAGAGGACTTTGAAATTCATTAAGGTAATAAGCACCACTGATGTGCATTCTTGACTGAGAAGTTCTTAGAAATTCTTGAGGAAAACAACAGAAACAGCAGTGTACATGCTTTTATCATTTAAGAACTGCCACAGGTGCAGTTCTTAAAAGTTGATTATTAACTATGCAGCCTGAACTCCTGGGAAATGAGTGGTTTATCTTTGTGTGCCAGGTTATAGCCCCGTGCCTGGCAGACTCTCCGTCCCTGAGTGACAGACTAAGGGATGATGAAATAAATCAATGGGAAAGCACATCTGCAACTGGGCAAGGACGAGGGGAACAGACAATGAAAACAGCTGTCCCAAAGGATGGCCAAGTGCCTGGATTTGTTTTTGATGTTTTGCTTCTCAATTGTTGTTTTGATATTATTTGTGCCAAAAGTGAAACAAAGCTCCTCGTTAACTGAGAAGAGTGAATATGAACGAAGCAGCAGACCCCGGGACAGGAAACCAGGCCACTGAGGGTCTTGTGGCTCTGGTGACCCGGGGTCTGGGGTGGTGCTGTGGGGGATGCAAAATGCAGAAACGAAGACAATGGGGACACAGGGAGGTGCAAGGACAGGGAAGGAAGGAAGGATCCGCTCACAAGAAGAGAAAACACCTAGAGACAAAAGAGAGTCACTCTTATGTAAAAGGAAGTTACCCCCAGAAAAGCAGGTGGAAGTCAAGCAGAAGGCAGTCCCAGGGGGCGTGTTCCAGCAAGGTCCTCTTACATGCAGGGTGGACAGGAGTCCCCTAGTCCTCTTGGATTCACGGCCAGATGGGCTGACACAGTCATTGCAGCAGATCGGCTCTTCAACCTCGCCTTATTCCTAAGACAGGCTTTCCAGGGGGATACGGCAAAGTCCTTCCCTTTGATTCATATGTTGTTGAGGGGACCCTGGGTTTCTTAACGAGCCAGTTTTCATTATTATTATTTTTGTTAAAATACGATCTCTGGTGGCTTAGAAGAAAATAAAAGAATGTCTGGGAAGGGCACCACACATCACAGTTGAACTTAATAGCAAATAGCTGTTTCTACCATGCAGGCCATGCCTTAGGGTTCCATTCCATAAGTTATCTGGAACATGGAACAAATTTTCCTACGAGAAATAGCCCCAGTCCTGGCGACAGAGCGAGACTCCATGTCAAAAAAAAAAAAAAAAAAAAAAAAGAGCCCAGTCCACAAGAGCTGGTTTAATTCACAGTAGAGGTTAACTATAGTTACAGGAGCCATGTTCTCTGAACCCAAAATTGGGATCCATGAGTTGACAAGTACATGTGATCATACTGGAACGAAAGAACAGATATAGTACACACGGACATAAAGATGGAAATAATAGATGCTCAGGAATCCAAAATGGGGGAAGAAGGGAGTGGGTGAGGGAAGAAAAATTTCCTATCAGGTACAATCACCATTTGGAGAATGGACACTGGAAGCCCAGTCCCCACCAGTACACAAGATACCCCGTAACAAACATGCACAGGGATCTGCTGGATCTAAAATAAAATTTAAAAAAAAAAGACAAAACAGAATATGGAATTTGGATTCATATTGGAAGATTCAGGTCACAGTGTATTATAGAGCGGCACACACTATGCTGTAGGCCCCAGGACCGTGTATAATCCATACTTCTACAGGAAAATGCATGCCCATCTCCAATATTAGGTGCAGGTTACATTCCTCCTCTTGCTGTCCAACCCCATGGCTTGAAACCTCGGGAGGTGGTCCCACTGCTGTTGTGAGAACTGGTCTGCTCTGGGGCCCACAACTCTTTGTTCCCTTGGTTGGTCCCACATCCTTCTCTCTTGCAGGCCCTGTCCCACCCCAGGCTTGATCTCAGCCTTGATCTGAGGACCTTCAAGGCTTGGCCTGCGATTGTCAGCTTCTTGCTCACCCCACACTAACTTTGCAAACCGGTCCCAGCGTCCATGAGTTTTCATGGAGTTTCCCAGTCCCACCACTTGATGCCTGCTCTCCTCCTGCACGTGTGTCAGAGCTCTGCACAGCTGCCTGCCTGCCACCTGCTCGCCCCCACAGCAGTGCCAGCCTAGCTCACCTGCAAATACCAAAGACCTTCAGCCAAGAGACTTGGTGCTGCCCACCCTCATACCAAGCAGGATCAAGAGAGGCAAAACTTTGGAGCCAGACACGCCTCTGTTTGAGTTCTGACCCAACCATTTACTAGTTTTCCTGTGTTTGAAATGGGCATGATAGTAGTTTTGATATTTTTGGTGTTTGCCAAATACCATGGTAAGGGCTTTACAGATGGTAGCTCATTGAAGACTCACAGTAACAGTCTGAAGTATATGCTGTTACTGTCTCATTTACAAATGAGAAAACAGGCCTGGGGCACTTCACTAATTAAGACATACTTTTAGTGACTAGTGGAGCCAAGTTTCTGACATAATGTGACTTTAAGTATGCTCACTTAACCTCTAGAAATAATGTGAGTGAGGGTCCCAGCATGGTGCTGACAGCAGCAGGCCTGGGCAGTTGTTATTTGTTGTTACTCTCAGTCTAGATCTCCATTTCCCAGTAGGTGTGTTTAGGAAGCAGTTGTCGCCCTAGTCCATAAAGTCATACTCTTAAGTGCATAACTCTGCTGTCAATAGCCCATCAGTGTACATTCACCTTCCCATTCCATGCCAAGGCTGTTATCCCAGTTGTGTGATGGGGTTCAGCCCTGGCTTGCTCATTCATTTATTCATTCATCCCCCCATTCAGTCAATGACTAAATAGACATCCTGTATCCTCATTTACCATGCTGGGTACTGTGGACCCAACAGTTTGGGAGATGGGCACAGCTTCTTGGTAATTACCATTCAGTGGAAAAACAGACAACTGTATCATCACCCAATATATGAAATTCCAACTGGGAATTGTTCTAAAGGAAGATGTAGGGCACAGTTCACCGGATTTGGCCTAACCAGAAAATTGGAGAGGGCTTCTTGGAGGAGGTGGTACTGATCTGATAACGGAGGATGAGTAGGAGGCAGTGGCAGAAGGGAAGAGGGGGAGCAGTTCGGGGGAGGGCAGCGGGTGCCTAGGCCCTGAGGCATGTGGGAACACGGGATGTAGATGGCCCACATGGCTGCAGGAGAGACTTTGGGTGTGAAGTAGAACTGGAGATGTAAACAGGATCCAGCCATCCAGGGCCTTGTCCGCTACGGTGCAGTTTTATTGGTAAACCAAGAACACTGGGAAACTGTTGAATGAGGTGAAACAGAGCTGAGGGGGTGACATGATCCACGCTACTCTGAAAAGATCACCCTGGTTTCTTGCTGCAGAATGGATTGCAGAGAAGTCAGAGATGGAGCAGAGCAGAGGACTCCCGGTCTGGGCTTTTCCATTTGAAAGACTCTGGCTGAACTTTCCCTGCTACCTGGTTGCAGATTGCTTTCAGAGTCTTGTCTAGAAGTTTCAGCTGATGATCCCGACCTGAGACTAGGCAGGATGGGCAAATGCTAGTAATACAGGGGGGTCCTGACGGCTTGAGGGAGAGACTTTTCCTGCCAAGTATGGGGTCCAGTTCTTTCCTGGGCTCTACTTTATTTTCTTTCTTTCTTCTTTTTTATCTAAAATCTCCCTTGGCACAGTGCTAGTGTGCAATTATATATCATTAGTTACAGCCTCCTGCCTACATTAGGTCTCTGGACTCATCTTATAGAATTGCAATTTTGTACTTTCTGATTACATCTCCCCATTTCGCCTCTCACCTTTTGGGCCTTACTTGACTCTCCCGTGAGGATGGGGATACTCATACACTGTCTACAGTAAGTCACAAAGTCAACCCGTGTCCCAACCAGCATATCTGAAGATGCTGACTTTCAAGTTAAGGTCTAACAGCATTTCTTGCTTAGGAATTGATTTGTAGTTTTAAACTCCAGTGCCTCAAAATGGAAATGAAACCAAAATTAGAAGGAATTTTATATTAAAATATTCAACATCACCCAGCTGGAGAAGTGAGAAAGTGAACTGTGAATTATGAAGAAATTACTTCTTGGGTCTTTTATCTAAAACAGGCAAATCTAAATCTCAAAGCCTTTTAACCCCAGTGTTCTTCTTTGCCATAAAAGGATTCTTCTCCTTCACATGACCGTATGTCAAAACAGCAGCGCCTAGAATCAAATTCCTGAAACACACCCCAGTAAGGTTTACTGCTGTAAACAAATGGCTCAGGACATCACAGCAAGTGGGAACATTCCCTGCTATGGAATGAATGGGCTGTGAAGAGAATAAGCAGGAACCAACGACTTACTAGAAATGAGAACAAAAGCTTTGGCGGCTTGGGCCCAAGTCACCTTGACACCATCACATGCATCATCACTCAAAATGAATAAAACACTCAAAAGCTACAATCTTGCCACATAAATACAGAATTGGTGGGAAGGGAGGATGGGGATCACTGCGCACACACAGCAGGTGGGAAGTCAAGCCAGTCAGGCTGGACTCTGGGACCCATTAGTGTGGACAGGCCGCACACCACCTAAGAAGGTAACTTCCCCTTAAATTTACAGGTAGATCTGAGATTTCATCGGTGGCCTTGATGTCACAGAGTATCAGTGACACTGTATGACATATTGTACACCTCAGCCTGTAGGTAACAGTGTAGGGCACAGACTCATCTTCTGTGCCCTATGGCATGTGGAACGTCCATCGCACATGTTAATGTTGTGCATTACTGTATGCCTCGTGGGCTGTTCTTTAATCATTTTGTTTCTTGGAGTCTTATCTTCCTCCAAAGAGTTAGGCAACTCTCTTGACATTTGGGAAACCACTTCCAGTGCACCTGTCTTCTGTCCCCTCACCTCCTGGAAACACACGTACCTCCTAATAAGTTCCCAATGCTCCCTTTTGTCATTCCGAGGGTTCTGTCATCCTCTGGTAAGGAAAGGAGGAAAATACCTGCATGAATATCAACAAGTTTTGTTCTATTCATTCATCTAAGCATTTATTTCCTGTCTATTATATGCTTGGTGCTGTGGATGTAAAGATGAGTGAACACATAGTGTTACTGTCAAAGACCTCCATTTTGTCCTTGCTGTTGGCCTAATTGATGCAATAATTTGACTCCTTTCAGGTAGATCTGTCCAAGTCATGCATGAGAGACCACCACTTTTTTGGTTTTTGGAGGGGACAAAAAGTGAAGAGTTGAGTTAATCATACAAAGTTCACCGGTAATCTATATGAGGCCCTTCTCTTATTTTATTTTATTTTATTATCTTTTTTTCCCACTTCTTTATACTCCCCACTGTCATTCACTCTTCTCCTCCCAGCCTAAGCACTTATGTCCTTGGATATGTATGCATCTGTGAAATATAGTGTTGTAGCATGTCTGTAAGTATCATAAACTCACATCAATAGTATGAGGCTGTAGGTCTCATTCTATTTCTTACTAAAAAAAAAAGCTGGCCCAGTGTGATGACTCATGCATGTAATCGCAGCACTTTGGGAGGTCAAGGCAGAAGGATTGCTTGAGCGCAGGAGTTCAAGGCTGTAGTGAGCTATGATTGCACAACTGCACTGCAGCCTGGGTGACAGCACAAGACTCTCTGTCTCTTAAAAAATAAATAAATAAAAAGTAAGCATAAATTTAAAAAAAATTAAAAATTGCACACTATGTTTTAAAGACCACTGGATGTTGCTGGCAGTCCTGGAGCTCATTCCCCTGTCGGCTTCACAGCCATTTTTCACCATTTTTCTCTTCTGTCCCCCTGGGTTAAACCCCAGGTTGCCTTTCACTTTCCACGCCCACAGACAATGCTGGAATAAGTTACCTGGGCCCTGTTCCCTGGTGCTGGTGCTCTCTGGGAGTCTATTCCCAGGAGTGGGATTGATGAGCCATAGGTCATATGCATATCTATTTATTTCACTGAGTGCTGCTGTATTGGTCTCGAATGGCTGCACCATTTGCACTCATGCCAGCAGACTTATACTTCATTTTATCAGGATGGAACCTGGAATCATAGCAAGGATGATGTCCGCTGCCACTTACTGCAATCTACTGTGTGCCAACCTCTATGCTAGTTGCTAGTTGCTTGACATGCAGGATCCAAAATACATCTTTGCAAGGATAGCAATATCTCTTCAACAGGGGAGGACGCTGAGGTTCAGAAAGAGTGAGCTACTCTCTCATAAGCACGTAAGTGTTCTGTGGCAGGGGCAGGCTTGACCTGATGTCAGTCACTGGTGCTGAGCTCGGAGTGATTTGAAAGGCATATATTAACAAATGCACCAGGTTAGCTTTATTAAAACAGCATAACTAGCTGTGATGTCTGTGGCGGGGAGGGTAACACTGATGGAGAATTCACCTTGAGATGATTGAGTTGCTCTTTGGAGAGTTTTGTCCACCACAGTGGGATACACAGGAAGCTGTGGCCTTTTCTATACTCAACTACAGCCAAAATAAAAATAAGATCTTTGGCCGGGCGCGGTGGCTCACGCCTGTAATCCCAGCACTTTGGGAGGCCGAGGCGGGTGGATCATGAGGTCAGGAGATCGAGACCATCCTGGCTAACAAGGTGAAACCCCGTCTCTACTAAAAATACAAAAAATTAGCCGGGCGCGGTGGCGGGCGCCTGTAGTCCCAGCTACTCGGGAGGCTGAGGCAGGAGAATGGCGTGAACCCGGGAAGCGGAGCTTGCAGTGAGCCGAGATTGCGCCACTGCAGTCCGCAGTCCGGCCTGGGCGACAGAGCGAGACTCCGTCTCAAAAAAAAAAAAAAAAAAAAAAAAAAAATAAGATCTTTGCATTATTCCCACTTACATACAATAAGAAAAACTTCTAAATCGTCTCAGTATGGAAGGGCTGTCTTCTTTACTTTGTAATTTTATAAGAGTAGTATTTTTTGTGTAATTTTGCCAAGTGCTTCTGACTATAAATCTAAATGTTTAATGGTTGGAATAGCCCAAGCCTTCTATGCTGGACTAGAAATGATAGCCTACAGTTGAGGGTGAAAATTCATTTGCTTAATAAAAACTTTTCTGGATGCAAAGGTGGACAGGCATTCATTCCAGCCTTGAGGTGCTCACCAGCTGATCAGAACAGCATCAACCAGTAACTTGGGAGCCGAGTAAGTTCTCTATCAGCCAGTGGAGACCCCCTAGGGCAATAGAATAGAAAGGCACCTTTTTGCAAATGCAGTCCTCTTGCAGGCCGTGAGTGACACCAGCTCTTGCCACCTGACAAAGGGCACAGACACCAAACCCTGCCCCGCCCACAGGAGTCCATTTCAACTCTACCCCATGGGCAGGTAAGGAAACTGGGCTCTGCAAGTCACAAACAAGTCAGCAGAGTCAAGGAGGGCAGGCCTGACCTTGGCCACAGGTGCTGCAGATCAGACCACATTAACCAGGAACTTGAGTTGAAGTCCAGGCGGAGCTTGCGGGGAGAATGGCTAGCTCTCTGTGGAGTTGAAGGTGGTTGGAGGTTTGTTGGGTTTCCCTAAGTTTCCAAGCCTGTTCTCCTCCATCATTTGCTCAGAGAATAATATTACAGGTGTTGGGAGAGCTGGTTTTGTAACATTAATCAGAGTGGATTAAAAGGTTACTTTCTTCTGATTTGCCCTGAGAGGATTGCTTGGCAAATCAAGGGGAGTCACTTTTCAGACAGAAAGACTGCACTTGCTGGTTTGAAACACACTGCGCTCAGCCACATGGAGATAAGAGCAATTCCCTTTGCTACTTTAGAATGATAAAGCTCTAACTGCTCATTTCCCGGCTGCTCCTTCCCTTGTCACTGGGGGAAAAAACCCCCGTCTGGAGATGCAGGTGCTCTTCTGACATTTTCCTTACAGCAGGGCAGGAATCCAATGAAGCATCTCATGAATTTCTGCAATATGCATGGATTTTAGGTGTGCCGTTTGCAAGAGTCACCACACCATGCCCAGCATTTCTGTTGCCTATTCTGAAAGTGGAAGGTTTTCTGGATTATAGTTTAACAAGCGTTTTTACTCCTTCTTCTCAGAAAGAGAAAGGGGGAGAAAGAGAGAGCCGTGACTAGAATTGTAATGAGCTCCCAAGCCTGATCCTAATTATCTTCCGTAACTTAGCAACAAGCGAGACGAGAGAAGAAAGCAGCTGAACAATTTAAATGCGTTGGGGAGATGTGGGTGGAAAGAGGGGAAAAGGGCCCCAGGTGCAGTCGAAGGAGGCATTCGCTGGTGGGGAAAAGGGTCTCTGTGCTTGCAGTTCTGCTTCTTTTGAGAAAGGAAGGAGGAGCTGAGCCCGCGCATGATGGAGATGCTACTTATGATGCTCCCTTAAGATGGGCAGGATGCCCGGGGAAGAAATCTGGGTTCTTCATGGTGTGTTCTGGACGTGCGAGGTACACAGGACACTTTTTGCACCCTGACTCACTTCAGCCCTCTTAGCACCACCTGGGTTTCCTTTCAAAATGTCAGGGAAACCTGGCTTTCTGGTTTTTCTTAAAAAAAAGCAACACTACACAGTTCTTCAGCTGGAGATGAATTTGTGCTGACTGCTCAGTTCTGTCCTGAGGGTCTCTGGTGGAGGACCACAGAGCTCACTTACCAGGTGTTCAGGGGGCACACCATGGCCATTTGAGTAGTTAGCAGGGCCTGTCTTCAGTGGTTTGGAATGCTGACTTTAAATCAATGAAGTGGCGCAGTGCAGTGGCTCACATCTGTAATCCCAACACTGTGAGAAGCCAAGAGGCAGCAGGATCGCTTGAGCCCAGAAGTTCGAGACCAGCCTGGGCAACATAGCAAGACCCGGTCTCTACAAAAATATATATAACTATGTATATATATTTATAAATTTGAGTATAGATTAGAGGAAACCTGCCTTGACAGCAATTTATAAGAAACATATCTGAGGACTGATGTTGAATTACCAACTAATCATAAGATGCTAGGGGCAATAAACCCCCCTAAGTCAGCCGCCTGTGTGTTCGCAGTCGCCTGGGATTCTGGGTTGGGGAGGCGGTGCCTTCGTGGCGATGTTGATCTGGAGTGTGTAGTGTGGCATGTAGGGCCCTGTTCTGTGCTTTTTCCCTTGTTTTGTTGAGACAGATTCTTGCTCTGTCACCTAGGCTGGAGTGCAGCGGTGCAATCTGGGCTCACTGCAACCTCTGCCTCCCGGGATCAAGTGATTCTCCTGCCTCAGCCTCCCAAGTAGCTGGGACTACAGGCAGGTGCCTGCCACCACACCTGACAAATTTTTGTATTTTTAGTAGAGACAGGGTTTCGCCATGTTAGCCTGGCTAGTCTCTGATTCCTTACTTCAGGTGATCCGCCCACCTCAGCCTCCAAAAGTGCTGGGATTACAGGTGTGAGCCACCGCGTCCAGCTTCTGCCTGCTTTTTAATAAGCAACATTGGCCAACTTAGAAACGTCCAGAGGGGCAGTGCCGTCTGGAAGCCCTGCCCTGTGGGGACAGCTGCAGGAACTGGGGTGCAGAAATCAGCTCAAAGGAGGACGTCCGAGGGACCCTAGATCCAGAGGAAGGTGCTCCTTCTGCCACCACGTGCCTTCTCTGCATGTTGACTTTGCCTTTACCTGACTTTACTCACTTCCATGTGGCCCGACTCCCTTTCCAGGGAGGGTTTACCTCCCGTGCTGGGCAGTGAAGAGGGAACTGCTTGCTGGGTGCTGGCATGGCCCACTCAGCCAGCCTCTGTGGGAATGCCAGCCTCTTGCTTCTGCCAGGCGAGACCCAGAGTTTCATTTAGGGTCCAGTGTATTTCCTGGCTCTTTGGTGTTACCTAGCCCCAGGGTGCTATTAATAGTGCAAAGCACCGGAACCAGGGCGCAGCCACAGAGTAAACAAACACTACAGGTTCTTTAGAAGGCAGAGAAGCCAGAGAGGGTTTCCAGGGAGAGAGGGAGTTAAATGGAGAATCAGACTGAAGCAAGTGGAGAGAGGATGAAGGAAACTCTGGGTTAGAGGACATCTGTTGCCAAGGTGAGTAGCAGAGAAGTTTCACTGTGGGAGTAGCAGGAGAAAGCTGGAGAAACGGTCAAATGGCAGATAGCCATAAATGCCACCCGGTGAGTTTGACTTTCCTTATGAAGGCAAGACATAGCACCATCAGATTTGGCAAATAAAAATATAACAGGCCCGGCTACGTTTGAATTTCAGATAAACAACAAATATCTTTTAGTGTAAGTGTATCATTCATATTGCATGGTACATAGTCTTGCTAAAAAAAGGGATCTGAAATTTAGCTTTCACTGGGTGTCCTGTGCTTTATCTGGCAGCCCAGGCAAGGGGAAGTCACTGAAGTTTTGTGATCGCAGGGTCCTCTTAGGAGGACCCATCTGCTTGGGTGACAGCTGCGGTCGAAGAAGACACCAGGGAGAGGGCTGCTCATAGGGAAACGTGGGCAGTCATCCTGGCATGACCACAAGGACCTGAATTATGGGAAAAATATGAAAGAAAGGATGAATTCAAAAGACAAGTTCGATGGCTGGGTCTGTAGCCTTGGGGACTGGCGAGAAGGTGGAATAGAGGAGGCAGAGGCAGCAAGGATGAGTTCAAGGGCAGGACCCATAGCTGGGAATGCCACAGAAGACACAGTTCAGAGGAAGAGTGGCTGCACAAGGAAAGAAGGCAGACTCCCGAGTTCTCTTGAAAACCTTTTCATAGTAGACACTGAGTGGGAAGGGCCAGCCAGCAGAAGCGGGTGCAGAGCGGAATTCCAGGAGGGAGAGGGGTGGGAGCTGTTGACATGGCCCTGGGTAGTGGCAGCAGCTGAAGCCAGCAATGAAGCAGATGCCTCCCTCCAGGGTCAGAGTGGAGCAGCGAGGTCAGAGGAGCAGCCCAGGAGGGAACCAGGAGAAGGCTGCTGCTTGGCAAACAGACCCGGTCTCTAATCTGGGCTAAGAAGTGAATCTGGTTTCCCTGTGGCCCAAAGTATTAGGAACGTTTTCTTTTTTTAATAAAGCAGAACAGCAATTGTGGAGAAACAGTGGCAGTTGCTCTCATGGGGTCCCTCCCCCAGTCACAGTGGGCTTGGACCTCACTTGTGCCCAGCAAGGCTTTCTCTCCAGCCTCATACTCCCATCCCAAAAGATCACAGGGAAACCTGGCAATGTCACCACTCCCAGAGCCTGCCAGCCCAGGGTCTGGAGTGAAGAGAGGGGCAGGGGTGAGGCCCCAAGACAAGGGGCCTGGGACCTCCCCAGTCTTGCCTGAGTTCCTGAGCAAAGCCTGCTACCCACCCCCTGCACACTCTGCAAAGCATTTCTGTCACAGCAAACTGTTGATCAGCCCCTTGCCCTCCCTCCCCCAGGGGCAGGATTAGACACAAGAGAAGAATCAAACACTTATGTTTCCTTTTAGTCGAAGACACCGGGAGAAAGTAGATTGTGACCCTTAGCTATGGACAGCATCCAGAGACTTAAAAATAGCTGAATTTTACTGCAACGTTAATAGAACCTAAAGGTTTCAGGCACCTATGCAGGTGAAAATCTTTGGATTTCCAGCTGCATATCGATGAATGATTCCAGTTTAAAGTCAGTGAACAGTGGGGCGAACTCAGGCATTACAGGAATGAAGATGGAATTGCTGAAATACCCCTGCCATGGCATCTTTCATCCCCTCTCTACACACACGCTTCTCTAGGTCACAGAAGCTATGGGGAGGCCTCTGGCACCCTGGGAAGCTCTTTGATCTACAACTTGGCAAGTGTTCCAGGAAGCCCGTGTTCTGGGTGGCCACGGGGCTCCTGCTCCTCCCCAGAGCTGCTGGACACAGCCTAGGTGGAGCTGCCTGATAAGGACCCAAGAGGGCTGGTGACCAGACACTCCTGGTCCCACCGGTAGTCTTGCCCATTGCTCACTGGCTGCAGCCCCTGAGGTCAGCCAGCCCAGCTCTTCCAGCTTTGGGCCTTCCTCCAGCATCTCCTCCAGCTGCCTTTGTCCAGCTGTATTTAGTAACAATTTTATAATGTCTCAACAGCTGCTTTTTACCCTCTAATTTGTGAATCAGCCAAATGCCTAGCTGAGATGAAAGTCCTGGGGTCACACACTTCTGGACTTGTGGTCCTCACTCATTAAACGATGGTGGACTGTCATATGAAAACTTGGGCTGAGGTGTGTCCTGGCAGACAGGGAACTGGCGTGTTAATGCTCCCTAGGCAGCACTGGATGCCCACAGTGTTTGAGGTAGGGATTGTTTGCATTCTACAGATGAGCACACCGAGGCTCAGAGCGGTAAGGAATTGGCCCGCAGTCACATGACTATTAAAGCATCTGAATTGGGATTAGAACATAAACCCAGCTGACTTCAAGTTCTGAACCCTGCACTCCATGCTCCAGTGTGGAGCCGCAGTTTCCTTTCTTCCTCTTGAGATGAAGACACATGAGAACCCAAGCCCATCACCCTGGACATTGACACTTCTCTTAGGGAAACACTGGGCACCATGTGTTGATCGTTGGGTCCACAGCCCAAAGACTGGCAGAATCTCAATACTGTCCCAGCAGGTGGCAACTGCACTCATTTTTAAAATGACATAATAAACACATCTCTTTAACCTCAATTTTCTCTTTCCCAAAATGGAATAAAAAAATCAAAGCTCAGAATCACTGCCTTCCAGAAGGTGTATAGTAGAAACTCAGTGGCACTCGGGCCCTGCTTCTCACTGAGAGCTGCGTTTCCAGGGCCAGGTGCTGAGCCAGTTCTGAGAGCCAATCTGCCATCATTTAATCAATTAACACCAAAGGCCAGAAATGTGTGACCCCAGCTTCCGTCAGTGCTGGCTGAGGAGTGTCCCCAAGGCTGGCTCCAGGAAAGCGCAAGCAAGGGCTCCTGGGTCCACTGGTTCCTGTGCAGCAGGCAAAAGAGGTGGAAGGGAATGATCTGGGTCTGGAGACAGGGATGCGGTCATCGACAGCTCTGGGTTTATGACAAAAGAAACCTGCACAAATGCTGATGAGGATGGGACACGTTCACAGGTGGCTTTGAAAAGTATCTCAAGACAACTCAATTGGCAGTTTTCATAGATGAGGACACCAGTGTGTCAGGGGACACAACCTTTTAACTAAAAACAGTTCCACAGGGAATAACGGAAGCACACGTAGGAAGAGTTTCTAGTGCCTTCCTGGTGTCTTGCATTTCCCCTGTGTCTCACATGATTTTTGAATGCCCATGCCGGCCAGCCTCTGCTTCATGGTTTGCTGTTCGTATGGTCATAACCCATGAGCAGTGCTATGACCATATTTGCATGGGACCCCCCCACACACCACTCGGACCACATTCTCACAACAGCTCGGTTGTGGCAAAAACAAAAAGGAGATAAAGATATTTCCGTTTTCACTGCTGTGGACGCTAAGGACCAGAGGGGCACAAGATTGGTCTATTATTGTCTTTTAGTAGGCAGAAGAGTCTAGACTGAAAGACAGTTCTCCCGGTTCTGTATCTGATGGAGTCTCTATACAATATGCAATATTACAAAACCCCTCTGGGCTAGGGCAATCAGTTAGTGTTGTGGTAGAATTTGCATAGTATAAATGTACCTTTTAATGAAATAACCACAAATCACCAAAACGCCAAATAATTTTTAATATCAGTGCAGTCCATGCGATATTTGAATATAGTTGTCCTACAGGAAGTATTTGTCATTTATCTGAAATTCAAATTTCACTGGGTGCTTTACCCATTTCTGCTGCCATAACAAAATCCACAGACTGAGGGGGTAACTTATAAACAACAGAAATGTGTTTCTTGTGGTTCTCGAGATTGGAAGTCCAAGATCAGAGCACCAGCAGGTTTGGTGTTTGGTGAGGGCCCAGTCTCCACTTCCAAGATGATGTCCTGCCGCTCTGTCCTCTGGAGGGGCCAAACGCTGTGTTTTCACATGGCATGGACTTGTCCCCTCAAACCCTTTTATAAGGTCTCTCATCCTGTTTATGAGGGCTCTGCCTTCAGGACCTAATCACCTCCTAAAGGCCCCACCCCTGAATACCATATCAAGTTGGTGATTAAGTTTCAACACAAGAATTTTGGGAAAGCTTCAGACTATAGCACTGGACTTCCTTTATTTTTTTTTCTTCTAAATCTGGCAAGTGTAATTCTTCTGACATTGGTCAGATTTCCCCCCAGTTCTCTGCACTTGGACATCCCCCTTATGGACTTTCCTCTGCTTTGCATGATAAACTCACATGTGTTGACTTCTCTGCTCTGCTGTGGCCAGGGTCTTACTCATGCTGCTTGCTGTGAACAGGGTTTGGTGTTAATGGAGCTTCCCCTTTCATAGCTCCAGCCCATCCCTGTCCATCCAACCTGTACATTTAACCACTTACTTGGCATCTCCTTCTAGATGCCCCGCAAACACCTCAAACACAACCATCTAAGGTTAACTATCTTCCCCACAAACATGAGCTCCTCCTGACCGTCCCCTCACCGAACGGTGTCCTCACCTGAGCTTTGACCTCGCCCTCTTTTTTCCCATGCTCCCCCATCCAATCCACCACGTCCTACAGACTACTGAGCATGGTTCTTTCCATTCTGTTTCTCCCATCCCACTGTCCCTACCCCACTTAGAGTTACCACAGCTTCTTGACTGGACTGCCCCAACTTACTGATGTTCCCTATTTGATAAGACATCATCCTTTCACTTTCTTCTAATTCTTTAGACATGACCTCCTCCAGTGATTTGAACATATTTATAATAGCTGACTTAAAAACTTAAATCCAACATCTGGGCCCCTTGGACAGTTTCTATTGACTGCTTTATTTCCTGTGTGCATGGAACTAAACTTTCCTGTTTCTTTTCATGTCTCACATCTTCTGTTGAAAACTGGATGTTTCAAATATTAAATATCCAGATTCCCTCCTCTCTCGGATTTTTGTTGCTGATGATGCTGTTTGCCTGTTTAGTGACTTCTGGTCTGATTCTATAAAGTCTGCCTTTTTTGTCATTTGTAGCTCCCGAAGTCTCTGCTTAGTTAGCCTAGTGGTTGCCTAATGATGGGAGAGAGACTTCCTTACATGCATTGAACTGGTCAGTTTTTCAGCCTTTGCTGAGGGGCTCTGTGTGTGTGTTGGGGCAGACCTTCAGTACTCTAGCACACAGTTCACATCTCTGCCTTACCCTGACCTCTCTGCTAGGAATGGGCCTTAAGGTCAGCAAGAGGCGAGAGACTAAATCCTTCTAAGATCTTGCTTGGGCATACACACAGCCGTGCACATGGGTGTGGCCTTCCTGGTTCTCAATAATATGTCATAGCTTTACAAACCCCTTATGGACATCTCATTCCCTAGTATTTCCTTTTAAGCTTTTTGGTCAGCCTCTTGTTAGCCCCATCTGGTATCACCACTTCAAAACGCTGCTGTGTTAAACAATTGCCATTAATAGTGTTTGACAAATGCCTTTGAGATACGGCTGTTAGAACAGAATATTCTCTGAGTAAGGTCAAATGAAGACAAGCTCTAAGAATTGAGCTTTTCAGGCTGGATGCAATGGCTCATGCCTGTAATCCTAACCCTTTGGGAGGCCAAGGCAGGTGGATCACTTAATGGTCAGGAGTCTGAGACCAGTTTGGCCAACATGGTGAAACCTCGTTTCTACTAAAAATACACAAAGTAGCTAAGCGTGGTGGTGTGCACCTGTAATCCCAGGTACTAAGGAGGCTGAGGCAGGAGAATCGCTTGAACCTGGGAGGCGGAGGCTGCAGTGAGTGGAGATCATGCCCTTGGGTGACAGAGGGAGACTCCATCTCAAAAAAAGAATTGAGTATTTTGGGGAACAGCCAGGCAAGTTAAATAAGGGCAGTTTTCTGGGGATGGCTTTAGGGGAGCTCTAGGCTTATTCTGCCCCTCTCATGGCTGCTAGGCTGCTGTTCTCAGGCTTTCACAGGTCTAAGGCTACCATGGAGCTGGAGAGAGGGGAGATGGGAGCAGGGCAGGTTGAAATGCCACAAAATCACCGTTCTTCCTGACGGTTAGTCATAGTCTTTGACTAAACACTTTACTCCTTGGATTGTTACAAGCCTTTGGTGAATTTGCAGTATTTTGAAAAACTTGTTTTGGCCATTTTTGCCAGTTTTCTCATTGCTTTTATGGAAGAACAGGTTTAGGGAGGTACTTATTCTTCTATTCTGGCAATAACTTCTCCAATGTTGATCTTTTAAAAGTGCTTTTGAGATTGTGTTTTAACCCAAGTTAGGAAACAATGATCATGTGATGTTTTCTGGACATTCCGGCAGCTCTCTAAGGAAGACAATTTTAGGAAGGGTGTGATCAGATAAAACACTAGATATTTATTTTACTTATTTCTCATACCCCATAGTAGGCCTTTATTACTGCCTTGCTCTTGCATAGTTAGTGAATGACTGCAATTGGTATAACTGGAATAAAAAGAGATAATGGTTTATATTTTAGAAGCAGAAGAGTTAATAGGAGCCAGGAGTTTTAAGATAATGGTGATAATGAAGTCACATGGAAACCAATTAAGAGTAAGAGTTTATAAGAAAAACAGTTGAAACCTAAGAGTACTCAAAGGCAATCAGAAAGCCCATTTTAGGGTCTCTTAGAGATGGACTATGTAGAAACTCTATACAAGAGAATATTTTCTGCTGCCCTTTGCCTCTAAAAACATATTGTACTATTGATGTACTGTTTATTCCCTTTCAAACTGCCACATTTGGCAGCTTGCTATTTCTACATGTTTTAAAGTTGTAGCTTATAAAAAAAGTAGATTTCTTAGCAGTCATATTTGGGCATCTGTATGTGGAGCTTTTATACTCCATAGACTCCACTGTGTGGACTTACTGAAAAGGCTGGTAACAACTAGAAGATTGCCCGAGTAAGCCTGAAACACTGACATTAAGTTGAATGTTTTGGTGTTTGGCATCTTCTCATTAACGTTGCAGATGACTATTTTCTTACACAGAGAATCTGAGAGGATCACCAAAGGCCGTGATGATTAATCTTATTTTCCAGAGCATCCTGGTAAAACAATGGGCACGATCACATTTTGTTAGTAAGGTCACATTTTACTTGAATTGTTTTCCAAAGCCAATAAACAATCCATCCATTTTCCACCTGACCCTAATAAACAGGCCCTATATTTCATAAGGTTAAAAGGTCAGGCTGCCTGAGAGACATCAGTGGGAATCTGCTGTGTCTCTTTGTGCCTGGTTTCAAGCACGTTTTATAAAGGGTGAAAACAAATGTCTTTGAGTTCACTCAAGCTGTTCATCCTTCCTGAATAGAATACAAGTCAGGAAATGCTGAAATTCCTTTTCCAGGCACCAGTATCCCACTGTTCTGTGCCATTAAGCTTGCAAACACTCTATCACCATTTGCCATTTTTAAAAGAGGACGTATGGTTAGTGATCTAGGTTTTCCGAAGGTAAAATGACTTCCTGAAAATTGAGATGGGCCTTAGGTAGAAATGGCCTATTAAATGGTCCCAATACAGATGCAAAGTTCAGGCACGTTTCTGATACACCCCAAAAACAGCTGGAAAGATCAGGCCCAAAATGCTCCATTGAAATCTGATTGGTTTGTTTCTTCTGTGCTAAATGGACCAATTGTGGGGAGAGGCAAAGTCACATAAAGGAAATAGAAGCTTGGCTTGGTGGCTGTGAGGAAACTGCTAGATAGGTTTATTTTAAATATTTTCTATTTATTTTAATGTTACAATTTTATGAAAAGCTTGGTTGCTTTAAGAACCAAAAGGCAGGAAGGGTACAGGGGAAAAGATCTAGGCTGTGGTCATAATACTTAGAGGACTGTGTGTCAAAGCCTGGGTCATGGAACTGTAAGAATCATCTTGGATGCTTGTTGAAAATGTGCCTTCTGGGTGGGGGGACCTGATGCAGCCTCAACTGTAATCAGACTATATACCTCAGGCCTCTCCCCGTCCCGGAGGTTAGATGTCATTGTGCAGTAATGATGCTGTAGGCCATGCCTGGAAGAATGGATGTAAACAGTAGATGTCAGCATGAATGAGTCTCTGGTGCCTGCCTTCTATACCGGAATGTCCTGAACAGCTCTGGAGCAGACCTGGGCTATAAGATTTGGGAGAAGAGCATGAACAGGTTTGTGGGGGGCACATTTTGGGTGTAAAGCCATTATTTCAACATGTCCCAAAGTACTATTTGATGCAGCTTGGCAGCACAAAAATGCCTGTGCACCCGTAGGGAGTGTGATCCTGAGGACTTTGGCGAGAACATCGTGGCCTCACAAATGGGAACTCAGGGTTAACATAGAAAAACCAGGTTTTGACTGCAGCTTTCCACGGGTACATTTAGTGATTCTGAATAAGGATTTCTGCTTGCTCAGGGTTGTGAAAAACGGATCAACATTGTAGGGGAGGATTAGATAACTCGAAAACTGTCCCATCGCAAGATATCTCAGAATGCCAGCACACAGCAGGGCAAGGAAGGCAGAATGGCATCTGCCAAATACTGTGACGGGACAAAGCTAGGAGGTGGGTGCACAGATATTTGCTCTATAGACCTTATTCTTTCTTTATGCTTAAAATGTTTTTAAAAATGTTTTAAAATTTAAAAGCCTAATTGAAGTTAGCTGTGTGTGGTGGTGCACACCTGTAGTTTCAGCTGTTGGGGAGGCTGAGGCAGGAAGATTGCCTGAGCCCAGGAGTTTGAGGTTACAGTAAACTATGATCATACCCTGCAAATAGCCACTGCACTCCAGCCTGGGCAATATAGCAAGACCCTGTGTCTAAAAATTAATATGTAAAATATTTCAGAATAAATAAATAAAATCTACATTGGTGACAGCCTTTTCAAGCTCATTAAGTAAAAACCTCCTTACCACCTTATACCCATTAGGATGGCTACTAAAAGAAAAGAAAATACTAAGTGTTGGTGAGGATGTGGGAAATTGGAACCCTTGTGTGCTATTGGTGGGAATTTGTAAAATGATGTAGCCACTATGTAAAACATGGAGATTTCTCAGAAAGTTAAAAATAGAATCGCCATGTGATCCAGCAATCCCACTTCTGGGTATCTATGTAAAAGAATGAAAAGCAGAGTCTCAAAGAGGCATGTGCACACCCATGTTCACAGCAGTGTTATTCCCAACAGCCAAGAGGCGGAAACAACCCAAGTGTCCATCAGTGGATAAATGGATAAACAAAATGTGGTACACATAGGCAATGAAATATTATTTATTGCATAATTTCACAAAAAGAAGAAAAGCCTGTTACATGCTATAACACAGATGAATGTCAAGGACATTACACTAAGTGAAATAAGCCAGTCACAAAAGGACAAGTACGGTATGATTCCACTTATATGAAGTACTTAGAGTAGTCAAAATCATAGAGATAGGAAATAGAAGGGTGGTTACCCAGGGCTGGGGTAGGGGGTGCAGAATAGGGGAGTTAAATTTAACGGGTACAGAGTTTTAGTTAGGGAAGGTGAAAAGGTACTAGAAGTGGATAGAAGTGCTGGTTACATGAAAGTGGGAATGCACCTGATGCCACGGAGCTATACGTTTAGAAATGGTTATGATGGTAAATATGTATATTTTGCCACAGTTAAAAATAAATATTTTTAAAAAGAAAAACCACCTTAGATAACAGTAAAATGAGACTGGGTATTGAATGAATCTACAGACTTCTCTTCTATGTGGATGCAAAACTCAAAACAGTGGACTTGCAATCTACCCTCGTTTCCCTACAAATTTGGTTCCCTGGGTTAACTTTCCCAACCATCCTGTCCCAAACAAGTGTTGCAATCCCAGCGAAGTGCTTTGGATTGGTTCAGCTGTAAAAACCGTCATTTCTATCTATGAAATGGGTCTTGTTTCTGGTGCCATACCAATAACAGTGCATCTCTCAGACTTCCTTTATCACACCCAGGTTCCTTCAGACGAGAACCTAGATGTTGGGGCTAAATCCAGAGCCCTTTATTCCAGAAGAAATACAGCAAGGTACCTACACCTGCCTCTGAGAGGCTGCCTGGGTCACTTCCCAGCTAAGCCTGGTGGCGTCCTTTATCTCCCAGAGCCCTCACTATCTGCTGCCTCCGTGCATCAGGCCATGCCTTGTTGTGATGCTTTTTTCAGTGACTTTTCATTGGGATCCTACCACCTGCCTGGTGCCTGACTTGTTCTGGAGCTAAACCAAAGAACAAAACAGACATAGCCCATGTTCACGTGGAGCTTATAGTCTCGGGAGGATATCAACATTAAATAAATATATAAAGTTATGGTTAGTGCTGTAAAGAAAAAAGAGTGTTATAATAGAAAATAACAAGGAGGCCTGGGTGCCGTGGCTCACGCCTGTAATCCTAGCACTTTGAGAGGCAGATGCAGGTGGATCACCTGAGGTCAGGGGTTCGAGACCAGCCTGGCCAACATGGCAAAACCCTGTCTCTATTAAAAATACAAAAAAAAATAGCTGGGCGTGGTGGCAGGCACCTGTAATCCAAGCTACTCGGGAGGCTGAGGCAGGAGAATCACTTGAACCCAGAAGGCAGAGGTTGCAGTGAGCCAAGATCGCACCACAGCCTGGGCAGCAGAGTGAGACTCTGTCTAAAAAAAATAATAATAACAAGGGGGACCTAATTTGGACAGGTATGGAGAAGCCATAGAAAGCCACTAGGATGAAGTGAGAAATTCAACTGAGAAATTAGACATGAGGGGGAGTCACCTAAGAACAGAGGGGGGACTGGAAAAGAGCATCCCAAGCAGAGGCTGCCCCAGGGCAGAGCCCTGCAGAAGAGAGCTCAGTGGGCCCAGCCTGGGTAGGAAGTGGAGGTGCAGAGCCGGAAGAATCATGCAGGCCAGATCATTTCAGGCTGTGGAGGCCACACAGAGGACTGTGACCTCTTGCCCAGGTGTAAGGAGATGCTGCTGAGGATTTGAAGCAAGAGCATGACATAGCTAGATTTTCCTTTTAAAAGATCACTCAGGCCCCTTATGTAGAATGGATTAAAAGGGGACAAAAGAGGAGACAAGGAGCCTAGTTAGAGGTGAATGCAGAAATTCGAGGAGAAACAGCGTTGGCCCCGGCTGAAACGGTGCCAGTGGAGTTGAAGTGAAATGGAGATAGAATTAATAGGGCTTCCTGGAGGGATTAAATGCAGAGAGGGAGCTGTCAGTGCACCCGGCATGGGTGGCTGGGTGGGTGTGTGAGGTATTTAATAGTTCTCATGCACTGACAGTTCACTATATGCCAGGCTTTGTGCTAAACATGTTGCATCATCCATTTAGTCCTCTCAGTCAGCCTGTGGGCTGGGTGCTTACAAATGAGAAGCTAAATAATTTCCCCAAGGTCATGCAACTAGTAGGTGACTCAGGAAATTCGCAGCCTGGTCTACTCACTCCAGGACCCAAAGTTCAGGGGAAGACCAGAAAACAAAATTGGCAGAAAAGAGCTAAACCTCAGTTTTGAGTGTGTGGGTGATGACCACTTTTTCCTAGCTCAAAGGCAAAAATACTAGATTCTGGGGAGACTGCAGCAACCACACAGCCTAGTTTCTAAGTCCTTTGAATCCTAACATGAAAACTGATAAAGCAACTAGAACAACTCATGGACGACACTTACAGCAAAACTAGGTGCAAGATAGCCAATGATTTCAAACAAGAGGAGCCAAACTACCAACAAAAACAAGCCAGGCATAGTTTCAGTGTCTGTGCAAGAGAAAAGAGAGGGAACCAACCGGGTACCTGGATCATGTAAGGAGAGGGACCCCCCAACATAGCCAAAGGTATGCACCGGAAAGCATGGTACAATTTGAGAACAGCAGCTGGAGATGAAACTGTACAATCCAAACGCAGGCGAGGGCCCCACACTCAGGAGAAACCGCGGAGAACAGAATCAAATTAAACATGAAAGGGACAGACAACCATGGGAGATGACAGAGTCAGGAAGTTTCAGAATAAGCCACTGTGGTTTTGAATACTACATGAAAACAGAAGGACCTCCATGAGGTTCAGACTGCCTTGACTCTGCATCCTCCTCACAGTGCAGGAAAGCTAATTATTTCACATGAAAATGGCCCTAGAAGGCTATTAAAGACCAGGCCCCAGAGAAAAACAAATGAAAGTTACATTCACTAAAAAGGGAGTTTTTATCTCAAAGCAATCTTTAAAAAATTAAGAGACTGATAAAAGACATGAAAGAATAAAACTCAAAATGGAAAAATACAGAAGTGAAGTAGCAAAACACAGAAAATAAACAGAAATAAAATAAAAAGTAATTTCAGAAATGAAGAACAGACCAGGCACAGTGGCTGATACCTGTAATCCCAACACTTTGGGAGGCTGAGGCAGGAGAATCTCTTGAACCCAGGAATTCAAAGTCAGCCCGGGCAAGACCCCTTCTATTAAAAAAATAATTAAGACTTAAACGTGGCAAAACCCTGTCTCCACAAAAAATACAGAAGAAAGTTAGCCAGGTGTGGTGGTGCAAGCCTGTAGTCCCAGCTACTTGGGAGGCTAAAGTGGGAGGATCACCTGAGCCTGGACGTTTGAGGCCGCACTGAGCTGTGATCACACCACTGCAGTCCTGCCTAGGAGATAGAGTGAGACTGTCTTAAAAAAAAAAAAAAGAAGAAGAAGAAAAGAAAGAAAGAAAGAAAAAAGAAAGGGCCGGATGTGGTGGTTTATGACTGTAATCCCAGCACTTTGGAAGGCTGAGGCAGGTGGATCACGAGGTCAAGAGATCGAGACCATCCTGGTCAACATGGTGAAACCCCGTCTTTACTAAAAACACAAAAATTAGCTGGGCATTTTGGTGCGTGCATGTAGTCCTAGCTACTTGGGAGGCTGAGGCAGGAGAATTGCTTGAGCCCAGGAGGTGGAGGTTGCAGTGAGCTGCGATCGCACCACTGCACTCCAGCCTGGCAACAGAGCGAGACTCCATCTCAAAAAAAAAAAAAAAAAGAAAAAAGAATTAGCCAAGCGTAATGTCATGTGCCTATAATCCCAGCTTCTCAGGAGGGTTGAGCTGAGGAGTTTGAGGCTGCAGTGAGCTATGATCATACCGCTTCACTCCTGCCTAGGTGACAGAGTGAGATCCTGTCTCTAAGAAATTTAAAAATAAAAAGAATCTTTAAAAACTAAATGGTCATCCTCAGAGGGTGATGGGGGAACCAATCCATTCTCTTGAAAATCTGTGAATAGTGGAGAAAAGCATGCATTTATCCTGCTTTATCTCTACAGGTGATACCAACTGGTACAACAAATGAGGATGAGCATCTCTTTATAATATCATTCTATCTAATAAATGGACAAAAAAGATGGAATTAAAAGATCACCATTTTGCAAATCCCAATGAAATTAAAGTATCCTGTCCTGTCCAACAAGTTAGTCACTGGCCACCTAAAGTTTAAGTAAAATCAAATAAAAATGTTAGTTCCTCAGTCTCAGTGGCCACATTCCAAGTCGTCAGTGGCCACGCACACTAGTGGCCGCCCTGTGGGGCAGTGCAGACATGGGGCATTTTCTTGACCATGGAAAGTTCTGTCAGAGGGTGTGCTTCAGACCCCATGCATCCACAAGCACTGGCCTCACAGCGTGGGAAACAGACAGGTGTCCCGGGGAGGGCCCACAGCCCCCCGGGTGGTGTTTCCAGAGACCTACCAAGAGGCGGACCAGGCCCCTGGATGTAGCTGTCACCTTACAGGAAGCACAGAGGATGAGCGCCATGTGATCAGTGTCATGAATATGCAGTTCAAAAACTCCAGATTCAGGGAATGTGCAGATCACATGGTCTGGGTTTTTTTAAACAGATAAACCATAAGAAAAAGAAAGGGATAAGGAGGATGCAGCTTCACAGGGGCTTAGAAATTTTAAACTGTCAAGACTAAACTGTCATGTCTGTGAATGAACACTTGGATGAAAAGCTACGAAGAAATGCAAAGACGCCATTTCTCTAAAAGCAGGGCAATGATTTTTAGTGGAGGAAGAACCGTGACTGGCCCAGGGTCCACGGAGGGGCTTCTGGTGTGGCCGGCACAGTTCTCTTTGCTGACCAGAGTGCTGGTGACAACAGTATTCACCTTATAATAACTCATTAAGCTATATTATTCTTTTCCGTGGCTTTCTCTATCAATGATTTATTTTATAATTTTTAAATAGTTTAAAAAAAAAAAAGAATCAAACCAAGGAGTACATCACTGGGGCAAGCCCCTGACAAGTTAATTTCTATGATTTATGGTCTTTCAATGTGTTTACTGAACCTTTTTACCAAGTGGCACCTATATTGCCGCACTGCATTGAAGACGCTCATACTCTGCTGGCTCAGAGGTACTGCCTGGCTCTCTAGAGGAGGAGGAAATACTTTCCACTTTCTCCTGCTGTCAGCTTATGCATTTAGTTTGCAGATGAGTTTACTTCTTAACAGCTGTAATAAATGTGTTTATTGAGACTTGTCCTTCTCCCTCTCTCCCTGTCTCTCACTCTCGCTCTCACTCCCTGTCTCCCTCTCTCAGCTATTTCCAGTAGCACATGTGGCCTTTTTCCTTCATCTTGTAGTGATGGAATGTTCTGACACATGAAGATGATTGATTTGATTTGAGTCTCTCCCCTTTAATATTCCCTTATGAGAGCTGAAGCCCATAGAAGGAGGAAGCTATTTTCCAAAGGTCACAAAACTAATTTGAGCAAAGTTGGGGCTAGAATTTTGATCTTCTACTCACCAGTTCTGTTTCTCTTCAAAAGCCTGTATGGAGACACTAGCAGATTTTGCTCTTACCTGAGCTCCTCACTCCCGTGCTGCCTGTAACTTTCCCCACTGTTGCAAGATGCATTTCACTGCACATCTTCATCCAAGCTTCCCACCCTCCTTCTGGTGAACTCTTGCCTTGAGTAAGTATTTTGAAAATAATTGCAATAATGCATTCATGCGTTCTCTTGATATAAATCTTCACTGGGTTTTAGGGCATTGAAAAGGGAAAGAAAAACTTCTATTTCATGTGACTGACAGTAGCACAGCATTATTCCTGGGAATTATGACCATCCTGAGAGTGCATGATAAATAGGCAACAGCAACCTGGTGGACACTCTCAAGGGGAAATTCGCATACACTTGAGTGTGCAGGGGAAGCTGTGCTGTAGGTTAAGTGACTTTTGGTGCCTCCACTCCTCCTGATGGCCCTGGCCCCTGTTGCTCCTCTACTGTTCTCATCTATTTACTTCTTATCCTCTCTTCTCTTTCTCGCCACACACTCAAACACATATAATTTTCAAAACTTTTCTTAAAGTCCGTATACCATTTCATCATACAGATGCACCATGAACATTCGCTATGTTGGATAAACAGTTTATCCTCAGTTCAACAGCATTATGACCACTGTTGTACTTGATTTTTTTTCATGGTTTAATGCTAGCCCATGGTTTGCTTATTTGTCATCCAGCTTGGATACTTTTTTCTTGTAACCCATTTAATACTGCTGTGTATTCAATTTAACTATTTTTTAAATTGTGGTGAAAAAAAACAACACATAAAACTTACCACCTTAACCATTTTTAAGTGTACAGTATAGTAGTGTTAACCCTATGCACATTCTCATGCAGAAGATCCCCAGAGTGTTTTATGTTGGAAAACTTGTAACTCTATATTCACTGAACAACTCATTTCCCCCTTTTCTCAGCTCCTGGTAACATTACAGTTTCTGTCTCTACTAATCCGTAGAAGTGGAATCACGCACCTATATAAGTGGAATTGTTCAGTATTTATCTCTTGCCACTGACATATTTCATGTAGCTTAATGTCCTCAAATGTCATCTGTGCTGTGGTATATGACAAAATTGTCTTCTTTCTTAGGGCAGAATCATATTCTGTTGTGTGTGTTTACCACATGTTCTTTGCCCATTGGTCCATTGATGGACACTTGGGTTGCTTCCGTCTTTTGGCTATTGTTTATAATGCTGCAACACACATGGGTGGGCGAATATCTGCTCAAGACCTTGCTTTTAGTTCTTTTGGATATATACCCAGAAGTAGGATTGTTGGATCATATGGTGATTTTATTTTTAATGTTTTGAGAAATTTCTATATTTTTTCCATAGCAGCTGCACCATTTTACATTCCCACTAACAGCGCGTAGGGTTCCAATTTCTTCACATCCTTAGCAGCAGTTGTTATTTTCTGTTTTTCTTGATCGTAGCCACTCTAACAGGTGTGAGTGTATTTCATTGTGGTTTTGATTTGCGTTTTGCTAATTTATAATGACGTTGAACATCTTTCCATGTGCCTATTGTCTACTTGCGTATCTTCTTTAGAGAAATGCCTATCCAAGTCCTTTATCCATTTTTAAATTGGGTTATTTGTTTTTGTTGTTGTTGAGTTGTGGGAGTTCTTTATATATTCTGGATATTAACTCTTCATCAAATACATGGTTTGCAAATATTTTCTCCTACTCTATAAATGTCCTCTTTAGATTGTTGGTTTTTTCATTTGCTTCACAGAATTTCTTTTTTTTTTTTTTTTTGAGATGGAGTCTCACTCTATCATCCAAGCTGGAGTGCAGTGGCGCAATCTTGGCACACTGCAACCTCCTTCTCCCGGGATTAGGTGATTCTCCTTCCTCAGCCTCCTGAGTAGCTGGGATTATAGGTGCCCACCACTAAGCCTGGCTATTTTTGTATTTTTAGTAGAGATGGGGTTTCACCACGTGGGCCAGGCTGGTCTCAAACTCCTGACCTCAGGTGATCCACCCACCTCAGCCTCCCAAACTACTGGGATTACAGGCATGAGCCACCACGCCCAGCCACTTCACAGAAATTTTTTAAGTTCCACATAATTCCATTAGTTTATTTTTGCTTTTGTTGCCGATGGTTTTGGTGTTATACCCAAGAAATCTTTGCCAAAACCAACATCGTGGAGACTTTTCCCTATGTTTTCCTTCTAGGAATTTTAGTTTCAGGTCTTTAACCCATTTTGAGCTGATTATATGGTGTAAAATCAGGACTCAACTTTATTCCTTTGCATGTGGCTATCCCGTTTTCCCAGCACCTTTTGTTGAAGAGATGAGTTAAACAATTTTTTACGAGGTAAAATGAAAAATAATAAATCAGATATGTTAAGTCATTCTTGGGTTTCATTGTCAGGCATAATGAGGGCAGAAGAATCTCATGAACTTCACTTTAAAAATAGTTCTGAATACGTCAAAATGGGAAATGAACAAATACAGAGTAGTTATTGACCTCCCTACATATTCCACAGATGCTAAACCAGGTTATTACCAGTTTATTTTCTTTACCTATGTCTAGTCTTTACACACTTATAATTTGAAAATGCAAATAGTGTTGCTGTTTGTCCTATCATGTACAGTATAGGCTGGGTGCGGTGGCTTGCACCTTAATCTCAGCACTTGAAGAGACTGAGGTGGGAGGATGGCTTGGAACCAAGAGTTTGAGGTTACACTGAGCTGTGATTACACCACTGTACTCCAGCCTGGGCAACAGAGCAAGACCCTGTCTCAAAAAAAAAAAAAAAAAACAAGAAAGAAAAGAGCAGGGGAGGAGAGAGAGAGAGAGAGAAGAGAGAGAGAGAGAAGAAAATACATATGGTAAAAAATGCCTGCCAGAGCACCAAAATGTTACTTAAACATATAGCTTGTATAACTGTCTATATATAATTACACACATATAGGTGCACTAGATGTATCTATATGTATTTCTATATATTGTAACTACAAAATTGGCAGAAGGTGCTATTTTCCAGTGGCAGGGAAAGAAGGGAGGAAGGATAAGAGGGTAGTGAGATAAGGTTTCCCTGTAGAGAAGCCCACACTCAAGCATCTACATCCCTTTCCAGAGAATTTTCATCCCTTTCAGAGTTACAGGGTGGTGTCCAGAGCTGCCGTGCCACTATTCCTGAGGGGGAAAATCTTAAAGGGAGTGTCCTCACACCAGCGCTGCTCAGACATGTCACTTTCTCTGTGATTAGCTGATTAGGAGTGACTCTAAGTAGGGCCGATTCCAGCACTTTCAATGCTTACTTACTCTTTTCCTGCAGCCTTTCTCATTGATGGGGACATAGGAACGTTGTGATTTTAATGATTTTATAAATGAAATTACTTATATAAAACTGTTAGAGAGCTGTAGATGACACGTTTGAGAATGTCCGTGTCAGTCTGCTCACCACATGTGTACGTGCTGAGAAAATCCCAGTAAGGAAAGGTCACGGTGGGGTGAACCGTTTGGATTTGTTGAACAATGTAAAGCTAGAATGGGTTTTTTTTTTTTGTTTTTTGGGTTTTTTTGGAAAGAATGTTTGGTGTTTTGACAAAAAGGATTTTACTTCATCTTAATTTAAAGGGATCCTGGTTCCATCAGTCTATAAAATGAAAAAGCAATTTAGCCCACTCAATTTTTAGAGAGGTTTGGTTTTACAATTCTCAAGGCAGGCATAAATCCGCTAATCCTTAAAACACTTTCCCTTAACCATTTATTCAAATATGCAGTTAAGGGAAAGTATTTTGTATATACCCACATATGCAGGTATCTTCATCTTCGTGGATAGATACAAGGCATCCCTTAGAGACAAGAGCTCCTCGGAAAGAAGCCGATTCCTTTTCATTTACTCCTTCACTCATAGTGACAATGAGAGGGGCATGTGGAATGCAAATAAAGTATTAGGGGAAGTTCCCATCTTTGATGAGCTAAGAGTCTAATTAATAAGGCACAATTAACTGAGGATCTATCTAAATAATCTAAAAACAGTGCTTTGCACATAGTAAGTGCCATAGATTTTGATATAATAACTTGTTAGTTAATGTTTTAAACTCTGGATAAAGTCCTAATTTTCTTAGCCTGGCTGCAGCCTCCTCTCCAGTTTTATTCATGCTCACTCCCCCAGCTCCTCGCCAGAGGCCATGCCAAACCCTTTCACACACCTGTGCTTTGTGATTTTTTGTTCCTCTTTTCTAGAATGGTGTCATCTCCATTTTCTCTGCCTGACAGTCTCATGTCCATCCTTTTAGGAGCTACTTGTCATCTTCTCTTCTCAGACCTGCCTGCTTCCAGGGAGAAGAAGTCACTTGGTCTTCTGAACTCCACACATTTTATTCTTACCTCCACTATGGTACCTCTTGGCTTCTTACAATCGTTTTGTTTTGTTTTGTTTTGTTTCTGTGAGACAGAGTTTCACTCTGTTGCCCAGGCTGGAGTGCAGTGGCATGATCATGGCTCACTGCAACCTCCATCTCTCAGGCTCGATGGATTTTCCCACCTCAGCCTCCAGAGTAGCTGGGACTACAGGTGCACACCATCATGCCAGGCTAATTTTTATTTTTATTTTTTGTATTTTGGGGGGTAGAGACGGGGATCTGCCGTGTTGTCCAGGCTGGTCTCAAACTCCTGGGCTCAAGTGATCCGCCTGCCTCAGCCTCCCAAAGTGCTGGGATTACAGGTGTGAGCCACTGCGCCTGACTTCTTACTTTTTTTTTTTTTGACATATCAATTTCTTCTCAGTGGCAGGAGTCATTCTGGGATTGCCAGCACCAAGCACAATGAGAGAGCCTGATAAATAAACTTGATAAATAGATGTTGAATGAGTGGAAAAAGAAAAGGGTGAGATTTGAAGCAGCTAAAATAGGCCTACGGAGGATGTGCTTTAGAATAGAAATGGAGGAAAGGATAGAAATGGAAAGCACATAAAAGCTCTCTGTTAAGGGCCGAATTGTGTCCCCCCTAACATTCATAGGTCAAAGCCCTAATCCCCAGTACCTCCACATGTGACTGTATTTGGAGACAGGGCCTTTACAGAGCTGATTAAGGAAAAATGAGGCCCTTATGGTGGGCCTTAATCCAATCAGCTGGTGTCTCTTAAGAAATTAGGACACAGACACACACAGAGGGTAGACCTTGTGAAGACACAGGGTGAAGACGGCCACCTGTAAGCCAAGGAGGGAGGCCTCAGAAGAAACCAAGCCTGCTGACACCTTAATCTTGAACTTCCAGCTTCTAGAACTGTGAGAAATACGTTTCTGTCGTTTAAGCTACCCAATCTGTGGTACTTTATTACAGCAGCCCAAAGAAGATTTCTTTTATTTTCTTTTCTCTGTCACTCAGGCTGGAGTGCAGTGGCACAATCATGGCTCACTGCAGCCTTGAGCTCCTGGACTCTTGCAACCCTCCTGCCCCAGCCTCCCAAGTAGCTTGGACACCAGGTGTACACCACTATGCCTGGCTGACTTTTTACTGTTTTGTACAGACAGGGCTTCTCTGTGTTGCTTAGGCTGGCCTCATACTCCTGGCCTCAGTGATCTTTCTGCCTTGGCCTCCCAAAACATTGAGATTACAGTTGTGAGCTACCTTACCTGGCCTAAGATTTCTAATTAAAAGAAATCTTCCCCATCTTTTATTTCTCATCTGTTAGAAACCAAAAGTTATTTTTCTCCACACTCAACTTTTCCTTGTATATGAAAATGGAAACCATTCCACCATTGACATGGGTGGGAATCCTGGCAGGTGTTTTGGTTTCCTGTCCCCTCACTTCAGTTGAGCAGTTGTGCAGCAGTGGCCAAGCCTGTAGGTGCATTGCTCAGCAGTGGGTCACCAGCCACATGTACAGAACAGCACTCGCTTTGTGTCTCACTGGGTCTAAGTACTGACAATTCGGTGATTGTTTGTTTCCAATGTGGAATCCCCTGGTTCTGGGGCCGACAGAGCTGGCTCTCGTTCCAGGGCAAACTTAACAAACAAGTTCAAGGTGAGGGCCATGTGCACTTTACAGAGGTCCCACATGAGAGCTATAAAACCAAGAACCTGCCAAAAGACACGTGAATAATAGGTAGTCCTGTAGAGAAAGAGACAACAAAAGAAAAATCTTGTTCCTAAGTTCACTGAAGATTCTAGATAAAGCAGATCGAGTGAGTTTCAGCAAATATGGGGTCAGGGATTCAAAAGGTAGCCATGTAGTGAAGTCTGTGCACTATTCCGAACACTTGGGGAATTGACTGATAGGATTCTAGTGCATTTGCTCTCTGAAAACTATATTTCTGGGAACCTTCAGATTAAGTACAACATGAAAAGATGATAAGGACGGGGAAAAAAAAAAGGAAGAAATTTATGCTTGCCAGAATAGTGGAGGGAATAAATAGAGCTTTTACAGCTCTATCAGGTGAAGGAAATACTAGAAATTAAAGCAGATATTAAGTCTAGGAGGAAAGTGAAATGCAAGATGATCACACAGTGGCTGGGTACTCAAGTGCCCTTTTGAACAAGAGGCAAAAAAAAAAAAAAAAAAAAAAAAAAAGCTCAAGCCTGGTTCTCCACTCAGTCAGTTATGTGGCCATGGCAGTGAAAATGCTGTATGTATGCAGGCACAGTGGAAACTGTCCCCAGAGAAACGAGCACTCCTCATCACAGTCTCTACTATGTTGTCCCAAGGAGCCCGAAAAATGGTTGCCAAATGTTAAAAAGAAATACCCAAGGCCCTAGGAAGGAATAAAAGCAAATGTACTTGCTTTCGACTTCAGCTGTTTCTCTCAGAAGATATGAAAAGCAAATAGTGTCAATTCTGAGTTTATGGACATTCATAGAGAAAAATCACCTCCTCACCAAAGGTACCTCCATGCCAACTCTTAGCACTCTTATATTTATATGTCTGTGAATTCCACATAGGAAATAGAACAGCCCAATGACAGCGCCTACGTCAGCTTTTCTTCCCTGCATTTTCAGTTTTTATTGAAACTATAGACTTGGTAAGAAAGAAATGGGAGTTCCCAGATCCCAGAGCAGCCTCTTCTCCTCTTTCTGTTTTAGACTTTGGTGGGAACTCTCACAGAACTCTAATAAGATGTGTACTGCTCTATCGGCACGTTAAATCTAGGTGGTAATTTTTAAGTCCTGTTATGGAAGATGCTCACTCGCACTATTCTGGTGCTTCTCACAATTTTAATTATTATGCTTAGTTCTTATCTTAGTCCATTTGTGCTGCTATAGTACGATATCACAAACTGGGTTATTTATAAAGAACGAAATTGATTTCTCAGTTCTGGAGTCTGGGAGACCAAGATCAGGGCACTGGTAGGCTCGGTGTCTGGATAGGGCCTGATCCTGGCTTCCAAGAGGGGCCTTGCTGCTGTGCCCTCTGGAGGGGTGAATGCTGTGCCATCGCCCGGCTGCAGGGGGAAGGGGGGACACGCCCCTCAAGCCCTTTTATAGGGTTACTAATCCATGAGAGCTCCACCCTCGTGATTTAATCACCGCCTAAAGGCTCCACCTCTTAATGCCAACATATTGTTGATTACATTTCAACACGTGAATTCGGGAGACACATTCAGACCACAGCAGTGCTTCCTCTGATTCCCTTCGCACCTTTGCACCGAGGCTTAAACCTCCGTTTCTTGTTCTCTCAGTGTTGAACTTAACCCCTAGTGGGACGTGTGCCTGTTTATATTTTACAATAAAGGCCTCTGTGACTCACTGTGGGTGCGTGGGCTTTGAGGAGTGCAGCCCTAGGATGGGAGCCTGCCTGGGACTCTTGTGAAACGGGACCTGCCTACTGAAGGAAACTGCTTTAGGGAGGGCTTGTGCCAGGACACTCACCCTTGCAGCCAGGATTCTCCTGAGGCAGTTTATTTAATTTCTTTTTGGAAGAACCTTCCAGTTTGGAGCCTGGGAGTAAATGCCGGCTGCTTTTCATGGTAGGGGGGGGGAAGCCTGATGCTGGGACCCCTAGGCTGCATCCAGTGAGCTCCTGCAGCTCCGCACCTTTCCTCATCTCACCTTTCAAGCCTGGAGGCCCCGAGCCCACAGTTCCTTGGGATTTTTCGGAAAGATTGGCGCCCACGTTCCCGCCCCCAACCTCTTCTGTGACTACTCTGGGCTGCAGTTTACTCTCCTGGGTTTCACCTAGTAACACATTTGTATTTGCTTTGTCTTCCAGAAATGTTTAAAAATCTCTCTTCCCTGCTTGTAGCCCACACTCCAGCTCTCTCTTTTATTTTATTTTATTTTTTTAAATTATACTTTAAGTTCTAGGGTACATGTGCTCAATGTGCAGGTTTGTTACATATGTATACATGTGCCACGTTGGTTTGCTGCAGCCATTAACTCATTTACATTAGGTATTTCTCCTAATGCTATCCCTCTCCTTTTCCCGCACCCCACAACAGGCCCTGATGTGTGATGTTCCCGCCCTCTGTCCAAGTGTTCTCATTGTTCAGTTCCCACCTATGAGTGAAAACATGCGGTGTTTGGTTTTCTGTTCTTGTGATAGTTTCCTGAGAATGATGGTTTCCAGCTGCATCCATGTCCCTGCAAAGGACATGAACTCATCCTTTTTTATGGCTACATAGTATTCCATGGTGGATATGTGCCACATTTTCTTAATCCGGTCTATCATTGATGGGCATTTGGGTTGGTTCCAAGTCTTTACTATGGTGAATAGTGCTGCAATAAACATACGTGTCAATGTGTCTTTATAGTGCATGATTTATAATTCTTTGGGTATATACCCAGTAATGAGATTGCTTCCACACTCCAGCTCTCTTTAATGTTGGCCATTCATTCTCTTCTGTTTTCCCTTACTGTCATTTGGAGGTCTTAAAAGGGTGACAAGATAGAGATAGAGGCAGAGGTAGAGGTAGATAGAGACACTCAGGGGTTTTCTCCTTGTCCTGAGGCAGCCATATTGAATCAGAACTAGAACCTACGGAAACTCTTTAAAAATGACCTGATACTAACCCTATCCTTTTGGAGCCTTTTTTGCCCCCCAGATTACATGGATAGACTGTAATTCCCTTAACCAGCACCACTAGGAGGTTGTTTGTACATTTTACTCTGGTAAATACATCTGCAATGAATATAGTTGCATGAATAATATCACCTGTGCCCATCACCACCTGTTTCCTTGGGATATATTTCTAGAAGTGAAATTGTTGAATCAAAGGTGGCACCTTTTTAAGGCTTTCCATACACATTGCCAAATTGCCTTACAGAAAGTTTGTATCAAGTTTTCACTCCCATTCCATGTGAGAACTAATTTTCTTTCTATCTCGGATGCTCTTATGCTTTTAGAATTGCAAATTTGGCAGCGGGACATGTCATTTTGTTTCCATTTTTGGCTGACTTTATTGTTAACTACATCACTCCAGCTATAGGGTAAATAATGGCACTTTGTTTCTTTACCTTCTCTGGCTTTCCAGAGGAAGTGGGAGCAGTAAAAACTGGAGCACACAGAATCAATGCAGCTGTGTTCTGCTCGCTGAGCCGGCTCTCCCAGAACCAGCTCAGCTCTGCCAGCCTCAAGAGCATTGGTCAAGGAGTGAGGAAGGGAGGGGAGGATGGCTCTACCTCAGACCTCATTCTCCCTTGTGCAATGAATTCTACAGGGAATAAGGGGAAAATGAGGACAAACCTTGGGAGGGGACTGCATTTTAGGACTAGGATTGATGGAAACAGATCCAGACTCACTTAATATTGTAATATGTCCATGGGTCAACTCCAAACCCCTTGACTCTGCCGGCTGCTGTAGAGATGAATTGCTTCACTTGAATCTGCATCAGCCCCCAGTCTAAGCCTAATCTTTACTGCCTCCTAAGGCGGTGGAGAAGCAGGGTTTGTGGGTAAATAACCATTTGTTATTCATTCATCAAACCTTGAGCAAACACTTGCCATGGGCCAGACACTGGGCTAGATCCTGCGGACACAGAAAGGAAACAAACATGCCCCCGCTGATGAGGTTCTTAGAAGCTATTTGGGGAATACATATGTAACCTAGGATAACTGAGCAATAATTGTAGAAACTGTAAAGCAGATTACACATGGGAAAGGGCAGATCTTTCCACCCAATAACCAACTTGAGATAAGGAAGTTAAGAATAAACACCAAGGTTTTTGGACCCCTGCTAAAGACTGAAATATGTTTGCACCATCTCTGCGCATAGCATATTCTTGATTATCTCTTTTTATTTTTTATTTTTTGAGGTGGAGTCTTGCTCTTGACCAGGCTGGACTTCAGTGATGCAGTCCTAGCCTCGAACTCCTGAACTCCAGTGATCCTCCTACCTCAGTCTCCCAAGTAGCTGGGACTACAGATACTTGACACCATGTATGGCTGATTTTTTTTGTATTCTTCTAGAAATGGGGTCTTGCTATGTTGCCCAGGCTGGTCTTGAACCCCTGGTTTCAAGTGATCCTCCCACCTTGACCTCCCAAAGAGGCCAGATACATGCATGAGCCACCACACACAGCCAACTCCCTCTTTATTAATAAAAATAATAAAAGAGGCTAGTGAAAAAAAAATTCTAACAAACTATAATATCTTCCATCCTCTCCATCTCCGTTGCTAGTACCTTAATTCAGATACTCATTATTTTATCTCTCTAACATGAATCTTGCCTCCTGGAATCTATCCTTCCAGGGGGACTTTGATTGCATCCTCTCTGTCCTGCCCCGCCACCCCCACCCCAGAAACAGAGTCTTGCTCTGTCACCGAGGCTGAAGTGCAGTGGTGCAATCACGGCTCACTGCAGCCTCAACCTTCCCAGCTCAAGTAATCCTCCCACCTCAGCCTCCTGAGTAGTTGGGACCACAGGTACACACCACCACACCTGGCTAACTTGTATTTTTTGTAGAGATGGGTTTTCACCGTGTTGCACAGGCTGGTCTCAAACTCCAGGGCTCAAGCGACCCGCCTGCCTTGGCCTCCCAAAGTGCTGGAATTATAGACATGAGCCGCCATGCCCGGCCTGCGTCCATATTTTAATGTAATCAAATTGATCATTTTTTCCTGTTTTCTAATGTGAAACCATCCTTGCATTTCCTACTTGGTCATGATAGCTATTTTAAAATAGATTGTTAGAATTTCTTTGCTAATGTCTTGTTTCACTATTTTGCCTCCGGGCTTATAATGCAGACTAACTCATAATCTCCCCATTTATGTTTCCTTGTTTGATGTTGGTATTGAGGTTATACTGCCTCTGTCCAATCAGCGGAAGCACTTTCTCATTCTTATATTCTCTAGATCGTTTTGAATTGGATAAAGACTCTTGTTCTTGACAGTTGGCAAATGGTAGTTCTTTGGCCTCATCTTCTAAAAGCAGCATTTTTATACAGTTGATGCATCTTCTCTAGTTGGCCCACAGGACACTCTCTAGGCTGTCCTTCAGTCTCACTTACAGTGGAAATGTCCTTTCCTTTCTGCACTTCTGCCCCCCATTCCTTCTTGCAAAGCTGAGTTATTGGCCAGACACCAATTAAAACAGATTGTTCTCTCCTCTGGCATTGTAGCAAAGCTGTTTGGTTTGACCTAAACATTTTCCATTTACAATAAAAATCTACCCTTAACTCACTGGGTCAGTTTGCTACTCTGCTCTTGTTGCCCCTACAGCACCTTCTGTGCCACTCTGTAGTGCTCCCCACATTGTATGACAATCAATCCTACACGTGTTTTATCTCCAACCAGAACTTGAGCTCAGTATACACTGTGCTTTGTTCATCCTTGTACTTCCCATGCTGAAGAGTTGAATTCTCATGCTCAGCCACGGAAGTAGCAAGGATGCAATCCATTTTTGCATCCCATTTCTTGTGCCAGGCATACACACACACACACACACACAAACCCAGTAAATGTTTGTTGGATAAATGAACAAAATGTTCTTATCAGCTAAACACAAACAGCTCATTACAGCTGTTTGTTTGTTATATTATCACTGTGTAACAGGAGGTGCTGATGTCTCAGTCTTCATCTACTTTCTCAGTCTTGATCCACAGTTCTCTGTTCTCTGCCTTCATGGGCTGGGCACTCATCCTTCTTCTGTAAGACCTTCCATGTCTCGTAGTAGTATGATTTGGTCTTTGCTGTCATTGCTTCAGATTCTTACCCACGCATTCACTCTCTTATTCTATTTCCATTGCTCTGTTGCTAAGGCCTCCTTTCTATGGTTCAGATTTCCTTGAGCGTTTTCTAGAATTCTACTGATTTATAATTCATTCTAGCAGACTCAACAGGAGGGGCTACTTACTGTAATGAGTCACAGCCAAGAAAGTCTGGCTTCCTGGAAGCCTAGGTTCCCAGGCATAGCCTCCCCCAGAAACTAGAACAAATGCTGTCACTGAGGGACTTCTCGGCTCTCTTTCCTAAAGTTTCCTGAAATGCTACTTGAAAGGCTAACCGGACAATGTCCACTTTAAGTTTTAGTTTTGTAAACCACTATGTGCAAACCACTATATCTGCACGTGCCAAAGGAAAACATATTTTTACATCAGTTATTTAATATCCTAGGCAAAAGTTACTTTGGTTCAAATCATCCTTAGTAGTGACACCAATTCTCTTGAATTGGATGTTTCATAAAGCTACTTCTGGGACCAGGTGCAGTGGCTCACGCTTGTAATCCCAGCACTTTGGGAGGCCAAGGCGGGTGGATCACTTGAGGTCAGGAGTTCAAGACCAGCCTGGCCAACATGGAGAAACCCCATCTCTACTGACAATACAAAAAATTAGCCAAGCGTGGTGGCATGTGCCTGTAGTCCCAGCTGCTCGGGAGGCTGAGGCATGAGAATCGCTAAGATAAGTAAAGAAAGCTACTTCTGTAAAACAAGCATATTATCTTTTTAAATGAAGCAAGAAAATAAGGCTGGGCGAGGTGGCTTAAGCCTGTAATCCCAGCACTTTGGGAGGATGAGGCAGGCAGATCACGAGGTCAGGAGATCCAGACCATCCTGGCCAACATGGTGAAACCCCATCTCTACTAAAAATACAAACATTAGCTGGACATGGTGGTGCATGCCTATAATCCCACCTACTCGGGAGGCTGAGGCAGGAGAATCGCTTGAACCAGGGAGTTGGAGGGTACAGTGAGCCGAGATTGCACCACTACACTCCAGTCTGGCGACAGAGTGAGACTCGATCTCAAAAAAAAAAAAAAAAAAAAAAGAAAGAAAGAAAATATAGTTATATAAACACCAACAGAAGTATCAAGGATGTGTTACAAGTTTGCAGATTTGCAAAGTGTTCTCCGTGGTTATGGGTTTGATCTTTCATACAGATTACTTGAGGGATGAAAATGTTTTCTACAAGTCTGAATGTGGAAGAGTAATTCAGTTTCTTATTAGTGCTTATCTAAGAGGTGCAAGACATTCATATGCAGTGTAGAAGGACAAGTGTAGACTTTGGTTAGATTGTATAATTCAGATGTGCTACAAGGTGCAACAGAAGCTTTCCAGAAACAGCTTTTGGAGAGACTGCCCGCCAGTTTTTTGAAAGCCTACAAAAGAACAATTGATATTCCTCTTTGTGGGGGTCTGTCCAATCAGATTGTGAATCTTTCTCATTGCTTTCTGAGAGTTAGAATTGATTGAAAACCAATATGCGAGCATATAGAAGCTAATTCAGTGTGCACGTGTGTGCCTGCATGTGTGCACATGCGCGTGTGTGTGCATGTGTGCACACATGTAGAGCCTGTCCTAGTGCCTTACCACAGCAGACTACTTGGTGAGCAGGAAAGAGAGCTGGCCAGCACACACTTGGCCTGGTGCTGCCTCCACTGTTTCTCTTGGCATCTCAGGCTGTCAACTGGCTGCCACATTGATTCAAGGCTGTCATTTTTTTTTGTTTTTAGATGATTTCTTCCATTTTTGATTTTTTATTTTCGAAGGAGCTCAAGGTCAAACTCTCCTTAGTTTTTTTTTTGTTGTTGTTTTTTGTTGTTGTTTTTGTTGTTTTGAGATGGAGTTTTGCTCCTGTTGCCTAGGCTGGAGTGCAATGGCACGATCTTGGCTCACCACAACTTCCACCTCCCGGGTTCAAGTGATTCTCTTGTCTCAGCCTCCCGAGTAGCTGAAAATACAAGCATGCACCACCACGCCTGGCTAATTTTGTATTTTTAGTAGAGTTGGGGTTTCTCCATGTTGGTCAGGCTGGTCTCGAACTCCTGACCTCTGGTGATCCGCCCACCTCGGCCTCCCAAAGTGCCGGGATTACAGGCATGAGCCACTACACCCAGCCCCTTGGCTTTGTTTTGAGCCCAGCCCAGGTTGAGTCCTGGTGACTCTGACAGGAGGAATTTCCAGAAACATTGTTTTAGGGGAGGAGACAAGGTTTCTTGTTTGCCGTATATGCTCCTGCAGAGAAGAGGAAGTGACCGTGGAGGCCATCTGGCCCTGTGTTTTGATATGGCAAAATTAATGAATGCAATCAGAAGACCTTTGAGCAAGAAAGTACCCTGGAACAACCCAATTTGGACTGCAAGTATTAGTTGGGTCTTCCAGGTGCCTCTCACAGCAGCAGTCATGGCAGCAGTGACTCTAGCCATGTCCATGACCAACTGCTGCATAACAAATAGCCCCGAGACTCAGCAGCTTACAACAGGGTCCCCAGCCCACAGACTGGCACTGGTCCATGGCTTGTTAGGAACCTGACTGCGCAGCAGAAGGTGAGTGAGCATTACTGCCTGAGCTCTGCCACCTGTCAGATCATCAGGGGCATTAGATTCTCATAGGAGCGTGAACCCTATTGCAAACCGCGCATGCGAAGGATGTACGTTGCGTGCTCCTTATGAGAATCTAACTAATGCCTGATGATTTGAGGTGGAACAGTTTCATCCCCAAACCATCTCTCTCCCTTCATGTCCATGGAAAAATTGTCTTCTACAAAACCAGTCCGTGGTGCCAAAAAGGTTGGAGACTGCTGGTTTACAACCGCAATGAACATTCATCATCCCACACAGTGTCAGAGGGTCGGGAACACGGGTGCCCTGCCTGTGTGCTTCCGGTTCCAGATTTCTCAGTGGGTTGTGATCAAGGTATCAGCGGAGGCCGTATTCATCTGCAAGCTTGACCAGGAATAGAAGAGCCACTTCATGGGTGGCTCACTCAGATGCCAGCAGGTCAGTGCTGGTGGCTGGCAGGCAGCCTCAGCTCCTCACCTCATGGATCTCTCCTGAGCACAGTTTTCCTGTCCTTACAACCTGGTAGCTGGCTTCTCCAGAGCAGGTGACTCAGGAGAGGACAAGGTGAGAGCCACAGAACCTTATGATCTAGTCTCAGAAGTCACACGCCATCATTTCTGCAATGTCATTTTGGGGTTCCAGGTCAGCTGTATCACTGTGGGAGGTGAGTATATAGATGTCCTAGACCATTCAGGCTGCTATGACAGAACACCATGAACTGAGTGGCTCATGAACAACAGAAATTTCCCACAGTTCTGTAGGCTGGGAAATCCAAGATCAAGGTGGCAGCAGGTTCAGCGTCTGCTAAGCTCCTGCTTTTCATGGATTGCATCTTCTCACTGTGTCCTCACGTGATGGACAGAGCAAATGAGCTCTCAGGCACTAGTCCCAGCCATGAGGACTCTGCTTTCATGACTCATCACTCCGCAAAGGCCCACCTCCATCAGAAGACAGCTGCTAACTGCAGCTGCCATCCTCCAAGACGGGAGACACAGAATTGGGGGACATATACATTGAGATCTGAAAGGCCTGGACAGCAGCAGGTGGGGATCGTGGGGGCATCTTGGAGGGTGGCTGCCGCAGTAGCATTTCCTGAGCCCATGCTTTCTGCCTTGCACTCATCTCCTGCACTTGATCTTCATTATCTCAGGCAGTCCCCACAACGACTGTATCTAGGAGTTCATTTTACCCTCATTTTACAGATGAAACGTCTCAGAGGGTAATGTGCTTGCCCAGTGTCTCACAAATGCAAAGTCACTGAGGTAGGATTTCAACCTAGGTCCAATCATCTCTGCAGCATTAGGGGTTCACCATTGCCATAGACTTAACTGTGTCCCCCAAAATTTGTATGTTGAAGCCCTACCAGCCCCCCCCCCCCAATGTGCTGATGTTTGGAGAAAGGGCCTTTGGGAGGTAATTAGGTTTAGATGAGATCATGAGGGTGGGACTCTCATAATGGCATTAATGCCATCAGGTGAAGAGATACCAGAGACCTTGTGTCCTCTCTCTCTGCAATGTGAGGACACAGTGAGAAGGCAGCTGTCTGCAAGCTGGGAAGAGAGTACTGACCAGGAACTTAATCAGAGGGCATCTTGATCTTGGACTTCCCAGCCTCCAGAACTCTGAAAAGTTAATGTCTATTATTTAAGCCACGCAGTCTATGGAATTTTGTTAGAGCCAACCCAAGCTTACTAAGATAATCAGTATGCTGCACTTTCTATAAATGTAATTTTTACATTTATAAAAACAAAACAAGAGATTTGCTGCTCTATAACAACTGTACCTACATTGTAGATGGAATAACAAATCTACATACAGATTTAGTAATCTCTATGTAGATATAGAACATAGTGTATCTAATAAAGACATAGTGTCTGTGGTCTGATGTTAATTTTAGGAATTAGCCGTCACTGATTGGGCCTTGTCCAGGTATTCTTCTCCCTTGTCCTGGCTCTGTAACCTAGTTATCCTTGTCTTTGCTAACCCATAACCAACTATTGTATCAGGACTATTATGCCACTACAGATGATGCAGTTTGGGTTTACTGTTTCTCACCATTTAGACAATACTTCATCAAATATATTTCTGTATGACTTTAGTGATGTCAGTTTTTGATTCATTCCTGCATAGATCTGGGCAAATTGTAGACCTTAGGAGGTGTATTCACCATCCAGTTCTCTGGAACTGCTTATGACATTTTTCTCTGAGCTTTCTTGTCCCAAAAGGAGCCTTCCTAAAATAGTCTTTAAGTGCCTTTAAAAAGAGAAAGAGAAATTAAGAGAAAAAAAACCCCAAACTCATTCCTTTACTCTGATGTGACAGTCCTCCCAGGACACTGCAGTGGCCTGAGTTTTGCTGTTAATTTCATTCACTTATGTTTGGGCTATGTAAATTCTGCCTAGAGCTGGAATGTCATTATGTAAAGAAATATTTTTTGTTTATATTCTTTAATAGTACCAGTAATGTATATCTTATTCAGCTTCGAGAATATAATTGGGTTGTTTATAAAAACCACACATCATCAAACTCACATTGTAACGATTATTTCACTTTTCAAAAAAAATGGCATTAGAAAAACTTGAATGATGTTAGTTATCTTAAAGAAGTGTGTACTATGTTTTTCTGGCTGTCAGCTCCATTTGTTACAACCAACTACAGATTATAAATTGGTTGATCAAAACTCTAAAACAGAAAACCACAAGCCCCAATATTATGAGGAAATCTGGAACAGCACGTAACTCCAAACCTGAGCGTAGACCACCACTGCAGAAGCCAGGTGCTGGGAAAAAGCACTCTGTGTTCCACCACCTGACATTGCTCTGTGCCTCAGAGCACTCACTCCCCATCATGGTCTCTTTTTACCAACAGGGGTCTAATCCCTAATTTATAGATAAGTTATTTCTAATTTACAACAGAAAAATGCCACATGTACAAAATTGCTTATGCATTGCTGAAAATTACAAAACTACTCTTACTAGTTACTCCTGGCACGTGTGGATTATTTATACCTGATATATTCAGGAAACAAGGAATTCCTAAGCACCAGAAGCTCAATTCACTGAAATGTAGAATCATTACAAAGCACATGTCAGATGTGGCTCATTCATTCCAAGCTTGTAGCCTGCATCAGTCTCCTAGGTGGTTTATTAAAACACAGATGACTTAAGCCCCACCCCCTGAATTTCTGACCCAGTGGGTCTGGGGTAGGGTCTGAGAATCTGCATTTTCACCAAGTTCCTGGTGATGCTGGTGCAGTAGCTTCAGGAAGCACACCCCAAGCAGGACTGCATCACTGTGTTTCTTAGGGAGAGGGACCACATGATAGTCTTACCCATCTGCAGCCCTGGTGTGGTGCCTAGCACATAATCACCTCTCAATAGCAAATAACAGCAACAGGAAGAAGAACTAACTGTTATTTGGCTAACCACACGCTGGTTCCCGTGTTCAGTAAGAACTTTACAAAGATTCCAACTCTGTCAGGTAGACGCTACATTTTTCTTTTCTTTTCTTTTTTTTTTTTGAGATGGAGTCTTGTTCTGTTGCCCGGGCTGGAGTGCAGTGGTGTGATCTCGGCTTACTGCAACCTCCACCTCCTGGGTTCAAGTGATTCTCCTTCCTCAGCCTCCTGAGTAGTTGGGCCTGCAGGCGCCTGCCACCGCTCCCTGCTAATTTTTTTTGTATTTTTAGTAGAGACAAGGTTTTACCATGTTAGCCAGGATGGTCTCGATCTCCTGACCTTGTGATCTGCCCGCCTCGGCCTCCCAAAGAGCTGGGATTACAGGCGTGAGCCACCGCGCCCGGCTGACACTAACTTATGTTCCCATTTTATAGAGGGAAAAATGGAGCCTTAGAGAGGTTAAGCACCTGGCTCAGAATAACATGGCCAGTTTGTGGTGGGCCCAGGAAAAAAAAGGGTACTTGAGCCATGTTCCCAGGAATATTTTAAAAGAAAAAAATTGTATACAAATTCAACAGAAAAGTTTTCAAATTGATATTGAGGGAGAAAAAATCATTGACCAAACTTGACTTTGCAAGCCATATTTTTACTCAGCAGCTGCTAGATGTTTTTCAGTGGGTCCAGACATGTAGGATACCACCTTCATGGGCATCTCTCAGAGCTTCTTCTGGAGAATGCTTTTGCTCCAACTGAGGTAAACATCTGTGAGAACCTCTGCATGGTGTCCACAGCTCTCTAAAGGGTCCTCAAAGGCAGCCCATGACTTGCTTAGAACAGCAGAGCCCCTTTGCAAGCTTTGTCTCATCTGTGTCTTCTAACTTAGCAAAAGAATCTGAACTCCTTGCGGTGAGGGTCTTATCTCCTGGCTTCACTGTAAACAATTCAGGATTCCTGCAGTAGCTGCCAAGGAAGGAAGCCTGGGAGAGCTTCCCAAGGCCCAAGACCCGGCCAGCCCCCACCGTGCATGGCAGGCAGAGCTAATTCTCCGTCAGTCTATGCATGCTAGGAGAATGCTTTGGGACAATGTCCTGATAGTAAACACCATGCTGTTTAAACAGAATTCCCATTAGCTTTTCCATGAGGGAGCAAATGCAGAAGTTTTCTTCAGATAGCTTGCAGTTTCTCAGCCATCCCCAGCCCCACCCCCACAGAGTGACAAGAAACAATCACCAAATGGCCGTTGTTCCATTGATCTGTTTATTTCTCTGTCTTTGGGGCAGATGGATCAGGTGCAGGCCTGCTGTGGTTTGTATCAGGCACTTAGGCAGTCCTCAGCCCTGTCTCCCTCTGTTCCTTCCTCCCTCCCCGGAAACTCTTGGGATTCTGTTTCCGCCTCTGAAAAAAAAATCAGGATTCTACTACTACTGTTTAATTTCCTAGTAAATGGTTATTGAGAAATTGGAGTGTAACTACAGGGAAACACTGCAGACTGTGAAAGACCCACGTCTTTGCCAAGCAGACGCTCTGGGCAAGTCGCCTGGGTCACTAACTTTGACACTTTGGCTGTGTTGCTTTTCTTTGGGGAAGATGTATGGCTAAGCTGTCTTTACTTGCCTGTGTCCCTATCAGGCGCAGCAGCAGTAGGAGTTAAGTAAAAGGAGTTAAATTTCTCCACCTTTTGCACATCAGGAGCATGGTCTTCAGGGTCAGATTACCTGGATTCAAACTCTGGCTACACCACTCACTAGCTGCCTGGCCTTGGGTGAGCCACTATACCACCCTCTGCCTCTGTTTTCTCATGTGAAAAGGGGGGACAGTAGTATTATCCAGTTCCTGGGTTCCATGAAGGTGAAATATTAATGCTTATGAATTGGCACAAAGTAATGCTCCATAAAGGGTTGTTGTTATTACAAAAGCTTAAAATCAAAATTAAGGTATCCTCTTTAAAAAGTCCTTGCACATGTTTAGAAGCTGGTGAGGCTGCCAGGTGTTTTCATTGCCTACCAGGTACTTACAGTTTAAAAGAAGAAATGGGGCTAAACATGGTTGGAGGGAAAAGTACACTGAGTTCTATTCACAAAGGTGAACTCAGGTACTGCGCTGTCACGAAAGAGTGGATGGTACTGACTGTGGGAAGCTTCCTGGGGTCTAGGTCTGAGGAATAAAACTGCAAGATAACAAACGATAACGAGGAAGTAGGAGTGCTTGCTTGCTTTTCTTTTCTTTTTTTTTCTGAATTAAGTTCTTTTAATAGATTGCATATATAGATGTTCAGCCATACCCTTAGATCAACTCTTAAGAGTAGAACTTTATATCCAATTAAATGCTCTAGATACCACCTTTCTTATTTTTTACAGTAAGGTCTGGTATTCAAATACCCACTTGTACACTGACAGCTTTAAGAAAAGAGGACACAGAGGGAGCTGTCATTTTTAGCAGCAATGAAATACCACTAAACCCTTTTTACATACCGAATTCAAGTCACTATCAGAGGTGAGCGCACCACAAAGTCAGCAGGTACAAAATTGCTAGTTCGTTTTTCAATTAATAACTTGAAATTACCCTTGCCTCACACCCCATTACATCTTTTTATAAACAGCAAACATTTTGCTATTTTATACATAGGCTAGCAGGCTTGTTTCAATATGAAAGTGCCAATTCATTTCCTGATTTTTATAATCAGTTATGTAGTGCTACAATAAATGACCAATAATCTACATAGGAACAATGATGAATGAAAATGATGAAGATTGAATAAAGCTATCAGATTACCTTATCTTATTGACATATAAAGAATAGATACCCAATGGTGAGGAAGAGACAGAAATTGGACAAATGCTCATAGGTGTAAAAATTACATCTACCTTTGAGTTTTATACTGCAAATGAGACATTTTAAATAGTCCTGTAGCCCTTGCCTATTCTTTCCTCAGAAAAAGAAAAGCTGCCTTCATGACATCCCCTCGTGTTTCAGATTTCCACAGTGTCACTTTGAAGCTTCACAGTCAGGATCTTCCTTTCTTCAAAAAATAAAGAAATATGCCCCCTAAGGTACCTCCCATCCCCCTCGATCCCCCAAAATCCCGCTGGTTTCTTTTCCAGTGCCAGGTTGCATGATCGGGTCCCATCTCCTGGGGTTGTTGTTTCTTTTGTCCATCTATTCATCATTAGTTTAGAGTAGATAACATGAACCACTTCTGGAACCACTGCTAGGACGAACACAAGCTCTTCACTACAATCACACAGCAGGAAAGAAAGAGATAACTCAATTCATCCCTGGTGCTGGGCCTCCAAAATTGAAAGAACTTGGCACAACTGGAGCACTGAATTTGTATCCTCCATGCTTCTCAATCATTTTGGATTCATGGGCTGCTCTTCTTTGATCAGCCAGCATTGCTATATACTGTAACTGTTTTCTTTGTTCTTCAGAAAGATGGTGAGTCAGAGCCTGATACCACACAGGATTACGATTTTGAATAGTTTGAAAGATAGTTTGAAACTATTCAAACTATCGATTTGAATAGTTTGAAAGATAGCTTTAAATATCTGATACACATCAACAGGGTTATCTTCATCATCAATGATTGTGGAATAGCCTTCCAGAGCAGTCTCTTCCGCATCATCTTCTTACCAGTCTTCATCGTCTCCATCTTCACCAGCCTGCTTAGCCAGAATCTCCAAATATTCTTGCCCATCTTCATCAATATCATCTTCATCACTCCCCGGTTCCTCTGGTCAGTGCCACGCCCTTTGCACTGCAGAGCGATGACCTCTAACAATTTTGTTGCATGACACTCTGCATCTTCTCCTGCAACTCCTGTAAGAACCTTTTTGCACATACTGTATATCACTTCAAGATACTTGGTGACAGACAGAAGTGTGTCTGTATCAACTGTTACATAATTACGAAGGAGGAGCATCATATCTGTAAAGTAATCAAAGCCATCTTGCTGGAAGACTTCAAATACAAGGGGAAGTAGCTGCCACATCTGTGGAGACTCTCGTTGTCATGTCAAACTGTGCACTAAAGAGAAGATCTCCTCATAGAATTCTAAGACATGCTGTTGTAAAACAGTAGGAACGACCTGTAAGCAGATTCCCTCGAGCTGTTGGGTTATCTCTTAATGATCTTCAGCTACACTAAGAAGCGTGTCAGGTGTATTCAGAATTCCCATAGCAGTAACTGCTTTGTCATCACTACCTTCTTCATCTGGCCCCATCTGGATTACTTGGTTAAATGTCATTGCCAAATGTTGTGTCATTTCTACTGCAATAGGAGTAAATTCTTCACTATATTCACAGATCATTTTCTGAATTGCATGGGTAAGGTCATCATTTTCTGTTTCTCTGATAATATGAAGAAGAGCCTGCATTACAGGTCTGATGAATGGTGTGATATATTCTTTAGCTTTTTCTTGATTGCTGATCAATACTTGAAGGGCAATGGCAGCTTCCACTTTCACAGGCATTTCTCTATCATCAATCAGACATCTTCTTGTCAGCTCTAAGGCTGTTTGAAGGTTCTGATCACTTTCGAACTTCACTTCACAGAAATAGTGAATTACCCAGCAAGCCCTTGCTCTCATGTAGCCTAGTTCACTGCTGAAGAGGGGGAGTACATGATTCTGCAACATGCATTCCATCTGATCGTTATAGATCTTTTTCTTCAGAAGTATTTCAGCGAAAGAGCCAATCATATGCAGGGCTCCATCTTTTTTTCGAGGGTCAGCATTTGGTTCTGTAAGAATCTGGTAACAAAATCCTATAGTCTTTTGCAGTACCTCTTTCCTCTTACTACAGGCTGTAAACAAAAGTGTCTGGGCAGCAGTGGTAGGAGAAATGAAATCTTCAAACACATCAAACTTCATGCATATATATTCGTAAGGGTCTTCTTGCCAAAGTTCCTCATCAGCATCTGTATAGCACATCAGTGGAAAAATAACATCTTGGATAATGCCTTGTATATGGGGCTTTGGATTCTTCCAGGTGAGAGCATGAGAAACTCCTTGATTAATAAAAATTACAAAGGCAGTGAAGGCCCATTGGGGAATATACAGGAATGTTTAAAGCAGAAAATAAAACTCCTCCACCCAGAGATCATTGTTAATTCCCTAACTCATTTCCTCTTTCAGGCTTTTGAGATAACCTGGGCAGACTCTGGCCATGGGAAAGGAAGGCTCAGGGGCCCTGTGAGATGCTGGTGCCGTCCAGCTTGGCTCCAGCTAGGAAAGATTGGGCCTGGGGTCCTGGACACACAGAAAGCAATGGGATTTGTCAGAATCGTCACCAGCTTCCTCTAAGCCTGGGCAGCAGAGTCTTCTAAGCACCCAGCAACATACAAATTCACCAAAGAAAGCAGTTATTAGAGTTCATACAGAGAAAGGAGCTGATGATAAACTGATTTTCGGTTTTTAAAGATTTGTTTGGTGTATTAAAATGTGTTTTTGTTGTCTTTAGTAGTCTATTGACACCACCTTAGAATCTCTCTCATTCATTTCTCATCTATAAGATGAGGAAGGTAACAGCCACACTTCTTTCTCTTAAGTTACAGACTCCCAGGGAGCAGGTTGCTGAAAGCTCTTTCAGGACACAGTCGAGGTGTAGAGCCCCGTCAGTGTCTAACATAACAGAAGGACAAGGTGGATAGAAGGGCAAGGTGCCTTTCCAGGGCAGCTGCAGAGTATCAGACTTTCTCGAAGGAAGGTGGATGGCCTGGTGGGACGCAGTGCTCTCATCTAGATTCTGGTGAGAATGGCAGTCCTGGAGGTGAATTTAGTCATAGTCCATCAAACAAGTCTAATTGGACATGGCATTCTACCTCTTCAAAAGCTAAACAGCCCACTTGACAGAAGTTTCCAAGTTTGGTTTAGCAATTCTATATTGTATAGATACTGCTTTTGTCTGTTGTAATGAACAGGAGTTATAATTACTCCAAGGTTTGTTCTTTTTTTAATGTGTACACTACTTTTACATCATCAATTGTTGGTCCATTTTGTTAGTTTCTTACATTCCACATAGACTAGTCTGAATGTTTGCAGTGGGATCAGATGTTACTAGCATATTGTCAGATTTTTTGTCTTATTTTTTTTCTATCACAGCCTGCCTGCCTGCCTAGATCTGTAGAACCAAGTCTCATTCAGGTCAAGGATCAAGTGCTTGAAAGGAACTGAAACTCATTCATAGGGTCAGAGCGGGTGGTGGCAGACAGGAAACATTAGAGAATGTCAGGCAAGGCAGGGGCTCTCCCCGGTATTTCTCCCAATGGCCCCATTGTCTCTCCTCTCTGCCATTTGTTTCCTTTCTCTCCAACCCCTGGACCCATACCCTCTGTGAGGCTCTTAGTTTCTGCTCCCGCATAACATCAGCTTGCGTGGAGAGGCCGCTACACTGGCTCTGGAATCGGTGCTTAGTGGCTCAGGGCTCACGTCTCTTGCTTTCTTCAGCAGAGGAGCCTGGGAGTTGCATCTCCTAACACGGCGGGAGAGGGAGGAGCCCCTTGACTTAGAGTAGGGAAACTTCCTGTCATTCCTAATGAGACTCACCTTATTGTCTTGGGAAAAGAAACTTAGGACATTTCAAGCCTCAGAGTGTAGGCAAGAGGCAAAGCAAAGGCAGGAACCAGGGGGCATGGAGGGTATGTACTGCAGGTTTCTCCTTTTCCACACCTCCTTCAGCATACAGAATACACATGATCCCTTCAGGGGTCGTATGGACCAACCTAAACCACCCCCAGCACAGTTTCTAAAATTCACCAACCAAGTGGTTTAAGGAGCGAGGGAGAATTAAGCAGAGTTCTCAGTTCACCTAGTGAGAATTACTAGCCAAGGAATTCTTCCTTGACTTAGGTGAGATTGTCAAGATTCAAGGGATGGACGTTTTTGTTGCTCAGGAGCAGGAAGGAGGCAAGAGTTCATTTTGGAGGTGAGGAATAAGGAGGAGGGCAGCCCAAGGAAAGTTGCGCTTTGAAGGAGCAAAAAGGAACCAGGAGGCAGAAGGACACAGGAAGCCTAGTGCTGTTGTTGACAATAGGTGCTCATTAAACTTCTGGTCAATTAACTGGAAGAGTAAGGAAAAGACGAATGGAAGGCAAAAGGGGGCCCACTCTGGAATGTGGATTTCAAATGTTCCCTATTGCCTATGCTTTTCCCTGCAGCTGAGAGCAGCTGCCTTTGGCTCTGCTCCTGGCTTGGGCCCTGTGGTTCTTGGGGAGGTACGAATAGAGCAGGGGAGCCAGGAGCCCTGTATCAAACAGGCGAGAGTCTTGCATCTTCCTTTCTGATGCATTCTAGAAGTGATGAGAAAGCATCTTCCTCCACTCCCAGTCTGTTGCAAGATCCTGCTGGAATTCCACTCACTTCTCTGCCCTCACTTGCTACAGGGACTTCCTCTCCAGGATGAAGTCATGGGGGCAGGAGCCATGGGGAGCCTTTGCGGCTGTGACCCATGATTGAGTCTGGGGGAGGGGTAGCTGGAGGTGGGGTACAGCCTAAGGCCAATGAAACAGTTTTTCACAGCATTAACTTAATGGGAAATGGAGGGACTCACAAGCAGATCTTGGACTTATGACTGCCACACTCTGCTCTGACCTGTGGGGCTGACAGATTGCTCCTCAGTAGATGTTGGACTTGGGTAACTTTCTCCTTCATGTCCCTTAAAACCCACGACAATTGTGTCTATTCTGGAGTTTCCCTGGCAAGAGAAAGTGAGCGAAAAATAAGCATTTACGTATATATATTTGTGTGTGTGTGAGAGAGAGAGACAGACTCCCAGGGCGCAGGACAGAGACAGGTTCTGTCACTCAGGCTGGAGTGCAGTGGTATGAATATGGCTCACTGCAGCCTAGAGCTCCTGGGCTCAAGGGATCATCCCACCTTAGCCTACTGAGTAGCTGCAACTACAGGTGTGTGCCACCATGCCCAGCTAATTTTATATTTTTTTGTAGAGATGCAGTCTCACTATGTTGCCCAGGCTGGTCTCAAACTCCTGGGCTCAAGAGATCCACCTGCCTTGGCCTGTCAGCTTGGGGATTTGGTTACAGGCATGAGCCACTGCACTCAGTCCATTATTTTTATTATTAACTTAGCAGCTCTAGGAATCTTTACCCTAAACGTTTTCTCTCTCTAGAGATCATAATGGGAAGACTGGAGATTGTGAAATCAAACAAAAATGGGTTTAAATCCTTTCACATTTGTTATCTAATGTGTGGTCTTATCTCATCTCTCTGAGACCAGTTCCGAGGTTTGTATAATGAAGTTAGTAATATTACCTCCTTAAAGCATTGAGGATTTAAGTGGAGAATACCAGTGTTGAGGTAGAAATGCCAGTCAATCCTGGCAGGAAGGGGGATGACTAGAGGACTGTTTAATAAGGGAGTTATTTACAAAGGTGTGGCCAGGGTAGGAAGCAACAGGGACAGAGCTTACCCAGGCTGGTAGCAGTGAGGCCACCCTCTCCAGCTCTGAGGGGGTGGGAGTAGGGCATTGCCAGAACCTGCCTTGCAGGTACTGTGTGACCTTTAGTCAAGAGACAAAGCCATCCCACAATGACACCAGCAGGGAGGAGTTGACAACCAGCGTCATTTCCTTCTCTCTCCCTCCAGTTCCCTGCCTGGGCTCCCTCCCCATTGCTGAAATCCAACCAGAGGCCAGAGGGTAGGGGAGCCCCCGTAGGTAGTCTACTGAGAACAGCCTCTGGGGACAGCAGCTGGAGAAGGGTGAACCATAGAGTGAACCAAGGAGACAGAAGATCTCCAGCACAGCAAGAGCTCAAGAAATGAGATGACTGTGATGAGTCATTCAAGTTCAGTTTAGAGCCTTCCAGCCCATAGCTGGTAAGTTTCTTGAGAACAGGCATTTTTGTTTTCTCACAAAGCATTGGTAAATCTCCATACAGATAATATGCGCCCATCAATGGTTGCTGAACAGTGATCAGGTTCTGAAAAAAAGCAAAAAATACTGACTTGTGAGCAAGTTTAACATTTGAAGTTCAAAGACAATGGTATCATAAATTTAAATTGCACAGCAAGGAATAAAAACAAGACAGGCATCAAGTCTGGTACAGCTTCATTTATTTCTTACTCTTCCTACCGAATTGAGTTTGCATCCAGGTACTCCTCATGCCTCCGTTGGCAGAATGATGATGTAATGAACGAACAGCATTTACAGTAAATGACAGCAAATTGCTCTGTAATTCAAGGGCTAACCCATGTGCCACACAATGATCTTTTGATGTCTGTGAATTTCTTCAAGGTGGGTGGGGAAGCTTTTTGCTTGTAGGGAAGGCTCTGGATGGACTGAGCCTCTGACATATCAACTGTAAATCCTGGAGTCCTGGGGCTTTATTCGGAGGAAGAAAGCACCTTCTACAGGCAGCAGTAGAGTGGACTGTCCCAGAATCGAGCCCACTGCCCTGAGAATTGGACTCCACAATGGCCAGTTGGACATTGTCCTTGTGCCCGGAGGGGTGACCTACACGTGGGACAGGAAAGGACATTGTGGCTTCATCACCAGAAATGCTCTGCCAGGTCTGTCCTTCTGGAACTTGCCTAACCTGCTCTGCAAAGGTTTCAAGATGTTCTAATGCATCCACTTTAATTTATTCAAACCCCAATGTACGGTCAGATTTTTCTGGCTTCTGGCTAGCTAGGTGAAGAGAAGGGTGTTGCTCAGAGGTAATTAAATGGTGGGGCAGAGCCATTAGGAAAGTGCATGGGTCCAGGTCATGCTTCTCAGGCCTCAGGTAGCTTTCTGAGAATAGCCTGTCTTTCGGCATCCCAAACTAAGGCCTCCACAGCCACGCCGGGCCCCAGAAATCTGCATTCTAACACTCCTCGCTGATGTGGACAGGCCTTGTTGTGGAAACAGGACTCCCGGGAGCAAGAGAACCAAAAAGTATATTTCAGGAGAATTTAAACATAAAAAAAGTCCTACCTTATTTAAAAAAAAAAAAAAAACTGCTTACTTCCCTTAAAAAATACGTACCTAAGGTTAGCCACTTGCACTTATTTGTAGAATAATCGCATTGTGCTTACATTTCTTGCAAGCAAAATGTCATTTTATTACCAATTGATCTGGCAAGAAAACAAGTGAGCTAAAACCTTTTTATACTTTTTTTTCTCACCCAAGATCAAGTAATGATTGGTTCCACTAAAGGCTTAGTAGAACAGCCCATCTGTGTGACTGCTGCAAAAGTGGGTGACAAACTCTACACCGGGGTAAGTGACCCTTTCTGTTGTTGTCACCCTGTGGCACCGCACCATCTGTTTGTTGAATTCCTCTGATAGGCTGACTTCTAATGATCCTATACTTTAAAGAAGTGGCTTCTGCAGCATGGGCTTTCAATCCAAAGTCCAGGTGGTGTGGGCTGAAAAAAGGAACTGTCCAGACTCTGGTGCTAGTGTCGGGTGGGTTTCCACAGTCCACGCTGAATGCTGGGGGTCAGAGGAGCAGCCAACCATCAAAGTCTGAGTACAGCGTCTGTCCCATGTGAGCATGAGGGAAAGGGAATCCCAGATCTGACTTTCATCCTTCAATTCCCATGCTCAATTATTTTTAACTTCCATGTTTCAGGATGGAAAAAAATTGCCAAAACACACAGAACAAGGCTTGTCCAGAGAATCGTTGAGGATGTGAGAAAAAGTTTAAACTTAAAGTTCTTATGGCCCTCAACCTTCTGGAGTTAGAGGAGGGGAGAGGGTGATTTGCAGACCGGAGGATTGCTGGAGGCCTAACCCTGAAATTAGTAGGGACAGGTTTGTTATTTGGCTGAATCACCTGGCTGGTGCCTGCCTGAAGTCAGAGGAGACGGGCAGGGCCACCCTATGTATGGAATCAAAGGAAGAGCTAGTGGCTTCTGGTTCCTGGCCAGATTTCTGTCTGTTTCTGCTTTAAATAGGCTGTGTACACCCAAAGGCTGTGTGATGGACACATAGTTATTATTCAGGACATAAGACAAACTTTTGCCTGGCATCAGCTTACCATGTGGCCAAAGCCTGCCTCAGTCCCTGTATGGTGAGTGCTGTTGTGCCTGTTGTCCGTGTCCCCTGGGCTGAAGCCCCATGCCACAGCTCTGGGACAAGGGTGGGGGATTAATAACCTTAGGACCTCGCAGGACCCTGGGGTCCCAGCCTTTGGTTGCCTGTACTGCTCCCGGGTGGAGAAATTCACCTGGGAGTCCCTCCAGGTCCTCTGTGGATTAGGGAAGTGCAAAGAGGTGGGTGAGGTAGCCAGGAGGCTACTCCACACAGCCCTTTCCTTCAGGATGTTTTCTTTCTGCCCAGAGTGGTGGTGAACACACAGGCTGATATCATCCCTCTTTTGCAGGGTCTGTCCTGGCTGAGGCAGGTTTGCACCCTGCCTGGGTGCTCAGCACTTCGTGTGAAGGGAATCATTCAGGGCAGTCACAAGCCCCTGCACCCGGGAGTCCACCCTGGAAGCCAGGGGCTGGCCCATGGCTTCACACACACGGCCAGTGGGACTAGGACTAAGTGAGCAGAGCCCAGTTCTTCTCGTTCCCAGTGTGAGCTGATGTACAGGCACCTCCCTGTAACTGGATCAAAAGGGGACTGTTTGGCAAATACAAATCAAAGCACAGTCTAGGACCCAGCCGATTAGAGAGAAGGCATGAATCAGAGAAGAGAGAAAATGGGAAGAGGTCAGAGATAAAGGCAAAGCGTGGTTGATGAGAACTGCAGAAGTACGTGGGAGGGGTCAGTGTTCTGATTTATTGACTACCTTTCAACTCATTGTTTAGCGTCATGGGAACAAGGCGTTTATCAGACAAGATCAGAAGTTTAAAGGTGGCCAGCTTTATGGGGTTAATAACTCCATGTCCATGTTCCCTAAGTGAAGTGAATAGTTCTTTGTGCTGATAACATGCTGACGGTTTAACGGTGGTTTAGAAAGAGCACAGACCACATGTGAAGAAGTAACCACTTACCAGATGACTGTGAAGACAGAAATCAACAGAACCTGCAAACACGCTATTTTCCTGGACCTAAATAAGTGCCCATTCAGATGGTGACTGCTTTTTAAAACCTTTATTTTTCTCTCTATAGGCTTAACATATGTAATGTAAGGAGCCGGGAATCTCTGCAGGTTAAACTGCTGAAAAGAAAGCTCTGATGAGCTACGGAGGAATGAGACAGAGTTCTTACACAGGGGTGGAGCGGGGGACGCTTTCTGGCTTCATCGTGATTCACTTACTTGCCTTCGTGTGAGTCTCCTCCTTTTCTGAAATAAAACCCATCCTAAAGGACAAGGATTGTTCAGTAAGGAAATTCAAGAGATTTTCATATAAGCTTGAAAGTAATCCAGAAAAGGAATTATAAAAATGCTTTGAACAGTAGCTGTATTATTTAAGTCCACTTATTAGGTGGCTGCTTTGAAGAGACAAATGTTTATTGGGGTTTTTAAGTTCTTGTGCATTTGTTTATAGGAGAGAGATAAAGGAATTTCCATCACGTATGGGCATATCTTGTCTTGACCAGCTAGTCCTCTTTCCTATGATGCTTCTTGGACTTGTGCAGAAAGCATTGCCCCTCCTTACCCCAGGGCCAAGGACCAGCTGACTTCTCACAGGGCTGACTCACAAAACCATCTACCCGAAGCATCTCTACTTACCTGACCTGGGCACTGAAGCGCCTTATCTTGTTTACCTCAGAATCCTCCAAGGGCATGGAAATCACTAGAAATCAAGACAAGTCAGATAAAAGGATTTTGTGCTACTTCCAGGTGTCCAGGAGGTAAAGTTTGGATGCTGAAATGTCAAGATTTACAAGACATTTCAGTGGCTTATGAGAACAACAGAACCATGTACTTGAAGTGGAAAATATAACAGAAAATCTGGAAAGCCACAGCTTTCATACAGCTGTACAAATGACTAGATTATTGCTCTAACATCTATCTGAGGAAATAGGAGTTTTGCTGAAGGATAGGGACAACCAATGTGGACCCTGGCTGTCTTGGGAAATTGTAACACTTTTGGGGTGGCAACTGGGAAGAGAGAGGATGAGGACATGAGAAGGCAGGGTGTTAAATAGCAACATAAAACAAGGGAAGGCAGATTAGAGAGGTAGGCAGCTGTGGCAGACACAGCCAACCATATTTCCCTCATAACAGCTCACATATCCCCTCAGGGTACCAATGTGCTCAGCTTAGAACACACAGCTTCCCTGACTCCCTTGCAGCTAGGGTTGACTGTGTGACCAAGGTCAGCCAATGAGATGCGCTTGAGTGACAGACTGAGGCTTCTGAGAATGCTTTTTGAAGGAGAAGTAGCTGACATGTGTTACTTGGATTGTTTCCCTTTGCCCTTCTCCCTTCTCCCTGGGCACAGAGCTGGAATGCAGAAGTAGGAACCATCTTAATGCTACAGGATAAATGCCACATGCTAAGTGTAACAGAAGAGAAATCTAGAACAAGCCTGGAAACTGATCACACTGCAGAGCTGCCATGCAGCCTTGAATGACTTCCCCCAAAAAATCTTCTGTTATAGGAGAACAGTGAACCTCTATTCAGTTGAGCCATCATGCTCAGGCTTCAGTTTCATAGGGCCATCTGGACCAAGTCCTAATTTATGCTGTACTCCAATATATCAGACCCTGGACAGAAGGCCAAGAGGCCAGAGTTTCAGTCCTGGCTCTGTCCTGGCTGTCCTTATTTATGAGTGTGTGACTTAGGCAAACCACCTAGGACCCCAAGCCTCAAATTGGGGGTAAACTAACTGCCAAAACAACATCTCACAGACTGTGTTGAAACTAAAATTATTTAAAAGTATTTGAAAAGTATTAACATTATTAGGAAGGTAAAGAAAGGGGTTAATTCAGTAAGGCCAGGCTTAAGAGAAGACATTAAGAAAATGTGGTGTTTGGAATTCAAAGTCTAGGAAAGGATGGCCGGGCATGGTGGCTCACATCTGTAATTGCAGCACTTTGGGAGGCCAAGGCAGGTGGATCACCTGAGGTCAAGAGTTCGAGACCAGCCTGGCCAACATGATGAAACCCCATTTCTACTAAAACTACAAAAATTAGCCAGTCGTGGTGGCACACGTCTGTAGTTCCAGCTACTCAGTATGATGAGGGCACGAGAATCACTTGAACCTGGGGGGTGGAGATTGCAATGGGCCAAGATTGTACCACTGTACTTCCAGCCTGGGCAACAGAGTGAGACTCTGTCTCAAAAACAAACAAACAAACAAAAACAAGTCTAGGAAAGGAAACTTCATACATAGCACACCTGGAGATGATATGACAGTTGAGGCCAGGGAAGGAGCCAACATTAGCAATGGATTCCCACGTATTTCCAGCGGGCAGGTGGGTCCAGCAGCAGATGTAGCCAGAGATCCTGGTACCCAAAGGCCCAGTGGGATTAGACTGTGCAGCCTATACAGACCAGATGATAGCACAGAGATCAAACTGCCCCACCACAGAACTTCCTCTCTGCACAGGTTGAAGGGAAAGAGAAATGTGAAACACTAAGTACTTAGCCCAGTGAGATTAAGTTCATCTGGTAGAGATTGTGTAAGCCCAGTTGGAAATAGTGGCTCCTGGGACATTTGAGATCTATTATAGAAAATAAAGTTATATTTCTCTGTGTATTTAAACGTTGTAAATTTCAGTGCCTTTGCCCATAGCTACAGAAAGCTTAATGTCAGTGGGCACAGGAAGGACAGACAGGGTCGGCCCTGGAACTAGATACCCCTGCTGAGCTCGGGCAGGTGCTAGGGATGCCTGAAGATGAGGGAAAAAAAGCAAGTCATGCAGGTAAAACACAATAGCTAGAGACAGGCAACAGGTGGTAGGTAGGCGTAAAGGTGTGTGTGGGATGGACCATAACATGTGAGGAGGTGGAGTGCAGCACAGGGAGGCCCAGCTGAGCTGAGCCCAGCAGAGATATTAGCAGACAGCTGTGGGGGAAGCTGGCCATACCTACAGAACCAGAGCACAGGGGAGGAGAGGCAGAATAGTGCCGGGGCCACAAAAAGGAAATAGCAAGAGAACACAGAGTTATGGTCCAAAGGGGCAAGGGGACAGGGCAAACAATCATCGGCACTAGAGCGAGTCCCCAGGATGTGGCCTCCAGAAGAAGTGACAGCCTGCGTAGAATCAGACAGCGCATCCAGAGTGGGGGTTTCGTGAGCAACGCTTCATGTATCCTGTCTGAGGAGGGGGCTGGGTCGAGCCCCTGGGGGAAGGCTCTTTCTGCATGCCTTCCAGAGGTTGTGCTAAGTGTGGTTGCTGGCGGGAGGTGGGGAGCAGGTAGGAAGATGTAGCAAATGGTCCAAACGGAGTGACAAGGTAGAATGGTACCCAGATAGAACTCTGCCAGGTGAGAAATGCCAAGAGAGCTGCAAAAGCTGTGTCCTTGGCTGTGGGTTTGGGCCAATGAATTTCTCTCCCCAGCATGAGGACTTCGCTGCCTTTATGCAGGGAGTAATGGTAGACAGTGCCTAGTAGATTTGATATGTTGGTTTCTGGGGCTTTTCCAAGTACCCTAAAACCACACCATGAAAAGTGTAAGCCCTGGCCCCCTTCCCAGTGAGTAGTTATCCTCTGGAAGATTCTGGTGCGCTGCTCAGGGCATCGAACAAGCCCCCGGCTGACTTCTTGCTGTTGTTTATCACAGAGGCAGATGGGTGGGGGTGCGCCTGCTACATAGAGGTCGTATGGATGCCGAGAGCAGCACATCTCTTTTTGGCAGCTTAAGCCAGGCCTGGATTAGCAAAGCATCCCAATGGGAAATGCTTCCAGGAGAGAGGAAAATTGGTTTGTTTTTTTAGCACGGGGAGTAGCAGGGGAACATCAGTAGAGACCCTGGATATGCCATCTTGATAGACCAGAATGGCTTTTACTCATTTAAGAACCACTGACTTGTAAGAGCAGCTGGTCGTGACCCACTGTTCCAGCCCTCACCAGTACCAACATTGCTCCCTGAGCCTAGAAAACATGAAGGCTTTGTTCAGTGATTTTATGGCCTCAGGAGAGCTTCACTCGTTGTTATGGACAGAATGTGTCCCCCAAAATTTTGCATGTTGAAGTCCTAATTTCCAGAACGTCAGGATGTGACCTTATTTGACAATAAGATCATTGCAGAGGTAATTAGTTAAGATGAAGTCATTAAGGCGGGCTCCAATCCAACATGACTGGTGTCCTTAAAAAAGTGGAGACTTAGACACAAAGTTATGCATAGAAGGAAGATGATGTCATGAGATGCAGGGACGAGATGGCCATCTACAAGCCAGAAAGAAAAGACAGGGATAGATTCTCCCTCATAGCCTTCAGAAAGAAACAGCCCTGCCAATGCCTTGATCTCGAACTTCTCAACTCCAGAGCCGCAGGAAAATAAATTTCTATTGTATAAGCCACCTAGCTCGTGATACTTTGTTAAGGCAACCCTAACAAATGAATACACTCATTATTCGAAAAAAAAAATACTTTTTCTTCTCTCATCTTTTCCTCTGATGTGCAATAATTAGGAAAGAGACAGTACAACAATTTTGAACATATGTATTTTTGATAGAAGTTTGAAAGCTGGGTATCCTCTAAAATCATATTTGTTCACAGCAAGATTGAAAATTATATAATGTGCCTCACTTTCACTCTTTAAGAGTATTTTTAGGTCCAGGTGCAGTGGCTCACGCCTGTAATCCCAGCATTTTGGGAGACTGAGGCGGGCAGATCACGAGGTCAGGAGATCAAGACCATCCTGGCTAACACAGTGAAACCCCATCTCTACTAAGAAATACAAAAAATTAGCCGGGCATGGTGGCAGGCGCCTGTAGTCCCAGCTACTCGGGAGGCTGAGGCAGGAGAATGGCGTGAACCCGGGAGGCGGAGCTTGCAGTGAGCTGAGATCCCACCACTGCACTCCTGCCTGGGCGACAGAGCAAGAATCCGTCTCAAAAAAAAAAAAAAAAAAAAAGAGTATTTTTAGATAGAGTTTATTTTCTCCAACTATAAGCTTTTTGCTAATCCTTAGAATTACTGCTGGGTGAGGGGAACTGTAAGGAAATGCCAGTGTATTTACTGAAAGTAAATGCTTGCAAGCTTAGGATCATCTGGAGTGATTCCTCAGCCCGACCTGAGGCAGGCATATTAGCCTCACAAAAGTTTGCAAATTCAGCATAATGTGAAAGAAAAGGAGGGCTGGGATATTTATTTTTAAGTGAATCTTTTGATCTCCTGGAAACAAAGTGTTCACTTTCCTGAGCAGAATTAAGCTCTTGGTTGCCTTGAACCAGCAGCAGCCTCAGAATTTGCTCAGAGAGCATGAAGCTCAGTTGGGCTGGTGTGGGAGAGAAGTTTTCCTAAGAAGATTATTAACAGGAAATAATTCATCTGAGTTTCTGAATGGTCTTTCATTGCCAGGCCACAAAAATTCCTTATTTTTAAATAAACAATCATGTGGCTTATGCCTGTAATCCTAGCACTTTGGGAGGCCGAGGTGAGGTGGGTGGATCACCTGAGGTCGGGAGTTTGAGACCAGCCTGAGCAACATGGAGAAACTCCATCTCTACTAAAAATACAAAATTAGCCGGGTGTGGTGGCGCATGCCTGTAATCCCAGCTACTCGGGAGGCTGGGGCAGGAGAACTGCTTGAACCCAGGAGGCAGAGGTTGTAGTGAGCTGAGATCGTGCCATTGCACTCCAGCCTGGGTAACAAGAGTGAAACTTAGTCAAAAAAAGAAAGAGAAGAAAGAAAGAAAGTGAGAGAGAGGGAGAGAGAAAAAGAGAGGGAGGGAGGGAAAGAAAGGAAAGAAAGAGAACTAGGAAATGCTCAGAAAAAACTGTCAGATGAATTCTGTATATAGACTTTCCAAAGCTAATTTGATGGGCTCAGCTTTGGGGCCACGATGTTCACCAACGTTGTGGATTCTCTGGGCCTATTGGGCTCTGAGAGATAGGCCCCAGCACAAGACTGGCACATAGTAGGCCCACAGGAAATATTTAAGGAGTGTGAATGGATAAATGGATTTGGATGCAACAAGTCTGAATTGTGGATGCAAATTTGATTAAATATGTTCTTTATTTTATTTATTTATTTTTTTTTTGAGACGGAGTCTCGCTCTGTCGCCCAGGCTGGAGTGCAGTGGCGGGATCTCGGCTCACTGCAAGCTCCGCCTCCCAGGTTCACGCCATTCTCCTGCCTCAGCCTCCCGAGTAGCTGGGACTACAGGCGCCCGCCACTACGCCCGGCTAATTTTTTTGTATTTTTAGTAGAGACGGGGTTTCACCGTTTTAGCCGGGATGGTCTCAATCTCCTGACCTCGTGATCCGCCCGCCTCGGCCTCCCAAAGTGCTGGGATTACAGGCGTGAGCCACCGCGCCCGGCCTGTTCTTTATTTTTATGAGAGATAAGGTCACATGCATTAGAGACAGGTGTTGACATCTGGTAGTCACTGTGTGAACTTGGCAAAATTATTTCACCCCTTTGGGCTTCAGTTGGGGTGAAAGGCCACTGAACTGAAAGAAGAAGACATGGGCTCCAGCCCTGGGTTTGCCAGGGGCCTGCTCCTGGCTGGGCCTTTGCTGTCTCTAAGAATTTACTAGTCCAGAAAGGGGCAGTCTCTCTTCAGCCAGAAAGGATTTTTAAGATGTCAAAACACCATAATATACAGAAAACTAAAAATACTTACAACCTTCTTTACATTCTGCTTACATAATATCAAGAAGTAACTAAGTCCATGGGCAGTGGCTCACACCCATGTGATCCAGCACTTTGGGAGGCTGAGGCGGGAGGATCACTTGAGGCCAGGAGTTTGAGGCCAGTCCGGCCAACATGGTGAAACCCCACCACTACAAAAAATACAAAAATTAGGCAAGCGTGGTACGCATGCCTCTAATCCCAGCTACTTGTGCGGCTGAGACAGGAAAACTGCTTGAGCCTGGGGGGCGGAGGTTGCAGTGAGCCAAGATCATGCTAATGCACTCCAGCCTGGGAGTGACTTCAACAGAGTGAGACTGTCTCTCCAAAAAAACCCAAAAGTAACATTAAGTATGGTCAAGAAGTACTGTGCTCTTTGACTATTTTATGTGCGTCATCAGAGGTTAGGACATAAGACCAAGGAGAGTCAGAGAGATGGGTAACTAAACAGCTCTACTTGATAAAGCCTGACCCCCAGTGATGTTTGATGACTGGTTGTTATTGTGTGTTCTTGAAATTTTACTCTGCATCTTTTGAATCTGGTCAGTTGCCTGGAGATGATTATAAAAGTTTTACTGGGCCAGGCGTAGTGGCTCGCGCATGTAATCCCAGCAGTTTGGGAGGCCAGGCAGGTGGATCACCTGAGGTCAGGAATTCGAGACCAGCCTGGCCAACATGGTGAAACCCCATCTCTTCTAAAAAAAAAAAATACAAAAATTAGCTGGGCGTGGTGACGTGTGCCTGTAATCCCAGCTACTCGGGAGGCTGAGGCAAGAGAATTGCTTGAACCCAGAAGGCAGAGGTTGCAGTAAGCTGGGATGCACCATTCCAGTCCAGCCCAGGGGACAGAGCAAGACTCCGTCTGAAAAAAAAAAAAAAAACAGTTTTACTGAATTAGTATTATTAAATTGTTTCTTGTGAAGCTTGTACAAATTCTGTATTTCCTCCAGTAGGGGTTTAGTGCGTCAGTTTTCCTAGGACTGGAACTGCTATTGAACATTGATGTGATGTTGAATTTTTGCTACTTTAATAAAGGAACTGCTGCGTTGGTTTTATAAAATACATTTCTTTAATAATTAGCAAATATCCTTTTCTTATGTTAATTTAATAGTTATAATTTTTTGTTGGAAAAGATCTTTTTTTGTTTTTTAATTTATTTTAGAGATGGATTTTCACTGTGTCAGCTAGGCTGGAGTACAGTGGCGCTATCACAGCTCACTGCAGCCTTGAACTCCTGGGCTCAAGTGATTCTCCCACCTCAGCCTCCTGAGTAACTGGGACTACAGGCTTGTGCCACCACCCCTGGCTAATTTTTTTTTTTTTTTTTTTTTTTTAGAGATGGGCTCTCGCTATGTTGCTCAGGCTGGCCTCAAACTGCTGGGTTCAAGTAATCCTCCTGCCTTGGCCTCCCAAAGTGCTGGGAACACAGGCATGAGACACCATGCCAAGCCTAAAATATCTTTTCATATCCTTCATCTAGTGGAGTATTATTCAATTTTAACATCTTATTTAATAAACATGTTATTTCCTAGGGCTGCTAAAACAAATTATTATAAAGCAACATAAATGAATGCTTAAAGCAACATAAATGAATTCTCTCACACTTTGGGACGTGTCAGCAGAGTTGTGCTCTGACAGCTCCGGGGGTGCATCCTTCCTCGCCTCTTCCAGCTTCCACTGGTTGCTAGGAATCCTTGCTGTTCCTGGGTCTACACACGCATCATTCCAGTCTCTGCCTCTGTCTTCACACAGCTTTTTCCCATGTGTCTCTGAGTCCAAATTCCCCTCCTCTTATAAGGACACCAGTCAGTTTCGGGTCCACCCTACTCCAGTATGACCCCTCTTAACTGGACTACATCTGCAGGGACCCATTTCCAAATAAGGTCCCATTCACAGAGATTGAGACTCCAGCTTACCTCGTAGTGGGGGCACTGTTCAGCCCACAACAACACTTAAAAAGAAAATACAAACAGGACGTTCTGACAGAGAAGAAGCAAAAACCCACACCAATTCTCCTCTGGGATTGTATCACTGGCAGGTGACTGGTACAATTGCAGAGGAGAATCTTTGTAGGTTTATTACCATCTGTTATATTAAGGTGCTGCAGAAAGCCGTGTCCTCCAAATTTTTAACTACTTGGATTTTAAAAACATGTACATTGGTTGTTAAGATTTCAGAACACTAGTTACTAAACACCAACTGGAACTACAGAAACCCTCTCTGAGCTTGGTAAGTTAGGAAGGTGCTCTGGGTTTATTTCTCGCCATGGCACTGCTTAGCTACATGATGTAGAACGATCTGCTTAATTGATGTACCTGTTTTTGTTTTAAAATCTGTAACATGCAGGCCGGGCGCGGTGGCTCACGTCTGTAATCCCAGCACTTTGGGAGGCCAAGGAGGGCGGATAACGAGGTCAGGAGATCTAGACCATCCTGCCTAACATGGTGAAACCCTGTCTCTACTAAAAAATTCAAAACATTAGCTGGACGTGGTGGCGGGCACCTGTAGTCCCAGCTACTCGGGAGGCTGAGGCAGGAGAATGGTGTGAACCCGGGAGGCGGAGCTTGGCAGTGAGCCAAGGTCGTGCCACTGCACGCCAGCCTGGGTGACAGAGTGAGACTCCGTCTCAAAAAAAAAAAAAAAAAAGTCTGTAACATGCAAAGTATACCCATCTCTAAGGCTCCTGCCAATGCTAATAACCTAGGACTGCAAATGCCATAATAAGTTAAATCCATTGTAGGGGTACACAGTTCTTCCATGTTGTGTTTATAAATGCAAGCCTAGTCGTTTAGGTTAAAGTTCATTTATATTCAAATCATTGTAATCTGTGAACACCACGGTGGGTTCTGGGGAGGTCAAGAGCTCTGATGCATGCTGAGATGCTCAGGAAATCAGTTCATAGTTTGTTGCCCCAGCAGACAGAGAGGATATTTTCAAAATATAAAAGGTTCATTGAAGCTGGAAGTGGAACTAGTAATTCATCTATAGAGTTTTCATTTTCAAAAACCTTTATAAACAAGAAATTTAGTGGAACCTGGGTTAAGCGATTCTGGAACCCCAAACACAAGGGTCACGTGCAGAAGCAGAGCTGTTTGGATCCAAATTCAGCCTCTCCCTACAGAGTCAAACGTTCCTCTTCAAAGCTCAGTCTCATGTGTGCCCCTGCTCTTGTGCGTGTCCTTCTGAGACAGCTCTCAAGCTTTATTAAGCACACGGGACTGCAACTAATGTGGGGATTATTTGTGAAACTGCAGCGTATTTAAGTCAAAGAGCCAAGAATGTTAGTATTATATAATGAAGTGAACCCATGAATTCTGGGTTTTCTAACTTCATTAGTGATGGACACCAGGATTCACTTCTTTGATGAATGTCTGCCTTGTTTTTAACATTAAAACCAGTAAAGCTTACCTGTTTCATATAATCGTAAAGGAGAATATTTTAAAAATTAAGCCTGGCTGGCCACTGTGGCTCACGCCTGTAACGCCAGCACTTTGGGATTACAGGTGGGCAAATCACCTGAGGTCAGGAGTTCGAGACCAGCTTGGCCAACAAGGTGAAACCCTGTCTCTACTAAAAATACAAAAATTAGCCAGGCATGGTAGCGAGCACCTGTAATCCCAGCTACTCAGGAGGCTGAGGCAGGAGAATTGCTTGAACCCGGGAGGCAGAAGTTGCACTGAGCAAGATCATACCACTGCACTCCAGCTTCGGTGGCAGAGTGAGACTCTGGCTCAAAAAAAAAAAAGAAAAAGAAATTAGGTTCTACATGGTGGTTCAAGCCTGTAATTCCAACAGTTTAGGAGGTCAAGGTGGGAGGATCACTTGGGACCAGGAGTTCCAGACCAGCCTGGGCAACATAGTGAGACCCAGATAATTAATTAATTAACCCTACAGATAATTAATTAATTAACATACTGAGTGCTCTGAGGAATTCTAGTGAAGGTCACTTGTTGACGTTGGGCCTTGCTAATGCATTTGAATCTTCTGCCTTTTCCTGCTTCCCTCCCACCTGCTGTGCCTGACAGGGTCCTACTTACTCCTCAAAGCCTTCCTTGACTCCTCCAGCTGAGCTCTAATCCTTCTCTCTCCTGTGATCCCAAAACCTTCTGCATATTCCTCTGTTATAGAGCTTATCCAGATAACAATCACTAGGGCAGTCCCTGTGATAACATGAGTACTTCATGAGGGAAGGGCACGAGTCATGTTCATCCTTGCAGCCCAGCGCCTGCCACGCAGGGGGTATGGAATGGTTGTTAGTTAAGTAACAAATGGGGCTACCCATAAACATTGCTGCTTTATAGCTAGGGAGCCTCCCGTGGCTAAGAAAGATCGAGAGCTATCATTAAGTGAACGTTGTTATTTTTTCTAATTCATGCATCACTTCAAGGGTAATAATGTGCTGTCTCAGAGCAGGCTAACCATTACTTTAGGCCAGTCTGGTATTCTCCTTTTCTTCACTGCTGCCATTTAACTGGGCGTGCAAATGGAGTCAGGTCTTCATGTTGCTGTTTACTCACCTCAGTAGGGCCTCTCAGATGAACCTTGAAGTAGACTGCACAGTCTACTTTTTCCTTTTTTCCAGAAACAATCCATCAAGCTTTCAATAATTGTGGTTTACGGTCCTGATATTAGAGCAATCTTGGACAGTATTAATCATTTGTAGGGAAAGGTTTTTTTTTTTTAGCTTTTTTATGCTACAAATAGGACAGAGGGGTCTTATGTATCCTTCTCCCAGTGCCCCCCTCCCCCGCCAATATTAACATCTGACATAACCACAGTGCACTGATTAAAACCAGGATATTAACATGCATACAAAGACTATCTACTAGTCTACAGGCCTTATTCAGAATCTGCTGATTTTCCCACTTACATCCTTTTGCTGGTTCAGGTTACAGTCCAGGATCCCACATTCCAGTCAGTTGTCAAACTAAACTGTTTTCTCCAAATGTTATAGTTCTTTAGTTTTTCTTTGTCTTTCATGACCTTGACACTTTTGAACAGCACCAGCCCATTTCTCCCCCCTCAGTTTTGGATTGTCTGATGTTTTCTCCTGTTAGATTGAGGTTATGCATTTGGGGGCAGAAATATCACAGAACAGATGCTGCACCTTCCCAGTGCATGGGAAGTGTTTTTCCTTGACTTTTTTGTGTGTATATTGGAGCTTTTCTTTAAGAGGTAATTACTACTCTTCAACAACTTTTTTCCTCCTCCCCCTTTCCTCTTCCTCATCCTTCTTCCTCTTCCTCTTCCTCTTCCTTCTTTTTCCTCCCTTCTTCTTCTCCTCCTTTTTCTCCTTCTCCTTCTCCTGGCGTTTTATATTCTTTTTCTTTCTCAGGCATTTGGTAGGTCACTCAAAAAGCTTAGGCATTTGGAATCATAATTCATGGGCCAGGATTCCCTTGGAAGAGTGTTTCCCTTCCCCTGGGGAGCCCGAGGAAAGACTGGGCTGGTCATCCTCATGTCAGTCAGGGCCTTCTCCTTTCTTGCAGGGCTGAAGCAGCTCTCCATCCATGCCTGGCCTCTCACTGGTTACAAACTGCTTCGGAGGTTGGGTTCACACAGAAGCTGACCCTGAGACAATGGCTTGAGTCCAAGTTGTTTCTTTAGGAGGTGATCCCAGGAAGCACCTGCCGGGCAGCAGGCGAGAGGCAGGAAGGGAGGGAAGGCTGGTGCCTCATCTTCAGTCTCCATCCACCACTGGGTGAGGGTGCTCCCCAGGGCATTCCTTTTCTGGCATTTTGGCCTGGTCCAAACCAGAGAAAGCCTGCAGACAAGGAGTCAGTGGGCAGGAAGCAGGAAGTCTAGACGGAAGCCCCTGGTGTTTAAGGCAACTGCAAGTGCCCAGAAATATGGGAGGGAACCTACGTTGCCCCTTCCCCCTTTCTCATTTTACTTCTCCCATTTTTCCCCAATATTAAAGTAAAAATCCTAAGTAGTACCTGGAGCAGGGTTGCAAGGGGAAGGCATTAGAATAGAGGTTTTGTGTTGATAAAAATCCGCAGCTGCTGGCAGTGCTCTCATTCCTATGTTCTTTTATATTTTGGATAAATTGATAGTTACTTCTATTTTTGCAAAGATGAGTGACCGAAAGCAGAAAAGAAAAATGTGTTTTCTAACTTAAAAAGTTGCTCCTTTCCAAGTAGAAGTCTTTTTTTCCCAGGCTTTCCGACTCTGCTGCCAGTTATGGAGAGAGATGAGTGACCTGAGCTCTGGGGGACGTCCTGATACCACCCACAGGGAACCCGAAACGTCCTCCAGGGGAACCACAGAACATCTAACAGTGGGGGCTGAGCCCTTTTCAGAAACTGTCTGGCTACTTGATGCCATGTCTTGCTATAGATAGTCCCAGAGGTTCTGAGATGTGACCTCTAAGACTAGGAGAAAGGACTTACTTGGAGGAACATGTGACACTTTCTCTCTGGCCAGATGACCTTAGCCAAGTTATTCTTCTAATGTCCTCATCTGCAAAATGGGAAAAAGAACACCTATCTCATGTGGTTGCCCTGAAACCACAGGGCATATGATGAGAGGTCACAGGTGAGAAAGGCCGCCCAGGGTTGGCCAGAAACACTCAAAGCACGTAGAGTGGGGAGAACAGAGAGCCTCCCACCACACCCCCGACTGTGAATGTTCATGAGCTGAATGTGCACTAACTCAGTGGCCCCAGTGGGATCTGCAAGGTCATTATTGTGATCCCACTTCTCAGAGCAGAAACTCAGTTCCCAAAGATGCTAAGCCCCTGCCTCTTGGGATGTAACTGTAGGTGGGCGAGTCAGGACTTGGATCCAGTCTGTCCAATGCTGTGATCCACTCTCCCACATGCCTCGTGTACGTCACAAACATCACACCAAAGGGCGAGAGCGGGTACTCATCTTCCCCTGCCCCACCTTCCCACATCAAGATGGATAATGAAAGAGCACTTGTAAACTCTTTTCCATGCCCAAGAGACAAGATGAGCGAATGAAACTAACATCACTCAGCACCTTCTGTGTTCCAGGAACTAGGCCAGGTGCTACCCAAAAAGTTTCCTATTTAAGAAGCGTTGGAGGATGGCAAAACCCAGCTCTCCTTCCTGGTTGTCGCACAGCGTACACAATGCACAAGCACTGGCCCAGACAAACTTTGATCAGGCACCGCTGAGCAGCTCTTGGGGGCTCTTTGGTGCCTGCAGGTTGCTGCCATTGTGCCCCTCACTCAGCTCCGTCCGGGTTGCAGCACACCAGCCCCGCTGCAGCAGCCACCGAGAGAGGATCCCACCTTTCAGACTTTGGCCAGCGTGGCGTAGTTGGTGTTTTCTTGACCAGGGTCGGAAGAGGCAGAGACTAGGGTTCCAGGTTCTGGTGGCAGCCTCGTGCAGTACGGTATGCTGAGCAAATCCTTGCACCCTCCTGGCCATCCACCTCCTTGCCTTTGTCTTCCAGTTTCTGCTCAAAGCTTTCCCCTTGGCCTAAGATGCTGCCCACTTTCCAATAAATCCTTCATTACTTCCAAATTTGGATGAATATTTCATTAGACCTATGATCAAATGGAGGGTGAGGACACAGAGGTCCCTTGGGTAGTGATAAGGTGGGAGGCAGGTAGAGGAAAGGGACATTGTGAATATAGTTAGAATGAGCTGGTACACTATTTCTGAAGTGGGCAAGTCAAAGGAGACTGTCGTAGCCACCTTCTTTTCAACTTCCTGGCAATACTGACATCACTTTGTAATTTAGATGCTGGGGGTGTCAGAAAGAGACAGTGTGAAAGGCACTTGATTAAAATGTGTAAATCCTACTGCCCTGAAAGAATCTGATTTTTTACAACAGCCACAAAATACTAAGTAGACAGAGGCAAAGGTCTAACTTCATTTTTCTATTGAAGGTATTAATTAGGGCTGTTACTAACAGTGGTGGCATTGTGAAAGAGTCAGAGGATTCCAGCCAAACAGGACTTTTCAGGGGCTTTGAACAAGGTTTAAAGTATGTCCCTGCAGGGGAAAGGAAGCTGTCTGTAGCATCCCTACCAGCACGTTCCTCTGATTGTTCTCAGTTCATGTGAGTCCACAGAGGACATAAACCGAGTGAGCTGGTAACAGATGTAATGAAAGTACTCCAGGCCTCAGTAAGAAGAGTCAGAGGGGTGGCATTGGTGCCTGAATAACAGCATTTGTGTAGCTAGATTAGAACAAAGCAGGGACTGGGGAACTCTTCCTGCAATTCTCAACTTACAGTTTGGGGAATGAAGGTATTAGTAACTGAGGTGAGGCTGAGGCAGTGGAAACATAGCTCAGGTGGAGAGAATTGTGCATGATCAATAAATAGAGAACGGCTAATTTTCAAATTGGTGATGCTGCTAGGAGGGCGTGAAGGAGACTAAGACAGGAAAAACATCCTTGTGGACAGCATTGGCCAAGACTTCACGGCGGAGACAGAGCACAGCTGGGGCTTGGAGGAGAGAGAGCTCTATGCTGATGGAGGGAAGGAGCCTATTCCATATGTGAGAAAGAAGGGGGACGAGCACTCCCGACCAAGTCAACAGGCATAGACTGCGGGGGCCAATCTGTCTGCAGCTGAATGTGGTGAGGAGTGGCAGACACTTGGACTGAACAGGTAGCACAAGGTCCCTCTCTGGAGAGCTTTGGCAGCCAGGAAGAATTTGGATTTGGGAATCTTTGCTGATTAAGCAGGAGGGGAGGATGATACACAGGAGAAATGGTATTTTAGGCAGCACCTATCCACTTTCTATTTAGGATAGAGGGAGTCTCAGTCAACAGACTTTGAGTATCTTGATCCCATTGGCAAAGCCAGCCTAATTCATAGATCAGCTTCAGGGACTGAAGCCAATTAAATCGGGGCACTCCAGCTTCACTGACAAGGCTGTTCCCATTGTGAAAGGGAGGTCAGACTCTGTAAGCCAGATACAGTTAGTCCTCCAATTTCAACTCCTCTCCCTGCGGCCAGGCCAGATCACCGAGTACCCTTGTGATCGTTAGCTGCTTCCATGCAGGCAGGCCTGCAAGAAATTCGTTGGCTTTCATTTAAAGATAGGAATTGGTAACTAAAATTGCTAGGGCGATACATAACTAAGTACTCTATAATCTTATCTACATAGATAAGAAATAATACATAAACCTGTATGATAATTAACACAGAGGAAAGTAGGCTATAAATAACCTCTAAAATGTTCTTTTACAGGGCACTAAGGAAATGGAAATGCACAGCAATTTAAAAAAAATGCCAATACTTCTCTTACTTGTCACAGGTTAGAGATATGTGAATGCCATGATTATGTTATACATTTAATTAGTATATACCTTTGTGTCTAAAGCATTTTCCATCGTGGTCGGCTATGCTTCCTGCAGTCTCAAATGCCCTCTACACACTACGGAATATCCTATCTCCCAGATGGACTGAGATTTCTTTACCACCGCATCCGTCCCCGCCCCACCCCTCCCCCACCAATTTTGAACATTTTACAAGCTCCAGTCTTTTAAAAAATCTCATTCAGGCATGATTTTTTTTTCCTAGAAAAACTATGCCTTTCACTTAGAAATAAAGAGAAGAAAACATCTTGGCGAGTCTTGAAATATGTCAATAAATTCATTGCCCAATAGGCCTCTGGATGAGTTTATTATTTTCCGCTGCCCATAACTCCAAGCATGCATTGGATGGAAGATGATATCTGATTGTTCAGATAATTTTTTTCTTACCATCAAGAATGGAATGCTTTTTCCACTTATAATTAAAATTGTTTCAAGAAGACTACTCTGATTAATTGGCCTGGTGGTATGTGTGATGCATGTCTCGTACTTTAGGCAGAACAGGATGCAGAGAAGGTGGAAAGGAGATAGAATGATGACCGTATTGAGTAACTGGGCCATGACAGTGAGTGTAGTCTGCTTTGCTAAATGTGAGTTTCTGTAATTTAGCTTGTAGGTGACTGGTAAATAGGGGCAGAGTGTCACCATCATGTGAAAGTTGTGCTGATTCATAGCAATTTCTGCCCTACACGTTAATGCTGGCCAAGCTTGTCTATCCACTCTCTTCTGTGTGCTCCCTTCTCCGTTGGAAGTGGTGATTGCTCGGTGCTCTCAATCTGGGAGCATTTTGCCCTTGTCTTCATATCTCAGCAGGGTCAACTCTCAAGCTGTTAAGCCCCTTCCAGGAAGCCACCCACACCTTTTAAAAAAACTTGTAGTAAATATACAGAACAAAACGTACCATCTTAACCATGTTTAAGTCTATTAAGTACATTTATATTGCTGTGCAACCAACACCACCATCCATCTCCAGAGCTGAAACTGAAACCCTGTACCCATTAAACATTAACTCCCCGTTCCCTCCACACCCCTAGCCCCTGGCAGACACCATTCTACTTTCCTTTTCTGAGCTTGACCGCTCTAGATACCTCATATCAGTGGAATCGTACGGGATTGGTCTTTTTGTGATTGGTTCATTTCATTTAGCGTAAGGTCCTCAAGGTTCATCCATGTTGTAGCATGTGTCTGAATCTCCTTCCTTTTAAGGCTAATATTCTATTGTATGTATACACCACATTTTTTTAATCCATTCATCCACCACTGGACACCTGGGTTGTTTCTGTCTTTTGGCTTTTGTGAATAATGCTGCCATGACTATGTTGCGTACAAATATCTGTTAAAGATCCTGCTTTCAGTTCTTTTCCGCATACACCCAGGGGTAAAATTGTTGAATCATATCATTTCCCATATTTTTAAAAGACATTCCTGCACAGCATTTGCAGTTGTAGTTCCTTGCTAGGAATCTAATGTGCCTTTTCAACTGCCTATGTCTTTTGATTACGATCGTTACTATTGTTAGGGCTCTGGTGATGAAGTCCTCAGGGTTCAAGGGGTCTCAGTCCTACTTTCATGAGCCCCGTTGTCTTTTGTGCACAATTTCACAGAACACAAGGCTTTTTTGTTTTTTTATTTTTTTTTCCTGAAATGCATACATCCCATCAGAGCAGAAATGGCCATAGGGTTGGAATAAATAGGCTGGGGTATAACCCTGTGCTGTATTACCTAATTACCTCAGAAAAATGAAACCATCTCAGTTTTCTGCTCCTTAACACTGCCTCCCAGGGTACCTGCAGGAGTTTCTGACCTGAAGCATCAAACACAAGCCCTTGGTGTACACATAACCAGTGTGATACGTTAGGAGTTTAATATGGTTGACCAGAGGCTTTTAGTCAGAGGGAGAACTTGGTTGAAGAGTTGAGAATCTCTGCAAGGAACTGGCTCAGTCTTTTTCTTATGCCTACAACTGTTGGCATTGTACACAAGGCTTAATGGACCAAACACATCAGACAAGTAAAACACCTAAACAGGAGCATTCTGTCCTAGCAATGAGTGTGTGTCCAGAGAGATCTGGAAAGCTTGAGGAAGGCAGGGAGGGGTAGAACAAGGGAAGTAAGGACACAGGAGCTGCTGTTCATTCTGGTAGAGCGGCTTGTTTATTATTCATGGTTTCCATGAGTGTTTGTTTATACCAGGAAATGCTCTCCTATGCATGCCACATGAGAGCAGGGCTCTGTGACTCAGGGTTGGTGACTGGGCTTGGAGGAATGTAGGCTCCGTCCACAAACAAAGGAGAATGAGGATTTGAATGTCACGGTAAACTTATTTGTGACTAAGGAGGTAGTGGGCAAAAGGGGGGCAGGAAGAAGCCATGGGGCAGATGAAAGAGGCGTCCTGTCTGCCCCCTGCCTGTTGCCATCACACTGGGTCGTTTTCCACATTGCTGATCACTGCAGTGTGTTCCAGTGATGGGCTTTATCTCATTAGTGAGTCCTGAAATGAATTTAGCAAATTTCCACCAGAATTAAATACAACAACCCAAGAGAGAAGAGAGAACACCGAACACACCCCATGAAGTAAAGGTTGGCATCGTTTGTCATTCTCTTTATGTTCTCATATGTGAGATCGTGGGGGTGAAATACGCATCTCACTGTGGGCTGTGGTCGGAAGTTTGAAAAACACCCTGGCATTTTGCCTGTCTTCTGTTCCTGGACCTTCCCTTTCTGTTGGTGAGAATTTTGTGTCCAAATCTGGCCAAGGGTGGACTCTGAAGAGACAATCCCTGGTTGACTCTAGTGTTCATTAGAGGAGTTCTGCTGCCACTTTTTCAGGAATCAGAGATGCCCTGAGGCCACCTAACACTCCTAGATCTTCTGTCACTGTGGTGTAGTGCAGCGTCCTGAATTTGGAGCTAAAAGCTTGGATTTGAATCACTGGAAATGGCTGATGGGGGCGGGAAAGCTCCCACCCATGTGGGGAAGAACCCAGAGGGAGAGCGGCTTGTACAAAGGCCCTGCGGGGCGGATAGAGCTGGAGAGCTGCGGGTCAGGTTGTCACAGGCCTTGCATGACATGCAAAGAAACTTGAACTCGGTTGTGTGGGTGCTGAGGCCTGACAGGAGTTGGGGGTGTTTCAGAAAGAGCTCTTGGGCAGCAGGAGGTGGTTGGGGAGGAACACAGAGATGGGAAGGCCTGCATCCAGGGGCTGTCGGGGAGGGAGAGAGCTGCTGTGCCACAGGGTGGCTGTGGGGAGGGAAGGGAGAGTGTGGGGCATGGGAGAGTCGGGGGACTGTCCCACAGAAAGCTGGTATCTGCCTGACTGGTGGCCAGGTGTGCAGCCTGGAGGAGACGGAGCTGGGCAATGCTGAGATTCTTAGGTGGACTGATGGGGGACAGTCACATTAGAACATGGTGGGCCAGACCCTCTGTCCTGAGACACATTGGCTCTACAGTGCCCGTCTCCCGTGCTCTCCTCCCACAGCCTCCACTTCTCCAAACACCCTGGGTTTCTCCCTGCCCAGCACCAGTGCACCCACCGCATGTCCTCAGTGCTCTCAAGTGGCATCACTGCTGCACAGCTCCTGCCAGTCCCCTAGAGAGCAGCCTGCAGCCTCAGTGGCATGGCAGTGCATCTCAGCACTGGGAGTTCCAATCCTATGAGATGTCACCGACTGGCATGGGTGCCCTCTGGGGAGACCTGGTTCAGGCAGGACCTCCTTTTTAAGGCTGTTTCTAACTTCCCATCCATCCTGAATTAGTCAGTGTTCTCCAGAGAAATAAAACCTATAGGAAGTATAGAGAGATAAATATTGATTGATTTTTTTTTTTAAGGAATTGCACACAAATTTGAGGGCTGGCAAGTCCAAAATTTGTAAGTAGGCCAGTAGGCTGGAGACTCAGGTAAAAGTTGATGTTGAAGTCTTGGGTCCAGAATCCACAGGGCAAGGCAGGCCACAGCAGGCTGGGGATTCAGGCAGGCTTTTGTGTTGCAGTCTTGAGGCCGAAGTCCTTCTTCCTCAGGGAACCCACATCTTCTCTCCTATGACTGTCCCCTGATTGGACAAGGCCCACCCACATGGCAGAGGACTCTCTCCTTTACTCAAGTCTAGTGACTTAGCTGTTAGTATCACCTAAAAATACCTTCACAGCCACACGGAGACTGCTGTTTAGATGTGTTTGCTGTCTAGATGCTGTTTGACTGGGCGCCATGGCCCAGCCAAATTGATGCATAAAGTTAGGCATTACAAAACCCCCACTAAAGAGTTGACAAGTCCCTGTCTGGGGTCTTTGCATATTTTAATCCATTCCTACAGGAATCCTGCGAAGATTCATAATCCTCATAATTTTACAGATGATAACATTGAGATTCACACAGATTAAGAGGCTTGCCCCAAATCACACAGTTCTGGAGACAGAATCCAGGAGATGGCCCTCAGACCCAGATGCTTCCTCCCGCAGTGCTGAGCTATCTGTGCTGTGATTGTGGGCATGCGTCCTTCAGCATTCAGGTTACATCAGGACTTTGAAAGACAGGCAGATCTTGGTCTGAATCCTTGCTCTGTCAAACACATGGGGCTGAGGACCCGGAACCATTTGTTTAACTCCTGGCTCAGTTTCCCCATTTGTAAAATGAAAATAATGATAAACTCTCCCTGGTTTTAATGATGAAGTGAAATATGCAACACAGTGCCTGGCTGTTAGTAACCATGCACTAGACAATAATAATGGCTGTAATATTGAATGTTTCATCATTTACAACCAACTTATTTGACAGAGAATGAAAATACCCAGTTATATACATGAAAGTCCTGTCTCTGTCAGGGTTTTGTAATAAACATTTCAAATTATGAATAGATGTCCATTACTGGAGTTTTTTTTCCTTTTTTTTAAGAGTGTTGGGTCTGGAACTCAACTGTCCAAGTTCAAACACCAGCTGTGGGTACATCACCAACCTACCAGAGAGGGCTCAGCTTCCTTATCTGTAAAATGGTAATATTAGCAGTTCCTACCATTTAGGGTTATTGTGAGGATTAAATGAGTAAAACATGTAAAATGCTTAGAACAGAACCTGGCACATACTAGGTATTTAATAGACTTTACCATTTTTACCAGCTGCATAGTCTTTAACAGTACTAAGCAGTATAGATGCTTGATTAATTTAGCTAACACTAGTGAATTGATATTGCCCAGGATGAGGGCTGCAAAGGGAGAGAAAGGCATAAAGCTGTGAAGATGTGGTTCAGTTCTCAGGGAATGCCTGGTTTTCTAAAGGTGGCAGGGCCTTCCAGGAGCAGCAGACACAGGCAGAGTGTGATACGTGAACACACTGAACAGTCTTAGTCTGTTCAGGCTGCTGTAACAAAATACCTTAGACTCAGTAATTTATGGACAGCAGATATTTATTTTCCCACAGTTTTAGAGGCTGGGAAGTCCAAGATCAAGGCACCTGTAGATTCAGTGTCTGGTGAAGACCCTTTTGCATGGATAATGCCTTGTATGTGCCCTCACTTTGTGGGAGGGGCACGGGGACTCCCTCTGCCCCTTTTATAAGGGCACTCCTCCCATTCATGAGGGTGGACACAAGCTTTCTGACTCTAGCACAAGGCACAGCCCCAAACAAGGCACAGGCCAGGTGCCATGGGACTCAGTGGTTCCTGCTCAAGGACATGGCCACTTTCCTCTGTGCCTACTTCACAGCTCTGTCTGACACCCATCCTGTCACATTGTGTGTAACGACCTCCTCTTCCGCCTCTTTGATAAGCTCCACCAGGGAGGTCCTCCCCAGTGAGGTCTTGCACAGCGGGTGTTCTATGCCAGTGAGGGAATAAAATCATGAAAGCATTCCAGCCCCACAGCTCCCACATCCCCGTCTGTGTGACCAGTGCTTTCAATCACAGCAAAATGATGCCCATGGCCTTTTCAAAGTCCTGCTGTGGAAGATGTCTCTCTCTGTCACTCACCATCACCCGTTCTTCAAATATGAGCTGCTCATTCATCAGGCTTGTGTTGGATGGTCACTCTGAGCAAGGCGCCAGAGACAAAATGCAGAGCCACTCCAAGTCCTTATCATGGAGGAATTGACAGGTCTTGAAGCAGCTTTCTCTCTCTCTCTCTTTCTCTTCCTCTCCTCCCTCAAATGTTCAGAACTCAAATGATGATTATTTCTTTTCTTTCTCACTTTTACATTTTACATTGAGACTTTCACCTCCGTGTAACCTTTAAGTACACCCAATACACAGCGTAGCTGAATGTGACAAAGGTCAACATGCAAAACAAAAGCAGTGTTGTGCGTGTGTGTGAGAAAAATGTCTATGTTACGTCTGTGCTCATGTCTACTTAGGACCTCTGAGTTGGGACTTGGGCATCCTCTGTGGATGGTGTCTCTTTACTCTGATTTTATCATCTGCATCTCCCCATCATAAACATTACGTCCACATACAGACACATTAGCTGCCTGGCAAAGGAGCTGTCATGCTGGTCTGTCTCATGTATGTTTAGGGTTTCCAATAGGCCCTGGTGGTCCTGGCACCTCTGATGTGGGTGCCCCATTTTCCACCTGCAGTCCTGTCTTTGGGCTGTGTGGCCCACGTGGCTGGCCTTCACTCTGTGCACTTCCTCCTCACTGCCACCAGCACACTCTTCTCACACTCCATTTCATTGCCTAAAAAGGAACTTGTTCTTGTCAGGTAGACAAGGAATAAATAATAGAGCTAGGGTTCTGCTAGTACATGACAGAGAAGTGAAGACATTGACAATTTAGGACTCAGCATGTGTAAAGTACACCCTTCAGATGACAAAATCAGTGAAGGCAGCCAAGGCCACTTTCAACAGAGGACACGTGGTAGAGAGAATGATCCACGGTACGCTGCAAGGAAAACTGTAGGTCTAGGGTAAAATAATCACAGATCCCCTACCCATGTCAATTGCAATTCCATTTATCTCTGAAGCCATATGTATGAAGAGCACATACTTTATGTGGATCTACACAGGAGAACAGAGTCTAAAAGAGGAGGTCATTTTGAAATATCCATGGAGATTGATGACCACTAAAAATTACTGGGAAGTGGGCTGGTGAGGTATAGTGAGAGAGTGGAGTTTGGAATTCATCCCTTGGGGTTGGAATCCTAGCCCAGCCACTTCTAACAATGTGACTGAGCTGCTTAGTGGAAATAAATATCCACCCTTTATCAAACAAGTGTTATCTTATGAGGACATTTATGTATGTTCTCACCTAATGTTCACATCAACTCTGAGCGGTGGGAACTATTGTTATCCCTATTTTTATGATTAGAAAACTGAGGCTAAGACAATACCAAGTTTTAGTGAAGGTGGGGGACCATGTAGAACTCTCTTCTACCACTTGTGGGAGTGTAAACTGATACAAGCATTTTGAAAAAAAAAGCTTGGCCGTAGCTACAGAAGGTAAACATATGCACACCTGATAGTCTGGCAGTACCACTCCTGGGTAAATACCCAACAAGAGTGTGATTTTTTTTCCACTAAAAGCATGTTCATGTCCTGGCCACATAGTAACCAAAAGTAAAACAATCTAATTGTCCATCAACAATAGAATAGGACATAGTATATTCAAACAGCAGAATACTACACAGCAATGAAAAAAATGAACAAGTGTTACACAGAGCAACATGGATGAATCTCAGACATACTGTTAAGGAAGTCAGACACAAAAGTATACATCCTGCATGACTCCATTTATATGAAGTTCAAAAACAGAAGTAATTTATGGCAATAAACATTAATGTTTACCTTTGGGGTACTGGGCATTGCTAACGGGGGGGAGGGGCACATAAGGGAGTCTTTTGAGGCGCTAGAAATTTTCAGTATTTTCATGTTGTATTAGTTTTCTATGATGTGGAACAAAGCACCACAGTGTGTTAAAAACTATGCACATTTATTTTCACACTTTTAAGCGAGTTTCCAGGGGTGAGGAGTCTGGGCACAGCTTAGCTGGCTCCTCAGCTCAGGGCCTCATGAGGCTGCTGCCACAGTTGGGCTGGGCTGTGTTCTCATAGAGAAGCTTGACTGGGGGAGAATTTGCTCCCAAGCTCATTCTTAGTGTCGACAGAATTCACTTCTTTGGAGCTGTGTGACTGATAGACCAGTTTTGTTTGTTTGTTTTGAGACGGAGTTTTGCTCTTGTTGCCCAGGCTGGAGTGCAATAGCATGATCTTGGCTCAGTGCAAACTCCAACTCCCAGGTTCAAGTGATTCTCATGCCTCAGCCTCCCTTGTAGCTGGGATTACAGGTGTGTGCCACCATGCCCAGCTGGTTTTTGTGTTTTTACTAGAGCCAGGGTTTCACCATGTTGGCTAGGCTGGGCTCAAACTCCTGATCCACCTGCCTCAGCCTCCCAAAGTGCTGGGATTACAGGCGTGAGCCACCTTGCCCGGTTGGTTATTATTATTTCTATATTACAGATGAAGAAACTAAGGTTCCAAGCAGTTTGCCCAAAGCACCCAGCTAGTGAAAGATGAAAGGGGGATTCTATGAAAGGTCTATGTGCCTCTGTGGTGCTCCATCCCCAGTGACAGAGATCTGTCACGGAAGAACTTTAGGGCCTACTGTGTAATGATGGAGTCCAAGTGATAAACCAAAAATTGACAGATGAAGCTATCAATCATGAAAATTTAATAAAGAAGACAGGTTTTTCAGGAGTTACTCAATTAAATCAAAGAGAATACTGCTTGTGAAGGATGGCTCTGGTAAAGTGGTCTGCATCAGTGCTAGTCCACACACACTCTCGGTGCCTAGATTCATTATTTAAAGTGGGACTGATGGGCAGTGGGATGGAGTGGAAGCTTACAGGGCTTTCAGAACCAAGCCAGAGTCAGTGAGTGGCAGAGACAGCTCTTTACTGCAAAATCCCAATGGCTTTCTGCAGATTCTGGCCTGCAGATTAGAAAATGGGACATTTTTAAAAACTGTGGTAAAATACACATAAGACTTACCATTTTAACAATTTTAAGTGTGCAATTCAGTACATTAAGTACATTCATATTGTTATGCAACCGTCACCATCATCCATCCACAGAACATTTCTCATCTTGCAAAACTGACATTCTGTCCCCATTAAGCAGTAACTCCCCACTTTCCCACTGCAGCCTCTGGCAATCACCATTCTACTTTCTGTCTGTGAATTTGCCTACTCCAGATACCTCATATAAGTGAAATCCTACAGTATCTGTCCTTTTGTGATGGGCTTATGCATTTAATGTAATGTCCTCAGGGTCCACCTGTGTTGCAGCGTGTGTCGGAATTTTGTTCCTCTTTAAGGCTGAGTGATATTCCATTGTATGTATTTACTACATCTTGTTTATTCATCCATCCATTGATGAATACTTGGGTTGCTGTCACCTTGTGGCTGTGTGAATACTGCTGCTATGAAAGTGGGTGTACAAATATCTGTTCGAGTCCCTGCTTTCAGTTCTTTTGGGTATATCCCAGAAGAGGGATTGCTGGATGATACGGTAATTCTAGTTTTTTGATTTTTGAGGAATTGCCATACCTGTTGTCCACAGCAACTGTGAGGACAGCGTGAGACCGTTTATTCTCCTCTTTTGCCTGTAGCTGCCCTGCCCATTCGTATTCCCCCCTCCAAACCCAGGTGTGATGGGGGCCCTGTCTCCGAGCAGACAGGGAGGCACCGTAGATGGCACACTGGATCTGGCTCCTGGCCCACCCCATCTGTACTCTAGTCCTTTGGCCTTGATGACCCATTCCTGGAGGCAAAATGCTTTCCTCTCTGTGCCTCAATTAATTGGGTTTCCCAGCACCCCAATAGCCAAATAGATACTTATGTGCTAAGATAATGTGATAAATGCCAAACATTATTCTGTCATCCTAGGAAGCTTCAAATTAGAGAGAGATCTGCTCTAGTAAACTGTAGAATAAAATATAGCAAACGCACCTTATCCATTCTAATCAATGATAGCCACCAGTTATTGAGCATTTGACCACGTGCCAGGCAGTGAGCTGGGACTTTACATACATTATTACACTTAATTTTCACCATAAGATATCACAGATAAGGAGCCGGTCAAAGTGAGGTTATGAAGTTTTCCTAGAACCCACATGGACAGAGAGCAGAAGAGGCTCAGGTTCTCTCCTGCTCTCTTGGGTCTTGCCTTATGTGCCAGAGGCATCTGTGGTTCAACCAACCCCCTTTTGTCCCCTGCCACCTTCACAACCAACAAGATGCTGGAGGCTGCTAGATGAAGATAAAAATGTCAGTGATATTACTGACAAAATCATCTGGAGAATGAGTGCACAATTGTTGCTAATGATCTCTGAGTGACCTCCCAGCTCCTTTGCCTCTGCTTCCCTAACCCGGTCTAGACCTTAAGTTACTTCCTCCAGGTGAAAGTCTGGTCTGTGGCATCCAGACACTGACCGCAGATTTCTCCCAGCCGTAGTCTGGGCGGAAAGGTTAAAAAAGAGTGAATACTCTGTGCTGTTAATAAATTAATAAATCAGGTTATTCTATCAAGGGAGTCTACCAATGGATTTCTCCAACCAGTCAGGTAACTCCTTTTTCTTTTTTTTCTTTTTAATATATTTTTTTGAGATGGAGTCTCGCTCTGTCACCCAGGCTGGAGTGCAGGGGCGCGATCGCGGCTCACTGCAAGCTCCGCCTCCCGGGTTCACGCCATTCTTCTGCCTTAGCCTCCGGAGTAGCTGGGACTACAGGCGCCCGCCACCACGCCCGGCTAATTTTTTTTGTATTTTTAGTAGAGACGGGGTTTCACCGTGTTAGCCAGGATGGTCTCGATCTCCTGACCTCGTGATCTGCCCGTCTTGGCCTCCCAAAGTGCTGGGATTACAGGCGTGAGCCACGTGCCCGGCTGGTAACTCCTTTTTCTGCAGTAGAGGGTGGGGCGGAAGCCATACGGGTTACTTTATAGGAGCTCCTCAAAGAAAAAAAACTGAAATGAGGAGAAAGGAGTTTCCTTTCTGCCCTGTACCTCTTGAGAAACCCCTGCTGAATGGAACTTTCAGCAGATGGAATACAGCATTGCTTCTCCCCAACCCTGGGGGAGCTCACAGCACTGCTTTGTTCAGAGCATTTTCAAACAGGAGCATGAGATCAAATCCTGGCTCCACTGCTCACCAGCTGTGTGACCTCAGATGATTCGTTCAACCCTTCTAACTTCATTTGCCCCATATATAAAATGAGAAGGATAACTGTACCTCAAGGATTGTCTTGAGGATTTAAGAAAATGATGAATGTAAACAACGTGGCATAAGTGTCCAACAAATATTAAGGGAAAGACACATTCTAGTTTTGGAGATGTTATGTGGAACAACAACAAAAAAAGCGCGTTAGACTTAGTGAGAGGTGGTAGTTTCTATCCTTAGACACTCTCCTGCAGAAAGCATCAGTGTTGTTAGGACGAACTTGGGTGAAAGTTTTGAATATTCAGGCTCCAGTTAGAGTCTTGAGTACCAAAAGATCAGCAGAGAAGAAAAGAGGTCACCGACCTTTGGAGGTTCCCACTTGCAGGAAACAACAGAATGCAGATGCCGGCCTTGTCTGCGAGGCTGTGAGTGATGGCGGCCATGTGGATAGAGAGCCATGTTGACAGAAAGCCACTGCGGGAGACCTAGGCTTTTACACAGAGGCCACATTGTGATTCCCGCAGGAATGGTAGAAATGGAAGGAAATTTAGCTATTGCTCGTCCTAATCTCTGACTTAACAGAATGGAAAAGCAAGAATAAGCGTCGGCTGGTGATGTACTCCCGTGATGAACACAGCTGGTTAGAGCCAGGTTGGACTGCGCCGCCTCTTCATGTCAGATCAGTGAATTTTCTCTTGAGCCATCCTGCCTTCCTCTAATAGATTTGTAATCTGAACCCAGACATATCTTTTATCCCAGGCGCTCAAAAGGTTTTCACTGAAACCCTGAAAAAAATATTTTTTAAAACTCACAAACAAACAATCAGCAAGCACCTGTATGTGCTAAGTTGATAGATAGTAAGAGTCTTACATGGGCTAAAGTTTTAATTCTCCACCCAATGCAGAGTGAGGTCCCACTGTCACCGGCTCACTGACGAGGAAGCTGAGATTCAGCAAGGTCCAGCACTCGCCCAGGGCTTGTACAGGGCCTCAAGGATGCGGGGGTCTTCAGGTCTAGTTGGTATCACTCCACAGAAATCCATTCATCTGAGGGCCAGGCCTGTTTCCCAAGGACATAGTTTCAAATATAGTGCTTTCTTCACTATAAAAAGTATTGCATGTAAATGTTAATAGTGGTTTCCAAGTAGGCAGAAATAACCTTTTGAAACACAATTTTTTTAAAAGAAAAATCAAAATCTGCTCCTCAGATTTGTGCTAATTCTAAAGAGATAATAAAAAAACCCTCAATTTAGACCGTGATATTTTTTTTTAAATAATACTAACATAGATTTCATTTTAGCATTTGTGAGTGCTTTGTGCAGATTTTTTATAGAGTAGAAATAAAATGGAACAGTCAATGATATTAGCCTCACATACTATGTTTCTAAAATTTTCCAAGGTTTGGTTTTTATATTTTTTCAGCTTTAAAAATACATGGTCATTGTTAAAACTTGGGGTAATTTCAATAACAATTCAAAGAATTAAATAAAATTTGCCCATATTTCCACCACCCACAGATAATTATCATTAATCTTGGAGTGTGCTTTAATTAATAGACTATTTTTAGAGCAGTTTTAGGTTTAGAAAACAGGAATGGAAAGTACACGGAGTTCTGATGTACTCCCTCACGCCCCTCCCTCCACACACAGCTGCTTGTACTGACATCTTACATTCGAGTGGCACATGTGTTATGATTGATGGGCCCATGTTGTTACATTAAGATGAACTAAGTCCATTACTTACAGGAGGCTCACGCCGCATGCTGTTCATTCTGTGAGTTTTGAGAAATGCATAATGACATGAAGCCACCATTATAATGTCATACAGAGTTTTTTCAATATTTTAAAAAACATACATAAAATTAATTTTCACTTTTCATTGGGTAATATAATTTTTGTTTTTTATTTTACAGATTGTGGGTATTGTTCTTTGATTATAAAAGACAATAGACATTTATAAATAATAGTGCTGGCCACTAAATGAATCATCTAAAAAACTACACTGGTAGAAAGCATGCATTTATTTTATGAATTCCATTAGCTGCCTATCAGGGAACATGGAGCACTGGGGCACAGATCCCAGCACAGAAGGGTTTGCTTCTCTTCTGTGGTTTTCATGTCAATTAATGATTAGGCCTTGAGCCTCACAAGAAAGGTGATAGGCCTTTGAGTCGGTTTACTGCAACAGTCTACTCAAGACTTGCCCCAGGCCCTGGGAAACATGTAGGTTTAAAAATCCCTACCCTGCGTTTTCCTTTCACAGGGAGTGAACTTCTGGCCCAGGCAGTGGGCAGTGGGGCACGGTTGCCCCGGAGATGAGACTCCTCTTCCCGCCCTGGGGGGTGGGGGCTGGCTGGTGGCTGAGGGAACTATTTTTGTTTGTTTCTTTTTTTAAAAAACGGAGTCTGGCTGTGTCCTCCAGGTTGGAGTGCAGTGGCGCGATCTCGGCACACTGCAACCTCCGCCTCTCGGGTTCAAGTGATTCTCCTGCCTTAGCCTCCTGAGTAGCTGGGATCACAGGCGCCTGTCACCACGCCCGGTTAATTTTTATTTTTATTAGAGACGGGGTTTCACCATGTTGGCCAAGCTGCTCTCAAATTCCTGACCTCAGGTGATCCGCCCACCTCGGCCTCCAAAAGTGCTAGGATTACAGGCAAGAGCCACTGCGCCTGGCCGGGGAACTGTTTTTGATGGGTGGGGTCCCCGGCTGTGGTTGGTAGTGTGGGGGCGTGGCCGAGGGTGTGGCCTGAGGGAGTGAGCTAACCGGGGGCGTGGCCTGATATGGGGCGGGGGGAAGAGCCGGGCTGGGGGCGTGGCCTGGTGGGGAGCGGGGCTGGGGCGTGGCTTGGCTGAGTGTGCTGCCGCGGCGCGGGAGGAGAGTGTGCGTTGCGCTTTCTCCCGCGATCGCCCTGCCGGTCGCTAGCTCCGAGGGCGCGCACTGGATCCCAGGCTCCTCCGAGAGTGCGGCGACCTCGGGGCTCCGCCGGCACCGGAGGTGGCTCTGAGGGCAGGGACGTGTTGGACACGCTGACTTTGTAGGCTCCGCCAAGAGGCGCCGCAGGAGGTAAGACGGCTTCGGGCGCGCGGCTCTGCCGGGCGGGCGCGGGCATGGGCTGTTAGGTAGAATATCGGGAGGATTTGAGTCCCAGTGGACTGCCTCGGGGCTTCGGGATGTCCAGCTCCCAGCTGCTTGGCCTCTGCTTCCCCCGCCGGTGGAGGCTACCGGGTGCTCACCTGTTAGGTCCGTGCGCCCGCTCCCTGCCCGGCGGTGGCTCTGCGCCCTCTGGGCCACCCGGCACCATCGCTTTTGGGAGGACATGCACGTGGTGTTCTCGCAAAAGGCCGTTTCCAGCCGGAAGCCTGCAGGGAGGTCGCCTTGTAACTTCACCCGCGCTCCCAGCTCGCGGGGCCTGGCCTACAGGGGCGGCCGTGGGGGTGGCAGAGTCTGGGGAGCCTGGCGCGGCGGAGCCCTGTAACGCTCTGCTCCATCGGGTGGCGTGGCTGGTGCCTCCGGGGACCCGGAGCGATGCGGTTGGAGAGCTTAGTTTAGAAAGCAAGTTTCTCTTGGTACCAGCGGAGTCTCGTCCCAGGGGAAAGATTTTGGGACCCGGTGCCCATCGTCTGTGGACTGCAGGGAATGCATTGGCGGAGTTGGTTTGGTCCCATTCTGTGCAGGAGGTGGGGGAATTGGTACTCCAGCCCCAGGCAGGTAGAAGCCCGCGCTGCTGCCAGCGTCAGGGGGAGCTCGGGTGACTTGGGCTGGGCCACCCATCTGACTGCAAGGTTACAGAGCTTGAGCAAATTTCCCCTCCCTCCAAGTGCAGGAAAACCAAACCAAAGCAAGCAAACAAAACCCTGTGGGTCATTTGCTTCCCAGCATTGCATAGGGATGTGGATAAATAGAATAATACTGTGAATTTATTCAGCTCTTGTTCCCATGGCTTCCCATAGCCTTATATTATGCACCTCCCCCTGCCAGCATTTTCTCTGTCCCCACCTTCGGTTTTTGCTGCCTCGTGTTTTCTTCTCTGTGAACCTTTCCTGGTCACCCAGCGATTTGCTCTCCTTTATTCCCCTTGCTAACAGGCGGAGAAATCTCACTCCTTTTCTTTTTCCACCTTTCCCAACAAATTCTCCTTTTTTCCTAATGTCCCCCTCCCCCGTCTTGCAAACTTCCTCACTGCATTATTCTCGGGGTGCCTGTCATGCACCCTCCCTGTTCTCTGCCCTCCTCCCGCACTTTAGAGTTTCATGTGGCTTTGTCTTATTATCCCATATCCTAATTCTCATCTACCTCCCTTGGCCCCCACGTTTGCCATCTGCCTCCACCCAGTTCTCCCATCTCCTTCCTTATTTGTGCTCCCGTGCATATGCAGGTTTCTTCCTTGTTTCCCCATGTTTCTCCCACAGGTGCTTTCTTCCCTTTGCCCTACTTCTCCCTGGCAGGCGCTCTGCCCAGCCACAGCCTGCCCCGCCTGGAGGGCACACCTTGCCTCAGTGCCTTCTGCTGCGGTTTTCCATGCTCCATCAGCATCCCTGGGTTCCTTGTGTTCTTCCAGTCCGCCCTCTGTCACCTTGCAGACGGCTTTCTCTCCGAATGTCTGCAAGTGTCAGAGGCGAGGAGTGGCAGCTGCATCTCTGCAGGAGGACTCTGGATTTCAGGACCCTCCCTTCTGCCACTGCTTCTGACTGATTGTTTTCTTATTGAAGTCGTATCCTCTACATAGTTCTAGAATTAATGTCAATATTGATGTTAGGTAGCATCTACCAAACTCTGGGTGTGTGCCAAGCACTGTTCTGAGGGCTTAACGTGCATCAGTACTCATTTAAAATCCTCCACACATCCCTATAATGTAGGATCTACTACTGTCCCCATTTGACAGATGAGAAAAGGAAGGCTCAGAGGAGGTAACCGGCATGGCTTCTTGCCACTGCCTAGCAGTGGAGGCCCTCTTCTCACCAGACAGTGGAGCTTCCCTGCTGGGTGACCTCTTGAACTCAGGCATGCCTGGAGTTTAGCTTTGGAAAGGAGGTTGTTATATGACATGTTTTATTTAGTCTGCAATGTACACCAGTGGAGGACATGAATTCTATACCTGTAGGACAGTGCATGGAGAAAAACCTAATGCCGGCTGTCCCTCAGAAAGCCTGGGGCCAGTGCCTGGGCTGTCACCTCATCCATGCTATCAGTCTACTTTCCCTCTTAGCCACAGGAAGCCCTGAAGAAAGTGGCATAAAAATGACCTGGCTGGGCACAGTGGCTCATGCCTGTAATCCCAGCACTTTGGGAGGCCGAGGTAGGAGGATTGCTTGAGCCCAGGAGTTCAAGACCAGCTTAGGCAGCATAGCAAGACCCCATCTCTAAAAAATAAAAATAAGAAATCAGCTGGTTGTGATGGCGCACTCACCTGTAGTCCAAGGTGCTCAGGAGGCTGAGGTGAGAGGATCTCTTGAGCCTGGGAGGTTGAGACTGCAGTGAGCTATGATTTTGCCACTACACTGCAGCCTGGGTGACAGAACGAGAGACTCTGTCTCTAAAAAAATTAAGTTAAATTAAAAAAGAAGACTACTGCCAGCTGTCTCCTCCCGTGCATTGAGAGTTCCGTTTCACTTTAGCTGGACAGATCTTTATGGTCTCTGTTAGCTGTGTGACTGTATGAGTCTTATTTATATCCATTTCATTATGTAATCTTAAAGCCTTGTCCAAACATTTCTTTTTTAGTCTTTATCTTCCTAAGAGTTGGAGGCAAGTAGTATTTCTACTTTACAGATACTGAAGCAGAGCATGCACCTTGATAGCTGAAAGGGACTTTATATTCTACAGATGAGGAAACCGTGGTCCAGGGAAATAAAATGGCATATTCAAGGGAAAGCAGCAGGACAAAGTTGGCTCTAAGGCTTCTCTGGTTCAGGGCTCAATGCCTGGCCCTATAGCTTGGTAGGTTGACCTCTCTGTTTGCTGCTGGAAGCAACAAAGTTTCTTTCCCCTTCCTTTCCCTTGAGCTAAGAGGCATTGGAAGGTTTCACTTAGAAGGGGAACTCATCAGTGCTTTCCTTTCTTTTTTGTCTGAAAACTAAACATTTAAGAAATGTTTGCCTATGAGACATGTAATAGCATAAATGGGATCATAACATCACAGTGGTATAAATTCAAATGTTTTAGAAAGAACTATCATTGTTATTTCTAAAACACCAGGAATGAACACCAAATGTACATGGTTTTCTTGAGGGAAACTATATAATACATGGCAATTTGAAAATCAGTACCTGGAATGTTTAATTGTATTTTACATTTGTGGAGAGAAATGCATTGGTACAAAGTGCTTACCTGATTTTCCTCATCTTTGCATCACAAATGAAAGAGCAGTAAAGGGGGAGCATAGAGTAGGTTGCTGTTTTTCTGTTGGCCTCTGCTGTACCCACATCCTTCTCTGGACTCCCACTGAGCCCCCTTGCTCCTGCCTCTGCTCCCTCCATGTTTAATGCCTCTTTTGGCTCCCCAGGGAACCTGCAGGGTATTGTTGAATTGTGATGCTCACCTCCTCCATACCAGCCTGTCTTGACAGAATGAAACCCTGATGCCCTGAGGCAGGCATCCTATGTGATGGCTTCATCACTCCCTCCTAGGATGAGATGGGTGATCAGGTACCATCCTGGGGAGAAGGGAGGAAGCATTTGCGTGAGGTATCCTCTGTGTTCTGTGGTTTAGGTGAGGATGGTTATAACTGAGGAGCAAGTCAAGTTTCATTGCTCCCTAAATGAGATGGAGGTTCAGGGAAGCTGTCGTGGCCAGAGCCCCATAGTAAGTGGCAAGACTGAGACTGGACCCCGGGCTGCCTGGCTTAGGAGATCCACCTGCATCCCTCGGTGTGTCTGTCTTCCCTCTAACCTGTAACTCCCTGAGGCAGAAACGGCACCACAGAACCTTTCACAACATCGATAGCTCCTGTGTGCTGAGCTGAAGGTGAAGCTGGAGAGGAGAGACCAGGGGACCAGGGGACAAGAGCCTGAGGGCTCAGAGGAGTTCCCAGTCCAGCCGTCGCGCTAACTTCGGGGTTGTGGACGATGCCCTCTGTGCCTGCAAGAACCCTGGGGAGCTGTGGCAACACCGCAGAATGCAAGGAGAATGGCGTCTGTGTTTCCTGTATATGTATGTGGTTGTGGCCATGTGCTGTGGTCAGGATGTCAGCTTCGGTGGACACAGGTAATGGCTGTCCTGTGGTCATCATGTTCCAGCATCTCGGAAATGGGGCTGTTGCTTCAGTGAACCAGGACCTTAAAGGACCTGACTTCTTGGTGAGCAATCACTTCCACCCATTTCCCTGAAGCGGGACTGCCCTAGTCTTTGTGGAATCACGAGAGCGCAGACATTGTCACTTGAGGGATTCTGTGCCTGCCTCAGACTGTCTCCCACCCCAGCATGCCAGGTCTGCCCTGAAGACCCACCAGCATCCATCTGCACCCTCCAAGAGGACTCTACCTGTCCAATCCAGGAGAGGGGAAGGGCCAGCCTTTCCCCTCCACCCCCATTCATACCAGAGCAGGCTTTGTTTCTTAACACTGGCAAGCTCTCCTTAGAGAGAAGTAGAGCACAGGTCCGAAATGGCCAGACTGGAGAGTTTCAATGGAGGGAGGCAAGCTGCCTTCCTGGGTTCCTGGGCCACCCAGTCTCCTGCCCTCTTCTCCTCTCTCAGCCCTTCCCGGTTGCACCCCCCACCCACCCCAACTCCAACTTTAGCAGCAGGAAAGGGGACATCTTTACTCACTGTCTGGGACAGATGCACGGGGAGGGCAGGCTTTTATTGTCTTATTCCAATGGGGGCAGGAGGCTGGCAATGAGATGTGTTGTGGTATTGCTGATCAGAACGTTGATCACATCTTTTGCAGAAAATGTTGCTCTGTGTGATAGGAACAGTCCATTGTACTTGAGTGTTAATGCGACAATTCAGTCTCATTACACAGGATTCTTAGGTCAGGCCCTAGCTCTTAGTCACCATGGGTGATGTAGAGATTGGTAAATGTGCCCTGAGTCCTAAACAACTTGCACATGTACTTTTAAACACATCCGGGTTGTGTGTTGTGACTCTATAGCTAAAAGAAAAATAGCCTCTGGTTCAGAAATGTGCTCCACTTCCACCCTTCCTGGGGGGTGGAGTGCTCTTCTGTAACGTATAAAAGTCTTTCTCATTCATCAGGAATGGCCTATTTAGGGATTTATGTGGATTTGCAGATTCTGCTATCACAAGTGTAATACCGATGATACTTCATGCTGGTTTGTAAGCATAAATGTATATGTAATACTTACTGTGTATCTTTTGTGTACTAGATGCTGAAGATGGAGAGATTGATCAGAGACAGTCCCATTTTCATGAAGAGACTCATATTCTTGTCTAGAGGGAGAGGCCCATATGTAAAAGCAAAGCAGTGAAAAGTAGTGAGTGTGGCAGTCAGTTAGGGGAGAAGATGAGAGTTCAAAGATCCAGGAAGGCTTCCTGGAGGAGGAGCTGAGTCCAGTGTGGGCTGAATCCTAACAGAGGAGTGAGCAATTAGGGAAGGAGCTGACAAAGGAAAACCTTCTAGCCCTGGGGGACGGCGTAAACAGAGGTGAGGAGATGGGCTCCAGCTTGGTGACTTGAGGGACCCTTGAACATCTGTATCACTATAGCCCCAAGCACATCAGTCATGACTGAGTCTGTGTGCCTAGGGCATGGTTCTAGCATCAGCAACACTTGGGGGTTTGTTAGGAAAGTAAATTCTAGGGCTCCCACCAGACCTATAAATTAGTTCTGTGAGTGGGGCCCAGCAATCTGTTTTTTAACATGCCTTCTACATGTTTTTCAACCACAGAAATATTTGAAAGCCACTGTTTTAGAGCATATGCTTCCTGGAGGCTCTGAACAGCTACTCTCCATGTCTGCCTCATAGTATTTGCAGAGAATGGTAATCCTCTTTTATGAGGGCATTAATCTCCTTCACGAGAGGGGAGCCCTCATGATTTAATCAGTTCCAAAAGGACCCACTTCTTCACATCATCACCTTGGGGTTTAAATTTCAACATCAAAATTTTGGAGGGACACATACATTCAGACCGTAGCAGTTCCCATCTCTCAGAGTTTCAAAACCTTTGCTGCATGTTTGAATTACCAGGGTGCCTTTAAATACATTGGTGCCTACTCTTACCTTCAAATGTTATGATTGGTTTGGGGTATGACCTATGTGTTGAAATTTTTGAAAGCTTCCCAAGCGTAGTCAAGTTTGGGAACCACTGTCATAGGTGAGGATTCCATGAATTGATCCTTGTAAAATGCCAGAGTGTCCTGGCCATCACGCAGGAAGTGCTTTGTGTGTGTGTCTCTCTGGTGGTGGAGGCTGTGATGGTTCTGTGATAGGAGGAGGTGGTGGTGGCACCACGTCTGTTGTGTAATGAATGCTCGTTCAGTGTTGAACATGTGCCAGTTTGGACATGGTCGTGGTCCTCTCCTTTGGTCTGAGAGTTGGGAAGTAAAACAGCTCCAGTGTGGTGGATCTGCACAGCTAATTCTGTAAGCTAATCCCAGGCAAAGATACAGAAGATGATGCTGCCAACAGAGAACACGGGGCCCACAGGCCAGCCTCCCCAGCAACCTGGCACCATTTTCCTCACCTCTCAACAGTACAAGCTTGAATTCTGAACAGCCAGGTTCTAAAATCGTGAAGTACCAATACTTCTGTGTGAATAGTGTGAATGGGAATGTTATGTGAATTGGGTGCCCTAGGATTTTGTACCTTCTCCAACCAATCAGTTGTACCCAAGTGCCAGTTTACACACACACACACTCACTCACTCACTCCATCTCTAGACTTGGCCTTCTGTGGCAAGTGATCTGTCTTCTAGGGTCTAAATTTCATTGTTATAAACCATGTATTTCTAAACATTATTGGAAAGAGTGTATAATCTTTTTGTATTTCTTGTCCCATCATGAATATTCATTCTTCCTTCATTCATTGTTTTATTCATTCAGCAAATGTTGAGCAACTGCATCGGCCCTGACACTGAGCTCACAGTTTTATCCCTTTTCCTACTGTGGAGACATAAACATGTTTCTCTCTCTGTCAGCATGGACAAAGTAGGGTTTTTTTGGTCTTAATTTATAATGGTAGCCTTCTCTATTTCTGCCTCTTGATGACGTAATTATTCAACTTTTAATAATACAACATCTGAAGGACATTTTTCATGTCGACTTCATGAGCCTTCTGTGAACCCTGCTGAGATTAATTAAATCAAACTCCATGCAGCAATTATCCTAAAATATCCCGACAAGTTATTAAAACTGAGTTTACCCAGGACTGTAAGACTTGAGTAAGTGACCCATAGCCGGTGCCCTTGGAATGAAGCCTGGGATCCAGTTTAATTTCTGTCAGTTTCTAATTTCTTTTAGTGCAGAATCAGTCCTGGTAAGGTGGTTGAATTAATGACATACATGAAAAATATGTGAATTCATGTCTCGAGTTTATGATTTGCTCTCTTTCTGTGAAAAAGATAGATTATGTTTTTGGTTTTGTTTTGCCCTGCCAGCTTCCAAGTAACCACTTACTGTTAAATTGGCCCCAGTACACTTCAGTGTTTGTTGCAAATGGAAAGAATTGATTCACTATATTTTTTTCTGCTGCTGAATCACTAAGCAAAACTCTACCGCTGGGGAAACTTTTGTATCGCAGCACACAAGCAGCCCAGTATGATGGTAAAGACCAACCTCCATTGTGTGGTCTTACCATTGTCACTCGCGTTACCCACGGACTGAATAGGGTTTAGAAATACAGGCCTTCAAAGGAATTGCCGTTGCTTAAATGTTCCATGGCTGCTTCTGAAATAACATCCCTCCAGCCCTCATTCAAAACAAGAAAGAAGGAAGGGCATATATTAATATCTGCAACTTCAGTGATATTCAAAAGTATTATATATTTAAATAAGGAAAGTTAAAATCCATTTTAATTTTAAAAATTTGAAGTTAAATAATTCAAAATATACTAAAAAATAAAAAGCCCACACAGTATTCTTTAAATGGTATGTTTTACCATCTACCAGACCTGCTTTCTACCTTTGACTTTTCTTTTTTGTTGTTTTCTTTTCTTCTTTTTTAGATTTTCTATCAGATTCAATACATTTTACTTTTCTAAAACAAATCTAAAATCCCCAGAGTGGCCTGCTAGGCTCGGCTTACTAAAGAGCCTGCTTGTGTTGCCAAGTTAGGATTAGCCTGGCATTGGGATCTCTGCGTGTCCTTGGGCCACGCTGTCAGAACTTTGGTTTCCTGCCCTTCCTAGAAAAGGCTTGGGCTCTTTACTCGGTGGTTGCCTGAATTCCAGCTCTTGGCTGTGGCCTGTGGTTGGAATGTGATGGAACACGAATGGTGTGCTTGTTATACCAGGCTGATGTGGAGTGAGGTGCTAACCCTGGAAAGCTCCCCTTGAGTTGAGTCTTAGACTCCTGGCCTCACTGTAGATTAAACAGTGGGATTCTGGGTAAGCAAAAGTGGCAGCTTCTTCCGACCATTTTATTTTTTCATGACAAGTCGTAAGGCGTGAGTAGACTGGTTTCAAAATCAGTCTGGGTTCTATTTGTTGTATTTCTGACTGCTGTCCTCACTGACCGGCATTGAGATAAACAGCTCGAAAGCAGACACCTTCTCCAGACTCTGCCCTGGAAATGAGTTGGGACCTGCAGCCTGTCCTATAACTTCCCTTCCCGAGGTCATGTGGCTCCGGGAGCATCAAGATGGGGGTCTGGCACAGGTGCCCAGTGTCGCTTCTCAGCGGGAACTCAATTCTTTCCTCCTCTTCTAGTCTCTCTCCTCTCACTCAAGCTCTCTGCAGAATGGGAGGTGAGGGAAGAAGGTAACCTCCTGCAGACCTTTCTTCTCAGTCTAGAGTCTTCTGCTTCCAGAGGTTTCAGGTGGCTCAGTGAGTCCCCACTCTCCTCTCCTGCCTGGCTGCTCTGCCTGCAGACTCCACTCGGCATTAGGAAAAATACTCAGGGCATGAGCACTTCTGTGCCATGAACACCTGCCTTCTGATACGGAGATTGTCTTGGAGGAGAAAGCAAGAACTCTCCCTGCTTTTTCTCATCCTTATTTTAAATGTGACGTCTTCATACAAAGTTCTTATCCCTAGAGAGTTCCAAACCAGATAGCTTTAGGCAGTACACAGAAGTGAGAATGGTTTGACAGTACAAGGTCCCATCTTCAGTTTACCACATTAGGCCTCAAATATCTGCAGGGGGATAGGTCAAATCATGCTCCAGCCACTGCCTCAGTATGTCTGATTTGGTAGCATAGTTCCTTAAATTTCCACACTAGCATCTCTGAAGTAACTTGATCACATTGACTTCCTGAGGGCTACTTTTAAGCCTGCTGTGATTAATGAAATCAAACCCCACACAACAATTATTCTAAAGCATAGTGGCTTATTCAGTTTCAGTGCATGCCCAACTGCTGGGCTGGAATCGTCCAAATGGATGACTACATTTTTGTTGATGTCCTACCATAGGAGTCTAGTAGCCTTTTAAAATTTTTGTGGGTGGACACTACTCATCTCCTTCAGTTTCTCTCTCATTCTGGGATGAGGAATCTCTAAATGAAGAAGGAATTGTCTGTCGTCAGCAAGAGGTGCTACTTTCTATTTCTAGGCTTTCGTGGAAAGTCTCCTGTGGAAGCGCCATCCCCTCTGCAGAGTACATCTCTGTTGTCCTCAGATTGAGGCTTTTGAAGAACACTCTGTGTGAATTGGAACACCTGTCTCCTGAGATGAAGATAATGGGTATCTGTGCCAATCAGTCTGGCGTAAAAAGATCATTATGCAAAGAGACTGGTTTAGCAAGAGGATTCCTGGGCCCTTGTTCCCCAGAACTGGGACAGCCACCCTCTCTGGGTGTACTTTCAGATCCACTGAAAGACCTGGAAGCACCCTTTTAGTCATTGAGAGACAATTTACAAACAACAGCAACTCCGAAAAGTATAGGTTTATATGATTCGTTGTTGGGAACAGAAGAGTGTTCTTTGATGGGATTGTTTTAAAAGAACTGGAATGTCCAGTGGCCAGTTACACTTGCATGGTTATTCTCTTCCCTCTGTAAACTCATCAGTGCGGGATTCAGAAAGAACAAGCATGGAACACATTCCTCCATGCCCCTTCTTTCTGAATCCTGCAGTGATGAGTTTACAGAAGGAAGACAATTTGCATGGAATTTTAGTTGGAAATACATTTTCCCATTCGAAGGACCCTACAACATCAAACGAGTGAGACGTTCAACAGCCGCTGACTGCTCACTAGAGCTGGGTGGTTTTAGATCCCCAGGAAATGGCTGTCGTGCCATCTGAGCATGAGGCACTTGGAAAGCAGTGCCCATCACTGCCTCATGTGTTCAGCGCTGTCATTTTTCAAGAGACGAAGGAAGATGGTGAAGTCGTGACCCTTGTCTCAGAACATGCGGGTCAGATCTGACAACACCTGCTGCTTCCATGGGGAGGGTGGAGTGAGGAGAACTGGTGCTGGGAATGCTGATGCCATCACACGTGTCTCACGTATGGTTTCCTGTTGAATGACAGTAGCCATGTCCTACTTCTCTCCCACCTACAGTGTCCTGCAGATGACAGTGGGAGTGCCACAAGGATGGGTGAATGGAGCAGCATACAGGGCTGATAATTACAAATGGCCCAACAAGGAGGTGGCCACGTGTGCTTGCTGGTGCCCCACTGGGTCAGCTGTGCTGACTTCCACATGTTCAGACAGACTTCTGCATTTGTCCTTGTATCAGTGGTGAGGTTTGGCTATTCAAGAAAAAGCCTGTAAGATAATTTTGAACTTGCAGATTAATGGCATACCCAAACCTGGTGATTGGTTACGTGAATAACAAAGTTTTGGTGCATAGATGAGTTTCCTCAGCTGGAGGAACGTTGGGAAAGTCAACATCTGACACAGAAGAGGCAGAACTGGTTGGCCTAAGAAAAGCATAGGGATTTGAAAGTTAAGGCAGTATATAATTGTATCAGCAAATACCTCAAAATTCTTATTTATCAGTGTTTTAAATTTAACTTTTCATTTTTAGATCATTCGGAGGGGTTACTCAGATTCTCCGAATGATGACATCTTGCAAGACTGTACTACAATGGTGGAACTAAGGATCTTGACGTGGATATGGTCAAGATGCAGAACTTTCCCATCACCACAGGATCCCTCCTGCTTGTCCATGCACACTCACTAAAGCCACACCTAGTTTCCTCTGTCCCACCCTGCCTTTCTCCCTGAGAGCCACTACTTTATTCTCTATATAATTTTATCCTTTCAAAAATATTATGAAATCGGAATGTTTGGGATTGGCTTTTTTCACTCAGTGTTATTCTCCGATGATACTAATACTCTTTCAGACATGTGGTTTGCAAATGTTTTCTGAATCAGTGGCTTGGCTTTTCAGCCACTTAGCAAGGTCTTTTGTAGAATGAGAGTTTTTCATTTTGATGAGGTCCAGTTTATCAGTTTTTCCTTTAATGGATGATGCTTTTGGTACCAAGTCTAAGAACTCCGTCGTAGTCCTAGATCCTGAAGGTTTTCTTTTGTGTTTTTTTCTAAAACGTTCGTGGTTTTTCATTTTACAGTTAAGTCCATGATCCATTCAAGTTAATTTTTGTAGCAGGCATGAGATTTAGGTCAGTGTTTTTTTCTTGGCCTGTAGATGTCTAATTGCTCTAGCACTGTTTGTTGAAAAAACATCCTTCTTGCATTCAGTTGGTTTTGCTTCTTTATCAAAAATTAGTTGGTTTTATTTGTGTGGATCTGCTTCTGGCTTATTTACTCTGTTCTTTTGATCTATATGTCTATACCTCAGCCAGTATCACAGTCTTGATTATCACAGCTGCATACATCTTGAAATTGGATAGACCTGATTTTAAAATTGTTTTAGCTAGCTCCCTTCCCTTTCTGTATTAATGTTAGAATAGTCGTCTCTCCATCAACATAAAATCTTGCTGGGATCTGATAGTGATTTTGGGTAGAATTGACATCTTTACTATGTTAAGTTTCTGATCAGTTAACACAGTGTGTCTCTTCATTTATTTTATCTTTTTTGATTAGTTTCATCAGCATTGTACGGCTTTCAGCACACAGGTTTCATACACATTTTGTTAGATTAACACCTAAGTAGTTCATTTTTTTTGAGTCATTACAAAGTGGTATTATGTAAATATATACTTTTTGAGACACAGTCTTGCTCCGTCATCCAGGCTGGAGTGCAGTGGTGCGATCTTGGCTCACTGCACCCTCCGCCTCCCGGGTTCAAGCGATTCTCCTGCCTCAGCCTCCTGAGTAGCTGGGACTATAGGCATGTGTCACCAGGCGTGGCTAATTTTTTGTATTTTTAGTAGAGATGGGGTTTTGCCATGTTAGCCGGGATAGACAATTGATTTTTAAAATGTTTGGCTTGTATCCTGCAACCTTGTGGAACTCACTCATTAGTTCTTAGTTGTGTGTGTGTGTGTGTGTGTGTGTGTGTGTGTGTGTGTGGTAGATTTCTTGAGATTTTCTATGTGGGCAATCATGTCATGTACAAATGGAATGGCTTTATTTCTTTCTTTCCCATCCATACGCCTTTTATTCCCCCCCGTCCCCCAACTTTTTTTTTTTTTTGGCCTTATTGCATTGGCTATGGCATCCTGTCCTTCACCATGAAGCATAATGTTAGCTTTAGGGTTTTCTATAGATGTTCATTATCAAGTTGAGGATATTCCCTTCTATTCCTGTCTCTCTAAAAAGGTTTTAAACTGTGAAGAATGGGTGTTGAATTTCATCAAATGCTTTTTCTGTATCAGTTGATGTGATTGTGTGGTTTTTCTTCTTCAGCCTGTTAATATGCTGGATTACACTGATTAATTTTCAAATACTGAATCAGTCTTGGATCCCTGGAATAAACCCAAATGGAATGAAGCCCATTTGGTCGTATGAATAATTATTTTATATGTATTGCTGAATTCTGTTTTGTTAAGCATTTTTGTGTTGTATTCATGAGTGATACTGGTTTGTAGTTTTCTTTTTTTGTACTGTTTTGATCAGGTTTTGGTACCAGGGAAATATCACCTTCATAAAATGAGTCAGGAAATGTTCCTCTTTCATTTCCCGGAAGAGGTAGTGTAGAATTGGTGTTAATTCTTTTTAAGCATTTGGTAGAATTCTCCAGCAAAACCACCTGGGCATAAAGATTTCTCTTTTGAGGGTTTTGAAATTACAGATTCACTTTCCTTAATGGTTAAGGGCTGTTGAAGTTATCTTTTCACATTGTGTGAGTTGTGGTAGTTTGTGTTTTTAAAGAAAGCGGTCCATTTTGTTGAAGTTGTCAAGTTGGTGTGTGTAGAGTTGCTCGTATTATCAGTCTTTTCAAAGAACAGCTCTTTGTTTAATTGATTTTTTCTATTGATATTTGTTTTTAATTTCTTTTATATCTGCTCTTACCTTAATTCTTTCTTTCTTCTGCTTGCTTTAGGCTTAGTTTGCTTTTTTTTTCTAGATTTTTGAAGTGGGAGATTAGATTGATTTGAGATGGTTCTTCTTTTCTTATATGAGCATTTCGTGCTATCAGTTTCCCTCACAGCACTGCTTTCGCTATATTCCACACATTTTTATGTGTTGCATTTTCATTTTCATTCAGTTAAATATATGATTAAAAATTTCCCTTTATTTTATTTTTTATTATCACTTTTTTGAGACGAAGTCTTGCTCTGTCACCCAGACTGGAGTATAGTGGCGCAATCTTGGCTCACTGCAACCTCCGCCTCCCAGGTTCAAGCTATTCTCCTGCCTCAGTCTCCCAAGTAGCTGGGACTACAGGTGTGTGTCACCACGCCTGGCTAATATTTGAATTTTTTTAGTAGAGACAGGGTTTCACCATGTTGGCCAGGCTGGTCTTGAATTCCTGACCTCAGGTGATCCACCTGCCTTGGCCTCCCAAAGTGCTGGGATTACAGGCGTGAGCCCCTGCACCCAGCCTAAAAGTTTCCCTTTAGAGTTCCCCCTTGACTTGTGGATTATTTAGAAATGCGTTGTTTCATATCCAGATGTTTGGAGATTTTTTTGTTAACTTTCTGTTACTGATTTCTAGTTTAATTCCATTACGGTTAGAGAACACACTCTATATGATTTCAATTCTTTTAAATTTGTTGAGGTTTGTATGGCCCGGGGTATTGGTCCATCTTGATATATGTTCCCTGGGCACTGGAAAAGAATGTGTATTCTGATGTCCTAGGGCGGAGTTCTGTAGCTCTCTAATCCTTTTGGTCGAGGGCATTAATCCTGCAGTGGACTGTTTTGCTACAGACTCAGTAGTGATGCTTGTTTTTTTGTTTTTTTTAATTTGTTTTTGTTGTTGTTGTTGTTTTGTTTTGTTTCTTTGGCAGAAAAAAGGAAAGTGAAGTTTGGATAGCAGATAACTTGAAATCATAGTGCCTAGCAAACATAGGGAGGCTAAAAGTCTACATTGCCAATTTAGGGCAACTTTGACAAGGAGAGAGAGGAGTTAGTGTTCTCTATTGATAATTTAGGTACCAAAGAGGGGCCATTTCATCGCACCATTGTTTTAGAATTAGAAACTCTGAAGAAAACCCAGCTTGATCTCAGAATCAGAGTCCAGACAGCTAAACTTGCCAGTTAGGGCTAGAAGAAAGGGATGTGTTTCAGAGTTGTCTATCTAGATTTCTTGTTGAGTAATGTTTATGAGTAACTACCTTAATGTTTACCAAGTATTTATTTAATTACCAGTTTAATTAGACTTAGAACAGGGAAATGGATCATTACTATAAAAGCTAGGTTATTCATCTCTTCTAAACAGTTTGTTGACTACCTCATCTGTTCCAGACATAGTGCTAGTCCCTGAGGATATAAAAATAAACTAGAGAGACACGGATCTAGGTGTCATTTTTCTTCTCCCACAGGAGAGAAACTTTAGAAATCCCAGTGGCTTCTATGCAGAGCGATTACTAGAAAACATAAATAAATTTCTCCTTGAAGATTATTTTAGTTGCAAATAATGCAGCTTAAATTTGAAAAGCGATAGTTAAAATACTCTGCAGGAAAACTACTGCATGTTTTATGACATGCTAACAGAGTCACCTTCAACTCAAAACACAGCATCCTCTGCGTGTCTCCTGTCTGCTGGGTACTGGAGCAGGCGTGGGGGATCTGAGCTTGCTCAGCTCCTGGTGTATGCTTCTTTCTTAAGTGTGATTGTTACAAAGGTAGAGTCCAAGTGTAAATTTCTCAGGCTTTATATCCATTTTTTGTTTTATTTCTTGAGAAATTGAAGCCTCCATATACACTGCAAAAAGTTACTTATGCCTGTCTTTTCCATAACACAATTTTATAAGGACTATCTACATAAGTCATGTTGAACTTAAACAGATCTGGTGTCAGTACTAAAGTTGTTTATGTTTTGTAAACACCCCATTAGTTTAACCCATTTTATTTACCAGTTACAACTTTGGAAGGGCAGCAAAGACCTTGGTCTATTACTTTTCATGTAATCTTTACAGAAAAGTTGGAAAATACAGCCAAATAAATCATAGTATTTGCTCTCTTTTTCCCCATGATGTCACAGTTTCCTTTTAATTTCTGCTTTTCAGATCACAAAAACATGTTATTTTCCCAGCAAACTAGATCCTTTGATTAATGGGACCAGGCAAGTCCAAGGACAGATTAAGCACGCTGGGTCCTGGCAGGAATCCCAGAAATGACCCTCAGTCAGCCTTCTTTCTCTCACCTTGGACCTGTTTCATTGAATTTACTGTGTTTTCTGTGAAAATGGAGCTTGGTAATTTCTCTAAAGAAGTTCACATATCTAAATGATAATGAAATGATTGATTAGCTATTAATTATTAATAGATCACAAGTTCATGCTGTAGTATATAATTTTTTTTTCTTTTGAGATGGTGTCTTGCTGTGTCACCCAGGCTCACTGCAACCTCCGCCTCCTGGGTTCAAGGGCTTCTTGTGCCTCAGCTTTCTGAGTAGCTGGGACCACAGACGTGTGCCACCACGCGCAGCTTATTTTTGTATTTTTAGTGGAGACAGGGTTTCGTCATGTTGGCCAGGCTAAGTCTCAAACTCCTGACCTCAGGTAATCCACCAGCCTTGGCCTCCCAAAGTGCTGGGATTACAGGCACGAGCTGCCGCACCCAGCCTGTAGTATATACTTTTGTTAGTGAGCCTCCTTTCTCTCTAGTACAAAAAGGAGTTGAAAATTACCTTGTCAATTCTGTTTCTTAATTATTCCTTAATTAATCAAAGAATAGTGGACACAAACGTTGCTTTACTTCTCTGACTCAGTTACTTTTAACAATTAAGAAATTTTTAATAGATATGTGAAAAAAAGAGATCAGATACTTTCATAATAATTTAGGCATATGTCAGTGTGTCTGGCTGTGCCTGGCCAGAAATTATAAATTTATTTCTTACAGCTCTGGAGGCTAGGAAGCCTAAGACAGAGGTGCCAGCAAATTCACTGTCGGCGTGAATGCCTGCTTTCTGGTTTATAAATGGTGCCTTCTTACTGTGTCTTCATATGGTGAAGGGGGCAAGGGTGTCTCTCTTAGGCCTTTTTAATTTAATTTTTATTTTTTTAGACACAGTCTTACTCTGCAATCGTAGTTCACTGGAGCCTCAAACTCCTGGGCTCAAGTGATTCTCCTGCCTCAGCCTCCCCAGTAGCTGGGACTACAGTTGCATGCCACCATGCCTAGCTAATTTTTTAAATTTTCTGTAGAGACAGGGTCTCCTGTGTTGCCCAGGCTGGTCTTGAACTTAAGTGATCCTTCCACCTTGGCCTCCCAAAGTGTTGGGGTTACAGGCATGAGCCTGGCCATTGGGCCTTTTTAATAAGGGCTCTAATCCCATTCAGGAGGGCTCTGCCACCATGATCTAATCACCTTCTAAAGGCCCTATCTTTCAATATAATCACTTTGGGGATAGGATTTCAACATATGAATTTTTTTTTAATTGGGCCTCACTTTGTCACCCAGGCTGGAGTATGGTGGTACAATCATGGCTCACTGCTGCATCAAATTCCTGGGCCCAAGAGATCCTCCTGCCTCAGCCTCCCAAGTAGCTGGGACTATGGGTGTGCGCCACTATGCCTGGCAAATTTCGTTTTTTGTAGAGATGGGGTCTTATCATCTTGCCCATGCTGGTCTTGAACTCCTAGATTCCAATGATCCTCCCACCTTGGCCTCCCAAAGTGCTGGGATTACAGATGTGAACCACCATACCCGGCTTGATTGTTTTTTAAACTGGGAATATCTGCACCAGATCAACATAAAAATTTCCAGAAGGCGCAAACGTTCCAATAATAACAGCTCCTACCATTCACTCCAGAAGCCACTGCTTGCCACCTCTGCCACCTGTGAGCATGCTCTTGAAAAATACTTGTGGAATTAGCAGAAATGTATTGAACTGCATTATGATACGGCTGCAAGGAATGAGTAGACATCATTTTGATACTTCTGAGGAACATGCATTTTTTTTTAACTGTAAGAGCTTTTTTGACCATTATCTTATGACATCACTTGTATACAGTTATTAATAGTACTAATTGCTTCTTGGCCTTTTGGCTATGATCAAGTATAGTTATTTACAGTAGTAGTAATAAGTACCCTAATAAATGAGCTTACTCTGTGCCATGCATTGCTAGGAAGGTATTATTATCTGTATAAGAACAAATAGAGGATCAAAAAACTTAGTGAACCAAGTAGACCCAGTCTATCTAATGGCTGAGCTGGGATTATACCCAGCATTTTGTACTGTGCCATTTCTGCCTGTTACCACCTTCTGTCTAGGTTAAAAATTGACACCACAGCACAGCAACTGGCCTCTTTGTTTCTTTTTTTTAACAGCTTTATTGAGATCTAATTGATATGTAACGCATCCATTTAAAGTATATAATTCAGTTGTTTTTAGTGTATCCACGGAGTCATGCACTCATCAATTACCATAGTCAATTTGAAGACATTTTCATCCCCTCCGAAAGGAAACCCTGGACCCATTAGCAGTCCTCATTTTCCCTCAAGTCCCCAGCCCTAGACAACCACTCATCTATAGTCTGTCCCTCTACATTTGACTATTCTAGACATTTCAATAAATGATTCATACAACATGTGGCCTTTTAGGTCTGGCTTCTTTCACAGCTTAATGTTTCAAGGTTGATCCCTGTGGTAGCATGAATCAGTATTTCCTTTCTTTTCATTGCTGAATGATACTTCATTGTATGTATGTACCTCATTGTATGTATTCATTCATCAGTTGATGGACATTTGGGTTGTTTGTACTTTTTAGCTGTTAGGAATAATATGCTATGAACATTTGTGTACAAGTTTTTATGTGGACATCTGTTTTCATTTCTCTTGGGCATATACCTATGCGTGGCATTGCTGAGTCAAATGGTAACTCAGTGTTGAAATTTTGGAAGAATTGCCAGACTATTTCTCAAGCAGGCATGCACCATTTTACATTTCCATCAGCTATGTATGGGGGCTCCAGTTTTTAAACTGATGTGTGCTATTTAAAAATTTAAAAATTGTGGTAAAATGTATAAAACATAAACTTTACCATTTTAACCAGTTTCAGTGTACAGTTCAGCCATAGTAAGTACATTCATTGTTATGCAACCAATCTCCAGAATCTTTTTATCTTGCAAAACTGAAACTCTGTACAGATTAAATGCAAGTCCCTATTTATCCCACTCCCAGCCCCTGGCAACCTCTATTTTACTTTCTGTTTCCGTGTCACCAACACTTTTTCCCATCTGCTTTATTGATTCTAGCCAGCTTAACTAATGTGTCTGAAGTGGCATCTTATTTGGATTTGAGTTGCATTTCTCTGATGCATGATGATGTTGAACACCTTTTCATGTGCTTATTGGCTATTTGGATATCTTCAAAGAAATGCCTCTTCAAGTCTTTGCTCATTTTTTAATTGGGTTGCTTGCCATTTTGTTGTTGAGTTGTAAGGGTTTTTTATATATCCTGGATAGCAGACTCCTATCAGATATGTAATTTACAAGTATCTTCCATTCTACAGCTTTTCTTTTTACTTTCTTACTTAGTGGTGTTCTTTGCATTAAAGTTTTAAATTTTGATGAAATCATTTAGCTATTTGTTTTTTGGTTGGCTGTGCTCATAGTGTTGTATTTGAGAAACTATTGCCTAATCCAAGGCCGTGAAGATTTTCTCCCTATTTTTGTCTAAGAGTTTTATAGTTTCAGCTCTTAGATTTAGGCCTGTGCTCTATTTTGCATATGGTGTAAGGGAAGATCTCATTTCATTCTTTTGCATGTAGAAATGCATTTGTCCCAGTGTCATTTGTTGAAAGGATGATTCTTTCACCATTGAATGGTCTTAGTATTCTTGTTGAAAATGAATTGAGCATGACTATAAAATTTTATTTCTGAACCTTTAGTTCTATTTTCATTGATCTATATGTCTATCCTTGTGCTAGTACCACACTGTCTTGATTCCTGTGGCTTTATAGTAAGCTTTGAAATTAGGAAGTCTAAAATCTCAAAATTTGTTTTCTTTTCAAGATTGTTTAGGCTATTCTGATTCCCTTGAATTTTCTTATTAATTATAGGATCAGCTTGCAAATCATGCAAAGTCGTCAGCCAGGATTTTGATAGGATTGTACTGAATCTGTAGCTGAATTTGGGATGCATTGCCATTTTAACAATACCAAGTCTCTCCAATTTATGAATCCATTTACTGAGGTCTTAAATATCTTTCAAAAATGTTTTCTAGCTTACAGAGTATATGTTTTATACTTCTCCTGTTAAATTTAGGCCTAAATATTTTGTTCTTTCTGATGCTATTATAGATGGGATAGTTTTCATAATTTTTTTTTGATTATTGATTGCAAGTCTATAGACATGTGATGGATTTTTTTTTCTATGCAGCCATGCATCACTTAATGACAGGGATACGTTCTGATAAATGCATTGCTAGGCAATTTCATCTCTGTGCGAACATTGTCAGAGTGTACTTACACAAAGCTAGATGGTACAGCCTACAACACACCCAGGCTCTCTAGTGTAGCCTGTTGCTTCTAGGCTACAATCCTATACAGCATGTGACTGTACTGAATACTGTAGGCAGCTGTAACACAATGGTAAGTGTTTCTGTGTCTAAACATGGAAAAGGTACAGAAAAATACGGTATAAAAGTTTTTTTTTTAAATGACTTGTCTATGTAGGGCACTTATGAATGGAGTTTCCAGGACTGGAAGTTGCTCTGGGTGAGTCAGTGAGTGAGGAATGAATGCGAAGGCCTAGGACATTGCTGTTCGCTGCTCTAAACTTTAGAAATACTGTCCACTTAGTCCACTCTAAATGTATTTAATATATGTGCTGCTGAAGCAAGCACTCTAAATTTATTGAAACTTTTTTCATAATAAATTGACCTTAGTTACTATAAGCTTGTTACTTTATAAATTTTAATTTTTAAAATCTTTTACTGTTTTGTGATAACACCTAGCTTAAAACACAAATATATTATACAGCTGTACAAATATAATTTCTTTATAGCCTTATTCTTCTCTACTGTCCCTATTCCATAATCTTTTTTTTATTAAAATTTGTTTTGCACTTCTTAAGCTTTTTTGTTTTGTACTTTTTAAGCTTTTTTGTTAAAAATGAAGACAGAAACGTACACATTAGCCTAGGTCTACATAGGGTCAGCATCATCCATATCACTGTCTACCACCTCCATCCACATCTTGTCCCACTAGAAGGTCTTCAGGGGAAGTAACACGCATAGAGCTGTCATCTGCTATAATAATAACGCCTTCTTCTGGACTCTGTCCTGAAGGACCTGCCTGAGGCTGTTTTACAGTTGACTTTTTTTTTTTTTGTTAAAGTAAGTAAGTAGAAAGCATACACTTTACATGAACTATAAAAAGTATAGTATAGGCCGGGTGTGGTGGCTTACACCTATAATCCCAGCACTTTGGGAGGCCAAGACGGGTGGATCACCTGAGGTCAGGAGTTCGAGACCAGCCTGGTCAACATGGTGAAACCCCATCTCTACTAAAAATACAAAAATTAGCCGGATGTGGTGGCACTCTCCTAAAATCCCAGCACCTCATATAGTGTCTGACATGTAATAAATGTTTGAATAAAAAGTTGTGTTGGAATTATTAAACTACTTGTGGAAAACTCTTGTTTGGGGTATTTGTTTTGGTTTTGTTTTCCTCTTTAGGAAGGATCCTTGCATGGGGAAAGAGGCCTGGCCAGATGAGATAAAAATCTGTTTCCAGTTAGGCTGAGGCTTAGAAGCAGGAAAGGTCCTTTCCACCAGCCTCAGTTTATGGATGGGATTAGCAGTGTTGTAACACTAAACTTTGAGGCATGTATGACTGTGTTTGTCTTTTTTGTTTTGCTATAAAGGAATACCTGAGCCTGGGTCATTTATAAAGAAAAGAGGTTAAATTGGCTCACGGTTCTGCAGGCTGTACAGGAAACATAGTGCCAGTATCTGCCTCCAGTGAGGCCTCAGGAAGCTTCCAGTCACAGTGGGAGGTGAAGGGGAAGTAGGTGTGTCACATGATGAGAGAGGAAGTGAGAGAGAGACAGAGAGAGAGAGAGAGCGCAGGAAAGAGGATGGGCCCTTTAAACAGCCAGCTCGAAGTGAACTTACAGAGTGAGAACACACCCATTACCCTGGTGAGGGCACCAGGCCAGTCCTGAAGGAGCCATCCCCATGACCCAAACACCTCCCCCAGGCCCCGCTTCAACACTGGGGATCACATTTCAATGTGAGATTTGGAGAGGACAAACATCTAGACCATATCAATGGCTGTCTTTTTTGAAGACATTTCCTTTAATTTTTTAAAACTGTCATTTCTAGTAATTTTGTTCTGCTGGGGTTAAATATATTTGGCTGTGCAGATTTTATCAGTGTTAGAAAAACTCAGCATGTTGCGCCACATCAGTCGGGCCAGGTAAACAAAGCTAGTCCATTACACCAAACCCAAAGAAGGCAAAGGCAGCTCACCGAGGGCTCACAGCAGGGCCTTGGTGCCCAGGGTGGCTTAGTGCATTCAGGGGCACCATTGTTTTTATCAGTACACTTGGAATCAGGGCTTCTGAGGATATCTGCTTACATATATTCCTCATTCACATAACTTGCCAGAAAAGATATAGAGAGATTGCTGCATACCTGGATGACTTCAAGGTAGTAAAGCTATAACTTTTGAGGGGTTATAATTTCCAACACACTCTCTCACTGAGTCTAAACTTTTTCATCTAATTTTCTTTTGTTTGCATGTTGAGGTGCATTTGGCAGAGGGCTGAATTTTTCACATATAAAAACATATATGAAACATTTTTCAATACAAGTCAAATATAATAAACACACATTTTCTTGAGGATAGACATCATCCTTTATCACTTCCCTCTGTAAAACCACCATCAAACCCAACCAAGACTGAATGACAGAACTAGAAACATTTAACAACGGCATCATCATGCCTTAAGCTTAGTACACAAAATAGCGTTGTGTTTAAGGGTTGAAACGCTTTCTATGTTGTAAGTTTTCCAAGAGGTACAAGTCAAGGCTTTCACTACTTTATACAAGCTTGTCCAGCCCACGGCTCACGGGCCACATGCAGCCCAAGATGGCTTTGAATGGGGCCCAACACAAATTCGTAAACTTTCTCAAAACATTATGAGATTTCTTTACATTTTTTTTTTTTTTTTAGCTCAGCAGCTATCATTAGTGTTAGTGTATTTTATGCGTGGCCCAAGACAATTCTTCTTCTTCCAGAGTGGCCCAGGGAAGCCAAAAGATTGGACACCCCTGCTTTATAATGTTCTCTATGGGCTAATGGTGGCCGTACCTGTCAGCACTCCTGGGGTGAGAAGGGGGCGGGGTGAGCAGGACTCTTCTCTGTGCTGGGAGTAGAGGCTTAGAGGCACTCACTCTCATCCTGGTTTTGCTCCATGTGACTTTTAAAATAATCACGGGCGCTTCCTCAGACACAGCGTCACATGGTGTTTTCCATGTATTGGGTCACTTCCCACACACAGCACATTGAGCAGACATTACTCCCCCCTCTACCCAGGAGAAAACTGAAACACACAGGAAGTGGCGCGCTCAAGGTCACCCAGAAAAGCCAGCTGCCTTCACAGGACAGTCTTGAGAAGTGTGGAGGAGAGCGCCAAGGGACAGTAACAGAGCTATGAGGGCTTCCTTACCTGTGGCATCTGTTGACGACTGTGTCTGAATAAGTTTTGAGTGAATGGGTACCTGGTGCTGGCGCTTGCTGAGAATGACTTATTTTGGAAGGTCAGTGTTAAAATCATTTGGATGTGGAAATTCCATACAGAAAATTCTCTGGGAAAAATGTTTGGTTTTGCCCTGAACCCAAGGAGCCAGATTACTTTCCTTATTGTACCCAATAATTACTTACTTATTGTACCCAAAACTGCTGAGCTCAACAGAACCTGCACCTGCTGTGCGGGTCCCAGCTGGGCCAAGCAGCCACCAGCCCAGAACCATTTGGTCACCAGCAGATACCCTCATTTGGATGGAAAGTGAAGAGAAAAGCGTACAATGGAGCCAACCAAATCACAAAGATTATCACTTTTTTGGTGGTAGTGTTGCCAGTTTTGATTTTTCTAGAGTGTCTGTTTAACTTGTTGATTTTTTTTCTCTCTGATGTGTAATTGTTGTTATCCATTAACTTAATGCTGGGCAACAGCATGAACTCACTAATCACAGTGAGGAGTTTTGTTTTCTGTGCAGGACAAAGTTCAACGCTCTGCTAATTTCATGATCTCAGTTGTGAAGGTCCAAGTGACTGGACCTAATATAAAATCGTGTCCACCATGGTATGACCTCTCTGGTGACATTATGAAGACTTGAAAAGGCAGGATGGGTCCAGATTTTTTTTTTAATAAAATACTTCTTTAGTTATTTTGATGAAAGGCAGTGTAAAAGGAAAATCCATTGTTTTCCTGTTGTTCTGAGTTGAGTCAAGCGACGGAGTCTACGGAAAATGACCACTTCTTTACTCTTCCAGAGTCCTAGCAGCCGTATGGGTCATTCCTCAGGAAAGTGCGGGTGCCTTTGAAAGTGGGCACTGGGGCCGTCTTTGAAAGGCACGTGTATCGAGCATTGTGTTTTGCTTCTCCAGGGGACCTGCTCTGTCACTGCATTTGTTGCCAGTTCGGGCATTTCCCCCGCTTTCTGTAGCTCCTTGTGTGCCACCTTTCCTAATCATAAGCCCTGAAGTTCCCCTGTGACGTATTTTTGTGCTGCTGAGTAGATGCTAGTTTGTTACAAAAGACCATACAATAAATGCTTTTGTGTGTAATAGTGCCCATCACACATGATAGGCACTCAGTGAAGTTTTACTGCTTGCTTTATAAAGAAATTTTTTCCACAAGGGATTTTATTTCTTAGTGAAGTACTGCCATGAGGATGATTTTTAGGGCCCTATAATTTAGATTTTCCTGATTCAAGACTGTAATTTATTCTTAAGCTATCTGGAGATCCACTTAATGAGAAATAAACCTTTTAAGAGGGCTGAAAGAACCAAGATTTTAAATGGCCAAATTAAGGCTTTTATATCACCTCTGGAAATAACTACTCGTTTAATTTTAAATCCATTAATAGCCTTCTGTAATTTTGACATAATGACTATTGATAAGTCCTTTATATGGTCTCATTTCAGAAATCTTAAGGAAATAATTGGTGTTAACGTAATAGGCATCGTGTTTTAAACATCATATGAAACATCATAATTGAAGGTTTCTCAATTCCTGGATTTAACTTAGAACACATACAAATAGATGCAGTTTTTTTTTTTCATGAGCCCTGTGTTAGTCAGGGTTCTCCAGAGAAAGAACTAAAAGAATGTGTGTGTGTGCGCACACACATACATCAAGAGACAGAGAGAGAGAGAGAGATTAAGGAATTGGCTCATGTGATTGTGAAGCCTGGCAAGTTCAAAATAAGCAGGGTAGGTCAGTAGGCTGGAGTGTCTGGCAGGCGTTGATGTTTTAGGCTTGAATCTTATGGCAATCTTAAGGCCAAATTTCTTTCTTTTCTGGAGACTTCAGTCTTTTAAGGCCTTCAACTGATTAGAGGAGGCCCATCCACATCATCTGCCTCACTCAAAATCTACTGATTTAACTGTCAATCACATCTAGAAAAGATCTTCACAGCAACATCCAGACTGGTGTTTGGCCAAATAACTGGGCATCACAGTCCTAGCCACGCTGACACATAAGATGAACCATCACAACTACCAGTGAGGAAACGGGAATGTTACGGTTCACAGGGGAACCTAAAGAAGAAGTCCTCTTTGCTTCACCTGCTTACATGATGTAGGGTTAATTGCAAAGCAAAAGTAGAAAATTAGAAGGTTTGGGAATAGCTACAGGAAAATTGGATGCTACACCAGCAATTAGGGATTAATAGTATGACTAAGGTCAGAGGTTTACGATATGTCAGGGATACACAAACTCACGTGTTGTATGTTTGCTGGCGACTGATAATAGTCTTCAAACCAAGAGGGAACATCAGCCATAGTCCAGAAAAACTGATGACAGAGTTTCCTAAATCCCAGAAACGAATAAAAATAGGACATCAACAATGTTCTACGAGTCAAGATTAAAGCTGAAATTATTTTAGGTTGTCCCCAGGGTCTAAGTAATGCCACTGTGCTAGGCCCAAGAGCTAAAGAGAAGTTAGTTCCCTTTCAGAGTTTCTTAACCTTCAGTGTCAGGAGGCCAAAGCAAAGCATAACATTGTTACGGGAACATTAATTTTCTGCACAGAAAATACAGGTTTGAGAGGGAAGTGCTCCACAGGGCAACTTGTTTGAAATGGGCAACAACGCTATTGAGGCGGTTGATCAAGTTGAAGAGAAAAGGGAAGGAAGAGCTGGAAATAGGATTGGAAATCCTAGTGTGTTTGGCTTTTGCATATTCTCATGAAATTCCAATTGGTGAATTTATTAAGAAGTTGATTTCATTTCTGTAAAGTCACACTTAACATGCTGTTTAGTTAAAAAGAGCCTCATTATGGGTCAGATGTGTAGGTGTTGATTTATGCAAACTGAGAAGAACCAACAAAGAGACTTCTCTTAATCCTTTTCCTTGAGGAGGATGTTCCAGCAAACACCAGGTTGCATGTTATGACAGCCTAGCACAAAACTACCTTTTTCAAAGCAATGTCGTCTGTTTTCAGATGCTCTACTCTCACTGCTTGTATAATTCTAGGAATTTCAGAACCCATGAATTTTGGCTACCAAAATTCTTTAGCTATCCAAAGAAAGGAGAAAGAAATAGTCACAGCAAGATCTGCTTTTCTGTTGCAGTCATCCCTGCCTCAGAGTGACACATGAGTCATGACTGGAGGTAGATGAAGAAACTACGCTTCTGGTTGTCTGGCCTCTTTTCTGAGTAGTCCTAGCTATCTTCAGTTCTCAGTGGCTTTGTTAACACACAATCATTGCCCTCTTTCTCTCCACCCTTCTATTTATAGAAGTTTGACAGGGATGTGGAAAACAGCGACCGGCTTACGTTTTATTCTGCCTAGCTTTATTGCATTTTGCGGAAATTGCACCTTTTACAAACTGAGGGTTTGTGGCAACCCTGTGTGGAGCAAGTCTATTGGCGCCATTCATTGTTACAATAGCATGTGCGTACATCTTGTCTGTTACTTTTTGATAATTCTCAAAACATTTCAAGCATTTAAATTATTATATCTGTTATGGTAATCTATGATCAGAGATCTTTGATGTTACTATTGTAATTGTTTTGGGCTTCATGAACTACACCTATATAAGATGGTAAACTTGATCAATAAATGTTGTATATGTTTTGACTGCTTCACTGCTGGCCACTCCCAGTCTCTCTGCCTCTTCTCAGGCCTTCTTATTTCCTGAGACAGAACAATATTGAAAGTAGGCCAATTAATAACTCTACAATAACCTCTAAGTGTTCAAGTGAAAGGAAGAGTCGCCCATCTCTATTTTAAATCCAAAGCTAGGAATGATTAAGCTTAGTGAGGAAGGCATGTTGAAAGCCAAGATAGGCTCAAAGCTTGGCCTCTTGTGCCACATGGTTAGCTAAGTCATGAATGCAAAGGAAAAGTTCTTGAAGGAAATTAAAAGTGATACTCCAGGCCAGGCGTGGTGGCTCATGCCTGTAACCCTAGCTCTTTGGGAGGCCAAGGCGGGCAGATTGCCTGAGCTCAGGAGTTCGAGACCAGCCTGGGCAACATGGTGAAACCCCATCTCTACTGAAATACAAAAAATTAGCTGGGCGTGGCAACATGCACCTGTAGTCCCAGCTACTCGGGAGGCTGAGGCAGGAGAATCAGTTGAACCTGGGAGGCAGTGAGTCGAGATCATGTCACTGCACTCCAGCCTGGGCAACAGAGCGAGACTCCATCTCCAAAAAAAATAATAAAAAAAAAAAGTGATACTCCAGTGAACACACAAATATTAAGAAAGTGAAACAGCCTTATCGCTGATATTGAGAAAGTTTTAGTGGTCCAGATAGAGATCAAACTGGCCATAATATTTCCTTAAGCCAAAGGCTAATCCAAAGTCTAATCCAAAGCAAGTCTCTAACTCTCTTTAATTCTGTGAAGACTGAGAGAGGTGAAGAAAGGTTTGAAGCTAGTAGATGCGGGTTCTTGAGGTTTAAGGAAAGAAGCCATCTCTGTAACATAAGTGCAGGGTGAAGCAGCAAGTGCTGATGTAGAAGCTGAAGCAAGTTCTTCAGAAGATCTAGCTAAGATAATTGATGAAGATGATGACACCAAACAACAGATTTTCAGTGTAGACAAAACAGCCTTCTAGAGGAAGAAGATGCCATTCTAGGATTTTTCTAGCTAGAGAGGAGAAGTCAGTGTCTGGTTTCAGAGCTTCAAAGGACACAATGATTCTCCGGTTAGGGGCTAATGCAGCTGGTGACTTAAAGCATGTGCTCATTTACCATTCTGAAAATCCTAGGCCTGTAGAATTATGCTAAATCTACTCTGCCTGTGTTCCATAAATGGAACAAAGCCTAGATGACAGTACATCTGGATATTTTTAGCCCACTGTTGAGACCTACTGTTTAGAAAAAGGATTCTTTTTGAAATATTACTGCTCATTGACAATGTGCCAGTCACCCAAGAGCTCTAATGGAGAAGTACAACGAGATGAATATTGTTTTCCTGCCTGCTAATACAGCATCCATTTTGCAGCCCATGGATCAAGGAGTAATTTTGACTCTGATGTCTTATCATTTAAGAAATATATTTCAGGCCAGGCGTGGTGGCTCATGCCTGTAATCCCAGCACTTTGGGAGGCCGAGGCCGGTGGATCACGACGTCAGGAGATGGAGACCATCCTGGCTAACACAGTGAAACCCCGTCTCTACTAGAAATACTAAAAGTTAGCCAGGCATGGTGGCGGGTGCCTATAATAGTGCCAGCAACTCTGGAGGCTGAGGCAGGAGAATGGCATGAACCCAGGGGGCGGAGCTTGCAGTGAGCTGAGATCACGCCACTGCACTCCAGCCTGGGTGACAGAGCGAGACTCCATCTCTCTCTCTCTCTATATATATACGTGTATATATATATATAATATATTTAATATTGCATACATATTTATATTTAAATATATAGTATATTTAATATTACATACATACTATGTATGTAATACAAATATAAATATAAAATTATATTTAATTTATTATATAAATATATATATTTATATATATATTATATATTATATATTTATATATTATATATATTTATATATAATATATAATATATTATATATAAAAGCATATATAATATATAATATATTATATATAAAAGCATATATAATATATAATATATTATAAATATATTTATAATATAATAAATATATATTTATATAATATATTATAAATATATATAAAATGATATTTAATATATTATATTAATATATCATATATAATATAATTATATATCATAATATATATTATATAATTATATTACATAATATATATTATATAATTATATAATATATTACATAATATATTATATAATTATAAAATATATATTATATAAATAATTATATAACATATAATAATATATTATTATATAACATAATGATATACAATATATATTATTATATAACATATAATGATATACTATATATATTATTATATAACATATAATGATATACAATATATATTATTATATAACATAATAATATACAATATATATTATTATATAACATATATATAATATATATTATTATATAACATATCATATATAATATATATTATTATATAACATATCATATATAATATATATTATTATATAACATATCATATATAATATACATAATATATATTATTATATATAATATATAATATTATATATTATTATATATAATATATAATATTATATATTATTATATATAATATATAATATTATATATTATTATATATAATATATAATATTATATATATAATAAGGCTGTAGTTACCATGGATGGTGATTCCTCTGATGGATCTGGGCAAAGTAAAGTGAAAACCTTCTGGAACTGATTCACCATTCTAGATGCCATAAAGAACAGGAGGAGGTAAAAATACCACCCTTAACAGGAATTTGGAAGAAGTGGATTCCACCCCTCATGGATGACTTTGAGGGGTTCGAGACTTCAGTGGAGGATGTAACTGCAGATGTGGTGGAAACAGCAAGAGAACTGGAATTAGAAGTGGAGGCTGAAGATTTGATGGAAGTGCTGCAATCTCATGATAAAAATGGAATGAGGAGTTGCTTCTTGTGGAGGAGCAAAGAGAGTGGTTTCTTGTGACGGAAACTACCTCTGGTGAAGATGCTGTGAACACGGTTGAAATGACAACAAAGGATTTAGAATATTACATAAATTTAATTGATAAAGCAGTAGCAGGATTTCAGAGGAAAGATTCCAGTTTTGAAGGTTCTGCTGTGGGTAAAATGCTATCAAACAGTATCGCATCCTGTAGAGAAATCCTATATGAAGGAAGAGTCAACAAATGCAGCAAACCTCACTGTCTTCTCATTTTAAGAAATTGCCACTGCAGCCTTCAGTAACCACCACCCAGATCAGTCAGCAGCCACTACCATTGAGGCAAGACCCTCCACCAGAAAAAAGATTAGGACTTGCTGAATGCTTGGATGATTGTTAACATTTTTTAACAATGAAGTCTTTTTAAATTTATTAATTAAATTAATTAATTATTATTTTATGTTTGTAGAGACAGCATCTCTCGATATTGCCTAGGCTGGTCTCGATCACCTGGCCTCAAACAATCCTCCTGCCTCGGCCTCCCAAAATGTTGGGATTATAGACATGAGCCATCTTGCCCAGCCATATTTTAAAATTAATGTATGTACATTTTTTTCAAACATAATGCTATTACACACATGGTAGACTACAGTATAATGTACACATAACTTTTACATGCATTGGGAAACCAAAAACTTTGTGTGACCTGCTTTATTTCGATATTTGTTTTATTGCTGTGGTCTGGAACCAAACCTGCAATATCTCCCAAGGCATGGCTGTATCTCCTCTTTCTCACTATACATTGCTTTCTTTTTTTTTTTTTTTTTTTTTTTTTTGAGATGGAGTCTTGCTCTGTCACTCAGGCTGGAGTGCAGTGGCGTGATCTTGGCTCACTGCAAGCTCTGCCACCTGGGTTCACGCCATTCTCCTGCCTCAGCCTCCCGAGTAGCTGGGACTACAGGCGCCCGCCACCACACCCTGCTAATTTTTTTGTATTTTTAGTAGAGACAGGGTTTCACTGTGTTAGCCAGGATGGTCTTGATCTCCTGACCTTGTGATCCGCCCGCCTCAGTCTCCCAAAGTGCTGGGATTACAGGCGTGAGCCACTGCGACCAGCTACATTGCTTTCTAAAGCCCTTGCATCTCCTGCATACCTCATCAGAGTAATGAAAATGTTGCAGAATTTTGCTCCTTAGTTCAGCTAAAACCGGGTTCTTGTCACACAAGCAGGAAAATTTAGGCCTGCGTACACATTGAAGGGTGAACAGTGCAGGATTATTACAGGGCGAAAAGGGAACAAAAAAGAAAAATACACGGCAAAGTGAGATGGAGTCCTGCTAACAAGCCCCCACCTCACCCAGGCCACCACACAGGAGCTGAAGAGGTCAGGCTTCTACCCCGATCTGTGGCTCCACCCTGGTTCCCCCAGTCCATTGTGGCCATGCTCAGACAAGGCCCTGGGCAGGTTGCCTCATAGGGGGCACAAAAGCAGCTGTTGTAAACTCTTGTTGGGCAGGCAAGGAGATTCACCAGGGACCCCCCTCCCCCCACACCTTATCTGCCTAAGCATTTGGCTATCTCAAAAGCACATTCTAAGTTAAACAATGACCTGTTAATTTCCAATTCAGGGGCTTTTTCCTGTAGTTCTCTGCTTGTGTTTTGAGGTGTTCGTCTCCTCCTCCTTGCAGCTCTGCTTGGTGACTGTGATGCCTGCTACTCTAGTTCTCCTCCTGCCCCTTCAGTCTCTGTGCCAGTTCCTCTTCCTCCTCCTACCCGCTGAAACAGCGTCTTCCTCAGAATACTGTTTCCAGCAGTTCCCATGGCCTCACCTATCACCTCATCTGCACTCACTCCAGACATCTTGAGAGTCAAGACCTGAAGTCCTGTCTGTTAGTACATATTTAATGTGGTAGGCACTTGAGTATTGAATGAAAACTCAGGCACCTTCCTCTCACTAGGTCTGCACACCTGCCCTGGCCCCAGAGCACACAGATAGGCTTACCCGCTTCTACGGTGTGATTGGGTCAGGCTGTTGGAGAAGCAGAGAGAAGATTTGTTGTGGAAGGGGTGCCATGGAGACAGATCTTGAAGATCTCAAGGATTTTGAGAGGGTGACATGGGAAAAAAAGGCCTTCTGCATGGGTGGAACTGCCTAAAACTAGGTTAGGCAACAGGAGGCACTTCCAGAGCCCAGCAGGTGGTCCTGGGAGCACTGGTAGAGATGGACAGGAGGAAAAGGATTCTTTCCTCCCCCTGCTGTTCTCAAAACACCAAGCACTGTAACCGGCACATTATAAGTGCTCTTTAAGGTTTTGAGAGAAGTTGAAAGTCAAGGTGTGTGGGCTGAGAGCCCTGGGGGGCCAGGCTGAGGAGCTTGACACATAATCCAGGAAGGGACAGGAGCCACTGAGCATTGTTGAGGAGGGCAGTGACTGACTGGGGAGGACCTTCAGGAAGCTTTGTCTGGCATGTGGGCGCTGGATGGATAGGAGAGTAGAAAAGTGGACAAGTGAGTACACTGAGGGGGAAGTGACGGAGCTCTGAGGAAGGGGAGTTGCAGGGGAAATGGACAGGAGGGAATGACTCCAGTGAGCTGGGGGCACAAGGGAAAGTAGGTGAGGGTGGGGGAGAGAGATGACAAAGGCCAGTGTTGGAGGAACTGGGAGAACGGAGGCATTGTTGACACAGGCGGTGGCCATGTTGTTTGTACTGGGGGCCTGGTGAGCAGATGCCTCAGCGTGGTTGAATCTGAGTGTGAGGAGTGAGGCCTGCGGGGGGTGCTCCCCAGTTGGTGCCAGGATAGCTTCACCTGGAGCCGAGAATGGGTGATGTGGTGGTCGCTCAGGCACATGGAGTTGCTGGAGAAACCAGTTGAGTCTGGAACCTTGGGAAGGGGCAGGAACAGGAGGAAGGATGGAGAAGGGGCACTCAGGTGGGAGGAAGCCTGGAGAGGAATCAGTGGCATCAGAGGCACTGGATTCTCTGAAAAGAGTCCCTTCGATTTGGCACTTAGCTATGCTTTAGCAAATATCAGAGGAGCAGGTCTTCTTCTGGAGGAAGAAGTAGGGTTAGTGTGGAAACGTAGCTATTCCTCAGTGAGCAATTGTTGGCTGAATCCTGCTACATGTCAGACGTTGTGCCAGGTGATGAAGTGGTCACAATGAGGAAGATGGATGTGGAGAGTTGCTGGGTGGTGCCCAGAAGATCAGTAATTGGGATTTTAACACATTGTGATGAGTTTAGAAGGGTGGAAGCTTTGAGGACTATAGAGACACAAAAAGGCAGAAACTGGAAAAGAGTTTGTAGAGGTTTCTTACCTTCTCAACCATTCAAGTTCATAGCCCATCTTCCCAACTTTGCATCCATGGTTCAGTAGCCGAGTCTGTGGTGGGCACCTCATTGATCTTTGCTGCTTTATGGTTTTATGAACTCTAGCAGCTTCCCCTGCAGACATTGAGACACCTTGTAGAACCTAGGCAAGACTGCAGTGGTACAGGCAGTGGCCAGATCACACATTATATAAGATGATGCCAATACGTATAGTTATTTAAATGTGCAGCTAAAATCGTCCTGAATGTTGTTGCATCATTTCAAATATATGACTTACAAAAGAAGAAAAGAAAAGTTAGCGCCGTTCAATCATCCTGAGATTGCTCCTTTGCCTGGGACTTGCAAGAGTAGGACAGGAAGTGGAGAGGAAAATGTCCAGGCTCTTTGCAGGCTGAGGTGCACATTACTGGAAATGTTGAGAATCACTGACAGAGCGAACCATCCAGCTCTGTGAAATAGGAGAAACCAACTAGCTGGAGAGGTAGGATGCATGCTCTGAGTACTTAACAATCCTTATTTTACAACTTCTGAATCCGTAACAGTTTGAGGATTTGGTAGTCAGTGATCCTGCTAATAGCTGCATAATGAGCCCGGTAGGTCCTCATTGATTCACCACTCACCGACTGGTCTGCCGCTTTCCACTGGAAGGACTAGGATTTCTTCTTCTAACACTGTTTATTCTATGGCTGAATCATTTGTACACTATTAAAAATTCTACGTGCTTTACGATATGTGGAATCTTGACCTCACTTGTCGGAATTTAATCAATGATTTAATCTCTACCTGTCTAAGCAGCTCACAATGGTTTTCTTATCCAAAGGATAGTTGCAGAATGTTTGTTAATTGGGACAGGAGTAAAATAGTGAATCTTGTAAGGATGAATTATGACTAAATTCATGGGAAGTGGACGATACAACTTTTTAAGCTTTATTAAGATACAATTTAAATACCAGTTCACCAATGATTTCTAATTCAACTAAATGGCTTTTAGCACATATAGGAAGAGTTGTACAGCTGTTGCCACTGATTCCAGGACCTTTTTAGCACCCCGCAAAGAAACCCCAATTCCTGTTAGCAGTCATTCCCCATTTCCTCCTGCTCCAGGCTCTGGCAACCACTGACCTGCCTCCTGTCTCTATGGATTTGCCTATTCTGGACATTTCCTATCAATGGAATTATACAATATGTGGCCTTTTGTGACTGGCTTCTTTTACTTAGATAATATTTTCAGTGTGCATTCATGTTGTAGCATAGCATGTGTCAGTACTTCTGTTTTATAGCTGAATAATATTCAATTATGTGGATATCAAATTTTGTTTATCCGTGCATCGGTTGATGGGTATTTGGTTCGTTTCCCCCTTTGACCATTATGAATAATGCTGCTGTGAACACTCATGTACAAGTTTTTGTGTGGGCACCTGTTTTCAGTTCTCTTGGGTATATACCCAGGAGTGGAATTGATGGGTCATATAACTCTATGTTTCATATTTTTAGGAACTGCCAAATTATTTCCAAAGTGGCTGCCCCATTTTACAGCCCACCAGCAATATAAGAGTGTTCTGATTTTTCCACATCTTTGCCAACACTGCTAAAGGACAGTATAATATTATATAAGACTCTTAATTATTTAGGCATTGATTATCTACAAGGGGGTTTTCTAGGATTTTGTTTCCCTTTCTCTGTCCCCAAGTTACTGATTTGTTGATTTCACTGTAATATCTGATTTTGCTTTCCCGAAGAGAGGAAGGTGAGGAGAATGTGGGAGAACTTAAATTGGTTAATATAGCTAAATATTAACACCTGTTAACAAGTTGACTAGAAAGGTTTAAGGGGGAAAGATGATTTAATTAGCTCAAGTGATGTTTGGATTAATAGCAACCTCTGTAGGACTGGGGATGTATTCTTAGGTACTATAATAATTTATGTTTTTATTTATGAAAAAATTAAAAATTTAAGCATGTTTCATATTATCTGGATGACCATGGTATGGGGAAAACTGTAACTTGATTTTTGTGCCTTAATTTGCATTTGATTTTAATTCTTTGGTGCCAAGAAATTCAACTAACATGGCAGCAATTAACTTACTGCAGAGTTTTCAAAATATCTTAAAGGGCCTGGAAAAATTTTTCTAGAAGCTTCATATGTTACCCAAATTTGATGAGGAGTATCATAGTCAGTACTCCTGTGGAGTTTTCAAGTAAAGCCCTCATAATGATGGTGGGAAGGAAGGTGTGTTCCCTAAGAGTGAGGCTTGGCATAAACCCTTCACACATTACCTGGAAGTATCACACTTCAATTTTAAAAAGATTCACATGAATTTACAGTGTTTTTTAATGTTACATAATAGGTAATACCTATTTTTAGTATGTAATAAAGCCTTAAATTATATAACATTCAATAAAAATACCTGTACCTTTCCACAGTGTACTAGAAAATGTTCCAATTTGTGTAGAACTGACTTTTACTCTTCTTTTCATTCCTGGTGGGAAGATCACTTGAGCCCAGGAGTTTGAGACCAGCCTGGGAAATATAGTGAGACCCTTGTCTCTACAAAAACCAAAAAAATTACCTGGGCATGGTGGCGTGGGCCTGTAGTCCTAGCTACTTGGGAGGATGAGGTGGGAGGATCACTGGAGCCCAAAAGGTTGAGGCTGCAGTGAGCTGTGATTATTGCACCACTGCATTGTAGCCTGGACAACAGAGTGAGACCCTATGTCAAAACAAAACAAAACACATGAGCAGCCTAGTACATGTCGGGCACTTAGTGTTCAGTAATATTATTTACTTTCCTGAAGAAAATGGCCAATTAATGGAGAGTAGTACATTTCAAGAGATAAGGAGAAGCATGATTTCTAACACTCTAGAATATTGGATTGGCTAGAAAAAAAAACAGTTTGAAGAGGAGAAAGAGATGAATGTGAAATGAGCAAGCTGCTGAGTACGGGGTGAGTAGTGATTACATATACTGGAAAAGAGGAACTTAGTTCTGTAGAAATCTTAACTTCGTGATAAAAGTTACCAGCAACAGCAGGTGGCCAAATAACAACCAGAGGGCACCTGAGATGGGTATGATCTTACTGTTCCAGTTTTTATTATGTTTCAGTCTTGAGAAAAGACCCATCTTTAGAGGAAGACATATATCTTTAATTTACTCTCCAGGTCCTCCATAACTGCTACAGTAGCTATAATATTTATGTGATGGAATAGTCAAGTATAAAATAATATTGAGATAAAAATTTTGACACAACAGAGACTCAGTAGGAAGAAATTGTAAAGCTGGAAAGAGTAAACAGTGCAATAGTGATTAACTACAGAATAAGTGTATCAAAGTACAACTTTCAAATTGTTAAAACGTAACTATCTCTTAAATGTATCATGAATATGTGTCAGAAATTTATTTAGCTCATCAATGAGGGAACCAGCAGGATGTTGCCACTGACTTAGTCTGTCAGGAAAGGCGTGCTGAGATGTTTGCTAAATTAGACAACACTGGTTAATGTCCTATAGGGCAGTAAAACTGTAACCTTTATAGTTACCTTTTCTGAAAGATAGAAATAATTTGCATCTCTAATGAGAAAAAAAGAAATCTGAAGATTAACCTATAACTTACCTCTAATTAGTAGTAAATAGCAGGTCAAAATAAAGTACGTCCTAGAGAATGAAATCAGTTAGACTGGCTTTGGTGTGATATTGAAAGTACATGTGCCATCCTTGGCCTTATTTCCATGTTCTGACTAATTTTAAAAAATATGTATAAGGATTAGTGAGGGGCCATTAATACCACCAGAAATTACTAGGATGCCTTAGACTTCCATTGTGTTCCCTGGCTCTCTCAGTGGGCATGGGGTTTCCTGGAGGCTGATTTTTCTCCTAGGATGAAGTCCCCCAAGAAACATGCATTTGCTTCTCAAAAACAGAACTGTTGTTCTTCCAACTCCTCACTTTCCCATGTTTCCTCCCCTGTTACCTCGTGTTTGTTTGTTTGTTTGTTTGAGATGGAGTCTAGTTCTGTCGCCCAGGCTGGAGTGCAGTGGCATGATCTCTGCTTACTGCAACCTCCACCTCCCGGATTCAAGCGATTCTCCTGCCTCAGCCTCCCGAGTAGCTGGGATTACAGGCGCCCGCCACCATGCCAGCTAATTTCTATATTTTTAGTAGAGACGGGGTTTCACTGTGTTGGCCAGGCTGGTCTTGAACTCCTGACCTTGTGATCTGCCCCCCTTGGCCTCCCAAAGTGCTGAGATTACAGGCGTGAGCCACCGCACCGAGCCACCTTGTTTTGTTTCCAGACTCACTGGACTAAATGTCAGGTCCTCCCAGCCTCCTGCCCACTCCTGTACAAACAGAATCATAGGAAGTCTCTTTATAATAAAGCAGCAAGCCTATTTCAGGTACACATGTGTTTTGCTGGATGTTCTAGGAAGGTGAAAAAGAGTCTAGAGGTCTCCAAAACCCTTTGCCATTAAATCCTTCAGACGCAGTTAATAAAATCCATAGGAATCTCCCACAGAGGCGTTGTTGAGTTTGGCTTGGGATTACTATAGAGGTATGATTATTAATCTTCATTCTTGTGGCAGTTTACATCAGTTTCTAGATAAATGTTGATTGGAATTTAAAACTCTATGTATGTTCAAGCAAGGAGGTGAGTTTTGTTTGGTAGTCTCTTTTTCTTTGTCCTTGTTCTTTCTGCCAAGTCTGGGTCGTCCTGTGAGGGCTATCCCACGTGCTGCCACGAGGACATGGAAACTAGTAAAGTTTCTGCAGGTCAGCAAAGTTAGATGAGTACCACCAGCAGCAGGTGTCAGCTAATAAGCAGAGGGCATTTCAGACTGGTACCTCTTCCTCAGGGGTGATGCAGGACCTTTTCTGCTGTTGATTAAAGGATTGTATTTTTAGAATATATATTACATATTCTTAGAACTATAAAATCTTTTTTTTTTTTTTTAAGGCAGGGTCTTACTCTGTCACCCAGTCTGGAGTGCAGTGGTTCATTCTTTGTTCTCTTTTCAGGCACACACCACCACTCTCAGCTAATTTTTGTATTTTTTACAGAGACAGGATTTTATCATGTTGCTCAGGCTGGTCTCGAACTCCTGAGCTCAAGCGATCCGCCCGTCTTGGCCTTCCAAAGTTCTGGGATTACAGGCCTGAGCCACTGCGCCCGCCAGAACCATAAAATCTTAAAGTTGAAGGAAATCTCAGAGGTTTGGAATCCAGCACCCACGCCAGCTGCAATCCATGTTTGCCAGCCGCTGAGCTCTTCGGAAGGTGGGAAGCTGGGAAGACTGAATCTTGCTAGATGGCCTGTTCTCTGTAAACAGCTTTGATTGTTAGGGAATCTGTCACAGAATGAAAAACAATCTCATTCTACATACTGATTCTACCAGAAAGTGTGCATCTGAATAAACTTCTGATCCTTCTTCCATAGGAAAAGCACTATGATGTCTTCCCTAAAAGTTGTGTTTTTGAAGCTGAATGTCTCAGAATCTTTCTGCTGATTTGTGAAATAATATGGATGGCAGATTATTGTGTAAATTTATCTGTGGTTTGTCTGTGTTTCTTTTAAGATGTGTTCCTTAGAACTGAACGTACTACTTTTAATTGGCCAATGTGTAGGTTTAGGAGAGGGATGGGAAAAACTTGCGTCTTGTGATCTAAGCTCTACTTCTGTTGTTTGCCTAGACCTGCGGCAATGTATTGGAATTTTCAATAGGCGCATAACAGTGTCAGATCACATTGGCCATCCAGGTCACCACATCTTTGGGTTCTTATTCAAATAAATTGCTTTTGTTTGTCAAGTGTTCCCACTAAGCCATATGTAAGTAATTGTAATCCAATTTTTTAAAACCTTAGCTGTGAATACTTATTATAATAATAATATATGTCTTATAAGAGAGATAGACTAGCATGGTAGTTAAGAGTTTAGCACTGGAATCGGACCATCTGGGTTCCAATCCTATCTCCTTTATTACAGTCTGACATTGAGATGGTTAAATGTGTTGATGCCTGGAAGGTCCCTTCCCATGGCTCTTGGTTGGTCAGTGATCAACAAATGAGAGCTATTATTCTCTTTGCCAGACTTGTACAAACCCCTTCAACGGGCATTTTCTTAATTTAACCCAACTACAGTTTGATGAATACTATTGTTATTCTGCCTTTGTTTAGATGTGGGAACCGAGCTCAGAGTAGCTAGGTAATTTGTTCAGGGATGTGGCACTCCTGGGTGGCGCAGAAGGATTTGAACATGGGCCTATCTGATGCTTTAGTGGTTGGCACACCTGGTTAGCCCTGTTGTATGTTTCATAGAGCAGTATTTTCTAACCCAGCCTTCTAACAATTGTGTATCTTAGCTGTTTTATTAAATACTTAATTCATACAAAGAGTACAGCATGTAAGGACAAAGACAAGTAAACACCATGTATGCACTGCGCAACCTGAAACGTGAAATGCTACCATTTTCCTTGAATGTCCCACCTCGTTCTCAGCCCCAAGTCTCCCACCCAAGAGGTGACATCATTCTGACTTCGGGGATTATCACCACTTAACTCTTCTTTATTGGTTTTCAACACATAAAATATTCCTAAACAATATTTTTCTTTATGTAGCTGTTTAGTAGAATAGCATAACATACGAGATGTGAATATAAAGCAACTTTATGTTTTTTGCTCTCGGTGGTCCCCTTAAATTACACGTGTGATTAGTTTCTCTTGTGCCCGAGATGAAAAATCAAGCAGCCTCATGACTGTTGGTCACCTCCGGGTCATAAAAATCTCACAATCACATCAAGTTTAAAACAAATAAAACAAACCAAAAAACCCCACTCACTCCCACAATGAAAATACACAGTTTCACGTAATAGTCAAAATAATCTTGCTTTAAAATTGAGGCTCTTGATATTGACAGAATGTGTCTGATTACGTCCTTGTTCTTTTTTTTCCCCCTCACAGGAATGTTGCAGCTATTCTAAGGGCTTTGCACGCTCATGTGAATTTTAAATTCAGCTAGTCAGTCACACACACACACACACACACACACACACACACACAGAGTTTGGATTTTGATTGGAGGTATTTTTGAATCTGGACATTGTAATGGTGTTATTTGTTCCCTTGCCTTAGTGAGGTTATCATGCTTATTAGCACAAGGGGCGGGTTTCCAAGCATTTACCTAGACAAGCTGTGACCCCCTGTCATGTGTACAAAGCTCTTGTTGGCCTGACTGTGCCACTCATCATCAGCTGTTTGTTTTTTTAAGATAATAGTCTATTTTTTAGAGCACTTTTAGGTTTATAGAAAAACTACCCCCTCTCCCCTGTTCACTGTTTCTTTTATTATTATCATTTTGCATTAGTGAGATATATTTCTTACAATTGATGGGTCAATATTGATTTACTATTAACTAAAGTCCATGGTTGACATTAGAGTTCACTCTTTTTTTTGAGACAGAGGCTTGCTCTGTCACCAGGCTGGAGTGCAGTGGTGCAATCTTGACTCACTGCAACCTCCGCCTCCCAGGTTCAAGCGATTCTCCTGCCTCAGCCTCCTGAGTAACTGGGATTACAGGTGCGTGCCACCACACTCAGCTAATTTTTGTGTTTTTAGTAGAGACAGGGTTTCACCATGTTGGCCAAAATGGTCTTGATCTCTTGAGCTCATGGTTCGCCCACCTTGGCCTCCCAAAATGCTGAGATGACAGGTGTGAGCCACCATGCCTGGCCTAGAGTTCACTCTTGATGTACATTCTATGGTTTGTACAAATACATAATGCAATGTATTTACCATTATGATGTTGTACAAATAGTACATATGTTAAAATCCCCTGTGCTTCACCTGTTCACTTCTCTTTCCCCACCCAGCCTTTGGCAACCACTGATCTTTTTAGTCTCCATAGTTTTGCCTTTTCCAGAATGTCATGTAGTTGGAATCATGTAGTATGCAGCCTCCTCAGCTTGGCTTCTTACATTCACAGTATGCATTTAAGTTTCCTCTGTGTCTTTTTCTGGCTTAGTAGCTCATTTCTCCAGCCTGGGGGACAGAGCAAGACTCTGTCTAAATAAATAAATAAATAAATAAATAAATAAATAAATAAATAAAAAGTGACTCTGACATATTTGACTCCTATATTCGTTGATACATCTAAGTTTATCCTTGCCTTTTAAAAGATAATAGGTAAGGATATATTACCTTGTTGTGTGTTGTGAGTTTACTTTTTATCCTAGGATTTAAGTGCAAAAGGACGTTAAGAATCCTGGGCTATGGAAGAGCTTGATCTTCCTGCCTCTGAGCCCCAGAACCCTCTTTTGTTTGCAGAGCTAAACAGCCACACCGAGTAGATGGCCCAGCAGCAGTAAATGTGGTGCCCACAGTCGTAAAGGACAGTTGATTCTGCAGGGAACGGCCCGTTCCTGAGCCTCTCCTGGAACGAGTGTGTGCTTGGGCGCTTTCTCCAGGTTGGATGCCAGTGTTGGCCTCAGAGACCTGTTTGCTTTCTTTCTTTCCCTTTTTTTTTTTTTTTTTTTTTTTAGCTTCACTTGTACTTTAAGGTACAATATTAGAATGTTCCTGTGACTTTTTTTTTTTTTGTATTTGTAGATTTGGGATAAAAATGGAATTAAAAAGCCTGAAGGGAGCGGGAGGAGGGAATCTTGCAAAATACAGACGGAAGAGAGTGAGAACTGTCTTATTAGATAGTTTTTTTCTTTTGTTCTTCATCTGTTTTTGCATTTATTATTTGAGATAAGAAATTTTCATTAAGCAAAGGTAGTGAAACACTCCCAGGAGCCTGGAATTACGTTATGAACACGGCTTAGTTTGGGAAATAAAAATGGCATCATACGGAAGCATTCCACTTACTTGCCCAATTTAGGAGTGGAGAAGTCGACAAGCAAACAGGAAAACCCTAACTTAGGAAACAGTATGTAATTCCTGGAATTATGGTGAGATTTTTTTTTTCCCTCAAGTTTTATTTTAAGTTCCTGGGTACGTGTGTAGGATGTGCAGGTTTGTTACATAGGTAAACGTGTGCCATGGTGGTTGGCTGCAGATCATCCCATCCCTAGGTATTAAGCCCAGCATCCATTAGCTATTCTTCCTGATGCTCTCCTTCCCCCATCCCCTCCCTCCCCACAGGCCCCAGTGTGTGTTGTTCCCCTCCATGTGAAATGATGGGATTTTTACTGTCAAGCTTTCTGAAGTTGAAGTTGTCTCTTCCCCAGTGCCCTCTTTGTAAAAGTATAAAGAACCATTCTGTAGAGGATGTAAATTAGTGTCAGGGTAATCACCAATTACCCTGACGGTAATTTAGGGGAAGGGGAAGAAGGGGAAGAAATACTGATAATATAGCACTCAACTTTTTAAGTAGCTTTTTCCTAAACTTGATCTTCCTGTGTCTGAGCCCCTAAGAAAGCCTCAAAAGCGCTAGCTACATTTTGTAAAGTCTGTTTTTGTGACTGAAAGGGGACAGCACTTCTGTGGCTGTTTGCATTGTTTCCTTAAACTTTGCTGTTGAGGATTGGATGTGACATGTAAGGCTCTCTCTGTTATGTCTAGGTGGACACAGCAATGCAGTGCCTTGCAGTCATTTAATGGTGGATTCCTGCAGGCAAGAATCAGGATAGGGTAATTTCTGGGGCTTAAATTTCACGGGTTCTTCAATTCTCAAACTCGTTTCTCTTTTTTGTTGGTAGGTATTTGGGAGAAAGAGCTGGAAAGACACTTTTTTATATTATTAAATACAGACAATTGATGAGAAGAATTTTTGTAGTCTCTCCCACAGAAGGATAAATTTACTTTGCAGACATCCAAACCTAATGTTTACAAAGAAGCTCTGAATGTTTCAACAAATATTTAATGAGCTGCCATTAGGTGCCAGACACTGTACTGTGTGTATATGCTGTGGCTCTGGATGATTAAGGTCATGTCTTTAAGGAGTTTATGGTCTAGTGAGGGTGCCTCAGTCATGCAAAAATGTAACTTAATGTAATGTGGTGTGTGTTAGATGAATTTCTGCACAGCTGCTTGGTTTAATATAGTAATTGTAAGTGTCAGGAAGCCACAGGGGGAGTGTGGCTTCCTGAGAGAGACAGTTCCTGCACTGAAGCTCATAGGCAGGTTCTTATTGCATGTACTCACAGCCAGAGGCTAACCCGAATGCCTGTTATGTGTTAGATACAGTTACAGGAATAATACCATTTAATTCTCACTGCCGTCCTCCAGAGTCTCTGTTACTGTTATCCACATTTTTCATTTTGCAGATGAAAAATCTGAAGAAACACTGTGTTCAGAAAACGATAGGAAAATTGTGAATCTTCCTGAATCAAATATATTTTGGAAATGCTTAATTTAACTGGTAAATTGTTTTAAAAGCATTGTTTTTGTTGGCAGACAGAGCTTTTTTTTTAAATTTTAGTAAAATAGGTATAACGTAACATTGATGACGACTTTAACCATTTTTAGGCATAAAATTCAGTTGTGTTAAGTTCATGATATTAATATGGTTGTGCAACTATTACTACCATTCATCTCGAGAACTGTTCCATCTCCCAAACTGAATGTCCATACTCATTAAGCAACAGCTCCCATTTCTCCTCCTCCTCCCAGACCCCAGAAATTACTGTTCTACTTTCTTTCTCTACAAATTTGACTTCTCTAGGTACTTCAAATAATTGGAATCATATGCTATTTGCTCTTTTGTGACTGTCATATTTCAGTTAGCATAATGTCCTCCAGGTTCATCCCTGCTGTAGCATGAGTCAGAATTTCTTTTCTTTTTAAGGCTAAATAATATTCTATTATATGTATATACCACATTTTCCTTATCCATTTATCAATCAGTGAACATTTGGGTTGTTTCTGCCTGTTGGCTGTTGTGAGTAATGCTGCTGTGAACATCAGTGTATAAATATCTGTTCTGCATACATCAAAATAATAAGAGCCATGTATGACAAACCCACAGCCAATATCATACCTAATGGGTAAAAGCCGGAAGGATTCCCCTTGAAAACCGACACAAGACAAGAATGGCCTCTCTCTCACCATTCCTATTCAACATAGTTTTAGAAGTTCTGGCCAAAGCAGTCAGGCAAGAGAAAGAAATAAATGACATCCAAATAGGAAGAGAGGAAGTCAAACTATCCCTGTTTGCAGATGACATGATTCTGTATCCTGAAAACCCCAAAGTCTCGCCCCCAAAGCTCCTTCAGCTGATAAACAACTTCAGCAAATTCTCAGAATACAAAACCAATGTGCAAAATTGCTAGCATTCCTGTATACCAACAGTGGGCAAGCAGAAAGCCAAGCCATGAAAGAATTTCCATTTACAATTGCCACCAAAACAATAAAATACCTAGGAATACAGCTAACAAGAGAAGTGAAGGACCTCTTCAAGGAGAATTACAAACCACTGCTCAAAGAAATCAGAGATGCAAATGGAAAAACACTCCATGCTATGGATAGGAGGAATCAATATCATAAAAATGGCCATACTGCTCAAAGCAATTTATCAATTCAATGCTATTCTGATTAAATTACCATTAACATTCTTCACAGAATTAGAAAAAAACTATTTTAAAATTCATGTGGACCAAAAAAGAGCCTGAATAGTGAAGACAATTCTAAGCAAAAAGAAGAAAGCTGGAGGCATCACTTTACCCAACTTCAAACTATACTACAGGGTGACAGTAACCAAAATCACATGGTACTGGTACAAGAACAGACAAATAGACAAATGGAACAGAATAGAGAACCCAGAAATAAGATCACACACCTACAACTATCTGACCTTTGACAAACCTGACCAAAAACAAGCAATGGAGAAAGGATACCCTATTTAATAAATGGTGCTCGGAGAACAAGCTAGCAGAAAATTGAAACTGGAAACCTTCCTTACACCATATACAAAAATCAACTCAAGATAAATTAAAGGCTTAAATGTAAAACCCCAAACCTTAAAAACCCTAGAAGAAAATCTAGGCAATACCATTCAGGGCATAGGAATGAGCAAAGATTTCATGGTGAAGATGCCAAAAGCAATCACAACAAAAGCAAAAATTGACAAATGGGATCTAATTACACTAAAGAGCTCTGCACAGCAAAAGAAACCAACAGTGTGAAGAGACAATCTACAGAGTGAGAGAAAATTTTTCCAATCTATCCATCTGACAAAGGTCTAACATCCAACATCTACAAGGAACTTAAACAAATTTACAAGAAAAAAACAACACCATTAAAAAGTGGGAAAAGGATATGAACAGACACTAAAGAAGACACATGTGGCCACAAAACATGAAAAAAAGCTCAATATCACTGATCATTAGAGAAATGCAAATCAAAACCAGAATGAGATACCATCTCACACCAGTCAGAATGACTGTTATCAAAAAGTCAAAAAACAACAGATGCTGGCCAGGTTGTAAAGGAAAAGGAATGCTTTTACACTGTTGGTGGGAGTATAAATTAGTTCAGCCCTTGTGGAAAACAGTGTGGTGATTCCTCAGTGATCTAGAACCAGAAATATCACTTGACCCAACAATCCCATTACTGGGTATATACCCAAAGGAATATAAATCATTCTATTATAAAGATACATGCGGGCCAGGCACGGTGGCTCATGCCTGTAATCCTAGCACTTTGGGAGGCCGAGGTGGGTGGATCACCTGAGGTCAGGAGTTCAAGACCAGCCTGGCTAACGTGGTAAAACCCTGTCTCTACTAAAAATACAAAAATTAGCCAGACGTGTTGGGATGTGCCTGTAATCCCAGCTACTCAGGAGGCTGAGGCAGGAGAATCACTTGAACCCAGGGGGCAAAGGTTGCAGTAAGCTGAGATTGTGCTATTGCACTCCAGCCTGGGCAACGAGTGAAACTCTGTCTCAAAAAAAAAAAAAAAAGATACATGCATGCATATGTTCTTTGCAGCACTATTCACAATAGCAAAGATATGGAACCAACCTAAATGCTCATCAGTAATAGACTGGATAAAGAAAAGTGGTATGTATACACCATGGAATACTATGCAGCCATAAAAGGAACAAGATCATGTCCTTTGCAGTTATATGGATGGAGTTGGAAGCCATTATCCTCAGCAAACTAAAGCAGGAATAGAAAACCAAATACAGCATGTTCTCACTTGTAAGTGGGAGCTGAATGATGAGAACACATGGACACATGGTGGGGAACAACACACGGTGGGGTCTGTCTGAGGGTTGGGGATGCAAGGAGGGACAGCATTAGAAAGAATATCTAATGGATGCTGGGCTTAATACCGAGGTGATAGGATGATACGTGCAGCAAACCACCATGGCATACGTTTACCTAGGTAACAAATCTGCACATCCCGCACATGTACCCCTGAACTTAAAATAAAAATCGGAAAGAAAATAAAATCTGTTCCAGTCCCCAGTTTCAGTTCTTTTGGGTATATCTCCAGAAGTGGAATTGCTAGAGCATGTAATAGTTCTGTGTTTGAGTTTTTGGGGAACCACCATAATGTTTTCCACAGTGGCTGCACTATTTCACATTTCCACCAACAGTACACCCGGGTTCGTTTCTCCACATCCCTACCAGCACTTGTTATTTTCTGTTTTTTTAAGGTAACAGGCTTCTAAATAGATGTGAAGTGGCTAGTGTTGTTTTTTATCAAGACAAATCTTAGGAAAAGAATGCAGTATTTGTGTGACTTGTAAAGATAAACTATGCAACTGTAAAGAAATGTTCAGCGTTCAGTAACCTGCTACCTCTGCGCATCACCCAAGATGCAGACTGGCTATCCTGAGCCATCAGGGAGGCAGTCGCAGTGGATTAGGAACACAGATGCTGTGGCCAGACTACCTGGTGTAGGTGGTGGCCCTGTCACTTTCTATGGTGTGATCTTAGGACCTAACCTCAGATTCTTGCATCTGTGAAATGGATGTGATAATAGAGGGTAGTTGTGTTGAGAATATCTGGCGTATAGACATTCTCTCTCCTCCTCCACCTCATGTGTAATTAGGAGTAATTTAGGGAAGTTGGAGCCGCACTGCCTGATGGGAGCCGCTGAAAGAGCTTTCGGCAGGGAAGGGACGAGCCTTGTTCTTGTCAAAATGGGCTCAACAAATCTGAGGCTGAAATTCTTTTGTCAGCAGGCTGGAGGAAGGTAATTAGTGTCAGGTGAGGCTCAGAGTTATTGAATGTGTTCAGAATCAAGGACCTGGTGGCCTCCCAGAATAGTGACGGAACTGGGGAGTGATCAGCTTTCTTCCAGAAATTCCCTGTAATTGAGGGCTTTGTTGCCAAAAAGGCTGATAATAACCTGTGTTCCATATTCCTGTTAATTAGATGCAAAGTGGTTCCAATTCCAAGTTGCACCACTGTGGAATAAAATACAGAATATAGATTGTGCCTGAGGAATATTGAAGTGAAACAGTGTAATTCATAATCCCCAGTGCTCCTAGCACTCCAGTGAGTGAATATAGGTGGAGTCTGAGTTCTCCAAGAGTGATTTTCCCTTCCCATGTGGATGACAGCTCACATTGGCTTTTCTCCAGTGGATCGGTTAGTCATGCAGATCAAGAAGACTGGTGGGGACTTTCCAGACTGATCTTTAGTTGCAGATAGGTGTCACCTTCTTGTCCAGAGGGTTCCCAGACATTCTCAGTTCATGCACCCTGGTTTCTCATTAAGACTTTTAGGGAGCCCATAGGCCAAAAGAAATCCCTGACAGTTCCATTTATTAAGTAGTTTTAATCAGCTGGCTGGAAAGGGATATTGCTAAGTGTGGAGAGAAACAAGGAGAAAGTTCAGAAAAGTTTCAGCTTCTTCAGAAATTACCGCACTTGGTTTAATTTGAAGTCAAGTGAGAGTCTCAAGAGGTGAATACTGTATTCACTCTTATACTGAAGATCGGATATTGGTGTTTTCCTTTATAATCTGAATTTTACCAAAACTGGGTGGAAAACACAAAGTTCCTAGAAAATAGAGATTGCTATGTTTTTGTTGTCTTCTGGACAAGAGTCTAATCTCCAGGGGAGCATGTCAGGGTCAGCTGTGGCTTCCTGGTTCCTGCCACTGTTGATGAGCTCTCAGCACTGATGCAGGGGTCATTCTAACGGAGGTGCAGAGATAGACATCATGAGCCTCTGGCTTAGGTGCCCAAGAACTGTACTCAGGACAAGCCGATTTCAGGAATTCGACTTGAACACAGATGTGATCACAGTGGTATCAAGAGTAGATATTTTAAAGGTGCTATCCCCGTTTCTCTATTAAACCTCAGTTAGGCTTTTAGTTGTCTCAGATAGAGGTGTAAGACTTTAATTTCATTTCATTTTTAATTTTAAAAGGTCAGCGTTTTTGTTGAAACTAGATTGCTGCACTTAAAAGTATGGGGTAAGGGAATTAAGAGATGAAAAGACAGCTCTTGCCAAGGTTATTTGATGAAATAAAAGGAGGCCACCAGAGGAGGTGAGAGGACAGCACTGTTCTGGTCTCTGCTTTCAGTTCTGCGTGTTAAGTGAGATCATGTGGTATTTGTCTCTCTGTGCCTGGCTCATTTCACTCAGCATAATATCCTCCAGCTTTATCAGTGTTGCTGCAAATGACAGGACATCCTTTTCATGACTGAATAGTACTCCGTTGTGTGTGTATACACCACATTTTCTTTATCCATTCATCCATTCAGGGACACTTAGGTCAATTGCGTATCTTGGCTACTGTGAATAGTGCTGCCATGAACAAGGGGGTGTAGACGTCTTTTTGAGGTGTTGATTTCGTTTTTTTGGATATATACCCAGTATTGGGATTGCTGTATCATATGGTAGTTCTATATTTAGTTTTCTGAGGCGCCTCCATGCTGTTTTCCACAGGGGCTGTACTAATTCACAATCCTGCCAGTAGTGTGTGAGGGTCTCCTTTCTTGCACATCCTTACCACCGCTTGTAACCTCTGGTCTTTTTGATAATAACCATCCTAACAGGTGTGAGGTGGTATCTCACTGTGAGTTTGATTTGCATTTCCCTGAGAATTTTGATGTTGAGCACCTTTTTCATATATCTCTTGGCCATTTGTGTGTCTTCTTTGAAAAAATGTTCAGTTCCTTTGTACATTTTGTGATTGAGTTATTTGTTTATTGAGGGCTTTGTTTGTTTTTGCTAATGAGTTGTTTGAGATCCTCATCTATTATGGGTATTAGTCCTTTACTTGTTATATGACTTGCACATGTTTTCTCCTATTCCATGGGTTACCTTATTTTGTTGTTTCTTTTGCTATGAAAAGCCTTTTAGCTTGATACAGTCTCGTGTCTATTTTTGCTTTTGTTGCCTACGCTTTTAGTGTTATATCCAAGAACTTATTGCCAAGACCAGTGTCAAGGAGCTTTTCTCATATGTTTTGTTCTACGGTTTTTATGGTTCCAGGTCTTAAGTTTAAGTCTTTAATTCATTCTGAGTTGATTTTTGGAGTAGGAGGCCAATTTTATTATTTTGCATGTGGATATTCAGTTTTCCCAGTACCATTTATTAAGAGACTATCCTTTCCCCATTCTTGGTGCCTTTGTTGAAGTTAAGTTGACCGTGTATGCATGGGTTTATTTCTGGGCTTCATATTCTATTCTGTTGGTCTATGTGTCTGTTTTTATACCAGTAATATGTGGTTTTGATTACCATAAGTTTGTAATATAGTTTGAAATCAGGTAGTGTGATGTCTCCAGCTTTATTCTTTTTTTTCAAGATTGCTTTGTCCGTCTGGAATCTTTTATGGTTCTATATGAATTTTAGGGTTTTTTTTTTTTTTGTATTTCATTGGAATTTCAATAGCCATGGCATTGAATCTGTAGATGACTTTCAGTAGTATGGACATTTTAATGATATTCTCCTAATTCATGTTTATAGGATATCTTTCCATTTATTTGTGTCTTCTTCAGTTTCTTTCATCAATGTTTTATAGGTTTCAGTGTACAGATCTTTCACCTCCTTGATTAAAGTTATTCCTAAGTATTTTATTCTTTTCGATGCTTTTGCAAATTTGATTGTTTTCTTGATTTCTTTTCAGATAGTACATTGTTAGTGTCTAGAAATGCAACTGAAGAAAATAAATTCAACTGATTTTTCCATGTTGATATTTATCCTGCAATTTTACTGAATTTGTTTATTAGTTCTAACAGTTTTATGGTAGTCTTTAGGGTTTTCTGTATATTAGATAACATCATTTTCAAACAGACTATTTAACTTCTTCCTTTCTGATTCGGTTGCCTTTCTTTCTTTCTCTTGCCCATTTGCTCTTTCTAGGACTTCCAGGATTATGTTGAATGGAAGTGGTGAGAGTGGACATCCTTATCTTATTTCTGATGCTAGAGGAAAAGCTTTCAGGTTTGCACTATTGGGTATGATATTAGCTGTGGACTTGTCATATATGGTCTTACTATGTTGAAGAACATTCCTGTATGCCATATTTGTTGAGAGTTTTTATCATGAAAGACTGTTGAATTTTGTCAAAGGCTTTTTCTGTATCTGTTGAGATAGTCCTATGATTTTTAGCCTTGATTTTGTTGAGGATTTTTATTTATTTAGTAAATATTGTGTATTTATTTAGTAAGGTGCATCTCCGTTGGACCCAGCCTGATGGTGGGAATCACCTGTCTCTCCCCTCTCTCCATGTTGTCCAGCTGGTCAGCAGGCCATGTTGACTCTCTCCCCATCACCTCTCCCCAGCCCACGGCCAGGATTATCTCATCCGGTGGCACTGACGATGATGGCCTCTGCTGCCAGAACTTCTGCTGCCGGCTCCCATGACCTTTAGAGTAAACCCCAATCAAAGGCCTAGGCTCCCCCACCCTGTCCCTGCCTGTCGTCCTCCAGCTGGGGTCTCTGTCTTAAGCTCCCTGCACCCCAACATCCGTCCTTTCTCTGGCATTAGAGCATCCGTGTGTCGGCTGAAGGAGGCCACTTCAGGCTTCATAACAACACCAGTGCTCCCCACGTGGCTGGAGCTCTCTGATGGCTGAACCTCATCAGCTGTTCGCCATTCCCCTACTAGTGTGTCTACCCCAGTTCCACTCAGACACGAGGGACCAAGGAAATATTTACTGAATGAATGAATGAATCAAGTCTCATAGGAAGTTCTTTCTTGTTCAGAGATGAAGGAGGCCAGGTGCGGTGGCTCTTGCCTGTAGTCCCAGTACTTTGGGAGGCCAAGGAGGGAGGATTGCTTGAGGCCAGGAGTTCAGGGCTGTGGGGAGCTGTGATTGGGCCACTCCAGCCCGCACCAGGCTGCACTCCAACCTGGGTGACAGAGTGAGACCCTGTTTAAGAAAAAAAAAAAAAAAAAGGTCGAGGGAAACAAACCACAGGTACCTCATTTAAATGGAGGACATCAGTGTTCCTTTCTAAGCTATGTTCACTCAGATGATGACAGTCGTAGGTAGCTTTGCCTGCGTTCCTTGCTTCATGTGGTCCTGAAGTGCTTATGTAACCACCCCAGGGGCAACTGAGGCATTGGTTATTGCCAAACCACCTGACTCTGTTGCATCAGGATACTTGGCCTAAGAAGAACTATTGGGACTTAGAGAGTTGATTCCATATCGTTAAAGTTCTGACATTCTAATCGGAAAAGAAATGAACCAGCAGACTTTGACAGGTTTTGTGGGGAGGAGAGGAGAGGGAAAGGGTGAAGCCAGCATTGATTTTTAAATTAAGTTTAAACACAGTTAAGTGGGTCACACTGAAACACATGCCTGCGCAGTCACTTTGCCAGATATTGAAAAAAAGAAAGGCTGGCTTTGTTTGGTGGATAGGCAGGCTCAGCCTCCTGAATCTTGCTTACTTCATAGGTAAGGGCTCTTGCTGAGCCACTTGTGTTATTGACCCCTGAAGTTGCTGCCGTTGGGAGAAACCACAGTAAACAACAGTCAAACAAAACCAGCTCACCATGTGGTAGATGTACCATGAGGATAGGCATGTGGCCGGTGGTTTAGAGGAGCTGACCTTGGAGCGGGTCTGACCTTAGGTGCAATAGCACATCGCAGCAGAGGAAGTTACAGTGATGACACCTGTGTGCTGCCCTGCTTGGGTCGGCCCGTCTCCACAGCACCAAGGACAGACTCCTGCACGGAGAAGTTGGAGGAGGAAGATGGTCAGGAGGCTGAAGTGACTGCTTGTATTAAGGAACATTGTGGGGGTGAGAGGGTGATGAGAGCAGCTCAGAGATGATGATCATAGGGAGGAGAGTCACAGGATGCCAGAGACACAGTACCCACTTCGGAACACTGCAAAGGGTCTTTTTTTGTTTGTTTTTGTTTTGAGATGGAGTCTGGCTCTGAAACCCAGGCTGGAGTGCAGTGGCATAATCTTGGCTCACTGTAACCTCCACCTCCTGGGTTCAAGCAATTCTTTTGCCTCAGCCTCACGAGTAGCTGGGACTACAGGTGTGGGCCACCATGCCCGGCTAATTTTTATATTTTTAGTAGAGACAGGGTTTCGCCATATTGGCCAGGCTGCTCTCAAACTCCCGACCTCATGATCCATCTGCCTCGGCCTCCCAAAGTGCTGGGATTAGAGATGTGAGCCACCATGCCCGGCCAGGGTCTTTCTTATCCTAGAAAGAGGACAACACCCTTCTCCCTGTCCTTTTTCTCATTCTGCTACCATTCAAGCTTCTAAGTCAAAGATCCAGTTCATCTTTTCATAGAAGTATGACTTCATTTATTTTAGTATATTACTAATGAACAACTTTAATATAGCGATCCTATTAATATTTTTAACATAATTTGTTTACATTATAAATTAAGTGGGAAGGGGAAGATGATACGAGAATCTTATAGGAAAAAATGTGTCTTCAAGTCTGAACAAGTGACTTAAAAATTGATATTTAGAATACTACTTGTTCAACAGTTTACAGAACATTTTACCTTCTGGTATTTATTATCTGAGTCAGGGTTGAAGGAATCTGAAGGCATGTATGATCCATACTCATGGAGAAAAGATACAGCTAATTTTGAAATGAAATAATGGCATTTTATATATGTTTGGTTTCAGAGGCATCCTTTGGGAAAAGCGATCACCTTCTCCAGATCCGCATTCAGGTGATCTTTGCCAATCTCTGACTGAGCCTGGTGGCACATCACTTCTATCTGGCCTTGACCTTTGAGGCAGCAGGATGACTGCAGGGAGTAGGCAGTGCTTCCATCTGTGAATCACAAAGCAGATCAACCCCAAAGCAGCCACCTGCACATGTGGTACATCTTCTGCACCTCCATAGACACTTTTACCTAAGGCCAGATGCATGTACAATAAACTTAAATCCATTGACTTTTCAACAGATTGCTTCACGTCTTTGGATCTGGAAATTTTGACCCAGAATACCATTCCCTATTAGCAATGACCTATAACTATCAACTTTACATGTTACCAAGAAAGGTGTCACGCCATGAGAATAATTAATATTTTGATGAGAATTTTCTCTTTACAATGCATGTGCTTCTCTAAAAGTAAAAGAAACTGCTCTAAAAGAAATTTTAGGATCCCATGGAGAAAGCTGGGTTCAGGGATGTTGTGTGACTAGCACAGGTCACATAACAAAGCAATTCAAAGCAAAGAACCCTGACCCCAAATTCTTAGCCTCAGCTGCTGCCCTTCCTCCCCTTCACCTGTCCCTCAGTCTTGCTGAGAGGGATGCTCCCTGGTGTTGTCCAGTCATCACTGGGTTCCCTGCATCTGTGTTGTCAGCAGCACATCTGTTTCCCTCCTTAGTTGCATGGGGACTCTCACTTCCCATTTGCTTCTGCCTTGTAAAGGGTAACATAACCTTGTCTCATCTTGCATCTCCGCTTTCCTTTTTGAGATTCAACATATTTAAGTATTAGTGATTCTTTAGTTTTCCTAGCAACTAAACTCAGCTGGTTTTGAACTTCTCGCAAAAGTCAGAATATAGTACTTGCTTTCATTTCAGTCCCCACTGAGCATCTGACATATTTAAAACATTATTAAGCTGTGTCAAAGGAGCCATGTCCCTGGGATATTATACCAGAGTATTCCTGAATTCTGTGTGTTGGTTATGTTCGAGCACAGCGTCTCCCTGAGGACGCGCTGGCAATGAGAACCTCCACCTCTAACAAAGTCTCACAGATCGCCTCTGAGAGATGGGGTGTGTGCTCCAGGGACCCCTGTTCAGGAGGAGTAGCTGGTCACCTCTGGCTTGGTTCATTGGTGGCATCATGTCACATGACTGTCGTGCATGTCCTAAATGAGGAGATGTGTGCCAAGAGGCAGGGAGGGCTTGCAAGAAAACAATATGCAAATCTCAGTTCAATTAGAAGACAGTTTAAATTAGAAGCAGAAGGCATTTCAGCAACTGCTTTAATGTGTAAAACTAATTTGAGAGGATGAGACACTTGATTGCACAGCACAGGGAAAGGGCCTCTTCTGGGCCTCTGTCCTCAACAGTGGCAAAATGGTCTGTGGGGACATCCCCTACCTTAAGACCTGATAGGCTGCTGGGTGGAAGCTGAGTTGAAAATTAATCTCATTTCCTCAGAATGCAAAGCTATAAATTGGGGCTCTGCCTGGAAACACATTTTATGCAAAGACAAAAAAATTGAACACTAAAATAAATGCAGCAAAAATAAAATGCAACACACATATATGCTCTTACACACAGTTATTAAGTATGTCTAATTAAGCTGTGGATGTAAAAGCTACATCATTCCCTTTAGGGGTATTCTGTGCTGACTGCACTGTTGGGTGACTTAGCCTGTGAACTCAGTGAACACAGCTCCAGATTTGGGCCAGTCTGCCTCTGCCAAGCAGAGACATTGTTTTTGCTCCAGTGACCATCACAGTGCCTTCAGGATTAGGGCCATCCATCTGGAAAATTTTCATTGCCCTGAATGGTAAATGTGGGGGAGGTGCAGTCTTGTGGTGACATCAGTTTTGGCATGGGTTGCAGGCATGAGGTAGTCCTAACCGGGAACTTCATTGTTACTGCTGCAATCTTGTTTACCACCAGAAAGGTGGTGGACAGGCCATGGCTGTAGGAAGTCAAGACGCAGGGCAGTCTTCAGGGCTGAGGGCTGTGACTGGCAACAGCTCCCCTGGAGCCTTCCAAGGTTGCTGTGAGATTGGAGGAAGAGGAGCTCAGAGGCTGTCACTGTGCAGAGGTTGGGGACGCAGGCAGGGAGGGGCATTATGGAGGATGCCAGCATCTTTCGCACAAGCTCAGACCTACCTGCCCTTTCATCTCTCACTACACCAGCCTGACCTGCAACTTTAGACACAGAAGGAAGATTTTCCTTTGTGGTCTAAGACCTGCCTTTGCAAATCCTTGTTTTCTGCACCCCATCACCCCAGAGGATTGACAAAGCAAATATGAATCCCTATTGGGGAAACACCATTCTCACCCACAGGAATGTGTTTTAGCCCAGTAACCCCCATAAGGCAAGCCAAGACAATCACACGCTTGTATGAAATTGACACCTTTCCAAAAGATACGCTTATTCTAGTTGCATTTGTCCATATACTTTCAATTCACAAACATTGAACTTCAGTGATTGAATACTTAAGTGACGCCAGAGCTACAGATGCTCTTTTGAAGCATCTTACCTACTCCTTACACAGAGAGACCCTGAAGGTACCAGATCAAAGGGTAAGGGGGCTTCTTTCTTTTACTAAGGTATGTATATTGGGGCTAGGAAGAGGAAGGACGGTGTCTGGCATTAGGCCTGGGGAATAACTTCATCTCTGAAATTAGGACCTTGGATGCTTTCTCTTTATGAATGTTGTAAATTATGGCTGGGCATGGTGGCTCATGCCTGTAATCCCAATACTTTGGGAGGCCAAGGTGGGAGGACGATTTGAGGTCAGGAGTTTGAGACCAACCTGGCCAACATAGTGAAACCCTGTCTCTACTAAAAATACAAAAATTAGTGGGGCATAGTGGCATGTGCCTGCAATCTCAGATACTTGGGAGGCTGAGGTGGGAGGATCACTTGAGTGTGGGAGGCGAGGTTGCAGTGTGCTGAAATTGTGCCACTGTGTACTCCAGCCTGGATGACAGAGCAAGACTCTGTCTCAAAACAAAACAAACAAACAAAAACAAAAACAAAAAAAAGGAAATGATAAATTTCAGTGGTTTTAACTGGCCATGGTATGTACCTGTTATCCCAGCTACTTGGAGGATGAGGTGAGAGGATCACTTGAGTCTAAGAATTTGAGGCCACCCCGGGCAACATAGCAAGATTGAGTCTCTTAAAACTTTTTTCCAGTAATTTCAGAAAAACTATTCTGAAACTAATTGGTAGCACATTCATGGTTTTCAGCACTCTCTCTCTTTTTATTACAATTCTTCTTCCTAATAGCATCAGTGGCCACAGTTGCTGCTAGACATCCTACAAAGCACAGGTCTGCTCCCACAACAAAGAACCATCTGGCCCAGATGTTGGGGTATCAGACCTGAGATGTGCAAAGCCAGCAGCCCCTTCAGCCAGTCATTCAACAGACACATGCTGAGAACACAGTGAAATAAGACAAGGCTTCTGCCTATAGAGAACTTTCCATGCTCCTCAGAGAGGTTAGTGGAGAAGGCAGACAAGGAAAGCAGAATGACCGGGCAGTGTGGGAAACATTAGAGAACTGTTTCTAGGTATTTCAAACAGAGAATCTAATACAGGGGTTATTTTTATACAGCTGAGAAACAGAAGACAGTGCAATAGCAGGAAGTTGCTACCAGCCCCTGGGCTGGAGTGGTAAACAAGAGGGCGTGTTGCTTGAGCTGGGAGTTGGTGCTGCCCACAGGACCTCGGACCTGGGAGGGAGGAGCTTCCCAGCAGGGCTGGAGCCACAGAGACACCACAGCTGCTGCACGTGCCCACAAAATACTGTGGCAACTCCCTTCCCCCAACCCTCAAGTCACCTCCCACCACCACTGCCCACTGCCAAACCTGGACAGAAGCCATTTGTCAGGAATCTGGGAATTGTGGTTCCCAAAACAGAGAGATAACAATGGCTGGAGAAAGAGCCTGAGAGCAGACAAAACTCGCAAAGGCATGGTGGTGTGAGGATCATGACAAATAGCTCAGCCCTGCTGGAGGGAAAGGCGTCCTGTATTAGGCACAGGACATTCAACATCTCCTCAAAGTCCACAGGCAGCCAGTGACCCTGGTTCAGTGACACACCCATCTGCAGTGTGGAATGGACTCTGGCAGCAGAGTGAAGGATGGGTGGGCAGTGAGCCAGACCATGGTCATCCAGGTGGAAGGTAATGCAGGCTGGGAATGAGGCACCAGCCACCATGCCGACAAAGGGCTGGTGGGCATGCAGTAGAGTCGCTTAGACCTGGTGTAATCTGTAGGGAAGGAAGAGGGTCTAGCATGACCCCCAGGTTCTGGCCAGGAGGTAGCAGTGCTGGGGTGGACCCTCTGATTTCCACCCTGCTGGGCTGTCACTACAGCAATGGTAGTAAGCTACTCAGCCTCACTGGGCCCTAGCATCCTCACTGGCATGAATAGGGGTCACATGTTCCCTAGGGCAACATTCTGTGCAGCTGTGATTTAAGGGTCTGCACTCACTCCTTCAGCATTTTGGATTTCAATATGTTTTCTTTCAGTGTCACTTTGTTATCATGTAAATCAAGCTTCTCTAACCAGTGGGCCGCAGGCTGCATGTGGCCCAGGGAAGCTTTGAATGTGGCCCAACACAAATTCGTAAACTTTGGTAAAACATTATGAGGGGTTTTTTTTTTTGCGATTTTTTTTTTAATCTCATCAGCAGTTGTGTTAGTGTGTTTTATGTGTGGCCCAAGACAATTCTTTCAATGTGACCCAGGAAAGCCAGAAGGTTAGACACTCCTGATGTACATGATGAGTATATTACAAAAACCTTCCTGCTTTTTTGTACATTTAATCTGTTCTATATTCCTGAATTTCAAATTTAAGTTTTTATTTAAAAATTACTGGTCAGAAGCTTTTTTGTTTGTTTGTTTCATTTTTTTGTTTGTTTGTTTTTGGTGCAAATTCTCATTATCACCAAAAAAAAAAAAAAAAAAGTTTCATTCTAAAGTTCATACACCCTAGAATCCAGCTTGTAGACAGTGGATTTCACAATATTCCTATCTGAAATTCTTTCTTAGTTCTGTTCTCTTCCTATCTCTGGCAGAGTTCCCACAATTTATAAGACTTGCTACAAAACCACTAATTGAATTGCAACCCTTGGTTAGTTAATTGAGGTCAAATTATTAGTTCTAAATAATGCAACTTGGTATGTTACTCAGAAATTCCAGGAAAAGGCTTTTTTTCCATAATTTTCAGTTTCATTCTTAGCAGCACACAACAATCACGTTGTTCAGCTCAGGAACAAAATACTAAGTCACTGGTCGTTTAAAAAGCATATTGTCCCAATTAGAAACCCCAATTTTTTGCATGTGTTTTATGAAATCTGAATCCTAGAAATTAAGTTCTGAGTGTTAGAAAATTTCAACTTCTTCACTCTATAAAAACATAGTGGGTTGTAACAACTTCTTACCTTGGTACGGATTAGACAAGGCAGGATAACTGATACGACTTCACATCGAAGTTAAATCTAAGTGTGCAAAGCACAGCATTCTTACCCTCAGAGAGTGCACAGTCTTGTTTGAAGGCAGCCATATAAAGCTATCATTATAATCCATTTTGGTAAAAACAATTTGATGAGATGCCTGAAGGCCTGTGGAAGCACAGAGTAAGGGATTTCATTCATTGCAGGGGGCTCAGGAAGGAATTCCTGGGGAAGGAGACACCTGCAGTTCGTCTCAAAGAATGATGAGGTATTAGATTAAGGATGTGTAGGCTTTTCTAAACCCACTTTCACCTTAATTTTACTAATTTATCGCACTGAGCTTTCCTTCCAATGATACTGTTCTACTTACTGTAGAGTGATCAGTTACCCCATTTGCAAGGAACTTTGCTGGTTTCAACCCTGAAAGTCCCATATCCTGAGATACCCTTCATTCCTGGGTCAGTCAGACACCTGGTCCCCCAAATGTACTGCCTCCCAGTTGTACTGTGTGTCGTTGACTGTTGCTTTGCTCTTGCCAGTTTCTTATCTAGAATGAGCGATTACCTTATCATTGCCTTGAATTCCTCATGGGACCCGCACAGACGCTTGTACCCAGTAGATGCTCATGAAGTGGGTATATGCATAAATGTTGGTACCTCTTCCTCTGTAGACAGCACTGAAATACAGATCACTGAAATGACTGACTCAAGAGCCATATGACAGCACCAAGGTTAGGCCGATTCCCATGTCTTGGGCCCTTGTTTCCTTCTTGGTTATAAAAGGTCTTATAGTGCCCTCTGGTGGTGTCAGGAAGCTGTCTAATCCCCTGAATTACAAGGCAGAAATCATGCCTTCTCTTCTGTATTCAGTGCGAGTCATAAGAAGACCATTACTACTAATGTCAGTGCCTGTGAACTGGACTTGACCTTTTGATTAAACAATCTCATTCATTTCATGATTCTGAGATGCTGAAACAATGAAATTCCCTATCCCTTCTAGAGCACATGAGGTTGGATAGGTGATATCAAATGTTGAACTTACTTTGCAACTGGTTACAGGCTTCATATCCAGTCTCATCGCAGAGATGATTCAAGCCTCTGCTTATGTGGCTCATCCAAATGTAACCCCCAGCTCCTCTGGCCCCCTAATTCCTCCATTAGAACATTAAACTGCAGAGGGCGTGTGGTAGCCCATCAGTCTTCTGATGAATGGAATTGGCTGATGGTCTAAGTCATCGTAGCCTCCCTTGTCCCGGGTGGAATCAACTCTTTGACCCTTTACCTATGGCTGTCTGTGGGAATCCCTTCTCACTGGAAATGATGTAGGGGCAAATAAAAATAGAACCCATCAAGAACATGGGGCGTAGGAGCAGAAGAGAGATGTTTCTGTTTGCATGGGGTCAGATTCTGCACTTGATAGGGATACGCTAAATTGGGATCTGATCTCAAGATCTTTAAAAAATGTCCTCCTCTTGTTCCTCTCTTGCCTTTGGCCTCTGTGGCCTTGGAGGTAATGGCATTGACTGATGTCTAAAGATTTTTGGGATTTATTTACAGTCAGGGTCGTGAGGCCCAGGAATTGGAGTCAGATGCCTGGGGTACAGATGCCCATTGTGCTTCTCTGTTCATTAGTTTACTGCAGTGGAGAAGAGTGTGGGCTTTGTGGGGACAGCTGCAGGACTCCCAGGCAAATGACCTAACCTGCCTGAGTATCCATCTGGTTGTCTGAAAAATGCAAGTCATTCTGTGACCTCTTAGGTTTCTGTGTGTACTCAGTGACGTTATGTTTTCCAAGACCTTAGGGCAGAGGCCTGACATATAGTAAGTACTTAAAAGTTGGTAGTCTTTTATGGTTATTATCATAATCTATCATTCATTCATCCAGTAACTATTTATTGAGAACGGGGGGCTGAGACATGTAGGCTATCACTTGAAGGCTAAGCAGGTCTTGGCCTGATGGGAAAGGTTAAGGGGGAGCAGGATTTTCATTTTTCAGGGGAGGGCCATGGACCCAGGTGTGGGGTTGAAGGGTTTGGACACAGATGTGCATGATGGGGAAAGCATGGACAAGATCTGAGGGGAAGGGATGGACACAGGTGTGTGGGGAAGGCATGGACACAGGTGTGTGGGAAAGTATGTATACAGGTGTGTGCAGTAAAGATATGGATACAGGTATTGGGGGAAGGTGTGGAAGTGGATGTGTGGGATGGGCATGGGTGCAGTAGTGTGTGGTTGTCAGGGCACGTGGGAAGAGGAAAAAGATGCCGAATTTGTTTAATTTGAATTCTTACCTCTGAATTTTTTTTTTTTTTTTTTTTGAGACGGAGTCTCACTCACTCTGTCGCCCAGTTTGGAGTGCAGTGGCGCAATCTTGGCTCACTGCAACTTCTGTCTCCCAGGTTCAAGCGATTCTCCTGCTTCAGCCTCCCGAGTAGCTAGGATTATAGGTGCACATCACCACGCCTGGCTAATTTTTGAATTTTTAGTAGAGATGAGGTTTCATGATATTGGCCAGGCTGGTCTCGAACGTCTGACCTCAGGTGATCCACGTGCCTCGGACTCCCAAAGTGTTAGGATTACAGGCGTGAGCCACTGCACCCAACCCTGAATTTCTAATATACTTCAGCAGCATCCTCACTTCTCTCTGCTGTATGGCCAGTTGGAAAAAGACCCCCACCAATGTGTTTCCTTCTCAGAGGCTGCCCTGGCATGTCCTTGCTGAGTCCTTCCCGCCTGTGTCTAGGTGGCCCTGTGAGGCTCTCAGTTAGTGTTTGGGCGTCTCAGCCCTCCTGGACAGGAGGCAGCTGCCAGCATGTGGGGCTCCATCTCTGCTCCTCATGCTTATTCCTGCGTGTGCCAGCACTTGGTTTGAGTATTCGGTATGTTGGATTCAACACAGGCTGCCATTTTAATGTCATGCTTTTGAAATCGTTGTGAGGTTTTCTTTTGGTATTTCCTAATTATTTTTTTTTCCATTTCAAATAAGAAGAAAAGATAGTGTTGAATGATACCTAGATATTTTCATTCCAGCGGTTTTTTTCCTAGTCTCACCTACACAGGTTCCAGTGAGCTCAGGAGTTTACCTTCATGTCCGTGGCACAGCCCATAATTACCCTTCTCTGTCCAGGGATGTATATTTGCATCTTTCCTTCAACTTATGAAGTGAATGGAGGGGAAATGTACAGTTTTAATTGAGTTTGAAGTAGCTTTCATCTGACCAGCCCTGTGCTGGAGCGTGCCTCTTCTTCTGTGAGCAGAGGGGCTACTGCGTGGGAAATGGCTAAACCGCCTGCTTTGTCTTTCACTGCAGCCCGTGGCCACCCAGGAGCCCGATGTGCAAGGCAGGTGTGAGTGCCAGGACGGCATTCCTGGAGATGAAGGCCTGGAGCTGCGGTCTGCGGACTCGGCAGTGCCCGTGGCCATGACCCAGGCTGCCGTGCGGCCCTGGGCACCCTGCCTGGAGAACATGACCACTGCCCCAAACGGCCTCGGGCCAGGCCCCGCAGCCCCCTGTGCAGGCTCGGACCTGAAAGACGCCAAGATGGTGACCTCCCTTGCGTGTGGAAATGGAGTCTGTGGCTGCAGCCCTGGTGGCGACACGGACACCCAGGAAGCCAAACTCAGCCCAGCCAAGCTTGTGCGCCTCTTTTCCACCAGTCGGAAGAGGACGGGTGCCCACCCCGAGCGGCCCCACTCCATGGTCCTGGTGGGGAACTCCTCCACATGGAACACCCTCGCCTCCTTCCGGAAAATGGGATCCTTTAAGAAACTGAAGTCCTCAGTCCTGAAAGGAATTCAGAGCCGAGAGGGGTCAAATGCCTGTTCAAAGGGAGAGGCTTCGGAGCATGGCCTGGGAAAGTCCATCCCAAATGGCGCTGTCCCAGGAGCCCAGGCAAGCAGGGGCTCCCCCTTAGCACCGGGACCAGCATGTGGTGCCCTCAGGCCAGCAGAGTGGGGCACATTGGATGGCTCCGACCTCGAGGACACGGACGATGCCTTCCAGCGGAGCACACACCGCTCCCGCAGCCTCCGCAGAGCCTACGGCCTGGGCCGCATCTGCCTGCTGGATGCGCCCCAGAACCATGCGACACCCACGATAGCCACTGGCCAGGTGCCCGCCGTGTGTGAGATTCTCGTGAGGGACCCTGAAAACAACAGCATGGGCTACAGGAGGAGCAAGAGCACGGACAATCTTGCCTTTCTGAAGAAGAGCTCCTTTAAGCGGAAGTCCACCTCCAATCTTGCAGACCTCAGGACGGCCCATGACGCACGGGTACCACAGAGGACCCTGAGCAGTTCCTCCACTGACTCCCAAAAGCTTGGGTCAGGAAGGACCAAACGCTGGAGGAGCCCGATAAGGGCCAAGGACTTTGACAGAGTCTTCAAACTTGTGAGCAATGTGACTGAGGCTGCCTGGAGGAGGGAGAGTCCTAGGAGTGGGGCCCCATCCCCTGGAGAGGCCAGCCTGAGACTTCAGGCACACAGCCGGCTGCATGACGACTACTCCCGCCGCGTCTCCAGGAGCACTGAGCAGGACAGCAGGCGGGGCGGGGCGGTCATGCATGGGACCACTGCAACCTGCACCGTGGCCCCCGGTTTCGGCTCAGCCACCTCTAAGGGGCCCCACCTAGACGCTGACACTGCCGTATTTCCTCTTGAAACCAAAAGTTCCTGGGCGGTGGAAAGCGACAGTTCCTGCACTTGCAGCTCTTTGCCAAGCCCGATTGTCCAGGATGTGTTGAGCAAAGACTCCTGTGACCCAAACGCTGGCAGCCAGTTGACATTTGACCCTGAGCAGCCTCCCACCCCTCTAAGGCCCACCACACCCAAGCCCCAGAGCCCTCAGAGCCCCCAGAGCCCCGGGGCAGGAAGTGCCAGCTGTCACAGCAATCACAGTGCCCTGTCCGCGAATTCAGAGGAAAGTGAAGGAAGGGCAGAAGAGCCTGCTCAGAGAGAGCCAGGGCCTGTGTCCTTGCAGGATCCCCTGGAAGCCACACATGGTGATGAGGGCAGCAAGGACCTTCTGGTGAACATTGGTGTGGCAGCCGGCCCAGAAGAAAAGGAGAAGGAGGAGGTAAGGGCAGCGGCGAGGTCCCTCATGTGGGCGACCCTCCTGCGGGAAGGGAGCTTGCACAGGTGTTGCCCTTGGTCCCTAACCTGTCAAGGTCAGTGGCCCTCTGCTGACCTTGTTGCCCTTACAGTATTAGTGGGAATGGGAGTTGTCAAGTTGCTGTTTACCAAGTTCAGAAGTAATCTCTATCTCCTTTGAAATAAATTGACAATGTACGAGATTCATTGAGATGACATTTGCCACACCTTTCATTCAAAAGATGTTTATTGAACATGTACCAGGTACTAGATTCTGGGGGAAAAAAATAAGTTGTAAACAAACTGTCTTCTGCTCCATGCAGCTCTGACTCATATCTTTCTTCTTTGTATTTTAAGCTGTTTCTGTAACCTTTCCCACAAAGTACATATAAGTGAAATTCTTTCTGTTAAGAGACTATTACCTGTCCTAATGTCACAGCACCTGTGGGTGTCACTTGACCAGCTGGAAACCTCTGTGGGCTGGCAGTGCCTCTGCTTGAGTTTTGCTCGTGCCCACTAGCCTCGTTCCACCCATTCTGCCCAGCAGGCTGCATTCGGCTTGCACTGCCAGCCCAGATCCCATGCCTGCCAAGGGCAAACCAGGAATGGAGCAGCGAGGGGTGTGTGAGTGAGTGAGCATGGAGTCCAGCCTCTGCACACAGCCAGGCATGTCAGCTGTTGCAGCAGGGCAGGCAGCTCCAGGTGCCGGCACAGGTGCTGGCTCCATGCAAGGCTGTGGCTGGACCAGATGCACTGTAGCTGGCTTCCGCTGCAGGCACCAGCGTGTGGACGAGGGGAACGTGGTGACGAGTGAAAGCTCAGAGATACCAGGAATCACAGAGCCCCAAAGAGGGTGTTACGGCCTGTCACAGCCTGGTTCTCATCTGGGCTCCCAGAAGGGCCACAGCTCTCTTCTTCTCATCACCTGCATTACAGCAAGCAGGGGGGCTTGTTTCTGGGAGTATGTTTCACCCCATTTGTGTTATATCTCCTTCAGTCCCACTGCCCCACTCCAGCATGCAGCTCTTGGGCTGGTCTAGCCCCACCACTGCTTCCTGTTGCATGTTGCAGCTGCCTGGTGCTGGTGGAAATTGGGAGGGTTATAGTGTTACAACTTTAGTTGAGGGAATCCCAAGGTTTGGGCCCCCAGAAGGGTTGCCACTCTTCACGCCTGCAGTCCAGGGGCATGTCACTGTCTGTAGCTCGGTGAGCTGGCCAGGAATTTGTTGCAGCCCCTTTAACTCCCACCTGCAGCTGGGCGAGCCATCCGGGAAAGTGTTACAGCTCCTTTCGCTCCCACCATTGGGCAGGTTCCACATCCAGGAAAAATGAAGTTACGTGGACAAACGGAGGGTGAGCAAGGCTGAGAAGAGCTTTATTGGGTGACTGAACAACTCTCAGCCCATAGGAGACCTGGAATGTGTTGCTCCTCTCTGCAGGCAGGTAGTCCCAATGAGTGGCGGAGTCTGGGGGTTTTTATAGGCTCAGAATGGAGGAAGTGCATGCTGATTGGTCCATGGGCAGGCCTGGAAAAAGCACCATTTGATTGGTTGAAAGGCATCAAGGAAGTTCTCACTCCAGGTCGCTGACTTCACACGAAATTGGCATCTGTGCCCTGAGGCTTCAGGCTGTCCCTGGCTTGAAGGTGGGGTTTCACTGCGGACCCGCCCCTTCCCACCTAGGTACCTGTCCACCTCCCACCACCATCACTAAGTCTGTTTAATTTCCTAGGAATGAATTAGGAACATGCAGTTTGGTACCTGTCGGCCTTTGAATGATGCTTGTTTAAAGAGATTTTTATGATGGGTTATTGTACTTATTTTAGAGTAGATCATAAGCACCTCATTAATTGACTAAGCTAATAGCTGTCAAGGTTACAACAGCAGTTTTTTTCATATTCTATCAAACATCTTTATAATTTTCACTTTATAAACACTGAGTAATATTACCTTACATAGCTGGAAGATGGGGAAATGCATTCATGTGTATATATTGCAGATTATTCTTCACATACATTTCTAGATTGATTTGCAGGTATAGATGGTGCTTGCCATAGAGAATAATCCCCTAGCAAATGCTCCTTCCCACCCATCCCTGGGGAGGACCTCAGTTTTGTCTTAGCACCTACAGATGAATGATTGCACAGCAAGTTTGCAGACTCAGAAGCCAGGACAGCCTCTGCACTGTCCATCTTGACCTTTGCTGTACAGACAGACCTGGTTAGTAGAACCTTTGTAGAAAGACCTAGAAAGTAGGACTATCGCAGAGTACTTTCAGATTGAGATTAGTCTCAAGGTCCCCTGGGCAGCCAGAGAAGTGAGACTGCATATTGTCTGTTACCTGAGGTTCCCGTGGAGAGCTCACCAGTTTGAGAGGTCTTGACTATTGAGAACCGTCTGCTCATTTGCATATTTGAGCCTGTGGAGCAGTTGTAAGGACACAGGAGTAGTTACCAGACTTAGGAAGGAGTTCCAGTTCTGTTGGCTCCTGTTTGTACAACTGACCAAACTTCACTAATTCCTGGGTGAGATGAAGGATGAAGGGTAACATTCCTTCCACTAAACACCCTACCTGCGCCACTCGTAGTTTGTAACCTCCCCTCCCTAAAAAAGGATTTGTATATGTCTGGAGGGTTTTTTTATGTTAAAGATTGGATTTTATTTTCTGCTTAACAGAATTATTTTTTTAAAAATCATTGAAATATTTTATTCCTGAGAACCTGTTAAGTGAATATATATGAACTAGTGTGTAGTTATTTGCCAGGGTGATTTTGACCATTTTATGGTTTTATATGTATATTTGCTATTGTTAGTTATATCAAATTTAATTTCTACCCACAAAAGATCACCAAAGATAGAAAGCAGAACAACAATTATATTGAAATTCAGTTTATTAAAGGTGCGTGCACATGTTGATAATTCTACGAATTTGCCTCCAGATATTCATCACATTTTTCAGTTGCAGTCATTTCTTCAAAATTCTTTTTTTTTTATTGAGACAGTCTCATTCAGTTACCCAGGCTGGAATGCAGTGGTGCGATCTTGGCTCACTGCAACCTTTGCCTCACAAGTTTAAGCAGTTCTCATGTCTCAGCCTCCCAAGTAGCTGAGATTACAAGCGTGTACTAACATGCCAGCTTAATTTTTGTATTTTTAGTAGAGACAGGGTTTTGCCGTGTTGGTCAGGTGGTCTCAAACTCCTGGCCTCAAGTGATTCGCCTACCTCAGCCTTCCAAAGTGCTAGGATTATAGGTGTGAGCCACCACGCCCGGCCTCAGAATTCTTATATAGCACATCAGGCTTCCTCTTGTACTTTTGTTTTCTTGAGATGGAATTTCACTCACTCTGTCACCAGGCTGGAGTGCAATGGTGCATCCCAGCTCACTGCAACCTCTATCTCCCGGGTTCAAGCGATTCTTCCGCCTCAGCCTCCCGATTAGCTAGGATTACAGGCACCTGCCAGCATGCCCAGCTAATTTTTTGTAAAAATAGGGTTTCTCCCCTCTTGTACTCTTTTTTTTTTTTTTTTTTTTTTTGAGACGGAGTCTAACTGTGTCGCCTAGGCTGGAGTGCAGTGGCGTAATCTCGGCTCACTGCAAGCTCCACCTCCCGGGTTCACGCCATTCTCCTGCCTCAGCCTCCTGAGTAGCTGGGACTACAGGCACCTGCCACCATGCCCGGCTCATGTTTTCTATTTTTTTAGTAGAGACGGAGTTTTACCATGTTAGCCAGGATGGTGTCGATCTCCTGACCTCGTGATCTGCCTGCCTCAGCTTCCCAAAGTGCTGGGATTACAGGCGTGAGCCACCGCGCCGAGCCTGTACTCTTAACATATATGTCAAAAAGAGAAAATATAGTTATGGCTTTACCCATAACTTATACATTGCATCTTATACACTGGGAATGTTCGGTGTTACTTGTAGAGAAGTGCTTGTGAAGTAGAACCTGAAACCTTTTTTATTTTGGCTTTGGGAAACAAAATACAAACTAAGGGAAACAAACAGGAAAAGGGTGACACGCAAGGATTCCAGCCTTCATGAGTTAAAAGCAATTTTTGTCTATTTTGTAGCATTACAAAATTAAATTTCAGTCTTTACTATTTTTCAATATACAGTTTTTTTATTCAGCTCATTAACAGTAAGGTTCTACTTACAGGATTAAAGCAAATTTAAACTTATTGTTGAATATGAAAAGTTGTAATCAACATATATTATGGTGTTATTTAAAATAAATATTATAATGTACTTTCAATAGGGAGAATAATTTTTATTTAGAATCACTTATTTATATCATACTGTCCTAAAAATAACAAAATAATCGTTGAAAAATTTTAAGCAGTCTAACAAGATTGTGTATTGCTGTGAAAAAGAGCTGGGAAAATGTCCTGCCGCTTTAATTTACAAAGCATGCCATGCTCCTGCCACCTAGTGGTAAGCTTTAAGAGCAGTGGTTTGTTGAACAAGTACTTAAGCTTGTGACCTGTTTTAAGTTACAGGTTGCATTTACTTGTTGACAGTGCTGTCTGTTGCCTTATGGAGGTGTTGCCTAGGAGTCTGGAGCATTCATGCTGCTTCTCCTACCAGCTCACAAGGAGAAACCCCCTCTTTAGTGAGTGGAAACTCAGGCAGCAGAGTCAGTGGTTCAGGTAGTGCTAAATATGCCATGGAAAAAACTCTTAAATGATGACAACCAATTGGACCCCTCTCCAGGGAGCTATGGTAAGCTGCAGTCTCTTGGCACATGTTTCTAGTTGAGTTGGGACCCTGGCTCTATTATTAAAAGATCCCTGGCAACCGGGGCAAACTGTTGAACTTCTCCTGCCGTGGGTCTTCTCAAGGGTAGGATATGGAGTAACTTCATCTGCCCCTGGGGATGGTAAGAGCCAGTGAAATTATGGATGTCAAACACTTAGCCCGCCCTTTGACACTGACTGCCCACTGTGTGGTTATCACTGTTTAGATGATTTTTCCATCCTAGATTGACATGGCTTTTTAAGACAGGGACGTTAAGGTCGGTTCTTTCCAGAACTCTTTTTCAATATAACACTGTTACAGTCTTACAGGGGATGGAGAAGTTCTTCAAACAGTTAGTTTGACATCATGCTACTTAAAAAAAAAGCATAAGAGTTAAGTTCCTGCATAATCCAACATTTATATTTTCATGAAACCATGTCCCCAACCAAATTTGTTGAACACATGTCAGATACAAGAGACCAGTTAGGTATGACTCTATAGGGAATGTGGTGATGCCAATGAAGTTGTACCTGTGCCCAGATACACTTAAAACATAGGAGAACTTGATGGATTCAATTCCATAAAAGTGGTAAAAGCAAAATGCTATGGGTTTCAGAGGACTTGCAGTTCTCACCCATGTACCAAATCAAGGAAGGCTTCATAAGGGTGACTGAATCTGATTTGAAGAAGGAGGATTTCTACAGATGGTTATGGAGAGGACAGGGGCATTTCAGTGAGGTGTAGAGTAGGTTGGGCATGTGTGCAGAGATATTCTGTGATTGGAGAGAACAGGAAGTAATGTAATTTGGTTTGATATAGAGGAATAATCCAAGTTAAGATGGAATCATTAAGCAGAAGTCAAACAGTGCATAAGGAATTGTCATGTACCTCACCACTCAACACCTGCTATGTGAACAGAAGGGGTTGAAACAAAAAGAAGCTGTCTGTACTCTCATGGGTTCAGAGCCTAGCTGGTGAGAGGAATGTGTGCAGGTCATTATGATGTAGTGGTAAGGGCTCCTCATGAGAATGCAGTAAGTGCCGCAGGAGCCCCAAAGGCGGCAGAATGAAGAACTCTGGCTGGAAAGTGGCAGAATTGGGGAGGGACAGTGGAGTGGGGTCTTTAGTGCCCCGGGCGGCGGTTGCAGAAGGGCACTGGACTTCCAGGCTGGCGGGAAGAGTGTAGAACAGGAGGCAGATGCCCACATCTGAGCTCAGCTCTGCTGCTTACCAGTTCTCGACCTTTGCTAAACCTCATTTTCCTTGCCTGTAAACTGTGGGTGATAAGTGTCCCGACCACATAGGATCGTTGTGCAGATTAGCTGAGGTGATGTGTGGACTTAACATGGGGCTTTGTATATAAGTTTCTAGCAAAGTGATGCATCTATTGTGCTCAGGGAGCTGCAGACGGCTTGCAGAACTTCTGTACAGGGTGGCTGGGTGGAGAGGAGGGAGATCAGGTTAAGCAGTTAGGTCTGGACATCATTAGGAAGGGCCTCGCTTACAGCTGTGAATTTGGACTTTACTCTGTAAGTGGTGGAAAGTCAGTGACATTGTCAGGGCAGGGACTCAGAGGGACATTCCGTGGCTGGGGTTGATCAGACCAGCTCTGTAGAGAGGTCTAATTTGCATAACATCAACTCACCGGTTGTAGGTATGCAGTTTGATGATTTTTGGGAAATGTAGTGTGTGCAGCCACTACCACCGTCCAGCTAAAGAACACTTGGCTCCCCCCAGAAGGCTTCCCCACGCCTTTTACCAATCCCTGTTCCCACCCAAGACTAGGCCACAGCTGATGGGCTTTGTGTCTACACCTTTTATTAAGCGAACAATTCAGTGATTTTTATATGTTTATGGAGCTCTGCAGCCATCACCACAGACTAATTTTAGCACGTTTTCACCACCCCAGAAAGAAGCCTCGCGCCATTTGCAGTCACTTTCTGTTCCTAGCCCCAGCCTCAGAGCTATTTTTTGTGTCTATTATTTTACTTTTCTGGACATTTCATAGAAATGGAATCCTGTAATACGTGGTCTTTTGTGACTGGCTTCTTTCACTGAGCAAAACCTTGTTTTCAAGGTTTGTCCATAGAGCATGATCAGTGCTTCCTTCCTTGTTAAGGCTGCGTAATATTTCAGTGCATGGCTATCTATACCGCACTTTGTTATCTGTTCATCTGTTGATGGAGATGGGTTGTTTCTGCCTTTTTGCTATTATGAGTAATGCTGCTATGAATACTTACATACAAGTCCTTGGGTGGAAATATGCTTCCTTTCTCTTGGGTGGATACCTAGGGGTGGAATTGCTAGGTCTTGTGACATTTCTATGTTTAATTATTCGAGGAGCTGCCAAGCTGCTTTCCAAAATGGCTGTACCATTTTAGATTCTCACCAGCATTGTATAAGGGTTCCAATTTCTCCTCATCCTTGCCAGGACTTGGTATTGTCAGTATTCTGGACTCTAGCTATTCCAGCGGGTGTAGAGTGGTATTTCATTTTGGCTTTAATTAGTATTTCCCTAATGACTAATGATGTTGAACGTCGTTTCATGTGGTTATTAGCCATTCAAGTGATCTGATTTAGTGAAGTGCCGATTCAGATCTTTTGCTCATCATTTCATTGCATTCTTTGTCATCCTTTTATTGAGCAGTTAAGGTTTCTTTATATTTCCTGGCCACCTGTCCTTTATCAGATAATATGATTATTCAGGGTTCTCCAGAGGACGAGAACCAATAGGATACATATGAAAATCGGCTGGTGTGATTAAGGCCAAGTACCAAGATCTGCCATCTGCAGCCTGGAGAACCAGGAAGCCAGATGTGTAGTTCAGCGTGAGCCTGGAAGCCTGAGGACAAGGTGATGGGGTGGAGTGCTGGTGTAAGTCATGGAGTCCGAAGGCCCAAGAACCAGGAGCTTCAGTGTTCCTGGGCAGGAGAAGGTGGATGTCTGCCAGGAGAGGAGGGGAATCCTGGACTTTTGTCCTATTTGACACCTCAAGGGATTGCAGATGCCTGCCCACATCCTTGAGGGCAAGTCTTCTTTACTTTACTGATTACTGATTCCAATGCCAGTCTTTTCTGGAAACACCCTCACAAACGCACCCAGAAATAATGCTTTATCAGCCTTCTGGGGATTCTTTCACCCAATCAAGTTGACACATCAAATTAATAGGAATTACAAATATTTTCTCACAGTCTGGCTTGTCTTTTAAATTTTTTAATATTTTTCTTTTTTGAGACAGGGTCTCACTCTCTTGCCCAGGCTGGAGTACAATGGTGCAATCACAGCTTACTGCAGCCTCAACCTCCCAAGGTCAAGCAATCCTCCTGCCTCAGCACCACCCCCACCCAGTAGCTGGGACTACAGACACACAGCACCACACCTGGTTACTTTTTGTATTTTTTGTAGAGGTGGGGTTTTGCCATGCTCCCCAGGCTGGTCTCGAGCTCCTGAGCTCAAGTGGTCTGCCTGCCTCGGCCTCCCGGAGTGCTGAGATTACAGGCATGAGCCACCACTCTCAGCCCAGTTTTATAATATTTTTTAAAGAGTCAAAATTCTTAGTTTTGATGAAAATACAGTTACCAAATTTTTGTAGTTTTCTGTAGATCTGAGAACTCTAAGATTACAAAGATTTTCTTCTGTGTTATTTTCTGGAAGTTTTATCATTTTAGCTCTTACATTTAGGTATATGCCCCATGTTTAGTTGTTTTTGTGTGTAATATGAAGGTTCATTTTTTAATATATGAACATCTGTTTATCCAGCCTCCATTTATTCAGCCGCCTATGGTTTTTGTACTGCAGAGAATGTAAGTTTCCATATTCCTCTGGGTTCTCATTCATTTTTTTTCTGACAAAAACATTACAGAATTTGAATCACAAAAATTAGAGTTAGAAAGATAATTTTTAAATATAATATTATGTGTGCTTTCAAAAAATGTTTTTCTAATGAATTGAACATGTTGTTGCAGGGACATTTGCCCTGATATGACAGTTAGTGTTTTATGATATTTCCTAAATAGTATGCTTGGGGTAGACATGCAACAGATATCTTCTCTTACAGAGGGCTTTTTAATGTGATCTGAAGAGAATTAATGTGCCTTCTATGAGTCATCTTTGTGCTAGTTTATGTTCAGTTTCTCCTAGAATGTTTTTAGCTTGTTTTTGTTTCTTTTCCTTTTGCTGGAGAAAAATGTGAAAAAGGATCTATTCCAGAAATACTAAATCATAGAAATTCACATCATGAGTCTAAATGTGAAAGTAGCTTTTTACTTTAACAATGGAATCATTTTCTAAGTCAGTTTAAAAAAAAAAGTTTCCATTTGCTCTGAAAAGGTTTATGCTCATTATTACCTAATTCTTTTTCAACGGAAAGTTTCAAAGTATTTCTGAAAGGGTGCTCAACATTTGAGTCAGGCATTTCAGTACAGACTAGTTAAACCGGCAAATTATGTACTTGTGAAGTTCTAGCCAGAGTGAGGACCCCCTGGGATGCAAGCCAAAGCTGCGGAATCCCGAGTCTCCTCCAGCACTGCTGACAGGCTACAGAACTTTATACACTTAAACACACACACACACACACACACACACACACACACACACACACTGATAAGATTATTTCTACAAATGCAGAATCTAAATAAAATTATCGTATACCTGTAGTTTTGAACTTTCCAGTGGCTCATTTCTAGAATAGTTTCTCTAGTGAGATACCATTAAATAGGATTTTCTCATTAAAAATAAGGGGGGAGGTAGATGGAATCATACCCCTATACCTGCACAAGAGACTAAATGCCAACTCTTATAGAAATTACCACAGTAACCATTTGTAATCAACTTGTCATGATGTACTGCATCTTATTAATGCTATGCATGTTAAGCTTCCTGAAGTTTAAGAAATGATAGGAAGCAATATCATAATATATTCTTCAGTGTTTTCTTATTTTATCTTAATTAGCACCTCATTTTAATTTGTGGATAGGAGGGCATAATTAGACCTTAGTGAAGTACTAAATACAGAAAGGTACACTTCCATATTCTTCAGAGGGGGAATTTTAGCTTGATGACTAAGAAACTGATTTCAGTATACGTTTTTCTCCTCTTCTATATTTCTCTTCTTGAACTTCTCTATAACAATTAAGATCAAAGGCCACCCAGGGTGGAATTGCTTTCAACCCGGCTTGGTGACACCGATTGATTTGGCTGTGTCTGCCATGATGGTGATGATTAGAAGGAATGCCGTACGTTTTGTTGGTGGGGGCCAGAGTACACATTGCCAGAAGTCACTATATAAATAACATTACCTGTTTCTTCTACTTCTGACAGTCTGGGGACAAAACCACCACTTGCAGTGCTCTGGGGCAGACTTCAGGGAGTCAACTGGTGCAGGAATAGAGAGAGGGGCCCTGTGGATTGGAGAGGATATAGCACTCACAGCTGCTTGCTGCCCTGCACTGATCTAGTAACTTTCTAGGATACCAGGATCCATATGGCTGCCAGCCAGCCATTCCCAATTTGAGTGGTCAGGAAGCTGGATGGTGTAAGGTAGTTGGGCCTTGTTCTGCTGAGTTCTGTCCTAGTTTTATTGCTAACTAGCAGTATGTTCTTAAGAAAGACACTTGACCTACTTAAGCCTCAACTTCTTAAAAAATTGGGATTATAGTACTGCCTGAATTAAATGAAATAATGCATGTATGGTACTTACCACAGTGCCTTGGAACATGGTAAATCGGGTTAATAGTAGCTTTTATAACAGAAATCATTGTTATGATTGAAATTATTTCCTTTGGTCAAACATTTCAGTACAGACCAGTTAAACTTTGCAAATTATGTACTTCTAAGTTATAGCCGGAGCAAAGACCTCGCCCTGAGTTACAAACCAAAGCTACAGATTCCTGAACCTCACCCAAAGCTACTGAATTAGAGTCCCTGAGGTTTAGACCCAGAAATTTGGACTATCAGCAATCAACTCGGGAAAATGACTTTTGTCAATGCAAACTTTGAGATTCGCTGTCCAGGCTGAGGCTCCTCTAGGTATAAAGTGTCCTGTACTTCTCCAGAATAGAGTGATTGAAGCCAGGGAGGCATGCCGGAAAGAGAGAAAGATTGCTTGTAAAAACTTTTCAAGCAAGAAATGGTGTGATAAAGAATTGGTCTGGCTGACGTGGTGGCTCATGCCTATAATCCCAGCACTTTGGGAGGTCAAGGCTGGAGGACCACTTGAGCTCAGGAGCTCGAGACCAGCCTGGACAGCATAGTGAGACCTTGTCTCTTAAAAAAAAATAAAAAGCCAGGTGTGGTGGTGCAAGCCTGTGGCCCCAGCTACTTAGGAAGCCAAGGTGGGAGGATTGCTGGAGCCTAGGAGATCGAGGCCACAGTGAGTTATGATTGCACCACTTCACTTCAGCCTGGCTGACAGAGTGAAACCCTGTCTTAAATAAAATAAAGAATTTGGTCTAAAATATGTTGAGCAGTGTAAGTCTAGCAATTGCTCCATCCACTACTGAGAACTAGAATTTTTACCAACTCATTTGGGATTTTAAAAAAGTAACTGTTTCTTGAAAATAAGAATATAAATAATAACAGCTCAAATTGATATGCCTTTTCAGTGGATGAAGTTCCATCATGCAACACTGTTGCATTCAGTTTTCACAGCCACTTGTGACATAGGTGATTTTTGTATTTGCTTTAACAGATGAGTAAACTGAGGCTTGGAAAAGTTCAAGGACTGTCACATAAGTAGTGAGGGGTGGGGTCGGGCCTGCAGCTGGGTTTCCAAATGGGGAAGGAGGCCTAGAATCAGCATCTGCTTTGGGATGTGGCTTGCAGACATGCTCACCATTTATTAGCCTCCTCATCTCTTGAGGAATCACTTAATCTTTCTTATCTGTAAAGTAGAATTAAATGCATCTACTTCAGAGAGTTTTTAAATTAAATGACATAAATGATATCTTCAACAACAACAAAAAACACAGCCCCATTTAAAAAATGGGCAGAGGACTTGAATAGACATTTCTCTAAAGAAGATATGCAGGTGAGCGGGTGGATCACCTGAGGTCAAGAGTTTGAGACCAGCCTGGACAACATGGTGAAACCTTGTCTCTACTAAAAATATAAAAAAAAATTAGCTGGGCGTGGTGGCACGCACCTGTAGTCCCAGCTACTCGGGGAGGCTGAGGCAGGAGAATCACTTGAACCCAGGCGGCGGAGGTTGCAGTGAGCCAATATTGCGCCACTGCACTCCAGCCTGGGTGACAGAGGGAGACTCCATCTCAAAAAAAAAAAAAAAAAAAGATATGCAAATGATAAAGTATATGAAAACATCTTCAGTGTCACTAATCATTAGGGAAATGCAAATTAAAACCATGGTGAGATACTACTTCACACCCATTAGAATGGCTACTATAAAAAAAATAACAAGTGTTCACAAAGATAGGGAGACATTGGAACCCTTGTGCATTGCTGGTGGGAAAATAAAATGATGGTACGGCTGCTGTGAAAAACAGTGTGCTGATTCCTCCAAAGTTAAACATAGAATTACTGTATGATCCAGCAATTCCGTTTCTGGGTATATGTCCAAAAGAATTGAAAACAGGACTCAAACAGGTATTTAGACACCCATGTTCATAGCAGCACTATTCATAAGAGGCAAAAGAAGGAAACAACCCAAGTGTCTGTTGATGGACAAATGGATAAAAAGTATAGTGTGTACATATACTGCGGAATATTATTTATGCCTTAACAAACATGCTGCAGGCTGGGCGCAGGGCTCACGTCTGTAATCCCAGCACTTTCTGAGGCCGAGGTGGGTGAATCATGAGGTCAGGAGTTCGAGACCAGCCTGGCCAACATGGTGAAACCCCATCTCTACTAAAAATACAAAAAATTAGTTGGGCATAATGGTGGGTGCCTGTAGTCCCAGCTACTCAGGAGGTGGAGGCTGAGGCAGGAGAATCTCTTGAACCCAGGGGGTGGAGGTTGCAGTGAGCCGAGATTGCACCACTGCACTCCAATGCTGGCGGCAGAGTCAGATTCCATCTTAAAACAAAACAAAACAAAAAAAACATGCTGCAGCATGGCTGAACCTTGAGGACATTGTGCTAAGTGAAATCAGCCAGTTACAAAAGAATAAATACTGTATGATTCCACTCACATGAGATCCGTAGAGTAGTCAAATTCATAGAGACAGAAAGTAGAGTAGTCATTGCCAGGGGCTGTGGGGGAAGAGAGTATTTAATGGGTTCAGAGATACATTTGGGAGAGATGAAAAAGTTCTGAAGATGGATGGTGGTGATAATTACATAACAGTGTGAATGTACTTAATCCCACTGACTCATACACCTAAAAATAATTAAAATGGAGGTGGGTGCAGTGGCACATACCTGTAATCTCAAGCTACTCAGGAAGCCAAGATGGGAAGATCACTTGAGGCCAAGAGTCTGAGACCAGCCTGGGCAACATAACCAGACCCCATCTTATAAATTTTAAAAAGTAGTCAAAGTAGTAGACATTATATATGTATATATAAAATATATCACATATATTATATAATATATATCATTTATAATATATAAACATACATGTTTAAATATGCAATATATAAACATACATGTTTAAATATGCAATATATAAACATACATGTTTAAATATGCAATATATAAACATGTATAATATATATATATAAATATATATATTTTACCACACACACAAAATTAAGTGATGTGCTGTAGGTTAAGGGCATGTTTCAAATGCTGGTATCATGGTTGATAAATTTGCATTCCACTTTCCAGCCCAAACCAGTTCTTCTTGACTTTTTTTTTTTTTTTTTTTTTTGAGACAGACTCTTGCTCTATCTCCCAGACTCTTGCTCTGTCTCCCAGACTGGAGTGCAGTGGCATAATCTCGGCTCACTGCAGTCTTCGCCTCCCGGGTTCAAGCGATTCTTGTGCCTCAGCCTCTCAAGCAGCTGGGATTACAAGTGTGCACCACCATGCCCGGCTAATTTTTATATTTTTAGTAGGGACAGGGTTTTGCCATGTTGGCCAGGCTGGTCTCAAACTCCTGACCTCAAGTGATTCACCCATCTCGGCCTCCCAGAGTGCTGGGATTACAGGCGTGAGCCACTGCCCCCGGCCTCTCCTTGATGTTTTAGGTGGGAATGTTTTGGCTGGTTGGGATGGGCTAGTTCTGCTAAGGTGCTTCAGTCCCTTTTCTGGCCATTTGTTTTGGGAATTCACTGGGTGACACAGGAAAGAAAGCCACCTTGGACTCCAGGGTGACTCCAGGGCCAGAGCGGTGCCATGTTTAGTAGGTCAGTGCCACAGGTAGGGGACAGGCGGCTGAAGTCTTGCATACAGTTTGTGACCAGGCAAAGGATTACAGCCTCACTCCTTAATGTATATGTTTTTCACGTTTACTCACAGTGAGAATACCTTGTACATTTGGCTTTGTACTTTTACTCTTTGTGATATAAATTTTTCATCTGTAATTCTTTAACTGCCAAGTTTTGAGTTAAACCTACTGGAAATATTTGGCAGCAGAACACATTAGATTCTTGTATTCCTCAGTGAAAATAAAAAAGAAGCACTACGGGTGCTCCTTGCGATCTTGCCTTTCCTTTGTGATGGCTCCTGTGCGGGCAGTCCATGTGGCCCGAGTGTCTGTGGTGCACAGCACATCAGAGGTGGATGTTTACCTGCTCAGGGAGGCCCTGGACCTTTAGGAGTTTAAAGCAGGTGTGATACAATCATGTGTAATTAATAAAAGTATAGAAGCTTATTGTTGGCAAGGACCCATTACCTTGTTCCTCATGTATCTGAGACTAAGTAAAACACTTTCAGAATAGGATTGTTGATCATGGGGGAAGGGAAATTGCAATTATTTTGTTTGTAGAATGGCGTAGGATTTCAGGAGATGATGGAGGAAATAGGGACGGGATGGCTGACTTCCTTATCTGAAACGTGGTCACTGATTTTGAAATACTTAGTGGTCCTCTATCACTAATTTCAAAAGTTGAAAGTAAGTTTATTTACATTGTGGGATGGAGGCCAGGGACAGGAGAGTATGAAAATGTAAAGAAAGATAAACAACAGTCTGGGTATGGTGGCTCACACCTGTAATCCTAACACTTTGGGATGCTGAGGCGGGTGGATCCCTTGAACCCAGGAGTTTAAGACCAGCTTGGGCAACATGGCGAAACTCTGTCTCTGCTAAAACTAGACAAATTAGCCAGGCGTGGTGGTGTGCACCTCTAGTCCCAGCTACTTGGGAGGCTGAGGTAGGAGAATCACCTGAGCCTAGGAGGTGGAGGCTGCAGTGAGCCGAGATTTCGTCACTGCACTCCAGCCTGGGTGTCGGATAGAGACCATATCTAAAAAAAAAAAAAAAAAAAAAAAAAATAGAGAAAGCAGGTTGCTAACATATTCAGAGCTAAAATATGGTTATCACTTTTGAAATATTAAGTTCTCCTCAATCAATAAGTTTAATTTCCAAAGAGGAAAGTAAGTTCATTTTTATAAAATCATGTTTTTTCACTCATTGAAAATAATAAGTTTGAAAGTAGACCTCTATATTCTTTAGCATGTGTTTCAGAGATGAAACATGTTTTAAGATGTGGTCATTATGTGCATTTATTTCATAATATGATGACTTTAAACTGTCTCTTTACTCTTAATTAGTCCAGGCATAAAATTGCAACCTACGACCGGGTGTGGTGGCTCACGCCTGTAATCTCAGCATTTTGGGAGTCTGAAGCAGGTGGATCCCTTGAGCTCAGGAGCTCAAGACCAGCCTGGCCAACATGGCAAAACCCTGTCCCTGCTAAAAATACAAAAATTAGCCAAGCAGAAGGATCACTTGAACCCTGAAGGTTGAGGCTGCAATGAGCCGTGATTGCACCACTGCACTGCAGCCTGATGACAGAGTGAGAACCTGTCTTTAAAAAAAAAAAAAATTACAACCTACCAATTTTGTTTTCTCTACCTGGATGTCAATCTCAGTGTCGTGTTACTATTGATTTTGAGATGGCAGGATGGTCTGGATGTTTTTCTTGAGCCTAGAAAACGGAACCCCCTTGAACAATTATCATGAAGGCTAAGGGGGAAAAACCTATTAGCCTGGGAGTGTTGGTTTTGGGGTCACGGTGGTGACACGTGTCTATGATGTGAGGGAGGCAGGTGAGGTGAGGGGCACAGGACATGGTCACGGGCTGGGATGGAGTTTGTCACCGTCATGCGGAGTTCATTCCTTTTTTTAAACTGAAGAAGAGCTCAGCTACACTGATTTCTCCATCTTGTATTCTAAGACTTCACTAGTGATTACATTTTTCTGAAGTACTAGTGTTTTTATGCTCATGGAACTGGGCTAATAGTATTAAAGTAAGTGTTCTCCATGAACTTCAGTATATTTGCATTTTTAAATGAACTACCATATCAGTCTATAAAACAGGTTACATACAAGGCCATAGGGTCACCAGCTGTGTTTTTCGCATCTTTTATCATCCACGTAACACATTCAAGGACAATTGTATCTAATATCACCACCATGCTCCTCTCCTACTTCAAGGGAGATAAACATTCATTGTTTTAAAATGTTTAACAAATGACCAAACTGCTTCCTGAATCCAAGGGACAAGGCCACAGTTTTCTGGGTTATGATAGTTGCTTCTTTTTTTGTTTTTTGGAGACTCTTTAAAAATGATGTCACGATTACTGACATGCATGTCACCCCATTCCGTAGTAATTAGAAAAGGTTAGCTTAGTCACTTGTGCTTCATTTGCTGTCAGAATTCCACCAACCACTGAAGATTCTTACAGGTTAAAACCTAAGATCCTAGTAAAAAATGCAGCACATTTGTAAGAGTGTAGCCCAGAGTTATTATTTATTTTTACCTACAAGCCATAGAAAGAGTAACCCAGTAAATGATGTTTCTACTTCCAGTATTGTGCCTGGTCTGTTTCTGGCCCAGGCCCTGTCCTAAGAGCCAGGCCTGAGAAAAGAAGGGACAACTTAATGACCCTGTCTGCCCCTTCCCAAGATGGTCCCTAAAGTAGCAGAAACTGTGAGGGGTGCAGCAGAGCCATCTTGAACAGGCGCATTTGTGAGACGGCATTACTCAGCGAAACGCAGAGTGTTTTGCCATTTACTTAGTTTTGAACTGGGTCAGAGGCCATCCCTCCTGTCCTCCACTTTGCATGGGTAACGGGCTTTTATAGGAGCCCCTCCCCTCACAGTGGTTGTTCCTCAGCTTGCCTAAGTGATGCACGGAGTGATGCCTGGACAGGTGGAAAGAGCCAGGGAGTGGAGGACCAGGAAGCCCACCTGGTGGTTGGCCCCGTTTATGGGGCACCTCCCCGCGTGCCGGGATAATTCACCTCCCTTGCAACACACACACCCCATTGAGGGCTATGAAAGCAAAAGGCAGCTTTAGACAGAAAGATTATTCCACCAGGCCAGGCATGGCAGCTCACTCCTGTAATCCCAGCACTTTGAGAGGCCGAGGCGGGAGGACTGCCTGAGCCCAGGAGTTTGAGACTAGCCTGAGCAACATAGTGAGACCCCTATCTCTACAGAAAATTTAAAAATTAGCTGGACCTGATGGTGCATGCCTGTAGTCTCAGCTACTCAGGAAGCCAAGGTGGGAGGGTCACTTGAGCCTGGGAGTTCAAGGCTGCAGTGAGCACAGATCGCGCTACTTACTTCAATCTGAATGACAGAGTGAGACTGTCTCAAAAAAAAAAATGAAAAAAGAAAAGAAAGATTATTCCACCTAATTGTTGTAAAAATTAAGGATAAGAAACCAAATATGAATTTACTCCATGAAACAAAATCGACACTTGGTTCCATAGACGGCCAGTTAGGGGAAGAGGGCCTAGGCAAGGAGAGAGAGAGGAAGAGAACATTGGAGAGAGGTGAAGGTGAGGGCTGTGGGAGGAACCAACACAGAAGAGTCCAAGCCGGATGCATGCGCATGACTATGTCTACACACACATGGATGAATGGAGAAATAGCCCAGAGAAATACATAGAGCAGAAGCCAGCAGTGCAGACTGCGTGTGTGATAAGCTCATGGAGGCTTTTTGGGGAGCAGTATCAATTGCTGCCAAGGGTTTTTGCTATAACCTATAAAGCCATTTTGCATCTTTCTTACCTACTGCTATAAATGGAGGGGTCATGTCTAGTGCTGGCCTTCCAAAGATGAAATTAAAGTGTCTTAACTATCTCGCTTGCTCTTATCTTTCAGTAAATCCATTGTCTTCTCATCGTAAAATGGGGGTAATTACGTCTTCTTTGCTTCTTTGAAAATATAATTATAGTTAGATGGGAAAGCAATTTGAAAATCTAAGATTTGTAAGTGAATGTAACATGTTATTCCTTTGGCGTTAAAAATACCACCCCCTCCCACAAGAAAAAATGTCATTAAGGCTCAAACTTATCTCTTTCTGCATATGTAAATATTTCCTTGTTCCTGCTTTCAACTCCTCAAAATATGGTCATTCATCTGGGATCCTATGCGTTCCCCTCACCCACTTAAAATCCTAGGACAGATAGTTGTAACACATAAAAACAGGCCTATGCAGGGTATTTTTGGTTATGACACATTAATTTTCATTTAAGGGACATTGGGTAATGAGATATAGTTCTGGGATAGTGAGATGCTACTTTTTTGACTTCTTAAGTTGTAAGGCCTAAAATTTCATTTTTTAAGAATTGAAGCACAAGACTGATACCCTAGGATACTGTTAAGTGTTGTTATCTAACCCGGGAGTTTTAGATATTTGTGATATTGTCTGATTACAGACCTTTTTCACATTATACAATGGGTTTTTCTGATGTCTTGAAATATATTCACGTCACTCATCCATACTTCAGAATCAATACCTCACACTCATCCTCTTAATTGATATGTGACATATGTTACTACGTTACGGCTCTTTTAAATCATCTTACTTTACAGTCCTCTCTCATTTTCTTTTATGCATGTGAACATATGATTCTGGGGTCTGTAGGTTTTACCAGATTGCCCAGGGCACAGGTTACCAGAGCCTCTGATAACTGTCATTCCCTGTCCCCTCCCTCCAGCAGTTCTACATCTAAGGGAAGGAACATCTGCAAAGTTCTGTTTTCCTTCTGTAAAAGTACATGCTAAGTATGCAGGCTTTCCAGAGGAGAGGCAGAGGTTTTGAAGCCAGACAGACTGGGTTGTGAAATAGGCCCTTCCCTTTTCTGGCTCTATTAACGTGAGCAAATCATTTCATTTATTTTAGCCCTGGTGTCTTAATCAGTAAAATTCTGTGAAGAGTACCTGTCTCACAGGGTGGCTGTGAAGATTAAGCAAGGTAAAATGTGCCTGGCATAGGTCTGGCACCTCGTAGGCATTCAAAAATTGCAGTTTTCATTGCAGTCCTCTGTGGCATCAACTGCCAAGGTGTATTCCTTCTCACCTTGACCCCTGTATGTGAATTCTTTTGGTAGCCAGGATGTTGGTACCCTAGGAGAAAACTGGGGGGTTAGCTTATTGTATTTATATACATCTTCAAAAAACTTTTGGTATGCCCAGAGTCCCTATGCTTTAATTTTCTTCTGAATTACCTTGCTGTATGAGTTTCCCAGGGTTGCTGTAACAAATCACCACAAACTAGGTGGCTTAAAACAGTGGACATCTGTTCTCTCACCATTCTGGAGGCCAGAAGTTTGAGATCAAAGTGTTGCCAAGTCCACAATCACTCCAAGGTGCGAAGGGGGCTTCTTAGCCTCTTCCAGCTTGCAGTGGCAACTGGCCTTCCTTGGTGCCCTTGGCCTGTGGATGCATCACTCCAGTCTCTGCCTCTGTCCTCCCATGACTTCCTCCCTTTCGTGTTTGTCTGTGTCCAAATTTCCCTCTGCATCATAAGGACACCAGCCACTGGATTACGGCCCACCTAACCCAGGTTGACCTCATTTTAACTTTATTATATCTGCAAAGATCTAATCTCTAAATAAAATCTCACAGGTACTGGGACACTTGCTATTTGACTATACTTCCTTTAGGTTAGGCCTCTGAATGGATATAAGAGAAATCAAGTTATTTTGTCTGAATCTTTCATTTTTCCTCTGGTTAATAGTTTGCTTTCACTGTGGTTTCAGAAAACATTTTAAAATGTCTCACTGGAGGTAACATAGCCTATATTGGCTTTTTACTTTTGCAGAGTAAAATATGAAATCTTATAGGAAGAAAACATTTAATACTAAGCAAAGCACTTTAAAATGTATGCGGAGTGGCCAGGCACTGTGGTTCACACCTGTAATCTGAGCCCTTTGTAATCTCAGCCAAGGCAGGTGAATTGCTTGAGCCCAGGAGTTTGAGACCAGCCTGGGCAATGTGGTGAATCCCTGGCTGTACAAAAAATAAATAAATTAGCTGGTGTGGTGGTATGCACCTGTAGTCCCAGCTTCCTGGGAAGCTGACACGGGAGGATCACCTGAGCCCAGGAGGTGGAGGCTGCAGTGAGCTGTGATTGTACCACTGCCTGGGCAACAGAGTGAGACTGTCGCAAAATAAATAAATAAAATAAAATATATGCAGAGAAGCAAGAGTTAAAAGGGCAGCAATTCCACTGAAAAGTCTGTTTACAGAGGTTTATGACTTGGGTCTGAATTGCCCATTTTGGAGCTGATAGAGCTCTGGCTGGATTGTTTGGACTAGGGCAGAGCTCTGGCATGGCCGTGGGAGAGGGCAGGTCTCTATGATGGTGTTTTAAAGTCAAGAAAGACTCTTTAGAGGACATGGCTATGCCCAGCTGCATGTTTCTTTGGTGCATCCGTGGGCCCCGGCAGCCCACGCCGGAGTCTGAGTTAGGCTCTCACTTGTTTGAGAAGGTTGTTTGATGGGACATGTGTGTCTACAGTTCCAAGTAGAATCGCAACCAAACTACATTCCCTGGAATGAACCTGGGTGGTATTTCAGAAGTACATAAACTTTGCTTAAAAAAAAAAAAAGATTCCATTTTAGAATATCCATCAAAGTTCAAATTTGTTTCATAAGGAATTTAACCGTCTTTTGGCGAATAATCAATGTTTGAATGTGAGCTTAAATCTGAGAGTTTTCCTCTATCCTTCTCTTTGTACTTTTGCTGGGAGTAAAATGGACATTTCAATTTTGTATATTATACTGTAACTAAGTTTTGCTATTTTTAGAATATGTGGTACCTTTTAGAGGGAATGTTTTCTCCTTTTATATCTTCATTGGAACTGTATAAATACTGAACGTAGAATTACAGTTGTTTCTTTTTTTTTTTTTTTTTTTTTTTTAGACAACAGGTCTTGCTTTGTTGCCCAGGCTGGATTGCAGTAGTGCAATCATGGCTCACTGCAGCCTCCACCTCCTAGGCTCAAGCAATCCTCCTGCCTCGGCCTCCCAAGTAGCTGGGACGACAGGCACATAAAACCGTGCCCTGCTATTATTTATTTATTTTTAGATGAAGTTTCACTGTGTTGCCCACGCTGGTCTTGAATTCCTGGGCTCAAGCAATCCTCCTGCCTGAGCCTCCCAAAGTGCTGGGATTAGCGGTGTGAACCACTGTGCTCCGGCCAACAGTTGGTTTTGTGTGCTCTACTGTGCTGACTCTGAGGCATGATGTATTAAAAGAATGATCCCGAGTCCTGCCCGCTGCTGTCTACTGACCTGCTTGGAGCTCACCTGCCTGTACCCAGCATCTGTCACTGCCTGGAGTAGTTCCTTACTTTTGGCATTACTGAGAAAAGGCAGGGTGCGTGTCACGTAAGTGTAAAACCAAAACAAACCAGACCCCAAAAAACTAACTAAAAATAGAACAGAACAAAGGGCTGCACGTCCATTTGTGAGCAGGTGGACAGTTCCCTGCCTGTGGTCTTCTTGTACTTCTGTTTTTCTAGCGTGTTGTTCCTGAACCTTTTTATTACAGGGCAATAATGTAATTGGGTTTATTCTCACTATGTACTTAAGTTGTCTGTGCCATTTGATTCGGTAATTTAAACTATCTTTGTTTTTCATGTGTAATAGAGAAAATAATATTAACCTTTTCATGATTTCTCTCATATTTTCCTGTAGTGGTGTTGGGGAGGAAAAAAACGTTTCCTCTACACTCTTTGACTCTGTTCTTAAGTCCTGTGAATTTTAAGGCCTGTGAATTAAATTGACAGAAGACAGATTAGCAAAAGAAAAGACATGTTTATTCACATGCCTGCGTTTGTGCGTGTCTCTGTGTGTGAGAGACAGAGTTCATAGAAAAATGTGACTCAGGCCGGGTGTGGTGGCTCACGCCTGTAATCCCAGCACTTTGGGAAGCTGCAGTGGGTGGATCATGAGGTCAGGAGTTCGAGACCATTCTGGCCAACATGGTGAAACCGTGTCTCTGCTAAAAAATGTATATCTAAATTAGCTGGGCGTGGTGGTAGGTGCCTGTAATCCCAGCTACTCAAGAGGCTGAGACAGGATAATCACTTGAACCTGGGAGGTGGAGGTTGCGGTGAGCCGAGATCACACCACTGCACTCCAGCCTGGTGACAGAGTACGACTCCATCTCAAAAAAAAAAAGTGACTCAAGGAGGTGGTTAGAATTTAAGCAGTATGTGGCATCTTACTAGGCCGGGAGAAGAGAACTTAAGGGAAAACAAGTGACTTTTAGGAAAGATAAATAGGCTTTCAGGAAAATACGTGAGTTTTGTGACAGTGTCTGTTTGGGTGTGGATTCCCCTCTTTACCCTGGTAGCAGGCAACTCCCAGGAGGGGATTTGTGACAGTTCAGTTCTTTTGAGAGGCTCTGCTTTTAGGCAGATAACAGAGGTCACTCTCTAAAGCCTTCAGCTCAAAATCATTTGTATGCTATTCTGGGTGCCGTCAGTGGAGAGAGAATTAAAGGTGGCAGCCCAGCAGGAGGGATCTGTGGACAGCAGCAAAGGGGAAGTTGCTGGAACCTGCACGGGATTGTCTTTTGAGCAGAGGTGACGTGGCATTGCAGGAAAACTTTTGGAAAAGAACTCACGAAGCCCATTGTTTTGTGTCTTTGTTGCCACTGATTAACTGTGTGGCCCTGGGCAAGTCACGTCACTTCTTTAGGTCCCAGTTTTCCTGATTTGAAAAATGAGTGGTTGGAGTAAAGTATCTATAAACCCCACACTGTGCTCTTTGCTCCACATTCACTTTTTTTTTTTTTTTTTTTGAGACAGAGTCTCCTTCTGTCACCCGGGCTGGAGTGCAGTGGTGCAATTTCAGCCCACTGCAACTTCCACCTCCCGTGTTCAAGTGACTCTCCTGCCGCCTCAGCCCCCCAAGTAGCTGGGATTACAGGCACCTGTCACCACACCTGGCTAATTTTTTTGTATTTTAGTAGAGACAGGGTTTCACCATGTTGGCCAGCTGGTCTCAAACTCCTGATCTCAAGTGATCTGCCCATCTTGGCCTCCCAAAGTGCTGGGATTACGGACGTGAGCCACCCGCCCGGGCTCTGCATCCACTTCTTCATGGCACGTGGCCTCAGTGAGCATTCAGACCCTCAGGCTGGAAATGGCGAGCCTGGGGCCCGGGGTCTCTTGTCACTGGCTGGAGGTGTGCCTCCTTTGCCTCTACCAGCCACCATTTTGGTTTCTCAAGGAGGGAGCCGGTGGGCTGCGGCACAAGCTCTGTGAGCTCCCAGGGACTCCTGCAGTCATAGTCTGCCTTCTCTGGTGGTTCTGGTTGTCCTCCCTGGGCCCATGGCCTGACTGACAGCCCTTTTTGTTTATATCTGTAGGTAAGGTTCAGGGGTGGAAGACGGAGGGCATGCAGGCAGGGCTTACAGGCCTCCACTCCTGCAGGTCTCTGACGCAGCCCTCCTCTCTGGCCAGGCTTTGAGGGGTCTGCTCAGACAACTGCTCTCTCATCAGGCCTGATCCCTGGGAATGGTTACTCCATGGCCCAGCTTTTTCAGAGCAGCAAAGAACTCCTGCCATAAGAGCTGTCTCACCATTGTTGCGTCTCATCCTTCTAAGGACCTGCTGTTTCCCAGGGAATGGCTGCAGAGCCAGATCACAGAAGTTAGGTGACTTGCCTGAGATTGCACTAGGTCTTGGGCCAGACACAGTGACTGAACATGTCTGCTCGATTCCCAGCATCATGTGCTTTTCTGGTACATTGTGTTGCCTCTGAAAAATTATCTGAAAAAATTAGAAGGTGATGCCTCATTTAGGATCATAGACTCTTGAGCTGTGGGATTGTCCAGTCCAAAATCTGAGATCCAGAAAGGTCAGTTGTGACTTGTCCCAGCTCACACCACTAGTGAGTAGCCTAGTCTAGTTCTTTGAATCCTCGTTCAGTGCTCGCCCCATCAGACTGCTGCCTGGAGGCTGTTGGTGGGAGCCAGAGGCTGCTCGAGTGTTGGGTCCTGACAGCCCTGGACTTAGTCCTCTTAAAGCACCTTCTATTTTTAAGTAGTGCACGTTATTGAAAGAAGTGGGTAGAACAGCAGTGGATGGCATTACCCATTCATTTCTTCTCCTGGCAGGTCTTTGGGGGACACCTATGATAGTTATAAAGTTCATTTTACTAATTCACGATGGTGCTGATTTTCTTTTTTTTTTTTTTGAGAAAGAGCCGTGCTCTTTCACCCAGGCTGGAGTGTGGTGGTGCAACTGCAACTTTTGCCTCCCAGGATCAAGCAATTCTCCTGTCTCAGCCTCCCAAGTAGGTGGGACTACAGACACGCGCCACCGCGCCCCGCTAATTTTTATATTTTTGGTAGAGATGGGGTTTCTGCATGTTGCCCAGGCTGGTCTTGAACTCCTGACCTCAAGTGATCTGCCTGCCTCGGCCTCCCAGAGTGCTAGGATTACAGGCATGAGCCACCGCATCCGGCCAGTGCTGATTTTCTTAATGCCTTTTATCATAGCTCATCATTGGTCACCAAACCACTATTTCAATTATGGTTATTGAAATATCAGCCTAGAATCAGCCTATTGAATCAGCCTATAAGAATAGATTTGGTTATTTTGATTAAGGTTTGGTTGTGTCTTCATGTTCTAGTACACAAATAACTGTTTTAATAAACAAGTAAATCAAGAAAACCCGAGGCACGGCTGTGGTGGTGAGAGGGAATGTATGGCTTGTTCTTTCTTTAATACCTTCCTGGATATTGAGCTCACCTGACCTGTTCGCATTTGAAAGGTCGTCCCTGATGGCCCCTGGAGGCGAAGCTCATCACAGGATGAGGAAAGGACAGAGGCACAGAGAACCCCCAAGAGGAGATGGGGCTCTGGGAGACGGCCAAGGCCTCGGCCATTCTCTGACTACGGCCAGCTGGCCAGCCGCAGTTTGTCTATTCCTGAAGACTCGGTTGCTGCAGACCCCCAGAAGGAAGACCGTGTGGACGAGGACCCCCAGGCAAGCATGACTTCTGCCAGCCCTGAAGACCAGAATGCTCCAGTGGGCTGCCCCAAAGGAGCCCGGAGAAGGCGCCCCATTTCCGTGATAGGTGGGGTCAGCTTGTATGGGACCAACCAGACGGAGGAACTGGACAATCTTCTGACCCAAGTAAGATCTGGTGTGCACTTCCCCAAGCCAGCAGAGGCCCTCCAGCTTCCTGCCTCTATTCTGTCTGCACACTAAACTGGATCTGCTTTTTCTCTCCCGTTCTCAAGGGCGGCACCATGTACTTAACCACCTTTTCTTCCTGACTGTGTGAAAACATGCATGAATTCAAACTAACCACCTGACGTTTGGATGCCTTTTGCTAATCTTTCTTTCCTGGGATCTCAAATAATACATGAGACTCATTTGCTGTTTGTTTCTGAATAACCTGAGATTCTAACCAGGGAAAGGTAGCAGGGCATATTTAGTAAGACTCCTGAAAGAAGTAATTGTTGAAAAAGACAGTATTGTTCATTGTTAAAATGTAAAGATAAAATGTAAAGAAGAAATAAATAAAATGTAAAGAAGAAATAGTTTTTTAGGAGATGAGAAAGTATTTTGTTTTCCACCATTTTCTTATTTTTTTTTTGAGTTGCAACTTTGCAACTATTAATAGTTTGACAATGGATTAAACACTTAGTACTGGTTTCTTAGTATAGTTTAGTAATTCAACAAATATTTATCCGGGTATCCAGTGAGCACTTTGAAAATACAAAACATTTAATTAAAGACCCTATCTTGGAGAAGTGTATACTTATTTGTGGAGGCTAATACCTTGGCCATGGTAAACATTCACAGAACAATATATGAGTAATATATATGCCCACTTTCATTTTTAAAACCTGGTAGCTGATGTCGTAAGTAACCCATAAAATTATCTTAAAAGGGAACTCCTATGGAGTACTAGTACTGGATTGTATACGTCTACATTTTTCCTGTAAAGCCCCACACAATGCCTTGTCTATAACAAGCACTCAAAAACTCTTGCTTAAATAAATTGAATTGATTTCTTAAGGTTAAAAAATTAAGTTGCAGAATATCATGAAAATGTTAAGAACCTTTTGTCTGAAGGTGCTCCGCTGTTGGGAAATGATTCTGTACTGAAGCAAATTGTCACGCATTTTAACTCAGAACAATAGTCCAGGATGCTCCACAGCCTTAGAAAGGGTTTCACTTCAGAGCAGCCAAAAGGAATGTGCGAAGTAATTTTCTGTACTATAACCTAATGTAGGGAATTGAGTGGGAAAATTGTAAGAAAACCTAAGGAATTACATAAGCAGGATATGCATGTAATAAACAAAAGAAGAAAAAAAGAAATCTAAGGAACGTATAAAGCAACTGGGCCTTTGATTAATAGTTTTAGGGATCGCTATTATAGAAAACCAGAAGGGCATTATAAGAGAGACCTGGGCAACTACATGGAAAACCACTTCTTTCAACTAAAGCTCCACTGCCGTGTGAGTTTGGGTAAGCAAGGCTTGCCTTCAGCTCCACAAATCCTTACTGAGGGCTCATCTATGCCAGGCTCTGTGTCGGTGGGGAGGAGTAAATGAGGCTGAAGAAGGATGTGAGGATCACAGATGGCCACCCTGGCCGGGTTTGTGGCCTTGTCCTGGCTTCCTCCAGAGGCCACCCCTGGGAAAGCATCTTCTTACCCTTGTGACCCTGCATCTGTGTGACAACTCCACTGCTTCCTAAATGTGCCTTCATCTTCTCAGAAGCTTCTTTTTCCTTAGTGTGACCTATTGGCATGTTGCAGACAAGTGAGATGAAACATGAGGCTGCAGGGTGCGGGCCAGTAAGCTGATCAGGATTGTTAAAAACTGTAGCATCATGAGTTGCCACTGGGCTTCGGTGCAGCCTGCAACTCGTGGCAGGATTGGAGAAACCATTTCACGTCTGTGAGTGGCTTCGAGGTGAGAGCGCTATGCGTGTGAGGTGCTTGCAAGAGCTGCCACTTCCTGGTACCTCCTCACAGATTTTGCTTTCTTTTTGCAGCCGGCTTCCAGGCCGCCCATGCCTGCTCACCAGGTGCCACCCTACAAGGCTGTGTCGGCCCGGTTCCGGCCCTTCACATTCTCCCAGAGCACCCCCATTGGGTTGGACCGTGTGGGACGCCGGCGGCAGATGAGAGCATCCAACGGTGAGTCTCAGAGTCCCTTTCCTTTCAGAGCTGCTATGGGCCCATCTGACCGTTTCCAGCTAACCTGAGGCAGCAGGTTCTGCACCTTCGCGCCTCCCTTGGGCCAGGGCGCGTTTGTCTGGGAGTGAGGACGGCTCATCTCAGGAGAATGGTGCATCATTTGCTGTCTGGGGTAGATGCTCTGTGTGCCAGGCTGGTGGCTCTAAGTTTGAGAAGTTTGCCCCTCCTGTGGTGTCCGTGTACATACATTCCTGCATGTGGAGATCCCTAAAGAACCGAGACCCAGGCTAGAAATCCGAGATCAACACGTCAGCAGGGTCAGTTTCTTCTGAGGGCTGTGAGGGAGGGTCTGCTCCAGGCTGCTTTCCTTGCGTCTGGTGCCCTCAGTGTTCCTTGGCCTGTAGGAGCATTGCCTCATCTCTGCCTTCATGTTCACATGGCATTCTCCCCTGTGTCTGTCTGTGTTCAGATTTCCCCTTTTTATAAAGACACCAGGCTTACTGCATGTGGGCCCAACTTAGTGACCTCATCTTAATGTGATTATCTACCTAAGACTATTTCCAAATAAGGTCACACTCATGGGTACTGGGGGTTAGGACTTCACCATCTTTTGGGGGGACACAATTCAATCAAAAACGTATACCATGTTTGTAACAATATGCAACGTGTACCCATATGGCAGAAGATTTTGAAAGAACAGGCAGAAATAACAGTAGCATTGTTAGGGTGGTAGGAATGTAGAGCACTTCTCCTCCCACCCCGTACCTGTGTACACACAGCCTTTCCCTGCTTTCTGTAACACTGGTTTTTGTTGTTATGTTAAAAATGTTTTAATTTTAGCGTTCTTTTGTCGAAAAGCAACAAAACCTAACTCTGGCTGTCTTAAGCAAAAAGGGAATTTATTGGAAGGGGGCCAGGTGTGCCCAGAATTGATGGGATGGCTGGGGAACCAGGCTAGGGAAGGGATGGCATCCAGGCTCACTCCTGGGAGTGGAGGAGCCACCGGAAGGTGTGTGATGGGAGACTGGCCATGGCACTGTCCCAGGAGCTAGTGAGGTATCCAGTGAGCACTTTATCTGGGTATCCAGTGAGCGCTTTGAAAATACAAAACATTTAATTAAAGACCCTATCTTGAAGAAGTGTATACTTATTTGGGGAGGAGTTATAATAAGGAGTTAACTTATTAGGAGTTAGTGACTGTCTTTCTGTCACTCACCCAGGGGTTCAGGTCCCAGGATGGAAGATTCAGCTGTCCGAGCTTAGGTGATATGTCCACCACCTGGTGGTACTGGAACAGGAAGAAGGGTGGGGTGTCTGTCTCCAGGGACCCTTGCCTTCTATATGTGAAGACAGGCCAAGTAAGTATTTAACAGAGCAGACAGTACTATAAAGAAAAATAAAACAGGATAGAGAGCATTCATTTCCAAAGAGTGTTATTCTAATGACACTCTAATGAACAGGATGCACCTGTTCCATGAACCCTCTCTCTCTTCCCTAGAAGGAGACACCCAGATCCTCATCAGTGGCAGCAGACACCTCCAAGTCTAGGACCTCTTAGGATAACTAGTCCTCCAGTTCCATGCAGTGCCTCTTCAGCGTTGATTAACTAGAGGCAGATTTAAGCAACACATCCCTACCAGAATGGCAAGGCAGGGAAAGGAAGGAAATAGAGAATTTGGGATGCTGTGGAGAATAAAACGTCATGCAAAGTTTACATTTCAGCATTTGAACAGATTCCATAAGTCAATATGTAGGATGCACCAAGGCACCAGTGACGGCCCTGCAGAAGATGACTTTGGGTAATGTGAGGAGTAGGAGCAGGTGGGGGAGATAGCCTCCTCTCCAAGGAGGTGACGCTGGGGACAGGTGAGTAGGAGGCAGTGAGGCAGAGATCCGAGGGAGGAGAAGTCCTAGCCGAAGGAGCACCAGAAGCCCAAAGACAGGCAGGAAACATGATGTGTCTGAGGTTCAGCAAGGAGGCCACAGTGACAGGAGCTCAGGGAGCAAGAGGCAGACGAGGATGTTGCAGGCTGGGAGGTGGGCTGAGGCTGGAAAGGGCTCTGCAGGTCATGAGGAGGCTGAGCTTGTTCTAAGTGTGGTGTGAAGCCATTGGCAGCAGGAGCATATTATGTTCCGGTTTATGCTTAGAGAGGGAGGGCAGTTTGTGGGGGGAAAGGAAGAGGAATGGAGATTGATTTGAAGGCGATTGCATTAGTCCATTTGAGAAATATGGTAGCAGTGACCACAAAAGCCATCCCCATTTTCCGTGGGTGCTCATTTTCCCAGTGGTACGAAGAGGCAAAAATGGCCAGCCTTGGTTCTGATTCACTGTGGCCAGGACTGTGAACTCTGGAGGAAGTACTTCTCCCTTGGGCACTAAATTCAGTTTCAACAGAGCAGAGTTCCTAGGTGGGAAGAAAACATTTTGCAAGTATATTATTAAGTAATCCTAAGAAGCCGCTTCTATGTTTACCCTTGGTTTCCGGCCCTGCATCTTCTGCTGTGGGCCAGCCTCTCCAAATTAGTCACTGCTTCAGAGCTTGCGTCCCATCCAGGGCAGTATGGCAACTTCTGGGTGTGTCTCCCAGCTGCCTCTGTAACTTCATTTTTATTTGGTTGTTATTGGGTGTGATGGGGTCATGTGCTTCCTTCTCTGTGACGTTCTGGGCCTGGATGGCGTGTGAGATGCTGCGACAGGATAGGGGCCTTCTAGAGGATCCACAGAGTGCAGGAAAACAAATCCAAGCCCAGCATAAGTGGCCCTTCCAGTAGGGACAAATCACCACCCCCTCTATTATGAAAAGGCCCCACTGCAATCAGCTTTCCGCAAGGGGCTGTCTGGTTCCTGCGGGGAACCGTATCATCAGCTTTGTTGAGGGGAAGGCCCAGACTTCCTGTGGTTTAGCCCAGGCTTGGCATCCATTTTTGCCACCATGGCCTTTTTCTTGCTTGCTTCTTTTTTTTTTTCCTTTTTATGAACCCACTGAGCAAGTATCAAGATGACTAGGAAGGAAGACTGGCATCTAGCTGCACATTGGGACAGCATGTCCACATGATGATTGATTAGCCTCTCTTGCAATAAGGATTCATGTAGGATGGACATCATCTCATGCTCTGCGGGTATTCTGAGGTAGCCAGTTATACTCCTTCCCCAAACCCATCCTCAGCCCATCTTGTTCTTTCCACATTCCTCCAGGCCATTCAGCCAGGCCATTAGCTCCTAACCAGGAGTGCGCACGAGCTAAATCCTTGCCTTGCCAAAGCCATCTCTCCTACTCAGAAAGGCTTGGGAAGAGTATTGCTTACATTTGCCGCCGGGAGTTTCCCTGTCCTGAGGACACAGTCACCAGGCTGATGGTAGGAGTTCTCTTTGAGAAGCTAGGAAGAAGACTTGTAGTAGGATGCCTACCCTGAGGCTCCCTGGCTCTGCTCCATCAAGAGGCCTGAGTCTGGGAGTTGAGTGAGGGCCCTCCCTTGTCTTCTCTGTCATGGTGGCTCAGGTCGGGCTCTGCTTGCCAGCCCTGGAGAGTTCCTCCTACACAATGTTGTGGTACCTTTGTGGAATCACTCATCTGTTTTGTTCCTGGGGACCCCGAGATCAGTTAACAGCACAACCAGAGATTTCACAGGTCAAACCATTCAGATGACCAAGCTGGCCCTGCTGTGTGGTATAGTAACTATGCCCACCTTTTTCCCATGACAGATGTCCCACCCCCATGGAGGACCAGGTTTGCATTGCAGTGGAACCATCTCTCAGCAGCATCTCTGGCCTAGAGAGATTAGCAGTACATTAATTATAAAAGCTGCTGTCACATGGGAGATGCAGCCCAAGGGGTGGTGAGACTCACATGATAGACCATCTCTAGCATTTCCATCCCAGTCCTGGAACTCCTTCCTTTCTATGCACTGAGGGTTTTAGGTTTATATACCAACGAAGTGCTAGAATGGCATCCAGCTCAGTAAGCCCACAAATTGAGCTCAGCAAACCAGCTGTAAAAGCATCATTTTGAGACACGTTGGGGAGATTTTCAGATGAACTGAATATTTGGCAACATGAAGGAATTATTTTTAATTTTGTTAGTTGGGATAAGATAGTGCAGTTATTTTTAAGTCCTTGTTTGTTATACACAGATAGTGAAATACTTTCTGCATAAAATATGATATGTGAGATTTGTTTTAAAATACTCCAAAAAAGTTGGTGGGAAATAGTTGAAACAATATTGGCAAAAGACTGATAATCGTGGGTTCATGGTATTATCTGCTTTTGTGTGTATTTGAAATTTTCTGTAGTATCAACTTTTAAATAATAATGAAAGTATATTTCTCCTCCCTGGTCAAGTATTCTCAAAATCTTGATAACCAAAGGTTGGTAAATGGATATAAAAATAGAGCTAGACAGGAAGAATAAGTCCTACTGTGCCACAGTTAATGACAATGTATTGTATAGTTCAAAATAGCTAGAAGAGAGGATTCAAATGTTCTTAATACAAATAAATGATAAGTGCTTGGGGTGATGATATGCTAATTACCCTGATTTGCTCATTCCACATTGTATACATATATTGAAATATCACACTGTACCCCATAAATATTGTACAATTATTATGTGAGTTTAAAATAATAATATAAAAAACTCTCCAAATTAAGTAGTATCCACAACTAAATTTTTCTCAAAATATAGAAAATTGAACATTGCATTTAATTTTTTTTTTTTTAAAGAAATGAAGGCAGAGTCTTTCTAGGTGAATGGAGCCCTCCCTTCCGAGAACTTGGCAGCGCCGTGCTGTGCTCTTCCTTTCTCTCACCACTTTTCTCTGGCCCTGTTTGTAGCACCTGTCTTACCTCTTGCCAGCCACACAGCCTGCGAAGGCAGGTCATGTGGGACAGGCCTGAGTCATGTTTGTAGGCTACTGGGTGTGTTATTTGGGATAATAGAGTTGGGATAATGAATTTCAGTGGCACTTATTGGAGCCTTATCGGAGGGAAGAGTGACAACCTGTAAACACCACTGCATTGTTGGGGATGGTGTTTGTGGCTTCACCTTCCTTGGGTTTCAGGAAGGATGCCCACACTGCTAGAAGATTTTCCTGGGGAATTATCTTTGCCGCCTTTGCTTTGCTTTCAGTGAAGCTTTTCTCTTTCATTTGAGACAACTTACTCCATCACAGCCTACCTAAGCTCCTAATTTTTTTGTACTTAACATTGGGTTCCAACCATACTTCTTCCTTTAACCGGTCTGTTTATGTTGATCAGAAGTCAAATTCGAGTGCTTTTCAGAATTCTTACTTTGAATTTCCCTTTGTCTCTATTATCCATTCCCCTTCTCTTTCTACGTATCTTGTCCAGAGTTCAGATTAGCTTGCTTTTCTTATCTTCCAGAGAGGAGAGTGTCCAGTTTACTTCGCTGTTAGACTTGAGTGGGAACTTCACAGAGACAAGCAAAGGACGAATGCACACCCGTGCACCAAAGTCAGTCGATATGGGTAGACCCCTTTCAAAAAAAGATACCTGGTCTGTTACATTTCTTGAAAGCCCTTTAGTTAACCAGTAAGTACACCGTATTAGAGCATTTAGTAATACTGCCAGATAATAAAAGAGGAAAGTCAAGATGAGGTACAATAATAGCTAGATATAAAAACTAGAGAAAATGCCCTTTTTGAGGGGACACAAACTTGGCAAGTTGACTTGCTTTAAAAAATGTTTCTAACTTACTGAAGTAATTGCTCAATTTGATTTTTTAAATTTTTACTTTTTTTTTTTTTGGCAAATATAGTTCTTTTTTTGCAAGCTAGAAAAGAGAAGCAAATTGACCCAGTCTAGCACTCTAGTGAGCTAGGCTGAGTCACTCATTCTTTATCAGAGTGATACAGTAATACGAATTGCTAGCAGGCAGGTTGTAAAACTAAATCATAACCACCTATCCACATTTTTCATTAGGAAACAACCAAAAATTGAGTCCTTTAAAGGCAGGTTATAAATAAATAACATCTTGATCTGTGAAGGGGACAGCATGACCCAAATTTTATGCCAACCAGCCTGTCTGAGAAGCCCATCTGAGCTGGCCAGTGAGTGGTGAAGAGAGGAGTGCTTTTGAAAACGTGCTCTGAAACGATAAGAATTCTGGATTCTGGGCAGGTGTGGTGGATCACCTGAGGTTAGGAGTTCAAAACTAGCCTAACCAACATGGTGAAACCTCATCTCTTTCTCTACTAAAAATACAAAATTAGCTGGGTGTGGTGGCGCATGCCTGTAATCCCAGCTACCTGGGAGGCTGAGGCAGGAGAATTGCTTGAACACGGAAGATAGAGGTTGCAGTGAGCCTACATTGCGCCATGGCACTCCAGCCTGGGCAACAAGAGTGAAACTCTATCTCAAAAAAAAAAAAATAAAAAGAACTCTGGATTCTGCCTGTCAATAAGAAAGCAAGTAAAAAGTGTCACAGATGTGTGAAATTGGTCCTTGTTTATACCGGAGTTTACCATGAGAATGAAGAGTTCATCTCAAAAAAAAAAAAAAAAAAAAGGCCAGGCACGGTGGCTCATGTCTGTAATCCCAGCACTTTGGGAGGCTGAGGTCGGCAGATCACTTGAGCCCACAAGTTTGAGACCAGCCTGGCCAACATGGCAAAACCCCATCTCTACTAAAAATACAAAAAAATTAGCCAAGAGTTGTCGTGCGTTCCTGTAGTACCAGCTACTCAGGAGGCTGAGATGGGAGGATTGCTTGAGCCTGGGAGGCAGAGGTTGCAGCGGGCCAAGATCGCACCACTGCACCCAGCCTGGGCAACAGAGTGAGACCTCCTCTCCGCTAAAAAAAAAGAGAGACTGAAAAGTTAGAGATATGAGTGAGGAATAAGATACTTAAATTTTGAAAATAAATGTCTTAGTGATAAATCCAGCATGCTACATTTCCCCTTTTACCACAAGAACAAACAAAGGACTATTTTAAAAGAAATGCTGAGTTCTAAACAGAACACTTTCTACCACAGAAACAGGTCCTCTTCCCCGTACGATCAAGGTTACTGCTCTTCCACTACTCAGGTCCACGTCAGGAGCTTTGTCAGGGCAGGAAATTCATAAAAGGAGAGCATATCCTAGCTAGCCACTGGGGAGCAAGGTTAGCATCCTTGGGGTGGACCATCCATATGGGTAAGCTGTAGTTTTGATAAGAATCTGCAGGCTGCCCGTGAGCATCTCGTCTCATGCCTGGCCTTGTGCACTCTGAGCTGGGTGCTGGGCCTCCCAAGAACCCCTGGGGCCCAACAGGCACGTGCAAGTGACCCTGCAGGAATGCTGCTACCTCCTTGCTAAGCCCAAGAGAACGGGGAAGACCACAGCTCCCAAAGGTCTTAGGGAGTCTTATGGGGGCTCTTCTTGTGAACAGATCAGTGCATCTTTCTGCTGCTGTCTGCAGGGAGGGGGCAGAGCAAGGGGCTTCCACCCACGTGGCCGCCAAGTGGAGCCATCCCCACCTGCCATCCCCAAAACAGCCCCCAGAGCCTCACTTGCTTTCTTACTCTGGTAGATGTTTTCTGCACAGGATTGAGGCTGGTCTGAATAAAGAAAAAACAAAAACGTACCAAGACATTTTCCAGTGAGTTTAAGGCTCAGTGGTTTCAAAGTACAATTGGGGATTATCATTCAGGGGGTGACATTCTTTCCCTGTCTACTGCTCTGGTTTTTTCTGTTTGATTTTGTACTGAATGTATACATCCCCTTAGAAATGGAAAAGATTTACTTATTTATGTATTTATTTACTTTTCTCTATTTAGGGATTAGTATTGGTTGTAAAACCTCATCAGCTCAACATTATGATACTTTGATGAGCTTAAAATTATTGGGAAATGCTATAGGAGGGGCCAGCAGGGCTTAATCAACCAGTATTGTCTCAGGAAATGTCCAGGGTGCTCCGAAACCTTTCTGAATTGGATTTTATTTTATTGTATTATTATTATTATTTTAGATTTTCTTTAGAGACAGAGTCTCACTCTGTTGCCCAGACTGGTCTCAAACTCCTGGCCTCCCACCTTGGCTTTACAAAGTACTGGGATTAGAGGTGTGAGCCACCACACCCGGCCTGAGTTGGATTTTAAATGTGCTTTTGGTTTTGAAGATACTTCCTTGATTTCGATCCATTTAACAAATACATATGTCCCTATTATAAATGAGGCACAGTACCAGAGGCTGGGCAGTTCTGAGGAAGCTAGAGAGTGTTCCTACAGAGCTGCCAGTGTGGTGGATGAATGGGAAAAACCACCACAACTGCACTCACGCTGAGTAGAAACGGGGAGCATGTCAGTCGGATCTGGGCTGTCCCAAGCCCTCATGGAGGAAATGACCTCAAATGAGGCTTTAGGGATGAAGGGAGTTAGATTAAGTTTGTTGTTAGGGGTAGTGTGTTCCAGGCAAAAAGTGGAGGCCAGAGAAAGGAGAGCACATCTGAGAAGTTGAGAGTAGGGTAGCCTAAGAGAAAATTACACTGGTCAGGTCACAGTGTCCTCCAGGCCTCTGTAAGGAGCTGGCAGATCCCACAGTGTGGCCTGCGCTTGCCTTCCTGGCTCCTCTTCACTGGTCCCACAAGTAGAGTTGTATCCTCACCGGGAGTCAAGAGCATGACCCCACCAAGCCTGTTTATGGCAGTTGCTTTATTATGATGATATGGAACTGATTTAGATATTATGTAAGCAAATAAAATGTGAATATGAGACTGAAAGGGGACTTGGCATCTCTGACAATGAAATAGAATACTTTGGAGAAACCCAATGAAACTCAATAAAAGTGAATTGTTAAAGAAAATTCTATCAAATTAGGTGAGAATTGACAGCTTGGAAAAAATGGAAAAATCGAGGAGTCTATATTCAGATTGTTTCGCCAGTGTCTCTGGTTTTATTGCTCAACGTTAAAGAAGCCAGAACTGGAAATCATAGCGGATGCATATGGGTGTGGATTGTACAAGAGACAATGCAGAATTCTAGTCAGTTGATCGTACACAGGGAGCCTTGTCCTACATCATGACAAAGGTGAATGATTGCACCTATGTATGCCTTAAGTTATGTTCATGGCATGCGTGCATGGGGCACTTTTTTTTGGCTTAGGGCTTTTAGGCAGCCCGATTGCTACAAGTCAGAGGACCTCAGCTCCAGGTCAAGGCTATAGCAGGATGCAGAGGAGGAGGCTGAGAGGTGGGCCTCCACTAAGTTCAGGCTGCCTGGGAGGACAGAGCCTGGGCAACTGGGAGCCACTGAGGGCTTTTGAGGGCCATGAGATGATCAGATGTGCATTCAGAGAGATCATTGGCTGGATCGTGGAGGACTGGAGACCTCGGGAGTCTGTTGCCTCGGAAAATGATAGTGGCACTGGAGATATGAAGAACCGAGAGGTCGAGGTAATTGTCTGGATGTTTGGGGCCAGGGAGCAGCCATCCGTGCTGCCTCTGATGCCTGGCTGACAAGGAGCCTAGGAGAAGAGCATGTTGGTCAATTGGGGAGCTTACTCCATTCCAGGCAGGTCAAGTCAGAGCGACCTATGGGCAGCTCGATGAAGATGACATCACCATATCCTTGATTGTGAAGCTCTGATTTTGAGGAAGGGGACCCAAAGTTAGAGATGAAGATTTGGGAGTCATCAGCAAAGTGGTTCTTAAAACTCTAGGAAGGAGTGTGATATGAGTGGGGGTAAAAATGAGAAGAGGATCTTGAACCATGCTCTGAGGACCAACATTTGGGGACCAGTGAAGGCAGAGAAATTCACAAAGAAAATAGAAAAAAAGTAGCCAGGCAGGTAAGCGGTGTCCCAGATGTCAAAGGAAGCCAGGGCTTCCAGGTGTGAGAGTGGTTCACACTGTCAAATGCACCAAAGTGTAGAGAGAAAAATACCCACTGGATCCAGTGGCAGGGAGGAGCTTCGTGCCCTTAAAAAAAAAAACCGGTTTCAGTTCAGCAGTTCAGTGCTAGGGCAGAATGCCATGGGAGGATGTTGGGGGAGTTGTCTTAAAATTGAGGTATTTTATCTATTTTGCTTAAGCTGTGTTGATGGTTTTCTCATTTTATAGTTCAAAATACCCCATAAAGGCTCAGGACTAATGAAAAACAATTTATTAGGCTATGATATTAACAATTATTTTGTCTATGTATTACCAGTATCTGAAAGCTTGTTAGTATGAATGTGTCAGCGTTTATTCTCACTGAATGTTTTTCAAAGAGATGGGAAGATTACACATCAGAAAATTCCGTTTCTTGATTTAGAATTGATATTAATCCCCAACATTTAGGAAGTAGGGGAATTTAATCATAGGAAGTGCTTATGTTGTTTCAAATTTGATTTTTTAAATAAAATTAATTGAATTATGAGAAATTACTGAAACTTATTTCTTTGAAAAGTCTTGTAGTAAAGAAATTTATTCAAATTCTTTGTATTTTTTTTGTTTGTTTAAAACAAAGTTTTTTTTCTTTTTTTTTTTTTAGCTCTTTTGTGGTTGTTAAAATCCTACTTCTAATTTGTTGGAATAACAAATTTATGCACTGATAGTTTGATCAGATCACACCACGTTTCTGTTTTTTCTTAGGACTGTCAATAAAATAAGGCAGTAAGAATTCTTGATTCATAGCCTAAGTGCATCACAAAAGGGAGGTTACTCATACAGTTATTCTGGCCTTATTCTGTCCTAATTATTATGAAAGTTAATTTTCTTATTAACAGACCTTTGGGTCAAAAAGTGAGAGTGTAATCCCAATCCTTGGGCAAGTCACTTAATCTCAAAGTCTTCATGTCTTTATCTGTAATGGGAGAAACTAATATGATCTGTCCCACAGATGTGGAAGAATGACCTGGCACACAGTAAGTGTGCAGTAACTATTACTAATTAATTAGGGAAGCATTAACTATACAGGGGACAAAGGCAATGATGAGCAGGAAACTGTTTACATCCAGAGTTCTGAGTTACTGATTTAACTGCACTAATCAGTGACTTAGCTTAGACAAGTCATTTAGTCTACTTAGTAAAGTCCCAGAGCACTTGGAGTCTATATGGAATAATATACTGTTTATTATCCAAATATAAGTTAAGCAAATTTAAAATACATACGTTCAGGTTATTTTAAAAAAAAAGAAACTTGACTGGGTCTTTTTTATAGATTCTCTGGGCTGCAAATTTTAGGTATTATCTAATGATTTTTCGTTGTATCACCCAGAGACTCCACTGAATTTTTTGTTAAAAGGAAGGAAAAAAAGAAAAGCCGTAGCAGGTGTTGAGGTGTGTGTGATACCTTTGAAATGACTTTAAGCATCCCATAACATCTTTTTGTTCTCTTGTTTTTTGAATTATCTCTTGCTGCTTCTGCATTTTACTCAAATCGATTTTCAAATATTTTCTTTCAATAAAGAATCAGAGGGAAAATAGGAACTTGGGATTTACTTGCTTAGTGCCTGTTGCGTGATAGCAGCGGAGCTCTCAGGAAAGCTGGTTGGAGAATTGGTGATGGAGCACTTGGATTGTTAGGTGGGGATGCCGTGAGCCTTGCCACGTTCCCTTCTCCCCCTACATCTCACTTTATACTCATGCCAAGGAATATTGGCTGTTGATTATACAGTCATCCCTGGTTGTCTGAGGGGGATTGGTTCCAGGACTCTTCAGGCATCAGACTCCAAGGCTGTGCAAAAGTCCCTGATATAAAATGGCCTAATAATTGCATATAACCCATGCCCATCCTCCATATACTTTAAATCACCTCTAGATTACTTAAAGACCTAATATTAATGCAATGTAAATGCTATGTAAATAGTTGTTATGCTGCATTGTTTAGGGAATAGTTACAAGAAAAAAAGTCTGTACATATTCAGTACAGTCACAGTTTTTTAAATGTTTTCAATCTGCAGTTGGTTGAGTCCACAGATGTGTAACCCACAGATACGGAGGACCAACTGTGTTTACTTACAAAACGAGATGAATCAATTCACTTATCAGTACTCGCAGCAAGTGTTTTCCTGACTGCTAAGACTGCCTATGGTAAAATCCCTGTCTTCTGACTGCTGTGAGACAGCCTGGATTCCACAGAGTCCGAAGGAATTTAGAAATTATGAAAGGCTTCTGTGTGCAGAACAAGGACTACAAATATGGCCTTTAGTGCCCAAAACCATATTGTCTGCAAGTCTTGGAGATTGTATTAGCTCCATAGCAGTTATCTTAGCTGTTGTTTCATGCCTCATTGTTGCCTATCATCGAGATTTTTTAGAAGGAATATAGTGTTCTATTTCTTGTCTCAGAAAAACATAAAGTATTAAACTTTTTTTTTAGCAAGCTCATGAAATTTCATCTTCTAGCAGTTAAAACATTCTCAGTTCTCAACAGCTAGAGTTAAAAAGTAAAAGTTATTGAAAATATCGTCTGTCTTATTACTAAGCTTCAGAAATTGGATTTTAAAAGAAGAAGAAAGAATATTAAAAGTCAGAGGAAGGAGAGCAAGACAGCTAAATGTCTAGCGAACCACCACCAAGAGCCAGTAGCACTCTGTACGTATTCCTGGCCTGATCTTACAGACAAGGTCAGGCCTTAGAAATATTCGGTAACTTTTCCTAGCTTGGCTAAGCAAGATGTAATGAGTAGATAGTGGAGCTAGCATTCAAATGAGATCAAACTGAAAAACACAGATTGCTTTCCATTCTATTCAGTTTCCCGTATGTTTTCTCCATCACAAAACACAATATTGTCTAATTGATTTGCACAAAGATATGCCTGTTGGCAGTTTTAAAGACCATGTCCCAATAATTGCCTTCTATTAAGACAAAGAAAAAAGTTATATTCCTCCAATCCCTGTTGTGTTCTTGTTATGTTTGAAATGTGCTTGGTCCTAAGGATCTGAAAATAACCAGGTAAATACAGAAAAGAAGTGAAATCTGTACTAGGCCCTGAAGGATGAAAAATCCACGTGTGCTTACAGAGAACAGGAAAACAATGGCCTTCAGCTGAAGCTGGCACCTTTTAAAGGACAATTTTATATTTATTTCTGCATTAATCAAAGTTCTAGTCAGTGCCCAGGTCCAAAGTATCTTGTTTGGAGCTGTGTTTGGAGAGGGTGGGATATTGAGTAGGGGTGAATGATGAAGGGGTTCATTGAAGCCGCTGAGAGCACATATTCGCTGGTTTTGTGTGTTCAGGTCCACATTGCTCCAAGGTGAAAGCAGTTGCTTTGAAGGCATGAAGAGAGGCACTTTTTCTTCATAGCTGTCTTGAAGCAGGCCGGGGCGAGTCTCACAGAGTTTGCCCTTGTACTTCAGGCTCCATTTCCTGAGCTGTGTATGATGGGGCCCGCCCCTCCTGTGGTGAAGAGTCTGTGGCTGCTGAGTGGCATTTCAGTCAGACCTGAACTGAGCCTGCCTTTGCCCAACAGGAGTCGGCCTGCTGAGGCAGCATCTACCCGGCTCATCAGTTTGTGCTAGGACATGCCATGCCCTGTGTTACGTTCAATGCCTTTCAGGTTCCTCTGGAAAGTAGCATCACTGTGACCTGTAGATTAATAATCATGTTTGTCTTTAATCCATTTAGAATGAAGAGGTCACTCTCGGCACTCGATGATTTAGGGGAATGGACATTGGCCTGAATAACTGATAGCAAATGTAGCAAATTATTTCCTGTGAAGGACTCTCCCATCCCAACTTTAGAAAGTGCAGCCCCGTCTCAGCTGTGGGAGATGGCCAGTGATGTCCACAGGTCCTGGCTGTGTCACTCCTGATTCTGTGTAGTCATTGTCCATATGGGAGTTGGGATTATGGGTCATTCCAGCCCGTGGCAGCCTTGGTTCTTGGCTGATGTGCCCATCCTTCCGCCCATGTCCTAAAGCTGATGGCCATGCTTTCCCAGGGGACAGCATGACTCTCCCCTGGGGCCTGCCTCTCTGCCTAGCACCTGTCCTGTAGTTCTTGGTAATGGGGCCATATCAAAGTTAGTGGGGACATAAAGTTCCAAGGATGTTCCTGGGTTCTGGATATGTCTGTACCATGAAGGGAGGCAGCTGCTTTGCAGAAACAACAGGGAAGCTGCAGCAGGTGGGAAACTTTGGTGCTGGTCATCTCTCTGCACTTAATTCGGAGGTGATCATAGAAGAAAATATCTACCATGTCATACTTAAAATAAGAAGATATCAGAAATGTGGAGCTCAAAGGAACCTTAATGGCCACTCAATCTCAAGAACCTTAATGAACCTACTCAGTCTCCAGAAATCCTCCTAGAGAGGTCAAGTGCTGACTACTGTTGTGAGTTTGAGATACTGCTATTAACTTGCCTCTCCAAGAATTTTATGACATTTCTTTCCCATAGGTATGTAAATATATATGGGTTTTGGGACCAGCTTACCAAAAATAACTTTCTGTATCTATAGAATAAAATTGATCATAACATCCTATGTGTTTTCAACATCTATTTTTAAAAATTAATTTTAATTTTTATAGAGATAATGTCTTGCTCTGTCACCCAGGCTGGAGGGCACTGGCCCAATCATAGCTCACTGCAGCCTCGATCTCCTGGGCTCAAGGGATTCTCTCACCTTAGCCTCCTGAGCAACTGGGACTCAAGGCATGTGTCACCAAGCTGGGCTAATTTTTTTATTTTTTGTAGAGATGGGGTCTGCCTATGTTGCTCTGGCTGGTCTCAAACTCCTAGCCTCAAGTGATCCTCCCACCTTGGCCTCCCAAAGTGCTGGGATCAAGGCATGAGCCACCACACACAATCTTCAGTGTTTATTTTGTCCTCTCTGATTTCTCAACATTTAATATTAATATGTAAGTTGGATATCTCCACTCCTACCTACGGATCTGATCCCTGTGCTTAATCCTTTTACAGTGTTGCCAATAATCAATGATGGTCATTTCCCAGTTCCAGTGAGGTAGTGGTATCTTATCCAAAGAGAAGAGATTAATTTGGGGGTTGGATTTTTCTTTTTTCTTTTTTTTTTTCCAAGTCAGGGCTTCCCTCTGTCACCCAGGCTGGTGTGCAGTGGTACAATCTCAGCTCTCCGCAGCCTCAACCTCTCAGTCTCAAGTGATCCTTCCTCCTCAGCCTCCCAAAGTGCTGGGATTATAGGTGTGAGCCACCAATGCCCAGCCAGGATTTTAAGACTTCTTTGAACTATGGTTTAGGTTTTCGTTGTAGGATTCTTACTGATCTGGTAAATGTAGGCTCTGATCACTAAAAAAAAAAATTAAGCTGAAAGTCCTATCTCCTTGTTCTATCATGCCCCTTTCTACATTAGTAGTGGCTTCTTCCAAAACTATCTTAGAAGGGTGGCTGGCAGATGTGCCCATCCTTGAGCCCATTTCCTAAAGTTGATGGTAGTCCTTTGCCACAGAATAGTGTGACTCTCTTCCCTGGGACTCTTCCATCTAGCACCTGTCCTGTAGTGCTTGGTAATGGGGCCATATCCAAGCTGGTGGGGACATAAAGGGGTTGTTGGGTCACATCCTTTGAGAAGATGCCTGATTTCAAGGCAGTCTTTGTTTATTTACTTGTTTTCCTTCTTTTTATTTTGTTTTGCCTACACAATAATCTCTAGTGAATGCCTCTGGCTTAAGATCCTGTAATCCCAAGGATGTTAGTCTAGTGCCCTGACCCCGTCTCTGGATTGAGAAAAAGTGCTTGGGAAACAGAAACTATCCTCTTGTACCGGATGCCGATGAAAAGTGAAAGTGAGCAAACAGCCTACCAAGTTCTAAGAAAATGAGGCCAAGAGAGCTTTTGCTTTTTGAAAACTAATGATTTTAACCAAAAAAAAAATTTTTGTAGAAAATGAAAACACTGGATTTTATTTGCCTCCTTCTGGAATTTAGGCTTTGTTGGAATGGATAACCTTGAGAATTAATTCCTACTTTCTGCTGCTTTGTGTCTGAGTATTATGCATTTTACCTTTTCATTCTGACTAAACTCAAGCCCACCCATTCATTCCATGGTCTTCACTAGTTAGAAAAGATACTGATATTGAAGATTTTGCCTCATGGCAGTGCTTCTCCAAGTATGTTGTATAGTTTCTTGAGTTGTCTAGAACAACACTTCTGAAACCTGAATGTGCATTTGAATAACCTGGGATGTTGTTAAAATGTTGATTCTGATTCTGCAGACCTGGGGCAGGGCCCAGGAATCTGAATTTCTCACCAGCTCCCAGTCATGCTGATACTGCTGGTCCATGGGCCCTACTGTGAGTAGCAAGGCCAGAGGATACTTTCTTTTGGTGTAGTAATATGTGTTGTCATAAAAAAAGAGCGTCATAGCCAAATACGATTGTTAAATTCTATGTTAAAGAAGATGGCACAGCTGTCAGTGGGAACTTTTTAGAGCCTGTGATTACTGATGAATCCTGTAGGATATCCAAAAGGTAGATACAATATACAGTGGTTTTCAAACTCTTTTCTTGGAGCGTATTATGCCACTAGTATTCCATGAGATATACTTAGGAGACTTTACACGAGAGAGAGAGTAGTCTGCTGTGAAAAACAGTATCGAGGAGTCTTTTGAGCCTATAATTTAATAAACTACCACCTTTATTGAGAATATGCCTGTATTGAATGAATTGTCTATTAAACATCTTAAGTATTTGCCTCTTTTAAATCATCTTTTTAAATTCCTGTAAGAGGCTGGGCGCAGTGGCTCATGCCTGTAGTCCCAGCACTTTGGGAGGCCGAGGTGGGCAGACCACCTGAGGTCAGGAGTTTGAGACCAGCCTGACCAACATGGTGAAACCTCATCTCTACTACAAATACAAAAATTAGCCGGGCATGGTGGTGTGCGCCTGTAATCCCAGCTACTCGGGAGGCTGAGGCAGGAGAATCACTTGAACCCAGGAGGTGGAGGTTGCAGTGAGCCAAGATCGTGCCACTGCACTCCAGCCTGAGTGACAGAGCAAGACTCCATCTCAAAATGAAATAAAATTTCTGTAAGAGAAAGATTTTCAGCTGAACTGGTCATAAGAGTTTGTGTGATCGTGTGTGTTTTTCACTTGTAGTGCGGGTTACTAAGGCTATGAGTTTCCCAGAAAACTGTCCTTACCTGGATTTGAGGGTGGGATGCTCCAGATCAATAGAAATAGCCACAGATATTTGAAGATAAGAGAAGCCTACGATATAGTATATAGTCAACATGTGTGTTATTACTAATCATACAGCTTTCCATTCTGAGTTCATGCTGTGATTTCTCTGGGAACTAGCATGTTATTAAGGGACCTCAGGTTTTTTGGAGCGACAGCAGCAGCGTGACGGCTAACATTTATTAACCCCCAATGAAGAGCCAGTGCTTCTCTAAACACTGCAATATGTTCTCGAGTAATTCTGTGAGGATTATTGATTGGTGCTGCAGTTATCCCCACTCCGCAGATGTGGAAAGAGAGCTGCCTAGAGACTTGGAAACTTTCCCTAATTTTGTTATGGGAAAGCAGCTTTTGAACACAGGCAGTCTGACTCCAAAGCTCATCACTATAAAGCATGCATTTTACTAATTGGCACTATCACTTGTTTAACATGTATGTATGTATGTGTGTATGTATGTATGTGTGTATGTATGTATGTATCTATTTTAGAGACAGGATCTAGCTCTGTAACTCACAACACTGGAGTGCAGTGGTGTGATTATAGTTTACTGCAACCTCGAACTCCTGGGCTCAAGTGATCCTCCCATCTCAGACTCCTGAGTAACTAGGATGACAGGCATGTGCCACTCTGCCCAGCTAATTTTTTATTTTTATTTTTAGAGACAGGATCTTATTCTGTCACCGAGGCTGGAGTACAGTGGTACGATCATAGCTTACTGCAGCCTCCACCTTCTGGGCTCAAGCAATCCTCCCACCTCAGCCTCCTGAGTAGCTGGGACCACAGGCACATGCCACTATGCATGGCTAATATAAATTTTTTTTTTTTTTTTTTTTTTTTTTTAGTAGAGACAGGACCTTGCTATGTTGCCCAGGCTTGTCTCAAACTCCTGGGCTCAATTGATCCTCCCACCTTGGCCTCCCAAAGTGTTGGGATTACAGGTGTGAGCTACCTTGCCCAGACCTAATTTTTTTTTTTTAGAGATAGGGTCTTGCTATGTTGCCCAGACTGGTCATGAATTCCTGGTTTTAAGCAATCCTCCTGCGTCATCCTCCTGAGTAGTTGGGATTACAGGCATGAGCCAGCGGGCCCAGCTTAAACCCACATTTACTAAGAGATGACTGTGAGGTCACTACTTTGCGTATATATTACCTCATTGTTCATAAAGTTAAAAAGGCCGTGTCTTCTGCTTATGGGGAAATGGAAGGAAGCTCACTCTTTGTTAACAGTCATTTTACAATATGAAAGACTTGCTCATTGTAGATAATTTGGAAAGTATAGAAGAGTATAGAGGAAATAAAAACAACCCAGAATATATTACCTGGAGAGAACTTACATGTATACCTTTACATGTATGCCTTTACATGTATACCTTTTGAACAAAATCACTCTTTTAAAGTGATTTCATAAATTTATAGCTAACTTAATGTAATCTCATAACTCAAATTTTTGTCATACCACAGTGTGAAATCCTAACTGTATTTTTGAACTAAGTGACCCCTGTGCTTTTCTCTTGTGAAATAAATACCTTTTGAAAAGCTCTCTGAAAGTTTAACTCAGGTTTTGGTTTTGTAGTTAAAAGCAGCACACACCATTTCTCCTACCTTCACTGAAGGCTCTCGGCAGCACCTGATGGCTTGTGAGTGTGTTTGTCTTTGGTGTATATAGGTTTTGCCTTAGTTTAGAATTCTCTCCTGAAGTCCCCCGCAATGTCACTGTAGCCACTAACCCTTGGTCACACGGAGTGTGGAGCCAGCTGTCAGTTTCTGGGCAGGCTCTGGCCGGGAACGCATACAACGTCAAAGCAGTGAATAAGCGATTTCTGCAGTTCCCGTAGCTGCCAGCCTGTGCAGTCCTCTGTGATGCTTGGGGACCGGCTCCTCGGTCACACCCCAGTCCTGCTCTGAAGGTTGCCGTTTTCCAAACAGAAGGATGGTAGCTAGAGGGGAGATAGCAAGATTCTGGAGTCTGGAAAGCCTTCACTTGGGTATGTGTGCAAAGAATGGATTGTTGTACTGTGACATGTTGCCGATTCAGCTCTTTCCTTCCCAAGTTGCAGTTCTTCCCCTCTCTCTCTCTCTCTCCACTCTCTCTCACTCTCTCTCTCTCTCTCTCACTCTCTCTCTCTCTCTCACTCTCTCTCTTTCTCTGCTGCTTGTCAGGTGTGAGCCTGTGGGGAAAAGCTCACTCTTCTAGTAAAGGGTGCTGAGGATAGTTTTAGTTGTGGACATAGTCAGTTGAAGAAATTGGTTTTGTTTATGGCACAGTTGCTTGTTTGGAGTAGAAAATCATAAGAATCAAGCCTGAACCATCCTTCCTGAGGAAGGGGTCTGGGTTTTGCTGCTGATATTGTTACTAGTTTTGCTGCTGATATTGTTACTGGTTTTTGCTTCTATTACATGAAATTCCTTTATTCAATAGATTATTGGTGGTGTGTATAAGAATGTTTCTTGCTAATTGAGGATGTGTGAGGTTTAAGGCTGTGAGCTGATCTTTGAAAAATAGTTTCCTGTTTCTAAAGTGACATTACCCAGTATTTGCTTACTGCTTTGTGCCTTATCTCCCGCTTTCTTTTTAGTATTTCTGTGAGTATTGTCTATTTGTCTATTCTGTGAGTATTGGACTATTTGGACTATTTAAATGTGAAAGAAACTTTGTACTCTCACACTAGGAAGCCATAAACTCTAATCCTCACATTCTGAAAAGGAAGTAAGAAAAAACAAGACTTCACAGACAGGCTTTTCCCTGGCTGCACTACATGGATACAATAGGATGCTTTAGAAACAGATCTTGTCTCTGTTTTTGCCCTAAATAGATGCCAGCGCCTCGCCTGAAATGAATGGGAACCGTAGATGGCAGCTCGAGGCAGCCTGGGGCCCTGTCAGAGCAGTACAGTTTGTAGTCTGTGCTTTCTTCCTTGTTTTGATTGGTTTCTGTGCTGCTGACAGACAGAAAGCAGGGATGTGGTTACGGCTTCTGTGTCTGGTGGATTATCAAAACAAGACTGGTGTGTACTCCATTTTACGAGCCAAAATTTAGAAAAAGGAAAAAAAAAGTTGCCTGGCGATTTCTATATTGAGAACACAGACCACATGAGTGAGAGGGCTCGGTAATGCTAGCGAGACGGCACTGGCAAGACCTGGGTGGAGGAAGCGGACGTGCGGGTGCTCCCTCCCAGGGTTCCTGCACCCATGGCCTTGAGCAGGGGCGTGTTCATTCCCACCGGGAGTGCAGCCAGCACGAACGGGCAGGGGTGGGGGGCAGGTGGCCCCTGGCTCTCCTCCAGCATTCCTCCACCGCCTTCCACACAGGGGAGGCCGAGGGAAGCCCGACCCAGCCTCCAGCTCTGAGCGGTGCTCCCTCGGTGCTGCTGGAGAAACAGCATGCCAGAATCTGCCCTCTGCGGCCTTGACCCTCTACAGCAGTCCCTCACCTGCCTCTCTGAGAGGGGCCTGGGTCAGTGCACTGCGGAAACTGTTGCCACTCCTATATGCGCTATACTGAGTGAATACATGTAATAAAATGACAACAAGCACCATATTTAAAACAAATAATAAAGCTTGCCTATGGTGGGTTTTCTTTCCTTTGAGAGCTCTGAGAGGGCAGGGGGCAGGGGAGGGGTTGTGGGGCTCTGAAAGACCCTGAGGGACTGCCTAGTGGCTCCCAGGAGGACGCCATGTCAGGGAGGGCGGGTTTATGGGTTGTCTGCCATCTTATGCTGTCCTGTCCTGTTCTCCTGTCAGTGTGAGTTGAAGCCGAGCCTGAGACAGGCTCATAGCAGGATCGCTTTGCTGGCAGACACACCTGGCTTTGAATCCAGCCCCGCAACTTGGGGAAAGTTACTTAACATCTTTGAGCCACGGTTTCCTCCTTCATAACCAGACAGCAACACTCCAAGATGCTTGTGAGGCTCTCAAGAGGATTTATTCCAGCGCTGAGCGCAGTGCCTGGCGCACATTAAGATGCCAGGAAGCCGGATGGGTGATTGCTCAGGTCTGTCCAGCCAGTTGGGCAGCCGTCAGAAACTGGGAGGGCTGACGAGACACCAGCCCAGAGAGCTGTCAGGGAGCGGCAGAGCAGAGGAGAGGGCCCAGGATGGATCGGCAGGTGTCAGCCAGGATGGACGGGAGGAGCCGTGCTCAGAGCCAGCAGCCCCAGGACGAGCAGCTCCTGGCTAGGAACAGAAGACAGGCACTGTGGGACAAGTCAAAGGTAAAACCTAAGAGCTCACCGCAAGATACAAAGAAGCCCAGAGCCAACGACGCCCCAGCTCTGAACTGGAGACGGGACAGAGGCTGAGTTTTGAGAGCAGGAGGGAGTGGAGCTGCTGGCTTGGTTGTGGGGTCTGGAGCCAATGGGGTGTTGGCTGCCCAGGGTGCAGGGCCCTAAGTTGAATACTGATGTGAAGCTATACATTAAGAGAATGATTCTTCAAAGCTCCTTAGACATTAATAACAGATTATTAGTGAGAGTTAATATGTCAGTTTCTAGGATTCCTTTTGATCTTATTGTTGTCCACATGTTTAAAAGATTGAAAAATACTATTTGTGAAGAATGGCTTGAAAGTCTAGATTAGATATACTAGTGACTTTTCCAACACTAACAGTTTACATTCTGGAACATGAAACATATTTCATACTTTAATTCAGTCACCCAACACTGACTATTAAGCATGTTCCTTGTCCTTGAGAAAGTCATAGCTAGGATAAGAGTAGGGACAGGATATAAAGGGACAGATATAAACTTAATAATAACTATAATGTAAATGCGATACATATTTTAAAAGAGGTTAGTCTAACATGTTTATAGAACATCAAAGGCAGATATTGTTATGGCAGAGGATCAGGGAACTGAAAAATAAGTCATGGAACCGTCACCAAGCAATGATGGTTACAACTTTTGTTTGTTGTTTGGTTGGTTTTTGTTTCCTTAAGTTTATTTTTAAATAGAGATGGGATCTTGCTATGTTGCCCAGGCTGGTCTTGAACTCCTGGCCTCAAGCAATCCTCCTGCCTCAGCCTCCTAAAGTGCTGAGATTACAGGCATGAGCCACTGCGCCCGGCCAATGGTTAAACTTTTGAGGGATGAGCCAGAATTTGATGGGCTGTTTTGGGTGGGAAAGTTGCTCCAGGCGGAGAGGTCAGCGTGGACGGATGGAAGGATTTTGTCCTATTCGTTGGAATAAGGAACATTCAGTGGTACACATTGGCTAACGCAGAGGTTTCCAGCCAATGCAATCAGAATCCATTGCCTGCAACTTGTGGCTTGCTGCATGGACAGGCAACAAAAGGCATATGTCCTAGAACAACCTGAGCATGTGGTGTGGTTTAAGTAAGCTTAACCTGAAGGTCCAGTGGTTCCCAAATTTTTCCAGGTGTCAGAATCATTTGAGGAGCTTTTCAAAATAAATTCTCAGCCAACATCCTTCCCCACTACCACCACCCAACCTGACTCAGTGGCCCAGGGCAGGGGAGGATCTTTATTTTTCTAAACATTTTCCATGTGATTAGATGCCACAGGCCCTGGGTGTTTGGGAACCACTGAAGGGGGATGGACCCTGGAAATTGTGCATCATGTTTTGACGTTGTCAGTTCCTGTGACCCAGCTCTTTCCCTCTGTGTGCATCTCCGTGGCCTGAGCTCTTGGGGTTCACCCATAGTTTCAGCCCACAGAGCAGCAGCCCGTGACAGCTGCTCCCAGCTGTGAACACGAGCTGCCCGCCTGGGCTTGCCATTTCTGTTTTTAAGATGGGAAGTCAGAATGGCTTATCTCAACTCTGAGGAAGTCTGAGCCATCAGCAAGAGGTTTTCTCAAATACATGATTTTAGCAGATTATTTTAAGGGTGGGGGAATTTCCCTGAAGTCAAGGGAGGGGAAATTCCCCACCAAGGAGTGATGCTGGGTGGGAGATGCTGGTCGGGAACCAGCTGCTCATTAGCTAGGCAGTGTTGGAGAGTGCCTCATGAAAATAGCTAAATCTATGTCTCCTTGTTGTCAAGTGCCTGATGTTTAAGGGCTGTGTTAGATCTCACCTCCCTTTCATTTAACAGAACACCTCAACCTCCACCCTGTTATCACACCCTCACCAGGACTACCCTCCCCCACTTATCAGTCAGGGGCTTTTTTTTTCCTGATGTCTTCTCTAACTGTATTTGTAACAATCCTTCCAATTTAAAAAAATGACACCTCCTCTATGGCTACCACATTGTTCTCTGTAGTAGTTCCTAAAGCTAAAAGTGGCCAGGGCTGAAAATGGGGACTGGGGCATTCTACTCACTGACAGCTGCAGCCAGGAGGAAAGCAGAGAGGGGGAGGAAAATGAGACATTTGTGTAAGGGATGGACTGGGGAAGGACCAATGCAGCCCCAGGAATCAGGGGCCCCCAGAGGGCAGTGTTTCTAGGAGTGATGGTTAACCATGGTTATTGAACAAGAGCATTATAAATTCACTTTATTACATTTTTGGAATTGATAGTACTCTGTGGAACAGATGTGTTCTCTTGGAATTGTCCCCAGTCAGAGAGGCGCTGATGGTCAGCACGCAGTTTTGATGACCAAGGGTGTGCTCCTTCTACCTGACTGAAGCTGCGGGAAGTGTTGTAGAAAGAGCCTGCTCTGTCTGCTCTCATATTGATTGTATGTAGGCATTTGGGGTTTTAAAACTGATTTCAATTTGGAGCAGTCTTTGCTTCTTGTTTACAAGATCGTTTCCAAAAATGGCTTTTTGGGCAAGGTGCAGTGGCTCACGCCTGTAATCCCAGCACTTTGGGAAGCCAAGGCAGGTGGATCACCTGAGGTCAGGAGTTTGAGACCAGCCTGGCCAACATGGCGAAACCCCATCTCTACTAAAAATACAAAAATTAGCTGGATGTGATGGCACGCACCTGTAATCTCAGCTACTCGGTAGTCTTAGGCAGGAGAATCTCTGGAACCCTGGAGGCAAAGGCTGCAGTGAGCTGAGATCGCGCCACAGCACTCCAGCCTGGGCGACAGAGCAAGACCTTGTCCCTCACCCCTCCCCCAAAAAATGTTTTTTCCACACCAATTTTTTCAACAAAAGAAACTACGGTTGGTGAGAATGTGGAGAAATTGGAACTGTTGCGCACTGTTGGTGGGAATGTGAAATGATGCAGCCATGTGGAAAACAGTATGGAGAGTCCTCCAAAAATTAAAACTAGAACTACCATTTGATCAAGTATGCTAAAGAGTTGTAAGCAGGGTCTCAAAAAGATAGTAGCACATTACTCACAATAGCCAAGTAGTAAAAGGAGCCCAAATGTTCACCCACAAACAGGTAAACAGAATGTGGTGTGTATACTCACAATGGAATATTTTTGGTTTTTTCCTTTTTTAAAAATCAATGGAAGTGCTAACCAAACAATGGAATATTATATAGTGTTTAAAAAGAAGGAAGTTCTAACACTTGGTACACATGAATGGATGTCAAGGACATTATGCTTAGTGAAATGAACCAGCCATAAAAGGACATATACTGTATGATCCCATTCATATGAAGTATCTAAAGTAGTCAACATCATAGAAACAGAAAGTGGAAAGGTGGTTGCCAAGGAACAGGAGAGGAAGAAGAGGAAGTTGGTGTTTAATATGTGTGGCCGTTCTGCAAGATGAAAAAGTTCTGTCGTACAAGAGTGTGAATATACTTGACACTGCTGAACTGGAACTGTGTGCTTAAAAAGGGTTAAGATGGTAAAAGAAAGGAAGAAAGAAACAATAAAATTTACTTTTTAATTATTATAATACATTCATTTCTCCTGATTTTGGTGACATACATTTTGAGAATTTATAATAGCTTTACAGCGTCAAAATTCCCTTAGATAAGAAGTCATCATTATTAACTTTCATCTGTAGTTGAGGTTCAAAGCCTATTGAAGTTAGTGAGGAATGGAACATGTAGAGGTGAAGAAGGCAGCAGCACCGGCCTGTGGGTCTGGCCATTGTGAGGAACTCTGCCCAGCAGAGCTGGCATTGACACGCTGTGGACTACTACATCTAAGATTTTTCAGCTGAACTGCAAATTGCTATTTCCCCATCAGCAATTCGTAATTCAATTGAACAATGTCTACTGAGAGTATGTGACACTTTAAAAAGTGTTCAAGTAGAGTGGAGTCAGATTACAGAGAAGATATACCGTAAAAGAATTTTGTTATGAAGCAATAGACAACTCGCATGTCATTTCTTGTGACATCATAAAACCACTGTTTTAAGAAGTTCACCTTGGGCCGGGCGCGGTGGCTTACGCCTGTAATCCTAGCACTTTGGGAGGCCGAGGCGGGCGGATCACAAGGTCAGGAGATCGAGACCATCCTGGCTAACATGGTGAAACCACGTCTCTACTAAAAATACAAAAAATTAGCTGGGTGTGGTGGCGGGCGCCTGTAGTCCCAGCTACTCGGGAGGCTGAGGCAGGAGAATGGCGTGAACCTAGGAGGCGGAGCTTGCAGTGACCCGAGATCGCGCCATTGCACTCCAGCCTGGGCAACAGAGCAAGACTCCGTCTCAAAAAAAAAAAAAAAAAAAGAAGAAGTTCACCTTGGAAGTAATATATAGGATGGCTTGGGGAGGGAAACAGAGTCATGAAGACTGGCTGAGGGATTTTTCTAGCTAGAATCTCAGATGAGCACAGGGGTGGGAGTCAGAGAGACCTGGGTTCCTATCCTGGTTCGGACCCAGCCCCTGTATAGCCCTGATAAATGACTCAACTTCTTGGAACCTCAGTTTCCACATCAGCAATTTGCAGTTCAATTGGAAATCACATACTGAGTGCCTTCTGTATGCCAGGTACTATGCTAGGGGCTGGGAAGACAAAAATCAAACGTCTGTCCTTTCCTTTAAGTCTGTCCTGTCCTTTAAGATGGTAAGCGACCTAGACAGTAAGCGTGGGGAATCATAGAAAACCACCAGGCCTGGACGAAGCATCAAAGCATAGCACAAAGATTCTTCCTGTCTAGACATCAGACACTGAGAAATCCCACTCCATAAAACACACTTGAATTATGGGACAGGAACACAGGAGTCATTAACTTTAAGGGACTTTAAAATCGTGAAAGTAGTTAGGGTGGTGAAGGGAAAAGGATACAACCAGAAAATGGAATCAGGTCCTTGACAGGCCCCACTGGGAGCAGGGATTGGTAGTTGGAAGGAAGGGTTAGTGAGGGAACGGAGGGCAGGACATACGGCTGCTCTCCAGAATGGGAGCAAAACACACAGATTTGGATACTAACACTGTTTTTAATATCATTTTGTCTTATTACAAGTAACAGCTACTGCTGGAGGAGACAGTTCTGCCCAGTGGGTAAGAGTTAGATGGCCTGAGCCTGCTGCACACAGCTGTGTGTTATTGGGACTTGAGTTTCCTCATCTGCAAGTGGGGACAACTGACAGTACCTCCCATGTAGCATTGTCATGAGGATTATATGAGCCGGTTCATCTCCACAGCTTAAATCAGTGCCTAGCACATTATAGGCACCTGATAAAATAACATCTTGCAATTCTATTTTTAATTTTTTTTTAATTTATAGAGATGGGTCTTATTATGTTGCCCAGCTTGGTCCCAAACTCCTGGGCTCAAGGGATCCTCCTGCCTCAGTCTTCCAAAGTGCTGGGATTACAAGCATGAGCTACCACGCCCAGCCACATCTTGCAATTCTATACTGTTTTTCAATTTACAGGGTGCTTTCATGTATCATCATTCCACTTGAGGCTCAAAGCACACCAATAACAAGTACTTGTTCAGAATGTATAAACAACCCTGAGAGATGGGTTTTATCATCCACATTCAACAGGTGAAAAAACAAAGAAAGAAACTTGACCAAGGACTCATACTCAAAAAAGAAAAATATAGAAAAGAAAAAAAATGTGCATCGCTATCATTTGAAGGCAAGTTCATCTGACCCCAAAGCCTTGCATGAAGTCCACATGCTGTTTTTCTTTCCTTCCTTCCTTCCTTCCTTCCTTCCTTCCTTCCTTCCTTCCTTCCTTCCCTCTTTCCTTCCTTCCTTCCTTCCCTCCTTCCTTCCTTCCCTCCTTCCCTCCCTCCCTCCCTCCCTCCCTTCCTTCCTTCCTTCCCTGCCTCCCATGTATGCCAGGCAGGAACACAGTTAAGAATAAAGCAGACAAGAATTACTGCCTTTCTGGAGCTTACATTCTGGATAGTGAACAGAATACATTATAGACGGTGACAAATGCTATGGAGAAAACTAAACCAGGGGAGACAGTGGAGTGAGAGTGAGGGTTGTGGTTTTGAGTGGTATGGTGAAGGTGAGAGAGGGAGCCAGTGTGTGTGTACCTGGGGAGGGCTGTCAGGCACACGGAGCAGCGGCCCTGGGCAAGGAGTGCCTGCGGTCTTTGCAGCCAAGAGCCCATTGGTTGGAGAGGGGTGGGAGGCACAGTGTATCTGGGGAGAGGTCTCAAGAACTTTGGCTGTCTCCCCTGTGGATGATTCTGAGCAGAGGAGTGACACAATCCAGTCTAGGAATGGTTTGGCAGCATCGCTCTGGCAGCTATGGCCTGCCGGGGGCAGGGGTGGCAGCAGGGAGACCAGGAGGGGCTGCTGGAGGGAGCCCGAAGCTGGATGGGAACCCAGGCTTAAGTGGTGGGAGGGGACCCAGGCTTGAGTGGTGGCAGAGGGGTAAGAGGTAGCCAGATCCTGGACACTTTCAGGAACTTGAATCAGATCTGCCAGTGAGTGGGTCGTGGGATGTGAGAGGTGGAAGAATAACCTCTGAATAGATAAAACATACAGGCTAATGCCTGCTTTACAGATGGGAAAACTGAAGCTCAAAGAGCTGAAGTGACTTGCACCAAGGTCATTTAGTTAGGAAGTTAGTGAAGCAAGGACATTCACCCAGGAATTTTCACTCCAGGCTCCATGACTTTCCCTCGTCCATGTTTCAAGTCTCTTGCCCCTGGCCTCTGCCCCCCATCTCCTGGCCAGGACTGAGTCAGCCCACCCATGAGCGCTTCAAGCCATCTTGCTTCCGCAGTGTCGCTAACTACTAATCCATGATGTTGAAACAGTTGCTGTTGAAACCTCTCTTGTGATTAACCTCAGCCAGAGTTGTCTTTTTTCTTTACTTTTTTCTTTTGAGGCAAAGTCTTGCTCTGTTGCCCAGGCTGGAGTCTGGTGGTACAATCAGAGCTCATTGCAGACTGGAAATCCTAGGCTCAAGCCATCCTCCCACCTCAGCCTCCCAAGTAGCTGGGACTACAGGTGCGTACCACGACCCCGGGTAGAGCTGTTTTGCTAAGTGTTTATGAAGAACTCAGAGAGCAGTCAGTATTTCCAGTCCGTGTCTCTGTCCAGAGGTTTTTCTCCTGGTACCTCCTGTAAAGGTCTAACTTTTCAATAGACTCCTGTTAATTGTGAATTTATACATGATTACAACCAGCTTTTTTTCTTTCTTTACTGATTTTCACAGCAATAGCTAGATCATGGTAAAGAATTCTCCCTTGGAAAACACTGTTCAGTTCTTCGAGGAGAAAGCGTCATTTTTCAGAGCTGTGCTGTGGGTGGGAAGCCCCAATGCCTTTATTTTACTGAGATGCACTTTTTTTTTTTTTTTGGCTCAACCACGGTTTAAATTGATAAGGAAAAATGCTATTGGTACCAGACAGTGCCAGATCAGTGGTTGCTAAAATTGGAAGATTCCTGCTGCTTTAGGCATTAGACACCCAGACTTTGTGTATATGCTCCTCACCCAGGAGCATCAGGATATCTCGGCCAGTAAGCAGCACAGTTCTTGGGCCTCGTGGTCTGGGCAGCCGCTCCAGGGTTAGAGAAGGCCTTTGTCTTCAGTGTTGTTTCCCTTGGAGTCTAAAACACACTCATGCATGAAAAAAATGATGTGCTTCCTCAAGACATCCCCCAACCCACCCCCAAACTCACACACCAGCAAAGCATACTAGACTAGGTGACCTCCTGCTCTCCGACTGTACGCACCCTGGCCTAGCATAGGAAGCAGAAGTTACATTTAAAACGAAACAGTCACCATGCGTTGTTCAGGCTCCCGTGTTTCTCAGACAGCACATGTCTGGCTTTCTCAAGGCCTCCAGCCACACCCCCAGCCAGACAGACATGGGTACACACATGCATAGCTGGCTCCCTGCTGCCCACCCACCCGTGCTCCCAGGGTGCACTCCCTTCTCCTGAGGCGCCAGGCCCTGCCATGCCCCTGGCAACCGTCCCCTCTCCTTTAATGAGCAGGTAAGAAAGCTAGGGCCCAGAAGGCAAGACCAAGGCTGTGGAGCGCTTTCTTCTGCCTCTTGGCTTTGTGCTTAGGCCCGGGAATTTACTCCTCCCCCTCCAACCCCGTCTCTTGGTCTCTTAGACAGCTCACTTTCACTTTTTCCTCACAGACACAGGCCCTGACCTTTCCTGACCAAAACTGGGGATGGGCCCAGGCAGGGGAGTGGAGGTGGGTAGAGGGTGACTGGCACCATGCACTCAGAGCCTGGAACCCTGACTTTGTCCACACTGAGAGCTCTCCCCTGGCTTCCATTGTCAGCTGCTCCAAGGTTCCCTGGCTGTCGCGGTGTCCGGCGCACCTGTCTGGGTGGTTTCACGGCTGGGGCACAGGTGCGGACCCATGGGCCATGCCTCAATGTGGCGTGTGCTGTCATGGACGTAAGCAGCTGGTTCTCCTGGAATCACAGAAGGGTTCTGGAAAGGAGGTGATGGTGGCTGGGATGTCGGGGTTTCTCTGAGAGGGGCACCCCAGGCAGAGGGGGAAGCAACTGGAAAGCCAGAGCCCATGAGCAGACCCAGCTCAGTGGGCACCACTCACAGGTGCTGTGTCCAGAGCTCAGGCTTACAGGACTGGGGCTGCCAGGTGGGAGGTGGCCTGAGCACAGTCTGAGAGAGGGGCTGGGGCCGGGCTGGGAGAGGCGCCGCTGGCAGCACGTGCACACCTTCCTGCTTTCCCTCCGTCCTGCTTCAAGAGCTCCGTGCATCACCAGTGCATGAGCTTGAACTCCTCCTCATCATGACAGCCCTGTCTGTGCTTGGCAAGGAAGACCTAAAATGCTGGTGCATGAAATACTACTTCTGCAGTGTTGATTACCCCCATTATTGTGGATCTTTTTCCATGTTTATCATTGTTCTAGTGCCAGACTCCTGGGCTCTATTTACAGAATTGGTTGCTTGTGACAGCAGTGTGGCTGAAGTGATGAGGGGAGGGAAGGGAGGAGAGGCATAAGGGGAGCAGGAGGCTAAGCATGATGGTGGGGGGTGGGAGTCTGGGGCTGGACGTGTGTCTGCCGAGCACCTGGCACATGGCCAGTGCAGGTAAGATGAACTGTGCATAGAAAATGCAGGTTAGATTGATCCGAATATAAAACATCTCCCCAAGAAAGAACTCTTCAGTCAGAAACCAGACCCATCCTTTTCTAGTCAAGTAACTAGAAACGTGGATTTGCCAAGTCCTTGAGGAAAGCAAGCCCATGGAGCACCATCCCAGGGCGACCTTCAGCCAGCCCTCTGTCCTTGCTGGCACACCAGCTTCTCCCTCAGGCTTCTGCTTTTTGTTAAATCTCCAGGGAACTTGGAATTTTTCCAAAACATCCTTGACTGTATCTCTGTTGCTGCAGGCATGAGCTTGGCCTCCCAACATGGATCTCAGTTCCTGATGCCATTTCCTCGGGCAGCTCTTGTTGCTGCCCACTCCCACTAACCTGTGTTCTCCCCAGCTGGCTTCCCTGGCCCCAGGCTCTGCCCCAACAGCTCTTCCTCCACGTCGTAGCAAAGTCTGTCATTAGCCCAGCCCTCATCGTGCGGGACACCATCACCACAGTAGCACTCTCTGTGGAGTTCCAGCTACTTGTCAAGGATGCTAAAAGTTTCACCTGCATTCTGTGGCCTGATTCTTCAAAAAGAAGGACATGAAGCTCAGAGAAATGCAGTCACTTGATTTAGGTCCCATGCCCACAGAAGGGCAGGACCAGAATTCAGACGAGACTCTGTGACCCTAAAACCTCTTCTCTTTCTGTCATATGAGGGGACTCTACTTAGGTCCTGTGGCTTCCTTTCTCCAAACCCTGGAACAGCAGCCCAGGATGAACTCTAGCCTGTGAGACCCTTCTGTGTGCCCCCGATCTTTGCAGTCTTGTCTTTCATGAGATGTGCAGGGAGTCTGTGGAGCATGTGCTTCGAATCAAGCCACCTGTGATTTGCAATCGGGCCATCGCACTGTTCTGAGTCGCCTGCTCCTCTTCCAGGAAGCCTTTCCCTGACTGGGGAGGATCCCTTCCTCTTTAAAATCCTGCCACTTGCTTCAGACTCTCCCTATTATATTTCCACTTCCTGGCTGCAGTCATCAGAATTCGGGTTTTATTGCATCCCCTTAAAGACAAGGGTCATCTGTTGTATAGCTTTCTGTCCCCAGCACCTGACAGTCATTCCGTTGGAAAAAATACTGATAGATTGCTTCTTGGACTTTTGGCTAAGATCAAGTAGAGAAACAGTGATGGAGACATCCCTGAACTTGCACAGGAGGACTGAGGCCATGAGTCTGAAAGAAGAGACTGCTCAGTGACAGATTGTTGGCTTTGCCAAGGGTGGCTCATTTTCCCAAGAAAGAAAATCTGACTAGCAGGGTGGCCAATCTAAAAAGCTGCACCATCCTTAAAAGATCTTTCTCTCTCTTTTCTGGTAAAAGTACTATATAATTCCTCATTCTCATATTTTGAGTTCCAAGCCTTTCAAATATGTACAGAGAGTAAGAATGATGGCACTTTTCTACTCAAGACACTGTTGGGATGTACTGGTTTTAGTAATACTGTTGCCTTGCAGATAAAGGATGGAAGCAGAATATTGGATCATCTTTTTCATCTTTTTTACCTCCTCAGCTTTCCAGCACATTGCTTGGCAGCATTGTTATCTATATTTATGTTGTTAATATCCAGTTTGGAGCACAGACTTCCAACTAAATTACACATAATATCCTGATGGTCTTCACTCTGCAAATGGTATTGTGTTGGCAATACACTCTTTAACATTCCACCTCTCACTTAATGTCACACTTAACTGCAGCTCTTAACTTTGGAGTAATGTAGACATTTTCTAATAGTTTCTTATTCTGAGTAAGATGCAGATGATTACCTTCCCTTGGGAGTATGTTACCAAATTTTTTCATCATATGAAAAAATCTTGTTAGCTGTGTCTTTTAAATCATGCCTTTGTTTTGTATGTTTTAGTTTCTTCAGATGGAGGTACTGAGCCCTCTGCCTTAGTGGATGACAACGGTAGTGAGGAGGACTTCAGCTATGAAGACCTCTGCCAGGCCAGCCCTCGGTACCTGCAGCCCGGCGGGGAGCAGCTGGCCATCAATGAGGTACTGGAATTCCACACGACAGTAGTGGATACGGGATACCTGATTTTCAGGGTCCACAACCACTTCTGACTTTGTTCCCTAGTTCTTCTTTACTAAGCATGTCCGAAAACCTGGAACTCTGATTAAAACAACACTGTGATTCACTTTGGAAGGCCAAGGCAGGTGGATCATTAGTGGTCAAGAGTTTAAGACCCGCCTGGCCAACATAGTGAAACCCTGTCTCTACTAAAAATACAAAAAAATTAGGTAGGCATGATGGTGCGCACCTGTAAACCCAGCTACTTGGGAGGCTGAGGCAGGGAGAATTGCTTGAAGCTGGGAGGCGGAGGTTGCAGTGAGCTGAGAGCACACCACTGCACTCCAGCCTGGGCGACAGAGCGAGACTCCATCTCAAAAATAAAGAAAGAACAACACTGTGATTCTCTGACCTCGTCCAGGAAAATATATGGGATTAAGCTTTCTGGGTAGAGGCAGCTCGTCTTTTTAGGTAAGGAACAGCAGCTCCCCATCAGTGTTCGGCCAGTGCTTTCCACTTGATAAAGAATACCCTCCCCTCCACTATCTCATGTAATTCTCACAACTGATCTAAGAAGCGGACATTATGGTTATTATCCACATTTTCATCAACGCTCTAAGGAAAGATGTCTAATTACTGGCTGGCGAATGGCAGAGCTGGAGGCACCCATGTATTTCTCCCTCCAAATCTGGTGTTCCTTTGGCCACCCTGCAGCTTTAGCTTTTTTTTTAGGAAATCATTCTGGAAGATACCTCCAGCTTTTGGCATTCTTGAGCAGAACGTGTGGAGCATAACTCCTTAGTGAGTCAGCGTCTTTACTGAGATGGCCAGTGATGTGTATCGTTGGGCGCTAAGGAGATGGGCAAAATCACCTGCTCCCGTGGCCAGGGGATGGAGGAGCCACATCTGTTCCTGACTTTTTAATTGTTAACGATCTCAAGATCATGCTATGTTCTCTTCAATTGCTGTAAAGTGTAAAGTTAGATGCAAAACTTACTCGAATTGTGAATAAAGTATGAATGATCCACACTGGAGGGAGATGTGAGGGACTTCCAATAGCATATGTGCATAACTTTAGTAGGCTTGGCTCTGTGACATCTAGTACGGCTGCCAGAAACCATTTTTGGAGCAAATATTTCAGAATTCAAGTTTGCTAGATAACTGACCTGCTGCTAAGTGAGCAGCTAGTACTTTTTTAAAAAGGGGCCTGCCTGCCTGCCTGCCTTCCTCCCTCCCTCCCTCCCTTTTTTCTTGCATTTTGCTCTTGTTGCCCAGGCTGGAGTGCAGTGATGTAATCTCGGCTCACTGCACCTCCGCCTTCCAGGTTCAAGCAATTCTCCTGCCTCAGCCTCCCAAGTAGCTGGGATTACAGACATGTGCCACCACATCTGGCTTTTTTTTTTTTTTTTTTGAGACAGAGTTTTGCTCTTGTTCCCAGACTGGAGTGCAATGGCACGATCTCCGCTCACTGCAACCTCCACCACCTGAGTTCAAGTGATTCTCCAGCCTCAGCCTCCCGAGTAGCTGGGATTACAGGAGCCCACCACCACGCCTGGCTAATTTTTGTATTTTTAGTAGAGATGGGGTTTCACCATCTTGGTTGGGCTGGTCTTGAATTCTTGACCTCAGGTGATCCACCCGCCTTGGCCTCCCAAAGTGCTGGGATTACAGGTGTGAGTCACCACGCCCAGTTTAAGCGCTTTCTTTAAAAGCAGGTAGAGATGTCCTCCTGACTTTGTTTTTTCTTAGTCTGTTCTCCTGGGTTCTCTTTGTGTAACCAGTCACATAGTCAGTGTGGACCAAATGCCACCAGCATATCCAAGTGAGAGGATACCAGTGTCACCCTGAGAGAGTGCACCTAGTGGCTCCCTCACCATCCCGCCCACTCGTGCTCTATGCTGAGCGCACCCCACTGTCTCCTTTCAGCTGATCAGTGATGGCAACGTGGTCTGCGCAGAAGCCCTGTGGGACCATGTGACCATGGATGACCAGGAACTGGGCTTCAAAGCCGGGGATGTCATCCAGGTTCTGGAAGCCTCCAACAAGGACTGGTGGTGGGGCCGCAGTGAAGATAAGGAAGCCTGGTTCCCCGCGAGCTTCGTCAGAGTAAGTGTGGGGTGCTTGCAGCTTTTCCAAAGTACCTGGGGGAGCTGCAGGATCCTTTCAGGTCAGAACTCGCCTTTTATCAGGTCAGCTCTTTTGTAATTGATATCTGACATGCAAGTCACACCTGTAAGAAATTAGGCTGGGTCGGAGCAAAAATGTTAAAGGCAGGCAAGCGAGTTGCTCGGTGTTTCTCTGTGGTCCTCGTGCCTGCTGGCATAGCCGCAGCCCTGCTGAGGCCATGAGACTCAGGCGAGGGCCAGGCTGCCTTCCTAACAGGTCACAGGAAAGTAGGAACCTGGGAGGTCTCCTGCCTCTGCTCCATGCTGCCCTCCCCTGCCCCAAGTCACCTGTCCCCTGTATGTGGGTTGCAGTTGCGAGTGAATCAGGAAGAGCTGTCGGAAAACTCCAGCAGCACCCCCAGTGAGGAGCAGGACGAGGAGGCCAGCCAGAGCCGCCACAGACACTGTGAGAACAAGCAGCAGATGCGGACCAACGTCATCCGGGAGATCATGGACACCGAGCGGGTGTACATCAAACACCTCAGGGACATCTGTGAGGTGGGACGCCAGGCTGGGACCTCACTGAGGGTCACAGTATGAGGCTGCATGAGGTGCCTGGGCTTTCTCCCCACCTCCACCCCCCGCCCCCCCATCAGGCTCCCACATGTATGCTCATTTCTCCGCCTCTGCTGTCTGCACTGCTAAGTCTGAGTGCTGCGGCTGTCCTAGCTGTTGGTGGAGGTTTTTTAGAGTCAGGGTCTCTTTTCAGAGACAAGGCTTTTCTTAGAGATAGGGTCTTGCTCTGTCATGCAGACTGGAGTACAGTGGCGTGGTCATAGCTCACTGCAGCCTCAAACTCCTGGGCTTTAAGCAGTCCTCCCTCCTCAGCCCCCCGAGTAGCTAGGGCTACAGGCATGCATCACCACACCCAGCTAATTTTCTAAATTTTATATAGAGATAGGGTCTCACTGCGTTGCCGAGGCTGGTCACGAACTCATGGACTGAAGCACTTTTCCTGCCTTGATTTCTCAAAGTGCTGGGATTAGAGGCGTGAGCCAGTGTGCCCGGCCCCTCTCTTAAGTGCACTCTGCAACTATCTCTATCAGGACCTAATTCCTGAGATTATTTGAAAAGAATGGCTTTCATAGAAGGCAACACCCTCACTTGATTTTACAAAGAGTCAAAGGTTTGTCACTATCTGCAACCCCGCTGCATCTAATCACCAACTGACAGATGAGATCCTGAGTCATTTAGACACAGATGGGAAAAAATGCTGGTTTTATATTGGTCATATGAAAGGCTATATTCTATTGTCATGCTATTCTACTTGGCAACAAATTTTATTTTATAGTTTTATCCTGATTTCAGAGAACTTGTCATTAGTAGAGGTGCACCTGAAAGGTTTTGTCTTCCTGTGGTATTTTGTGCTTCTATGGATTGTGTACGAGCATCACACTACACTGCTGTTCGCCCTGTCTGCTCATTACGGCTCTCCTAGCTGTAAATGCTGATATCTGCACTATCAGTTCAACGCTGACCATTCAGTGCTGAAGACAGGTTGAAGTCAGAGAACTGCCCGTTCTCTAATCGGATTAGCCAGCTGTGTGGACATGCCAGTGTTTAGCTTCTTTGTGCCAGCCATCTCGTTCTGTATGAGTGTGTGGCGAAAGAAGCAGGTCTGCAGTGCCATTTAGGGAAATAAGAGGAAGTGCCCATGATTATTGAGCATTGACTGTTTGTCACCCCTCACCTGGATTAACTCAGCTACCACAGCATTCCCCCTGAGCAGGTCCTGTTAGCCCCCATTGCAGATGGGGAAACAAAGGCACAGAGAAGTTAAGTGGTGGGATTGGATTTAAACCCAGGCAGTCTGCCCCAGAACCTATCCTTTTCTGAACTATTACATTATATTGTTTTCCTGTTAAAATTCATACCAAGTAGTCATTGGTATGTGTTTTACTCCATGGTCAGTTTATTCTACTGAATGTCATGATAACTCTTTTTGAGTTAGCTGTTACATGTATGTACAGCCTTTTCTTCTTATCCCACTAGCTCCTACCTAAGCCATAGTATAGCCATGGTGTTGCACATAGATAATTAGTGCAAGCCTCAGATTAAAGACCCACAGATTGATGCTGTCCATAGAAAGGCGGTGCTGGTGGAATCCTTGGGTAAGAGGAATCCTTGCCCTGATGAACAGTGCACAGAGCTGCATGGGCTATTCAGCAAGCAGTGACATTCTGCATTTGACAAGTCTCCTGGGCTGTGAAATGGAATTAGGGTTGGGAGAATGATTACCTGAAGAGTTTGGAAAAACACGTGACGACACCAATTTTTGAGCTCTGGTATTTGAAACTTGTTTCTGGAAACATTATATGGTTTATTGGATCCTAAATCCAACCGCATGAGCCTTTTTGCTTTCTTTTTATTTTAAAACACCTATGGCAAATTGCAGTCATGGAAGTACGATGACCTCATCAGAGACTCATAGAGTCTTTTTAATTAAAATTCATTCCAAGTTCATGGCTTTAGGCCTACAAAAGCTGTACTATTCAAATAATTTATTTGGATTTCCAAATAAAAAGTATTACTTCTGTATTTTGCAGGGCTATATCCGACAGTGCCGCAAGCACACAGGAATGTTCACCGTTGCGCAGCTAGCCACTATTTTTGGAAACATTGAAGATATTTACAAATTCCAAAGAAAGTTTCTGAAAGACCTTGAGAAACAGTACAACAAAGAGGAACCTCACTTAAGTGAAATAGGATCTTGCTTTCTTCAAAATGTGCGTCACCCTTTACTTCATTATTAATAACATCTGCTTACATAATTTTGAAGTGCATCTCCACAGAAAACAGGAGTCTCTTTTGTTTTATTGTTTGTTTGCTAGATGAATCTTCCATAGAAAGGAGATGTTTCTTCTATCTTATATGCTTATCATATAAACAAAATCTGTATAGTTAATCTTGTCTAAATGTCCCAAATTCATTTTTTCAAAATCCTTTTATGTAGTCTGGAATTAGGGGGTTACATTTGGAGTAATTACTTTTTAAAAATTTCTAAGGGTTATGCCATAAGAACTATGGAGTCCTTCCTAATAATATCCAGGAAGTGTCTATTACATTTCAGGCACTGTTTCCAGGGTTTTCTTATATTAGCTTGTGTATTGCTATGAGGTAGATATGATTATCTCTCACTTTCTAGATGAGGAAACTAAGGCCCAGAGAGTAAGTAACCCAAGACCACATACCAGTAAGAGGCATCTGTGAAGGCAGACCCGGGCATGCGGCTCCAGGACGCATGGTTGTGATACTGTAACTGCCTCAGAACCTTCCTGTGATAACATGCATTTATCATTTTTTAACTTATGATTGACTATTACTACTTAACCGCTAAAGGATTTCAGAGGAAGATTTTAGTCCCAGCCCAAATAGCTAGGGAACAGTAAGAGTAATAATAATAACAATGACAGCCTCACCACACCTTCACTTCCTGGGTGCTGGGCTCAGTAGCTGTCTAGAGTCCTCTGGGGCAGATAGATTTTAAGTGGCTGGGCATAATGTTTTTGTGTTAAGTTAGTCAGCTGGAGGCTGGGCCCCATGTGTGACGTGGGCATATCTGGGACATTGTCACAGGCCTCCTTGTGTGGCCTGTGCAGAAGGTTCCTGCAGGAGCCAGCTTAGGACAGGCTGGAGGCCAGGTGGTGGCATGAGGAAGGTAAGTCTCACAGTGAGGACAGGGGAGTACTGCTGCCACCAGGGAAGGGGTCTTGGCGGGCCCAGCCAGGGTGACGGCAGAGAATTGGGAAGAGAGGTATGTTGAAATGGGCATTTTTGAGGAAAACCTGACAAGACTAGTTGTAAACCACAAAGAATAAGCAACGATTAAAACTGCATACATGGTTTTCAGCGAGTTGAAAAAATTTGTGGGAGGGGGACGTTAGAGGCCCTGCTCCCCACCTTCCAGGATGAGCGTGAGGCAGGCTAGAAAGAGACCAGGGTGCTGAGTTCCAGGGCAGCCTCATCCCCAACCCCCTCAGGAGCCTGCTGAAGCACCCCTTCTCGCCGGCCAGATAACGCTTGCGGAAACCATGGCAGGGCAGCTTGGGTGCCAGCGGATTTCATGCCCTGTCCTTCTTGCAGTAGTCCATCTTCCTCCTTTCTAGGAGTGTCCCTTAGAGAGGGCTGGGATGATGCCTGTCTTTGTCATGTCCCAGAGGCACCCCAGAAGCTGACGAAGCTGTACTTTTCCTTCCCAGCAAGAGGGCTTTGCCATCTATTCCGAGTACTGCAACAACCACCCGGGCGCCTGCCTGGAGCTCGCCAACCTCATGAAGCAGGGCAAGTACAGACATTTCTTTGAAGCCTGCCGCCTGCTGCAGCAGATGATTGACATCGCCATCGACGGGTTCCTGCTCACACCAGTGCAGAAGATCTGCAAATACCCGCTGCAGCTGGCCGAGCTGCTCAAGTATACCACACAGGAACACGGGTGAGGGGCATGGGTAAGGGGCACAGGTGAGAGCACTGCTGCCATTACCCGTAGGCAGCTCTTAACTCCAGGCAGTGATAGGTGGGCTTCAGTGTCAGCCTTAACACTTTGGGAGCTCCATGGGAGAAGTTTTCAGGTTGTTTAGAATGTGTGCAATTAACTATTGAAATAGAGTGGTTGAAGAGCCTCCAGGATATCCAGTCCTAGAGCTATGAAGACACAAGGGCCATTCGTGAGCTGTGCCACGAGTGCATGGCGGCTTTTGTTGTATTGTTATGTTGCTTACCTGTATTTTATAAACATGTCTTTGAGTACTCAGTAGTTAGTAAAGACGGTTTCTGAGGGAAACAGACCAGTGTGAATGGAAAGCCATAACTCTGGTTCTCTCCTGTACCCTTGAGGTTGACGTACAGCAGCTCGGCTCAGAGCAGGATTCTTTATGGCAGAAACATTACTTACTAGTGGCTTACCTAAAGTTACTTGTTGTTAAGCAGTCTCTATTTAGCAACCCCTTCTCTATTTAGAAGGGGTGAGGGCACACACAAGCTTGAACTGTAAAAGGGTGTGGATTGTCAGGGGTGCAAACCCATATGGGGCAGCTGAGAAGACCAGGGCATTGGGCACCTGCTGGGCCCTGAGCCGTTCCCTACCCACCGGGGTGCCGACTCTCTGGTCTTCTCCCTGTTCCCTCCTGCTGGGAGCACAGGGCTTCCTTCCATGCTTACCTGAATGCTGCATCTCCCTTCGAGCTTCCTTGGTGCCTGACTAAGCTCTTCTTGTTACTCACACTTCTGTTGTTTGGATCTCGGCTTCTCCTGAACAACAAGCAACAAAATACACTCTCTCTCTGTCTTTATTTTTTTATTTTTTTATTTTTTTTTTTGAGACGGAGTCTCGTTCTGTCGCCCAGGCCGGACTGCGGACTGCAGTGGCGCAATCTCGGCTCACTGCAAGCTCCGCTTCCCGGGTTCACGCCATTCTCCTGCCTCAGCCTCCCGAGTAGCTGGGACTACAGGCGCCCGCCACCGCGCCCGGCTAATTTTTTGTATTTTTAGTAGAGACGGGGTTTCACCTTGTTAGCCAGGATGGTCTCGATCTCCTGACCTCATGATCCACCCGCCTCGGCCTCCCAAAGTGCTGGGATTACAGGCGTGAGCCACCGCGCCCGGCCTCTCTCTGTCTTTATTATCTGCCTTGGTTGTTTCTGGATTCTTCTCACGCCCTTGTTCCCTAGCTATATGATCTCTTCTGGGGGAGCCAAAAGTTACCCTTTGTTTCCTTAATAGCCAACCATCATTTCGTGCATGCACAGAAGCCTTTGTGTGGTTATACATTAGGCATGTCACCCATTCAGCATTGGAATGTGCATGCCCATTTTCCATGCCATGGGAAAATGTCATCACAGCACAGCCCAGCTGTTGGGTACCTCAAGGTAGCAGTGCTTGGCTAATTCTGAGTTCTCACCTGGCCAGCAGGGACAGGATAGTCATAGGGCAACTGCTATGTGCCAGGCTCCAAGCCAGGCTACCCAGGGGCGCAGGGGTCTAGGCTAAAGCTGACTCTTTTAGATGAGAATCGAAACAGGGTCCATGCCCCTGACACAAAGTCTTTAACTGCACCTGCAGCTCTGGAGAGGGTCATCTCAAAGGGTCCTAATGAGAAGAGGAAGAGGGAAGGGATTGTACCAGGAGGAAATTTCTATGGCAAACCACAACAGTTCTGGGTTTCAGCAGCTAAATATCTTCCTGCAGGGAGTGGAGAGTGAATCATTATTTTGTCCTCTCTGCCTCTGAACTCCTGTGGAGAGACAGACTTAAAAAAGGAAACTTCTGGCCGGGCGCCATGGCTCACGTCTGTAATCCCACCATTTTGGGAGGCCGAAACGGGTGGATCACATGAGGTCAGGAGTTTGAGACCAGCCTGGCCAAATGGTGAAATCCCATCTCTACTAAAATGCAAAAATTAGCTGGGCATGGTGGCGGGCACCTGTAATCCTAGCTAATTGGGAGGCTGAGGCACGAAAATCGCTTGAACCCAGGAGGCGGAGGTTGCAATGAGCCGAGATCGCACCATTGCACTCCAGCCTGGGTGACAGAGTGAGACTTTGTCTCAAAAAAAAAAAAAAAAAAAAAAAAAAAGGCGAGGGTGTGGGGAGAGCCTTCTTACAATTAGATTGGAAAGTAAAGAATAAGAGCAGATCACTGAACAATAGACACTAGATATGGGTGTTAGCTAAAGAGTTAGGACTAAAGGAATTAGAAAAAGGAGTTCATTGAAATAGATAAAAGAAGAGAGAGCTATATATTTTTTTCTTTTTCTGATGGAGAAATCAGAAAAGTTCAGTGGAAAAAAAAAAACAGGGAAGTCAAGAGAGCCACAAAATTGAAGAAAAAAAATTATAGTTGTAAATACCTTCTACAGATTTTCAAAGACACTTTTAAGAAAATGTCCTGATGGCATGATGAGGAGTCAGAGCCAAAGACAATTAATAAGAAAATTAAGAAGCAAAGACTTCTTGAAAGACGTGGGCAGGCAGCTTAGTACATTCCGAGATGGGAAAGCTGGGTCCAGAAGTCCACACCTCACTCTTCAGTAGTTGATTTTCTTCCTTTAAGGGCATTTTTCACCAAGAGCATTTGCAGATTTTGGTTTTTTCAAAATAAAAATTAGTTGACATGACAGAAAGTCCATTTCCTTGTCTTAAGTAAAACAAAGCAAAAATTCTTTTAAAAAAACCATTACAATTTAGTTTTGTCCAGAAAAACTTATTTTGCGACCCTTTCTTCATTGCTGGAGGCCTCTTTGGGGGCTCTGTGCCCATTATTTTGGCAGTCCCTGGTGTCATTCTTGCTCCTGCTCTCTGCGCCACTTCTGGGTGTGAATGGGCGTCTCTGAAGACAGCAGGGTCTGCTTGGTGGGCAGTGTCTGGGGACTTCACAGGAGCTGGGATGAATTGTGTTTGGTAAATAGACAATAGAATCTGCTTTCAAGGCTTTCCCATGGCTGCGCAGGAGGATTCTAATTCATTCCAGCTGTGATGGAGTGGCCCTGTCTGTGCTGTAAGTTGCCACGGGAAAGCGGAAAATATAGCTCATTAGCTGGATGGTTGGTCTCCATGGCCCCGCATTATTAACGCTGAGCAAAACCTGAATGGGAAGCTTGCAGATACTGGACATGCTCTGTGCTAGCCTGTGTGTAGATTAAAACTGTAGTTTCTGCTTTTCCGGTGCCTACAGTTTTAGCGGGCTTGGGAGCGGGGCCCTCCTGGGGAGAACATTTTAGCTTGACGTGACTGTGGTGGACGGAAAGCACCAGAAAGGAAGATCTGTTGGTGAGGCGAATGCCATACTGGCATTTCCGTAACTCACCACTTCAGGTGCCTGTCCTCTCCTGTCCTTTCCCGAACAGCATAAAAGATGAAGACTCAGAGCAAATAGTCACTGTTGAAAATGGTTAGTGATTTTTAAAGTACTTTATGTAGCAAGAGTGGTTATATGAGAATCAGAGCCATAATAAAGACTGTTCTTTCTGTATTAATGAAAGTCACCCATTGTCACCGTGACTAAAACTTACTTATTTGTGGCATTTACTGTCATTCATTGTAATTTCTGGGAAATGAGTGAAAACATTTTTATTCCAAAGAATTCTGAATTGCACTGGGTCAGCTCCCTTAATCTATGGCAGACTGTAGTCTATTCACAAGGGAACAAGAAAAAGGGAAACAGTGGCTAATGACGTAAATGTCACTTTGTCTAGAGCATTCGTATACGAAGAAGCGCCCCAGTGGATTATTTTGCCAGTCCTCATTTGTAAGGTGCATGTTATGTGATTAAAATTAACCTCCCATCTTGCAGTGATTACAGCAACATAAAGGCAGCATATGAGGCCATGAAGAATGTGGCCTGTCTGATCAACGAGCGCAAGCGCAAGCTGGAGAGCATCGACAAGATAGCTCGCTGGCAGGTGTCTATCGTGGGCTGGGAGGTAAGTGGAAAGCACCCCACATGATCCCATGCCACTCGCCCTTCCCGCACCTTTGATCTGGTGCAGATGCACTTTAATATCCTGTGGTCAATATCTTATATTCTTGGCTTTAATGGTACATATACCATTAATGGTAAATGTATTTCGAGGCATACTGTTGAATTTAACAGTCGACTACTTTATACCCCACTCCCATAAGAAATAAAATCTGAAGAGTATCTGCAGTTAATTTATTGCTGAGCCTCTCTCTCTCCTCGTAGAGGGAGTACCGTGGGAACAGTAGAGGGCATTTCAGTTGCAGCCACATAACATAGTAGTAGAAGTATGGGGGACTCTGGAGTCCCTGCCCACATGTGAATCCTGTATGATCTGGCCAAGATTAATTTTTTTATCTTATAAATTGGGGAGGAAAATATTACCTACCTCATAGGCTACCGTGAGCATTTTATAAAACAGTACAGGCCAGGCACAGTGGCTCACACCTGTAATCCCAGCACTTTGGGAGGCCAAAGTGTGAGAATCGCTTGAGCCCAGGAGTTTGAGACTAGCCTGGGCAACATGGCAAGACCCCATCTCTACAAAAAGTAAAAAAAATCAGCCAGGCATGGTGGCATACACATGTATTCCTGGCTACTCGGGAGGCTGAGTTGAAAGGATCACTTGAGCCTAGGAGGTTGAGGCTGCAGTGAGCCGTGATCGTGCCCCTGCACTCTAGTCTGGGTGACAGAGCAAGACTCCGTCTCAAAAAAAAAAGGAAAGACCACAAATACAATGCCTGTAATAATGGTCCAACAAATTCTCACTCTCTCTCTCTCTCTCTCTCTCTCTCTCTGTATTCATAAAAACAGTGACAATAGCACCTGTATGTGTTTACCACATGTCTGAATGGCACTGATCTGAGCCATTTGTACATATATGAACTCATTTAATCCTCTACACCATCCTATGAAGTAAGCACTATTATTATACCCATTTAACAGATGGGAAAACTGAAGCACAGAAAGGTTAAATAACTTGCCCAAGACCACACAGCTCAAAAGTAGCAGAGCTGGATTCAAACCCAAGCAGGCACCCTGGCTTCAAAGTCCGTGCTGGTGATCACTGTGCTCTACCGCCATTAAATTAAGAACAACAAGCAGATGCCATTCAGATTGTTTTTAGACCAAGCTACATTGATTTTACATCTATTAATTGGTCAGAACTCACTCTCCCAGAGGACTGAGAAAGTTTGGAGCAAGAAGTTAGGTTTTTAACTGAAATAGGCTATAGGTGGTGAAAATTGGAGAGAAACACATACATTTCAAGGGCCTTATAGACTTCTGGAGTTTGGGCAGGATCTCTGAGAACACTGAGTCCAACTCTTTTATTTCATCAGTGAAGAATCTAGGGCACGGAATTGCTCTGAGCAAGTAAATAGAAGAACTATTTTGGAGTCAGGCTCTTTTGCCTCCAAAAAATATTGTGTGTGACTGGGATTAAGGGAGAATCAAATCTTATTTAACAAAGGCCATTGTCATACCAAATACCATAAAGTAACATTGGATTAGATTCAACCTAAATATAATAAAAGTGTGTTTTTCTTTTTGATTTTGGACGCTGACATTTAGGGGATAATTTGTCAGAAGTTAATTTCTTGCTGACAATTTATCGTCTGGCCTTTTGTTTCTATGACCCTGAACAAGTTGCAATTCCAGGGAGCTGCCATATACTCAACGCAAATAATGTCAGGTCCATAATCACGATACTGTGTCCCCTGCATGAATGCTTTCTCCCATGTAAGCCTGCGTGCTCTCACTCTTGGAGGCTCCGTTTGGGTCAGCTGCTGTTTCAGATCTTGACTGGGTTCCATTAATTCAGCATGCCTCTTACCAGAGGCTTCAGGCTAGGAAGACCCCTCAGCTAACACAGAGGCACTGTCACATTTTTCTAGTAAGCAGGAAAAAAAAAAGAAAAGGAAGAAATTTCAGGCACCAGGAGACCAATAAATCCAGGTTTATTACAAATAACCTTTGAGGCCCTGCCCACCTGTGAATGGGGACAGGTGGTAGGCAGCCTCAGGTACCTAGAAAGTCTGAGAAAGATTCTGTGTTAGGAGTCTCTTCCATATCCTAACACCTGAAGGAATCCAAATTGGGAGTTTGTTTTTGTTGTTGTTGTTGTTTGTTTGTTTGTTGTTGTTGTTGTTTAGAGAGAAGGGTCTTGCTCTGCCCCTCAGGCTGGAGTGTACTGGCGTGATCACCATTCACTACAGCCTCAAACTCCTGGGCTCAGGGGATCCTCCCGCTTCAGCCTCCTAAGTAGCTAGGACTACAGGTGTGTGCCACCATGCCTGGCTAATTTTTAAAATTTTATGTGGAGATGGGGTCTTGCTGTGTTGCCCAGGCTGGTCTCAAACTCTTGGCCTCAACGATCCTCCCACCTTGGCTTCTTAAGTAGCTAGGACTACAGCTGTGGTAGAATTGGAAGGTCTTAAGATGTGTTTTCATCCTTCCAGGGACTGGATATCTTAGACCGAAGCTCAGAATTGATTCATTCTGGGGAGCTGACCAAAATCACTAAGCAAGGCAAAAGCCAGCAGCGGACGTTCTTCCTGTTTGACCACCAGCTGGTGTCCTGCAAGAAGGACCTGCTGCGCAGGGACATGCTGTACTACAAGGGCCGGCTGGACATGGATGAGATGGAGCTTGTGGACCTGGGGGATGGGCGCGACAAGGACTGCAACCTCAGCGTGAAAAATGCCTTCAAGCTCGTCAGTAGGACCACAGACGAGGTTTATTTGTTTTGTGCCAAAAAACAAGAAGACAAGGCGAGGTGGCTGCAGGCCTGTGCAGATGAAAGGAGGCGGGTGCAAGAGGACAAGGAGATGGGTGAGCAGCCCTTGGCTCTGCAGGCACCTGTGCCTCTGCTTGCTGTAATAGCTTCATTCTCCACTCCCATGGGCCTGCTCTGCCCAGCCTTCTCCCTCAGAGCTGAATCCCACCATGGGGAAAGGACAAGGGATCTGCAAACCCTAAATACTTCTGAATGCACTTACAAGACAGACCATGTCAGATGTAGTTACTACCGGCAACATTTATTCAGTATTTACCTTGTGCCAGACATTCTGTGGCCCATTTATAGAGATTGTCTCATTGAATCCCTATGAAGTGGTTGCTGTTATTATACCCAATTTACAGATGAGAAAATTGAGGCTTATGGAACTGGCCCACTCTTGCACTGTGGCCACATAACATTTAAATCCAGCACTTTGGATGCCACATGCAGGGTATGAAGAATAAATAATAAAACCAGTTCAGTGTGACCCCAGAGATGGAACCCCACTATGGTGACCATCACCCAGGCTATCAGAAGTATCACGTGATTCTGGAGGCCTCCCCTTTGGCTGTGCCTGTGCAATACCTTCAGTGTTCTTCACTGCCACAGTTGATCCACACCCAGCAGCCTGCCCTCATGCTTCCCATCTCTCCCTATGAAACTCAGGATGCCGCATCGTCCATTGCAGTTAAGGCGATGGTACTTCACACCCAGTGTTACATTTGTACTTCTTTGGTTTGTCTTCCCAGCTTCTGCTGACCTGGAGGTGCAGTGTGGCCCCTGAGACTGAAGCTGCCATGCCTGGCATTAATGATGGCAGCACCCACAGTCTCTGAGCCTCTATTTCATTGCCTCCCAAGCTCTTTAGGGTTTTGAGCACAATCTGTTGAATGGAAGTCAGGGAGCCACAGTGAAGGATATTCATCTCTGCAGCCCAAGTGAGCCCAGCCCTCAAAAGTCATGGTCCAGGACGGAGGGGAGCCAGCATACGCCCCTCCCCATCCTTGCCCACTGCCATGAGGACAGCAGGACTAAAAACCAGGAGGTGCTTTTTCTGTCCTCCCCAGCCACTGGCTCTAAGCTTGGCTACAGAATTTGGTCTCACCCACAGGAGGTTTTGTGAGATTCTGCAGTAGAGTTGGAGGGATTTACAAGTTGGTCAGGCTAAAACGGAAGCAGGGATCGACTTGGAAACACTCAATGGGTAGACATTGGCCTGGACTTGGGCCACTCCAAGATACAGAGCTCCCCACATCACAGGCAGCCCCTTACACCAAGTGTCAGGGTGTCCTTTACACTAAGAGGAAATCTGATTCCCAGCAACAGCCATAGATTATTGGTGCAGACTCTGGGGCCCCATTGGAATAGGGCTAATCACTCGTGCCCAGAATTCATTTGAAGATGACAGTTACTAAAATGCAAAATGACAGAGCCACAAAATCTTAGTTTTAGTCGTCATATGACGTTGTCTAGCGCAGGCCCTGAAGTCATCTGTAAGTCAGAGTGTTTGGATTCCCAAAGACGGCACTATTTAGTGGGGGCATCCTATGTGCTTTCAACAGTGTCTCTCAATAGGAAGGAAAGGAGGGGCCCGATGTGGTGCCCTTTGCCATGTAATGCTCCCTGTGGCCAGTGCTCAGAGATGCAAGTGCATGACTGAGGCACTCCTGAGCCAGTAAGTCTGTGAACTGGCACGTGTGGGATAAAACTGGATGCATTCCTTGCCTCGAATATTTTGGCAGCCCTCGTACTTGATGCATGTGTGTGGGTAGAAGCTTCAGGTAGCAGATCAGAGAGAATGGACACGGAGGGCCTTGGAGGCAGGGACAGCCCGGTGGCCAGCGTACAGAGCCTGAGCCTGACGTCAGGACAGTCTGGGACAGATGTTGGGCATGTGAAGGAATCAGGGCCAGGGGAGCAGAGTGGGCAGAGGTAGAGAGGGAGCCTCGGGAGCGAGCCAGGCAGTGCAAGCTAGCAGACACAGGGCCTGGGTCAGCTCTGCCAAGCTGGAGCGAGTACCTGCCTACAGGAGGAAGGCTTCCCGCGGGAGAAGGCAGGGCCCCAGCACCCAGCCCTGGCCATTCAGCTCTGTCCTTCCTTCTCCTTCCCCACACCCTGCGAAGCCAAGGGTTGCCTCATCTTGTCTTTCCAGTGACTCTTGTTTCACCCAGTTCACACACTGCACACGTACACTGTCACTGTGCTACTGGACTTTACAGTGAGGGAATGCTCAGGGCACACACTACACACAGCTGGGGTACAGAATCCGCTACCTGCTACTCACGTGGTACCTTTGTTCAGGGTGGAACTGCTAACGTGCAAAGCTCTCATAGCGTATGGGTGAACACGCCCTGGGACCCTTTGCTCTGTCCTCTCCTTCTGGGGCCTCATCCTTTAGGTTATAATTGGGATGACCCTGTGGGAATATTTGCCCGGGAGCGTCGGGCTTCACACAGACATTCTGCATTCTCATGAGCACCACCCCATTTCACTCTCCAAACTGTCCGGGTTTGCAGGACAATCACATGGCCACCTTGGCGATAATCCTTGTGACTTCCCCTTTTCTGATCTTCAACCTGTCCACGTTCTTTGAGGATTAAGGTTCTCTGTCTCAGGTTGTGGTGATAACCTCAATGCTGATATGGGCTGTGATACAAGTTTTGCTCTGAAACATGTCCACGTGTTCTGAATATATATCACATTTATTTCTAAATGCAGGAATGGAAATTTCAGAAAACCAGAAGAAACTTGCCATGTTAAATGCTCAAAAGGCAGGACATGGAAAGTCAAAAGGTAAGTTATGGAGAAGGCTTTGTCCCCTTAATGCTTATCAGTATTCTCCTGAAAATGGGAGCATACCCCAAGTTGTCAGCCTGTGACCAGCTTGGAGCAAGGAGAACAGTAGAAGTTAGAACTCAAGGGCAGGTCCAGAACAGGGGCCAGGTGAAGGTGGCCTGTGTTTGGTTTTGAATGTGCGTCAGTGTTTGCTTCCATTGGAATGTGGGCATAGGAAACCTTCAGAGGGGCTGCTGGAGGGTGGTGGACCTCCTTGCCTGCCTGGGGCCCCTCTGCTCCCCTCCCCCAAGTGCTGATGGTGTTAGCCACAAGGTCACGCACATCCCCAGTCTGAGGCAAACCAAGGACTCTTGCATCTTTTAGGCATGAGAGGACAAAATCTCAAACCCCAAACTGCTTGTCAGCTGTAGGCTGGATATAGTCTAGTTTAAGTAAGAAAAAGATGTAAAGGTTCGGTACATCAGGCAAGGAGTTAGACAAAAAAAGACACGTGAGCTGATTTAGGGCGGTGATTCCCTAATCTCCATGCACATTAGAATTCCCTGGGGAAGCTGTTCAAAAATGCTGATGCCCAGGCCGCATACCCAGGGGCTCTGATGCACTAAGATTTGTCCACACAAATCTGGCCCAACAGGATGCAGATAATCTGGCCCAACAGGAATTCAGTAATAAGGATTTTTCCCCAAAAAATATGCACTGTATTCTTAGAAACTTTATTCCCGTCATCTTTCTACTTTAAAAGGCATTTACCCCATGAAATGTATCTCTTTTGGTATTTTCCTGACTGCAAATGCAAAAACAAGGACCAACGAATCCCAGGACTGCAATAGACCACTGACCTTTAGTCAGTGAAGAACTGATTCCCCAAACCACACTTAACACTCCCCTGCTTTCTCCATGCAAATGCAGAATTTCTTTTCCCCACTAAGTTACAAATATCTTTAAGGCAGAAAAACCCATGTTATTAATTTTTTTAAATCTCCACTTCTAATGTCAGATGACTAGTAAATCAATTTGTTAGAATACATTGTTTTCTGTCCATATCTTCTGCGAGTCACTCGCCCAGCAGCCAGGCTTCTCAAGAACGGAAGGACTGCTGACGTTCACAGGTGGCTACCGGGTGGGACGCTGTGCCTGGGTTATCTGATTTCTTCCTTCCTGCCACCTCGGGAGGTAGGGAGAGCCTTCTGGCAGGCCAGGGGCAGGGACGGGTTCTGAGCCAAGGCCTTCCTGCTTTCAGGGCCCACCCTCTTCGTGCCATGCTGACTTACACAGTTACGTTTTAATCTAATCGCTAATTTTAATAAACCTTCTAAATTACCTCTGCACAGATTAAAAATACCTATGCCGGTGAAGTTTTGATTAGAGTGATTAGATATTGAGGGCACAGTTCTAAGCACTTTACTTCTATTAATTCATTTAATTCTCATAGCAACCCCATAGGTACTGTAATCCCCGTTTTAGGGATTGGGGAACCAAGGCGTAGAGAAATCATATCATTTCCCCAGTAATCCCAGCTGATAAATGGCACAGAAGAATTTGGGCCAAGGCAGCATGAGCTCCAGACTTCCATTTAGAGCATTTTATTGCTACTCACCTTGACTGTCAGTCTGGTTCAGATTCTGCCACTTCCCGCTGCACGTCCTGGCATTCAGTTTCTTTCCCTGTCAAGTTGTTGTCATAATACCCTCCTTGGAGGCTTTTTGGGAGAGTTCAGTGAGAGAGACTGTGTCACGCTCCACACGGAGTACCTGAACATAACAAGTGTAGCTACTGGACCTTCTTTTTGGTTAACGTGAATTAAGAATTAGCTCTCTACAAAAAAATATAAAAATTAGCTGGGCGTGGTGGCACACACCTGTAGGTCCAGCTACTTAGGAGGCTGAGGTGGGAGGATCGCTTGAGCCTGGGAGGTAGAGATTGCAGTGATCCAAGATCACACCACTGCACTCCAGCCTGGGTGACAGTAAGACCCTGTCTCAAAAAAAAAAAAAAAAAAAAAAAAAAAAAAGAATTAGCTGAGAACTTGGACTTGGAGTCTCAGCATTTTTATTTTTTTCCTTTCTGGTTAACAAGCGACCCTCAGTCCCTGTTCCATCTCTCTCCCCTCCCGAGTCAGGCTACAACAGGTGCCCTGTGGCCCCACCGCACCAGGGCCTGCACCCCATCCACCAGCGCCACATCACTATGCCCACAAGCGTCCCCCAGCAGCAGGTCTTTGGCCTGGCGGAACCCAAGAGGAAGTCCTCGCTCTTCTGGCACACCTTCAACAGGCTCACCCCCTTCCGGAAATGAAAACAGGAGGCTGTGCTTCCATGGAGCTGGGTGTCAAGAGAAGAACTGTCTTTGTTTCTTGTGTGCTTCAATCCAGGGAAAGTTTCTTGGACCCAGTGATAAAAACTTCCTTTTAGGGATCAATGAAGGAGAGAAGGTCTTGGAATCACCTTCAGTCTTTGGAGACCCAGCTGCCTTTGTGGAAGGGAGGAGACGGTCATGACACAAAGCTTTATCCTACACAGAAACACCCGTGACCCACTATGAGATGGCCCAGATGTGGGACCCGGTACCATGCTCTAAAGCGAGTGATTAGGCAGCAGCTGAAGCCACCCCTGCTGATGATGAGCAAGTGCCTGCTGCAGGTCCAAACACAGCATCCAGGGCTTTGCAGTTCCTAAGGAGTGATGAGGTTAGAGGATCACTTCTGCATTTGATTTTCAAGGATGCCGTCAAGACGGGGTTGACACAATGCTGCACGTGTCTGGTCACACTTAGAAATTGAGCTCTTACTCTCTTCTGTAATACTGGGGGACCTACAGCTGCCGTGGGGCTGACCACGGTGTTCCCTGGCATCGTCTGTGTCCACACAGATGCTAACTGGTAGTGCAAATGTCATCCTGCAAGGTTCCTCTTCCTGCAAGCAAAGTGGAGAGAAAGAAGATGCATCTGTCACCTTCATCAGGGTCCTCAGTGCAGAGCAACTTACGCATCCTCAAGAATCCACTGCTTTTCAGGCAAGGAGGGAGAAATCCTGCTGCACACTGGCTTTGTCCCGGAGTCGGATTCCCTCCTGCCTGCACGCCTTCAGTAACTCCGAGCAGAAATCACATCTTGCCCACATGCTGTAACCTAAGAAACTGCTATGCAAGGCTGGGTGCTGTGGCTCATGCCTGTAATCCCAGCACTTTGGGAGGCCAAGGCAGGTGGATCACCTGAGGTCAGGAGTTCGAGACAAGCGTGGCCAATATGGCAAAGCCCAGTCTCTACTAATAATACAAAAATTAGCTGGGCATGGTGGCGCATGCCTGTAATCCCAGCTACTGGGAAGGCTGAGGTAGGAGAATCTTTTGAATCTGGGAAGCGGAGGTTGCAGTGAGCTGAGATCGCACCACTGCACTCCAGCCTGGGAGATACAGCGAGACTGTCTCCAAAAACAAAAACAAAAACAAAAAACATTCAAACAACTGTTTGCAATATAAAAAGCTCATTTACTGTAATATTTATGATACAGTGAATATGAAAATGCACTGGTCAGAAGGCACTCTCAAAGAGCCGCACTGCTCCTGACATCGTCCTTAGCAATGAAGTCACAAAGACAGCCAAAGCAGTCCTGCTTCTTGGAAATCAGAAGCTGCCTTTATCACATATAAAGCCAAACAGGGCATAACCATGTCACGTGAGCATGTCATCAGGCTTCTGAGGACTTGTTCTTTATAAAAAAAGACCTTCACAAAATATCTTGGCTTAGAGATAGCAGTCTTTATTAACAAAGGCCACCTAGGCTGACACCTGCAGATAATCATCTCCTTTTCTTTGTCTATGTTGTACATTTTCATGATATAACTTTTAACTATGTCTAGAGAAGGCAGGCTCTGCAAGAGAGGTGCCCTTTCAACCCGCTCAGTGCCCTGGACAGGAGATGCTGTGTTAAACTGTTAATGGATATCTATATGAGAAGCTCATTTTTGTATGCTATCCCTGCAGTTTTTTTTTTTCTAACAGGCCCATGTTTGAGAATAAACAAGTCTGTGATGTCAGAGACAAAGGTGTATTCTTCAGTCTGCAGGTGTGTGGCACCTCCCTTCTCCCCTGCAGCCCCCCACATCCAGAGCCGTTCCTGAGAGTGACATCATGCATCAAGAAAACATAACCTTGGTCCTCAGGTGAACCCTTGGAACATTCTGTGACCGCCTGATGTCCATTCTGAGCCACCTTGGCACACATGCTTACAGGCAGCACTGCTAAGGGTTCAGGTGCCCCATGGCTGACAGCCCGAGTTGCTTCTGTGGACCATCATGCCGCTCGGCACGTCCTGAGACAGAAGTTGCTGCAGGAAGGAGCTTCTGGAGAGGTCCTGTGGCATGTGTGGGGGTGTGTGTGTGTATGTTTCCTTCTTGAACAGACATTCCAACTTTAGATGTGTTTATAGAACTGACCTTTTTACTAACAAAATACAATGATATATGTTGGAAACTACTTAATATGCTTTTCCTGCACACCTTAGCAATAACTGTAGGGGTCTCTGCTAGAGTTGTTTGTATGTACAGCAATTTTGAACAAATTGTTTTAAATGTAATATAAGAGAATTAGTTTAAGGAAGTAAAGAGAATCATTTGCTTGTGTTACATTTTCAGTGAGGATTCAGTTTAAGAGTCATTCTTAGGACTTCCATTTCCTAATATTTATTCATGGGTAATGAAGAAATGGTTTGCATTTTGTGGCCAGTCCTAATTTATTTTCCAGCTGAGCCCTAACTTCCGGCTCCCACCTACCTCCACGGACTTCCTAACAGAGACTTATGAATACCAGGATGTGTTTTTGTTAAGTCAGGTTCAATTCGTTGCCCCTGTCAGTTTTATAGAGTGTGAGGGTCACTCCATTAAAGATCTCTCCTGGGTGGATCCTACTTGGATGTTCAGGTGATTTTGAAAACTGCTAACATTTTTAAAAGGCTAGAACATCCTTTGACTTCTTGAAAATCTGCATGTCTGGCTTGGGTTTTATTACCACATGCCTGAGTTCTTCAAGAATGGAAGGCTCAAGTATTCTCATCTTCCATTTGCCAAACTTCCTTCCTGATTTGAGTCACGTGTTCCACTTGGAAAGAAAGGGAACAGAGAGCCTCCTCCATGGACAGTGTATGAATTTCATTGGGAATCTTGCTCTCTCCCGCCTCTATGCCTTTCTCTCTTTTTAACCTTACTTTACATAATATTATAGATGGGCCAAGAAAAGAAAAGATGACATAACATTTTGATGAATTTCACCTATTCCATTCTTCACGTTTCAGAATTGGTCGACTTTGTTAGAAGATAATTGAAGTAGCCTTGGGTCAAAAGCAACCTTTTCAATTGTGATCATACCTAAAACATATAAAAACCCTGCCGTAGATTAAAAGCAATTATAAAATCATAAAATTGAATGTTTGCAGAATCCTGGAGCAGTAGATTTCTTTGTCTTTGGCCTGCGGACTAGAAAGAGGGCAGCAGTAGTATGCTGGAGCTTCCCTGGGATACCAGCCACATGGTTTCTTTTCATTAGATCTGATTTTTGTTTCCCACTGTAGATCTGATTTTGTAGTTGAAAACATTTCACCACCATCAAACACTATTTCTGAATATTGTGCCTTTTTATACCTAGCCTAGATGAAAACCGATGCCATTCTTATTCAGAAAATCCCCCCATCCTACATGACTGTTATCTAGACATAAAGCAAAGTGCATTTAATTCAAAATTTGGTTCACAATATAAGTATTTTGTAAAAGCCAGCTGAACCAGCATTTTATCAGGTGGAAATCTCTGCAAGCCAAATTGCTGATACTCCTTCATGCAGATCAACTTGGTGTCCCAGTCAGAATAGAACAGCATAATTACCTGGAGTTAGGGGGAGTATTTCTGCACTATTACTTGTCAGGGAGAGAAGAAACTTAGAATTGTCCCTCAAAGGAGTGTCAAGAAGTATGAATAAATGTCCTTTCACCAGCTCACAGGCCAGAAATGGAGGACCCAAGTCAACTAGGTGAAACTACTAGCAGACCCAGCTTTCCCATAATAACCTAATCTGCAAATTGTTCTATTAAAGTCTCATTGTTTTCAGGATGCAATGAAAGTGGATTTCAAAAGGCTTTGGAAAAATAAGTGGAACATGACTGATCTTGAAAAAAAAAGCAAAAGCTTAAATATTTGATACAAGTTTACTTAGCTACAACATACTTTACATTGTTGCCTTTAGTTATCTCACAGGCACTGACATTTTATATTTAGAAAATACTTTTAATCTTTCTAATCTTTTTTTGTAAATATTAGTGTCCATTCTGTATGACTCGCTAACCTACTTTGCAAGGCTTTGGGCAACATTTTAGCTCATTAACTTCAAGATGATGTGTCATCTGTATAGGTCAAAGAATGGGACTTCTGAACTGAGGAATTTGCTGTTGACAGCCAAAGTATAGTGTACAAGATTGATGTAACTTGATATGTATTTTTGTTGAAGTTTTTTGTAAAAAAAAATTATTTACAATGTTATTTGAATGATTTTTTTAAATGCTGTGAATCTATATTTGTTGTTTTGTATATTAAAATTCATTTGCCAAACTCGTTCTGATGATGCATTTGAGTAGCAGCCTTTAAAAGGAGGAAGTGGAGAGCTGGGTGCGGGGGCTTCTGGGATTTGTAGCTCCTCTGCTGCCCTGATGTCCCTAGACTTCTCAGTGGCAACAACTCATCCATTCAGGAGCTCCATGTAACCACTGGGTAGGCGTGGGAGAAGGGGGGCTCCGAGGGCAACCTCGGAGGGCACCCTGGCTTGAGAAACGTCAGTGGTTGGAGTAAGAGGGATGCGGAAGGGAGCAGTGGGGCGGGGCCGCTTTTGCTAGGGATCATGGAGAGGAGACAGAACAACAGACTGTGCCCTCTGACTGCCCCTGAAGGCTAGGCCCTGCCACAGGAGCTGTGCTAGTGGCCCTGCTCACTCGCCCTTTGCGGGTGGGTAGATTAGAATTTCCTTCTCCAACAGCTCAGAAGAGCTAAGTCAACAGCCCATTGTTTGCTGTGGCTGTAATCAGAAAAGGATTCCTATGAAGGCTGCCAAGTGGCTACTGCCCACTTTTTGTTTACTCTTAATATCCACCTGCTTCCCAAAGTGATCTGCTCCTCCCAACCTTGGGCTGCACTGGGGAAGGGCGGTCGCTAGGGTGGGGAGGGGGCGAGCCCCAGAACCCATAGGGCAGAGCATAGTGGCTCCATGTATAGGACACAGTGAAAGAGATGGGGGTGGCATTTTCTTCCAGGAGAGTTGTGGGGAGATGACCGTTAGGTCATAAGCGCGCCCCTACTCTGCACTGGCGAGACCAGCAAAGCTGGAGTGAACCCAGCTGAACCTGGGCCGCAGCAGCCCCGGAGGCTGGAGGCGCTGCAGTCGGGAAACACCAGGAGGATGGAGCCCTTTTCCCTGTAAGCAGGAGGCCAGGATCCTGATTCCTGAGCCGGCTTCCCACGGACCCCAGGCCCCGGCAGGGTCCTGGCGGGAGGAAGAACCCACGGAGTGAGTGGGGTGTCAGCAAAGCGGGGCCGCAGGGCAGGTTCTGGAAGCCTCTCCGCGTGGCTGGGCTGGAGTGTGCAGACGTGGGAGAGCCCGGAATGGGGAGCGCGTGGCCGGTGGAGGCCCGAGGCTGTGCTTCCGTCGCTGGCTCTGAGGCAGAGGTCCAGGCCGGCAGGCTGCCCAGGTGGTCCTGTCTCAGAGCTCTCCGGGGCGCAGAGGCGCGGGAAGCGGGGAAGGGCCGGGCAGCGAGACGGGTGTCCCCAGCAGGAGGTCGGGGACCCGTCGCGCGTTCCGTCGGGGCCGCCTGCGGTGCAGGGGTCAGAGACCAGCCACGCGAGCAAGAGGGAGCCCGGCCAGAACTGCTGAGAGCCCCCAGCGGAGCTGGGACTCAGGGGCTCCTTGCGTTTAGCCACCAAGAGTGGGGGCAGGCTGCGGGGTGCCGGGGAGAAGCCAGATCTCACTCATTTTACACCGACTAATTAGATCCCGCCGCCCACCTGGGACCACGGCATTGTCATGTCCGCTGCACTGACGGGGAAATTGAGGCACGGGGGCGAGTAAGGCGGGAGAGGGAGTCGGCGCCGCCGAGCTGGGGCGAGCCCCGCACCCACCCGTACACTCGGCCTCTGCCCCTGCTCTGTGCGTGGGCTCCTGCTCTGTGCGTGGCCTCGCCGCCGAGCTGGGGTGAGCCCCGCACCCACCCGTACACCCGGCCTCTGCTCCTGCTCTTTGCGTGGCCTCCTGCTCTGTGCGTGGCCTCTGCTCCTGCTGCGTGCACTGCGGCATCTCGGGAAACCGGGCTGGGCTCCTCTGTCCTCTGGAAGCTACTGTAAGTTTTAGATAAATGTTACTACTAGACACGAGGAAAGTGAGTCCATGATTACTGGCATTGAACAAATGGTTGCACCGCGTTCTCCGTGGTAGGTGGAGTGTGTGATTGTGAGAGGGGAATGGACACTGAATCCTTACCTACACAAATGCCTAAACTCGTAAGGCATTACGACACACCCATCTGAAAATCTAATTAAGCGGTAGGAATTCTAATGGTCCGGGATCCAAATGAGACCCAGCCACTTAACAGTTAGCAGCCTTCAGTTTTGTCCTGTTGCCCGTAATTACCCCAAGGTCAGGGAGAAGCACTGAAGCAAAGGCATGAACATCACTTTGAAAAAGAAAGGAGTTAATGGGTGCAGCACACCAACATGGCTCATGTATACATATGTAACAAACCTGCACGTTGTGCACATGTACACTAGAACTTAAAGTATTATATATATATATATATATATATATGAAAGAAACCTGCCTGGGGCACTCCTTCCTTCAGACTCCCCTTGAAAGTATTCCCTCATTTCATTCAAAAGGATTTAACTTTTCTAAACTAAGTGGTGCTGGTAGAATATGCTACCTGATTTACGTGTTGCTGTAATTCTTGAAGCTCTTCCAAGACATCTTGGCCTTCCTCTGTTCCCTCCCCTTCCTGCTATTTTGCAGACATATCCACTGGGGAATTGTATGGCAGGAAGGCTGATTTTATTTAGCTGGCCCTTGATTCTTGGTTTGCACAGTATCTGGGTCCAGCCTGCAGCCCTAGGGTCCAGGTAAGTTCATCAGGAAAGGATTTCTTTACATTCAATTTAAGCCATCTAGGTCCTAAAACAACGCTTATATTATCTGTGGGATAATCCTGCTTAGTTATTTGCAAAATAGTCAGATGTCTATACAGTTTTGGGTAGGAAAGGGGTAAGCCGCTTTCAAAATTCATTCTTGAGGAAGAGGCTAAAGAGGAGATAAAAGCAGATTTTGAAATTCTTCTGCTGGAACTCTGCAATTGGCTGGGAGGAGAGAGAAAAACCATAGAATAAGTCATAAGAATAGTGGGCTTTTTTTCTTTTTTTCAGATGTAGTCTTGCTCTGTCGCCCAGGCTGGAGTGCAGTGTCATGATTTCAGCTCACTGCAACCTCGCCTCCCGGGTTCAAGCAATTATCTGCCTCAGTCTCCCGAGTAGCTGGGATTACAGACATGGGCCACCACACCCTGCTAATTTTTGTATTGTTAGTAGAGATGGGGTTCCACCATCTTGGCCAGGCTGCTCTTGAACTCCTGACCTTATGATCCAACCGCTTTGGCCTCCCAAAGTGCTGGGATTTTTTTTGAGACAGAGTCTCACTCTGTTGTCCAGACTGGAGTGCAGTGGCAGGATCTCAGCTCACTGCAAGCTCCGCCTCCCGGGTTCACACCATTCTTCTGCCTCAGCCTCCTGAGTAGCTGGGACTACAGGAGCCTGCCACCGCGCCTGGCTACTTTTTTTTTTTTTTTTGTATTTTTAGTAGAAACGGGGTTTCACTGTGGTCTCGATCTCCTGACCTCGTGATCCGCCTGCCTCGGCCTCCCAAAGTGCTGGGATTACAGGCATGAGCCACCACGCCCGGCCTATGATGGATCTTTTTAAGAGAGCTTTCTAGAGAAGCTTATAGATTATTTTGCACAAATTTTAATGTGTACTTTTTTTTCCTGATCAGGTTCATCATATTCAGATTGTACACATTTTCATTTTTATGGCTATGCTAATTTACAGTGCAGGAAAAAAATAACTGTCAAGATATGTTGAAGAAGGCTGGGCGCGGTGGCTCACACCTGTAATCCCAGCACTTTGGGAGGCTGAGGCGGGTGGATCATGAGGTCAGGAGATCAAGACCATCCTGGCTAACAAGGTGAAACCCCGTCTCTACTAAAAAACAAAAAATTAGCCAGGCGTGGTGGTGGGCGCCTGTAGTCCCAGCTACGCGGGAGGCTGAGGCAGGAGAATGGCGTGAACCCAGGAGGCAGAGCTTGCAGTGAGCCGAGATCGCGCCACTGCACTCCAGCCTGGGCAACAGAGCGAGGCTCTGTCTCAAAAAAAAAAAAAAAAAAAAAAGATATGTTGAAGAAATGTATAAAGTGTGTAATATAGAGAGTGCATGGAAGACAATATATTCGATGAAGGCAGCCTAGAGCTATTTTGACTCTTAGATCGTCAGATCCGGGAGGGCATTCGTCCTTTCCAGTGCATGCAGGAGGAAGCTGAGGCTCTGAGGTTTGGAAACCCAGGAGATATCACTCAGCTGATTTCTAGCAGGTTTACATTAAATCTTAGTTTTGGAGAGTTAAGAATCTTGAGGAGTGATAACCTTGGCTGTAGAATTAAGGATATGATGTTCTTGGAGAAAATTAATCAGGAAGAGGGCACTGGGTGACCATTTATCAAGAGATTCTTTAGCAAAGGACAGATATAGGTAAAGAATCGGAGAATGAGTCAGAAATAAGTGAACTAAATAAGAACACTATTTTGGGGGGACTAAAAAACATTAACTTCAAAGTTATTTGCAGTCTGTGTCCCTTTGCCCTGACCATGCCAGTATGTCTGGCTCATGCGGTCACAGCATTCTGCAGAATGATGGCCTCTATTCTCTATACATACATATGATATCAATGTATAGAGATCTTGTCTTGATTTGTCCAAGGCAGTGACTGTTGTCGCTTTTTACATATATTACTGGGAGGGTTGTATGCCCAGTGAGTCCCCAGCAGCTGTCACTCTGGCTGACTACAGATGTCTGCAAGCCTCCTCACTTCTGAAGAGCGGCCGCACCTTGGGCAGCGCATGCCTTGAATTAGGATGTGGGCTCAGCTGTGTGTCAAGACCCCAAATAACAGTGGCTTATGCAAGATAGAAGTCTATTTCTGTTTCATATGCTTATGTCAAAGATGTGCTGGCAGGTCTGGTCTGTGGAGTCATCTGAGGCCAGGGGTTTTTCTATCCCCAAATTGTTGCCCTCCTTCAAGGAGTCCCACATGGTTCACCATGCCATGCACACCCCCCCACAGGAAGCGGGAAAGGGCACCCCCTTACCCTTTAAGGCCGGTCATTGCACACAATTACACGTCTCACTTTTGCTCATCCCCATGGCCCGTAATCTAGCTCATGGTCATACCCAGGCTGCAAGGGAGGCTAGGGAGTGCAGTCTATCATGGGCCCCTAGAAGCCCAGCTAAAATTTCTATTACTCTGGATGAAGGTGAGAAGGGGTGTTGGAGATTACTAGCAACTCCACGAAAGCACTGACAAGGATCAGAGTTGATACCCAGTCACCTTCCCAAGTGATGGTCCACACACAGTTGGAACCAGGATAGTATTTCTTGCATGCCTGCATTGATTCATTCAACAAATACTTGACTGAAAATAAGGAAGTAGAAAAATGCAGTCACCATCTTCATAAAGCTCTAACCCAGGTTGGTGCCTACTAAGTGATCATTAGTCTAGGTGTGGTGTACAGAGTAAGTGGGGACTGGGGAGGACAGTAATTCAGATGAGAGAGAGAGTGGATGATTGCAGGGAAAGATGGGAGACAGAAGAGGCTCCTAGCTCTAGTGCCTTCTGGGAAAAGACCAGACCCAGAAATTAAAAGTCAAGAGTGTAACTGTAGTTGAACTAATGAAACTGAGGGTCCAACCCATAGCTTTGTGAGAGGCACAAATGTAATTTTTTATTTTTCAAAATAACATTAATATAATTTCTTCTATATTCCTTGTGCAAATCCTCAACCTTCTACATTAAAGAAGAGGCTAAATAGGAGGTATAAACTTGCTAAAATTTCTTATTAAAAAATAGTGCCAAGCGGCCGTGTGCAGTGACTCACACCTGTAATCCCAGCACTTTGGGAGGCCGAGGTGGGCGAATCACAAGGTCAGGAAATCGAGACCATCCTGGCTAACATGGTGAAACCCCGTCTCTACTAAAATACAAAAAATTACCCGGGCATGGTAGTGGGTGCCTGTAGTCCCAGCTACTCGGGAGGCTGAGGCAGGAGAATGGTGCGAACCCGGGAGGCAGAGCTTGCAGTGAGCCAAGATCGCGCCACTGCACTCCAGCCTGGGCGACAGAGCGAGACTCTATCTCAAAAAAAAAAAAAAAGAAAAAAAAAATAGTGCCAACCTAGGTGGTGACCACGTCTCTAATCCCAGCTATTCAGAAGGCTGAGGCAGGAGGACCACTTAAGCCTAGAAGTTCGAGTCCAGCCTGGGCAACATTCATGAGACTGTATCTCTATAAACAAACAAACAAACAAACAAATAAAACAGAAATAGTGGCACAACTTACTTTGCTACGTATTTGGGAGAACGCATATTAGTTAATCAAAATCATTTGCTGAAGGTTGTCTACATGCTGTATAAACAAGCTAGATAGACTCTACCTACATCAAATATGCAAAACTAGTGAAATAATTACAGAAGAGTAACCATTTGCTTCCAGGCTGGCTTCTTCTTCCCTGGAGAGCAAATTGGAGTTTATCCTAACCTGACACCTTTATGATCTTCTGATCATTTTATTCCTGGAATAGTTGTACTCCACATTTTGAAAAGTTAAAATGAAAATTATAGAACCCTCAACAAAGTTTGGTTGATGGAATTTCGATTTGACTGCTTCCGGCCACTTCTGAGTTTAGCAAAGGAGGCTCGTGTATATTCTTCATGGAATTTGGCTCCAAGAAAACTCAACTCAATTTCCTGGAATGGAGCGAATTTGTGACTTCGAAGGGAAGCATCTGCATTTCCTTTCCCAAAAATACTCCATTTGCATTAGACTGCTCCCTGTGACATTTCCACCAGATGGCAATACAGTCTTTGGATGACAGAGAGTCTTGCTGGTTTTCAAAATCTCTAGAAATATTTGTGTAGGCACTATAAAAAAGCATTTTTTATAAATGAAAAGCTCCCATAACTGCCCCCCATTCTAAAGCAACCATCTTTATTTGCATATATTCACTTTGAGTTTTTGTCAATATTCATACAGTCGTAAGTACATTTATAATGTGCATGGCATTTTAGTCTACTATCAAAATTCAGCACAATGTATATCATTTACATATTTCTACATGACCTTCATAATTATTGCAGCAGTTACATACTATTACACATAGTAAACCTTTCCCCTATTGTTACATAGTATGTAGTATGCACGTTTTCACCTGTTATAGATAATGCTGCAGGTAATGGCACACAATTGGCACACAGTTTTGGAACATTAGGAAGAATTTTAGGGATAGCAATACAGGGTGAAAGACATAGATGTCTTTTGCTCTTTAACTTTTCCAGAAAGATGTGCAGATTTACATGGCTATCAGCACTGTGAGAGGATCTGGGTTCTGACCAGTTGCACTATGCCCACGTTTTTGTTTTACTTCATTTTTTTAAATCCTAAAAGTCAGGTACAGGGTCTTTAGCCTGTAATACTAGCACTTTGGGAGACTGGCGGGAGGATTACTTGAGCTCAGGATTTCAAGACCAGCCTGGGCAACAGAGTGAGACCCAGTCTCTCCAAAGAAAAAAAAAAAAAGAAAGAAAGAAAAATAGGCAATGGCTCATGCCTGTAATCCCAGCACTTTGGGAGGCCAAGACAGGCAGATCACCTGAGGTCAAGAGTTTGAGACCAGCCTGGCCAGCATGGTGAAACCCCGTCTCTACTAAAAATACAAAAATTAGCTAGGCGTGGTGGTGGCGCCTGTAGTCCCAGCTACTTGAGAAGCCGAATTGCTTGAACCTGGGAGGCAGAGGCAGCAGTGAGCAGAGATCGGCCATTGCACTCCAGCTTGGGCCACAAGGGCGAAACTGCATCTCGAAAACAAAACAAAACAAAACCAAACCCAGGTGTGGTGGTGCATGCCTGTAGTCCCAGCTACTTGGGAGGTTGAAGCAAGAGAATCGCTTGAGCTGGGAGGTTGAGACTACAGTGAGCTGTGATTGCATGACTGTACTTCAGCCTGCGTGATGGAGCAAGACCTTGTCTCCAAAAATTATATATAAGGAAAGGACTTGAAAATGCATTTCTCCCGAACTAGGTGATGTTTCCGTGTGTGTGGCCCTTCTTCACAGTGGCCTCCTAGAAAAACAAGACCCTGACTCAAAGAACACCTCTCACTACAGTAAGACTTCTTGGAATGCTTTACTTTTTTAAAAATTTAATTTAATTGTTTAATGTGGTAAAAAATATATAACATAAAACGTAAAACTAACCAGCTTAACCATCTTAAGGGCACAATTCAGTGGCATTATGTACGTTCTCTTTGTTGTGCAACCATCACCACCACCCATCTCCAGAACTCTTTTAAAATCTTCCCAAACAGAAACTCTGTACCCATCAAACAACTCCCATTTCCTTCTCTCTTCACCTCTGGCAACCTCCATCCTACTTTTTCTTTATATGAGTTTGACGGCTCTAGGAACCTCTTATAGGTGAAATTATCCAGGTCTGTCTTTTTGTGACTAGCTGGTTTCACTTCGCATAATGTTCTCGAGGTCCATTCATGTTGTAACATGTGTCAGAATTTCTTCTCTTTCTAAGGCTGAAGAATATTCCATTGTATGGACCTACCACATTGCATGTATCTATTTATCCACTGAGGGACCCTTGGGTTGCTATGGAAAATAATGCAACTACGAACATGGACATCTGTTCCAGTCCTTGCTTTCAATTATTTTGTGTAGATGCACAGCAGTGGAATTGCTGGATCAGATGGTAATGCTATGTTTGCTTCACTACTTGGAATGTGCCTTTATGCATATCGTGATAAAATTTGATCTGTACGACAGTCCTGTGAGATAAGTAAGCATTGATCTCTGGTTCAGAAAAGTGATTTCTTCAAAGTGAAATGATGAACGGAAGAGTATCCTGACCTTAAACTTGGCTTTTTAAATTGCCCGTTCACCTTGAAGAGTGGTTCCAATCACAAGTGTTACCTTCCAAGGACAGTGTCATTCTGGTTATAATCAGCTTGCTCCCCTGCCCTGAGCCTTCTGTCCAAGTTTGTGCAGGTGTGGGTCTGGGGCAGGGGACAGCTCATCCATTTCCCACTGCACGGAACAGAGGCTGTGTCCAGGGCCCCAGCAACAAAGATTTCTCCTTTGGGTTTCTGTTTCCCTCTTTCAGTTCAGAGTCTGTCATCTGAACCATGAGGATCTGGTGGCTTCTGCTTGCCATTGAAATCTGCACAGGGAACATAAACTCACAGGACACCTGCAGGCAAGGGCACCCTGGAATCCCTGGGAACCCCGGTCACAATGGTCTGCCTGGAAGAGATGGACGAGACGGAGCGAAGGGTGACAAAGGCGATGCAGGTACTCACCTGACGGCTTCGGCTGCCTTTCAACTTCTCTCTTCATTCCTTTCATCTCATTCACTCATCATCTGTGTGATTTTCCACCTACCCACTCACACCCCATCCATCCATACATACATCAACCCAGCAACACTCACTGGAGCCTGACCCCATTCATCCATCCACCCATCTGCCCAGCAACACTCACGGGGTCTGCTCCATGCCAGACTCTGTGCCAGGTGCTGGTGGAGAGCACAGGGCAAGATCGCCATGACCCCTGCCCTCCTGGGTTCTCTCATCTCTGACACCGCAGAACATTTTCAGTAGTATACGATGTCATGGATCCTCCCATCTCAGGTGACAGGTATGATGGATTTTTGGCAACAAAAGGCTAATAGAGAGATCTGATCACGAATTATTTGGCAGCAAGCACCCAGCTGCAGTGCAGGTGAGAGCTAATACCGCATCATGCCATGAAGCAGGAGATGCGGAGTGACAGATGACACAAAAGGAGACGAGAATCTGAAACCATACAGCTGCTGCTTATGCATCTATATGACCTAGGTTGGGACCCTGTCCCAGGGTCTGGGGATCTGGGGGACAGGATTCAGCCTCTGGGAGGGAGATTTGCCAAAGCTGAGAAGTCCGAGTGGTTTCCATAACAACAACCAATAGACTTGGTTTCCGAATGGGGTACCATTCTTGAGGCCTGGTCTTGACCATAGGGTCACATATCTAAGGCATATGCAGAATGATCCATCTGGGTTAAGGGCACAGTTCAGTGGCATTACAAAAAAATATATCAAAACTTCTATGGACCTTTTTAAAGATAAGTTTGTGTTTCTAACACATCTCAGCTTATGGCATTTGGTGGCCTGATGATGTTTTGAGTGGGCTGGATGAAGCCAAGGGTCACCAGGAAGCAACATTCTTTCTAACCACCATCCTGCACATCTGCTCTGTGAGGTGTCTTCTCCTGGCTCACATCTCCAGCTCATTGACACTGTTCCAGTCCCCAGGTAGCAAACAGCCCAGTCCAAATGAATAGCAAAACCTTACCATTAATGAAATCAGGTCTTCTGCCCTCACACTGGGACCACAGTAGTGTGTGTGTGTGTGTGTGTGTGTGTGTGTATTGTATTTCTGAATATATAAGATTTTCATTTTTTGTTATAAAATTTTACACACAAAAGGAGATAAATAGGTGATAGATAAAAAATAGAGGACAAAGACAAACACTCCTATATTCAATACCAAATTTCTCTACCTCTTCCCTGTTGAATTTCTCTCCTCTTTTCTCACCAGTGTCCATTCTTTCAAGTTTTATATACTTCTTAGAAGCAAATTATGTATCTATTTTTCTACGTAGTTCATAGGTATTATATATAATATATATTACTTCTTAGAAGGATATTCATTCACATTGCTCACACTAAAAATTTACTTCATTTTTATCTTATCTTAAAGTGTATTTTTGTATATGTTTTATACCAAACATATTTTCCATATACTACCTGTGCATAATGTAGAAACATATAAATATCTACTGATTGGGGTCTGTGTTCATGCTTTGTGAGTTGTGGTTGCGTGATCATGAAAGCTCAGAGGCCACCGCTCTAGAGAATGGGAGAAACGAGAGCCAAGCAGGGAAACAAAAAGAGGGAAGGAGAGGAAGACACAGGGGAGCAGCCAGTGGAGGGGAGGGGAGGGGAGGGGAGCGCAGGGAGGGGCAAATGTAGGGATAAGCCCCCTCCATTCAGAGGTCCCACGCTGACCAAGGCCCCACTCAGGAGCGCTGGTGTCCCAGGAGAACAGACATCGTGACAGAAATAAGTCTGCCTGTGTCAGTCCTGTCTCAGGACCTGCAAGCCGGCCCAGCCTGCCCCTGTCGCCCCACAGCCACGTCAGTGGGTCTGAAGTATGGGAGTCTCTGCTGCTTTGTGAGAAGCCAGAGTCTGGGGTGAGCTGTGGCCCAATGAGCACTCTACTGCCATAGCCAGAGCCACCTTCAACCTGCTGACGGATAGCACGCCGACCTGGAGCTCAGGGGGGCCTGTTCTGAGCACAAGGACTTGAGTGTAGTCAGCAGAGCCCCACTCACCTGATGTTCTCTGCCAGCTTGATTGGTGGCATTTCCCCCAGTGTAAGGCACTAGAGGGATCCTTCCAGAACTCTCTCTTCTATCTTGGGATAGTGTCACGTAACCATAGTCATCTGTGTTTTCATAGGAGCCTAGTAAATCTTCCGTTCCACTCTCCTCAAGAGTAATGGAAGAGAAACAGAGTGAGGAAACCTCCTGGCACCTCCAACATTCAGACCACGTCCCAAGTCCTTGTCGCAGGAGAGGAACACAATCGTGACAGTCAGTCCCCATTGCACACACTCCCTCTTCGTCCTGTCTTGCTGTGCGCTCTAGGCACGTCCTAGAGATGGGCGCTTGGGAAGTCACTCAGTTCATTTCTTAGGTCACTTATCCCACGCAGCTCAGCACCCCAGATGCCCGCTCATGCCTGCCTCTCTCCACCTGCGCTTGTGTGGAGGACAGAGTGCCCGTCAGGGCGGGGGTCACCCCCAGACTCTCCAACACACATGGCTGATGGAGACCAATGGCCAGAAAAATCAGAAATGGAATTTCAACTCATGCCTGTTTTCTGCTTTTCCACCTAGGAGAACCAGGACGTCCTGGCAGCCCGGGGAAGGATGGGACGAGTGGAGAGAAGGGAGAACGAGGTTAGTAGTTCCTATTTATGGTGCTCTAATTCTGAGCTGTCGACTATTTAACAATATTACCATGGACAAGTCCTCCATGCTGATTATAATCTTACAATAAAGGCAACACAGTTCTTACTCTCCAGACGGGGGGATTCTGCAGGGATTGGCAGGCTTTGCAGAGGGCTGGGTAGTAAATATTCTCAACTCCGCAGGCCATACAGATCTGTCACCACTACTCAACTTCCCCTTGTAGTGAAAAGAAGCTGTAGATGCTCCATAAATAAGCATGGCTCTGTTCCAGTGACACCATATGTGTGAAGACTGAAATGGGAATTTCCCATGGTTTCCATGTATTGTGGAATATTATTTGTGACCATTTAAACATGCAAACCATGGCCGAGCACCATGGCCCACACCTGTAATCCCAACACTTTGGGAGGCCCAGGTAAGAGAATCGCTTGAACCTAGGAGTTCCAGACCACCCTGGGCAACATAGTAAGACTTTGTCTATACAAATAAAAAAAAAATTAGCTGGGCATTGTGGCACGTGCCTGTAGTCCCAGCTACCCAGGAGGCTGAGGTGGGAGGATCGCTTGAGCCTGGGAGGTTGGGGCTGCCATGAGCCATGATCTCGTCACTGCACTCCAGCCTGGGTAACAGAGTGGGTGACCCTGTCTCAAAGCAACAAAAAAACAAGCAGACAAACAAAACCCAGAAAAACAAAAAAACATGTAAACCATATTTGTTTAGCTTGCGGGAGGGAGGCTGAATTTGGCCTGTGGCTGTAGTTTGTTGAACCTTGAACCTTGCAGTGGATGAGCACTGAGGAGTGAGACTGAGTTTTTGACTTGGTGCATCTGGCAGCACTGCATGGAGGAGGTGGAACTAGAACTGGTCCCTGATGGGTCGGGATGTAGTCGTAGTGGCAAACTTGTGTAATCTTCACTTTGTGCTTTTCATGTACTGACTCACTGAATGCAATATCCCCAGACGCTAGGTAGTTTTATTACCCTAGTTCCATATGTGAGGGAACAGAGGCACGAGGCTCACTAGCTCATCTGACGTCCTGTGTGCATATGGGGACAGAATGGAAACCTGGCATTTAACCTCAGAGTCCACACTTGCAACCACGGCTCTTTGGTATGGGTGGGGGTGCAAGGAAGCAGCAAGGTTTCTGTAGATGATGAATTGCCGGTGGGATAGGTGGGTTGGGGCTGGGGTTGGGCAGGAGAGGGCAATGCCTCGATGCAGGCTTTATTTTATGTTCACTCCAGGGAGGAGGTTTTTAGAGGATGTCACGACTAGGGTTGAGTGTCAGTTAATCTACCTGTCTCTGCTCTGAAGAGTGCTTTCTGTCATGGATTGACATTATTTAATGGCCAGCATGGTAGACTTAGATGGTAGGGTTGTAATTTCTAACGTGAGCCCTGACACTAATTTAGTAGACGGTAGTCAAAAGGTGTGTTGGGATGTGTGTGTGTCCATGTGCACACACGTGTGTAATTGGAGTAATTGATTTTCATTTATTTTTATTTTTTTTGAGACAGAATCTCACTCTGTTGCCCAGGCTGCAGTGCAGTGGTTTGATCACGGATCACTGCAGCCTCAGCCTCCTGGGCTCAAGCCATCCTCCCACCTCAGCCTCCTGAGTATCTGGAACTACAGTTGTGCACCACCGCGCCTGGCTAATTTTTGTATTTTTTGCAGAGATAAGGTTTGGCCATGTTGCCTAGGCTGATCTTGAATTCCTGGACTCAAGTAGTCTGCCCACCTTGGCCTCCCAAAGTGCTAGGATTACAGGCATGAGCCACTGAGCTGGGCTGGAGTAATTGAATTTTATTTTCTTATTTTTCTTTTTCTTTTTTTTTTTTAGAGTCAGGGTATTGCTATGTTGGCCAGGTTGGTCTTGAACTCTTGGCCTCAGGCAGTCCTCCTGCCGCGGTCTCCCAAGGTGCTAGGATTACAGGTGTGAGCCACTGCACCCAGATGGAGTAATTGAATTTTAAACTCTGGGCATATACTGAACCTGTGCACTACTTTGTTTCATTTGTGAGCTCAATTATAGAAAAACCAAAGTTGTTCACAAGGGAATCTTTCACAAGCTATCTCTTTATTTGCTCTTTCTCTATTTAGGAGCAGATGGAAAAGTTGAAGCAAAAGGCATCAAAGGTGATCAAGGCTCAAGAGGATCCCCAGGAAAACATGGCCCCAAGGGGCTTGCAGGGCCCATGGGAGAGAAGGGCCTCCGAGGAGAGACTGGGCCTCAGGGGCAGAAGGGGAATAAGGGTGACGTGGGTCCCACTGGTCCTGAGGGGCCAAGGGGCAACATTGGGCCTTTGGGCCCAACTGGTTTACCGGGCCCCATGGGCCCTATTGGAAAGCCTGGTCCCAAAGGAGAAGCTGGACCCACGGGGCCCCAGGGTGAGCCAGGAGTCCGGGGAATAAGAGGCTGGAAAGGAGATCGAGGAGAGAAAGGGAAAATCGGTGAGACTCTAGTCTTGCCAAAAAGTGCTTTCACTGTGGGGCTCACGGTGCTGAGCAAGTTTCCTTCTTCAGATATGCCCATTAAATTTGATAAGATCCTGTATAACGAATTCAACCATTATGATACAGCAGCGGGGAAATTCACGTGCCACATTGCTGGGGTCTATTACTTCACCTACCACATCACTGTTTTCTCCAGAAATGTTCAGGTGTCTTTGGTCAAAAATGGAGTAAAAATACTGCACACCAAAGATGCTTACATGAGCTCTGAGGACCAGGCCTCTGGCGGCATTGTCCTGCAGCTGAAGCTCGGGGATGAGGTGTGGCTGCAGGTGACAGGAGGAGAGAGGTTCAATGGCTTGTTTGCTGATGAGGACGATGACACAACTTTCACAGGGTTCCTTCTGTTCAGCAGCCCGTGACAGAGGAGAGTTTAAAAATCCGCCACACCATCCATCAGAATCAGCTTGGGATGAACTTATTCAGATGGTTTTACTTTATTAATTCCTCCAATTATTACAATAATCATAAAAAGGTGAAAATGGAAAAGTTATTCCCAAAACTGATTCTGTGTAACTTACTATTTTTCCAGGAGTAAATATTTAAAATAGCTGCATGGTTTATTCTAATTTATTTCACATTTCTTATTCCTATTATCTGAAGAATCCCTCGTCTGTGCGTTTCTTGTGGGAAGAGTGTTTTAATATCATTTTAGTGCTCTGAGGAGTCATATGAAGATGTATCCCTCATCTGTGTTTCTGAGGACATTAAGGGGAAATTAGAGGGAAATGTTTATTCAATTTAGTACTAGCAACAGCTTTAAGCTGGTGATGCTGTCATACTCCAGAAAGCTGTAGACACTGCTCATTTTGTCTTTTAAAAAAATTTTATTTTATTTTAAGTTCTGGGATACATATGCAAAACATGCATGTTTGTTACATAGGTAAACATGTGCTGTGGTGGTTTGCTGTATCTATCAACCCATCACCTAGGTATTAAGCCCTGCATGCATTAGCTATTTGTCCTGGTGCTCTCCCTCCCACTTTGCTCATTTTCTAACCTAGGTTTTAATCACCATTTTACCCAACAAATCATTGTTCGATCATTATTTGCCAGACTTGAATCTCTATGTGTTTTCTAGGACTGCTCTAATAAAGTACACAAACTGGGAGTCTTTAAACAACAGAAATGGACTTTCTCACAGTTCTGTAGGCTGGAAGTTTGAGATCACCGTAGCAGCAGGGCCATTCTCCCTCCAAAGGGGATACAGGAGGATGCAGCCTTGCTGCTTCCAGCTTCTGGCAGCTGGTGGCAGCATCACTCCAGTCCCCGCCTCCATCTTCAGGTGGCTGTCCTCCTTCTGTATCAGCCAAATTTTCCTCTTCTTACAAGGACAGCTTCCCTAATCTACTATGACCCATCTTAATCATATCTGCAGCTCCTTATTTTCAAATAAGGTCACATGTACAGGTTAGGACTTCAGCATCTCTTTTGGGAGACACAGTTCAACACAAAACAATCTGCCCTCTGATTCCCAAAGTTGATTTCCTTCACCTGTGCAAAATACATTTTCGCCCCATCTCAACATTTCCAAAAGTCTTAACACTTTCCGCGTCGAGCTTTCCTGAGCCCCTCTGGTGCAGCCACCTGCCTGTCCCATACACCCCGCCCACCATGGAGTCCAGAGGGAAATGAGCCAGCAGCCCCAAACCAGACACCAAGGCGCCCAAAGCCACCACCAAGGCCAAGGTACTTCTGGCAGACGATGGGAAAGCCCGCTTGACCAAGCCCTCGAAGAAGGAGGCCCCGGCCGAGAAGCAGCAGCCACTGGCAGCCCCCACCACAGTGCCTGCCAAGAAGACCCCGCCCTTCTCAACAACCACAGCCACCTGAAGCTGGTCCCCACGGGCTCCATGGTCCCCAGCAGTCCCGTTGCAACCCGGGAGCCCAAGGGTCCTGGGGACGGGGCGGCGGAGGACGAGGCTGCCGGTAGGTGTCCTAGGGGCCGAGGTCCCTGGTCCTGCGAGAACTTGAGGCCCCTGCTGGGAGTGGCCTATGCCGTGGCAGCCATAGCCTTGATCCTCGGTGTGGCCTTCCTGGCCTGGAAAAAATAATATCCGGGGCCAGGTGGTGGGCACGGAGCCACTTCCTGTAGAGACCTGAGGAAGCCAGTGCATGCAGAATTCACCCTTATCTATGTGTACACACGGACATTCATTACACGTCTATATATGCCCCCAACACATGCACACAGTGGCGAGGACACCAGGGCCCACCCCTGTTGATCCAGGACTTCCCCAGCCTCCAGGGCCGAGGGAGTCCATGCTCCAGGGTCCACAGTGCCGGATGCCGGGAGAGGGCACAGATGAGGAACTGCGAGAAAGGAATGGACCCTGTGTGGGATCTGGCGGTGGCTGGGTAATCCTGGGCCCCCAGGGCTGGTCTCTGAGTGCAGGTGGGGGTGCCGGGATGGGTTCTGCCTGGGCCCAACCCTCACGGGGACATCAAAGGGCATGGTTGTAAAAAGAAAAAAAAAAACCACACCATCAGATTGCATGAGACTCACTCATCATCACAAGAACAACATGGGGGAACCACCCCCATAATTAAATTACCTCCACCCGGTCCCTGCCTTGACACCTGGAGATTATGGGGATTGCAATTCAAGGTGAGGTTTGGGTGGGGACACAGAGCCAAACCGTATTATTCAAATAAGAAATCAAAAGAGGAATTGGAAAGTTTGTTGAGCTGAAAATGAAAACATGACATACCAAAATCAGGGAGTTGCAACTAATGTATGCTTGGAGGCAAATTTAAGCACTAAGATCCTACATTATAGCAAAAAAGAAATGTCTCAAATCAGTGACCTGAGTTTTCACCTTCAGAAACTGGAAAGAGACAGCAAATTAAACACAATGTAAGCAGATAAAGAAAATAATAATAATAAAAAAACAGAAATCAGTGAAAGAAAAAAGGGAAAATTATAAGAAAAATCCAAGAAAGTAAAAGCTAATCATTTTAAACAATCAATTAAATTGTTAAACTTCTAGTCAGCTGATCAAGAAAAAAGTAAAAAGGCACGAATTACCAACATCAGGAATGAAAGGGTGGGTGTCACCAAATCTTCTACAGTAATTATAAGGAAACAATGGACTACTGTAAGCCATTTTTTTCTAATAAATTTGATAACTTAGGTGAAATGAACACATTCTTTGGAAGCCATAAACTATCAAAGTTCACTCAAGAAGAAATAGATAACATGAGTATCTAGTAACAAAATCAAGTTTTTAATTAAAATCCTGATGACAAAGAAAACTATAGGCCCAGGTGGTTTTCATGGTGAAGTCTAACAATATTTAAGGAAACAATAACAATTCTACACAAATCCTTCCAGACAATAGAAAAGGAAAAGGTCCTTTTTTTATTAGATGAAGACAGCATTACTTTCTTACTAAATCAAACAGACATCATAACAAACAACAATAGAGACCAATATCCCTCTGAACAATGATGAAAATATTCTTAGCAAAATTTTAGCAAATCTAGTTTATCTATATCATTCATGACAAAGTATAGTTTATCGCAGGAAGACAAAGTTGATTTAACGTTCAAAAATCAATAAATGAACTTTATCATATTAGTGGACAAAAAGAAAAATGCATATGATCATCTCAATAGAAAAAGCACTTAGTAAAACCCAACATTGAGTCATGATTAAAAGCCCTCAGAAAACCAGGGATAAAATGAAGAGTCCTCATAGGATGCAGGCCATCTACACAAAAATCTATGTCTTCCTAAAATTGAGAACAAGGTAAAGATATCCACTCTCACCACTTTTATTAAACATTGTACTGGAGGTTCTATCTCATGAAATAAGGCAAGAAAAAGAAATCAGTCATCTAGATTGGAAAGAGTAACACTTTCCTTATCATTTGTGTAGACCAGTCCATGGAATCCATGAAATAAAAGCTATTAGAACTAATAAGTGAGTTAGCAAGGTGGCAGAGTTCAAAATTAATATACACAAATCAATGGTATTTTTACATATAACAATCATAAATTGAAATTTTAAAAGTTATTTCCAATACCTTTAACAAATATAAAATCGTTAGCCATAAATCAAATAAAACATGTGGAAGACTTGTACATTGAAAACTACAAAACATTGCTGAGAGAAATTAAAGAAGACCTAACTAAATGGAACATGTAACATGTTCATGGACAGGAAGACTTGAAGTTGTTAAGATATCAGTTCTCCCAAGTTGAGTTATAGATCAGTGGAATCTCAATCAAAATTCCAGAAGGCTTTTAAAAGTAAAAATCGATAACTGAACTTTAAGTTTTTATGGAAAAAATGAAGAACCTAGAATAGTGAAAATAATTTTGCAAAAGAAGAACAAAGTTGGAGGACTTACTTATCTGATTTCAAGGCTAAATATAAAGCTATATTAAAACAGTATGGTATTGGCATACATATAGACAAATAGATCAATGAAACACAATAGAGATTCCAGAAATAGACTCACATATATATGGCCAATGGATTTCTGACAAAGTACAAAGACAATTCAATAGAGAAAGTATAGTCTTTTCAACAAATGATGCTGAATCCCCCAAAAAGTGAACTTTGATTCATACCTCACCGTATATACAAACTTTAATTCAAAGGAATCATAGACTTTAAACTATAAAATTTAAAAAAACAATAGAGCAGAAATCTTCGTGACCTTGGATACAACATAAAAAGCATAATTCACAAGAGAACAAATTGATAGTATGCATTTCATCAAAATTAAAAACTTCCACTCTTCAAAATATACTGTTAAGAGAATGAAGACATAAATCAAGAGGACGTATTTTTAAATCACATATCTGTAAAGGACTTCTAAGCAGAACATATAAAACCCTCGAACCTCAATAATAAAATGCAAACATCCAATAAAAAGAGGAACAAAAGATTTGAACAGACACTTCACCAACAGAAATATTGATGGCAAACAAGATCATGAAAAGAGGCTTAATATCATTATTCAATAAAGAGATGCAAATTGAAACCACAAGCTGATACCACTACACATCTGCTAGAAGGTGTAAAATTAAACAGACTGATATACCAAGTGATGGCAAGGATGTAGAGAAATTAGAAACCTCCTACACTGCTGGTGGGAAGGTAAAAATGGCACAACCACTTTGGAAAACAGTTTGGCAGTTTATTAAATAGCTAAATACACCTACCATATGATCCAGCCATTCCACTCCTAGAGAGAGAAAAGCATATGTCTATATAAAGGTTTGTATGCAAATGTTTATAACAGCTTTATTTGCAATAACCAAAAGCTGGAACCAATCCAAATGTTCATCAACTCCTGAATGTATTAACAAATTGCCTTTACTCATAAAATTGAAGACTCTTCAGCCATAGAAAGAAATGGGGTTGTTGATACTGCCAAAAACATGGATGAATCTTAAACTAATTTTGCTGAAGGAAAGAAGCCAGACTTCACAAAAGTATGAGGACATACACTATGCTTCCAGGTATATAAAACTATAGAAAATGCAAACTAACCTATGATAACTGAAAGTATGTCAGTGGTTGCCTGGGGACAGGCTGAGGGTGGAGAAGTGGAGGGAAGGATTACAAAGGGCACAAGGAGAGACTGGGGTGATGGACACGTTTATTATCTTTTTTTTTTTTTTTGAGACGGAGTTTCCCTCTGTCACCCAGGCTAGAGTGCAGTGGTACAATCTCGGCTCACCGCAACCCCCACCTCCCGGATTCAAGCGATTCTCCTGCCTCAGCCTCCCGAGTAGCTGGGATTACAGGAATGTTCCACCACGCCTGGCTAATTTTTGTATTTTTGGTAGAGACGGGGTTTCACCATGTTGGCCAGGCTGGTCTCCAACTCCTGACCTCATGATCCACCCGCCTTCACCTCCCAAAGTGCTGGGATTACAGGCGTGAGCCACCGTGCCTGGCTGATATGTTTATTATCATAACTTTAGTGATGGTTTCACAAGCATAAACACATCAAATGCATCAAATTTTGCACTTTCAGTATGTGCGGTTTATTGTATATCAATCACCCCTCAATAACACTGTTTAAAAAAGAAATATTAAAATTAAATTGTAAATTATCAGAGTAAAAGATAAACACTAAAAGCACTTTAAAAAAGGCATAACTGTAAAGGGACTCTGATTAGATTGACAGCAAACTTCACAACTGCAGCAATCACGACCACACACAGTGGAACAGTATATTCCAAGTGCTGATGAAAATAATCATCAGTATGGAATCTACCCTGCTGAACAGTGTTCAAGAGATAGTATAAAATGAATGCTTTTTAAAATTATTTATTTTTAGGGCGGGGCTGCCAAGGGAGGAGGAAGATGGCTGCGGGGGCGAGGTGAGGTGTTGGCAGCGGGAAGGAGTTCGGGCTCAGGGGGCGGGGGGACACGGAGCGATGCCCGCGCAGGCCGTAGGGGCGGATAAAAAGCCGTAGCGCCATGGCTCACGCCTGTAATCCCAGCACTTTGGGACGCCGAGGCAGGCGGATCAAGAGGTCAGGAGATCGAGACTATCCTGGCTAACACGGTTGAAACCCCGTCTCTACTAAAAATACAGAAAAAAAAAAAATAGCCGGGCGTGGTGGCGGGAGCCTGTAGTCTCAGCTACTCGGGAGGCTGAGGCAGGAGAATGTCGTGAACCTGGGAGGCGGAGATTGCAGTGAGCCCAGATCGCACCACTGCACTCCAGCCTGGGTGACAGAGCGAGACTCCGTCTCAAAAAAAAAAAAAAAAAAAAAAAGCCGTCGCGCCTCGGGAGTGGGCTGGGGGGAGAGGGGGTGCCCAAGGGCCACAAGAGTATGACGGGGCTGTACGAGCTGCTGTGACGGGTGCTGCATGCGCTGCTCCGTCTGCACCGCACGCTCACCTCCTGGCTCCGCGTTCGGTTCCACACCTGGAACTGGATTTGGCGGCGCTGCTGCCGCGCCGCCTCTGCCGCGGTCCTAGAGCCGCTTGGCTTCACGCTCCGCAAGCATGGAACAGCCCTCACCACACGCACCCGCGCGGGGGGTAGTGCCTGCCCGCAGCCCACCACCGAATGCGCTGGCGCGCGGACGGCCCTTCCCTGGAGAAGCTGCCTGTGCGCATGGGCCTGGTGATCACCGAGGTGGAGCAGGAACCCAGCTTCTCGGACATCGCGAGCCTCGTGGTGTGGTGTATGGCCGTGGGCATCTCCTACATTAGCATCTACGACCACCAAGGTATTTTCAAAAGAAATAATTCCAGATTGATGGATGGAATTTTAAAACAACAGCAAGAACTTCTGGGCCTAGATTGTTCAAAATACTCACCAGAGTTTGCAAATAGTAACGACAAAGATGATCAAGTTTTAAATTGCCATTTGGCAGTGAAGGTGCTATCCCCGGAAGATGGAAAAGCAGATATTGTGAGAGCCGCTCAGGACTTTTGCCAGTGAGTAGCCCAGAAGCAAAGGAGACCCAAAGATTTGGATGTAGATATGTTAGTTTACTCAGTTCAAATGGTTGTCCTGATCCTGATTTAGTACTGAAGTTCGGTCCTGTGGACAGCACACGAGGCTTTCTTACCTGGCACATCAGATTGACTGAGATTGTCTCTTTGCCTTCCCATCTAAACATCAGTTATGAGGACTTTTTCTCTGCCCTTCGTCATTATGCAGCCTGTGAACAGCGTCTGGGAAAGTCGTGGTCATTGGTTGCATAATTCCATTTGAGGCTTATGGAGGAAAGGACCCAAGTGACTCTGATGTTTAGAAAGCACCTATGAAACCCTGTACACACCTAGTTCATAATCTTCATAATTTATCAACAAACAAAAAAGTGTCTTACTTGAGAGTGAGTGTGTGCGTGTGTGCGTGCACACATGTGCACGTTTGTATGTGTGGAAATAAACATAAATGGGGACGTGTTGGAGAAGGAAATACATAGACCTACAACTTTGAGCATATAGCAGTGATGTTTTAGGAACTGAAATGTCACACTTAATAAAGTCTTCAGCCCAGCTACTTCCCTGTTTTCGTGGGGAGAAGAGGGCCTGATTAGAACTGTTCTGGTTGTGTTTGGCGGGAGGGGAATAAATTTTGTTCAGTCCTTCTTAGTGACCAAACTTTAATTTTTAAGAATAATATATTGACTTACTGAACTGAAGCATTCTGAGTTGAAAGGAGCTCCAGAGGAAAGGAGTTCTGTGTTGCTCACATGTTAAAAGCTTGCTCACCTTCAGAGCAGAGGGAATACCTATCTTCAGATATCCGCCCATTTTCATCTCTTCATTATAGTCAAACAGTGTGACTTGAGAGTGTTGCTCTGGTGTCTGTATTCTGGCTTATGAAGATTATTTGAAAAACAACTCTTACTACATTGAAATGCAGACTTTAAAAAATTTAAATATGCGGCCTGGCGCGGTGGCTCACGCCTGTAATCCCAGCACTTGGGAGGCCGAGGCAGGCGGATCACGAGGTCAGGAGATCGAGACCATCCTGGCTAACACGGTGAAACCTGGTCTCTACTTAAAATTCAAAAAATTAGCCTGGCTTGGTGGCGGGCGCCTGTAGTCCCAGCTACTTGGGAGGCTTAGGCAGGAGAATGGCGTGAACCCAGGAGGCGGAGCTTGCAGTGAGCCAAGATGGCGCCACTGCACTCCAGCCTGGGCGACAGAATGAGACTCCCTCTCAAAATAAATAAATAAATAAATAAATAAATATTGGATTAGGCAGTCAGAAAACAAACCAAACAAGCATAAAAGGTCAATAAGTTGTAATCTTAAAAGTAAAGGTCAAAAACTCATGATAAGTGGAAAAAAAGTTTTGATTTCCTTTTTTGTTTGATGGGCAGTATGCCATATTATACCCAAACTTGGTTTAAAAAATATTCCCATCAACTATTTTTATTTAAAATAAACATTTGAGGGAAGTTACCACGGCAACTTTTTTTCCTCAAAAGTAACCTGTTCCTCTTTGGAACTGCACATTTTAGGGGCATGGTTAATACCTGAGATTTTTACTCAGTAAACCTGATGGTTACCGTGTGTAAAATATCTTTAAGTAGGATTGAAGGCCTCTGTGGGGAATAAAATATTGCCAAAGCCTATAAAAATAAATTTTACATGTTCTCTTTTATGACAGAGAGCAGCACTGGTTCTGTTATTTTTAAAATGAATAATTGATTTCTTGACTGGTGTTTAATATTTCTTTCCTCACTGCTGATTCTTAGATAGAAACCATTATTTATATTTGATAGACTGTTTTCAGAAAACTCTTATCAACAAGTGTACAATAGTTATCTAAAACTGTACATTTAGAATGGAGGAGTTTAATACTAGATCTCGGAAGTTTGAAAAATAGCAAAGAAGACTGGATTTGGAAAGCATGGTCTACAATTGCTTGTCAAATTCTGAAGCTATGAAGAATAAATGTTTCAACTTTAGATTATGAAACCCCATTTATGATTTTTTAAATACACTTGAAATAAAAATGATTGAACTAAATTTTGGTCCAGTGACATTACTTTGCACTGCATAGCCTATTATACATTGTAAGTCTTTTTGTTTTATTACTGAGATTTTTCTGTAAAGCTACAGCATATCTAATCAGAGAATTTCTGATTTGTTTCCTTATACTGTGATTATGTTATATTGAGGCATTTGTAGTGCAGCTTAAGACTGAATTTATGCTTTTTGTAAACATGATCGGTGTAAATGTCTTATAAACATTCTGGAGTATGTATAGCTTTAATGAATGAAATTTAATGGACCTGATTAAAATGAAGGGATTTAATCTTTGTTAAAGTGAAGTTAGTGGAATAAATTACCTACTGGAATATAGTCCAAGCCACTAAAGGTTTAATATTTGCATTTTTTTGCTTTTATTTTCTCCTTCCATTTATAAGTATATACTTGAAAGTACATCTGTAGCCTATGACTTGAGTCTCTTGAACTTCTAGGAAGAGGCAAACTACAAACTACCAGGATTCTGATTTCAGATATAGGCATTCCAGAATCTTCTCTTTATGAGTTCACCTGCTAGTACAATCTCCATAACTTGAATGGCATTGGTTGTTCTATAATTGCTGCCAAAATCATCACAAGCTGTACGTCATCAAGGCTCCCTTTGCACTCCCAAGAAGAACTGTTCATTTTAAACAAAAGTGTATGTCTTTATTTGTATTGGAAAATATTGTCTTTAAGTTGTTTCTTGTTGACACTCCCCTCAGTGGAAAAGTTACCAAATTAAACCTGTTTTATGGATGGCAGCTTGGAGCATAGCAAGAAGTTGGAGGATTTGAATTCCATTCCCAGTTCTCATTGTGTTTTGTTTCTTAAAACAATAATAATTGATTACTGTTATAAAGTTTAAAAGGTGGTTTTAATGTGAATAGCAAATTCTGGTATATTGTGACTAACGCTTAAGAATGCCTGTCTTTGAGAGGAAGGTGTTATAATATTAATGAACAGTGCCAAATACACTGTGCATATCTACAATTTAATCTTTGAATGTATGTTACTGGATTAGCTCCCTCCTCCTTCTTTGTGATGGTGCCATGCACAGAGTCAATCAAATCCTTGTGATGTTTTGTATGGACTTTAACAACATGTAAATAATGTGTAAAGCAAGTTTTTATGATTAAGGAATCAAATTTATTGAATTTTATTATTGAAAGTTGAAACTTAACATGTATGAACAAAAACCAATAAAAGAATATACTCTTTTCATTGACTATAAAAAATTATTTATTTTTAAAAATTCCACAAATACCATACATATTTATGGGATACACAGTGATGTTCCTATACATACAATGTATAGTCATCAGATCAAGGATATTAGCATATCTGTCATCTGAAATATTGATCATTTTTTGTGTTGGGAGAATTCAATATCCTCTTTTAGCTATTTGAAAATATACATGCTTGACTATAATCATCCTACAGTGCTATAAAACATTAGAACTTATTCCTCCTAACTGTAATGTTGTGTCCTTTAACAAATCTCTCCCTATATCCCCCTTCCCTTTCCACCCTCTAATAACCTGGGTTCTACTCTTTACTTCTGTGAGATCAACTATTTTAGCTTTTACATATGAGTGAGAACATGTTTAACTTCCTGTTCCTGGCTCATTTCACTTAACACCATGTCCTCCAGACTCATCCATGTTTTCGTGGAGGACAAGACTTCATTCTTTTTTATTGCTGAATAATATTCCATAATATGTGTGTGTGTGTGTGTGTGTGTGTGTGTGTATAAAATCACGTTTTCTTTAGCCATTCATCTGTTGATGGACACTTGGGTTGACTCCATAGCTTGGCTATTGTGAATAGTGCTGCAATGGACAGGGAGTGTGCACAACTCTTGGATGTACTAATTTTCTTTCCTTTGGCTCTTTACCCAGTAGTGGGACTGCTAGATCATATGCTAGTTCCATTTTTGTTTTTTTGAGGAAACTCTATACTGTTTTCTATAGTGGCTGTACTAGTTTACATTCCCACCAATAGTGTGTAAGAATTCCCTTTTCTCCACCTTCTCACCAGCATTTATTATTTTTTTGTATTTTTGACAATAGCCATTCTAACTGAAGTGAGATGATACCTCACTGTGGTTTTGATTTGCATTTATCTGATGATTAGTGATACTGAACTTTTTCCATATATTTGTTAGTCATTTGCATGTCCTTCTGAGAACTATCTGTTTGAATCATTTGCCCATTTTTAATTTTTTTTTTTTTTTTTTTTTTTTTTTTGCTGTTGAGATGTTTGAATTCCTTGTATATTCTAGATATGAATCCCTTGTTGGATGAATAGTTTGCAAGTATCTCTCACCCTATGCGAAAGTTAACTCAAAATGGATCAAAGACTTAAATATAAAACCTGAAACTATAAGAACTACTAGAAGAAAACACAGAGAAAATGCTTTACGACATTGGTCTTGGAAAAGATTTTATGAATAAGACCTTAAAGCACAGGCAACAAAAGCAAAAATAAACAAATGGGATTACATAAAAGTAAAACGCTTCAGCATACCAAAGGAAACAATCAATATAGTGAAAAGAGAACTGACAGAATGGATGAAATGAAGACTTTCAGAACCAAAGCATCCTGAGAGAGTGTCCCACTGAAGACCTACACACAACAGCCCACTAAGAGGTACACTTTGACCAAAAGTAAATTGAACCTGGGAAGATGGAATAAGATACATGAAGCTCGGGTGAGCAAAGAAAATGCAAGATAATACAGGTAAATCTGAAGGAGCACTGAGTGTGTAAAATAATAATAATAATAACTAATAATGCAGGTAAAAAAATACTACTGAACTAAAACCTTATAGAAGATAAACACTAACTTATGATTTAAGGAGAACAACAACCTCTTAACCTAAGAATACGAGAGAATTTCCTTATCCTGATAAAGAAGATTAAATCATATAGAAAGTATTATCTTTCATTGTAAAATTCAGTGCTACTCTAAAATCAGCTCTATTTTTATGCCTCATTGTGCTAGAGACCCTAGGAGCACATTGTGGGAAGAAAAGAAATCTGTTATAGGGTCTAAGAAGTAAAAAAAACTAAGCTATTATTATGTGCAGAATATTTTTGAAGAGGAAATTCAAGATAATCTAGAGACAGCTATTAGAATTAACTAGGGAGTTCAATGAATTGCAGGATATAAATTCAGCATAAAAATTACTAGCAAAAATTAGATAAGTATATAAGATTCCATTAACAGTGAAAAATCCCACAAGGTTCCTAGAGATACATGTAATAATAATGTGCAAGATGTTTCTAATAGGAGGAAATGGGTAAACTTTCTTGGAAGGCATGAAAGAAGACCTAAGTGAATGGAGAAATATGCCATATTCATGAATGGAGAGACTCAATAATGATGAAAACTATCATTACATTGATCTAAAGATAAAATGTATTTCCAAAATCTTTTCCCAAAATGTGTTTTTCATGCTGATTTACAAAATTAACATACAAGAGCAATGAGCCAAAAATAGCCAAGACATACCTAAATATAAAGGCGAGAGAGATAACAGATATCACAACTTGTTTTATAGAGCTACAAGTCTTAAGAGAGTGTGATATGGTTCAGGGATGGGTAAATAAAACAATGAAACTGAGGCTACAGCTAGAAAAAGAACCATGAATACATGTGAACTTGGTATATGATGGGGGCATTACCCCTCAATGGGGAAGGGGTGCACTACTTGGCACGTGGTGCTGGAGCAACAGAAAACAAATTCATCAAGAAAAAATAAGTCACAGGTAGGTCAACACCTACATGTGAGAATGCAAAGCTGTAAAAGATAACATGAGTTTATACTAATATCAAAACAGGAGGAACAGTCTGAGGTATCAGACACATTAAAATTTAAAATTCTGTTCAGAACAAGGCACCATCAATAAAGCAAAAAAATGTACATGCCTCAGTCTGAGAGGATATATTTGCAATCCACATAACCAATAAAGTATCACTATCCAGATACATAAATAGTTCTGAAAATCAGTAAGAAAAAGGCAAGCGACCCCATGGAAAAATGAGCAAATGATAAGAAACAATAAATATCAGGAGAAAACAATGGGCAATAAATACGTGAAAAGTGGCTGAACTTCACTGCTAACACTGAGAAACACAAATTAAAACAACTAGATGCCATTTTTCACCCATTAGAGTGTAAAAAATTAAGAAGTTTGATACTAATGAGTGTTGCCATGAATCTGTGGAAATGGAAACTCTGCTGCTGGAAGGCGTATAAATTGGTATAACCACTTTGGACAGCAAAGCAGCAATACTTAATAATAATGGCAATGATAGCACTAATGTTTAATACTTATTGAACATTTATAAAGTGCCAGGCATTGTTAAAAGCTGGTGTGGAAAGCTGACAACACACATTCCCAGAAGCCAGGGTTCTTTCTGCAGTGGCCTGGCCCAAGATCCCCTGCACACGGCACCAGCAGACACAAGCAAGGCTGCTCGTGGTATGGTGGGAAAGCAGAACTCATTTGCAAGTTCCTGAGTGGGGAAGGATCACTAATCTGTGCCTCATTGGCATGACAGAATATTCTACTCTACTTAACAGAAACACACTGAATTGATATCCATCAATATGGATAAATTTCAAAAACTTGATGTTGAGTGAAAAAAAGCAAGTTGCAAGAATCTTTACACCATTTTGCCATTTATGTCATCTTTAAGGCACAAAAAATATGGATGCAAGCATGTGATAGAAAAGTACAAACTTGTAGGTGGGAAATACAGACACCAGCCCTCCTCCATAGCGAGCTGACAGCCGGCTGGGGAGCTGCTGGGGTCCTCCATCCATCCATCTGTCCATGCATCCACAGGAGCCAGGCCATCTCCAAGGAGGGAACACCGGCTAAGGGAAGCAAGAGCCAGCCTTGAGGAGCTGGAAACTGGAGGAAGATTATTCTAGGAATTCAAGGACTTATGACATTTGAAATCTATTAATGTCATTTGTTATGATTCATTATACATTAAAAAGTCAGGAAACAGCAGATGATGGAGAAGATGTGGAGAAATAGGAATGCTTTTATATTGTTGGTGGGAGTCTAAACTAGTTCAACCATTATGGAAGATAGTGTGGCGATTCCCCAAGGATCTAGAACCAGAAATACCATTTGACCCAGCACTCCCATTACTGGATATCCCAAGGACCCTAAATCATTCTACTATAAAGACACATGCACACGTATGTTTATTGCGGCACTGTTCACAATAGCAAAGCCTTGGAACCAACCCAAATGCCCATTAATGATAGACTGGATAAAGAAAATGTGGCACATACACACCAAGGAATACTATGCAGCCATAAAAAAGGATGAGTTCATGTCCTTTGCAGGGACATGGATGAAGCTGGAAACCATCATTCTGAGCAAACTAACACAAGAAAAGAAAACCAAACACCACATGTTCTCTCTCATAAGTGGGAGTTGAACAACGAGAACACATGGACACTGGGAGGGGAACATTACATACCGGGGCCTGTTGGTGGGTGGGGGGGCTAGGGGAGGGATAGCATTAGGAGAAATACGTAATGTAGATGACGGGTTGATGGGTGCAGCAAACCACCATGGCACGTGTATACCCATGTAACAAACCTGTATATTTTGCACATGTATCCCAGAACTTAAAGTGTATTCCAGACAGTCTTTTTTTTTATTAAAAAGAAACCACAGGCTCAACTTAACATGCATCCAAGATAACACTTGTTAAAATCCTACCTCCATGCAGGATGAGAATTCCTCCAGAGGTGGGAACAGAGAAAACTTCATGCTTGGTAAAGCACCTGAGGCACCCATTACAATCTGGGACAAGATGAGGACATCAACACTCATGCTGTATTCCACATGGGAGGCCAAGTCAACGCAAGATGATTTTTAAGAGATATAAGAGCCAGGCGCGGTAGCTGACACCTGTAATCCCAGCACTTTGGGAAGCTGAGGTGGGAGGCTCACTTGAGGCCAGGAGATCAAGACCAGCCTAACCAACAAAGCAAGACCAAGACCCCTTCTCTACAAAAAAATAAGAAAATTAGCCTGGCGTGGCGGTGCACACCTGTGGTTCCAGCTACACTAGAAGCTGAAGGGGGAGGTTCACTTGAGCCCCGAGTTTGAGGCTGCAGTGAGCCACATTAGCGCCACCGCACTACAGCCTGGGTGACAGAGCAAAAGCCTGTCTCCAAAAAAATAAAATAAAAGCTATAAATACTGCAAAGAGGCAAAAACTGCTGTGGTTTACTGACAATATGATCATATCTAGCAAATCCAAGAAAAAAAAAAGTAAAAATTACTAATAAAGGAATTCAGTAATATAGTCAGAGATGAGGCCAACATATAAAAATCCATATCTTTATACACAAGAAATAACCATTTGAAAGAAGCTGTCCCATTTACAATAGCTAGAAAAACTGTAAAATACCAGGGGGCAGAGGTTGGAAGTAACAAAAATGCACACAAAACCTGTGAGAGGAAAACTAAAACTTTATTGGCAGACACAAAAGAAACTTTCTGAGTAAATGGAGAGAAATCTTGAACGAGAAAATTAACATTGTAAAGATGTCAACGGTCTCCCAAAGTGATCGAAATGCACCGTGGAATCCCAGTTAAACTGCAATTGCATCTTTTACGGAATTTGACGCACTGACTGAAATTCACCTGGAAAAGAACATGCTTAGTAAACATGGTTTCCTGGGGGGAAAAAAAAACAAAAAACAAAAAACAAAAACCCAAAAAACAATGAAAATTGGTCTTGCAGACAAGGTTCAAATTAGAGATCCCAGAAAGAAACGGATGTATCTCCGGGCGGTGAGGTACACTGGGAAGGGCATGTTCCACGGAAAGAGCAGATGGACTGTCTGGAAAACAGGCTGCCAGGGGACAAAATCAACACAGAGTTCCAAGTCACAAACACGGGTAAATTCTGTGGATTAAAGAAAGATATCTAGAGATCTACAAACACAAATCTAAAGAATCCTTGATTTCACTGGAAATCAAAGATGTTGATGAAGGTAATCATGAGCTATTGTTTTTCACTCATAAAACTGGAGGTGAAAGACAAGGATTAACGTTTCTAGCGATGGTAAAGGTGTAAAAAGTATTTGGCTGCGCGGCTGGTGGTGAATAATTTTTACAACCTTCTCAGAAAACAATATGGAAACGTCCAGCACAAGCCAGCAGAGAAAGCCTGTTTGAGGCCTCTGCTGTGGATAGGGATGCCTGCCTGAACACAGGGGAATCATGTGCATCCATGCTAGCTGCAGTCATTTTGGTAATAGAAAAAAAAAAAAAAAGAATTAGAAGGGGAAGAAAAGAGAAGCACCTTAATTCTTCGCCGGCGGAGGAGATCTTGTTACACAGCAGCATCGCCCCACAGGGCAGAGGCCTCTGCAGCCATCAAAGAAAATGAGATCGAGCTAAGTGGGCCAACGTGGAAAGCTCCCGGGACATGGTGTTATATGTAAAAAGCAAGTTGCAGACAACGCATGAAATATGTATGATTCCATTTGTGAAAATGCAGCATCGCTAGAAAAAACTGTATATTTTATTTCGTATGTACACACAGTGTGTAGATCCATGTAAAGAAAGCAGTCCAGACGGTGGGGCGGGGTTGGAGATGCAGCCAGCCCTGCTTTGTGTCTAGATACTCTGGCATGCTTGGCGCCCCCATGCCCGAGGTCATGTGCTCCTGCCATAATTTAAACAAACGCCTGAACAGCAAAATGAAATTGGAATAGGCAGCTGGACGTGGTCTGGAGCGCAAGAGGAAGGTGCGGTGCGGTGAGAAGGGAGACCGCGCTAGACCAGGTGATGTCTTACTGAGAGGTGAAAATGTGCTAGCAGCCCTCCCTCGCTCTCAGCGCCTCCTCGGCCTCGGCGTCCACTCTGGCCTCGCTGGAGGAGCCCTTCAGCCCCCCACTGCACTATGAGGGCCCCTCTCTGGGGCTGCCCCTAGGCCGGGGCCGGGTCCCTCTGCTCGCGGGGAAGTTTGAAAAGAGAGGCGAAGGCGGGAACCGGGGCTGCGCGAGGCGTTCGCAGGCTGCGCGGGTTCCGGGTGGGCACGGGATCGGCGGGCCCCGCACTCACCGCGGCTGGCCGGCGCCTGCTGGGCTTGATTGGACGCTGGGTCTCGTGCATGGACCGCCCTTCCCTCTTCGCGGTGTCGTTGGCCACGATGGCGGGTCTCCTTCTGTTACTAGCTTCTCCTCTCTTCCTCTTGATTGGCTGGGAAGACCTCCCTCTGGGAAGCAGGAGTGCCTGGGACAGGTGCCGCAAAGTCCCGCCTGGACTGCGAGAGGTGAAGCCGGTTGCGCTTCTGGGTCCAGTGAGGACTTGGAGAACTTTTCTGTCTAGCTAAAGGATTGTAAACGCACCAATCAGCACTCTGTCAAAACGGACCAATCAGCTCTCTGTAAAATGGGCCAATCAGCTCTCTGTAAAATGGACCAATCAGCAGGATGTGGGTGGGGCCAGATAAGGGAATAAAAGCAGACCACGCAGACCAACAGCGGCAACCTGCTTGGGTCACTTTCTTGGGGGGGGGTGGGGGGGGGGGAGAGGAGGAGGGGTTTTTTTGGTTTTTTGAACTAAATGTTGTTATTCCTAGCACTTTGGGTCTGCACTAGGTTTGTGAGCTGTAATACTCACCAGGAAGGTTTGCAGTTTCACTGCTGAAGCCCTCAAGACCAGGAACCTAATGGGAGGAACAGACAGCTCTGGACGTGCTACCTTCTAAGAGCTGTAACACTCACCACGAAGGTCTGCAGCTGCATTCCTGAAGCCGGGGAGACCAGGAAGCCACCAGGAGGAACGAATAACTCCAGACATGCGGCGTTTAAGAGCTATAACACTCCTAGCGAAAGTCTGTAGCTTCGCTCGTGAGGTTAGTGTAGGCCACGAACCCACCAGAAGGAAGACACTTCGGAAACATCTGAACGTCTGAAGGAACGAACTCCGGACACGCCATTTTAAAAAACTAACACTCACTGCAAGGGTCCAGGGCTTCCTTCTTGAAGTCAGCGAGACCAAGAACTGACCAAATCCTGACACATAGGAATTGCAGAGGGGTGAGGCCCATGGCGGTGCTGAGGAGCGGTCCAGGAAGTATTGGTGAGAGGGATGGGGAGACCCAAGAGTGTAAGGTAAGGAAAAGGCCAGGGAAGCCGCAGACTTCCTGGAAGGTCCCGGGGCGAAGGCAGTGGGAAGGATGGGCCGGCGGCGCCATAAGAGGCTGGGGTGGCGTTGGGCAAGCGGCTCAGAGCTGCGGGGGAGCTCCAGCATCCCGGGAGCTGCTGAGGGAAGGGGAGGAGCAGGGCCTGGCTGGAAAGGGGGTGGGATGGGGAGAGCTGGGCTGTGTCGCTGCCCTGTCCCCGGAAAGAGGCGCCCCCCGGTAGCAGCGGGAGGAGCTGGGGGAGAAAAGGCTGTCACTCTCTAAGGAGTGGGGTGAGCGAGGCCGTGGTGGGGTGCTTAGTAGCCGAGGATGGGCCAAGTTGGAGGAGGAGAAGGTGCGGCGGTGCAGGAGCAGGCAGCGCCGTTCTCGCTGGGCCTGGGGTCCCGCAGCGCCTGGGACCGGAGCAGTGAGTGAGCGTGGGTGGGAGCTGCGGCCTGGGTCCCTGCGCCCGACTGCCCCGAAGGCAGGTGTGGTGGGGGGGTTGGGGGGGTGGGGGTGGGGTGTGAGGGGCGGGTGAGGCGCATTTCCAGGGGGAGTGAGTCCGGGGCCCTTGGCCTGTAGGCTAAGCAGCGAGGACAACAGCGAGGGGGCTCCGTGGCATTGCTTGGCGGGGTCACCGCGCATGCCTACTCGCTGTGGAGCCTGGGGACTCGCCAGCCACCGCGCGGGTTTACCACGGCCCACCAGGCTCCCGAGCCACCTACATAGAAGGGTGAGCTGTGGAGCGTGGTGAGCGGGCTGCCAGGCTCCTGCCGCTTAGGCCACCCTGAGCCAACGCTGCCCAGGTGGCATCCACAGCCGGTGGCCCGCGGGCCTGGGCATGAGACCCGCGCCTCAGCCCCGCCTGCCCCGCTGGGAGAGGTAAATGGACCGCACTTGGTTTACGCCGGTTAGAGTCTCAGATGCTTTGTTACAGGGGCACAAACTACCCTACCCCTACTGTGCGTGGGTGCGGGAGCCTTGGTCCATAAGGGAGCCATGTGGGCAATGGCTTAGGGTGGTTTAGGGTTCCTCAGAGACAGAGAACCAGCTGGAGACACACACACACACACACACCACACACACACACAAACACACAAACACACACACACACACACACACACACACACACACACACACACACAGAGTCCCGCCTGCATCTCAGTGATTCCAAGCACGGACCTCTCACATACGATCTATAGCCCGTAAGAAGAAAACGCAGCGGAAAGCCTCTATGGGTTAGTGACATCTCGATGGTCCTGATCTTGCGTGAGCCTAGGCTAATGTGTGTGTTCTTGCTTTACTTGTTAACAAAGTTTAAAAAGCAAAATACAAGCTTTTCTCAATTTTAGAATAAAGATCTTAAACATTTTTGTGCAGCTGTACTTTTTTATTACAGGAGTCAAAATGTTAAACTGTATAAAATACAGAAAAAAGTTTGAATACATTTAGTGTTTATAAAGGCTACAGTAGTGTACACTAATTCCTAGGCCTTCACAGTCACTCACGACTCACCCACAGCCACTTCCTGTCCTGCAAGCTCCATTCATGGTAAGAGCCCTGCACCAGTGTGCCACTTTTAATCTTGGCTATGCCATGTTTTTACTGTACCTTCTCTATATTGAGATATGGCATTACTTTCCATTGTGTCACAGCTGCCTGCCGTGTTTGTACAAGCCACCCTGTACAGGTTAGTAGCCTAGGAGACATAGGCTGCACCCTGTGGCCCAGGCATGTGGCAGGTGGTACTCTCCAGGTTTGTAAGTGACGTCTGAAGCAAGAGGACAAAATCGCCTAACCACACATTTCTCCAAACTCATCCCCATTAAGCAACAGGTGAGTGTGTGTGTGTGTGTGTATATATATATATATATGAAATTTATTACAGAAATTGACTCACAAGATTATAGAGGCCAAGAGGTCTGAAGACCCATAAGCTGGTGTCTGTGAGCTGGAAGGCCAGTGATGTGACTCCGTCTGAGTCTGAAGCCAGAGAAGGAGCAACACTGAGGTCCAGGGGCAGAAGTCAGCTGCTCCACCTCAAAAGGAGACAGAGAAGGTGTCCTGCCTCCGCCTTTCTCTTCTACCAGGGCCTTAGTTTAATTCAGTGATGGTGGATTAGATGATATTGGTGAGGGCAGATCTTCACCCAGCCTACCAGTTCAAATGCTAATCTCCTCTGGAGACGCCCTCACACCCACAAAGAATGTTTACCAGCTACCTAGGCTTCCCCTTAGCCCCGTCAAGTTGATGCATGAAAACCCCACCAGTCCACATTTTGTCAGCTTGGCATCCATACACATCTTCAACTATGTTTAATCTCCGAATAAAGACTGTAAGACCGGGGAGGAGCCAAGATGGCCGAATAGGAACAGCTCCAGTCTACAGCACCCAGTATGAGCCACACAGAGGACGGGTGATTTCTGCATTTCCAACTGAGCATTGAAGTGGGTAGTGGTTCTCCCAGCACGCAGCTTGAGATCTGAGAACGGGCAGACTATCTCCTCAAGTGGGTCACTGACCCCTGAGTAGCCTAACTGGGAGGCACCCCCCAGTAGGGGAGGACTGACACCTCACATGGCCGGGTACTCCTCTGAGACAAAACTTCCAGAGGAACGATCAGGGAGCAGCAGCATTTGCGGTTCACCAAAATCCGCTGTTCTGCAGCCACCGCTGCTGACACCCAGGCAAACAGGGTCTGGAGTGGACCTCTAGCAAACTCCAACAGACCTGCAGCTGAGGGTCCTGTCTGTTAGAAGGAAAACTAACAGAAAGGACATCCACACCAAAACCCCATCTGTACGTCACCATCATCAAAGACCAAAGGTAGATAAAACCACAAAGATGGGGAAAAAGGAGCAGAAAAACTGGAAACTAAAAATCAGAGTGCCACTCCTCCTCCAAAGGAATGCAGCTCCTCACCAGCAATGGAACAAAGCTGGACAGAGAATGACTTTGACGAGTTGAGAGAAGAAGGCTTCAGACGATCAAATTACTCCAAGCTACAGGAGGAAATTTGAACCAATGGCAAAGAAGTTAAAAGCTTTGAAAAAAAATTAGATGAATGGCTAACTAGAATAACCAATGCAGAGAAGTTTTCAAAGGACCTGATGGAGCTGAAAACCAAGGCATGAGAGCTACGTGATGAATGCAGAAACCTCAGTAGCCGATGCGATCAACTGGAAGAAAGGGTATCAGCGATGGAAGACGAAATGAATGAAATGAAGCGAGAAGAGAAGTTTAAAGAAAAAAAACGAACAAAGCCTTCAAGAAATATGGGACTATGTGAAAAGACCAAATCTATGTCTGATTGATGTACCTGAAAGTGATGGGGAGAATGGAACCAAGCTGGAAAACACTCTGCAGGATATTATCCAGGAGAACTTCCCCAGTCTAGCAAGGCAGGCCAACATTCAAATTCGGGAAATACAGAGAATGCCACAAAGATACTCCTCGAGAAGAGCAACTCCAGGACACATAATTGTCAGATTCACCGAAGTTGAAATGAAGGAAAAAATGTTAAGGGCAGACAGAGAGAAAGGTTGGGTTACCCACAAATGGAAGCCCATCAGACTAACAGTGGACCTCTCAGCAGAAACTCTACAAGCCAGAAGAGAGTGAGGACTAATATTCAACATTCTTAAAGAAAAGAATTTTCAACCCAGAATTTCATATCCAGCCAAAATAAGCTTCAGAAGTGGAGAAATAAAATAATTTACAGACAAGCAAATGCTGAGAGATTTTGTCACCACCAGCCCTGCCCTAAAAGAGCTCCAGAAGGAAGCACTAAACATGGAAAGGAATAACCAGTACCAGGCACGGCAAAAACATGCCAAATTGTAAAGGCCATCAAGGCTAGAAAGAAACTGCATTAACTAATGAGCAAAATAACCAGCTAACATCATAATGACAGGATCAAATTCACACATAACAATATTAACTTTAAATGTAAATGGGCTAAATGCTCCAATTAAAAGACAGACTGGCAAATTGGATAAAGAGTCAAGACCCATCAGTGTGCTGTATTCAGGAAACCCATCTCACGTGCAGGGACACATAGACTCAAAGGGATGGAGGAAGATCTACGAAGCAATTGGAAAACAAAAAGAGGCAGGGGTTGCAATCCTAGTCTCTGATAAAACAGACTTTAAACCAACAAAGATCAAAAGAGACAAGGCCATTACATAATCGTAAGGGGATCAATTCAACAAGAAGAGCTAACTATTCTAAATATATATGCACCCAATACAGGAGCACCCAGATTCATAAAGCAAGTCCTTAGTGACCTACAAAGAGACTTAGACTCCCACACAATAATAATGGGAGACTTTAACACCCCACTGTCAACATTAGACAGATCAACAAGACAGAAAGTTAACAAGGACACCCAGGAATTGAACTCAGCTCTGCACCAAGCGGACCTAATAGACATCTACAGAACTCTCCACCCCAAATCAACAGAATATACATTCTTTTCAGCACCACACCACACCTACTCCAAAATTGACCACATAGTTGGAAGTAAAGCACTCCTCAGCAAATGTAAAAGAACAGAAATTATAACAAACTGTCTCTCAGACCACAGTGCAATCAAACTAGAACTCAGGATTAAGAAACTCACTCAAAACCGCTCAACTACATGGCAACTGAACAACCTGCTCCTGAATGACTACTGGGTAAATAATGAAATGAAGGCAGAAGTAAAGATGTTCTTTGAAACCAACGAGAACAAAAACACAACATACCAGAATCTCTGGGACACATTCAAAGCAGTGTGTAGAGGGAAATTTATAGCACTAAATGCCCACAAGAGAAAGCAGGAAAGATCTAAAGTTGACACCCTAACATCACAATTAAAAGAACTAGAAAAGCAAGAGCAAACATATTCAAAAGCTAGCAGAAGGCAAGAAATAACTAAGATCAGAGCAGAACTGAAGGAAATAGAGACATAAAAAACCCTTCAAAAAATTAATGAATCCAGGAGCTGGTTTTTTGAAAAGATCAACAAAATGGATAAGACTGCTAGCAAGACTAATAAAGAAGAAAAGAGAGAAGAATCAAATAGACTCAAAAAAAATGATAAAGGGGATATCATCACCGATCCCACAGAAATACAAACGACCATCAGGGAATACTGTAAACACCTCTATGCAAATAAACTAGAAAATCTAGAAGAAATGGATAAATTCCTCAACACATACATCCTCCCAAGACTAAAGCAGGAATAAGTTGAATCTCTGAATAGACCAATAGCAGGTGCTGAAATTGAGGCAATAATCAATAGCTTACCAACCAAAAAAAGTTCAGGACTAGATGGATTCACAGCCGAATTCTACCAGAGGTACCAAGAGGAGCTGGTACCATTCCTTCTGAAACTATTCCAATCCATAGAAAAAGAGGGAAGCCTCCCTAACTCATTTTATCAGGCCAGCATTATCCTGATACCAAAGCCGGGCAGAGACACAACCAAAAAAGAGAATTTTAGACCAATATCCTTGATGAACATCGATGCAAAAATCCTCAATAAAATACTGGCAAACCGAATCCAGCAGCACATCAAAAAGCTTATCCACCATGATCAAGTGGGCTTCATCCCTGGGATGCAAGGCTGGTTCAACATACACAAATCAATAAACGTAATCCAGCATATAAACAGAACCAAAGATAAAAACTACATGATTATCTCAATAGATGTAGAAAAGGCCTTTGACAAAATTCAACAACCTTCATGCTAAAAACTCTCAATAAATTAGGTATTGATGGGACGTATCTCAAAATAATAAGAGCTATCTATGACAAACCCACAGCCAATATCATACTGAATGGGCAAAAACTGGAAGCATTCCCTTTGAAAACTGGCACAAGACAGGGATGCCATCTCTCACCACTCCTATTCAACATGGTGTTGGAAGTTCTGGCCAGGGCAATCAGGCAGGAGAAGGAAATAAAGGGTATTCAATTAGGAAAAAAGGAAATCAAATTGTCCCTGTTTGCAGATGACATGATTGTATATCTAGAAAACCCCATCGTTTCAGCCCAGAATCTCCTCAAGCTGATAAGCAACTTCAGCAAAGTCTCAGGATACAAAATCAGTGTACAAAAATCACAAGCATTCTTATACACCAATAACAAACAGAGAGCCAAATCATGAGTGAACTCCCATTCACAATTGCTTCAAAGAGAATAAAATACCTAGCAATCCAACTTACAAGGGATGTGAAGGACCTCTTCAAGGAGAACTACAAACCACTGCTCAAGAAAATAAAAGAGGATACAAACAAATGGAAGAACATTCCATGCTCATGGGTAGGAAGAATCAATATCATGAAAATGGCCATACTGCCCAAGGTAATTTATAGATTCAATGCCATCCCCATCAAGCAACCAATGACTTTCTTCACAGAATTGGAAAAAAACTACTTTAAAGTTCACATGGAACCAAAAAAGAGCCTGCATTGCCAAGTCAATCCTAAGCCAAAAGAACAAAGCTGGAGGCATCACACTACCTGACTTCAAACTATACTACAAGGCTACAGTAACCAAAACAGCCTGGTACTGATACCAAAACAAAGATATAGACCAATGGAACAGAACAGAGCCCTCAGAAATAATGCCACATATCTACAACTATCTGATCTTTGACAAACCTGAGAAAAACAAACAATGGGGAAAGGATTCTCTATTTCATAAATGGTGCTGGGAAAACTGGTTAGCCATATGTAGAAAGCTGAAACTGGATCCCTTCCTTACACCTTATACAAAAATTAATTGAAGATGGATTAAAGACTTTAATGTTAGACCTAAAACCATAAAAACCCTAGAAGAAAACCTAGGCAATAGCTTTCAGGACATAGGCATGGGGCAAGGACTTCATGTCTAAAACACCAAAAGCAATGGCAACAAAAGCCAAAATTGACAAATGGGATCTAATTAAACTAAAGAGCTTCTGCACAGCAAAAGAAACCACCATCAGAGTGAACAGGCAACCTACAGAATGGGAGAAAATTTTTGCAACCTACTCATCTGACCAAGGGCTAATATCCAGAATCTACAATGAACTCAAACAAATTTATAAGAAGAAAACAACCCCATCAAAAAGTGGGCGAAGGATGTGAACAGACACTTCTCAAAAGAAGACATTTATGCAGCCAAAAAACACATGAAAAAATGCTCATCATCACTGGCCATCAGAGAAATGCACATCAAAACCACGATGAGATACTATCTCACACCAGTTAGAATGGCAATCATTAAAAAGTCAGGAAACAACAGGTGCTGGAGAGGATGTGGAGAAATAGGAACACTTTTACACTGTTGGTGGGACTGTAAACTAGTTCAACCATTGTGGAAGTCAGTGTGGCGATTCCTCAGGGATCTAGAACTAGAAATACCATTTGACCCAGCCATCCCATTACTGGGTATATACCCAAAGGATTATACATCATGCTGCTATAAAGACACATGCACACGTATGTTTATAGTGGCACTATTCACAATAGCAAGGACTTGGAACCAACCTAAATGTCCAACAACATTAGACTGGATTAAGAAAATGTGGCACATATACACCATGGAATACTATGCAGCCATAAAAAATGATGAGTTCATGTCCTTTGTAGGGACATAGATGAAACTGGAAACCATCATTCTCAGCAAACTATTGCAAGGACAAAAAACAAACACCACATGTTCTCACTCATAGGTAGGAATTGAACAATGAGAACACATGGACACAGGAAGGGGAACATCACACACCAGGGACTGTTGTTGGGGGGGTGGAGGGGGGAGGGATAGCATTAGGAGATATACCTAATGCTAAATGACGAGTTAATGGGTGCAGCACACCAACATGGCAAATGTATACATATGTGACGAACCTGCACGTTGTGCACATGTACCCTAAAACTTAAAGTATAATAATAGTAAAATTTAAAAAAAATAGAATATTTAAAGGATTGTGTAGAAAAAGTTTTTAAAGAAATCGTTAAATAAAAAGGAAGCTGGGTTACAACTTAAAAAAAAAAAGATGATAAGACCACAGTTCTGCCTAATATGATACAACTATCCTACATACAACCAAAAGCACACCAATTTCTTCCCCAAAAGAGCTGGAAAAGTCCTTGAGTGATAGTCACTTTTCTCCTGATGTCCCATAACATGAATACCAAGATGTAAAAGTAACAGTGCTTAAATACTGATGTGAAGTTGTTACATGTTATGCTACATGATAAGGAGATAAGAGAAAAGAAAAATATACTTGGTTAATATATGTATATATTCACACAAAAAGTCACTAAACAGGAAATTCTGACAATGACAGTTCTTATTTCTGCCGCCGGCCATGTAGTTGTCGCTGGCATTAATAACCACCTTCTTGCACCACCCAGTCCACATCCCTTTGCCCTTAGCAAGTGCTGCAGCTGACTATTGTTCTTTACTGGTGGAGTGACCCCAAACCTTCATTCTTGAAGGGTCTGGGCCATTAGAGGTCCTGCCTGAATTGTATTATTGTGGTTTCCAGTGACTAATCACAGAGCATGGCAGGGCCAAGAGATGCCTGAGGATCTCCTGTCTCCCAGACACGCTCTTCCTTCCCTCCATGGTGGAGCACAATCCAGTCTCCCCTCAGTCTGATCAATCACCCCGGCCAGTGCTGTTATTCCCCTCTCAGCCTGCTGATTCTGAGGCTTGAGGACCCCAAAATGGCATATTAACTTACAATTCAATGGAAACACTGTTGTGTCTCCTGGTTGAAGCATTTCTGCCTCTGGAACTAAGACCCCTAGGCCAGCAGAATACAAAATTGCAGGAAGAGGAAATAAAAATGTTGCCAGTGAGTCACTAGGGGTAATAGTGGTGACACTCCCGTATCCACCCCTTGATTCCTGAACCCGTGAGTCCTGGCCATGGGAGAACAAGCAGCATGTATTAGTCACTGATTCAGGGCATCTGTGGCCTTCTGGAGCACCTGGTCCCAGCCCTGCAAGGTATTGCCATCGAGTTGGTGCTGTAATTGAGCCTCAAAAGGCCAATCCACCATTCTATCACACCAGCTGCAAGGATGGTGAGCACATATCAGGACCAGTGAGTCCCAGGGGCATTGTTGCACTTCTTTGGCTGTGAAGTGAGCTCCTCGATCAGAAGCAGTGCAGTGTGGAACACTGTAACAGTGGATGAGGCATTCTGTAAGTCCATGGGTGGTGGTTTTTCCAGTAAGGACAAACCTCTGCCCCTTCCATGCTGGAAGCCATCCAATGTAATCAACCTGCCCCAGGTAGCTTCCTGATAGCCTGGGAATGGTGCCATATCAAGGGCTGTGTGTTGGTCTCTGCTGCTGGCAGATTAGGCAGTCAGCAGTGGCCGAGCCAGGTAGGCCTTCGTGAGTGGGAGTCCATGTTTCTGAGCCCATATACTACCTCCATCCCTGCCACCATGGCCACTTTGTTTATGAGCTCATCATTGCGTGATGACAGGGGTGGCTTGGGCAAGAGGCTAACCAGTGTCCACAGAATGGGTCATCCTATCCACTTGATTACTAAAACCCTTCTCTGCTGTGTTCATTCATTGCTGACCATTCACATAGGATAGACATATCTTCATGATTTTTGCCCATTCTGAGAGGCCTATCCACATATCTTTTCCCCAAATATCTTCGCCACCAATTTTTCCAATTGTTCTTTCCATGTCCCTGACCACCCAGCATAAGCATTGAGCACAGCTGGTGAAATAGTCCATCACTGCACAAATGGCCACTGCTCCTTCCAAGCAAAGCACACAGCCAGGTACACTGCCCGCAGCTCTGCCCAGGAGGACTTCCCTTCCCCACTATCCTTCAGAGATGTCCCAGGGAGGGGCTGTAGTTCTGCAGCATCCATTTTCAGGTGGTGTCTGCATATGGGGCAGAGCCGTCTGTAAACCAGGCCTGAGTCATCTCTTCCTCTGTCAGATATCATAGGGACCTCCCCAGGAGGTTACAGGCTCAGGCTAGGAGAGAGGGTCTCAGCTGAGAAAGGCGGTGGGGCAGGAGTGGGGACCATAGGCACTTGGACCACTTCTTCATGTAAACTACTTGAGCATTCAGGGGCTGGTTGGGCCTAATCACATACATACCACTTCCATTTGATGACAGAGTGTTGCTGTGCACACCTAACTGTATGGCTTGTTGGGTCAGATAACACCCTCTGACACCACCCTCTGACACATAGACATCTCACCAATAAATGTAGAATAGTTGTTACTTCTTGCTCACTAAGTCCAATCAGCATAATGTCATCAATGTAATGCATCAGTGTGACATCTCATGGAAGGGAAAAGCAACCAAGATTCCTGCAGACTAAATTATAATGTAGGGCTGGAGAGTTGATGGGACACTCCCTGAGGTGGGACAGTGAATGTGTATTGCTGGCCTTGCCAGCTGAAAGAAAATTGCTTCTGGTCATCCTTCCAGGAATGTGGGATTGTTTTTGACTTACAGTAGTCACCCCTTATCCCTGGTTTCACTTTCCACATTTTAAGTTACCTGTTGCACAGTACAAGATATTTTGAGAGAGAGAAATCACATTTGCATAGCTTTTATTGCAGTATATTCTTCTAGTTGTTTGATTTTATTATTGTTGATAGTCTCCTACTGTGCCAAATTTATGAATTTAACTTTATCATCGGTATGTATGTATCAAAAAAAACATAGTATAGCTAGGCTTTGGTGGTTTATATATCCATAGTTTCAGGCATCCACTGGGGTCTCAGAACATATATCCTGCAGACAACGGGGGGCTACTGCATTATTTTCCCAGGTTAAAGCAGTTCTAGTGGCTTCTGCTTGGTCTTCTTCACTGTAATAGTCCTTACTCCACAGGTCAGGGACCCAGTGTGTAGATGCTACCAGCTCCTCAGTATGCCTCTTCCAATTATGCATTCTGGAATGGGAAAATAACTACAGGATGGGTTTGGGGACCCACTTGACCCACTGTAAAATGAACCTGAGCTAAAACTCCATTGATCATTGAGCTCCATAAGCCCCTACTCTGCCTGGATGGCCACAGTGTCCTTTTCAATCTTCTGGAGTCAATGTCAGTGCAGATCCAGTGTCCAGTAGTCTCTGAAAGGTCTGAATATTCCCTTTTCCCCAGTGCACAGTTACCCTAGTAAAAGGTAAGGTAGGTCCCTTTGGAGGAGGCTGGGGAAAAGATTAAGAGTGTACATTTTGGGTAGTGTACCAGGGTTGTTTTCCAAGGGGACATTGTTTTCCCTTCATTCACGAGTTCTGAGTCTGTAAATCGGCTCAGGTCTGAGAATTGATTGAGGGGCCATAACTCTCTGCTTTGAGAGTAATGATTTTATTATTTGAATTTGACTTTTGTTTTTAGAGACTGGGTCTCATTATGTCACCTAGGCTAGAGTGCAGTAATGTGATCATAGCTCACTGCAGCCTCAAATTCCCAGGCTCAACAGATCCCCCTGCCTCGACCTCCTGAGTTGCTGGGACCACAGGCATGTGCTGCTATGCCCAGATTTGACTTAGACTTTTATTCACTTGACCTAAAACTTTCCTGCTTATACAGATCACGGCTTCTGATCAAATCCCCTTCCAGGAGCCCCATAATAATGGGCCAGAGCCATGAGTCTCATGAGCCAGGCTATTCTGATTGCTGCTGTGCCAATCCTGCCTATTGCTATACTTGCACCCGACTCACTGTGGCCTCCCCAATGGCTGGATCCAGTTGCTTCCCTTGCACTTAGGTTTCCAGCTGAGTGGCTGTGGTTCCCACCATAAGGTCTGACCTACAGAGAAGAGTTATGGCAGAGCTCTTCAAGGAAGCTGGGGCTCCCTCACACAGTTCTTTCTCAAGGTATTGGTGAAAGGCTGTCTTCCAGACCCCCCAGTGTGGGTGAGTAGGTCTGAAATGACAAACCCACTCTAACACATCAGCTTCCCTAGCCCTTTAAGCTTCCTGTATATTAAACCAGGGGAGATTGGATCTTTCCAGTTTGCTCATGGCAGGGCAGACTATCTTTTGACCCCTGTTCAGCCATCCAACCAAACTTCGCCCTTTCTAACTCACTGAGCTGCAACTTTAAATCCACAATCTCTGCTTAGTGAGCCCATATCAATAAATTTGACCTGATCCAACTTTATGTTCCTTCCACTACCATCTCACATCCTTAATATTCATTCTCACCCATGTCCCCTGGATTTCTGCTTGTATAAATCAGAAAACCCATGTTGTTCTTTTGGAGTGCAGCATAACTGCTTGTGACTCACAGTTTGTCCCTCACCTTTGGGGGTCTGCTGGGCTTGGGTCTAGTTATAGGTCTAGAGGCAAAGAAGGGTGGTGATCTGGGTCCTGAAAAGAATCAGCATTATCCCACTTTGCCACCACCTCGAGGAAGATATGACTCAGGATGCAGGGAACTCCCTCAAATCAGGTGGAAAGGCTATACCAGTGTTGGCAGGGATGCTGCCGCCACTGGGGATGTGAAGGCCCCTTTGGTTGAGTGTGGTGGGACCTCTTCCACTGGCAAAGAATACATCAGAATTTAAGGCCTTGATACCCCCGGCTTCATCAGGTCTTCCCACATGTCCCCATTCCATCTTACAGTTTCTCATTCTTTCCCAATTTCACCACTTAAGAGTAGACACCCTAGGAGACCGGGAGCTCAACTTGCATTGTATTAATAATTTGGCCAATTGCAGGATGAGGTCCTGAGTTTGATTTTCAGATACTTCAGCCCTGTGGTTGTATGAAATAAGGCTCTCTGGGAACACATAGAAGCTCTTAGGTCACTTTTGTGGCTCTTGAGCTGGGAATTTCAATCCCTGAGCTCATCTTTTTCTTTTACCACTTTGTGCAATGATATTAAAAGCAACCAATGTCATTATATTCCTCAGTTTTCCTAAAATGTTCAAAAGTATGATATACAGAGTCATGTAGCTTCTTGCTTCTTATAAGTGGTTTATTAGGAGGATCCAATGCAGATATTTTGCATATCTGTATAGTTTATGCCATGGATGATCAGTGCTCTCTTTACTACTGGAAATAGAATCGTTAGTGTCTTCACATATAGTCAGATTAAAGATCCAATTCCAGAAACTCCAGAAAGAATTCAGAAAACTCATCCTCAAAATTCTGGTCCTCTAGATCCACTCTTGGTACCAAAATCTATATTAGTCAGAGTTCTACAAAGAAACAGACTCAATAGAATAGATAGATAGATAGATAGATAAATAGATAGATATAGATATATATCAATAGATATATATGTCTATAGAATATATGTATCAATAGTATATATATATCAATAGAATAGATAGATAGATAGATAGATAGATAGATAGATAGATAGATAGATAGATTTATTATAGGAACTATGTAGTTATGGAGGACAAGAAGTCCCACAGTCTGCCATCTGCCAGCTGGAGACCCAGGAAAGTCAATGGTGTTCTTCGATCTGAGTCCAAAGACTGGAGAACCAGAAGCACCAATGTTCGATGGCAGAAGAGGATGGATGTCCCAGCTAAAAAAGAAAGTGAATTCACCCTTCCTCAGCCTTTTTGTTCTATTCAGGCCCTCCATGGATTAAGTGATGCTTGCTCACTTTGAGGAGGGCAGGTCTGTACGCAGTCCACTGACTCAAATGTTAATCTCTTCCAGAGACCCCCTCACAGACACATCCAGAAATGACATTTTATCAGCTATCTAGGCAACCCTTCCTTAGTGCAGTCAAGTTGACACCTAAAATTAAACATCATAAGCAGGGAAGATGGTGTGGGAGGTGAGATGTATGTCTGTGAGCAGAAGCTGGGTGGGTCTCTGCATGAACATGTAGGTACGGGTGCAAGCATGTGGGAGCTGCTGGTGGCAAAACTCAACAGAAGCAACTCATATTTAGGAAGTGAATCAGATGTCACATCCTCTGAGCCTGTGATATTTCATGATCTGGCACAATAAAAGGCTCTCAGAGCAGGTTGTATAATAAAAAGCTAAATTTTCCAATGGTTTTTGGAAGAATGTAACTTCTGACTTTTAACAAAAAACAGAAACAAACACTTTCTTTCACAGTTAGAAATTGTCTGCCAGGCTTCTGGAGGCACCTGGGCCGTGTGGGTTCACAGTGGTCATTCAGGGAATGGATGGACATGGTGAGTTTCTGAAGCACGGGCACCACCCTTACGGTAGGGGGAGGGCTCCAACACCAAGGCCCCCAGCACACATTTCACAAGGAAAAATGACCGTGTAGTGCCTGTGTTGGTAGGTGATCAACTCTGCTGAAACTGAGAAGGGAATTTTTTTCTAGTTAGAGGCCTCACATTAAGCATGCATTGGCTTCATCTGGAGTGTGCAGAACAGAATCATTCTCTTCCCCATTGCTCCCCAAGAACAGCAATTAGAATGCAAGTTCATCTCCATATAATGCATTAAGACTTTAATGTCAGTAAACGCTTCTTACATATTAGATGCAGTGAGGAAATGTTAGTTGAAAATTCACAGACTGGTATGATCAGTTTCCTCTAGGATAAAATGTGATAAATGGGTTTTAATAAACTGAGGAGAATTATAGGCACCATCTTCTTGGTTCCTGTCAATTTTACTTAGAGTAAAATGCCATCGCAATAATTAGCTGGTTTTTACTGTATTCATTAAAAGTTTTTCTAATGACCACTTGAGGAATAAGAAAAATTAATTTCTTTCTTGAACATCAAAGGAATTCATCAATCAAACAAAAAGCAAACTTCAGGGATTATGAAAGACAGGGTGAGGGTCGGTGGTTTTCCGTGCCCACTGTGGGGACAGCGCTTTCGCGCCGTCTGTCATTGGCATGGAAGCTCGAGGCCATTCCCCCGAGCTGTGCTGATGGAGAGGGATGCAGGCCCCGGGTGGGGACCCTGGCCGTCCTTCTCAGGTGCCATTGAGCTGTGACTCCAAGGCCTCCTCCTCCAGGCAGCTTTCCTTGACTGCTCCAACTTCAGGGCTCTCTCCTGCCTGGCCCACACACTTGAACTAGGGCTCCTCAGTCTCAGAGGCTGAGGCCAGGTTCTCTCTCTGCCTGTGGCCCCTCAGAGTCCAGCATAGGGCCAGGCACTCTAGAGGGCTCAAGGGCCACTACCCCCGTCCTAGCTCCTGCAGTGCTCGGCCAAGCTCAGCCCTTGTTCAGCACACCAGCCCTGTGAGTCACACTGTCCCTGGAGGGACTGAGGAATGTCCAGGGGTTGGTAGTGGCACAAAGGATGGAGCCACTGAAACGCGGTGGGTGGACACAGGAAGAGGACGGCCGCACAGCGAGGCCACGCCTGGCCTGGCTCGGAGGATGCGAGGAGGATTCTCCAGCAGGCAGGCATGGTCAGAGGGGCCACTGGGTAGCCAGATAGAGTCCCTGTGCCGACCCCATAGTCCACGGGGAGGAGCAGAGAGGCGGGTGAGGCCTGGGGAGATGACATCACATGGCTGGGGCTACTCAGTGGTGAAGGAAGAGACAAAGCGGGACACTGCTCTGGCTACTGGGGGGAGCAGTGGTCCTTCCCACCTCTTGTGCCAGGTACAGCACTGGGGCCTGGGACCAGGACGAGCCTCAGAACACGGCTGGTGAGCACACCCACCTCCACCTGCACCCATCCCCGCTCCCCACACACACCACACACACACTCATCACACACACACTCATCACACACACACCACACACACTCATCACACACATGCTCATCACACACACCACACACACTCATCACACACATGCTCATCACACACTCATCACACACACACCACACACACTCATCACACACATGCTCATCACACACACCACACACACTCATCACACACATGCTCATCACACACACCACACACACTCATCACACACGCTCATCACACACACTCATCACACACACCACACACTCATCACACACATGCTCATCACATACCACACACACACTCATCACACACACACCACACACACTCATCACACACATGCTCATCACACACACCACACACACTCATCACACACATGCTCATCACACACTCATCACACACACACCACACACACTCATCACACACATGCTCATCACACACACCACACACACTCATCACACACATGCTCATCACATACCACACACACACTCATCACACACACACCACACACTCATCACACACACGCTCATCACACACACACCACACACACATCACACACATGCTCATCACACACCACACATACACTCATCACACATGTTCATCACACACACGCATCTCACATGCATCACACTCATGCACCACACACATGCTCACACACACATCATACACACCACGCACACCATCACACACACTCATCACACACACACCACACACACTTATCACACGCATGCTCATCACACACACACCACACACGCTCATCACACACATGTTCATCACACACATGTTCACACACACACCACACATGCTCATCACACATACGTTCATCACACACATGCACCACACACATGTTCATCACACACACGCATCACACACACCACACACATGCTCATCACACACATGCATCACATACCACATGCACTCATCACACACACAACTCATCACACATGCTCATCACACACCACGCTCACTCCACACACACACCACACATGATCATCACACACTCATCACACACACACATAGCACACATGCTCATTACACACATGCTCATCACACACTCATCACACACCACACACACTCATCACACACACATCACATATGCTCATCACACACATGCTCATCACACACATGCTCATCACACACTCATCACACACATGCTCATCACACACACCACACACACAGTCATCATACACACTAATCACACACCACACATATGCTCATCACACGTGCTGATCACACACATTCATCACACACCACACACATATTCATACACTCATCACATGCACACCACACACACTCATCACACACATTCATCACACACACAACACACACGTTCATCACACACTCATCACACACATGCCACACAATGCTCATCAAACATGCCACACACATGCTTATCACACATGCTCATCACACATGCCACACACGCTCATCATGCACATTAATCACACTCACACCGTGCACACTCATCACACACTCATCGCAAACACATTCATCACACATGATCATCACACACGTCACACATACCACACATACGCTCATCATACACACTCATCACAAGCAACCCACACACACTCATCACACACACACATGCACACCTGCCAGACACCACACGCACCACACCATATATACACTCAACCATCACAGGCACACACACACCACACACACAAACTCATCACACATACACCTGCACACACGGCCACACACACTGGGCCATCACACAGACACCATGCACCACACACACTCATCACACACACCACACACACAAATCGGGCCATCACACAGACACCATGCACCGCACACACTCATCACACACACCACACACACAAATCCAATCACCTCACACACCCATCCACCCCCATCACAGCCCCCACCTCTGCTGAATGGAGCCCCACCATCCTTCAGTGGCCAGCTGGCACCTCGTCCTTGACGTGCCCCATCACACTTCCCTCTCCCGCCCACGAGGACCTCGGTAATGTCGCCCCTGAAACTGCTGCGGAACCTGGAGCCCACTGTGATGCAGAATTGGAATCCCAGCTCAGCCCCCTGCACTCCCGATTGCCCAGAAGAATGCCTTATTCCTGAGAGCCCCTTGGTTCTTCTCCCTCTCAGGTTAGGTGAGAAGGTCAATCTGGCCCTGCGGGTTATGCTGCCGGTTACATGAGAACCTCGTCGGCATGAAGAGGCCAGGCAGGTCCTCCGACAGTGCCACAGCCCCAGGCTTGTGCAGCTAAATCACGGAGGCCTTCCAGGCCCTGAACAGGAACCGGACGGGGCCCGAATGACACTGCTGGGGGGCCGCTCTCTGGATGCCATTGTGGCCGGGTACCGGGATGGTCGGCTGCTTGATTCCATGACTTAAAGCTAGATTTGGCCTTTTAAGCCTCTGTCTCAGTGCCCTTGGGTCCCTTCTGCGGCTCACCTACCTGTCTCTCGGTCTCTGGGGTGGGCTGGCAGGGTTCATTCTGGGACCTAGGTGGTGTGGCAGCAGTGGCTGTCATGGTGCAGAGCCGGCTTCTCGGAGTGCCTGGTCTGGGGATCCCCAGGGAAGGCACTGAAGCTGTCTCCTTGGCTCCCGGGCCTGTGAGGCCCAGCCAGCTCCACCCCTGCCCCACCCACCCCAAGCCCCACAGGGGGCCCCTACCTGGCAGCTCAAGTCCAGCCCCCTTTCCCAGGGCCCTGGGGGGCCCCATCCCCACCTCGTGCCAATCAAGGGTGATGTGTGGGCTGCTGGGCCTTTGGTCCCTGTTAGGGTCGCTCAGAGAAGCCTGGGTGGACATGAAAGTTCGAGGCTTCCAAGCCAAGACTCAGGAATAAGCAGGGACCTTGCCTGTAGCGTCCCCAACTCCTGAGCAGCTCTCCAGCTTCTGGCTCCCCTGGCTCTTTTTGGCTGAGGGGGCTCCTCTGTGTAACTCGGCCAGGCCCTCTTTCCAGGCTTTTATTCTTCCTGCAGTCAGAGAAGGGGACAGAGGGGGCCTCTGGTGCCAGCTCTGAGGCCTCTCTTGAAGCCCAGCCTGAAGGTGTCTGTCCCCACCTGCTGCCACCCCCACCCTGAGATGGGGGCTTAGAGCCTTTGCCCTGGTGGCTTGCCCTGCTGGGACTCCTTCCTCTAATCTCAGAATGACCGACCCCTCGCCTCCCTCACGTCGCCGTTTCAGAGCTACTTTCTCACCCAGACCCCTGACCGGTGCTCCTAGTTTCCCCACCCACCTGTGCTACGTGTTCCCAGGTGTCTGCCACCTGCAGCAGGCTGCCCAGTCATTTCTCCCTCCCGGTGTGCTTTCACCATCGAGCCCCTTCTGGCCCCATCCTCCAGCTCCCGCCGTGTTGCTCAGAGCAGCTCACGGTGCACGGCGACTCCGGGGAATGGGGTTCCCACAGCTCCTCGGCTTCCATAAAGGCCACGGCGGGCTCTGCAGGGCAAGCTGGCCTCTGCGATCACTGCGCAGTGACCCCTCACAAGTAGCATTTTTGCACTTGGGAATCTACACGTTTTTTCATTTTAAAAGGAGTGTGTCCCTGCTGTTTGAGAAATATGCCCAGGAACACAGCCCTTCTCAGAGAGTCTGGATACTTAAAAGGAAAGCTCTTGATTACATAGGGGAGTTCACCGTGGTGCAGTGTTGGCTGAGGCATGGCCAGCACAGGGCAGGAGCTGGGGGATTGGCACCTCTGAGGACAGGAAGACACTCATGGTAGCAGCAACACACTGGTTGCACCTGCAGAGGCCACAGGCTCAGCAGAGCTGCCCTGGCGATGCTGGTGATTTCGGGAGCTCTCTCTAGAGGGCCGGGAGATACTGCAGCCTCAGAAGTGGCCGCCAGGAGTGCCTCTGGCAGATTGAGATGGTGATTTAGCTGGTGATCATGCCGCCGTCCGTGTTCACTCTCCATCAGAAGCCACACCTCACTCTCTTAGAGCGAGGGAGAGACACACTCAAGCTGGGGGTGAATGGCATCTGCAGAGCCAGATCCAGGGGCCAGGAGGATCGGGGACTGCCCGGGAGGAGTCTCCATGCCACGTGAGTCAATCAGGGAACCCTAACTGGAAAGCAGTAATACAAAGTAATTGAGTTTAATACATAATTTAGATGGTTACTCGTTAAGCTAATGCCTCCCGCTTAGGTGTGGGGAGAAAATTATTTATCTCATAGACGGGGAAGATTTCATTTGTTTTTATAATGGAATGCTTACCAATTGACTTTAGTAAGAGCAGTTTGTTAAATCAGATTTTGAATTGGTGCATAGATTTGAAGTTCATAAGTTAGTTTTTGATGTGATATACTTAGCGCCTCCCTTCTTCCCTTAAAGTGGCTGGATTTATTCTCCCATGAGGCTGTGCGCTCATTGTTGTCCTGCATTATGGAAATTACATCGGTTCTCCGTGGTGTCTTCATGAGAGGCAATTTTACTCCTGACTTCTACCGTTTTTTTTTTTAATTTAAGAAGGGACATTAAAGAGACTCTGCTTGCTGCTTTGCGGGGACTTTTTCCTCTTGAAAACAGTCCCAGGGCTGCAAACAAATGCTTTGGTTAAATACCAGAAAGGAACTTACTAACAACTCCTTACTTGGGTCCAACCAACTGTCATTCATTAACCTGTTTGATTTTCTCAGCAATCCTGTGAAGTCAAGCGGCCGCTAGGAACCCAGCTCGTGTGTGTGCACGTTGAGGCCCCGGGCCTGGTCACCACCCATAGCTGGGTGCTGGCCTGGCAGTGGGGACCAGGCCTTTCATACCCACAAAGCAGGGCTGCCTGGGCCTGGACCCAAGCTCATCTGGCCAGCCCAGTGATGGCGACCCTGACTCAGTTTCCCTATCAACAGAACAGGGATAAGATACTGAGTACCTTGGAGAGGGTTTGAGGATGGAAGGAGGCGATGCCTGCCCAGGGCATGGAACAGAGCCAGTACCAAGAGCTTAGCTCTGGGCATTGCAACTACCCCAGTGGAATGGCTCCCGGACCCCTCCCCGAACCAGCTCCCCCTACTCCAACAGCCATACCGCCAGGCAGACAGCATCTGACCCAGAGGGCCCCACCCTCACGCCTGCTTCTCCCCAACTGTGGGGCCTCAGGTGGGCATCCCTGTGCTCCAGGTCTCAGCGTCCTCAGCTATGAAACAGGCTGCTGAGGCCTCCCTAGGGCACCCAGCATCCCTGCTGAGGGCAGAGGGGATCTTGCTGACAGGCTGCAGGAGACCACCCCAGGAGCCAGGGGTTTGCCCAGTCTCCTCTGGGGCAGCCGTCCAGGCAGAACCTCAGCCCCCAGATAGCAGGATCAGGGCGAAAACTAAGTCATCAGGACCACAGGCCTGCAGGCCATCCCTGCCCGGTTCATTCAGCAGCCTCAGTGACAGGTGCTGGGGAAGGCCCTGGTGCAGGCAGCCTTTATTTCAACTTTCCCTGGACCCCCAGCCCCTCCAGCTCCAGTCTCTGTGTTCCCATAGAGACCCCCAGGGCACAGCAGGGAGTGCTTTCCACAGCCCCAGCTGCACCGCACTTCCAGCTTGCCTCTGGAAACAGCCACAAATAGCAGGGCAGCACCAGAAGGCAGGCCTTTAAGGAGAATGAACACAGGTCTCCACCCTCAGACAAACACAGGTCTCCACCCTCAGATGAACACAGGGCTCTACCCTCAGACAAACACAGGTCTCCACCTTCAGACGAACACAGGCCTCCACCCTCAGATGAGCACAGGTCTCCACCCTCAGCACAGGTCTCCACCCTCAGGTGAACACAGTCCTCCACCCTCACATGAACACAGGCCTCCACCCTCAGAAACAGAAGCTCCACAGAGCCCCCAAGGGACCCTGGGGCACCCTGGAAGCATCCACTGCATACTGGAGCCACCTCAAGAGCCATGGGGGCTGGGAGCCCCGGGGTTCTGGGAAAGCTCTCCCCAGTGGAACATTGGAATAAATGTGCGTAGCTGTGAAAACTCCCTTTACATAAAATCAAAAAGAGAGCCTGTGTAAAACATTTCTAAATACCCAGGACCTTAAGACACAAGCCCTTCCTGCTGGGCACCTCCACAGCCGCTTCCTGCCCTTCTTGCCTCCAAGCCGGTGCAGCTCCTTCTAAAACACCTTGGTGCACCCAGGGTGCCCAGAGGAAGGCGGGAGCCCACGGGAGGCACGTGGATGGGAGTGAGCCCCTCCACCAGCTTGCTGGGAGGCAGATGGTCAGGGAAGGGGTGCCCCACCACTCTACTGCAGAAGAATCTGTTACCATGGAAGCATCCGGGGCAACGAGGAGGTGACTTTACACCCCAGGAAGTGGGGCCCTCTGCCCCAGGGATGGGTGAGCTCATTTGCCAGGAGGCCCCTTCAGACTGAGGCACCTGGGGTGGGGGGTGCAAATCCTGGTCCTGCCCCCAAGGGCCCTGGGCATGGATGCCCTCAGCAAACTCTCCCCAAGACCCAGGCACGGGGTGAGGCGGGACCTGTCCTGGAGCTCCCAGGCTGGGGCAGCAGGGAAGGACAGGGCGAGGGGCCCTGGTGTGAAAGTCCAGGTGGGAACGCCCTCAATTGCCCCCCCCGCCCCACCCAGTCCCTGACCTGAAGCTGCCTCTGGGACTGAGGAGCCTCACTCTGTCCCTGGTCCAGTGGCCCGGGCTCCCCAGCCTGTGGAGTGACAGTTGCAAGGCAAGGACAGGCAAGTGCCAGCACCCATGGCTGTGGTCCCAGTCTGGTTGCCTCAGCCTCCAGAGCCCCCAAGCCTTCACCCAGCCTTGCAGGCCCTACTGCCCACACCCGGGCTCATGGATTTGAGCCAAGCTCACCTGTCTGCCCAGTGGCTTTGGATTCAAGAGCGTCCATGGCTCCCCCTGCTCCCCAGCCTTGTCTCATAGTCCCCTGGGGTGGGCTGAAGGTCTCTGAGGGAAACCTGCTCTCACTGTGTGGAGCACAGGCCCTGGCCCACAGCAGGCCAGCAGGACTTTCTTCTTGGCTCCTCAAATGGTGCCGCGTGGGCCGTGGGCACATGTGGCTGGCGCCCAGTGTCAGTTCCTTTCATTCACTTCCCTCTAAGCACCTCCGTGGGTGAGTGGCCACCATCCTGGACACACACAAAGCCTCAGCTGGCGTGTGGCAGGCTGGGGGGAGCTCAGCCATTCCACTCAGAGGTGGTGGCCATGGCCACTGCCCCGAAGAAAAGGAAGAACTTGTTTACAAATTGTTCACTGAAAATTGAGTTGCAAACATTGGCATCAGGCCTTGCCTGCCAGGCCACCCGGATTGGAGGGTAACTTATGAAGATTGCTTTACCTGGGGGCATGCTGGTCTATGCCTGTGAGTAATTCACACCAGGCTCATTTCAGATGCAGTCAAAGACCCCCATATTTCACCACAACCATGTAATCACAGAGCCACGTTAAAAATTCATTATTGTTTAGAATCCAGCTTGGTTTGAAAAACACTTATTATAAAATTCAACGGCCTTTGTAAATTACCAAAAGGTTTACTCAAGAATCCTAGGTGCTGTGGTTTAGACCGGGAACTTACGATTTTATTGATTCTGTGGGATTTTGTCTGTCCCTGCATTTATAAGGCATGATTAGTGAGTGATGAGATAATAAACTCCTCCGTGCTGGTTCGGAAATAATGATGAGTTGAGTTTGCATCCTCAAATTTCTCATGCAAACCACTCCTGCTCCAAAGAGTCCCAGATGCAACTTTGGGTGGTTTTGCAGGCAGTGTGGCCATCATCTCCCAAGGGGAGAGAGCGCAGGGGGAACTGGCTTCTCTGCTCGCCTATTTGTGGGATCCCGGCAGACCTGCCCACCGCATCCCAGGAGAGCAGCCATGGAGCCTGATTCTGTTTCCAGGCCAGCTCGAAGCGTGCTGGGAAGCACTGGCAGAGCTCCTGCAGATGCAGATGCTCCTCTGCCTCTTTCGTGGCAGTCCAGGGACTAGATGTGTGTCTGCACAAGCCCTCATCACTTACACGTGGTTGAACAGGCAGGACTTGGTGAATTCCTTCTCAGTTTTGTCCTGAGAGGCAGACAGCGTGCCCCTGGCAGCCTTGAAATGAGGGGTCATTTGGGGATCCTGAAAGCTGAGGTTCTAGCCCAGGAAGTGCCCCAGAGCCCGGCCATCCTGACACACTGACTCTCCTTCCATGCTGGGAGACAGCAGCTCTGCCCTGCCCACCTGCCCAGAAGTGGCCAGCTGGCTTTTTGCCAGGTTCTGCCCTCTGCAGCCCCAGAGCTACACCTGTCCTTTCTTAGAAGCTGCCAATGGCCATGAGTGTCCAGGCCACTCTGGGAAGGACTGTAGTAAAATAGTCAATGTGTTTAATCCATGTTTCCCACTGGCCCACCCATGCCTTTGACCCACAGGACAGTGGCCACGCATGTGCTTGGGAAAACCACCATAACAGGTCCAGACAAGAGTGCTGGCCTGAGCATGGGTCACGCTAACGTGGGTGGCTCAATTAAGGAACAGGGATGGACTTCCTGTCCTGTCGCCCCCACACACTCCTGCTTCTTCTAGTGGCCATTTCTGTGTGAGGCTGGAGCACAGTGGAAGGTCTGTGAACCTGTATTAAGCAAAATAGAAACTAAATGTGGACTTGGACTGAAAGGAAATTGAGTTAGACAATGAAAATGGATTGGAATGGAATGGAATTCGGATTTGAACTGAATGGAATTGAATTGGAAGTGGATTAAAATGGAATTGAACTATAATCTAAACCCCAGTAGGGCAGAAAAAATGGACAGGCTGAGCCAGGGGAGCTGCCCTCACCCCATCTGTCCCCTGCCCTGGGGAACCCTCTGGTCAATACTGCTAATAGGAACTGAAAATTAAAATGGTGCTGATGGATTTTCTTTAATATGCACAGACGCATCTCAGAGTATTTCTGGAAAAGCAGTGACCGAGCCTGTAGAGGTCATGAGGCACCTGGGCCAAGCCCCGAGATGCTCCCAGAAACAGCACTTGAGTCGTGCACTTGAAATTCAAAGCGCTGTCCACCTTTGACAGAGCAAGCTCCTCTTGTCCGGCCACGTACAGTCCCTGAGCCACAGAAGAGGCCCCCAGAAGCCTCCTCCAGCAGACAGGAATGAGGAGGCCCTGCCCGTGGGGAGGGTGCATGGCGGCCTGCAGCCTGAGGAACACACGTGACATGGAACAGCAAGGATTTTCCACCACGGGGTTGCTCCATCTGTGCAGGGTCCCAAGGGTGCCGAGAACACTGAAGACTTCAAGGGCCTGGCATCAAACACTGCTCTGGGGGGTAAACAGACACCTGCTGAGAGCAAAGGGAGGGCCCCCTAGAGAGCAAGAAGACTCAGCCCTCCAGTGCTGGCTGGAACGTGGAGCCGCGAGGCCACTCATCAAGGAACGGAGCAGCGTCTGGAAGTGGGAATGGCCGTGAGACGACAATAGCAAGAACACAGACTTTTGTCCTGCAACCTCAAAGAACTCAGTCCTGGTCATGGCACTTGTCACCAGTGGGATCTGGTCTTATTTTTACAGGAAATAAACACAGTCTATGAGAATTTTAGCAGGTCCATGGCCTTTCACCCAGCATCCCTCGGCCTGCTTCTCCTGTGTATGAGAACATTCTCTTAATCAGCACCACACCATCAGCACGTTCAGGAGGCTTACAGGACCCTGTTCTGCCATCTCTCACGGTGCGGTGTTGGTCAAGAAAGTGTTCCTGGAGCAAAGCATGCTAGGCTGGCCCCCCGACTGGTGGCTTTCTCTGCGACAGGGGCTGTCTTCATTCTCCTGCATCTTTCGGGCTGGGTGGTTGGTCCAGCATCCATTCATTTCCCCGGTTTCAAGTTCTTTCCTGTGTTGAGAGGGAGAATCCAGGAAGGACCCCCAGGCCCCGTCCCCTGGATGGCTCCAGTGAGGTTGGCAATGGGAGAAGCCAGGTGAAATTTGAAAGGTGAGGGGGACCCAGGACCTTTCCACCAGCTCATGGCTTCTCTAGCTTTCCCACCCATTCCCCTGTCACCACTACAGATGGGTTCGAGATTGGTGGCAGTTTCCTGGGCAACCCCTGAGGATCCCTGCCACAGTGATTCAGGCTGGGCCCATCCTGGCTTTCTTTCCAGCCCTTCCCACCTCACCTCTCTGCACTGGACCCTCTGCTCTACTGCTTGGAGCGCTCCATTTCCCAGCCCCACCCAAACCCATCCATGCTTGAATTCTTTTCATTTTTTTGTTGTTCTTCTTTCTTTTTTCTTTTTCTTTTGTTTGGAGGTAGAAACAGAAGGATACCTCTTCTCCCTAAGCGCCTTTATCTCCATGCTCCTCTGCTCTCCCTGTGGTTCCTAGGCCACGCCACTGCATAAGGTTGCCACTCTGATGTTTCCCGAAGCTTGAGGCTCCCTTTCCCGGCTGGGCTTCCAGTTCCCCAGGAAGCTCGCTCCCTACCCACAGCTCCCCCGCACGTCCTGGGTGGCCCTGATGTCCCCGCTCAAACACCCATGGAGATGAAGTGTTCCAGCTCTAGCGAGAGCTCCAGGTCCACACCTTGGCCGGAGAGGACCGGAGCCTCCTCTCATCCCCCAACCAAGTAGGCGCCTTTCTCTTCCCAGGCCCACCAAGCCCCCACCAAGCCCCCTCCAGCCAGCCCTGCATTGGCCACTCCCGCTGCCGGCACCAAGCTGGCCAGGCTCTGAGCGCCGGCCCTGCTGCCCTGGGTCCTGGGTCCACCCCTGCAGAGCAAGCCCACCTGTCCTGTTTCCGCCGCACCACCAGGCACAGCCCTCCACAGCCCTCAGCAGTACAATCTGAAATCTTTTGGACTTGTTCTTCCTGGCTGTTTGCCTCTCTCCCCGCGGGGAGGCGCCTCTGAGTCCCCAGGCCCTGACTCTCACTCACAGTGCTCAGTGATTATTTGTTGAATGAATAAATGTCCTTGACACCCCCTCCAGCAGTCTCCCCTGCTTGCTTCTGAGCTGGTTTCTCTCTTTCACGCCTGTCCTGCCTGACTCCACTGGCTCGCTTTCCCACCCTATTCTGCGACCCTAGCATCTTTTGTTTTCTTGTATTTCTTCTTAGGTTTTGTTTTCCTTCATGATCTGTGTTCTTTGTCCTAGTGTTTTATTATGGGATAGTTCCAACATTCAGGACAAATTACATAGGGTAATATGAACCCACCACCTGGACTGGACAAATATTAGCATTCTGCCATATTCGCTTTAGGTAATCATTTTTAGAAGTGAAACATTATGAATAGACCCCTGGTATATCATTCACCAATCCCATTTTCCTCTCTCCTCGACAGCCTTCTCAATCATGTTTGATATCTTTACCACAATCTATCCTGTTGTTTAGTAAAGATATGTTGTAATACTTTACACAAATGGTATCCCACGGTGCATATCATGTGTGCCCCTTGTTTCTTTTTTTAACTCAACATTACATTTTCAGGCTGGTCTGCATCTGTGCAGGACCAACTGTTGCAGATGCCCCTGTCTTACTAATTTCTGTGAGTTCTTTACACACGCTGGATGATGAACACTGGTCTGTTATGTGTAAGCAGACCAACTACTGGATAGTACTTTGTACACATATGCCATGGATGTATAGCCTGTGTTCACTCGCCAGCCCTCATTGTTCTGATGGGTCACTGTCATAAGGGGGGCAGCCGACACATTCCTGGGGAGACCTTCTTGTGCAAATATGCAAAAAGGTCTCCAGTCTAGGAGAGAGGGACTTGCCAGGTGGAGGAACATGCCTGGTTCCAGCTTCATTAGGAGTAGCTAAATGGCTCTCCAAAGGGTGGAGCCAACAAACCTTCCCTTTAGCATGGGCCTAGCGCTCCCTTGCCCACTGCCAGCTTTGTTACTCTTAGATCCTTAATCTCTGTTAATCTGATGACTATAAAGCAAAAGGTTACTTTAATTTGCATTTTCCTGGCAACTGGGGAGAGGCTGCATCTTTTCAGGTCATTGTGTGTCTTGTTTCCTCTTCTGATAATTGCGAGTTTGTATCATTTGCCTGGTTTTCACTAAGTTCGTTATACAGTAAACATGCATATGTAAACGTATATATCTTTACTAAAACAACAGGATACTTTGTGGTAAACATATCAAACGTGATTGATAAGGCTGTCAAGGAGAGAAGATAGTGGGATTGGTAAATGACATACCAGGTCTCAACTCTATTCATAAATGTTTCACTTCTATTTGTCTTATTGACTTCTGTGGGCTCTTTATATGAAATGGATAACCATCATCTCTCTGTTATGTTTATAGCAAATGTTTCCTCCTGAGTGTGGCTGGTCTTTTGACTTTCAGCTTTGTTTGTGGCACCTTTTGTTGTATAGAAGCTATTAATCATAACAGTCAGCTTTATCAAACTTCAATTTTATGTGGTTTATGTTTGTCTGTCTTGCTGAAGAAACTTTTATGGGCCAGGTGCAGTGGCTCACGCCTGTAATTCCAGCACTTTGGGATGCCAAGGCAGGTGGATCACTTGAAGTCAGGAGTTCAAGACCAGCCTGGCCAACATGGTGAAACCCATCTCTACTAAAAATACAAAAATTAGCCCGCTGTGGTGGCGTGTGCCTGTAATCCCAGCTACTCAGGATGTTGAGGCTGGAGAATCGCTTGAACCTGGTAAGTGAAGGTTGCAGTGAGCCACTGCACTCCAGTCTGGGCAACAGAGTGAGACTCCATCTCAAAAACAAAAACAAAAACAAAAAAAAAAAAGAAAGAAAGAAAAAGGAACTTTTCTGTACTTTGACATCATAAAGCTATTTCACTATAGTTTATTCCAAATGTTTTAAAGTTTTGCATTTCATAAGTAGGACTTTAACCCATCTGAACTTTATTCCTGGTGCAGTGTTAGATAATAATATGAATATTTTACCTTTCTGTCAGTGACATTTGACCAACAAACCCTTGTTCCTGTTGATGTATGGATTCCTGTGGTGCGTACCGAGTTTCCACTCTGTGCAGGTCTGCTTTTGCTTTTCTGTTCTGTTCTGCTGATCTGTTTATTCTTGAATAGTCTTTATCAAAACTCTAGAGGAAATCTCTTGCTATTTGGTGTAGGGTCCAGCCCTACGGGGCTTAGCAGGTGTTCTCCCCGTGTGCGGAGATGAGAGATTGTAATAAATAAAGACACAGGACAAAGAGATAAAGAGAAAACAGCTGGGCCCGGGGCACCACTACCATCAAAATGCGGAGACCGGTAGTGGCCCCGAACGGCTGGGCATGCTGATATTTATTGCATACAAGACAAGGGAGGCAGGGTAAGGAGGGTGAATCTTCTAAGTGGTTGATAAGGTGAAGCAAGTCACATGATCATAGGACAGGGGGCCCTTCCCTTTTAGGTAGCTGAAGCAGAGAAAGAAGGCAGCATACGTCAGCGTTTTCTTCTATGCACTTATAGGAAAGATCAAAGACTTTAAGACTTTCTCTATTTCTTCTACCGCTATCTACTATGAACTTCAAAGAGGAACCAGGAGTACGGGAGGAACATGAAAGAGGACAAGGAGCGTGACCACTGAAGCACAGCACCACAGAGAGGGGTTTAGGCCTCCAGATGACTACACGCAGGCCTGGATAATATCCATCCTTCCACAAGAAGCTGGTGGAGCAGAGTGTTCCCTGACTCCTCCAAGGAAAGGAGACTCCCTTTCGCAGTCTGCTAAATAGTGGGTGTCTTCCCAGATACTGGCATTACCATTTGACCAAGGAGCCCTCAAGTGGCCCTTATGTGGTTGTGACAGAGGGCTCACCTCTTGCCTTCTAGGTCACGTCTCACAATGTCCCTTCAGCATCTGACCCTATACCCGCCAGTTATTCCTAGGTTATATTAGTAATGCAACAAAGAGTAATATTAAAAGCTAATGATTAATAATGTTTATAATAATGATTGATAATTGTCTATGAACATCTCTATATCTAATTTGTATTATGACTATTCGTATTCTATTTTCTTTATTATACTGAAACAGTTTGTGCCTTCAGTCTCTTGCCTTGGCACGTAGGTAATCTTTTGCCCACATTTGGTAGAGAAAACATCTCTACCCTCTGCTTCTTCTTCAACCCTGTCTTCACCATCCTTGGTTCTTTACTATTCCATATGAAGGGATAATCCATCTTACCTGGTGCTATGAGAAAACACTGCTAGGATTTTAATGAAATTGCATTTAATTTATTGATTATTTTACAGGAGAGCTGAACATTTGAAACTGAGATTTTGCATTCATGATGTAGCCTTCCAATTAGTTAAATCTTCATCTATAGCCCTTAATAAAATTGTTTTAGTTTCTCATTTAAGATGTCCCACGTCTTTATTATACTTATTTCTAAATACCTTAGAGTTTTATTGTTATTGCGAAAGGTGTGTTTTTTCTATTACATTCTCCAATTGGTGTTGACTATTGCATAGCCGTGCTGTGGATTTTTATATCTTCTTATATTAAACCTCATTAGCTCTCATTGTAAAGTCTTAAAAATTTTTGTGTGTAGAAAGTTATATTGTCTACCCAAAAAATGTGAAAATTTATGTCTCCTCCTTTCCAATCCTCACTCCTCTTTTTCCATCTCGTCTTGCAACGTTGGCTGGATCATCAGACCATGCTGAGTGATGGCTATGAGAGAGTCAACTCCCTGCTTTCCACTTTAATGGGACTGCATCTGGAGTTTCATGGGAAGCTTGAGCTTTGATACAGGCTGGCTGTGGCTGCGTTTTATCAGGTTAAGGTCATCCTTGTAGCTCTTGTTATCTAAGAGCCTCTGCTGGGAAGGAGGGTAAAATAAACCCAGGCTACATCCTCTGAGATGATGGTAAGTTTCTCTCCTGAGACTTATTGATAAGGCTGAAAATAAGAGTGAGTTTCCTAGTGATACTTTATGCTTATGTTCCCAGGACAAAGCCTGGATCATCACAACTGAATCATAACTGATTCTGCAGCTGGTTCCCCATCCTCACCCCTGGTGTGACCAGGCAGGCTGGCCATGTGCTCTGCTGACCACTGGCTCTTGTTGATGATCCCCACCCCCACATATACACATAGCTCAATGGACAAAAATTTCTAGGAAGAGAGTGGAGCCGTTATCTAGGTATCTATTACCAAAGAGCCTCCCACAGAGGGGTAGTTCCATCAAAAGGAGTAACTGACCCAGGGAATAGGTGTATGTATTTCTCTCCAGAGCAAAAAGGTTGATGTATACACATCTGTTCCACCAAATAGGCAATCTGGTGACTGTTGGGCTAAGCGTCCAGGGATCTGAGGGCCTCTCTGGGTTCTCCAAGTGCACTCCTCCCCCAGTGCCAGGATTCAGGGCCTGCCTCCTGAGTGGCTCTCATCCACTCTGTCTCTAGGACAATGCACCCACAGCACCATCGGCCCAGCACAGCACCCCCTGCATTCCTTGCTGCCCTCCAATCGCTTGGGTGTCCCATATGATGAGTGCAGCCTAGCAGTGGGGTGGGCAGGGCCGTGACTGGGCTTCTCGCATCTCTTGTGTTATGTTTATTTCCTCTCCTCAATGCTTCCCACCCCAAAAGAAAAAGGAATGTTCCAGGGCAGAGGATGTGAGTTGAATTCACACATTGAAGTTAGGGGTACTATTGACAGGGGCAGCGGCTGGACACAGCCGTGGGTCAACAGCGCTTAAAAAGGATTTGAGAGTCGTGAGGCTCAGGATGGCATCTGAGGCCACAGGAGCATATCTCACTCACTCACACGCCTGCCACGGGGCTGAGGGTGAGCTGATGAAGGAGGGAAGAAAGGAAGGAAGAACTGGCAGATAAGTTGGTTTTAAAATGACTTACAATGTTGTGATTCAGTGGTTATTCCCTGAGCCTCCCCTCACCTGCTCTTGACCCCGGACTTACCACGGAGGTGTCTGGACCATACTCCAGGGGGCGGCTCTGAGCATCCCTCGGTGTCTCCTTTAGCCATTCTCCTTACTCTGCTCCAGTGGTCCCTGAGCAGTCACTGCTGTGGGAGAGAAAAGCTATCCTTCTATGTCACTTCGATGCAAAATTTGTGACTCGCAAAATATTAACTGACTGATGTTTAGAGACACGTCATCCTTGGCAGAATCAGAGGCACAACTTCCCTTGAAAAGCTCGAGGCAGGTGGCTTTGGCCACCTGGCCCTCCTAAAGACATCTGGTCTCTTTCTTTCAAGTCAAGGGCAGAGACTTGGGGCGTTTGGAGAGAGGTCTGATGTGACTTTCCACTTTAAATCGTGAAAGAGGGATGCTGGAAGCATGGCTTTATCACTCCCTTCTCAAATCAACCTACCCACCTCTTCTGAAATGAATGCTGGTTACTGGGTGGGCTGAGTCCTCCCTGCCCCAGACAGGTGGCAGTAGAAAGCGGTTGAGAGTGGCAGCAACTTGGAAGACTTACAAGGCTTACTCATAAATATGTAGATTGCCTAGTGAGGATGTAGATAATGTACATTGCCTATTGATAAAAGTATCACTAGGCAATCTATTTAGAAATACACATGCATATGTATAAATACTACTTTATATATAATGTATATATACATATATGCACATATATATCAGTAAGGATTCATGAACATTTATTTTTATTTATTTATTTTTGAGTCAGAGTCTCGCTCTGTCTCTAGGCTGGAGTGCAGTGGCACAATCTCAGCTCACTGCAACCTCTGCCTCCTGGGTTCAAGTGCTTTCCCTGCCTCAGCCTCCCGAGTAGCTGGGACTACTCCCAGCTGGTGTAGTAGTAGTAGCTGATGGCACACTCCACCATGCCCAGCTAATTTGTTTTTATATTTTAGTAGAGACTGGGTTTCACCATGTTGGCCAGGATGGTCTTGATCTCCTATTTTGCATTGCATGTGCTTTATTTTGTTGCTCAGATTATTCCAGCTCTGGCTATTGGGAGTTCTTTCAGTAGTTCCTGTGTCCCTCCGGCATAATCTCATTCTTGTGGGGTTTTTAAACACTTCTTTACTTCCTGGCACTACACGATGCTCTAGGCTTCTTTTGTATAATTCCTACCCCAGCCCTATCTAAGGATTTCTGATTCCTTTTATTGGAGAAAAGCATTAGAAACCAAGATGTGGGCACTGGGTGTGCTTATTGTGACTAGAGTGTCAACGGAAATTCTGGAGATTAAAAGTATAATAATTAAAGTAGAAAATTTACTAGAGAGGTTTCATGGTAGATTTGAATTGGCAGAAGAGATAATGAACAAATTAAATGATAAATACAGAGTATTCAATTTGGAGAATAGATAGAAAAAAACTAACACAGCTTCAGTGAAATGTGGAATACCACTAAGCACCCCAACCTACATGTATTGAGAGTGCCAGAAGGGAGGAGAAATAGAAGAAGACAGGAAAAGTGCTCAAAGAAATAATGGCTAAAAACTTTCCAAATCTGATGAAAAATACTAGCCTCACATCCAGGAAGCTCAATACTGCAAGTGGGATAAAAACAAAGAGAAACACACCCAAACACATCATAATCAAAACGTGAAAGACAAACACAAACAGAAAAGTTTGAAAGCAGTTGATGACAGAAAAATCCAAATTTTGCCAAAATATATTTAAAGAGGTTTATTCTGGGCTAATTTGTGTGACTATGGTCCAGGTTACACAATCTCAAGAGGTCCTGATAAAGTGTACCTGAGGAGGTTGGGTTATAGTTTGGTTTTATGTTGGGAACAGGCCCCCAGATCTGGCCATAAACAAAATCTCTGCAGCACTGTGACATGTTCGTGATGGCCATGATGCCCACACTGAAGGTTGTGGGTTTACTGGAACGAGGGCAAGGAACACCTGGCCCACCCAGGGCGGCGTTCCTAAACCACAAACAATAGGATGAGCGATCTGTGCCTTAAGGGCATGTTCCTGCTGCAGATAACTAGCCAGAGCCCATCCCTTTGTTTCGGCCCATTCCTTTGTTTCCCATTTTAGTTAATCTATAATCTCTAGAAACAATGCTTATCACTGGCTTTCTGTCAATAAATATGTGGGTAAAACTCTGTTCATGGCTCTCAGCTCAGAAGGCTGTCAGCCCCCGATTTCCCACTTCACACTTTATATTTCTGTGTGTGTGTCTTTAATTCCTCTAGTACCACTGGGTTAGGTTCTCCATGACTGAGCTGGCCTTGGCAGTTTTACAGATTTCAGGGAGACAGGAATTGCAGGTAAAATAATAAATTGATATGAGAAGGGTGCACACTGGTTTGGCCAGAACAGGCGGGACATCTCAAAGCGGGGGCTTACAAGTCATAGGTGGGTTTAGGGGATTCTTCAGTTGCCAGTTGGTTGAGACAGTTAAGCTATCGTCTAAGGACTTGAAATCAGTGGAAAGGAATGCCTGAGTTAAGATTAGGAAGTTTTGGAGGCTGAGGTTATTATGTAGATGAAGCCTCATGGGTGGCAGCTCTCAGAGATATAATAGTTGGTGAATGACTCTTTTCAGACTTTAAAGGTGTCAGGCTCACAGTTAATCTCTCCTAGAGCTGAGAAAGCCTGGAAGGGAAAATACCTGGTTATATTCATGGAGATTCTCTGTAGCTGCAAATTTTCCCCATAAAAGATGGTTTTGCAGGGCCATTTTAATCTGTTGGCACTATGGCAGCCATTTCAAAGTATGTTAAAGAAATATATTTTGTGGTAAAATATTTTTATTAGTATTTCCTTTAGAGTCTGCTATCTGTCATGTGATAGTATACCAAAGTCAAGTGGAAAGCAAGCCACATTTAATAAAAACCTGTCTGGTGAGATTTTTATGGTTTGTAGAGCAGGACTCCCCAGTCCCCTTTAGATAGGAATTTGGGCAAGAGAAAAAAAGGTCCCTATTTAGTCCTCACAGCAAGAGAAAAAAACAAAAAACAATTCATGCGAAGGGACACCAATAAGATTAACAACTAACTTCATTAGAAATAATAGAAGCCAGATGGCAGTGGAATGAAATAGTGTTGAAAGACAAAACACGGTCAACCAAATATCTTATTTCCAGCAAAACCATCTTGAAATATAAAGGTGAAATAAAGACATTCCCAGATAAAAACTGAGATAATTTATTGCTAGCAAATCTGCCTTACAAGAAATACTAAAGGAAGTTCTTCAGACTGAAAACAAGCAACACAAGACAGTAATTCAAATCCACACAAATAAACAAAAGTGTCAGTAGACTGCATAATTGCATACCTTCGCTTTATTTTCTTGCCTTACTTAAAAAGTAATTACATAAAACAATATATGTAATATAAAAGTGTATTGTTGGGCCTCAAAATGGCCTCAAAAAATGGGGAGAGAATGGAGGAATATAAGGGTAAAGCTATATTTCTCTGGAAATGTCAGAATAAACTTGATATATTAAGATATATACTGTAAGCCCTAGGGAAACCACTTAAAAAACCCTCAAAATATAATATAAAATTTATTTAAGAAATTAGTGATGTCTAGTGTTACATTAGAAAATATCTACTTAATACAAAATGAAACAATAAAGGAGAAATCATGTAACAAAGATGATAAGAGACCTATAGAAAAAGGTAAAATGTCAAATGTCAATCTAACTATATTGATCATAACATTAAATATGAAAGAATTAAACACTCCAATCAAAAGGCAGAGATTGTCAGGTTGAATTTTTAAGAGATTGAGGCCAGGCACGGTGGCTCACACCTGTAATCCCAGCACTTTGGGAGGCTGAGACAGGCAGATCACGAGGTCAGGAGATTGAGACCATCCTGGCTAACATGATGAAATCCCATCTCTACTAAAAATACAAAAAATTAGCCAGGCGTGTGTGGGCGGCAAGCCACCCAGGTGCTGAGGCAAGAGACAGAGGACACGAGCTGTTCCAGTATAATAAAATATAAAACAAGAATAGTTATACCAGATATAGATCTTAGATATGATTATATATGAATATCATTAATCATTAGTTTGTAGCAATTACTTTTTATTCCAATATTATAATAATCCTTGCTTTATAATCATAGCCAAGGAAAAACCAGGCCATACGGAGATAGGAGCTGAGGGGACAGTGAGAAGTCACCAGAAGACAAGAGTGCGAGCCTTCTGTTATGCCCAGACAGGGCCACCAGAAGGGCTACTTGGTCTAGCAGTGACGCCAGCGTCTGGGAAGATGCCCATTGCCAGGCAGACCGTGGTCTAGCGGTAGCAAAAAGTGTCAAGGAACAACACCAGCTGCTTAGCAGACCGGGAAAGGGAGGCTCCCTTTCCCTGGGGGAGTTTAGAGAACACTCTGCTCCTCCACCTCTTGTGGAGGGCCTGACATTAGTCAGGCTTGCCTGCAGTTATCCGGAGGCCTAACCATCTCCCTGTGATGCTGTGCTTCAGTGGTCATGCTCCTAGTCCGCCTTCATGTTCCATCCTGTACACCTGGATCTGCCTTCTAGATAGCAGTAGTCAATTAGTGAAAGTACTAAAAGTCTCTGATATGCAGAAATAATGGCATAAGCTGTCTTTCTCTCTGTCTCCTCTCCCTCTCTGCCTCAGCTGCCAGGCAGGGAAGGGCCCCCTGTCCAGTGGACACATGACCCACGTGACCTTACCTACCATTGGAGATGACTCACACTCTTTACCCTGCCCCTTTTGCTTTGTATCCAATAAATAACAGCGCAGCCAGACATTCGGGGCCACTACCGGCCTCTGCGCATTGGTGGTAGTGGTCCCCCAGGCCCAGCTGCCTTTTCTTTTATCTCTTTGTCTTGTGTCTTTATTTCTACACTCTCTCATCGCCGCACACGGGGAGAGACCCACCAACCCTGTGGGGCTGGTCCCTACAGGCGTGGTGGCATGCACCTGTAATCCCAGCTACTCAAGAGGCTGAGGCATGAGAATTGTTTGAACCTGGGAGGTGGAGGTTGCAGTGAGCCGAGATCACGTCACTGCACTCCAGCCTGGGCGACAGAGTGAGATTCTGTCCAAAAAAATTTTAAAAATTAAAAAAAAAGATCAAACTACATGTTGTTTACAAGAGACACATTTTATATGCAAAGATACAAATGGGTTGAAAGAAAGGGTGGAAAAGAATACACCATATAAACAACAATTATAAAAGACTTGGAGTGGCTTTCCTATGATCAGACAAAATAGGCTTTAAAACAAATGAGTGGCCAGGTGTGGTGGCTTACACCTGTAATCCCAGCACTTTGGAAGGCTGTGACGGGTGGATCATGAGATCAAGAGTTTGAGACCAGCCTGGCCAAGATGGTGAAACCCTGTCTTTACTAAAGATACAAAAATTAGCCAGGCACAGTGGTGGGTACCTGTAATCCTGGCTACTCGGGAGGCTGTGGCAGGAGAATTGCTTGATCCCAGGAGGCGGAGGTTGCAGTGAGCCAAGATTGTTCCACTGCACTCCATCATGGGCGACAGAGCAAGACTCTGTCTTGAAAAAAAAAAAAGAGCAAAAAGGTTACTAGAGATAAAGAGAAACATTTCACAATGATAAAAGGGTCAACTTATAAAGAAGATATAACAATTATAAATGTATATGCAACTAGCAAGACAGCCCAAAAACATTTGAGATAAAACTGACAGAACTAAAATGGGAAATAATTGATCATTCCAACAATAATAGTTAAGGACTTTAATACCCCACTTTCAATAATGAATAGAACAACTAAGGCAGAAGACCAATACGGAAAGAGAAGAATTGAACAACACTGTAAACAACTAGACCTAATAAACACCAGTGAATATGCCACCAACAACTGTAGAATATGCATTCTTCTCCTGTACACATGGAACATTTCTTGGAATAGACCAATAAACACAATTGTCTTGAGTTAGACATTTAAGCACACCCCAATAAACTTAAAATTATTTAAATGATACAAAATATTTTCTCCACTCACAATGAAATTAAATTAGAAATCAATAATAAAAGCAAATTTAAAATTCACAAATAGTGGGAAATAATACACTTCCAAATAACCAATGTGTCAAAGAGGAAATTTCAAGGGATATTGGAAAATTCATTTAGATGAATAAAAATGAAAACACAGCATACCAAAACTTATGAGATGCAAATAAGCAAATAAAGATGCTCTGAGAAAATTTATACCTCTACCTATATTTTAAAAGAAGAAAGATCTCCAATTAATTACCTAACCTTCCAATTTCAGAAAGTAGAAAAGCAAGAGTAAACTAAAACCAAAGCAAAGAAAAGGAAGGAAGTAATAAAGATTAGAATAGAAATAAAGGAAATAAAGAATATAACACAATAAAGTCAACAAAGTCTAAGGTTTTGTTCTTTTGAACACAGGTTTTGTTCTTTGAAAAGATGAACAAAAGTGACAAATCTTTAGCTATACTGGCCATGAAAAAAAGAGAGAAGACTCAAACCGCTAAAATCTATAAGATTACTGATCTTACAGAAATAAAAAGGAGAATAAGGGAATGCTACAAACAACTGTCTGCCACCAAATTATATAATTTAGAAGAAATAGACAAATTCCTGGAAAGAGAAAACTACCACAACCGGTTCAAGATAAAAATAGAAAACCTTAATAGACTTATAACAAGTAAAGAGATTGAATTAGAATTAAAAACCAAATTGAAACATAGAAAACCTCCCATTAAGAAAAGCCCAGGTCCTAGATTAACTGCCAAATTCTATCAAATGTTCTTAGAATTAGTATCAATCTATAAGTTCAGTATTAGCCTGATACGAAAACCTGACAAAGATATCATAAGAAAAACAAAAACAAAAAAACTCTGGTGAATTCTCTTCTGAATAGAGATGGGAAAATCCTTGAAAAAAATACCAGCAAACTAAATCCAGCAACATATAAAAAGGAGTATGTACCATGACCAAGTGGGATTTATCCCAGGAACACAAGGTTAATTTATCATTAAAAAATCAATTAATGTAACACACCATATTAATAGACTAAGGGACAAAAATCATGTTATCATCTCAATGCAGCAAAAGTATTTAATAAGCAACATTTTTTGTGATAAAAAAATTCAACAAACTAGAAATAAAAGAGAACTTCCGCAATCTGATAAAAAGCATGTACATGGCCAGATGCAGTGGCTCACGCCTGTAATCCCAGCACTTTGGGAGGCTGAGGTGGGCAGATCACAAGATCAGGAGTTTGAGACCAGCCTGACCAAGATGGTGAAACCCCGTCTCTACTAAAAATACAAAAATTAGCCAGGTGTGGTGGCACTCGCCTGTAATCCCAGCTACTCAAGAGGCTGAGGTGGGAGAATTGCTTGAAGCTGGTAGGTGGAGGTTGCAGTGAGCCGAGATCATGCCACTGCACTCCAGCCTGGGTGACAGAGAGAGACTCCATCTCAGAAAAAAAAAAAAGCACGTACAAAAAACTTACAGCAAACTTCGTACTTAATGGTGGAAGATTGAAAACCTTGCCCTCTATAATCAGGAATAAGATGAGGATGTCTGCTCTTGCCATTTCTATTTGACATTGTATTGGAGTTTCTAGCCAGGACAATTAGGAAAGGAAATGAAATAAAAGCATTCGGATTAGAAAAGAAGACGTAAAACTATCTCTGTTTGCAAATAATATTATGTTGAATGCAAAAAACACCTCAAAGAATCCACAAAATAAAAATTATTAGAGCTAATAAATGGCTTAAACAAATTTGAAGGATATAAGATTAACATATTAAGACAAAAATCAGTGTATTTCTGTACACTAGAAATGAACATTGAAAATAAAATTAGGAGAAAAATACATTTATAATTGCATTCAAAACATGAAATACTTAAGTATAAATTAAACAAAATAAGCATAAACCTTGTACACTGAAAACTGTAAACATTGGTGAAAGAAACTGAAAACAATCAAAATTAATGGAGACATACCATCTTCATGGGTCAGAAGATTTAATATTGTTAAAATGACAGTACTGCCCAAATCAACCTGCAGAGTCATCTCAATTCGTATCAAAATCCCAACTGACTGTTTTATAGAAATTGACAAACTGACTATAAAATTCATATGGAAACACAAGGGACTCAGAATAACAAGGAAAACAAATTGAAAAGAAAGGATAAAGTTGAAAGACTCACACTTCCTGATTTCAAAACTTACTACAAAGTGACAGTAACCGAGACAATGTGATACTGTCATGAAGACAGACATACAAATCAATAGAATAGAATTGAGAGTCCAGAAATTAACCTTTTCATTCATCGTCAATTGGTTTTCAACAAGGTGCTGAGACGGTTAAGTGGGGGAAAGAAGTGTCTTCTCAATAAATGACTTTGAACAGCTGTATTTCTATATGCAAAGGAATGAATAACTTCTAACTGATACCATACACAAAAATTAAAACTCAAAATGGATCATAGACCTCAATGTCTATGAGATAAAAGAGTTTAAACTACAAAACTCTTAGAAGAAAACATGAAAGTCAACCTTCATGACCTTGGGTTAGGCAATGGTTTCTTAAATAGGACACCAAGAGCACAAAAATATCAACCAAAAATAGATAAACTGGGCCAATCAAAATTTAAACTTTTATGCTGCAAATAATACCACCAAGAAAGCAAAAGTACACCACCATAGAATTGGAGAAAATATTTTCAAATCATAGATCTGGTAGAAGTCTTATATCCACTATATATTTAAAAATCCTTATAGCTCAATAACAAAAAGACAAAAAATACCATTTAAAAGGGGACAAAGGACTTAAATAGACATTTCTTCAAAGTAAATATACAAAAGGCCAATAAGCGCATGAAAAGCTGCATAATATCTTTCCTCATCAGGGAGGTACAAACCAAAACCACAACCAGATTCTACTCCACATCCTGAGGACGCCTAGGATCAAGAAGACAGATAATGACAGCTGCAGATGAGGATGTGAAGGAACTGGAAGCCTGTTTTGCTGATGGGGTTGCAACATGCTGCAGCTGCTTTGGAAACAGGTTGGCGATTTCTTATAATGTTAAACATAGATTTACAATATGACTTGGTAATTCCACTCTTAAGTGTATATACCCAAAATAAATGAAAACACATGTCCACAATTTTACATGCAAATTTTCATAGCAGCACTATTCATAATAGACAAAAATTGAAATAACTTAAATATTCATCAACCAATAAATGAATAAATAAAATGCATTATATCACTACAAAGAAATATTATTTGGCAATGAAAAGGAAATAAAATACTGACACATTCCACAAAATGTTGACAGGGATGAACCTTGAAAACACACTAGGTGCAAGAAGTTGGTAACAAAGAGCCACATATTATAGGATTGCATTTGTAATGAAGTGTTTAAAACAGGCCAATCCATAGAGACAGAAAATGGATTAGAATTTGCTTAGAGCTGGGAAGTGGGCAGAGAGGAATATGAGTGACTGTTAATGGATAAAGGTTTTCTTTTATGAGAAACAAAAATGTTCTAAAGTTAGATTATGATGATGGTTGCACAACCCTGTGAATATACTGAAACACATCAATTTGTACACTTTAGGTGACTCACATGGTATGCAAATTATATCTCCATGATACTGTTTCTTTTTAAAAAAAACATCACCAGGTTTAAACAGGTCAAAGCTGGCTTTCTTTACATAATAGTAAAAATAATTTCAATGTTATTTTGAACATTCTGGGACATGGGAAAAGATGGGAAATTTTAATTGTGTAAGTGAAACTTTAATTGTATAATTAAAAGAGAACAGAAAAAGATAATTATAAACTGACTCACAATATACATGCAAAAAGAATCTGAATAAAATATTAGCAAATAGAATCCAGAAATATATTTCTAAAAATCCACTATGACCAAGTATTCTGTATCTTTTTTCAGGAATACAAGAGAGTTCAATACCAAGAAACTAGCTACAAAATTTAGTATATCCATTGACCATATGATCCCATCAATAGACACAGAAAAAGCATTTGAGAAAACTCAGCAATTGGTTCTGCAAAAAAAGTCTTGAGAAAAGTAATACTAAAAAGAAACTACTACAAAAGAGATCTCAAAACCCGGCAGCAATTTGCAGCGGAATTGTTCTCCCATGGTGCCTCTACCATGTTGCACCTCTCCTTACAGGCCTCCTAGAGGAGGCTTGACCACAGTCTAAGCTGAGTCCTGGGCATGATTTCTCCTGAAGCAAGGGGAGATTAGCCTGGGGAGGAGTCAGTGAGGGCAGCCCCCGATCCGCATGAGAATGCCTCCTCCAAGGTTTGCTCATCCATCTCCCCAGTTTCCATTGAGCACAAAGCTCTTCCTCACCACTCCCCTGTCCTGTGGAGCTGCCGGCTTCCGTGTAGTCTGTACAAATGCTTGGCTGTAGTTTAGAGAGGACTCCTCAGTCGCAGAGTGACCCACCACTCAAGCCGGCCATCACCTGAGCTTTCTGTTTCAGTCGACCTTTGGAGTAGGGGCCCAGGGACCTGACACCACACTGCTCGTGGCTTTGCTGTCTGTGTGAGTCATAAACTGTCTTGATTCCTCTTGGGCGCACTGTCTTCTTGGCAGCCAGGTCTATGGGAATGAGGCCTGCTGACCTCACAGCCGCAGCCATGCTCCCTTTCGGGATGACTTGGCCGCCTGACACAGATGATATCCAAATCATGAAACACCAAACTAATACAATTAAAACCAGAACTTAGCCAGGAAGGCCCACTATTCTTGTTTGATATTGCACTGAGGGTTCAAGCAGATGCAAATGGCCAAGAAAATAAAACATATAATTTAAGCATTGGAAAAGATACAGCTACTAGTTATTACAACCCAGATATTGTATTAAAAATAAGAATTAAAAATAAAATGTGATAGGATGAGACGATGTCATAGAGTTATGCAGAAACCAATGCATTATCTCTTTTCAAGTGATAGGCAACTAGAAACGGAAAGGGGAAGAATCAGTCTGTTCGCAACAGTGACAAAACCGTGAGCTACTTAGGGATCAGAGGAACAGGACCCAGGAACTGTGTGCCTGGCATCTGCTCACAGCCACTCAGAGCCATTTTCTGTCCCGCCCTGCTCCATACTCTAGTCTCCCTTCCCCTCTGTCTTCCAGTAGATTTGGTCAATGGATGGTGCTGACCCAAGATTGAAGGGTGGGATGAAAGGACACACGAAGCCCTCCTCTCCCTCTCTCTGTTCCAGTGGGACCTCCAGCTGCAGCTGGGTCTCCTCGGTGGTTGTGGGCTCCCACCTGAAAGCCCCTTTCTCCATGGTCCCAGATGGGGCTGAAGTCTTAATATGATTAGAGCATGCTCCACACTGACCCTCCAGGCCCAGCCCTGGGGTAGAAGTATCCTCACCACCATACAGATTAACCCCTACAATCAGTTCCTTGCATTAAATTCCCTCTGCTTGAAAGATCTAGAGAGATTTCCAGTTTCCAGGTCAGAGCCTGACTAATACAATCCCTATGGAAAAAAATGATAAAATCTTATTTAAAGACACAAAACAGACACATTTTTCTGGATAAGAACTTTCAATTTAAAAATGTTAATTTTCCTGAAATTTATCTTTAAGTCGAATGCCATTTCATTAGATTCCCAATAAAGTTTTGGGGGTTTTGGTGTGGTCTTGGTGGGTAGAATTAATGTTGACATTTTTAAGGGAGGATAAATACTCATGCAAGATGAGACAACCCTGCCACTGTTCACACATTGACAACACCCCATGGGTTGGGACAGAAAACCACAAAATGGCCTCAGGATAAGCAAGAAGGTACGACCAAGCTTCATTTGTTTCAGGGTAAAAGGAAGCACCATTTAATTAATGGGACTAGCACACCCAGCGGCAAGCTAGAAGAAAATAAAAGTGGATCCACTCCTTCATCTTAATCAGAAATAAATTCTAAGTGGATTAAAGACTTTAATGTAAAAGAAGTAAGATAAAATAAAAATACTGCAAGAAAATCTGGAAGACCATGCCATCTAGGGTAAGGATTCCTCATTAAGCAAGACTGAAAACTCAGAAGTTCTTAGAAGATAGTATAAACACGCTGAACTATAAAACAATTTAAAGCTCATCTATGAATAGATACCTAAAACCAAGTCAACAGCCAAAGTATAAGTTTAGAAAAACAAAAAGTGGGCCAGATGTGGTGGCTCACGCCTGTAATCCCAGCACTTTGGAAGGCCAAGGCGGGAGGATCACCTGAGATCAGGAGTTTGAAACCAGCCTGGCCAGCATGGTGAAACCCAGTCTCTACTAAAAATACAAAATTAGCTGAGCGTGGTAGTGCATGCCTGTAATTCCAGCTACTTGGGAGGCTGAGGTAGGAGCATTGCTTGAACCCGGGAGGTGGAGGTTGCGGTGAGCCAAGATTGCGCCATTGCACTCCAGCCTGGGCAACAGAACAAAACAAACAAACAAACAACAACAACAACAAAAAAAACACAAGAAATGATTTATGATTAAAACAACATTCAAAAAGCTATTATCTGTAAGATATGAAAAGTGCTTATGAATTGATAGGAGAAAAAAATCCAATCGAGAAAGTGTCAAAAAAATACACATTCACAAGAGTAAATCCAAACGGTTAACATCATATAAGAAATGTTCAAAATTACCAATAATTGGTGAAATACAAGTTAAAGTCACAAGCGGCTGTCACTTAAAACCCACCTGACTCGCAAATTAAAAGAAAAGGGCAGCGCGACGGATTTGGGGAGAGAATTTGAAGAAGAGAGAGCGTGCATCGCTGCTGCTGGGAAGCGGAATTCGGCAGCATTTTTGGAAGGTTATCTAAGAATGTCAGTTCAAAGAAACACCGTCTATGCTTCTTAACCTCCAAATCCCATTTTGTAGTATCTGCTTGGGCAGCCACAGCACAGCAGCGCAGATGGCGCCTTACACGGCAGGAAGAGATTCTCTCACGCTCCTGGCAGCTGAAGGTCTGAGGTCAAGGCGTCCGCAGGGCTGCTTTCTCCTGAGGCCTCCCTCCTGGGCATGTGACGTGGTCTTTTCCCTGGGTCCTCACATGGTTGTTCATCTGTGTGTGTGTGTGTGCGCGCGCGTGTGTGCACACACTTGTGTGCTAATCACCTGTTCTTTTAGGGACACTAGTCATCAGGGCCCACCCTAATGAGCTCATTTTAATTTATTACCTCTTTAGAGACCCCATCTCCAAACTCAAGCACACTCTGCATACCAGGGTGGGGGCTTTACTGTAGGAAACTGGAGGGGACCCAGCTCGGCCCCTTGCAGAGTCCTTGTGCTTGTTTCTGTAGAAATGAAAGCACTGGTCTGCTAAGATGTAAGAACAAGGATGTTTCTACCCACAGCGTTGTTTGTAGAATCAGGAAGAATAACCCTAAAACTGAAAACAAGGGGATCCCCAGAGATGCAGTTCCTCCATGAATCAGGAGGGCCAGCTCAGCCATGGAATATGAGACCATGGTGCTAAGGTGGCTGGCGGGGTTTCCCAAAAGGTGAGGCCATTGAACAGAGAGGGGAAGACCACGGCGTCTGGTCCCCGCAGGCCCCACGAGGCCCAGTGATGGTGATGAAGGCAGGAACATGAGCAGTCGCCTGGCAGGGAGACCACGTGCCGGCAGACAGTGGCTGTGGCCTCGGTGGGGACGCCAGTCAAGGGGACCATGCGGGAGGGGAAGGGCAGAGGGAGGAAAGCCACTGATGGAAGGAAGAGGAAGACCACAGTGGGAGTGACCTGCCCGGAGATGGCCCCCTCATGAGTGTCCGGGCCCTCGGGCTGAGGCAGCAGGCACCCTCTGACCCAGGCCTGGCGGGGAAGGACAGCCTGGGCCTGGACCTGTGAAGGAGACCGCTGGAGGGCCCCAGCGAAGGGGACCCTTCGGGGACCTGACTTTGCAGGCAGGGAAGGGCTGGGCACCCAGGAGAGAGGCCTCTGCTCCCTGCTCCTGTCCCTCCATCTATGGCCATGTTGTAAACAAGCAGAGAGGCACGGTTTGGCTCTCTGGGGACAGCAGAGGCCTTCTTAACACCGGCTCAGCACACAGCTCCTCCTGAGTGTCCCCTATGCTGGCAGCTCTGCAAGGCTTAGCCATCAGGGTGGTCTCCTCCTCCAGGGCTAGCAGGGTCCCTGCTGGAAGCGCTCTGCCCACTCAAGGAGGCCCACCCAGAATAATCTCCCTTCGGAGTAACTCGAAGTCAACTGCTCCGTACCCTGTCCCCTCCAGTGGAGAGGGCTGCACAGGGCATGCCAGAGGGGGCCTCAGGGGTCCCCTTAGAATCCTGGGAGGAGGAGAGGTGAGGGTGAAGGGAAGAGGAAAAGGGACAAGGACGGCCCCAAGGAAGGAAAGGGCATTTAGGCACCGCTCACCCAACCCTCCCCTCAATCCTGCAAATGGGTGTCCCAGCTGAGGGGACAGGTGGGTTGCTGGAAGGACACCCCCAACATTCAATGCTGCTCTCGGGATGCCCTCCAGACCCCTGCCCCTCCCAGGCAGGCCCTGTAGCCCACCTCCCCTCCAAGCCCCTCTCCCAGCAGTGGGGAGCCCGGGCTTTGTCCGCAGATGGGCCGAGAGCCTCTACCCAGCACGTGACGCCGGAGCCCCAGGTGAGATCCTGCCATGGGCAGGGTCTCTGACCAGCACCTTGTTCACTGCTCTTGTGGTGCCCTGCAGGCTTGGCACCCCCTGCCCCCACCCGGCCCCTTTTCACAGCTCTATTATCCCGGGAATGTCCACTGTCCATGGAAGTCCTTGCAGCTAGAGGTCATCCAGGCTGTTTGTCCTCGTCTGTCACATTTGAGTGGCCGGCTCCAATAGCATCTCAATCTGCCCACCACAGCACACATGACATCCTACACCAAAGGTGACATCCTAGGCCTGGGGGTCCCCGGGCAGTGAGAACTGGATCCGAGCCCGAATCAGCCTCCTCCTGCATGAAAGGAGTGAGGTGAGGGGCGTGTGAAGGAATCCGAAACAGGACAGCTTCATCTCGCGGCTCCGTGGCAGAGGGAAGTGTGGGCGCTCGGAGACGGGCCTCTCGCTTTGTCTGGGTGAGGGGAGGAGGCCTCCTTGTGGTTCTTGGTCTCCCTTCCTCCCACTGGCAAAGGCTTCCTCCCTGGGTTGGAGGTCAGTGTTCGGGCTGGGCACAGGGTTCATTATAAACCAAATATTTGAGTCCCCCAGAATTCCTGTGTTGAAATCTTCACCCCCACGGTAATGGTCTTAGGAGGTGGGGGCTTTGGGAGGTGATGAGGTAATGAGGGGGAAGCTGCAGGAACAAGACTCGTGCCCTTGTGAAGGGGCCTAGTGAGACACTTGCTGCTCCCCACGTGAGGACACAGTGAGGAGACGCCATGGAGAAGCCAGGAGGCGACTCTCCCAGACACCAGATGCGCCATGCCACTATCTTGGGCTTGCAGCCTCCAGGTCTGTGAGGAATAAATGTCTGTCGCTCACAACCCCCGAGTGTGTGACACGCAGTTACAGTGAGGAATAAATATCTGTCACTCACAACCCCTGAGTGTGTAACACGCAGTTACAGTGAGGAATAAATGTCTGTCGCTCACAACCCCCGAGTGTGTGACACACAGTCACAGCAGCCTGGAGGGGCTAAAAGAGGGCTCATAGCAAGGGCTCGAGCTCTCGGCCCTGGAGGCACATGCTGTGTGACCTTGGGCAGGTACGTGACCTCTCTGTTCCCTGGTTTTCTCAGGTGTAAAGTGGTGGTGGGAATCACTACCTAATAGGGTTGTTGTGAAGACGGGTGTGGGAGGCCTGTGGCGCCTGCGCAGGGGAAAGGCTGTGGGTGTCCGTCCAAGCAACAGTCAGGGCTGTGTGGTCATCCCTGGCTGTGGGATCCACAGGGCTGGAAGTCTGCCTCTGGTGACTATGTGACCCTGGGCAGGTCTTCCTGGCCCTGGCTGCAAGAGGGCCCCAGAGTAGCCCTCCACGGTTTCCTGGTAAGGGCACAGAAAGGGGCTTCCCAGCCGTGGATGACGTCAGAAGAGGCTGTGGGAGCAGCAGGGGCAGAGAGGATGCCAAGAGCATTCCCCACCCTCCATGGGGCCTTCCCCAGGCCTCCCCCACCTGGGGATCGGGGATACGCCCTCTCCACCCAGCTATCTCCCACCCACCTCTCCTGGGATCTGGGAATAGGAAAGCTGTTTGCTCAAACACGCCTGGGCCCCCAGGCACAGAACACAGTCAGTGTTCCTGGGGGCAGCGCCAAGGGTGGCTGGGGGCGAGCTGAGGCCCAGCGTTCCTCCCTGATGTCAGGCGTGTCTGGAAGCCATTCAGCATTCATCAGCCCTTTGACTTCTCCCTCAGTGGCTCTGCAGGTAACTATCTCTATGTTGATTTGTGTTCTCTGCCCCTTCAGGGAGCCTGGGGTCTGAAGCAACTCTCAGACTGTCAGGCAAATGACGCTGTCAGAGATGTCAACCCCTCTCCCAGTGATAAGAGTCGCACACCTGGTCAGTGGCCACCCTGGAGTTGGGTCCAACCCTGCCTTTTCTGCAAAGTGTGGACAAACCTCAGAAAGCCTGGAGAGAGAGGGAGCTAGGGACAGAGGAGGGGAGGAGAGAGGAACTGGGGTTGGGGGATCCGAAGGAGAACAGGGCTCCTGGCTCCGTGGCTTCCCGCTAGCTCAAGATGGTCCCCTTGGTCCCACATCAAGTCTCACAAAACTCCTAGGAGCATCAGCATCAAAAAGACAAACAACCCAACCAGGAACTGGGCACAGGAGTTTAAAAGACATTTCTCCAAAGAAGACCTGCAAATGGCCAGCAAGCACATGAAAAGACTCAACGCCATTAGTCATTAGAGAATCCACCAAAACCACAGCGAGATGCCACTTCTCACTCCTCAGGATGGTGAGGAGGAGTAGAAGGGGAAGGAGGGGAAGGAGGGAATGAAGGAGAGAGGGAGGGAGAGAAGAAAGGAAAGAAAGAGGGAAGGAAGAAGGGAAGGAAGGAGGGAGGGAGGTTAGGAAGGAAAGAAGGAGGGAAGGAAGGAGGGTGGGAAGGGAAGGAGAGCAGGACAGAGAAGGAAGAAGGGAGAGAGGAAGGGAGGGAGGGTGGGAAGGAAGGAGGGAGGAAGGAAGAGAAGGAAGGTAGGAGGGAAGGAAGGAGGGTTAAAAGGAGGGAGGGAGGAAAGGAAGGGTCACAGGAGGGACTCCAAGGCCCTGGGCTCCCATTAGGGGCTGCTGGGCAGGCAGGTTGTGCTGGAAATGCAGGTGGAAACAGGCATGGGGACCCTGGAGGCAGGAGATGGTCACAGCCCCAGCTGCTCTCTGTAGAAAATAGCGAGTGTTGGTGAGGACATGGAGGAATTGGAGCCTTGCCTGCCGCTGGTGGGAATATAGAACAATGCAGCCACTGGGTGGAACCCAGCAGGAACCTGGGAGGCCTTCGATGTGATTTGGCAACCAGCGGAGTGAGGCACCAACCACATGCTAACAGGGGCTGAGCACACCATGCTGGGCGAGGCAGCCAGTCACAAAGGCCACACAGCAAATGGCCCCTTCTATACGAAGTGCTTAGAACAGGCAAAGCTGTTAAAGACAGAAAGTAGCTTTGTGGTTGCCAGGGGCTGGGGTTGGGGCAGATGGGAAGTGGCCACGATGGATATGGAGGTTTCTTTTGGGGGTGGTGGAAAGGTTCTAACATCAGATGATGGTAATGGTTTGATTGTGCAGCTTTGTAGATATACTAAAAACCATTGAATTCTGCACGGGCAAAAAGTCTGGGAGGTATGAGGCAGAATCAACATCTTACAGAAGAGGAAACTGAGGCTCGGGCATTTTAAATAAAAGTTGTCTTACTGCTGTGCCCGATGCCTTGAAAAGCCGGCTAAGACTTCTCATGGGAACTGTCTCCTCAATAGGCCCCGGCTGGCCCCTCTCCAGCCCTTCCCCAGGGAACCTTCCCTGCCAGAGCCTGCCCTGACCCCCTGTTCACACGCAGCACCTCACCAGGAGCAGGTCTGGGGACAGTAGTGGGTGGCTGCATATCCAGCTGCCATGGCTCCTTCAGCTTTCTCCTGAGAAGGGAAGGGAGGTGGTGCTGCAGGGGAGAGGAGGGTGCAGAGGAGATGCCACTGGCAGCAGGAGGTAGACGCAGCCCAGCTGCTCTCTCAGGAGTGCAGAGGGGCTGAGTCCCCACACCAACGGCCCTGCATGCCTGGCCCAGAAGCACGGGGTCTCACTAGCATAGCACTGGTGTCACACGGGAGAGACTCCGAGGCCCTGGGCTCCCGTCAGGGGCTCCTGGGCAGGCAGGTTGTGCTGGAAGATGCAGGTAAGGACAGACATGGGGACCCTGGAACAAGGCAGGTCCTGCCTGTCTGCATGAACCCCAGGACAGCCATGGCCCCTGCCTATGAACCTCTTGGTTAAAAAGCCCCATGTCATGGAGGCAGCATTGGGCCCCTCCAGATAGAAAGAAACCCCTATGGCATGGAGCCAGAATCACCCCAGACATCCTCTTTCAGATTTTTCAATTTTATGTTCACTTACTTTTAGGCAAATGGGAAAAGGTTGGAGGTACCCAGCCTGCCCAGCCTGCGTGGTTTTGTGGTGGTCCCACACTGAATCATCTGTCAGAGGGCTGTCTGTGGTCCCTCGGGGCTGGGGTCTACACCCCCTTGTCAGGACTGCAGGCCTGGCACTGCTGCGTGGCTCAGGGCTGCCACCTTCCCGCACTGATGAAGGGCTGACCGCGCCTGACGCCATTAATTGAGCTTCCTCCGAGTGGGACAAGCGAGCGTTCTCGTTTCTAGGATGATCAAGTTTTGCCAGAGCTTGAGCAAAGCTACTCAGTCATGAGATTGGAAGGTGGGAGCCCCACGTGGCTGGAACTTCATTCCTGCAGAGAAGATCCCTCCAGAGAGGCCCCAGGCCCAGCTACGGAAATAAATGCAGCCACACCCCATTCCCCTTCAGATGACACGGACTCCCCAGATTCCCCACTGTCAGCCCAGCGTTCAGCTTCACGGTTGTCTCTACCCCGGCTCACCCGGTGAGCCTCTGCCCTGGAGCTGACAGGGCCACAGCCAAGGCCCCATCCCTTCATCTTGGCTGGGGCGGAACCTCTCTGCCGCCATGGGCAGCACTTCTCAGAGGGCCAGGGGCTGCTGTGTGGACTACCGTCCTCGCACAAGGCAGCAAGTGCTCCATGTCCGTGGCGCTGGGGGAGGGAGGGGGTCGCCAAGGACCTGCCTGCCTGCCTGCCTTGGGATGCTCTGGGTTCTCAACTAGATGCTGCCTGGACCTGTGGAGTGGCCCCAGGACCCCATCCACGCTGCCTGGGCCCTGCCAGCTGGGGCCTCCAGTCTGCCGGTGCGACCTCACTGGCCCCTGGGTCTGGGGTCCCCTGGGTCTGCTATGGGAGGCAAGGGGGCACTGTGAGATGCCACTTCTCACTTCTCAGGATGGCAGAAACTCAGCCCTGAGAGAGACTATGTCCAGACACCACATTTAGGGCTCTGGCGTGTGACAGGTGTGGCAGTGGGTGGGGTGCGCTCAGTGACCTGGACCGAGAGCAGGCCCGAGGCCCAGCAGGGACTCAGAGAAACATGGAGTGCCAGGCAGGAGGCCCAGGGGCCAGGAGGGGCCACGGTGCTCCCAGGCCTCGCATCTACCCATTTCAGCCTTCTAAGATCTGCAGCCAGAGGTCCAAGAACAGGCAGAGGAGGCCCGTATGGGGGTGCTGCAGCAGAGGGAGTGGGGTTACCAGCCAGCGGCCAAGGCTCACAGGAGCAGGACCTCCCAGGCCACGCAAGGGAGAGGACATTTCCAGTAACGGCGTTTCAGAATTCCTCCTCCCTAGGGGTCCAGGGCCTTCCTCTGCTCCGAGGAATTCTCAGGCCAGTCCCTGAGACAAGACAGGCTGGAGGGAGGCATGCTGAGCAGGCAGGGCCCGGTGTGGGACCCTCCGCGGGAATCGTCCGAGCAGCATCTGGAGAAGGCGGAGGGTGGGAAGCTCGGTGGAGTGTACCCTCTAGTCCGCCTCTCTTGCTCCCCTCCTGCCTCCCGAGGCTCCCTGCAGGACTCCCCGACCTGCCTGCCTCTCACCCATAAGGTAGGTCTACAGCAGGTCAGTCTGCTGGGGGCCCAGGTGTGGGACTTGAGTTCTCCTGGGGCCACAAATGGCTTGAAGGGTGGCCTCAGGCAGGGCAGGTGACCCCTCCCTAGTCTGAGGTTTTTGCTTCTAGGAGACTAGAAGTCCCTGGAGTCCCCCAGGTGTTAAAGTCTGGGAGGAGAGACTCTGCCTAGCGCCTCGTGTGGGATGTCCTGAAGTCCAGGCCAGCCCAGGAGCCTTCCTGGGGGTTTGGAATCACTGCTGTAGGGTACTCACCCCTGCAGGGAGCTGTCCAATGGAGCTGGGGCCTCTCTGAGGCAGTGGCCTGACAGGCTGGGCCACCCAGAGCCGCCACCCGGGAGCCCCAGGACCTTAGGCATGTCCAGCTCACCTTGCGGAAACATCTCTTGACTGCCGCGGTGGGTCTGGCTGCAGAATTCCCATCCGTCTCCACGCTCCTTTGAGAGCGCACAGCAGAACTGCTGCCCGCGCAGCCTCGTGGGTCCCTCCTGACCCTAGATGAGGCGGGCTCCTCCTCCCTGGGCACCAGGTGCTCCTGGGAACCAGGTTTAGCACGCTTCTGCATGAGACGGGTTTCACGATCACTCCGTGCCGTAATTAGATATTAAAAATCTCTGTGTCTTCATAAAATTACATGGAATGAATAATAGAGTATCACAGTTAGAAAGTCATCAAAATGTAATAAAATGGTGTTATTACGAAGGCTTAAATTTTAATGATGTTTTTTAGTATGTCACTTATTGTGTAATTACAAAATAAGATAGAGTAATTAAACGGAGACTTGGGGCTTTGCAGGGGGCTGGGGCTGGGAGGCTCCTGATTCTATCCAGAGTGGGCACTGGAGAGGGAGCAGCCAGCCTCCTGGCGGCAGGGCCTGGGTTGGGGGTGTGGCCCGGCATGGGCTGACCTTCTGCCGTCCTGGAGGTGAGGGGCTCGGGAGGACAAGGCCTTGGGACTTGTAGAGCCCCCCCTGTATCTCAGCACACAGGGCCGACCTCAGGCTGCCAACGCCCACAGCTCTTTGCCAAATGCCCTGGGACCTCCTGCTGTCTCTGTCACAGGGCAGAAGTGCCATGAAGTTAGCCTCCTCGGGAGCTGGCCTGGAACAGAGAGCCTGGGATGCGTGGCTGGATGTCCCGGCTCATGGGCTCTCGGGCGGATCATGCTGCTGCTCCCCCTCCTGCAGGGAGCCCTTCGTGGATGCCCTTCCTCCTTGTCTCCTCTGGTTGCCATAAAACTCTTTTGCACAGGAGGCTTATGCCTACTCCTGTGTCACCTTTGGGATCAGCCTCCAGGCCTGCCCAGTGCTGTAACTCTGCTCAGGACAGCAAGATGATTTCAGAAGAAGAGATCGGGCACTCTCAGCCTCCCTGAGGCTAGTCAGAGCAGCCCTGGCTCATGCAGCTGCTGCCATGGACTGGGATCCCAGGCTGCTCTCCACCTTTTTCCTTCCTGGGAAGCACTGCCAGTCCTTATTCCTCCAAATGACCAGGACAGGAGCTCAGAGGGGAGGTTATCCCCACAGATGGGCTCCTAGGACAGCACCTGCAAAGGTGCCCTCTGTGGTCCCGAGAGCCAGTGCCTGGCATGGCCGCCCGCTTTAAGCTGTGGCTGTGGGCAAGTGTGTGCTCTCCAGGAAGAAGGGGCCTGTTGCCTCACTGTAGATCATCCTTAAAAAAGAAACTAGAGACACCCCGAGTGCCTCTCTGCAGCCCCACAAATCTGGAGAGGAGGGAGCTGAACAGAGAGAGCTTAGGCTTTTAAATTTTAAATGGCCAATTTGGTCAATGAATCAGTTTCACTGGGCTGAGGCTGCATGGAGACGAAAGTGGTTTTAAGACCTATTGAAGGCAGTGAGAGCCTCTTTGTCCACACTTTTCTCAGACTGCCACCCTCTAATATTTCATCTATGTTCGTATTTATGGCTTTCTAAATTATAGATATCAGCTAAAAAACTGAAAAACAGAGAGGGTGAGGAGGGGAGGGGGAAATTCACTACTGTTGAAAAGAAAGGTAAAGTTATGCCTCCGAAAGCCAGTGTGCTGGATCATGACCTGGAACTCACAGCCGGTCCTTCCATATCTGGGCTTATTCCTCATCTGGTCCATGACCCAAGCTGGGCCTTTGCTGCCCATGGGACAAAGAGTGAGGCAGACAGATGTTCCTCTAGTGAGGAGCTCATGTTCTAGTGGGAGAAGGAGAGAGACCTCCTAAAAGTGAGCAAGACAAAGACCCTGGTACTTGGGACAACACAGAGTGGGTGAGGCAGGGCCGTGGAGGAAGGAGATGAGAGCAGGGTAGGAGTGACCTGCCCTTGTGCAAGCATTTTCTTTCCAACTTCCACCATGCTCAGACTGTAACTTGAAGTTATGATGCCCATTCCTGGGAATTCATGTTCTACAGATTTGGAATAATTCTGATCTAATTGGCTAAAAATTAATGTGTACTTTATCTTTGATAAAGGGCTTGTTCTACAATTTGTAGTATAAAGGAATCATAACATAAACACTTTAAACCAGGGGTCAGCAAACTGTTTCTGCAATAGGCCAGCTAGTAAATAGTTTAGCCTTGGTGCATCAGGCAATCTGTTGCAACTACTAAACTCTGATTTTGTTGCATGAAAGCAGTCATAGACAGTGATATGGTTTGACTGTGTCCCCACCCAAATCTCAAATTATAGCTCCCATAATTCCCACATGTTGTGGGAGGGAACTGGTGGGAGGTCATTGAATCATGAGGGCAGGTCTATCCCGTGCCGGTCTCATGATAGTGAATAAGTCTCACAAGATCTGATGGTTTTACAAAGGGGAGTTCCCCTGCACATGCTCTCTCTCTCTTGTCTGCTGCCATGCTGGGGAGCTGGCCACACCGAGAGCTGCCTTCTACTACTATTTCTGGGCCACGTCCTCCACCCTCAAAACAGCAAACCCATCTCCAATGCCAGACTTGGGGCTGCACATGGCCAGGGCAGAAGTAACTGTGAACTCACAGAGGACAAAAAGAAGAAAGAGAAAGGGAACCCCTTCAGTGCTGTGGCTGAACTATGTTTGCTGTAATTTCTCAATTTCTTTGTGAAAATGTAATCGTGGTCCCAGAGCATGTGGGGCCCTCTGCACACTGACAGCAGGAAGGAGACTCACTGCAGGGACCACAGAGAGCCACCACCTGGGCCCTTGCCCTCATGGGCTGGGAGGCTGGGGGGCTGGGGAGGGTCTGTGGGTGTGGATAGCAGAGAGTCTCTGGGGCTGGGGCCCCTCCTCCTCCCTGTCTCTCAGACAAGGCATCAGGGCCCCACCTGGGACCACACTGGCCTATCACAGGCAAGGTGACCTTGGCCAGCTGGCTCCTGAGTGAGGCTGGGGAAGGAGACAGGAGGCAATGGGCCTGGATTTGGGATGGCTGCCCCGCTGGGAGCTCCTAGGAAAAGGTGTCACCCTAAGAGGCCAAGAGGGAGGTGAGCCTCAGGGCTGATGTCCACCCTGCAGCCTTCGCCTGACCTTCAGTTCTGGGGGGCAGCTTGGGGACCCCCACCTGCCACCGTCAGCCTTTCCACCTGCAGGATCAGGATCCTCCTCACAGGCAACTTAAAACCTGAGGACATCACAAAGCAGGAAATTAGTTCCTAAGCAGAAACCCCCCTCCCACCCCCGCTCCAACCCCTCTCCTCCTCTCCAGCCTCCCTGACCCTCCTAGCATGCTGGCTCCCCCAGCAACACTGCCCTCCTCTCAGACACACGCTCCCTACCTGCCTGCACCCTTACCCCACCCAGCCTCCTCTGGCCATCCTGGTCCCTAGGTTCAGCCTCCTCATTCCCTGTCCCTGCTCTGTCCCACCCAAGAAGCAGTGCACAGCCCCTCCCCTTCTGCGCACCTCCCTGGAGACCTCGCCCAGCATCTTGGCGCTAGGCACCTCGGACAGTCTCCCCACTTGTCTGCCATTAAGGTGACCACTTATGCTAGAAGCTTCCAGCAGGGCAACCACCCCATTGCAGACCCCCTTCCTCCTGCCCCCTGCCCCAGGCCCAGGCTCAGGCTGGGAGCAACTGCCCAACACAGGGCAGCCACCATGGGGGGTCAGCTGGCCGGGGACACCTTCTCAGTGTTTGGCCATTTCCTCACTGGCACCCTACTCAATGAACACTGTAAGAGATAGTTATTAGAAAAAGTATTTCTCTATGAAATCTCCCTAACATTGGAAGAAGCGACTGTTACCCCATATATGCAAAAATCAATTTAGGACCACAAGAAAAAAGGAAATATTACACCTCCAAAGAAACACAATAATTCCCCATTAACAGACTCTAAATTGTAAGAGTATATCAAATGGCTAAGAAGAAATTCAAAATAATGATCTTAAGGAAACTCTATGAGATACGAGAGAATACAGATAGACAAATCAATGAAATTAGAAAAACAATTTATGATCTTATGGGAAATTCAACAGGATATATATGTCATTAAAAACCAGACAGACATCTTGGAGCTGAAGAATTTAAGGAATAAAATAAAAAACACAATGAAGAGTCCAGGTGCAGTGGCTCATACCTGTTATCCCAGCACTTTGGGAGGCCAAGGCAGTGGATCACTTGAGGCCAGGAGTTCAAGAAAAGCCTGATGAAAATGGCAAAGTCCTGTCTCTAAAAAATACAAAAATTAGTTGGGTTTGGTGGCGCATGCCTGTAATCCAAGCTACTTGGGAGTCTGAGACACAAGAATTGCTTGAACCCAGGTGGTGGAGGTTGCAGTGAGCCAAGACTGTGCCACTGCACTCCAGCTTGGGTGGCAGAGTGAGACCCTGTCTCAAAAAAAAAAAAAAAAAAAAAGAAAAATACAATCAAGAGATTTAAAAACAGACTTGGGAGATATGACCAAAATCTAGGAAGCTCAAAGGTTCTCAAATAGATTCAACCCAAAAAGGTCTTCTCTGAGGTGCATGATAGTCAAACTGTCAAAAGTCAAAAAGAGGGAATATTCGTCAGGTGAGGTGGCTCACATCTGTAATCCCAGCACTTCAGGAGGCTGAGGCGGGTGGATCACTTGAGGCCAGGAGTTCAAGATGAGCATGGCCAACATGAAGAAACCACATTTCTACTAACAATACAAAAAAATTAGTTGGGTGTGGTGGCATGCACCTGTAGTTCCAGCTACTTGGGAGGCTGAATCACGAGAATTGCTTAAACCCAGGAGGTGGAGGTTGCAGTGAGCCAAGATCACACCACTGCACTACAGCCTGGTGACAGATTGAGACTGTATCCAAAAAAAAAAAAAAAGGAAATATTAAAAACAGCAAGAAAAAAGCATCAAGTCACATATAAGGGAAACTCCATTTGATTAACGGTGGATTTCCCAGTGGAAACTTTACAGGTCAGTAGACAATGAGATGGGATGATATATTCAAAGTACTGAAAGGAAAAAAAAAAAAACTGTCAACCAAGAATACTATACCCAGCAGAGCTATCCCTAGAAATGAGGGAGAAATAACGTATTTCCCAGACAAGCAAAAACTGAAGGAATTCATTACCACTAGACTGGCCTTACAAGGACTGCTTAAGGTGGTTCTACTTCTGGAAGCAAGAGGATGATTACTATTGTGAAAACATACAAAAGTATAAAACTCACTGCTAGCGCAGATATACACATGAGAAAGAGAAAGGAATCAAACTTTATCACTACAGAAAATGACCAAACCACAAAGATTAAAAAAAAATAGAAGAAGAAAAGAACAAAGGATATATAAAACAACCAGAAAAAAAATGAACAAAATGACAGGATAAAGCCTCATCTATTAATAGTAACCTTGAATATAATGTAAACAGATCAAATTCCCAATTAAAAGATATAGAGTTGGCTGCCAAGATTAAAAAAAAAAAAAAGTCCCACTGTATACTGCCTACAAGAAACTCACTTCAACTGTAAAGGTTCATACAGACTGAAAGTGAAGGGATAGAAGAAAATATTCCTGGCAAACAGAAATCAAAAGAGAACAGAGGTAGCCATACTTACATCAGATAAAACAGACTTTAAGTCAAACTGTATGAAGAGACAAAGAAGGTCATTTTGTAATGATAGAGGGATCAACTTAGCAATAAGATATAATAATTGTAAATATATATGTACCTAACACTAGAGCACTCAGATAAACAAAGCAAATATTATTAGGTCTAAAGGGAAAGATAGACTCCAATGCAGCAACAGTTGGGGCCTTTAACACCCCACTCTTACCACTGGACAGATCATCTAGACAGAAAATCAACAAAGAAATAACAGAGTTAAGCTTACTGATAGGAATAAGTTCTGGTGTTCTATAGTGCTGTAGGGTGACTACAGTTAACAATAATTTATTGTATATTTTTACATAGAGAGGATGTTGAGTGTTCCCAACACAAAGAATGATAAATATTTGAGGTGACAGATATGCTGACTATCCTGATTTGATCATTACACATTGTATGCAAGTATTGAGATATCCCTGTGTACCTCATAAATATGAACAAGTATTATGTGTCAGTTAAAAATATTTTTAAAGAATGAAGGAAACCGATTTTTTAAATGAAAGGAAAGAAAATTACCTGACTTGGCTGAATGGCCCCATGTGGTCTCTCATTCTCCAGTAGGCTACTTCAGGCCTGTTCACGTGACGGCAGAGGCAAGAGTCCCAGGAGCGGCAACAAAACAATGCAAATCCTCTTCCGGCCCAGGCTCAAAATTATATATTACTTCTACCCCATTTTATTGGACAATGCAAATTACACTACCAGTCTGGATTCAAGGAGTAGAAAATAAACTCCAACTCTTGATGGAAGGAACTATAAAGAATTGTGGCGGTTTTTGATAGTCTACCATAGGGAGGAAAGATGGGGATGCTATAACCCAAAATGTGTATTCTTAGGTTGAGATCCTAAATTATAGTCAGGGCATATGGCTTTAGGCTCTGTGGATGACTAAATTAATTTCAAACATATAATGCTGTTTACTGTGAAGTGCCAGCTGAAAGGATCATTGTTTAATTTTATGTAATTTACAATACTTATTATACCTCAATAAAAATGTAATTATTGAGGGCTGGCATCAGTTGCCGAGAGGTGGAAGGAGTACCTCTCTGCAGTGTGTTAACTCAGTTCCGGACAGGACAGGGCTGCAAGTTCAGCTACTTCCCAGATAATGTCCTGGATCCCCTGCCTGAGTCATCATCCCATGACTGGAGAACGTGGACAGATTATTTTATCAAGAAACTGGTGATAAACGAGGGACTATAGGAATTAAGAACTAAGGCTAGAAAAGAAATGTTTAGAGTGATGCAAGATGGCCAATTAGAAGCAGCTGCAGTCTGCCGCGCTCACAAAGAGGAATGAAAAGGGGCGAGGGAATTCAGCACCTTCAACTGAGACAACCAGGTTCTCACATTAGGACTGACTAGATGAACAGGTCGACCAATGGAGAATGAAGACAAGCAGGCAGAGGGTGCGATGGCCCAGCCAGGGGTGGCGTGGAGCCAAAGGAACCCCCACTCCCAGCCAAGGGAAGCAGTGAGTGAGTGTGCAGTCCTGCCCGGGAAACCGTGCTTCTCCCATGGATCTTTGCAAGCCATGGATCAGGAGATTCCTTGTGAGCCCATGCCACCAGGGCCGTGGGTCTGATACACAGACCTGTATGGAGTCTGGGCACATCAGCTCAGGCACACACAGAAACCCAGGAGTTTTACACACTCTAGCCTCCGGGATCTTCAGCACAGTAGGAAATCTGTCCGTACGCATCTCTGGGAAGGGGGCCGAATCCAGGAAGCCAGGCAGCGTCATTCTGCAGGCCCCATTTCCATAGCACCTCACAAGTTAAGACCCACTGACTTGGAATCCTAGCCTGCCAACAGCAGCGGGTTGGAATCCACCTCAGATGGGTCTGAGTTCCCGGGGAGGTGGGGAGAGGCAGCCGGCACCACTGTGGTTCATAGACTCAGCCACTCCAGCCTGCCAGCTATGGAGAATACAGACAGTCTGGACAAGGAAGAGTTCCCCACAACACAGCACAGCTGGCTTGCCAGATCATGACCAGACTGCTTCTTTAAGCAGGACCCCCATCCATTCCTCCTCACTGGGCAGGAATCCCTGTGGGGGCTTTAACCACTCCAGCAACGGTTCTATGGACAGAGCTTTGATCTCTCCCTGAAATGGAGCTCCTGGCGGGAGGGGCAGCTGCCATCTCTGCAGTTTGGTCAACTCAGCCACTCCAACCTGCTGGCTTTGGAGAATACAGGTGGTCCGGAGGAGGAAGGATCCCCCACAATGCAGCACACCTGCTCTACCCCAAAGCAGCCAGACTGCTTCTTTGGATGGGTCCCTGATCCCATGCCTCCTGACAGGGTGAGAATGCCCAACAGGGGTCTCCAGCCACCTCCTGCAGGTATGTGTGGGCTGGCTACAGGTCAGTATCCCCCTGGGATGGAGCTTCCAAAGGAAGGAGCTGGCTGCCATCTTTGCTGTTTTTCAGCCTTCACTGGTAATACCTCATTCAGAGTCTATGAGGAACTTAAATTTACAAGAAAAAAACAACCCCATTAAAAAGTGGGCAAAGGATCTGAACAACACTTCCCAAAAGAGACATGCATGCAGTCAACAAAAATATGAAAAAAAAGCTCAACATCACTGATCATTAAAGAAATGCAAACAAAATCACAATGAGATACCATCTCATGCCAGTCAGAATGACTATTATTAAAAAGCCAAAAAACAACAGATGCTGGGAACATTGTGGAGAAAAAGGAATGCTTTTACACTGTTGGTGGGTGTGTAAATTAGTTCAACCCATGTGGAAGACAGTGTGGCAATTCCTCAAAGACTTAGAGGCAGAAATACCATCAGACCCAGCAATCCCATTATGGGGTATATACCCAAAGGAATATAAATCATTGTCTTATAAAAATACATGCATGCACACGTATGTTCATTGCAACAGTATTCACAATAGCAAAGACATGGAATCAACCTAAATGCCAGTCAATGATAGATTGGATAAAGAAAATGTGGAACATAGAGCAGGACGTGTGGCTTCTGAGCGAGAACATTTGTAGTGCCAGTGACGAAAGAGAGAATTTGAGAGATATTGAGATGTTGAGAAAGAGAGATGTTGAGAAAGGCAAGAAGATTTTTGTTCAGAAGTGTGCCCAGTGCCACACCATGGAAAATGGAGGCAAGCACAAGACTGGGCCTAATCTCCATGGTCTCTTCAGGTGGAAGATAGGTCAGGCCATTGGATTATCTTACATAGACACCGATAAGAACAAAGGCATCACCTGGGGAGAGGATACACTGATGAAGTATTTTGAGAATCCCAGGAAGTACATTCCTGGAACAAAAATGATCTTTTCCAGCATTAAGAAGAAGGCAGAAAGGGCAGACTTGATAACTTATCTCAAAAAAGCTGCTAGGGAGTAATAATTGGCCACTGCCTTATATTGCAAAACAGAAATGTCTCATGACTTTTTTATGTGTACCATAATTTAATAGATCTCATACACCAGAGTTCAGATTATGAATGACTGTCAGAATATTTTGTTGGGCAGTCCTGATTTAAAACTAAGACTGGCTTGTGGTTAAATGAATAAGTTTGGTTTTTGAATATTAATAGTAATTCCAATTCAGTGAATGCTATCACTGTTTACCCCTTCTAAAGATATGATTAGACTTTGTTAATAATGTTTAAGATGGTGAGTACCATCTTAAAACTTATTGGAGATTGGTTTTATATTTATATTTATATTGGTTTATATTTAGATTTATATGACTGGTTATGTGAATATATTTAAATACTGGGGAAATTCCTTCACTGTCTCAGAACCAAGCAAGATGCACCTGTGTTTTGTGTTTATTTGCCTCTTAAAGGCAAGGGTTGAAGATAAGGTAGCAATGTCTTCTTTGTATTGTTGGCCTTAACTATGCCAGTGTCATTAGAATTCCCTGTGTTTAAGATGGTTCCTTTTACTTATTCAAAGGCATTTTAGTGTGGTTTATGTGTAATATCAAATAAAGATTATTTAACACTTAAAAAAACAACAACAAAAAAGAAAATGTGGTACACAAACACCATGAGAAACTGTGCAGCCATAAAAAGGAATGAGATTACATCCTTTGCAGAGACATGGATGGAGCTGGAAGCTGATATCCTCAGCAAACTAACACAGGGACAGAAAACCAAACATCGCATGTTCTCACTTACATGCGGGAGCTGACAATGAGAACACATGAGCACACAATGGGGAACAACACACACTGGGGCCTGTGGGGAGGGAGGGGATGGGGGAAGGAGAGCATCAGGAAGAATAGCTAATGGATGCTGGGCTTAATACCTAGGGATGGGATGATCTGCAGCCAACCACCATGGCACACGTTTACCTGTGTAGCACACCTGCACATCCTCCACATGTACCCCTGAACCTAAAAGTTGAAGTAAAAAAGATATATAAAATTATCTGTATATACATATGCCCTGATATAAGTATACATTATATATGCATGCATCTATAACCACATTTTTATTGAGGTATAACATATATGGTAGGTTGCACTAATCAAGTATATATCTTGATGATATTATACCTAAGTATATATATGCATGTAACCAACACCTCTATCAATATATTGGTCTATGACTGACCTCCAATTAATTGTAAAGATATAGAGTGTTAAGGTTCATGTTTTTCACATAGCTCTCAATTCCTCCTGTACCATTTATTGTAAAGAGCATAATTTCCACCAATGAATCGCAGAGGTGCATTTATTGCAAATAAAGTGAATATATATGTGTAGGTCTGTTTCTGGGCTTTTTCTTTCATTACGACTGTCTATACTTAAGTCCAGACCACAGTTTTAATTATTCTGGCTTTATAGTGACTCTTGAGAACTTGTGTATAAGTCTTCCAACTTTGTACTTCTTTGTTTAAAAACTATCTTGGCTCTCCTAGATTTTTTGAATTTCCATATAAATTTTAGAATCATCTTGGCAATTTACATACACACACACCCCCCAAACCCACACACACATACAATATCTAAAATTGTTGAGATTTCCAACTCATGAACATAATATATCTCTCTACTGAGGTCTTCTTTGATTTCTTTTAGCAATGTTTGTAGTGTACAGGTTTTACACATCTTTGTTAGTTTTATTTCTACGCAGTTGATATATTTTTATGCCATTTTAAATGACATTTGAAGATCTTCATTTTCTAAATATTTGCAGTTGGTATATAGGAACATAACTAATTTTTGTATATTGACTTTTGTTCATTTGTTTGTCTTAAGACAGGGCCTTGCTCTGTCACCACAGGCTGGAGTGCAGTGGCACCTGGGATCAAGCATTTCTCCCACCTCAGTCTCCCACATAGCTGGGACTACAAGCAGGCATCACCACACTTGGCTAATTTTTAAAATTAATTTTTGTAGAGAAGGAGTCTCTCTGGTCTCACTGACCCAGGCTGGTCTTGAACTCCTGGATTCAAGCAATCCTCCCACCTCAGCCTCCCAAAGTGCTGGGATTACAGGTGTGAGCCACCACACCTGGCCTTGTATGTTGACTTTACATCTAGCATCCTTCATAAATTCACACATTCATTTTAATAATGAATTTGTAGATTCCCTTGGATTTTTTAAATATATGCAATCACATAAAGTTACTACTTTCTTTCCACTTTTTATACTTTTTTTCTTTATTGAATTATCTAGGACTTTCACTGTAATATTGAATAGAAATTGTAAGAGGAGACGGCCTTGCCATGTTCCCAAACTCAGGTGGAAAGAATTTCATGCTTCACTATTTGAAATGATGTTTGCTATAGGCTTTTGTAGTCATTCTTCACTAGATTAAGAGAGTCCATTTTATTTCTAGTTTGCTAAAAGTTTTGAATCATGAATTGGTGTTGAATATATCAGATATTTTTTCTGCATCTATCAAGGTAATCAAAACGTTTTTCTGTTTTCCATTAATGAGATTTTCAAATGTTAAACCAACCTTTTTTATTTTTGGAATAAACTCCTTTTGGTCTTAATGTATTATCTTTTTGATGTATCACTAGATTCTATTTGCTAATATTTTATTTAGAACTTTTCATCTGTGTTCATGAGTGATATGTAGTTTTCTTTCCTTGAAATGTCTTTATCAGCTGGTCTACAATTAGCTTAGGTGGCTTGGGTGACTCCTATCTGCTCAACTCATCTTCATCCTCTGTCAGGATGAATATGATGGATATGTTTCAAGGTAATGGCAAAAGGAAAGAGCTAGAGTGGAATCTTACAAATGCTTTTGCAAGCCTCTCCTTTGTGGCATCCCGGTGACCAAATCAACTCACATAATGGAACACAAAATTAGAGTGAAAGGGCACTACGAGGTGAAATGTGAGGGCTTGGATTTAGGAATAGGTGAAGAATTGAGACCATTGATGGAATCATTCTACCGTATCCTCAGGCAGTGAAGCATTTTCATCCATGCAGATAGTTCACAAGAAATAACTACTATATAGTCAGAGACTCAAGACTTCAGCAATTGTATAAAAATACATTTGTAAATACCTAAAGACCTTGAGGAGAAGGGTCTGAACCACATCTCACCCAGGTTATGCTATTCACGGCTAAGACATGACTCTACCACTCCCTTGGCCAATTTTGAAAATTATTTCAAACTATTTGAGGTGGAAGTACTTTCTGTCACTCCGAATGGGCACAGTCATGGAGTAATGTGACCAGGGTCCACTGTATGGGTCATGGCACTGAGGGCAGCCATCCCAAAATTTCCAAATTCCATCTTTTTGGGGAAAACACCTCTTGATTGCTAATATTGTTTTTTAAAGCAGGTTAAGCTAATAACTGTGAGTTAATTATACTACATCTAGATTGAGCCAATTTTCTTTCAGTAGATTTGGTGGTGACTAATATAAACTTGGCAACACTTAATATTAGCTGGGGTGTTTTTAAAAAGCCAAAAACTTTTAGCATGTAAATCAAAACAAAGACATTACTATTTTTTTCTGGGGTGATCTCTAGACTCTTGGTTTCTATCAGTTATTAAACTGTTATCTCAACTGTTATCTCCTTGGGGCATTGACAAAGTACTAATAAGTCATTGATTCCTTTACCATTTTTAATCAGAGTATCCCAAAAGGAGGTAATCATGTGTTTTAATAAATTCCACAAATCATAAACCACCCAAAAAGCAAATCTACCATCCATATTAATATTTAGTCTTTCATCTTTGCCAGAGTGCAGCCCCAAATCTAAGCTACTAGTTCAGCTACCTGGGCAGGCTGGGAATCGGGCCATGGAGCCCTTCAGCGATTGCATGTTCAGTGATAACAACATGTCCTGCACTGGGAGTGTCTCTGTCATATTTGAGAGCCATCTACAAAGTATATTAAATCAAGGTTGACTAAAAGGGAGAAGATTGAAATCCAGGCATACTTAAGTCCTGAGAGGATGCTAAACAGTCATGTGATTCCCCTTTATTCTTAAAAGGGAATCAAGTTGCAGGGTTACATTTTGAACAGCAGCGAATACGCAAAGCAGACATTACAATTTCATAAGTGGTAAATTTGCTAGTGGAGAAGTGTCAGATGCTGCCTTGAAGTAGCAAAAACTGTAGAGATGCAGGACCCATAGAGTTAGTGGAGAAACAAGCACTACGGTGGAAGCATCAACAAGTTTGGCCACTGCTACCACCTCATGCAAGTACGGAAGGTATACCTTTGCCTCCAAATCAAGGAATGTGCTAAGATAGGCAGAGAGAAGAGTATGGTAGATTTAGGAAAACCCGAAGGTGGAGGTTGTTGCAAGAAGGCTTGGGATTACAGGTGCGAGCCACCAGACCTGGCCTTGTAGAGCAGACAGCATTTTCTACTTTTGCATCACAAGGAAGAGTTTCAGAAATTATAAACTTTGTAAGCCCATGCAAAGGCTGAACTATTGAGAAAAATCAGATATACAATTACCTACATTCCTAGAATCTCCTTAGCCATCTTTTAATTTCTGTTCTTGATAGAATTGAATGCACTTTATTCTAGCTGAAAACAGACACTGTCCATTTGGTGAGAGATTGTGACCAGAAAAATTTAGATTCTTGGCAGAGTTGAAATTTTTTCTAGATTCTTTATGTCCCTTTTCACCTAATTTGGATAAGAGGTATTTGGAGTCTTCAGTAAACTACTTAGATCAGAAAACACAGCAGAAAATCATCTAAATATTGAGTTGATATATATATGATTGTAAAAAATTATATATATATATGTATATATATATATATATATATATATATATATATATATATATATATATACACATATCCTTTTTTAGACATTGAGAGAACTATGAGGGGATTCAAAAAAATCCCTAAAGCTTAACCATCCAGGTATATTTGTTTTCCCACAAAAAAGCGAATATTGACTGTTTTTATATATGTATACTAAGCAAGGCTGCACATAAATTACCACTGAGAGATATTTACTTGTTGAGAGAATGAAGGACAGGGGTGGGCATGGTGGCTCACACCTGTAATCCCAGCACTTTGGGAGGCCAAGGAGGGTGGATCACCTGAGGTCAGGAGTTCAAAACCAGCCTGGCCAACATGGTGAAACCCCATCTCTACTAAAAATACAAAAAATTAGCCAGGCGTGGTGGTGGGCACCTGTAATCCCAGCTACTCAGGAGGCTGAGGCAGGAGAATTGCTTGAACCTGGGAGGCAGAGGTTGCAGTGAGCTGATATCGCACCATTGCACTCCAGCCTGGGCAACAAGAGTGAAACTCCATCTCAAAATAAAATAAAATAAAATAAAATAAAATAAAATAAAGTAAAATAAAATGAAGGACAGAACAGTATTCTAATGGTTGCATGATATTTAATTAGTGCTATGATTAACCTCTAATGTTGGACATGTAAGTGTCAGTATAATCAGTAATACAGCAACAGACATCTTTGAGCATAAGGCTTTTTAACTGTAATAGATTGCTAGAAGTGAAATTACCTAGTTAAAGAGTATGAATATTTTTAGTGTTCTTAATATATATTGCCAAATCCAAGAGCAACTGTATTCTTGTATCAACAATAAATCAAAGTTTTAAATTTCATGCCTTATTTTGCCGACATTGGATTTTCTCATTAAAAGAGAAAGGGCTAATTTCATGGGTGCAAATGGCACGTTATTGTTGTTTTGAATTCGTTATTGGTGACACTGAATATTTATCTGTGTAGGTTGTTGATCAGTTAGATTTTCTCTTTTACGGATTGTTTATGTCCTTGGCCCATTTATCTATAAGGTGAGTGAGTAATATTTAAGTTGTTGTTAATGAATTATTAATTTATCATACTCGGCATAGTCCCCATTTAGTCAATTTTTCTGAAAAATCGTTTCCCCTGTTATTCATTATAGCATTTTAAAGCAGAAATTTCAGATTTTTATGAAGTCAGACCTAAGCCTATTGATCTTCCATTGATTCAACACTTTTAGTTCTTCCTCAGCCAAAGAATTGATTAAAATTTGCTTAAATTTCTCATAGATATTTATAGTTTTTATATGTGATTTCTAAGCCCGTATGGATTTTATGTAAGAAATTCCATGAATTCTGAAGTATATAAAACTGTTTATCCTTGCCTCCCCCACTATGCAGATTCAGAGTGTTCATCTTTTTGACTTATTATTTCTTCCTAACAGAGATAGCCAGTTTAATAAATGGATGATTTTGATATGTTCATTTTATTTTTCTCAATATTAAGCCGGTAAACATTGCTCTGAGGGTACCATACTAATCAGTTTTAAAATTTCGTGTCATTTTTGTTGTTGCACAGACATATATACATATGTGTGTGTATGTTTCAGAAAGATGTATTTACTGAAAGTTGGATTCATATAGTGGTATTAACTGTATTTTAAATAATAAATACTATTTGTTTTTCATTTTAAGGGTTATACGTACATATATATATATATACACACACACTTATAGGTACATGTATATCTTCATTTAAAAAAATAAGAGAACCGATGAGCCAAAAAAGTCTCCATATTGTTACCAGTTATTTAAAATTTGTTATGTTTATCTTTTTCTATCACGCATACACACAATCATACTATATACTTTTTGCATTTATTTGTTTACATAGTGCTTACGTAGACTGTAATATGCAGATCACTCTCTAAAGTTGTATCCATTCAAAATTAAATTTAAATAAGAACCAATATGAATTAGATTTAAACAAGAACCACATTAACTGTGAATTAATGATTTAGAACAAATTTACTTAAAGTTAGTTAACCAGCTAATTTACTTATGTGATAGCTTTAAACAGTGTGTATTTACAATAGAGACTCAACTGTGTAGCCAAACACACATTGTGGACTATTTGAAAAATCACAGTGGATTAGAACTTGAAATTTGCATACCCTGTTATTCCCCGAATCTCCCCTAGAAGATGCTAGTGAGAGACAAATTAATGAAAGTAATAACCATTTTAGGTTCCCCCTAGGAAATAGCTTGTGTTGGTGTCATGTAAATAGGTAAGATATGTGTTTTTCTTTTTTAGGAAGTTGTGCACTTTCTAGACGAGAAGCATCCAAACCACTATCAAGTCTACAATCTATGCAGTGTGTACGTTACTCTATATTTTGCTACTGTAGATAGAAAACAGATTACTGCATGTAAGAAGATGATTTTGTTTTTTAGATTGCATTTAATCATAAGTATTTGGTGGTGGCAAGGAATGAATTTAAAAATCCCTATCTTGGACTGGCCCCGTTTACTAGAAAGAGTTAGCCCAGCAGCACAAAGTACCGTATGAAGGATGTGGCTTTGGCAGTACCAGTGATGCTGGGGTGGAAGCAAACCATTTTAGGGAAGATCTGTTCTACCCATATTAGGTTTAGGAAAATCTTTCTGTTTTTCCTGCCAGATTGTGTTATGAGGACATAGACAATTTAACAAATGAGTCTTCTGACCCATCAGCAGTGGCATGTGATGAGAGCAGGGCTCTAGATGGGAAAAAGGCAAAAAACTCTGTAGAAAATAGGTTGTTACCCAGCTTAATACTCTGTCTCTCTTGATTTTTACCTCTACCTGTATACTCAGTAGACATTTTCAGGGGGCAATGATTTTGGTCAGCTACATTTGCCTCTTGTGTGGTTTCTAACTACCCTGCAATAATATAATGAATAGTCTGCTAGAAAGTTAAAAATTATACCTATTAAACAAAAATAAGTTGAGGTTAGATTACATGAGATGGATAAACCACTACCATCTTTATGTTTTTGAGACCTTGCATTTACTTTAGAGAGCAGGAGCAACTTGGAAAGCTCTTTTTGAAGATAGATGAGGAATTCTAATAAGATATGTTAACTTATTCGTAACTTCATCATTTATCATGTTATTCCCTGTAGAGATAGGACATACATATTATTTATTTTAGGTGAAAGAGCTTATGATCCTAAGCACTTCCATAATAGCGTTGGTAGACTCATGATTGATGATCATAATGTCCCCACTCTACAGTAAGTTTTATGCTAAGCTGGCTATCAGAAGAGGGCTAAATATATTGGGCTTGATTTTTTGAAGATATTTTAACTAAAAATCTTAAACTTGAAATCAGTGAGATGGTGGTTTTCACCAAGGAAGTAAATGAGTGGATGGCTCAAGATCTTGAAAACATCGTAGCGATTCACTGTAAAGGAGGCAAAGGTAATAACATTTTCCTTTTCATTTCTCCCTTTCTAAATACATGTAAATATAAAGTACAAGAACAAGATACGTATTGCTATTAATACGTATTAATAACTGTTATCATTTTAAAATATTAGCTCCAAGGTGGAAAGAAGGGAAGGAGAAAGGAAAGAGGAGAGGAGGAAGGGTGGGAGATAGGGAGAGGATAAGGAAGGGAAGAAAGTAGGAAAAAAGAACTAAGGAAGGTTGAGCATATTTTCCCTTGTTTTCCTAGTATTTGGCTTTCTTTATTTTTGGTTTGCCAGTTTATATCTCTCAAAATACAAACAGTCTTTAATTTTAGAATGTCAGAGTACTTTTATTTTATTTAAGGCTGATTTTTTATTTTAAAATTAACACATAAAAATATATTTATGGTGTACAATATGATGTTTTGATATACATAAACACTGTGAAATGGCTATATCAAGCTAATTAACGTATGCATTACTCCACATACTTTTTTGTGGTTAGAACATTTAAAATCTACTGTCTCAGCAATTTTCAAGTATACATTAACTATGGTCACTATGTTGTACAATAAATTTCCTGAACTTATTCTTCCTGTCTAACTGAAATTTTGCATCCTTTAACCAACATCTCAGCCTGAGCGCAGTGGCTCACACCTGTAATCCCAGCACTTTGGGAGGCAGAGGCAGGTGGATCACCTGAGGTCAGTAGTTTGAGACCAGCCTGGCCAGCATGGTGAGGTCCTATCTCTACTAAAAATACAAAAAATTAGCCGGGTGTGGTGGCATGCACCTGTTATCCCAGCTACTCAGGAGGCTGAGGCAGAGGAATCGCTTGAACCTGGGAGGCAGAGGTTGCAGTGAGCCGAGATCGCACCATTGCACTCCAGCCTGAGCAACAAGAACAAAACTCCATCTAAAAAAATAATAAAGTAAAAACCAACATCTCCACAGTCCCCCCAGCCCCCGGTAACCACCATTCTACTCTCTGCTTCTATGAATATGATTTTTTAAAATTCCACAAATAAGTGAGTCATGCAGTATTTTTCTTTCTATGCCTGGCTTATTTCACTTAGCATAATATTCTCCAGGTTCATCCATATTATCACGTGACAGGATATCCTCTAAGGCTGAATTGTATGCCTTTATTTATAGATAGCACATATTCTTTATCCATTCATCCACTGATGACATTTAGATTGACTCCATAGCTTGGGTATTATGAATAATGCTGCAGTGAACACGGGAGTGCAGATTTCATTTCCTTTGGATATATACCCAGAAGTGGACTCTCCAAATCATATGGTAGTTCTATTTTTGGTTTTTTGAGGAATCTCAGTGCTGTTTTCCACAATAACTACTAATTTACATTCACACCAACAGTGTACAAGGGGGATCCCTTTTCTCTTCATCCTCACCAACTCTTCTCTTGTCTTTTTGTTAGTGACCATCCTAACAGGTGTGAGGATATCTCTTTGTGGTTTTAATTTGCTTTTCCCTGATGATTAACGAAGTTTAGCATTTTCTCATATACCTCTTGGCCATTTGTATGTCTTCTGTTGGGAAATATCTTTTCAGGTTCTTGGCCCATTTTCCAGAGAAGTAACTTGTTCTCTTGCTATTGTGTTGTTTGATTTCCTTTTTAAAAATAATCTATTAACCTATTGTTGAATGTATGCTTTGTAGATATTTTCTCCCATTCTGTAGGTTGTCTCCTCACTCTATAAATGTTTCCTTTGCTGTGCAAAAGTGTTTTAGTTTGATAAAGTATCATTTGTCTGCTTTTTCTTTTGTTGCCTATGCTTTTCAGTCATATCCAAAAATACCTTGGCCCAGACCAATGTCAAGAAGATTTTCACCTATGTTTTCTTCTAGTAGTTTTCCTATTTCAGCTTTCACAGTTAAGCGTTTACTTTGAGTAGACTTTTGTATATTGGGTGAGATAGGTTGCAATTTCATTCTTCCGCAAGTGGATATTCAGTTTCCCCAGTACTGTTTATTGAAGAGACTGTCCTTTCCCCATCTTGGATTCTTGGCACCTTTGTACTCAGCTGAGTATAAATGCATGGACTTATTCTGGGCTTTCTATTCTGTTCCATTGGTCTAGATGTCTGTTTTTGTTCCAGTAATATTTAAGGTTGTTCTTAAACTTTGTGAGAACCTTTTAGATTAAGTGAGCCAACAGAGATGCTATTTCAAAAATTATACTGGAATTTTTGTAGTGTAATGATACAAAGAAGTTGACATTGGTGGGGTTAAAATGGGGGAAAAAGCCATTGTAAATCCAACCAATTTAAGTTCAATTAGGTTTTCTCTCATTCAGGTTTAGGCTTTAAATAATCATCTAAGCATATTTCACAAATTTTGACAAACACAAATAATTACATTTTTAGTGGGCTCTAAATCAATTTTTATATCAAATTCCAGGAAAACATAGCACTGTAAACTGACTTACATAATTCAGTAAAATCAAGTTTTAGTCTTATTGACTAGTTTCAAGTCCATTAGTTAATACACAGGTTCTGTGTTTAGCTGTATATTAGTTAATATACAGGTTCTGTGTTTAGCTCTACAGGTTGGAATATTGTGTATAAACTGGCAATTTACAATACCATAGTTAAATTAAGAATATAGAGGTTGAATCCTTTGAAATTGCCAGTTTTTAACCATCTTTTGCTTTAAAAATGGCCATTTCACATTGCCCAACCTAAAATGTTATTATTCAAGAAGTTAGCATCAGTTTTCTATTAACTAATGCTAATTCCTTGCTTGAAGGAAAACATTCATTTCAAATTTGATTTTTTTCTTTTTTGCTGAGAGGGGGTTTACATTATTCTGTGTTCACATAATATTTTGATGATTTTGTTAAAGGTTGTTTAGAGGGCTAATATTCAGCTGGTATGTACCAGAGCAGCCTCTTTTTTATGTGTTCATTCATATTAGTCTTGCTGTCTTCTGGTTGGTTGCTGCCTGCAGGTTATCATGATGGTAAAAATATTTTATATTGATTTATAGGAGTTCTTTAAAGAATCTGAATGTCAATTTTTCTTAGTATTGCAATTATATTCTCCCCACATGTTGCCTTTTAAATTTGATTGTGATTTATTTTGTTGTACAAAAGTTTGTAAATTTTTGTTTTGTTTTGAGACATGATCTCGCTCTGTCACTCAGGCTGGAGTGCAGTGGCACGATCTCGGCTCATTGCAGCCTGAACCTCCCAGGGCTCAAGCGATCCTCCCATCTCAGCCCCTCTGAGTAAGTGGGACTACAGGCGAGCGTCACCATGCCTGGCTAATTTTTGTATTTTTTATAGAGACAGGGTCTCACTGTGTTTCCCAGACTGGTCTCGAACTCCTGGACTCAAGTACTCAAGTGATCCACCAACCTCGGCTTCCCAAAGTGCTGGGATTACAGGCATGAGCCTTCATGTCTGGAGAGAAGTTTGTAATTTTGAATGTAGTAAAATTTGTTCATCTATGTGTGTGTATGTATTTCATGCTTTTCTGTCATGTTTATGAAATTCACCCTTATACTGATGTAGTAAAGATATTCCACATTTCTTAAAAAATATTCAAGTTCCATTTTTAGTATTTGGGTCTTTAATCTAACTGGAAGTTGGGGGGGAAGTATTTTTTTTCATATGGATAGCCAATTGTCCTAACACCATCAATTGCATGCTAATTTGTTCTCCATTAATTTGTAGTCCCTCTCAGTAATATACCAAGTTCCTATAAATATTCAAAACTGTTTCTAAGTTCTCTCTACCACACTTTTGTAATTATTGTAGCTTTATAATATAGTTTGATAAAGGCAGAATTGTCTTGCTCTTCTTGGAACTTTATTATGACATTCAATTTTAAAATCATTTTGTGAAGTGCCATAATAAAACACTTGTAGGATTTTTATTGGAACTACATTGAATTTATAGATTAACTTGAGAGAACTGACAACTTTGCGATATTGAGTTGTACATGTGAACCATCTTGTTCATTCTTTAATAATATTTTATACTTTTTTATCATGTCTTTGCACATCTTTTCAAAAATTCATTCCTACACAAATTGTGACTGAAAATGGAATCTCTTTTTTTCTATTACATTTGAGTTGTTTCCAATTTTTACTGTGAGAAATAATGCTGCTTTTTTTTTTTTTTTGAGATAAAGTGTCCCTTTGTCACCCAGGCTGGAGTGCAGTGGCACCATCTCAGTTCATTGCAACCTCTGCCTCCTGGGTTCAAGCAATTCTCATGCCTGAGCCTCCTGAGTAGCTGGGATTACAGGCGTCCACCACCACACCCAGCTAATTTTGTATTTTTAGTAGAGATGAGGTTTTGCCATGTAGTCCAGGCTGGTCTCGAACTCCTGACCTCAAGTGATGCGCCTGCCTCTGCCTCCCATAGTGCTGGGATTACAGGCATGAGCCACCCGGCGCAGCCCAATAATACTGCTTTTAAAAATACACGTTTCTTGTTGCACCTGTGGCCACATTTTTGTTGAGTGTATACCTCAGACTAAAATTGTTCTGTCTTAGGGTAATGAATCTTGAACTTTACTTGATAATGTCACCTGTTTTCTAAAACAGTTGTACCAATTTTTACTCCACTGGTATTGTACACTTCAAGCATTCCATATCTTCCCCAATATTTGCAGTTCTGAGTATTTTTATTTTTAGCCTTTGGGTGTTTGTGTGATGGCATCTTATGGTGGTGATCATTTGCATTTCTATAATTACGAATAAGATTGAGGAAGTTTTCTTAAGATTATTAAGTATTTGGATATCCTTTATGTAAAGTAACTTTTTAATTTTCTTAACCATTTTTCTCCTGGATTATTCATCTTTTTTCTCCTGATTGTAGGAGTTCTTTATGTATTCTGATTTCAGTTTTGTTATTGGTCATAAATGTATTTCAAGAAAGCTTTTCTGCTCTGTGATTTGCCTTTTCTCTCTCTCAGGAGTATCTTCTGGTTAACAGAAGTTCTTAGTTGTCTTACCATCATAGGTATCATGCTTTCCCTTTATAAAGTTTGTATTTTTGTGTCCTGATTAAGACAATTCTCCTTGAGTTTAAAGGACATTTTACTACTATATTTTCTTCTAGAAGGTTCATTCCTTTTAAAATTGATTTATGTGTGCGATGTGAGGAAGGCATCAGGTTTCATCTTTTTCCATGTATGGCTATCCAGTCATTCCAGCACACTGGTTGAGAAGATTTTCATTTCTTTACTACCCTGAAGAACATGAATCTGTTTCTGACCTTTCTATTCTGTTCATTGATTTTTCATCTTTGTGCCAATAGCACAACTATTTTACTGTTGCTTTCTAATACGTCCTCATTTCCAGTCATGTGAGTATAATCATCTTTTTCTTTTTCTTCACAATTGTTTGGGTGTTTTAGGTCACCTACTTTTCCATATAAATTTGGAAATCAACTAGTCAAATTACACACACCGGATAGAAATTTGTTTGGAATTGCATTGAATTTATAGACTGGGGAGAATTGAATCTTTACAACATTGACTCATCCCACCCATGAACAGAGGTATTCTCTCATTTAGTTAGGTCCTCTTCAGTTTCTCTTTACAATGCTTTCTCGTTTTCTGTATAGAAAGCTTGCATATTTTTGGTGAGATTTATTCCTAGATATTTGATATTTTATGGTTATTTAAATGATATCCCTTTAAAAATATTTTCTAAATGTTTTTTGTTGTTTTAAATACAGCTCATTTTATTTATTAATCTTGCAATTAGCAACTTTCCTAAACTCATTTTTTTTTTTTTGAGGTAGGGTCTCTTTCTGTCACCCAGGCTGGAGTGCAGTGGCATGATCACAGCTCACTACAGCCTCAACCTCCCTGGGCTCAGGTGATCCTCCTATATCAGCCTCTTGAGTAGCTAGGACTGCAGGCAGGTGCCACCATGCCCAGGTGATTTTTTTTATTTTTTTGTACAGATTGGGTTTCGCTATGTTGCCCAGGTTGGTCTCAAACTCCTGGGCTCAAGTGATCTGCCAGCCTCAGCCTCTGCCTCCCAAAGTGCTAGGACTGCAGGCCTGAGCCACCATGCCCAGCCTAAACTCACTTATTAGTTCTACTAATTTATCTATAGATTCTTTTGGATTTTATGGTACATGATTACATCATATAAAAATAGTAAATTGTATTTTTTCCATTTCAGTCATTTCTCTCCCCTAGCACTGGCTAGAACCTTCAGTACAGTGTAGAATTAGAAGTGGCAATAGCAGCCATCAACATATAGTTCCATTCTCCAGGGAAAGGCTTTCAACATCTCCCCAATTGCTTTACGAGTGTGTGTGTGTGTGTGTGTGTGTGTGTGTGTGTGTGAGCTACCATTTATCAGATTAAGAAATTTCTTGGCTGGGCACCATGGCTTACACCTGTAATCCCAGTACTTTCAGAGGCCCAGGATGGGCAGATCACTTGAGGCCAGGAGTTCGAGACCAGCCTGGGCAACATGGTGAAACCCTGTCTCTACTAAAAAATACAAAAATTTGCCAGGTGTGGTGGCACATGCCTGTAATCCCAGCTACTCCAGCTGAGGCATGAGATTCACTTGAACCCAGGAGGCAGAGGTTGCAGTGAGCCAAGATTGCACAGTGCTCTCCAGCGTGGATGACAGAGTGAAACTCTGTCTCAAAAAACAAAACAAACAAAAAGAAAAAAGAAATTAGTTTGCTAAGAGTTTTTTTTTTTTTAAATCATGAGTGGATGTTGAATTTTTAAAGATTTTTCTGAATCTTTGAGATGATGTGGTTAATTACATTGATTAAGTGGTAAACCAACATATTCCTGGAATAAATGTAATTTAGTTGTGCTTTATTATTTTGTTAAATAATTATTAAATAATTTTATTATTAAATTGCCAGATTCTGTTTGTTAATATTTTGTTTAGGATTTTCAAATTCATGTCATCTGGGAGAGTGGTTATAATTTTCCTTTCTCACAGTTTTTTCAAATTTTGGCTTCATAAAATGAGTTACATTTCATTTTCTCTATTTTTCTTCTCTGGGTAAATTTATGCATGCTGATTTTTTTCCTTCTTAAGTGTAAAGTGAAATTCACCAGTGAACGCACATTGGCCTAGAGTTTTCTCTGGAGAGAAGTCTTTAAATTATGGCTCAATTCCATATATAGAATGTTTTTATAATTTTATTTCTTTTGCCAATTTTGGTAGATTATAGTTTTCCCAGCATTTGTCCATTTAATCTAACTTTGCAAATGTCTTGACATCAAATTGTTCACAATATCATTTTACCATTTTAATGTCTACAGAGGTGTTCCCTTTTTTATTCCTGACATTGCTTTCTTGGTGCCTTCTCCCCTTTTTTCTTTTGATTAGTCTCACCAGGGATTTATCAATTTTACTAGTCTTTTAAAAGTACCAAATTTTTGGCCTTACTGGTGGTCTCTATTTTTTATTTCATCAATTACTATGATATTTAGTATTTTCTTCTGTAGTCCTTGGGTTAATTTGTTCTTTTCCTGACTTCTTGACATGGATAATTCTTAGAGTGTCAACCACTCTCTTTTCTATTTACCATTTAAGGCTACAAGTTTTCCTCTAAGAATTGCTTTAGCTTCATTCCATAAATTTTTATTTGTATTGTTTTTATTTTACTTAGTTCAAACTATTTTCCAATTTTGACTGTGCTTGTTTTTTTTTTTTTGACCCATGAGTTATGTAGAAGTATACTTCCTTATTTCCAAACATATGAGAATTTTGTTTTTAAATTTTTGATTTCTGATTATATTGTGTTGTGGACACAGAACATACTATGTATTTTTTTCTTTTAGTTCTTTGAAATTTGTTTAGACTTGCTTTACGGCCCAGAATATGGTCAATACTGTCAAATGTTTTCTGTACATTTGAAAAGAACATGTATTATGCATTGTTGAGAACAGTGTTCTATGTACATCTATTTGTTAATTATTTTATTTAACCCTTCTATATTCCTACTGATGTTCTACTTTTGTTTGATTGAATTTTAATAATGTAATTCTTTCCTTCTCACCCTCTATCATTACCTTCAAAGTCATATACTCATTTTCTGTTTTTAGTAATTACTGTAAAGATTTCAACCGCATCCTTGACTTAGCTATTATTTTTTGTTTATGTTGAGCCTGCATCTAGAAATCTTCCTAAACTCTCTCATTAGATTAAGGAGCTATTCTGTAGACTTACTTACTATACTGACTTTCTACACTGTTTAGGCTCTGTAGTATATTGTTAAATGGAAGCAAAGAAGAGAGGACATTTTTGTTTAATTCCAGGCTTTGAAGAAAATGCTGTCAATATTATGTCATTAATATGATGTTCCTGGTAGGTATTTGGGTAGATTCTCTTTGTTGAGTTAAGGAAGTTTCCTAGTTGTTGTTAATTTTTAAAGTCACAGGTGCAGGCTGAATTTTAGTGAATGCTTTTTCCTACACTAATTGAGATAATTGTAAGGTGTGTCTTCTTTAATTGATGAATATGATAAATTGCATTAACATAGATTTCTGATATAGGATGATTCGTATTCTTTTATTATGTTTTTTAATGGGCAAAAGACTTTTATTCTTTTTGAGCTTAGATTTTTGGTATAATTTAACTTTTAGATTTGGAAGTACATATGCAGGTTTATTGGTAATATTGTGTGATGCTGAGGTTTGGGGTGTGAGTGATCGCATCACCCATGTACTGAGCACAGGACCCAATAGTTAGTTTTTCAACCTGTGCCCTTTTCTGCTGTGCCCCCTCTAGAACTCCCCAGGGTCCATTATTGCCACCTTGATATCCATGAGCACCCATTGTTTAGCTTTCACTTATGAGTGAGAGCATATGGTATTTGGTTTTTTGTTTCTGCATTAATTTTCTCAGGATAATGACTTCCAGCTGCATCCATGATACTGCAAAGGACATAATTTCTTTTCTTTTTTCTTTTTTTTGAGATGGAGTTTCACTCTTGTTGCCCAGGCTGGAGTGCAATGGCATGATCTTGGCTCAGTGCAAACTCCACCTCCCAGGTTCAAGCGATTCTCCTGCCTCAGCCTCCCAAGTAGCTGGGATTACAAGTGCTTGCCACCATGCCTGGGTAATTTTTGTATTTTTAGTAGAGATGGAGTTTCACTATGTTGGCCAGGCTGCTCTTGAACTCCTGACCTCAGGTGACCCACCCGCCTCCGCCTCCCAAAGTGCTGGGATTATAGGCGTGAGCCACTGCGCCCAGCCGTGATTTTAATTTTTTTATGAGTGTGTAGTATTCCATGGTGTATATGTACCACATTTTCTTTATCCAGTCCACCATTGATGGGCACCTAGGTTGATTCTATGTCTTTCCTATTGTCAATGGTGCTGAGAAGAGCATACAGTGCATGTGTCCTTTTGGTAGAACTTACTTTCCTTTGGATGTATACCCAGTAATGGGATTGCAATGTCAAATGGTAGTTCTATGTTTTCATATGTTTGTTGGCCACTGGTATGTCTTCTTTTGAGATGTGTACGTTTATATCTTTTGCCCATTTTTAATGGGGTTATTTGTTTTGAAGATACAATCAATTTATGATCCTGGGAGAGCAAGAAGCAAGGAGCCAGCAAGTCTGGACACATTCCAGAGGCCACGAAGGGTTTTATGCCCTGAGCCCTGGATTCCATCCAAGCCACGAGGGGTTTTATGCCCTGGGCTTAGGTTGTAGTGCGGCAGGGCAGCCTTCCACTCTTAAGTACAGAGCTTGGTGTTCCATAGGCCACAAGAGGTTTCAAACTCTGGACCCAGGACATGTTCCAAGACTCTTTATATTATGTCAGACTAGCAAGTGTTGCCTCAGCTTTTCGCCCAACAATTGGACTGATGAGATGCTCCACTGTGCCCAAGCATCATGGGTTCTTAGAACAAGGCCCTGCACGCACCAAATATGTTCCTGTCACCACAGTCCACTAGCCCTTCAACTATAAATGTGCACAGGAGTCGCCTGGGGGCCTTGCTAAATAAAATGCAGCTTCTGATTCAATAGCCTCGAACAGGACCAGAGATTCTGCCTGTCTTGATGAGCTCCTGAGTGAGGGAGACAATGCCAGTCCACAGACTCACACTTTGAGATACAGCACCTGGGCCACTGTGTTCAAATATGCTTGATAACCTGGAACACCTATTAAATATCCAAGTTGCCAGGATTTTCTTCTGGAAATCTTGATTCAGCATGTTTTGGATGGAGCCTTGGACGTTTGGGAAAACTAGAATTTCTTTCTTTCCCTTTAGACAAAAGTCAACTACTGCTGAGGCACGGGCTTAATAAATGTTGACTAAAATATCCAACTCAACGACCAATCCTGTGTAATTTTCAAACTGTGTCAGTAACTTGCTGGGTCCAACCTCCATACCCTGGCCGTGTGACGGATGAAGAAATGCACTCAGACACAGGTATCCCATGAAACAGCAGGCTAGGGGACCGGCAGCTCCCAGACACTGAGGAGGGTGCTGTAAAGAGTCAGCAGCTGTGGCCCTGACAGGCTGGGGCTCCAGGCATTTATTCAGTACAGATTTAAGGACAAAGGTCTTAAGTAAACACCACTAGAGGGTAATTAACATTGCTGACCTCCCAAGTAGACGGCAGTCACGTGCCTGCAGATTATCAAAGGTTGATCTTAGGACCACATGAGTAAACAAGCCATTTAGATAAACTCCTCTACATTCCTATGTATCTACGCCCTGAGCTTTTAAGAGAATTCAGCTGCCTTCAGCCAAATCTTTTACTGAAGCTATGCAAACCTCCTGGCCTTCCAAGAAGTTTTGTGTCTGTTTCCTACAACTTAATTTTTATAATTTCTCCCACCACCCTGACAGATCCCCTACAAAAGATCATGTTTCTTCTCAGATTGCTCAGTCCAGCTGAGCCAGCTTTCCACTGGACTCCTGAATGTGAGAAGGACACAGGCTCCCAGGACTATCCAGAAGCATCTCTCATCACCTTAAAACTCTGAAACACCGGCTGGGTGCAGAGGCTTATGCCTGTAATCCCAACACATTCAGAGGCTGAGGTGGGAGGATCGCTTGAGGTCAGAAATTCAAGACAAGCCTAGGCAGCAGAGCAAGACCCCATCTCTACAAAAAGTACACCCCAAAATTAGCTGGGTGTGGTGGCACATGCCTGTAGTCTCAATTAATTGGGAGGCTGAGGCAGGACTATCCCTTGAGCCCAGGAGTTTGAGGCTGCAGTGAGGTATGATCGCACCACCACACTCCAGCCTGGGAGACAGATTGAGACCATCTCTAAAACAACAACAACAGGCCGGGCACAGTGGCTCACACCTGTAATCCCAGCAATTTGGGAGGCCGAGGCGGGTGGAACACCTGAGGTCAGGAGTTCGAGACCAGCCTGGGCAACCTGGTGAAATCCCATCTCTACTAAAAATATAAAAAATTAGCAGGGCATGGTGGCAGGTGCCTATAATCCTAGTTACTCGGGAGGCTGAGGCAGGAGAATTGCTTGCACCAAGGAGGCAGAGGTTGCAGTGAGCTGAGATCACGTCATTGCACTCCAGTCTGGGCAACAAGAGCAAAACTTTGTCTCAAAAAAAAAAAAAAAAAAAAAAAATACATAAAAAAATCAACAAAAAAAATGAGACACAGAAAACTGAAATATTTTAAGTTTCATTTTATTATTGCTTGTTAGTTGATTAAAGTAATTCTTCTTCCACTTAATTTTTAAAGACAGTAATTGCTACACTGAATGAAACCTTAATGAAGTTTCATTATAAGTATCTATTATCATTTGATTATTTTCTACATAGAAGCATGCAAAAAGTTTAAAATTCAGTTTCATTTGACTTAGCCTTGACTGTAATGGAGGACTCTATGAAGAGGGGACACAGTGCTTATGGGCTGGAGTCCCAGCAACTGCTTGGTGGCAGAGTCCCAGTCGTTCCCCAGTTCAAGCCGTGGGCAGATAGATGGGTACTGTCCTTCAGTTCTTCTTACCCATTCACTTGCTTGCTTTATTGCCTCAAAAGCCCAGGGAATATTCCTAGATTAAAAAAAAAAGTTTCAGATTTCAGAATATAACATGTGAAATGTAATGTGGTACTAAACCCATCACATTATATCAGACAAAATGATTCTGCCAAAAATTAAGATATTTAATAAAAGCAGTTTTCCTTGGCATCTTACGGAAGTTCTTCTGCCCGTCTGACCTTGAGCTTATGCACTGCATTGTCAAGTGCCCTGTGCCCGCCACCTCCTGGCTTCCACGTGCCTCCAGGCATCCCTGCTGCCTGCAGCACAGCTCACGTTCCAGCCGCTCTACAGTTGTTTATGGTTGTCCCCTTTCCACGCTTCTCAGTCTAAATCCTATCCATTCTTCACGCACAAACTCAAGTACTATTTCACAAATGAGGCTTCTGTTTCTCTCTCCTTCCCACTGTACTGACTTGATTAGGTACCTTCAGAATATCTGAGAGTCCCCCATGAAACTGGCATACATTCAGTTGTGTCACGTAAACCAGGAACAACTTGGTAGAATAAGCATATCGAGTCAAGTCTGTGTCCACTAAATGGTGTCAAATATTTGAGACTGTTGAATATTCAAGTCTATTCAACACTCAGAAAAATTCTGAGGTTGTTCATTAATATTAATTAGCTACTTCCTCATTTGTTCTGTCATCTGCTAGAACTTGTTAGTGAACAAGGGGCAACATATACCAAAGTTCTTCAGAAAATTCTATGGGGAAACTTAATATTTTGAAAATTCTCTCCCTGTTCCTGAATTTTCCCTGTGAACTGGGAAAGGGCCGTCAGTATAGCGTGGTGGTTAAGAGCTGGGTTTGAGTCCTGACTCTGCAATCACATGATATTGGCCATGTGATACTGTGTGGCTTTCATTCAACACTGGGAATCTCAGTTTCCTCAATTATGAGAATAACCTGAGGTCCTATGGGTTTGTGGTGGAAATCAACAAAGCTTACAAACTTAACATGCTTACTAGTCCCTAGTGCACAGTAGGCACTCAATAAATGTTCGCTGAATGTCATGATACTAAATCATGATGAACATACTAAATAAGAAGCATGCCCAAAGTGGTTAAAAGACCAATGTTTCCTAGTAAATATTCATCTACTGATAGTTACTAACTGCTGAAAACAACAAAACTGGCTTTGAATATTTTTACTGATTGGCCTCTACACTTTTTGGTTCACATTCCGCTAGCAAGAAAATCTTGTGCCTACACCCCCATATAATGTGCTCTTGCATCAATGTTATGTACATCCTGAAATAGAAAATATAGAACAAAGTTTCAAATATGCAATAAACAGGAAATAAAAAATATTTAATTTTTTTTTTTAGATGGAGTCTCACTGTGTCGCCAGGCTGGAGTGCAGGGACACGATCTCGGTTCACTGCAACCTCTGACTCCTTGGTTCAAGTGATTCTCCTGCCTCAGCCTCCTGTGTAGCTGGGATTACAGACACGTGCCACCACACCCAGCTAGTTTTTGTATTTTTAGTAGAGACGGGGTTTCACCATCTTGGCCAGGATGGTCTCAATCTCTTAACCTTGTGATCTGTCCGCCTCAACCTCCCAAAGTGCTGGAATTACAGCTGTGAGTCACCGTGTCTGGCCTAAAATTGTTTGTCTTATGTACTCAAGTGCCAACAAACCATTTTGCTAGCACAGTAGCAGTAATGGAGTAAGAGCAATATGCTGGAATATACTTGATCAATTTTGAAAATCTTTACTTTATGATATTACAGTTCAAAAGCAGGTTCAAAGTTTATACTTGTTTTAACAGCTATAATATTAATAATTGGCAATGATCTAAATAGAATAAATGCGTCTTTGGATGTGCCTATTAAGTCAATACTAATTTTTTAGTCCCACCTCCTAGCTGTTCAAAGTGTTTTTTCTTTGATATTTATTTAATTAATCCTCTTGGCAAGTGGCACTGGTTTATTTTAAAATAAAATACAAAAAATAGGCTAGTGTAGTGGCTCACTCCTGTAATCCCAGAACTTTGAGAGGCCAATGCAGGCAGATCACTTGAGGCCAGAGTTCGAGACCAGCCTGGCCAACATGGCGAAACCTCATCTCTACCACAAATATAAAAATTAGCTGTGCACACCTCTAATTCCAGCTACTCAGGAGGCTGAGGCACGAGAATTGCTTGAAACTGGGAGGTGGAGGTTGCAGTGAGCCGAGATCGTGCCACTGCACGCCAGCCTGGGTGACAGAACGAGATCTGGCCTCAAAAAATAAATAAATAAATAAAAACAAAACAAAAAAAAAGAAAACTCCCAAAATAGAAAAACAAAATAAATTCTCATCTTTCTTGGCAAACTAATGAGAAGGTATTGCTTTTTAAAAAATGGAAGTATAAATTACATATAGTAAATTATGATTTTCTTTTTTTTTCAGACAGGGTCTCGCTTTGTTGCCCAGGCTGGAGTGCAGTGGCACGATCACAACTCACTGCAGCCTCAACCTCCTGGGCTCAAGCAATCCCCCCGACCTCAGCTTCCTGAGTAGTCACACACTACCACACTCGGGTAATTTTAAATTTTTTTGTGGAGACAGGGTCTTGCTATGTGGTCAAGGCTGGTCTTGAACTCCTGGATGCAATCCTCCTGCCTTGGCCTCCCAAAGTGCTGGGATTACAGGTGTGAGCCACCGTGCCCAGCAATGCCTGGGTAATTACAAAAAGTTTTTTGTAGAGATGGCAGTCTCATTGGTTACCTAGGCTGGTCTTAAACTTCTGGGCTTGATCTTGGTGGGCTCAAGTGACCCTCCCGTCTCAGCCTCCTAAAGTGCTTGGATTATAGGCATGAGCCAATTTGCCTAGCCCAGAACTTCCTGAACACCTGTTTTGTGTTTGAGAACTTTTTCTTAATCATGACACTTAAAAAATAATTATCAATATTTCTTTAATATCATAAAATATCCAGGTAGTGTTTAATTTTTCCTATCTCATTTTTTTAAATGCAGTGGGTTTTGTTTGTATCAGGACCTAAACAAGGTCTACCCTTGCTTTTGGTTGATATGTCTCTAAAGGTTTATTTACAGGTTCTGCTCCTCAACCTTTTTTTTCTATTGCCATTTATTTTTCTCTTGCCATTTATTTCCCCACATTCCAGACTTCGCTGACTGCATTTCCATGGTGTCAAGTAACATGTTCCTCTATTCTCTGATCTAATTCAAGTTTAGAAATCAAGGGGTTTTGTTTAACTTCTTTGATTTTATACATATTAGTTTCTAACAATATTAATATCTACCTTCCAAAATAACAAATCAAAAGTATTATTAACACCATGACTACTCCCAGTGAGATTTCTTTGTAATATTTTTTAATCCTTAGGTACTATCCCACTAGAGAGATATAGTCAAATTATGTACTTTTTTTTTTTTTTTTGAGACGGAGTCTCACTCTGTCACCCAGGCTGGAGTGCAGTGGCACGATCTTGACTCACTGCAAGCTCTGCCTCCCAGGTTCACGCCATTCTCCTGCCTCAGCCTCCCCAGTACCTGGGACTACAGGCACCCGCCATCACACCTGGCGAATTTTTTTTTTTTTTTGTATTTTTTTTAGTAGAGACAGGGTTTCACCATGTTAGCCAAGATGGTCTCGATCTCCCAACCTCGTGATCTGCCCACCTCGGCCTCCCAAAGTGCTGGGATTACAGGCGTGAGCCACCGCGCCCGGCCAGTACTATGTTTTAAATTCACCTTAAATTAATTCCCAGGATGGGCACAGTGGTTCATGTCTGTAATCCCAGCACTTCAGGAGGCTGACGCGGGAGGATTGCTTGAGTTCAGGAGTTCCAGACCTGCCTGGGTAACATGGCAAAGCCCCTTCTTTACAAAAATACCAAAATTAGCAGGGCGTGGTGGTGCACACCTGTAGTCCCAGTTACTCAGGAGGCTGAGGTGGGAGGATGGCTTGAGCCCAGGAGGCGGAGGTTGCAGTGAGCTGAGATTGCACCACTGCACTCCAGCCTGGGCGATAGAGCCAGACTTTGTCTCAATAAATAAATAAATAAATATCAATCTTATGCATTATTATGTAAAATATTTACACAGTTCCAAAGTCAAAACTGCAAAACAAAGCACACTAGGAGAAACCTAGCTTCTATCTTTGTCCCCTCTATCAAATCCCCGTAGCAATAATATTATTAGTTTGATTAGTTTTCCCCTTATCTTGCCTTTAAAAGAACATAAGCCAATTACATGTGTATGTATATGTGTATATGTGTATGCATGTGTGCATGTGTGTGTGTGTGTGTGTGTGTGTGTATATCTATATCTATATCTATATCTATATCTATATCTATATATCTCAGAGGGATCCTACTCTGGTCTTGACCCTCTTGCCATGGGGTGGGGGGTCTGTAGGGACAAGAGAATATGCCCACCCCAGAGCCCATATCCTCCTTTTTAGACCCTGCAACTCCAGCATCCCTGACCACATGGCCCTGAGTCCACTTCCAGGGTCTTCCCTGGTCTGTCATCCTGAGTTTGAACAGTGTTGCCATCTCACTGGTGCTACAAGGTGGCTGGTGTGAGGGGGCACTGGCATGGGGTCTGGATGGCATTTTGATGGGTGGGGTGGGGTATTCACGTTTGCAGGCAAACCCTCTTAGGGTGCTGGGGGTCAACCAAGGGCCGAATTTGAACCTGGCCTTCCAGGTGGTTATGAAGTTGTATTTGCCAAGGGAGGAGATTAGAACACATTTAATCTAATAGTTTGCTAGTTTGATTTATAACCTTTAAACACTTGTTATAAACTACAAAGTTATAAACTTTAAATACTTGTATTGTATTCTTGTCCCAGGCCCTGCCATTGTTGGGAACAGGGCTGGGCCCAACAGTCACATTGTGGGTCTTCTGGAGGCACCCAGGATCAGCAGACTGCAGTGAAGAGTACCACATCCAGAGCCCAGAAGCGCCAGCCTCCAGCGGGAGCTGCACTGAAACTCTTTGAGCCCATTTCCTGTGCAGCCCAAGGCACAAATACATCAGCCCTGCCCGCCACAGGAGACTATGGGCAAGCTGTCACCTGCAAACAAATTCTCTTGCTACATACTTATAGTGTACACATGTAAGATAATTCCCTATAGCTGTTTCTAAGGTTTATTAAATAAATAGTTGAAAATATAAATAAGTTGCATAATACTATAGTTAAAGCCACCTGGAAATAGAAGCGTCATCCATTTTCATCAGTGATTTGAACACTATTCCCTCTTTTTCCAACCTGGTGCGAATAAACTGTAGTACCAGCATTGTGGCAATTAGGTCCAGGAGACATTCTCTTCCTTTTACACCTAAAAGGAAAAAAACTCCGTTAAGTCTGTTGGAAACTCTGCATCTCAAACTGTGCCTGTTTATAAAATTCTCATTAAAGAATTACAATACGCCATCTGGCTAACACAATGAAACTCCATCTCTGCTAAAAAAAAAAATACAAAAAATTAGCCGGGGGTGGCAGGCACCTGTAGTCCCAGCTACTCGGGAGGCTGAGGCAGGAGAACGGCGTGAACCCGGGAGGCGGAGCTTGCAGTGAGCCGAGATCACTCCACTGCACTCCAGCCTGGGCGACAGAGTGAGACTCTGTCTCAAAAAAAAAAAAAAAAAAAAAAAAAAGAATTATAATACGGTTAAATCACAGTACATGAGCAGATCGTGAAACTCTAATACTCTTCAAGGTCCTTAAATGGTTTGCTGTTTAAATAAAAAATGAGGACAGTTAGACCCGTGTGCCTATGATATTATCCTGATCATTGTCAGGAAACTGAACTGTATCCAGAGTGCCCCTCACTTGCCATCTTCAATAACCAAAGAGCCATGAAGTTCACTAAAAGAAATCCAGTTTTTAGGCTCCTGTTACAAATAGCTTAGAAGAGTAAACCTAAATATTCAACAGATAAACAACAGATATGACTAATTACACTGGTGTATCAAATTATTTCTAGTGGTTAGTACCTATAGGTATCCAAGATATTTTACTATATTATGAAATATCAAAATTGAAAAATGAATGTTTACATGTGTTGAACTCAATTAACAACCCATTTTCATTTTAAAAATCCAAGCTTCTTTTTTTTTTTTTTTTTGGAGAAGACAGGGGCTCACTCTGTCATGCTGGAGTGCAGTGGGTGTGATCAGAGCTCACTGTAGCCCCCAACTCCTGGACTCAAGTGATCCTCCTACTTTGGCTTCCCAAAGTGTTGAGATTATAGGCAAGAGCCACAACACATAGCCAAAAAATGGTTTTAGGGAAGAAAAGAAAAACCCAAATCTTTGTCTTATAATTAAGAATATACAATTACTTTTTTTGAGTAAAGACAAAAGGACTTGGCATAGTATGTACATATCTGCATATACACCATTAATTTTACATCGTTGAGGTAGCCAAAACTGCTCGTAAGTGGGCTTTTATTAAATAATATAATGTTCTTAATAGAGGAAAAAGGAATTGAATACATTTTTAAAAACAAAATAACAAAACCAATCCATTGTCCCACAAAAGAAAATCAGTGGAGACAAAAGCAGTTTAATTTGCTGGATTCTTTTGTGGCTTATTTTTTGAGTATTATTTACAAAATGTTAGACTAATTTTTAAGCAATATTAATAATAAGCAACATACAACTCCAAGAATAATATAATAAATAATAAACTGATGAAATACCTAATGTGTATCAGCGTCATTTAAAAAACAAATTCAGAAGGAGAGGGGATGATAAAAGAGAAATGAAGAAGAGGATAAAAGACAAAGTTGGGTACAGAGATATAAAAACAAGTCAGAGAAAAAAGACAGCTTGAGACTCTACGTCGAAGAAGGAAGGCAGAAAAGCACACGCTTACAGAAAAATAACACAGATAATAGGGAGCAATACAGTGAAACACAGGAAAAGCCCATGGATAAGGCACATCTGTGAAATCCCATCCCCTTGCATCTGTGACTCAATTTTCTCCAGTTTTCCTCTTGTTTCTCAGGCCGCTCCTTCTCAGCGTCTTTGCTGTTTCTTGTCCAGTCTGAACACTAAACCCTGCTGTGCAGCAGGCTGGTCCTAGCACCTGCTCTGCTCAGTCCACCTTCTTTCTTTGGGTGATCTCATCCAGAGCCAGGCTTTAAATACTACTAACGTTGAGAATTTTCCCAGTCTTTTCCAATTCTGACCTCTTCCATGAGCTCCAGCCTCACTTGACAATATATTTATCTTGAATTTTTATCTCACTTTGTCACCTGGGCTGGAGTGCAGTGGCACAATCACTGCTCACTGCAGCCTCAACATCCCAGGGCTCAGGTGATCCTCCCACCTCAGCCTCCTAAGTAGCTGGGACCACAGGTACACGCCACCATGCCTGGCTAATTTTTGTAGAGATGGGGTTTCACCATGTTGGCCAGGCTGGTCTCGAAATCCTGAGCTCAAATGATCTGCCCCCTTTGGCCTCCCAAAGTGCAGGCATTACTGGTGTGAGCCACTGTGCCTGGCTTATCTTTGGTTTTCAACAGTTTGACTCTGGCCTATCTAAATGTGGTCATTTTTGTATTTATAGTGCTTGGAGTTCTGCTGAGTTTGTTGGATCTGGAAGGTGCTGTCTTTGATCAATTTTACAAAAATGTTCAAATATTTTTCTATCTAACCTTTCACCTTCTGAAACCCTGGTTACACAAATGTTAAACCTTTTGATATCATTCCACAGTCTTGGCTCCTCTGTTCTTTTTTCATTCTATTTTTTTTCTTTCTATATTTCAGTTTAGGTAAGTTTATTGAGTGCATTGTCAATCGAATTAAATGATTTTTTTCCTGTTCTGTCCATTCTGTTGTTAAGCTCATTCAATGACCTTTTCATTGCAGATACTATATTTTCCAGTTCTAGGATTTTAATTTGGTTTTTCTTTATAGTTTCCATCTATTTGCTGAGATTCTGCGATTCACCCATTCCATCCTTTTCTGGTAAGTCAATCCTTCACTATATTTTTAATAGCAGTTTTAAAGTCTGTGTCTGCTAATTCTAACATCTGGGTCATCTGTGGGTCAGCATTTATAGCCCATTTTCCCCTTGATCATGATCATATTGTCCTGCTTCTTCGTATGTTATTAAATTTTCATTCCATACTGAACATTAAAAATGACGCCTTGTAGAGACTCTCAGCTATGCTATCTTACTCTAAAGAATGTTCAGTTTTGTTCTGGTAGGTCCTGTGTAGGCTTTGTTTTAGGCTTTATTAGGATGGGTCTATTTTGGCTTATCCCTATGTCCTGGGGTATAGTCCTTGATCATGAGATATGATCCTTATGACCCTTTTATGGTTTCAATGGAAAGATATTTATAAAGTCTCTCTAATTTGGTGCCACTTGAACTCTAAACTCTGGCCAGTACTAGGCAGCAGCTGAAATCTCTGCTTAGCTCTGTAGCTTCCCAGCTGTTGCTTTTTTCTGGATTCCTTGAGGTTGCACCTGTATATGTAGAGGTTAGGAGACAGCCAAGGATCTGCGGGGTATCTGGATGCAGATTTCAGAGTTCCCTGCTCTGTGGTTCCCTCCTTTATAGGATTTTAATCCTTAACTTCCAGCCACTTTGGCAACCTTAAACTCCAACCCCATGTCCTCATCCCGTTAAGACTTTCTGTTTTAGTTCAAACATCCCATTGTGTCTCATGAGCTGAGAAATGCCTTTAGGTGACAAGCTGGATACGTGTGGAGCCCACCTAGTTGGCTTTCTTTCTTTCAAAGATTATGTTCACTCTAGCTTCTGCCTGTTTTGGATTATTCTCCTGGCCTTCAAAGAATGGTTTTAAATATTTTATTCAAAGTTAATAACTGTTATTGGCAGGAGAGTTAGTCAGATAGAGGCTCTTCTATTATTCCAGGATCAAGCACTCACTCCTCACGTAAATTGTCATCACCCCTTTTTGGCCTAGTGCAGGTCAAACAGGCTATGCATTTGCCCACCCACCCAGCCTGGAATATGAAAACTCTGGCATTTTAGAGGTGATGGTGGGGCAGTGAGACGCTGCTGCTCTATCTATCCATGAATATTGGCTAGTTGTTTAATAATGTGTATTTTATTTAAAAAAAAAATCTCCAGGCTGAGCATGGTGGCTCATGCCTGTAATCCCAACACTTTGGGAGGCCAAGGTGGGCAGATTGCTTGAGCTCACAAGTTCGAGACCACACTGGACAACATGGCAAAACCCCATCTCTACCAAAAAATACAAAAATTAGTCAGGCATAGTGGCAGGTGCCTGTAGTCCCAGCTACTCAGGAGGCTTAGGTGGGAGGATCCCTTGAGCCTGGGAGGTAGAAGTTGCAGTCAGCCGAGATAGTACCACTGCACTCCAGCCTGGGCAAGGGAGCCAGATCTTGTCTCAAAACAAACAAACAAACAACAGCTCCTGTCCTAGGGCTAGCATTTGACCTTCAAACCACTTGCTGGGTCAAGGATGCTCAGGACTTCCTCATCTATCCCCTTGTTGTCATGATAGGAAACAGGTCCAGAGGTTGAACAACTGCCTCTGGCAGAGGCTGGCTAGGAGCTCATCAGAGCTCTTTTCTCCTCCTGGACACGCAGCTTAACAGTACATTTCTCAGGCCTTCGTACATGGATGGGGCTATGTGACTAGTATTCTTCCTCTTGTCTAGCAGGGGGATGATGCCAGGGTAATCTTTGTTCTTCTCTCTTACCAGGATAATTTTAAAGACATATATTGAAGATGGTGGAGCCACAGTATGGAAGGAGTCAAGGTCTCTAAATGACCACATAAGTGGAACTTTCTTCCTGACCAATACTTGACTGTGATACGGACAAAAAAGTAATCTTTGATTACCATGTTAAGCTTCTGAGATTTTTTTTACAGCACTTGGTGCTATTTATGCTAATAAATTTGCTCAGATAATACCCTAATTAGTGGTAAAAATATGACTAGAAACCCATCTCCCATTTCCTTTAATGGTTAAATATAATTCCATTCGAATATAACTTTCATAATTATTACATTAATACACTAGCTTACAAAACAGTTTACAACAATTAGGAGCATGCTTATTAATGAATGAAAATAATGACTTAATAAATGGAAACATAGTGCCTTACCTAGAGATTGAATGCCTTTTTGTTTAAGAAAGCTGTGCAAACCATTTGTATTAAGATTTAATATAAGTCCCAGTTCTGGTGTAAGTTTCCAGAAGCCATCCTACAAAATTAAGGAAACAAAAATAAGTTATGTTATTCACATTTTATCACATAAGAAGTTACGTAGTGGGGGAAGGAGTGGGGCAAGGGTTGAAAAACATATTTTCACTACTTGGGCAACAAGACAATTAGAAGCCCAAACCTCAGCACCACACGGTATGCCCATGTAATAAACCTGTACGTGTACCTCTGCATCTAAAATAAAACTTTAACAAATTAAATGAAAAAAGAAGTTATGTGATAAATGTTTCCATTTATTTCAGTTAATTAAGGCATTTCTAACATTTTTATTACTGTAAAATAAAGTTCTTCATACACTAGTGACATAGTATTGTTTGGAACCTCATAAATGCTATGAACACTACATATCTGGTGGCACTTATAAAAAGTGTGGAAAGAGGCTCATGGGTAGAGATTTTTTAATTTTTATTTTAGTAGAGACGGGGTTTCACCATGTCAGCCAGAATGGTCTCAATCTCCTGACCTCATGATCCACCCGCCTCGGCCTCCCAAAGTGCTGGGATTACAGGCGTGAGCCACCATACCCGGCCGAGATTTTTTTAAATGGTACTTTTTTCCTTCTAGCAATGCTTTATTTCATTTTTTATTGATACATAATACTTGTATGTATTTTGACATACGCATGATATTTTGATACATGCATAGAATGTAAATAATCAGGTCGGGGTGTTTAGGATCTCCATCAGCTTGAACATTTATCATGTCTTTGTGTCGGCAACATTTCAAATATTTTCTTCTAGCTATTTTGACATATACAATGTATTGTTAACGATAGTCACCCTACTGGGTTGTCAACTAGCAATGAGCATTGAACCGGTATTTCTCAAGCTTTTAAAGTATATGTCATGCATGATTCCCTCTTTAAAAAAAACCCACTTTATTGAAATATGATTGACATACAAAAAGTCACCAACATTTAACGTATACAACTTGATGTGTTTGGAGTTAAATATACACCTGTGAAACCATCAAACCATCACTTATCAATGCCATGAACTTAGCCACCACTCCCAGAACTTTCCTTCCACCCCTTTTGCTTTGTTTTGTTCCCTTTTGTGGAAAGAGTACTTAACATAAGATAGACCTCTTAGCAAATGCTTCAGTATACCACATCGGATTGTCAATCATAGGCCCTGTATTGTACAGTAGATCTCCAGCATGATTCCTTTGGTTTAACATAAAAATGTACCCTGATGTAGTCTGAAACATGAAAATGACAGTTTTTTCTAAGCATAAAATTGTTATATTAAACATGCACTTTAAAACTACCTTCCCTGCATCCCCCATCATCTGCCTGCCCCATCACATGCACAGGAGAATGTGCTAAGCCTGAGCTTGGGGATATTAACCTCAACGGAGACAGAATCAAGACCCTAGGGAAACCAACACAGGGAGTAGAAAGCAGGGTGTGGTCCTAGGCAGGTGCACAGGTTGAAGAATCTATGGCAATACCTTGAAAAATGACCGCAGTGATAATATGTACCAACCCATAGAGAAGTGGTACCAGGTGCTGTTCTTTGATATGTTTAGCCACTTCCTGTGGAGTACTATTGTTGGGAAAAAGCTGAGTGTTGGGAGGGAAACTGAGGCAGGGCTTGCGTAACGTCCTCTGGAATGTGTCTAGACTTGCTGGCTCCTTGCTTCTAGCCTTCCTAGGCTCCTGTTCCCATTATCTCAAGTAGCAGAATATGTTCCATATAAATGCTAAACCATCGCAGCTGTAAATCATGTACTTAATGCAACGTGTCCTTTTGACCTCCACATTCTCACCATCTGTTTCTTTGTTGGATTATCAATAAATACCGTGGGCTCCCAGAGCTCGGGGCCTTCGCAGCCTCCACCATAGTGATGGCATACTGGTGTCCCACCTTTCTCTCTCAAACTGTCTTTTTCTCAATCCTTTGACTCCACTGGACTTTGTCACCCCCATGACCTGGTGTTGGGTCTGATCACCCCAACAACTATTATCACACCCACACTGGAGATGAGAACATGGAGGCACAGAAAGGTAAAGCAATTTGTCTAAAGTCTCACAGCTAACAAGCAGCAGAGCCAGGAGTGGCCGTGGGATCCACACTCTTGACCATCTGCAGTATGCTCCTGGCAGGCTTTTGGGTGCACTGTCTCAAGTAGGGAAACTGGGCAGCTGTGATTATCCTGTTTAAATCTCAAACCCACTCTGTGAAGTAGACACTATCATTATCTCCACTATATGGATGAGGAAGCTGAGGCTCAGACAGGTTACCTGACTTGCCCCAAATCACAAAGTGGGCTGGGACTCAGGCTTACTTTTATACTACATCAAGCCCTTTCCGTTTCACTAAACTACTTGACACCAAAACAAGTAATCACAGATGCAGGACTGGGTCTTAGTACCAGCGATGGGGCCAAATCTACAGGGTGTTTATCAGCTTAACAAATGGAGTGATAAGCTCTAACACAATATACATGTTGAATAATATCTGTATTCCCATGACCTATGTGAAAATATTTAGAGTACAGGTACAAGTGCTTGTGCTCTACTTCACAGTGGGAAATTTATGTGGATTACAATCCATTAGTTCTAGAATCTAGGAAATTAAGATCTCACCCCATCATCTGTTCAGAGATGTTCATTTTCATGTGAGGAATAGTAACATTCACCAGCATGAGGTTCTGGTCTAATGTTTGTAGAGAAACACCAGCCAGCATCAAGCACACTGTTTTGTTCAGCTGTCTGTTTTGTTTTGTAGCAAGAGTTCCTCAATGAAGGAAGCAGTATGATTTATACCCAGTGTACAACCCCTTCCTTCACTACAGACTGATGATAGACGGTTCCTTGACCAGCTGCTTTGAGGAGCCCCGTTCTAAACTATGAAGCCAGCCAACCACAGATTTAAGGAGAAATAAGACACATACCTCTGTCTGTAGACTGAGGAGTTCTGTCCAAGGCACAGCATCCTGCCAGTGTTGTATGCACACTATTTCATCCTCTTCTTTTACTTCCAGAAAGCACAGGATACTGTCATCTTTTGTATCACATTTTATTTGTAAAAAGCAGCTGTCTTGAAGTACTTCTGATAGCTCATCACTTTCTGTGTCAGAACTTTGAAAAGCAAAGACAGGACATCGACTTCCTTCGAGACTGCCTACTGATTCTTCTAGAAGACAGAGATCTACTGGGGTAGTCCGGGACTGACTGCAAAGAGCCTCAGGTAAAGCAGAGGCCATTGGCAGCCTAAGGTTGGCAGTCAAAGAGGCTGCGGAAGGTTGAAAATGAAAAGGAGAGGAAGCAGAGGGATGATAAGACCCAAAACCTCTGATGGGATCAGGGTCTGTAGGAAGAGAGAAATGAAGCTGGGGAGAATCCAGCTCAGGGAAGGTGCCAGCAGAAGGCCTGGTAGTAAAGCCTCCAGGATGTTGCAGTGGAGCAGACTGTGCAGAGCTTAATGAGCTCCCTGAAAAAACAATGCCACAATAGGGTGAAGAAGGTGGGTTCTGGGGAGGTCCTGTGGGACAAGACGCCGACTGTGGGATCCAGTCAGCACAAGTGCCAGGCACAGGGCCTTGGCTGAATTGAGATGCATCAAACTGTCTGGGAGGAGCAGCTGAACCGAAACTAGCTACCTGACGATATGAGGCAAAAGACAAGGAAGCAGGACTGTGAGCGCGGGCAGTCGGGGGAAGATAGGAACCAACGGCCGGAGCCAAAATAGGAAAAAAGCTAGAAGTAGATGTTTCCCATGGACTGACTTTCTTAAATAGTGGTTCAGTTGCTGTTGGTTTACATGACTCTGTCCAACTTAAATCCAATAGCTTTTCCACACCTCCACGTTCCAAATTTGATGTGAAAGCTGGTAGTACACCTAAGCCATCCTCTTCAAAATCTTCAGAAACTTCTGGCTGAGATAATTCCATTTTTCTTTTGGAAAATGGAATTTTCCTATGTTTTCGTTTGGATAAACGTAATTCTGGCCACTCAGAGGATGCTAAAAGAGACTGCCCAGAAGACAGAATTATTAACGTAAGGGGAAAACACAGAATAAAAAGAACAATCAAGCAAACATTCTTCCTAGCACTTGACTTCCCACCCATCAGGCAGTTGCTCATCCAGAATCAGGATCATCAATGTGAGCTGGGATGTTGAAAATAACACCAGTGCTGCGTGCAGCAGCTCACGCGTGTCATCTCAGCACTTTGGGAGGCCGAGGAGGAAGGATCGCTCAAGGCTAGGAGTTTGAGAACAGCTTAGGTGACACAGCGAGGCTCCATCTTTACAAAAAATAAAAAATTAGACAGGTGTAGTGGCTCATGACTGTAGTCCCAGCCACCTGGGAGGCTGAGGCAGGAGGAGTGCTTGAGCCTGAGAGGCTGAGGCAGCTATGAGAACAGATTTGCACTACTGCTCTCCAGCCTGTGTGAGAGGGCAATATTCTGTCTCAAAAAAAAAAAAAAAAAAAAGAAAGAAAGAAAATAATGCCACCAGAGACATTCAAGATCATTTCAGTACAAGGCTGTCTATTTCTAGACATGGAAGCTGAGACCTGGAGAGAATATCAGCAATCAATATATTGAAAGACCTTCTCTCTTAGTTCTTAGTTCTTAGAATTGCGGAATTTTAAACACCCCTCATTTTACACATGAGGGAACTGAGGAGCACAGAAGTGACTTGCCCAAGATTTTACAATGAGCAGTATCACAGGGTGTACTTAGGCCTAAAATAAGACAGTCATTTGAAGTCAATTATTGCAGTTTTTATACTGCTTTACAGCAATATTAAGAAAATGAGATCAAAATGGAAAAACAGTCTCAAAAGCTTTATTTATTTTTACTTACTCATTTTTTGAGACAGGGTCTTGCTCTGTTGCCTGGGGCTGGAGTGCAATGGCACAATCACAACTCACTATAGCCTTGAACTCCTGGGCTCAAGTGATCCTCTCGCCTCAGACTCCCCAGTAGCTGGGACTATGAGCATGTGACACCATACCCAGCTAATTTTTAAATTATTCTTTTGTAGAGATGTGGTCTCATTATGTTGACCAGACTGGTTTTGAACTCCTGGGCTCAAGTGATCCTCTCAGCTTGGCCCCTCAAAGTGCTAGGATTACAGGTGTGAGACACTGTGTCCAGCCAAAAGCTTTCAAGTAATTAAATGAACATATAATTATACTAGAACATGAACAATATGTATGTAAAACAAATTTTGAGGGATGCTATATTACTACTATTGTTTCAATCTAAATGTAAAGAGTGTTCCTTAAAAAGTTGCATGTATAAAATCCAGTTTTATATGCATGTCAAGTCCTTGATATTTTTGAAATAATTAGCCTGTAATTTTACCTGTGAATATGAATGATTTAAAAAAGGAGTAGTCCTTTCCCAACTCAGTCAAATTTCAAGTTTATACCTGAATAATTAATATTATAGAACATATGAAAAGACATATTTTAAAATAATGCTAACCAGAGGTTAAATTTTTAAAAATTAGAGAAGCAAACTGGAAAAAACCAATCAATAGTGATGGACTAGAACTATCAGATATTAAAGTCTCTTATAAAATTATAATAATTATAGTAGACGAATCAATGGAACAGAGTAGGTAAGTCCAGCAATAGCTCCTAAATCTGAGAATTACTAGATTATGAAGGTGGCATTTCAAGTCAATAAGAGGAAAAGGAGGAGCCATCTGGAAAAGAATAAAGTTGGTTCCATATCTCTTATCCTATGCTAGGATAAATTTCAATCAGATGAAAAATTGAATGTAAACATGAAAACATAAAACTATTTTAAAAATAAAGGGAAAAATTTTAAAAGTATAATCTCTGACTAGGAAAGGTATTTCTAAGCATGATGAAAAGCAAAACAACACTAAACAAAAAGAAGAAACACAAAGATTAAAAATTTGACTGCATTAAAAAATCTGCATGACCAAAAGATAATAAGCAACATCAAAATAACATGTGGAATACCGGGAAACAAATTTTCACAACTCATATCACAAAGGGCTAATTTCCCTAACATAAAAAGTTTACCTAAGATAAATAAAAAAATGACTAAAATCTCAATTAAAAAAATAAAAGATGTGAACAGATAACACCCAGGAAGTGATACATAGGGCTGTAAGAATATAAAACATGCTCCTCTTCATTCATAAAGAAACAAAAACTTAAATGTCACCAATACATTTTTCACCTGTAAGATATGCAAAGATCAAAAAATTGATTAAGTCAGGTATTGTGGAGCATCCCAGCTACTCAGGAGGCTGAGGTGAGAGGATCGCTGGAGGCCAGGAGTTCAAAGCTGTAGTGCTCTGTGATAGAGCCTGTGAATAGTCACTGCACCCCAGCCTGGGTGACAGAGTGAGACTCCATCTCAAAAAAAAAAAAGAATCATACTGAGAAATACGGGTCATTTTTGTTTATTTTATAAAACTCCTTCTTGAATAGTATTTTTGTATTTTTTAGTAGAGACAGGGTTTCACCATGTTGGCCAGGCTGGTCTTGAACTCCTGATCTCAGGTGATCCACCCACCTTGGCCTCCCAAAGTGTGGGGATTACAGGTATGAGCCACCGTGCCTGGCCTCATTATGATTCTTCTATTTGTCAAAATCACTCACTTGCTTCCTCTTTCCCTTCAAGTTCACAATTGCTTATTTTGCTTAACCACATACTCACATCTTGATCACCTAAGGTGTGGTCCCCAACCTTTATGGCAGTGGGGACTGGTTTCATGGAAGGCAATTTTTCCATGGACAGGGGTGGGGCAGATGGTTTTGGGATGAAAGTATTCCACATGTTCCATATGCACAGTTCACAACAGGTTCGGGGCTCCCATGAGAATCTACTGCCGCTGCTGACGTGACAGGAGGCGAGCTCAGGCGGTAATGCTCCCTCACTGCCCCTCACCTCCTGCTGTGCAGCCTGGTTCCTAACAGGCCAGGGACTGGGGGTTGGGGACCCCTGATTTAAGGAACAGCGTGGGCTCTGGACCCTCAGCTTCAGTGCCCTCAATTTCTTGCTAAGAGTTATAGCACTGAATTTTACAAATGATTTACTTTAAAAACTTGGATTAGGAGGTATGTTTTAAAAATCTCTGCCTCTCGCTTGTTCTCAATGTGCTTTCATGAGCGGGAGGGAACGAAGTGGATTTGGGGTTGGTGCAGAAGACACTGCGCCTAAGCCCAGGCGTGGCTGTGGGAGGACAAGAGCACACAGCACTGAGCGCTGTCCTTCCTGAGCACGTCCCAGCAGAAAAGGTGTTGCGCTCCCTGGAGGGTCTCATTTCACAATGAAGATGTATCAAATAAGGAAATGCCCCAAGCTTCAGCGAGTCGGGAAGGACCAAACAGACCTGGATGTCCGGGCTCTATTGCGGCTGGCGTGTTACTGAATTCAGTGGAATGACTCCGTGTAGAATGCGGCAGGTGCCACATTTTGGTAAAACAGATATCGAGGAAGAGTAACAGAGGCTTGACATTTTTGCTAAATTACATGGTCCGTTCAAACAACTTATTGCAGCTAACATAAACTTTCAAGTCATCAAGCTAATGGATAATATTTTTCATCTGATATGTTTGGATCTGGAAGTATTAAGATCCAACGTATTTGCAAATTTAGTATGAAATAATTTATCATCACACTGTATTAAAACCTAAATTAATTTAGAACCAATTTTGAAAATAATTTCAAAAATTTCTATAAACAGGCCAGGCATGGTGGCTCGCTCCTGTAATCCCAGCTACTTGGGAGTCTGAGGTAGGAGGATCTCTAGAGCCCAGGAGGTCGAGGCTGCGGTGAACTATGATGGTGCCACTGCACTCCAGCCTGGGCAACAGAGTAAGACCCTGTCTCAAAAAAAAAAAAAAAATCTAAAAACAACACATGTGCACTATGAGAAAATTAGAAAATACAAGTAGACACAAGTAGACAGACACAAAGAAGAAAATAAAAGCCATACAGAATGTCTTATCTGATCTATGGCCTATATCCCTCCAGACCTTTTCTGTGAACAAAACACTTAACATATGTAGCAGAGTGTAGGGGCGTATCTCTTATTTTTGTTAATTTAATTTTTATTGTGGGAAAAATGTATATAACAATGTTTGCTATGTTAGTCATTTTTAGAGTTTAGTGGCACGAGGTACATTCACACTGTTGTGCAACCATGACCATCTCCATTTTCAGAGCTGCTTCTGGGTGTGCCCTTTTGAAGCACATATAAGATAAGTATATATTTTCCAGGGCCCATTTTAACAGTAAGTCTCAAGGACAAACAGTTGATTCTTAATTGTACATCAGAATTTTTTTTTCCCCAAAACAATGCACTCCAAGGGCCCCTGTGCAGTCAGAGAGAGGCCACAGGTCACAGCCCCTCAGCTTAGCCCCTCGCTTTCCTTCAAGCAGCCCTGAGTCCCATTCTTTGGCTGACCTGGAAGTCCGGACCAGTGTGGGAGCCCACGATGTTGCCAACATCTGCCCTGCCTGTGGGTGAGCCTACGGGGCCACCTGAGCCTGGCTGAATGCACCTCCTACTACTCCTGACTCCCCAAACTCTTTGTGTTTGCTTAAAGTATTATTTTTCTTTCATGGGCAATCCATGCCCATGGTTCAAAATTCAAAATATACAAAAGGGTGCACTGTAAGAAAGCAAGGCTGGGGACAGTGGCCCATGCCTGAAATCCCAGCACTTTGGGAGGCCGAGGCGGGTGAATCAGGAGTTCGAGACTAGCCTGGCCAACATGGTGAAACCCCATCTCTACTAAAAATACAAAAATTAGCTGAGTGTGGTGGCGCGTACCTGTAATCTCAGCAACTCAGGAGACTGAGGAACGAGAATTGCTTGAACCCAGGAGGTAGAGGTTGCAGTGAATTGAGATCATGCCACTGCACTCAACCCTGGGCGACAGAGCGAGACTCTATCTCAAAAAAAAAAAAAATTAAAATTAAAAAAAAAAAAAAAAAAAGAAATCAAGTATCCCTCCAAACCCAAGGCCACTTTTCAGCTTTCTGCCCCATCTGTTTGGGCAACAGTGCCCGTTTCAGACACCTTTGAGAATTAATAACTACAGCTAATATTTATCAAATATCCAGGAGCTAGACGTGTTGGAATGGTCTTAGAACTCTTCACAACCACCTGAGGTGGATTTTACTGCTCTCCCCACTAGGGCATTAGGACTGGGGCACTGGGAAGGTCAAGTCCCAGAGAGTGAAGCGCGGGCTGGGGTTCAGACCTGAGCATTCGGCCACAGCACCTGTGATCTTAACCACTGTGTTTACTGACTTTCAATCATCTACCTTTTGTGATCTTTGCCAACCTGACAGAGTTAAAAAATAAAAAGGAATCTCATGGCAGTTTACATTTTAACTTCTTTTAGAAACAAGGTTGCACATCTTTCGTATATTATTTTCTTATTTATGATCAAATCCTCACTCTGTCACTAAGGCTGGAGTGTAGGGGTGCCATTTTGGCTCACTGCAACCTCTGCTTCCTAGGTGCAAGCATCCTCCTGCCACAGCCTCTTGAGTAGCTGGGACTACAGGCAAGCACCACCACGCCCAGCTAATTTTTGTATTTTTTTGTAGCGACAGGGTTTCACCATGTTGCCCAGGCTGGTCTTGAACTTGTGGGCTCAAGTCGTCTGCTGCCTCAGCCTCCCATAGTGCTGGAATTACAAGTATGAGCCACTGTGCCCGCCCTAAAAGACTTTTTGTAGAGATGAGGTCTCGCTTTGTTGCCCAGGCTGGTCTCAAACTCCTGGCTGAAGTGATTTTTCCCACCTCAGCTTCCCAAAGTGCTGGGATTACAGGCGTGAACCACGGTGCCGGATCAGATTTTAAATTTTTAAATTCTGGAAATTTTAGTTTTTTAACCTAGAGACCTAAGAGGGTTGTCAGCACTGTGTTGTTCCTTTGTTTTTGAATTTTTCTTCCAATTTTTATTTAAGCCACATTTTTCCATTTCTATTATGTTTCTGGTTATAAGGGCCACGGTATAAAGCACTATAAACTTTAAGAAATATTGGTGGTGAATTTAGATTATTAGATAGCACTTCTATTGATAATTTCATGACAAACCTATTATACTACCTAAATGACTTTAGCTTCCTGGATGACAATCTATTTGCCCATGATAGAAGCACAGCCAGAGGTGTTCTCTTTTTGTACTATACAGCTCCATTCACACATTGTGAAGTCTCTGTAATGCAACATGATGTAATTCAACATTTTATAAATGCATGAATATTTTCCATCATCAGGGATACAACTTCTTCATGTACAGGTAAGAAGGGAGCTATTTTAGCAAAGGGTTCCCTTCATCTTCATGAAAAAACGAAAGCTCAATATCAACTTATTCGGTAATCAGCATTTACCTGGTTCCTGACGGCTTCTTGGGGCTCCCCCTGCCAGCTCATGTAGGGCAGGAAGTCTACATCTTCTTTGGCAATAAGTTCAGAAACTTTTGGAATATCAGGAAAAGGCGACTCATTCTCATCCTATATTGAATCACAAATAGATTAAATCAAACAGATGTTATCCAATTAAATGATGACTACACATTCTAAAGCCTATGGGGTGTTGGTTTGGGATATGCTGGTGTGTGGGACTGGAGCTTGTGCCGTGGGCCACAAGCGTGAGGGGAAGTGGGGAGGTGGAGTGGCTTTCCTCTTTACGGAGCACTGGCAGGTGCTGGCCACTGTGCTGGGCACGTTACGTGAATTTCCCCCTTAAACTTATGAAGGGGAAGGGCTCTCAGGGAACCCAGGCCTTTTCGGCCTTTTCTATTTTTTGAGGGTCTTGGATTAATAAAAGACAATAAACGCCAAAACTGTAACAAAATTATAGTATAACCGAAAAGTACACATTAGCCAATTGTTAATAATAACATTAAAAATGATAACATACTCAACTCATTTAGAAAGATCACCCTAAGTCCCAACACCGAAGCCCCCCATGAATGGGAGGCTGGGACTCGTGGGGCCTGCTGACCTGTCTGCAACCCACACTTCCCAGGCCCAGGGTGTGGATGTCGTCATTAACCATCAAAGCAAGGGTGACTTTCTTAATGTGGAAATACAAATAAAATAATTTAACCTCGAATTACCAATAATACATACCCTTTTCTCAACTGCCACAAAGCTTGTAAATTGTGTTATGAGAGAGTTTTCTTTACTGAGTTTAATAATCAGAGATTTCAAGGTTTGTTTTTTCATCTAGGATAGAATAAAACATAAATCATGTCCTGTTTTATTTCTATTTCGCTATGTCAGTAAATCATTTTAAGATTCGTATTTCAGACTAAATATTGAATTGCAGGTCCCATCTAAATCGGTGGCTCAATATTCCCTTTAAAATGAGATGAACTGACTTAGTCATAGAAAGTGTCGCTCTTCATTATTCAGCTCCCTCTAGTTCAGAGAGCTCTCCCGGGCAGTGGGCTTTCTCATTCTTTCACAGTCTGTGGCTCCCAATTTAAAGCTGAGGAATTGGAAAGATGGAATGACTTGTTCAGGATAAAAGGGCCTTAAACAAAACAGCACACAGAGGCTGCCAACCCAGCAGCATCTGAGGAGAATAGGGAGACCACCAGGTGACCATCTGTCACTAGAACTGACTGTGAGGGTCTCCAGGGCCTGCTGTCACCTTCTTGTGGGGATGGCATTGAGGACTAACGTTCACAGCCTTGTTGAAGATCTCATCCCTCAGAGAACAGCTGGGCAGTCCCGGTGGCCTGGCTGAGGAGCCCCTCTGCTGAGGCCCTGGTCTGCACAGCATGGGGGGAGTCAGGTGGGCTTTGGCAGGTCACTCAGCATTTCGCTCTCAGGCCTCTCATCAGTAAGATGGGAATACTAACGCTACCACACGAGAGATCTGAGGTGACGTCCACTACAGGCACTCAGCGAGTGTTCTCTGAGCCCTCCTCTGGCTTCTTCTGATAAGTAAAACATTACAGAATTTTCTGGAAACCACTGACATCCATCCTTTTGTTAATTCATTCAACAAACATTTACCACACACCCCACATCCCAGGCACAGTGTCACAGATACAGTGATGAATGCCCTGACACCAGTCTCCTTCTCCACGCAGCTGACCTCACTTTCCATTTCCACAGATAAAATCAATGTAAGAATGCTCAAGAAGAATGTCTAATCATTTTTACAATGAAAAGAACAAACCTCATGACTGGTTTCATTTTCGTGAAGAATGCCATCTTCATAATCTCTGATTAGAGCTCGGGCTGCCAGCTTGTGGATCATCTGTGTTTAAGCAGCAAAGGAAAAAAAATATTCACATGGCTTCTAATATAAGACTTGCAAAGAACATCATTTTAAAAATGGAGGTATAATCTGCATACAGTAAAATGCACTCCTCTTAAATACACAGTTTGATGAGTCTTAAGGGATGTATACAGTTGTGTGACCACTGTTGAAGTGAAGACACAGAACATTCTCTTTTCCCTGAAAAGTTCCTGTGTGCCCGTGTAGCTTCCTCAAGCCCTGGCAGCTCCTCATCTGCTTTCTGTCCCTAGAGTTTTGCTTTTTCTATAAAAGGCCATTTTGCTAATTCATTTTATTTAAAAAATTGAAAACTTCTTTTCTACCATGGGAAGAGCCACCTTGGCCCTGGGATGCCCGTCCGTGAACATGGTCTGCACTCTGAAGGGTGAAGACTGCACAATGTGCACCACCAGGTGCTTCCTCTCCAACAACTGAGAGATGGAACTTCCCTTCATTCCAACTCTTGTAATTTGTCATTGATAAGGCTGCTTCTCACAGAGGAAGTACAACTTGCTGTGACTTTATGGAAAACGACCTCTTCCCAGGTAAAATTATTTTACCTTCTTTCCCCCTTAGATCTAATTTTTAAAAATATACTTTTAATTTATTCTCCCTTATCAGTACCCACAAAGATCTAATTTTTAAAGCAATATTGAGCTTAAGTTCTATACATAAGTCACTGGCAACTAGTAAGTCAATGATACCGATTTAGTGCTGAAAAGTAAGCTGTGCACTTTTGAGAAAAAAACCCAGCAATGTCTGGGAAATGATTTATCTGGTTATACTGATACTCCTTTGAATAAAAAAACTACATAAATAGCATATATAGGCTAGGAACTTTCAAGGCTAAACTACAGTGGATTCAGTACCAGTGCAAATATTACAAACTTCTTGGTAATAATTTGTGATATTGTGATATGCAAAAAGCTAAAATAGGCCACCCCAAAAGAGACTTCTTTGGCATATTTTGAGATGCTATTCAGAGGGACAGCAGACATAGGAGTAGCTCTGAAAAGCAGTCCTTTTGCAGGGAATATTTGCATCTGCAGAGGAATCGTATGTCAGTGAAGGAAACAGCAGATGCAAACAGGCTTTCTCTGAGACCCCCTTATCTGCCTTATCCAGATTTAGGAAAGATGAACTCCCAGGAAGAGGAGGCTAAAGTCTGATACTTTAAAGGGATGATAGAGAAACCGTTACCAGAGGTGCTTCTATTCTCTCAGGGCTGCTGCCTGCCAGACTTCATCTGCATCACAAGAAAGCCTTTGCTCACCACGTGTTTCTTCCCCTCACCCTCCCACAACCTGTCCCCACCTCCCCCAGGAGCCCCACAATCCTACCCGCCTCTGTACGGTATGAAACTTCACTCATCTGGCCCTTCTTTGAGTCTCACGTGGCTCGTGCACACGTAACGACATCTGCATGTCTCTTCCCCTGTTAATCTATCGTTGGATTATTTTATAGACCAAACATGGAAACTTCAGAGGGAAAGTCTGAACTTCCCTACAGACATAAGAAATGTATGTATTTGTTATTCCTAACAGGACCCTTCAACCACACCTGAGTTTATGTTAATGAGGTGACTTTTAGAAAGTCCCTAGAATGAGGGCTGGTTGCTGGGGAACCAACCATATGATTAGAGGGCTGGGACTTCAACCCCACTCCCCAACCTCCAGAGAGGGGAGAGTTAATCACCAATGGCCAATGATTTAATCAACCAGGCCTTTGTAATGAAACCTGCATTAAAAACCCCACCTAAAGGGGTTCAGGGAGCTTCTGGGTCAGCACTCATGTGCCAGGAGGATGGTGCACCCCAACTGTATGTTAGACAGAAGCTCCTGTGCTTGGGACTATTCTGGGCCTTACCCTGTATACCTCTTCATCTGGCTGTTCATTCGTATCCTTTATAATATTCTTTACAATAAATCAGTAATACTAAGGTAAACTTTTCCTGAGTTCTGTGAGCTGTTACAGCAAATTACTGTAAGAAATTTGAGAAATTTCTGTGAGAAAGGGTTGTGGGAACACTGACTTGGAGCTGACCAGAAGTGTGGGTAACCTGGGGACCTGCTACTTGCTACCGGTGTCTGGAGTTGGAATCAGTCTTGTGGGACTGAGCCCTCAACTCTGTGAGGTCTGTGCCAACCCCAGGCGGCCAGTGTCAGAATTGAATTAAATTGTAGGACATGCAACTGGTGTCAGAGAATTGGTTGGGAAAAACACATATCTGGAAACCAGAAATGGTGTATTTGGGAAACAGGAATTTTTTCTTTCATAATTCATTTGCTTTTAATCAAAAAAGGAAATAAACCCACATCCTCAATATACGATATGATCTACTCTTAGTCCAGTATTATTATAACTAGTATTTCTAAATAGCATCAGTAGGCCAGTGGCATGTACCTTTATTGAGTTATGAACATCTTTGAGAACCTCTCTAGCAAAATTTCCATGCATAAATGCCATACTTAATTGCAGTTATTGCCACCCACTGATGCCCATATAGACATACCTAGACCAAACTACCCCAGATGAAGAAGTGCTGCATTAGAAACTGAAGGAAAGTATACTCATTTGTACATATAGTCCATCTCCATATTGTGTAATGAAATTTCAACACAGGAAAACAACAAAGTACAGACAGCAGGGGTATCCAATCTTTTGGCTTCCCTGGGCCACAGTGGAAGAGGAAGAACTGTCTTGTGTGACACATAAAATACACTAACACTAACGATAGCCGATGAGCTGAAAACAAAAACTTGAAAAAAAATTTCATAATGTTTTAAGAAAGTTTACGAATTTGTATTGGGCTGCATTCAAAGCTGCCCTGGGCCGTGGGTTGGACAAGCTTGACATAGAGCATTATATATGGAAATATAAAATCATAACTTTCAAACAATGGGTTGATAGTTTAGGTTTTGAATCTTACAGTTCCAGTTGTCTTCTGAAGCTCAGTAGTCGACACCATTGTACGAAATTCTTTCTCTTGAATTAGTGCACACAGAGTTGCCTGAAATGGGGAAAAAAATAAATTCCTCATTAGCCTTTCCACTCTGCAGTGTCTTGGTTTAACAGAAATTCTTTTGGTGATTTTCTCTCCCCTTTCAATAAAAACTAGAAGCCTCCCCAAAGCCCTGGCTAACCACCAGCTGTGTTCCCAGAAGAAGAAAATCTGCTGGTGAGAAGGGGAGGGAAGAAGACAGAAAAAAAATTAGCAAAATATATTGGTCTTCCCATAGAATAACAAACTCTGCGTCTTCTTACCTGTGTGCAGTGAGGAATGAATCCATAGACAAGGAGTCGATCATTGAGAAACAAGGACGGCACCTGGGCTGGGGCCTGCAGGGCCTCGGGCACATCTGGATTGAGTTGCTGCCATTTGACGGAGACAGAGTGGCAACTCGGAGAACATAGCCTGGTCATTTGGTCTTCTATCTATTTATAAAAGAGGAATTATTTCTCTTTCAATGCTCCATCCAGAAAATAGTTACTTCACATTTAAAATAAAGTATACATTCTATCCTTTGGGAATTTTATAACTCTGGTATTTTCTCTCCTTCCTGCTACAGGGTACTTTCCCGAAAATAGTTTAAACAGAATTTTATTTTATTTTATTTATTTTATTTTGAGATGGAGTTTTGCTCTGTCGCCCAGGCGGGAGTGCAGTGGCACAATCTTGGCTGACTGCAACCTCCCCCTCCCAGGTTCAAGTGATTTTCCTGCCTCAGCCTCCCAAGTAGCTGGGACTACAGGCGTACACCACCACACCCAGCTAATTTTTGTATTTTTAGTAGAGATGGGGTTTCACCATGTTGCCCAGGCTGGTCTCGAACTCCTGACCTCAGGTGAGCCATCTGCCTCAGCCTCCCAAAGTGCTGGGGTTATAGGCATGAGCCACCACGCCCAGCTAGAATTTTAAATAATAGCATGATCATATCCTTTTCATTTACAAAGCATCCTGAAATTATGCCTTTAGCTAATTACTAATATGCAGCCTTGGTATGAGTAGATTCCAGTACTTGAATAGATATTTCTCCAAAGAAGATACACAAAAGCCAGCAAGTGCATGCAAAGATGCTTGATGTCATTAGTCATTAGGGAAGTGCAAATCAGAACCACGGTGAGATCCCATTTCACACCCAGTGGGATGGCTGTTATTAAAAAACAAGTGGTGGCTGGGCAGAGTGGCTCATGCCTGTAATCCCAGCACTTTGGGAGGCCAAGGCAGGCAGATTGCTTGAGCTTGGGATTCGAGACCAGCCTAGGCCCATGGCGAAACACTGTCTCTACAGAAAATTAGCTGGGTGTGGTGGTGTGGGTGTGGTGGTGTGGGCCTGTTGTCCCACCTACTTGGGGGATGAGGGAGGAAGATGGCTTGAGACCAGGATGTCAGGGCTGCAGTGAGCCAAGCTTGCACCACTGAATTCCAGCCTGGGTGAAAAAGTGATACTCTGTCTCAAAAAACACCAACGACAAACAAAAACCAACCAAACAAACAAAAAACAATAAGAAAAAAAGTGGTGGCATATGCCTGTAGTCCCAGCTACTCTGGAGGCTGAGGTGGGAGGATTGCTTGGGCTCAGAAAGTTGAGGCTGTGGTGAGCTATGATTGTACCACTGTACTCCAGCCTAGATGACCGAGCAACACTGTGTCTCAAAAACCAAAACAAACCAAAGAAAAGCTGATTGATTTCAATCAATAAGGAAAAAAAAAAGAATGATGAGTGTTGGTGAGGATGTGGAAAAACTGGAATCCTGGTGCACTGGTGGTGGGAATGTAAAATGATGCAGCTGCTATGGAAGACAGCATGGCAATTCCCAAAAAAACTAAACATAAAATGAGCATATGATCCAGCAATCCCACGCTGCACATATATCCAGAATTGAAAGCAGACTCAAACAGACACTTGTATACCAATGCTCATAGCAGCATTATTCACAATAGCCAAAGGACAGAAACAACCCAAGTGTCCACCGATAGATGAATGGATAAGCAAAACGTGGTCCATCCATGCAATGGAATATTATTTAGCTTTAAAAAGAAGGGAAATTCTGACACATGCTTCAACATAGATGGACATTAAAAACATCATGCTAAGTGAAATAAGCCAGACATAAAGGGACAATGTCCTATGACTCCACTTATATGAGATACTCAGAAAAGGCAAAGTCATAAAGACAGAAAGTAGAGTCATGGTTAGCAGGCGCTGGGTGTAGGAGGGAATGTGGAGTTACTGCTTAATGAGTACGTAGTTTCTGTTTGGGCTGATGAAACAGTTTGAAGATGGTGATGGTTGCACAGCATTGTGAATGTAGCTAATACCACTAAATTGTACACCTAAAAATGGTTAAAATGGCCAGGCGCGGTGGCTCACGCCTGTAATCCCAGCACTTTGGGAGGCCAAGGTGGGCAGATCATGAGGTCAGGAGATCAAGACCATCCTGGCTAACACAGTGAAACCCCATCTCTACTAAAAATACAAACAATTAGCCAGGCATGGTGGCTGGTGCCTGTAGTACCAGCTAGTTGGGAGGCTGAGGCAGAAGAATGGCGTGAACCCGGGAGGCAGAGCTTGCAGTGAGCCGAGATGGCGCCACTGCACTCCAGCCTGGGCGACAGAGCAAGACTCTGTCTCAAAAAAAAAAAAAAAAAAAAAATTAAAATGCTAAATTTTATCATAATAAGGAAACAATTTCAGCAAAACATATTTAATAATTCACTTTAAAAAAAATCAGTCCATGATTTTTAAGGCAGAAATCAAACCATAAGCTGGGAGAATGACCTGATGAAGAACACCTGTGTTCCCGCTGGTGCAGTCCTGAGGCAGGGCTCACACCTGCGGCAGTGCTTGCCTCTTTACGGCTCCCCTCTCATTCAAGGAAACACAGATATTCCTATTTCTTAGTCTCGGAAGAATAAGAGATTTCCAAACATAAATATAAAACCAGATGTTTAAAAAACATACCTGTTTTCTCCAACTATGCTTGGATTTTGCATTAAAATATTCAAATACTCCGGCACCACACTGGGACAAAATCCTTAAGACGTGACGATTTGCTGTAGAACTGATCACATTTCACATGTTTTAATTTTGAAGACATTAGAAATATTTTTGAAGTACATGTTAACAGTGTTGAGAAAGCTCACAACTCAATAGGAGAGACATGACGTGGGGAAGAATGTACTCGTGTGTCGCTGAGGTTAAACAGAGAAAGTGATAATAGAAGGAAACATCTGAAAGTTTGGCTAATTTAAGCTCCCATCTATCAGAGGACTGACTTATCCTTCAAATAGAAAAAAGTTGAAATTCTTGACTTTCAGTTCCTGAGGGAGGGAGTAGATGACTCTAAAAACAACCCTATAAGGTATCAGAATGCTGACAAAGATATCAACTTAATTTCCATAAATAACAATATTACCTGAATCTGATCCCAAAGGCCTAGAGCTGGCAAAGAGTGAATAAAGTCTACCTCTTGAAATCTGATACACATCAACATAGCAAAAGGCATAAAGAAGCAACTCTCACTCTAGCAAAGAGCATCTCTGACATTTAAATGACAAGTGCCCTATTACTTTTCTCTCTACAATAATTCTACAACTATCAAGAACTCCTTGCTTAGAGGAATTCCTCCTGAAATATTAAAGAAAACATCAATTATTTTTCAGAAAAAGAGCTTATGAAAATAATTTCCAAGATGTTTTTCAACCTATGGATAAAGATGGATTTGTCTTTACCCTCCATATTAATTGGTGATGATCATAACATTGACTAGAAGATCCCTAACATGGGTTATTGGTAGTTACAGCTTCTGTCTGTTAGCGAGGCAGGCTGGAGTCTTCCTGTGCTCCTTCAGGGCGGCTCTCAGAGGACCAGGACTCACGCCAAGGAGGAGGGCTGATGGTCTCTACCCCTGGGAAGCTCACTTTACTAGAGTTTGTAATTGCAAACACATGCTTGGAAGATGAGGGAGAAACACTTAGAAAGATCCCAAAAACTCGACAGAAAAGCAGAATGGATACCACCCCCTCCAGGCATGGGCGGTGCTAACTGGCAGAGTCTCCTCTTGGAGCAGGCTCCCCCACTGCACACCCAGACTCCCCGTCACATGCCTTACATTTTTCAATTTTTTTTTTATTTTTAAAGATGGGGTCTTGCTCAGTCACTCAAGCTGGAGTGCAACTGCCTGACCATGGCTCACTACAGCCTTGACCTCCTGGGCTGGAGCGATCCTCCTGCTTTGGCCTCCCAAAGTGCTGGGACCACAGGAGTGAGCCTCTGAGCCTGACCTCATCACACTCCCTTGATTTCCTCCCTGGCACATGGGAAAATCCCATCTCCCAGCCCCAGAGTCGGGGCCCGATGTTCGTCCCAGAATAGGCCCTCACTGAGGAAGGCATGAATAGGTGCCAGTACCTCTGCCCTGTGGTGTCTGAGCCCTGACCTGGGAGCAGGGGGCAGGGAGGGGCTGCTGAGACCAGGAGACGGTGCACAGGCTGCCCTGAGCGCAGCTGTGAGCTCAGCAGGTGAAGTCCCATCAGGAACAACTCCTGGTGGAGCTGCTCAGGCTGGATATATTTCTTCATTGGCCTGTGATGCTGGGCTAGGCCTTAGATTACAGAGAACAGAGCCAGGAGCTGTGACAGTGGAGGACAAAGAGAAGAAAGCCCTCAAGGCAGGCAGAGCTGGCTTGAGTATAGCAGCTAGGGGTGTCGGAGGCCACAGAGGGACACTGGGGGCCATGGAGGGGCATCGGGGCCACAGAGGGGCATTGGGGGTGCTGGCTCCTGGAGCTCAGGGCGAGTCCAGGTCAAGGCTCAGGGGCAAGGACAGCAAAGAGGCCCCCATTCTGCCCCATGAAGAAGCTGAGGATCTGCTCCATGCACTGCCACCAGATAGCTGGTGACCACTTGCTGAGGTGGTGGCCACAGGTAGGAGTCCAGGGGCCACAGAGGCAGGCAGGATGGGCAAGTCCTATGCAGACACCAAGTGGCCCCCTCTGTTCGATGTTTTCCTTACACATACACCGCATACCTTAGTGCCATCCAAAAGAACTAACTTTTAATGGGGAAGGGGCAATTCCAACAATGTAGGGGTGTTAGCCTCTCATGGAAAGCTTCTATGCACACCACAGGGTTTGAAAATGCAAGTGCTCATAATGGCCAGAAAAGAGATGCGAAGGAGCAAAGCAGCCTGGCGGGGTCTGCCTGGAGGTCACATGCCCCCAGCACGAGTCCAGCACAGCCAGTGAGGAGGTTTACCCAGGCCCTTCGGGACAAGCGGAGATTTGGATTCTTATGCTAAATAATAACATCTAACTGATTTGGTGCTTTTGGTTCAGTTCTGTTCTGAGTGCTTTCTATGTATGAGCTCATTTATTCCTCAGCAATCCTAGGAGGTAGGTATTTTCATTATCACCTTGGTTTTACAGATGAGAGGTTAAGGAACTTGCTCAAGGTCACGGCTAAGCTAATGAGTGGCCAACCCAGGTTCTGAGACTCAGGCAGTCTGGCTGGGAGCCCGGAGCCCCATCCCTCTATGCTGTAAGGCTTCTGTATTCTAGTGTCAACTTCCAAGCTTGCCAAAGTCCCCTGCAGGGCAACAAGACGACCTCCCCGTGGGTCTGGACTATGTGACCAGCTCTCTGAGACTCACCCGATACCGCAGGCGAATAACCTGGTGTGCGGGCGGCTCCTCTTCACGAGCTGTAATGTCAGGCTCTCATCCTGGAGGTGCCCATCAGACACCAGGAGGATGTTCCGTGACCCTCGAGCAGGGTACAATAAGCTAAGATATCGGAGTGTTTTCCAGAAGTCTGTGTTCCCCATGGTAGGTGTGGCAGACTGGAGGAAATGAAGTGAAAGATTATGTTCTCCTTGTTGGATGCAGTCACCATTTGCTGTCATCATTGACACATCTAAGGACAGTGTAGGGATATGGTGACACCGAAAATATTTTCTTTCCCTAATTTGTGAAACAACTAAACTTATGTCCTTTTAGTTTATTTCATGTCACACAGTAACTATAATATTATCACCTCACGCTTATTTGATTTTTTACAGTTTCCAGAGGACTATGACATCTACAGGAAGAAATGTCCCATCCAATCAGCCCTGGATTTGCCAGCCTGGCTGAGGCAGCTGGTCAGTCTCAGCTTGCTCAATTTTATTATTATTTCATTTTATTTATTTTTTTTTTCTTTGAGATGGAGTCTCGCTCCATTGCCCAGGCTGGAGTGCAGTGGCACAATCTCGGCTCACTGCAACTTCTACCTCCTGGGTTCAAGCGATTCTCCTGCCTCAGCCTTCCAAGTGGCTGGGATTACAGGTGTCCGTCACTACGCCTGGCTAATTTTTTGTATTTTAAGTAGAGATGGGGTTTCACCATGTTGGCCAGGTTGGTCTCGAATTCCTGACCTCAGGTGATCCACCCGCCCTGGCCTCCCAAAGTGCTGAGATTACAGGTGTGAGACACCACACCCAGCATTTCTTTTTTCTTTCTTTCTTTTTTTTTTTTAAACCTCAACCCTTTTAGATAAAGCTGGCTGCATTTTAAGAGAAAAAAAACAAAGGACAGAAGAAAACTTCTCAAAGCTGTTAATGCTAGTTGCATTAGGGTGTTGGGACATGGGTGATTTTTTTTTTCTATTCTTTTTAATTTCCAATTTTTCCTTAATGAGTTATCATTTTAATTAATGAAATAAAGAGCCCACCAATATACAAAAACCACAGGAGTAGGGGTGCTCTGATGGTGGCTTGAGTGGCCTAAGCCCTGGAGGTCCCCTTAAAGCATGGTAGGAAAAGACCCAGGAGATACAGGAAGCCTCTTGCACTCACCATGATGAACTCTGCTGCCATGGTATTGCTTGTGATATGCTTAGGATACGAAAATAGCTCCTTGTAACCTGTGTAATAAGATCAGCATGAGGTGCTGCTTCCACACGTTCACTTGCTTGAGCACTAACAAACAATAATGTTATTTCATACCATCACGGCTGTTGTAAAGGATATTATATATTTATGTGTGTACCTTTCTTTTTAGAAAACTGTTTGATAATTTTAACATACAAAAGATTGTCCACAGGCCAGGCACGGTGGCTCATGCCTGTAATCCCAGCACTTTGGGAGGCCGAGGTGGGTGTATCACCTGAGGTCAGGAGTTCAAGACCAGCTCTGGTCAACAGGGTGAAACCCTGTCTCTGCTAAAAATACAAAAATTAGCTGGGTGTGGTGGTGAGCACTGTAATCTCAGCCACTGGGGAGGCTAAGGCCGGGAGGCAGAGGTTGCAGTGAGCTGAGATCGCACCACCGCACTCCAGCCTGGGCAACAAAGCGAGACTCTGTCTCAAAAAAAAAAAAAAAAAATTCACCACACTATTTTTCTAAATGATACATCATAGAGCATTCAAACCGTGGTGCTTTACTATGCAAAATGTTGAGTCAAATTCCATGTGCACATGCAGATCACTTGTGCAAATGTGCAGGGCATTGCAATGGCCTGAGCAGCTTGGCCCCTGGAAGGCCAGTCTCTGCTCACGCCCTTTGCACTCCCCATGCTTATCCGACCTCTGTCCCAGCAACAGCAGACTGTACCTCTGGGGAAAAGGGGCTGGGTCTTCTGCTGGATTGCACAGAGGATGAGAATCAATAGGATAAGACTGTCCCCTCACTCCACTCCACGCACCTCTCATCCCTGAGGTGCTGCCTTCTGGTGGCTGAGACGTCCCTGGGCCCCATCTGGAGGGTGGTACTACCTCCCTTCTAGCAGTGCTGGCCCGATACTTCCTGAGACCATTCCTTATAGATTTTCTATGACTGCGCTGAGGGCAAATGTTTTGTCCTTAGACTTGGGACCTCCTACTCAACAGACCAAGGGTTTTGTATTTGGTTCAGTTGCTAATGACAACAGTAGCATTTATATCTCACTTACTGTGAACAGGCACAGTTTAAAAATCCTTTACATACATTAGCTCAATCCTCCTCACAGCAACACTGTGAGTTAGGGACAATTATCCTCAGATCGCAGATGAGGAAACGGAGGCACCAGAAGTTCAAGTAGTGCGCCCAAGGTGACACACAGAACCTGTGAGTGGTACAGCTGGAACCGGGACCTAGGGGGTCCAGCTCCAGAGCTCTTGTTCTTCAATTTCATACTAGGCTGCCCCTCACCACACAGGCAGGGTCGGGTACCCACAGTTGTCAGCTCTACAGAATGTGATTCACATGTAGGGGAAGCACACGCAGGACCAGGGCCAAAGCGCACTCACCTGTGCCGAACTGGATAATATTTACTTTCTGCTTCTCACCCACCAAGGACAGCGCATGCAAGGCGATTTGCTTGGCTTGCAAGAATGTCACACCCTCCATGGAACTGGAGCAGTCAAGACAAATAATCACTTCGCTCTCACTGGCTAGGTCAGGGAGGTCGACATCGAGATCGGGTTGAAAGACAAGCATGCAAGCCTGAAAGGAGAAAGAAGGTGCTGGACTGGAGCTTCTTGTCACTTCAACTGCAAAAGGTCTACTTAGAAAACTCCAAAACTTTCTAGTGAGGTAAACTAATGCTATAAAAACAGAAAGAATAAGATGTAATTAACAACAAGATGGCCTACTAGGAGTTCCAGTCAAAAGTAGAATGTTAGAACTGGGAGTTTCCAACTTCTGACATAAACTTCTGAGAGGTCAAGAATTAGTATCTGAAAAATCATATAGCATCAACATTATGGAACAAATATATATATATATATATATATATATCACACTATTCTAAGAGGAATATACATGCCATTGTGATTACTAAAATACACACACATACCTTTTGTTCTATTAATTAACCAATATTTAACTACTATCATGTAAGTTTCCTTTTTTTTTTTTTTTTTTTTTGAGACAGGGTCTCCCTCTGTTGTCCAGGCTGGTATGCAGTGGCACGATCACAGCTCAGTTCAACCTCAACCTCCTGGACTCAAGTGATCGCCCTGTCTTAGCCTCCTGAGAAGCTGAAACCACAGGTGTGCATGACCACACCTGGCTAATTTTTTTTCTTAATTTTTTACAGAGACGAGGTCTCACTATGTTTCCCAGGCTGGTTTCAAACTCCTGAGCTCAAGCAATCCATCTGCCTTGGCCTCTCAAAGTGCTGGGATTACAGGTGTGAGCCACCACACCCAGCCTAAGTTTCTATTTTTATTTTAACTTAAGAAGAGACTCTTTGTCACAGCCACACAAAATGATCTTATTACCAACCACAAATAACTGCTTATTTGTTTTTCCAGTATCAGTATTTTAAAACTATAACAAGTTATAGAGAATACCCAATGTAATGTCTGATGGCACATGTTCTTTTGGTGGAGCTTAAGGTAAAAATGCGAATTTGTACAGGCAAATCATCCACATAAGGGTTTTGGATGAAACGTCAGAAGTTTGGCATGCTTGATATCATAAATATTTTTAGTTGCAGAATCTTGAGATGTGAGAGTTCATTTTGTAATGCTAGTTTTTCAGGACAATCAATAATTTGCAAGTTTAACCAGCTTATTCTGAAACATTTTTTCAATAGTGTCTCCTATGTCTAAGTAAAAAGGAGTATACCTCGCTTTCTTTTTCTGGATGTTTTTCAACCCACATTCTTGGGAGATAGGCAGCAGACAAACCGATGTGGAGAGAAAATCCACTGCTGTCTAAGGAGCTGCCTTCCATGGTGCTAATGACAGCTTTGCAGTCTGTGCGCTGCAAAACAAACACCGCGACAACAAGGTGAGTAATGGAGTAACACCATATTAGCAGTCTGCACTTACCTGTCATGGAGCAAACCCTTGCATAGCTTACATAACTCTATTAAGAATCAACAAAGTAGTGGTAAATTCCAAAATAATGAAATGTAGGCCGGGTGCAGTGGCTCACACCTGTAATCTCAGCACTTTGAGACGCCGAGGTGGGTGGAGTTTGAGGCCAGCCTGGCCAACATGGTGAAACCCTGTCTCTACTAAAAATACAAAAAATTAGCTGGGCGTAATGGTGGGCACCTGTACTCCCAGCTAGTCAGGAGGCTGAGGCAGGAGAATCGCTTGAACCCAGGAGGTAAAGGTTGCAGTGAGCCAAGATCGCGCCACTGCACTCCAGCCTGGGTAACAACAGGGAAACTCTGTCTCAAAACAAAAACAAAACAAAACAAAACAAAAAAAACAAAATAACAAAATGTAGGTTTTAGAAGACCATGAGCATATCAGTCACCCTTCTGCAATCCTAAGGTTGATTCACACGGTCAAATAAGTGTGAGACAGTCTCAAACCCTGGATCCAAAGATTATAGATCTACCCATTCAGTTAGACTTATCTGGGTATAGCAGACGGCACATCAGATAATTAAAACCGAGAAGACTAAAATAGAAAATTCAACAGAAATCTTAGAATCATAACTTATTTGTATATTATATTTTCATGAATATAAAAAAGCTGTTGAAAATGTAAATAAGCTTTACAACAACAAAGGCAAAGGCATGTGCTAGAGTGTCACATGACCACAAAGTCTCTCCACTCCTGTCTGCGTGCCCCTTTGCAATGTGACTTTTGAAGTTCCTCCTGCCACGAGGCAGCAGCTATATTTCCACCCTTGAAACTGGAGTTGGCCAAAGGACTTGCTGTGGCCAATGATATGTTGGCAGATGAGATACAAGCAGGGGCGTGAAAAGTGTCCATGCAACGGGCCTGGCACTCTCTTGTTGCTACTGAGGACTCCTCCACCACTATGTAGTGGCTCACGCCTGTAATCCCAACACTTTGGGAGGCCAAGGCAGGCAGATCACCTGAGGTCAGGAGTTTGAGACCAGCCTGGCCAACATGGGAAACCCCGTCTCTACTAAAAATAGAAAATTTAGCTGGGCGTGGTGGCAGGCACCTGTAGTTCCAGCTACTCAGGAGGCTGAGGCATGAGAATCGTTTGAACCCAGGAGGTGGAGTTTGCAGTGGGCCATGATCCCACCACTGCACTCCAACCTGGGAAACAGAGTAAGACTCTGTCTCAAAAAAAAAAAAAAAAAAAAAAAAAAGAAAAAAGAAAAAAAGAAAGGCACTGCAGAAAGGCACAAGAGAGGAACTTTTTTTTAATACAATAAAATTTCTCAGAACTAAAGACCACCAGTTACATACAATGAATGAAAATCATACTGTTATGAAATTTCAGAATACCAGAGATAAAGAGAAGGTCTGAAGTTCCTGCAGAATTCTAAAAAGGAAAATAGGCTGGGTGTGGTAGCTCACACCTGTCATTCTAGCACTTCGGGAAGCCAGAGCAAAAAGGATCCCTTGAACCCAAGAGTTTGAGAAAAGCCTGGGCAACATGGTGAGACCCTGTCTCTACAATTTTTTTTTTTTTTTTTTGAGATGGAGTCTCGCTCTGACGCCCAGGCTGGAGTGCAGTGGCGCAATCTCAGCTCACTGCAAGCTCCGCCTCCTGGGTTCACGCCATTCTCCTGCCTCAGCCTCCCGAGTAGCTGGGACCACAGGTGCCCACCACCACACCCGGCTAATTTTTTGTATTTTTAGTGGAGACGAGGTTTCACCATGTTAGCCAGGATGGTCTCGATCTCCTGACCTCGTGATCCACCCACCTCAGCCTCCCAAAGTGCTGGGATTACAGGCATGAGCCACCGCACTCAGCCAAGTTTTTTTTTTTTTTAATTAGCCAGGTGTGCTGGCACAGGCCTGTAGCCCTAGCTACTCAGGAGCCTGAAGCAGGAGGGTTGTTTGATCCAAGGAGGTCAAGGATGAAGTGAGCCATGACTGCACCACTGTACTCTAGTCTGGGTGACAGAGCAAGACCCTGTCTCAAAAAATAAAACAAAACAAACAAAAAAAACTCATCATAATATTATACATTTCTTGGCTCAGTGGTAAACATCATTTACATGATAATCACTGACTATTGTGAAACAGGTCTTTTGGAATGAAGGGGAGAGGAAAAGTAGTGAGTTAGGTGGGTGGAGGGGGCAAGAGCTACACGTCCAACTTCCAAAACAGGAAGTCAAAAGATAATTTCTGAAACAGGCGAAATCAAGAAAAAGCATTAAAAATTAATATTTAAAAATTGGAGGCAAAATCAAAGAAACAGCTCAAATAGTCCAAATGATTCACTGTCTCTGGAAACTGGTCTGGGGAGAATCAGGGGCAGGAGTAGTGCTTCTTGTTAGAAGTTTTGTCAGCATTATTTCACTTTTCAACCACGTGCATACATTGCTTTGATAAGATAAAAGTAGTGTTAAAATAACAGCTCTTAAGAAATCAAAGATGCACTAACCTTTTGTTTCAGTTCATGTGTATCACTGAAAATGAATTCAATCACATACGGCATCTCAATAGACATAGTCAAAGAGAAGCTAGCAAAAATGAAGAGAAAGTTGTCTTAGTCTACGATCTTAAATTTCTATCTGAAATTATTTCAAACAATTCTAAATGGAAATTTAAACCAGAAAACCAATATCCATTGAATTGACAGGTTTTATATTTTAGGTACTAACCTTTGCTTTGTTCCTATTTCTTTTATACAAATCTTCTCTACTGTATCCTGTTAAAAGAAAAATACATTTGTATAACTAAGCATATATTAAGTTTCACAATGAGACTAAAGTGAATGTAATCTTGGCAAGGCCACAACTGTCAGCAAGACAGCTGGTTTCACTTTCAAGCAGTGAAACACAGAAAGTTTGCTCATGGAATGACAGGAACTTCTAAAATACAACTCACCATTTTGACAGAGATTTTAAACTCTACATATGTCTGTGTGTATACACACACACACACGCACACACACACACACACACATTTTATACATGTGCTGTACATACAAAGTAGGAAGTTTGGAGGGATATACCGAAGTATTAACCATTAACTCTGGGCAATGGGATAAAGGATGGTTTTAATTTTCTTATTTTGGCTTATTTGTATTCTCTATGCTTATCTAGTTCTTCATGATGAACTTGCACTACAGATATAACATTTTTTGAGTGATTAAGCAGAATAAAAATATGCTTATTGATCATATCTGTAACTTTTATTCTTTTCATTTTATACACATAATGTATCTAAATGCATGTCAGTAAAATTAACTTTATGCCTAAAAGATTATTTTACATGTTTTTCTCCCCAGGCATAAATTCCTCCACAGCCCTCCACCACTCCCCCTCCACTGCTGCCAAAATGCTTCTTCAAATCTTATGCGTACAAACCTGAAGGTTTTCATTCAAAGCCTTGTCCTGTTGCCAGGGTGCTACGGTGGCGGGCATGAAAAAGACACCAACAGTGCCCAGGATGCTGAGTTCTGTGATGTAGGTAATTTTTATAAGAACCTTAGCCTTAGGGGGTAAGTTTCCAACACTTACAGTAAAAACGTCCTGAAACAGAAACATATGACTTAGCTTCCAACTTGAAAGCATACCCATTATATGCCAGCTAACTCCACGTACTTCTTAAGCAACTTGAATGACAACCTGCCAAATTCTTCCTCAGAAAACAGTAATAAAACCTAAAAGACACATTGGTGGGGCTAACGGAGAATCCTGGAGCCATTCACCAGTGGTGGGAACAGGGTGATGTCCGTGGCAGGCAGATGGAGAGGGGCCCCCTTGGCAGCGGAACTGGGAAGAGGCACTCATGGACTCTGCCCCAGGGGGCTCTCATGTGTGAGCTCTCTGCACACGTGGGCTCTGCTGCACGGGTGGGCTCTGCTGCACGGGTGGGCTCTGCTGCATGGGTGGGCTCTGCTGCATGGGTGGGCTCTGCTGCACAGATGGCCTCCACAAAGCCCTTTCTTGAAGACCCTCCCTGACCTCCATGGCACCCAACACCACTTTTGCCAGCAGCTGTAGAACCAGGGCAGTTTTTTCTAAGCTTGGCCCTTGCTTAATTATTTTACCCTATGGTAATTTCTCATGTTATTTTTATTTTTATTTATTCATTATTTAGAGATAGGATCTTGCTCCGTCATCCAGGCTGGAGGGCAGTGGTGCAGTCACAGCTTAATGTAGCCTTGAAACCCCAGGTCTAAGCCATCCTCTTAAGTAGATGGGACTACAGGCACGCACCACCATGCCTGGCTGATTTTTAAATATTTTTGTACAGATGGGGTTGCCCAGGCTGGTCTCAAACTCCAGGCCTCAAGTGACTCTTCCACCTTCTGCTCCCAAAGTGCTGGGATTACAGGTGTGAGCTACCACACCCAGCCTATCATGTTATTTTTTTACTAAAAAGTCTTTAGCTTTCTTTTAAAGGGATGTTGATAATAGCTATATAAGGTGGCAACCCCATGACTAGCTAGGGCAGAAAAAAGAGGCTAGATACATTTTTTTCTGATAACTATGCAGAGATCCTCTCAACATCCCCAACTATGTTCACCATTCTAGTTGACCACCCCATCATGAAAATTTTGTATATTTAGATTAGGATTAATTTAGGCTTAAAGGTTAAATTATTACTTTTGACATCAAAGACATCCATTTACAGGATGGAAACAGACAATAAAGAGATGATTATTAAATACTTAATAGTGCTAGCCCTTAAAAGAAATGTATGTATAAACACCTGGGGTTCATTTGAGACACTGCCACTTAATAGAGTGGGATTGCAGTTCTGTTTCTGGGTAGGATATAGGTGGATGCAGAAAATGTCACTTCTGTTATAACACACCAGGCAATCTACAAAATCATAACTTGTTTTGAACTCATCAACCAAGCGAACTGAATTCCAAAGAGGGGACAGATGGGACACAGGATCTGTGTGAACTCCTCCCGGCTGAGAGTGGGTAAGCTTACTGGTTTAGAAGAATTGGGAGCTCCTGACCCAAGGGGAGTTTGCATTCTCTTGCAGGCGTTTCCCCATATCCCCACAGCCTTCCACTGGGCCCACTGGAAAGGCTGAGCAGGGCAGGAGACCAAGGGGAGCACCTCTCCGTGGAGCAGGTGTGTGGGAGGTGCTGGGGCCACTTCCCTGGATCCTTTCCCCACATGAAGCAAAAGCCTCCAGCTGCTGGGGGAAGGGCAGCAAACTCTCACTTCCAGAGCTGCGGGGAAGGGGCAGAAGTAAACCAGGGATCAGAAGCCTTCCTTTCTAGCCCTGTGCCCAGGTAAAGCTCCACTGCTTTAGAGAGAAACAGCCACCTCCCCATGGGGCAGGGGATGACACCCTCCTAGGCCCAGGATCCTGCACTAGTACAAAGCAGGGGTTGCTACAACTGGAGGAAAGGCAGGAAACCATCTCCCAAACAACTCTTAACAGACACAAGGCAGAATTTGGCTGCCACTAAGATAGGACAATGAACAGAAGTGCTAATTAGTTCCCATCCTAAGGTCCAGGACTGCAGGCCCTGCCTAAGACTGAGGCTGAACCAGAAGAATGCCCCTGCCCCACCAGGAGCCTAGTACAGCACATCAAGCAACAGCAGCCTAGCACTGCGGGAGGGGAAGAGTTGCTGTAATCACCTCTGTCGGACAGTGTGCAGAGTCTGCTGAAAGCTGGGGGCAGAGAATGAACCTCAGTGAGAATTGTTCCGGATCCAGAACCCAAGAGGCACAGGTAGTGGCAGTCCACCACTGGAGGAATTTGAGACGGAGAGTAATAATAACAACAGAGAGTAATGATAACAACAGCAGAACTCAAACTCAACTCTTCAACCCCTACACTAACCTGAAAGAACAGGAGTTGCCACTTCTGGGCATAAATGTCATTTATTTCAGTCTCTCTTCTTCTTTTACACACAATGTCCAACATTTAATCACAAATTCCAAAATATACACATTTTTAAAAAGCAAGGAAAAAATGACCCAATGTCAAGATAAAGCAATTAACAGGCAGATTCAGAGATGACCATGACACTGCAACAGACAGGACTATGATTAATATATGAAAAGACATACAGAAAAGGTGAGGAATACATATGAATAGATGGAACCTTTCATTAGAGAGACTGAATTATATTTTAAGTGTCAAAAATGCTAGAAACAAACACATTATCAAAGTTGAAGAATTTGACAAGCCTATCAGCTGACTGACAATAGCTGAGAAAAGAATGAATGAACTTGAACCTAGGTCAATAGAAATTATCCAAAATAAAATGCAACAAGAAATGAAAGTGAAAACAGAGCTCCAAAAGCTGTGGTGCAATATCAAATACGGTCTAATGTATATGTATTGAAGTCTCAGAAGGAGAAAGAGAGAGAATGAGGGAGAAGAAATATTTCAATAGATAAAGATCAAGACTGTCCCAAAATGAATGTGAGACAATCCAAACTCAGAGAACTCCAAGCAAAATAAGCAATAAATTTAAAAAATAACATAAACACATCATAGTCAAACCACTGAAAACCAAAGATAAAGAGAATCTTGAAGATAGCTTGACAAAAAAAGACACCTTCACATATAGATGAACAACACAAGAATTAGAGCTGACTTCTGCTCAGAAACCATATAAGCCAGAAGACAATGAAGTTAACATATTTAAAATGCTGAAAGGAAAACAAATAAACTGTCACCTAGAATCCCATACTCAGCAAAAAATATCTTTCAAAAATGAAGGTGAAAGACTTTGTTAGATAAAAGAGGAATGCACTCTTTGCTAGCACACTTGCGCTAGAAAAAGAAAATAAAGAAAACTCTTCAAGCAGAAGGAAGATTTCTTTGTATCTATAGAAAGAAATGAAGAGCACCAGAAACGGTAAAAATGTGAATAAATGTAGAGACATTTCCCCTTATTTTTAATTGCTTTAAAATATAGTTGATCATCACATAAACAGAACTAAAGACAAAAGCCACATGATTATCTCAATAGACACAGAAAAGGCCTTTAATACAATTCAACATTGCTTTATGTTAAAAACTCTCAGTAAACTAGTTATTGATGGAACATATTTCAAAATAATAAGAACCATTAATGACAAACCCACATCCAATATCATACTGAATGGGCAAAAGCTGGAAGCATTCCCCTTGAAAACCAGCACAAGACAAGGATGCCCTCTCTCACCACTCCTATTCAATATAGTATTGGAAGTTCCGGCCAGGGCACTCAGTCAAGATAAAGAAATAAAGGTTATTTGAATAGGAAGAGAGGAAGTCAAACTACCTCTGTTTGCAGATGACAAGATCCTATATCTAGAAAACCCCATCATCTCAGCCCAAAAGCCTCTTAAGCTGATAAGCAACTTCAGCAAAATCTCAGGATACAAAATAAATGTGCAAAAGTCACAAGCATTCCTATACACCAACAACAGACAAGCAGAGAGCCAAATCATGAATGAACTCCCATTCACAATTGCTACAAAGAGAATAAAATACATAGGAATACAGCTAGCAAGGGAAGTGAAGGACCTCTTCAAGGAGAACTATAAACCACTGCTCAAGGAAATCAGAGAGGACACGAACAAATGGAAAAACATTCCATGCTCATGGATAGGAAGAATCAATATCGTGAAAATGCCCATACTGCCCAAAGTAATGTATAGCTTCAATGCTACTCCTATTAAACTACCATTGACATTCTTCACAGAATTAGAAAAAACTAGGTTAAAATTCATATGGAACCAAAAAAGAGCCTGTAGAGCCAAGACAATCCTAAGCAAAAAGAACAAAGCTGGAGGCATCACACTACCAGACTTCACACTATACTACAAGGCTACAGTAATCAAAACAGCATGGTACTGGTACAAAAATAGACACATAGACCAATGGAACAGAATAGAGATCTCAGAAGTAACACCACACATCTACAACTGTCTGATCTTCAACAAACCTGACAAAAACAAGCAATGGGGAAAAGATTCCCTATTTAATGAATGGTGCTGGGAAAACTGGCTAGCCATATGCAGAAAATTAAAACTGGACCCCTTCCTTAAACTTACACAAAAAATAACTCGATACGGACTAAAGACTTAAATATAAAACCAAAAACTATAAAAACTCTAGAAGAAAATCTAGGCAATACCATTCAGGACATAGGCACAGTCAAAGATTTTATGAGGAAAACATCAAAAATTGCAGCAAAAGCAAAAATTGACAAATGGGATCTAATTAAACTAAAGAGCTTCTGCACAGCAAAAGAAACTATCAGCAGAGCGACCAGACAACCTAGAGAATGAGAGAAAATTTTTGCAATCTATCCATCTGATGAAGGTCTAATATCCAGAATCTACAAGGAACTTAAACAAATTTACAAGAAAAAAAAACCCCATTAAAAAGTGGGCAAAGGACATGAACAGACACTTCTCAAAAGAAGACATTTATGTGGCAAAAAAATATGAAAAAAAGCTAAACATCACCGATCATTAGAGAAATGCAAATCAAAACCACGATGAGACACCATCTCATGCCAGTCAGAATGGCGATAGTTAAAAAATCAAGAAACAACAGATTCTGGCAAGGCTGTGGAGAAATAGGAATGCTTTTACTCTGTTGGTGGGAGTGTAAATTAGTTCAACCATTGTGGAAGACAGTGTGGGTCTTCCTCAAAGACCTAGAACCAGAAATACCATTTGACCCACCAATCCCATTACTGGGTATATACCCAAAGGAATATAAATCATTCCATTATAAAGATACATGCATGTGTATGTTCGTTGCAGCACTATTCACAATAGCAAAGACATGGAATCAATCCAAATGCCCATCAATGATAGACTGGATAAAGAAAATGTGGTACATATGTACCATGGAATACCATGCAGACCATGTCCTTTGCAGGGACATGAATGAAGCTGGAAGCCATTATCCTCACAAACTAACACAGGAACAGAAAACTGAACACAGGATGTTCTTACTTACACGTGGGAGCTGAACAATGAGAACACATGGACACAGGGAGGGAAACAACATACACTGGGGCCTGTAGCGGAGGCAGGGAGAGGGAGAGCATCAGGATAAATAGCTAATGCATGTGGGGCTTAATATCTGGGTGATGGGTTGATAGGTGCAGCAAACCACCATGGCACACATTTGCCTATGTAACAAACCTGCATGTCTTGCACATGTATCCCAGAACTTTAAAAAAAAAAAAGATAGTTGAATATATAACAACACATTGTAGAATTTATAATATATGAAGAAATAAAACACACGACAACAATATCACAAAGGATATGGGAAAAAAGAAACGAACGTATACTGGTTGTAATGTAATGTATTCTGGTTGTAAGGTTCTTACATATGAAGTAGTATAATATTGTAGGCTGTATGTGGTAAGTTACAGATGTATATAGTAGTAAACCCTAAAGCAGTGCTGACCAATGTAACTTTCTATGATGATAAAAATGCTCTACATATGCACTAAGTAATAAGATAGCCACTGGCCACATAAAACATTTTATTTTATATTTAAATGTAAATATACACATGTAATTAGTGGCTACCATATTTAACACATATTTAACATGTGGCTTTAGAGCAACAATCAAAACTTAATTTTTTTATTTTTTGAGACAGGGTCTCGCTTTGTTGCCCAGGCTGTGCAGTGGCGCCATTATGGCTCATTGCAGCCTCCACCTCTCAGGCTCAAGTGATCCTCCCAACTCAGCCCCTCAAGTAGCTGGGACTACAGGCATGCATCACCACACCCAGCTAATTTTTGTATTTTTTGTAGATCTGGGGTTTCACCATGTTGCCCAAGGGGTCTTGAACTCCTGGGCTCAGGTGATCCATCTATCTCAGCCTCCCAAAGTGTTAGGATTACAGGTATGAGCTACCACACCTGGCCAACAATCAAAACTTTTTAAGAGAGAGAGAACTGGCTGGGCGCAGTGGCTCACGTCTGTAATCTCAGCACTTTGGGAGGCAGAGGCAGGAGAATCACTTGAGGTTAGCGGTTTGAGACCAGCCTGGCCAACATGGTGAAACCCCATCTCTACTAAAAATACAAAAATTAGCTGGGTGTGGTGGTATGTGCCTTTAGTCCTAGCTACTTGGGAGGCTGGGGCAGGAGAATCGCTCAAACTGGGAGGCAGAGGTTAGGTTGCAGTGAGCCAAAATCACGCCACTGCACTCCAGCCTGGGCAACAGTGAGACTCTGTCTCAAAAAAAAAAAAAAAAAGATAAAATTAATAAGCCAATAATGGAGATACAATGGAATCATTTAAAAAACAATACAAGAGAAAGCAGGAAAAGCGAGGGAAAGGAACAAAGAACAAATGGTACAAATAGAAAACAACTAGCAAGAGGGTAGATATAAATCTGACCAGATCAATAATTGTATTAAATAAAAATGACCTAAACAATACAAAGTGCAGAAACTCACAGATTGGATAAAGCAGCAAAATTCAACAGTACGCTATCTAAGTAGTATAGGGTTATAGTGACAAGTCAGTCAGTCTAGATGTTTTGAAAAGGAGAAAACCATCAAATGGTCACATAAATTGAAGTCTTGGAAACACTGCCATTTAATCTGGCAATGAGGAGGACATAAGTCGTCCTAGGCTGGGCACTGTCTTCATCCTTGGTTTCGGCACCACAATTTTCTCTTTATTGTACCACTAACTATCCTTTTCTGTTACTTCCACACTTAAATATTGGGGATTACGAGCTAGACCTCTATCTTTACAAACAGTATATTAAGAGTTATAAGACAAATATGTCCAGGTTGCCATGGGAAAATGAAGCCATGGGTCTTTCCGGGGGAAGGCAGGAAAAGCTTAGATGGAGGGATTCCTAAGCTAAGACTTGTTTGTTTGTTTAGAGACAGAATCTTGCTCTGTTGCCCAGGTTGGTGTGTAGTGGTATTATCAGAGCTCACTGCAGCCTCGAACTCCTGGGCTCAAGTGATCCTCCCGCCTTGGCCTCCAAAAGTGCTGGGATTACAGGTATGAGCCACTGCACCTGGTATATATGGTATTTATATAACAATGCATGAATACCATATATTATGATATGAGAACATTATAGTCACAAGATGTCAATACATTCTGGGAGACCTGAAGGCTTGGGTTAGCAATAGTTCTGATCAGACTTTACCCATAGGTAATACCTTCTGTGAAGGCTGTTTTCTTGTGGACCCTATTCCTAGGGAAATATGTAAGTATTAAGGAGGAAACATTTACCAACACACGTAGGAGGATAACCTGATAATATTAAGTGGCAGCCTCTCAAATGAACCCCAGGCTTCTATACATACAGTTTGGCCATACATAGAGCCAGCATTCTTAACTGTTCAATAATCACCTCTTCATTACTTATTCCCATCCTGCAGGTGGATATCTTAGATGTCAAGAGCAATAATTTACCCCTTTGTCTATATTAATCTTGAATGTGCCCCTAGCCCCAGCAAACATTAAATTTTCAAAACACCATGGCCATGTGTCACCCTCAGAGGCGATACTCAAACATATGGCCCCATCTGCAAGAATAACTAAAATACCTGCACTAGAGTTAGACGCTGACTACACACAATCTAGCACCTGCCAGAGGCCTCGTGAAAACACCTGGTATTTAAGGAAAGTAGTCTAGTGGACCTGCCAGCTATTCCCTCTTCCACACTGTCCACGTCACGTCCCTGCTAAAGCTAATCACCTAAAAGCACAGGAGCTGGCCCAAGGAGGACCCGGCAGAAATGCCTCCCTGCTTTATGATTGGACCATCTGCTAGGTGAGCTTACTTCAGGAAAATTGTAAATATATCACACTCCTTTTTTTTTTTTTTTTTTTTTGAGATGGAGTTTCGCTCTTGTTGCCCAGGCTGGAGTGCAATGGCACAATTTTGGCTCACTGCAACCTCTGCCCCCCAGGTTCAAGCGATTCTCCTGCTGCAGCCTCTCCAGTAGCTGGGATTACAGGTACCTGCCACCATGCCCAGCTAATTTTTGTACTTTTAGTAAGAGGGGGTTTCACCATGTTGGCCAGGCTGGTCTCAAATTCCTGACCTCAGGTGATATGCCCACCTCAGCCTCCCAAAGTGCTGGGATTACAGGCATAAGTCATTGCGCCCAGCCAGTATATCACACTCTTATCAGAAGATGAAAGTTATATACCTCAAATGTTATCTTTTTGTCTGTCATTCCTTCTGGGAAACTCAGTTCCCAATGACAGGCCTAGCTCTTCTTGTTTGTCTGGAACTACTGATGCTGTTTCCTCCTTTGTTAAGTCAAATGGGTCTGACTGGCGTGGCTTCCCCTTACTCAGACCAAGTGGAACTCTGGGGCCTACAACAGTGCAAATTATCTTAGCCTCTAGCATGAAATTCGTATTTCATATCTTGTTCTAACTCTCTTTCCCTCTCCTGTATGCATGCGGCATGCACACCAAGCCATACCGGAGCATCCTGACTCATCAGGTAAGCGCCATGGCCCTGGGTCACGGCTTCTAGGTACTCTTGCTGGGCTTCTTCCTTCTCTTTAATCTGGAAAAGATGAGTTTTAAATCATTCCTTACATGAAGAGTGACTTCAGGCTTTAATGAAGAAAACAACATCAATGTTTACTAAAACCCAGGCAAAAACTAAAAACTGAGTCTAAGGTGAATGGAAACTTAAATGAAGTGATCATCGAAATATACTTATCTGATAAGAACTTGAACCAGAAAAGGCCAACTAAAGAGAAGTCTCTTTCAGTTGGGATCAAAATATTTCAGAATCAATAGTGAAAAAAATTTTTCTGGTTGGGAGTTTATGTGGAACAAAACATAATAATTACTTTAAATTTGGGAAATTGTAGTTTCTAATTGTAACTGTGGACTAATCCTTACAATAAACAAAGAATTAATCAACTGTTGTTTCTTTTCTTTTTTTTTAGAAAGTTACAATAGCTTTCATTTCAGCTCGAACCCCTGACCTCAAGTGATCCACCTGCCTCAGCCTCCCGAAGTGCTGGGATTACAGGCATGAGCCACTGCACCCGGCCCTCTTTAACTTTTCATACTGAAATCACTCTTACGGTGCCAAGGCAAAGAATGTGCAAGACACTGAAGATGAAGACTGGACAGATGGGGGTAGAAACCCTTCATCACGGAGGGATGCTTGAGGGAGGCTCACTGCGCAAGAACTGATTCTTCAAAGAATATTCTCGTTTTATGATAAGGCTGCTACTCAACCTTGTAGCCATGGGGACTCCAAAAACAAAGGTTCTGGGAAATGGAAGCTGACTTTGAAAGCCGAGAGCGGGCACGATGCATCTTCTTGCCTTACCTCTCCAACTATGTGCTTCCCATTGATGAAGGCTTCGAAGCCACACACAGCGGCCTTGTCATCCAAAGGAAAGATATATTTTGCCTCAATGGGCACGTGACTTTTATTTGTGTATGTCTGAAAAACAATGACCTGAAGAAGAAAAAAAATCCATACAATTGATGAGACCACATGGACTACATTTGCAGGAACAAGGACGAACGAAAATGATTTTGCATATTTATTTGAATTTCCTTGAATTTGTATCACGTCCCTCAAATTCCCAACCCTGGCTTCACTTCTGCAATGGAGAGCCCATGTCATGTGATAAAATGCACCAGTCCCACGGTTAGGTGGTTCATTCATGTCTGACTGGAATAGAAGCCACCTGAAGTCTTACCAACACTGACTTAGCAGACGCAATATAGCTCTTGTTAAGACAGCTGGAAAATTGCCCCTTTCGTTTTGTGGGCTTTGATGCCTCCTTCGTGCCATGTTGGCTGGAAATGATTCCAGAATAGTCCTTCTATCCTATCAGCTCTCAGGACTTGGCCTTTCCTCCTGGGGACCTCTCTGTGGCTTTCCCCCTCTCTACACAGCCCTCATCTAGCTCCTCATCTCTGTGTGCGTTGGTTCTTCCAGAATCAAGTCTTCTCCACTACTCTCTGTTGTCTCTATTATCTAATTAATCTTTCCAACAGACTGTTTTCATCACTCCCTCACTCAGGAAAAGGCGGGAGGCTTTAAATATTTGAAAATTAAGAAAAAACTCCTCAGACATACAATAAACAGTAAGATTTTAAACATGTGACAATAATAAGGCAAAAATATTTAATGATCTGTAATCAATAATCCAGGGAAGACACCAAAATGAAAAATTAAAAAAAAAAATCTAACTTATTTGAAAACATTGTCCACACCTGGATTTGCTGCAAGCTTGGCTGCCCCTAGGGTGTGTAGGGTGCCAGGCAAAATTTTTCAAGGAGTCCTTGTTAATATGAGCAATTTGAGTCTCCCCAAATCAGCAGGTCAGCACCGTCCTGGAGACAGAATCTCTTGCCATCCTGCAAATGAACACCTTGCTGGCCAGTGGGTAGGATTCCTGGAATCCCGGTCTGGCCAGCCACCCAAGAGGAGGCAAACGTGCGTCCTGGAGTTTCTCAGCGATCTGGGCTATGCTGCCTGCAATGACTGCTTAGAGTGTGCCTGGTGAGGAGGCACCAGGACTGGGGCCCACCTAGTACTGACTGGGGGGACGTCAGACACTGTCCCCTTGACTGTGCACGGAACTCCTTCTCATCCTGTCTTGGATTTCCTCAGTTTTACGAAACCCTCAAAGGCATGTATGCTTGCCCTGAGTTTGATGATCAGGATCACTATCTAATTGTACTTGGTGTAGACTAATGTTTCTTCCTACTCAGTAGCCTTCCTGCCTGTTCTAGTTAGCAGGCCCGCCTTTGCGCAGGAGTCCCCAGACATCAGGCCTGTGGCAGCTGCACTCTCTTTGCATATCACACTGTGTGGCTGGGCACTCACAAAGGTCAATAATTTTAGATAACGACAATAAAAGTATTTTTACCAGGCCTTAGAACAGAAACTAATACAATGTAACAAATTTTGACATCTTAATTTTCTTCCATTAGATAAAACCATGATGTAACTAAGCTTAACATCATCAATTTATTCCAAGAAGGGTCAAAATGTATGAGCCATGCACATATAAGAATCTACACCCCAGCCTCTGCTTGGATACTCAAGCTAAATCTACAGTCTGGCTGTTTCATCATAAAATGAGTGAGAAATTCACTGCTAAATCGAGTTATTTTGGGGCAAACTTCCCCAGGGAACAGGCCTCTTCGGGTTTGAAATATCAAATGGTACAAGTCATCTAATCCCAAGTAAGGCATGGAGGACACACGCCTCTCCCTGTAACCTCGTCATAATTTGTTTTGCACACAAAAACAATGCCCTAAGTCCTTTATATTTATTAGATTGAATAGCCACTACACTGATGGGCAGATATTATTATTTCCATTTTACACATGAGGAAAACGAGGCAAAAGAGTTAAGTAACTTTCCCAAACTCACAGCACTAGAAAGAATAAACAAGAATTCAAAGCTAAGCCTTACAAACTCCGGATCCTTTGCTTTGTATGATCTACCATGCTGCACTATGGTGTACTGGTTAAGAATCTGGACGCTGGAATCAGAATGATCTGAGTTCAAATTTGGGCTTTATCATATTGTTTGTCTCTGGGCCTCAGCTTCTTCTTCCAAACAATGGGCATAATTATAGCACTTGGCATGGAGTCTGAGAGAATTAAGTACTGCATGTGGAAAACTCGGCTGAGGGCCTGACTCTTAGGAAATGGTAACCATTATGTTTACAGATCCTAAGTGGTGCCAAAGGGATTGGTGGAAATGGAACATGTCCCATGAGCCCACAGCTGGGTCTTTTCAAAGTCTATGACGTTGCTCTGAGCTGCCTTGAGGATGTGTGTATGGGTCAGAGTGGGCCCAGGGGTGGAGGTCAGCTATATCCAAACTGCTCTTCTCACCCAACGCCCCGTCTCCCCAGATTAAGGTGATCACTGAAATGGAACTAATTTTCCTCTACAGGGATCAGAACATCATGGCACTGTACTTGAACGTTCTTAATCTCCTCAAAGGCCTTTATGGTTGTTCAATGCAATCTTCAGAGTCAGAAGCTGATCATGAGGCCAAATCTTAGCAAACCAATTCAATTTTAGAAAACCAAAAACTTAACTTTCCAAGCTCTACCACTGCATCTGGCCACTTGGCACCCCTGAAACGCTGCCTTCCATCCTGTGACTGTGGATGATGAACCTGCTGCGAGCTCCTGGCTGCGGCCCCAGCACCCGCATTAGATAACCCTCCTGTGATGCTTGTCTTTTGCTTTGACCAGTTCTTACTCACTTGGTATTTAATGCTCTTTCTGAGCTTCAGTGCAGATAATTTAATAAGGTGGGATTTTCTCCTTCTCTTTCAACACCCTGAGTTTTTTTTTTTTTTTTTTTTTTGAGACAGGGTCTCACTCTATCACCCAGGTTGGAGTGCAGTGGTGCGATCTTGGCTCATTGCAACCTCTGCCTCCTCCAACCTGCCCTCCTGTGACTTTGCCCATTCTAGTAATGGCAAGCCATCCTCCCATCTCGACCTCCCAAGTAGATGGGACTACAGGTGTACGCCACTGCGCTCAGCCAATTTTTGTAGAGATGGGGTTTCTCCATGTTCCCCAGGCTGGTCTGGAACTCCTGAGCTGAAGCAATCCTCCTACCTCAGCCTCCCTCCCAACGTCCTGGGATTACAGGCATGAACCACCGCACCGGCCACCACCCTGGTATTTATGATAGCAAAATGTGTATATTTTAGTAGCTAACAAAGGTTTGGGAGAACAGTAGAATTCATCTCTCTCTGGGAAGAAAGTGCTTTGAGCACTGCCTGGCACAACATAAGGGCAATATACATGTTTGTTACAAAGAAATGTTAAATAAATAAGGGCATAATAAAGTTCTAAATTGAGTCTTTGGAGATATTTCGATAAACGTAAAATTCAGAACAGTTTACCAGGAAAGTCTTTTCAACAATGTTTCCTATTTATGCAATAAAACATAGAGAAGGGTATAGAGAAGGAAGCAGTTCCAGCAATTCCCCTCTCCCAGGTCGCCAGGTTTCCCTCCTGCGCTGACTCCCACACATGCTGTTGTTTCTTGCATCTTAAAATGAGAAAGAAAATACTCAACCCCACTTCTCTTCAGCTGCTGTCTCATCTTCTCTCCTCTGTCTCCCAGTTCTTCCTCCCATTCCCTCTTGAACTCACTCTGATCAGCCTTTCACCCCCACCACACCATCAAAAGGCAAAGGTCACCAACAATCTCATTGCTAAATCCAGTGATCAGGGCTGGGTTGTTATTCATGAGACCCACCAGCCTCCCCTCCCTGTTCAGCTGTCCTCGTGTGTCTCCACAGCCGCTCCCTCCTGGTCTCTGTGGCTGACTCAGCCTCCTCCCCTACGTCTCCACGTTGGCCTCTGTGCTCTACTGATTCTCTGGGTGTTTAATCTGGGCTCATGACTTTAAACACTATGTGAATGCTGCTGACTCCCCACTTATAAGTCCAACTTGGGTCTCCTCCCTGGTCCTATGTAGTCACAAGACCTACGTGGCCAAAGATAAACTCCTGATGGCCCCCAACCTGCCCTCCTGTGACTTTGACCATTCTAGTAAGTGCAAACATGATCCTTCTAGTTATTCAGGGCAAACACTCTGCTGTCTTCCTGGGCCGCTGTCTTTCTCTTGTGTCCCGTCCCCACCAGCAAATCTGATTGGCTCTGCTCTCAGGCCTTGGCGGACTCCATCACTTCCTACACCCCCACTGCAAACCTTCTTCTCCACATCACCAGGTCCCTTAACTGAATTGTCAATCGTCTCCTCTATGTGATGTGACGTTGGGCCTGCTGTGTCCCCTTCAGGGCTGAGACTGCTAGGAGTGTCACCTGTGGGGCGCCTCCCCAGGAACCATCCTCAGCCAAAGACAAACTGCCTTAGCCAAGGTTCTGACCCCTCCCCGGAGCAGCCCACATCCCAGGACTGGCCCCAGTGGGGCTACAAAGCCCGGCCCCCTTGCCTTGATTCAGACCTTCTCTCAAGGACCACTCTGGCCCAGAGCTTCCCCCAAGATCATCTGAGGACTCTGTTGTCTCCTCGGCCACGTCCTGCCTCCCTCACTCCCTCACAGGTGCGGCTCCCGCAGGCACAGTCCCACAGGCTTCCTGAAAACAAATTCCATCCAGAGTCTGCTTTCTAGGGAACTTGACCTAACATTTCTCCCACTGGGCCTCTTCCTACTGTTCCCAACATGGTGGCCAGAGTGAGCTGGTTAAAACAGGTCTGTTCATGTCATTCCTCTGCCAAACATCTAGAAGCTTCCATTTCACTCAGAGTCAAGGACAGCATGACCTGTGTACTGATGTGAGAGCCCCTCACCTCTCTGACTCAGTCCCCATGCACTCTCCCCTTTCCACCCCACTGCAGCCACAGTGCATCTCCTTGGCGCGCCTGGGCCAGATCAGCCTCCTTCCTACCTCTGAGCCTTGGCATGTGATGTTCCCGCTGCCTGGAATAAGCATCCCCTGACGTCCACACAGTTTAGCCCCCACTTCCTTCAGGTCTGTATGCAGATGTCACCTTCTCAGGGAGGCCTCCATGGCCATTCTGTTTACAGGTTCAAAGCCCCTGTCTTTCACAGCTCCTATCTGTGAAAGCAGCTCCTCCTGCTTTCCTTTTTCTCTTTAGCACCTGTCACCACCTAACATGTTATGTGTTTCACTCTTTCATCATGATTATTGCCTACTCCCCCACACAGTGTGTGCTCCACAAGGGCAGAGCTTTTGTATTGTGCACTGCTGGATGCTCAGAGCCTAGCTAGTCCCTGGCATGGAGTGCTCAGTGAATATCTCTTGAATAAAATACATTTTAGAAATCTATCTATTCCCTTCAGTTCATGCAACTGCAATCAAATTCTCATGTATGGTTTACATCCATGTAGTTTAAGTGTCATAAAGCCACAGACAACATACCTGGGCTACAGTGTCTATGATTCTCCCTTTGATGTGGACATCCTCCAGAGGAACCAAGTTCCCAGAGGCATCCTGGAGGCCGGCCTTGGTGCTGCTGGAAGTTTTGGCATCTGGTAACTGGTAATCTAAACGTTAAAAATGTTACTATTAGCTTTCAAAACCATCCCTGTCTATTTTTGTTATCTTGATCTTTATTCCTTCTTCAAGCCTTCATGCATTTTATTTTAGGGAAAATGGGCAAATAGCATTTTATGATTTTCAATAGCCAATTCTGAAAAGCAAGTGAACCCACATGAGAAAAATGAGAGGTGCCTTCTGCCTTTTTTTTTTTGAGATAGCATGTCACTCTGTCACCCAAGTGGGAGTGCAGTGGCACAATCTCTGCTCACAGTAGACCCCTCCTCTCTGGCTCAGGTGATCCTCCTGTCTCAGCCTCCCGAGTAGCTGGGACTATAGGCATGCACCACAATGCCCAGCTAATTTTTTGGTATTTTTTGTAGAGATGAGGTTTAGCCATGTTGTCCAGGCTGGTCTTGAACTCCTGGACTCAAGGGATCTACCTGCCTTGACCTCCCAAAGTGCTGGGACTATGGGCGTGAGACACTACACCTGGCCTGCCTTTTTTTTTGTTTTTTAAAGACCCTTCAGCTTAAATTTTTTTTTCTTCTTTTCTTTTTTTTTTCTTTGGTAGAGATTGGAGTTTCACTATGTTGCCCAGGCTGGTTTTGAACTCCTGTGCTCAAGTAATCCTCCTGCCTTAGCCTCTCGAGTAGCTGCGACTACAGACATGTGCTCTTCTGCCTTTTTAATGTAGAGACTGTGGGGTGTCCTCCTGAAAACACAGCATTACTTGACATACATTTAAACATACACACAAATACACAGAGGTCTTCAGACTGTCTGAAGTGTGGCTGAAGCCTGAATCCAGGTGTCTGCATTCCCTGGCTTATAGTGTGGAAGGGCTCGGTCACTATTATTTATGGTGCCACACAAGCATTTTGGGATGGCATCAAACAACGTAGATTTTCAATCCAAGGAAGACTGAATCAACTCCTATGGCAGCATATTGAAAAATGTACACATCCTATTCTAAGTGGCACAAACATACAGATAAGGTTAGGAAATATAAATACATATTGTCTTGCCAGATATTTCACTTAATGACTCCCAGAGAAAAAACTGGAGTCACCCCTGAACACACATGAACTCATGCGTTTCTGACAAAAAATAATTTGAGCATGGTCAAAAATGTTAATGTGTTCTTACAGTCCTACTAATTAATACTGTAATTGTTTGGCCTCATGATACTCTGAGAAGTGAATATCCTCTTGTATGCTCGCACTACTATGGCTAACACACGCACCACACATGGCAATTTACTCAGTGCCTTCAATTTCCCCTTCAGCCCTTACAGCAATTCTGTCATGCGGGTACTGCTCTCATTCCCATCGGAGAGAAGGTGGAGCGCAAAAGGTCATGCAGTTTCAAAACTGCAAGGTGGCAGGGCGACACTCAAACCCTGGGCTTCCTGGCTCTACAGCGGCTCTGCTGTCTGCTCTCCCCACCCCATTACACTTTCTGCACCATGACATCTTAGCAAGGTTCCACAGGTTTTAGCCTTGGCTATTCCTGAAGCGAATAAGCTCAACTTCAGTGTGTTAATGAAGTCACATGGAATTTCTCAATCATCCTAGTTGTTATGTACGCAAGATAAAAAAGGAAATGAGGCTGGCCATGGTGGCTCATATCTGTAATCCCAGCATTTTGGGATACCAAGGCAGGAGGATCGCTTAATGCCAGGAATTTCAGGCCAGCCTAAGCAACATAGTGAGAATTTGTCTCTAAAAAAAAAAGTCACGGATGGTAGTCCTAGCTACTCAGGAGGCTGAGTCAGGAGGATCATTTGAAACCCAGGAGTTTGAGGCTGCAGTGCACTTTGATCACACACTGTACTCCAGCCTGGGGGACAGAGTGAGACCCTGTCTCAAAAAAAAAGAAATATATATATTTTAAAATTAAGTGCTTTATTTTGATACTAGGCAGAGGGGTTTGACTGATGTTAACACTGAGAGAAATTTGTGGGAAACAATTTTGAGATTGAAAGGAAATGAAATACTTATGGATGAGGTCATAGATATAACAAATGCAAATATACATTCCATTGAAAATATAACATTTGAGGTCTATAAATATAATAACATAAAACAGCATTCAAGAAAATTGTCCTACCTTCAACCTTTGAAAAATTTGAAAACTCAGGTCTGTATTCCTCTAATTCAGTATGATCACTAGGATGAAAGTCCTTTATCTGATCTCCAGGCATGGAAAATTTAATAATATATTTCATTTTAACCTGATTGGTTTTATAGACAACAAATTCATCATCCTAGAGCAAACAGAAATCAGTAGGTGATTAACAACAGAAGCAACAAAAAACCTGTATTGGCAGATGTTTTCATAAAAGCATGTTTGCTAATTTAGAAAATGTTGAATTAATTCATGCAGTAAATATATAACAATTATTTAAACTTAAGCATATTTAATGAAAATAGGAGCAAAAAACTAAGGCCTTTCTTTGAGCATTCAAGACCCTCTTTGCTTCTTCCTTGAAATAAAAATACCTCAAAGTCTGTGGTGACAGAGGCTGTTTGCGAAACTCCATGCACACTGTCGTAGCCTGGTGGTGCTTCAGTTAAGGAAAAGTCCTTCTCATGTAAGTCCATACACTTTCCGAGGGCTACGTCACAAATGAGCAGGAGTCTGGTGCCATCTGTCTCTCCCGGGTGTGAGTACTTGATACTTGTACTACATGCGAAAGGAAATAAACACATATTTACAGCTTAGAGTGACTTGTCAATAACATACTATTGAAAAGACTTTCCTGGTAAACTGTTCTAAATTTTCCTATTATTGAAATATCTCCAAAGACTCAATTTAGAACTTTATTATGCACTTATTTATTTAATATTTCTTCTTTTTTTTTAGACAGAATTTTGCTCTGTTACTCAGGCTAGGGTGCAGTGGCATGATCATAGCTTATTGCAGTCTCCAACTCCTGGGCTCAACTGATCCTCCTGCCTCAGCCTCCTGAGTAGCTGGGACTATAGATGTGCACCACACCTAGCTAACTTTTAAAATTTTCTGCTAAGATGGGGTCTCACTATGTTTCCCAGGCTGGTCTCGAACTCCTGGGCTCAAGTGATCCTCCCTCCTCAGCCTCCCAAAGTGCTGGGATTACAGGCATGAGCAACCATGCCTGGCCTATTTCGCATTTCTATGTGACAAATATGTATACTGCCCTTATGTTGTGCTAGGCAGTGCTCAAAGCACTTTGTTTCCAGAGAGAAATGAATTCTACTGTTCTCCTAAATCTTTGTTAGCTACTAAAATATACACATTTTACTATCATAAATACCAGGGTGGTAAAGAGAAGGAAAAATCACCACCTTATTAATTAGGAAAAAGTAGATTTAATTCTCTGCACTAAAGCTCAGAAAGGAATAAGAACCGTGGGTACCAAGTGAGTAAGAACTGGTCAAAGGGAAAGACAAGCTCTCACAAAGCCTCCTGAAAGGAAAAACAAACATTTCAAATTATATCCAAATGAGAAATGTTGTTTTATCTTTCTTTGGGAATCAGCAGCTTTAATAAGGCAACTCTTGCTATTAGGAGCACAGACTAGGACACACCTTTGGACACAACATTTTGGAGACGCATGTCTGTTTTTTAAAGATTAAGTTCAAAATGCCGAAGTATGGCCAGACGACCCTTCTTTGTTTCACCTACTGAAAAAAAAAATCAGTTCCCCCATTCCTTCTAAAATCCTCTCCCCTTTGGAGGGCTCTTTTCCTGCAACTTACAAGCATGCTTTCTTCCTTCTCATTAAACCCCACTCTGGACTTCTCCCTGGAGCTCTCTCTATTCCTTCCTATCTCACCACGTTCTGGCAAAGGGGGCCCAGCTGGGCTCCTGAGTCTGGTGGGGACGTGGAGAACCTTTATGTCTAGCTCAGGGATTGTAAACACACCAATCAGCACCCTGTGTCTAGCTCAGGGTTTGTGAGTGCACCAATTGACACTCTGTATCTAGCTACTCTGGTGGGGCCTTGGAGAACCTTTGTGTGGACACTCTGTGTCTAGCTAATCTGGTGGGGAGGTGGAGAACCTTTGTGTCTAGCTCAGGGATTGTAAACGCACCAATCAGCGCCCTGTCAAAACAGACCACCCTACTCTACCAATCAGCAGGATGTGGGTGGTGCCAGATAAGAGAATAAAAGCAGGCTGCCCCAGCCAGCAGTGGCAACCCGCTCTGGTCCTCTTCCGCACTGTGGAAGCTTTGTTCTTTCGCTCTTTGCAATAAATCTTGCTACTGCTCACTCTTTGGGTCCACACTGCCTTTATGAGCTGTAACACTCACCACGAAGGTCTGCAGCTTCACTCCTGAAGCCCGCGAGACCACGAGCCCACCGGGAGGAACGAACAACTCCAGATGCGCCGCCTTAAGAGCTGTAACACTCACTGCGAAGGTCTGCAGCTTCACTCCTGAGCCAGCGAGACCACGAACCCACCAGAAGGAAGAAACTCCGAACACATCTGAACATCAGAAGGAACAAACTCTGGACACGCCGCCTTTAGGAACTGTAACACTCACCGCGAGGGTCCGCGGCTTCATTCTTGAAGTCAGTGAGACCAAGAACCCACCAATTCTGGATGCATTACTATTGCAATTGTTTTGGGCTGCAACAATCTGTGCCCATACAAGGTGGTGGGCTTGGCAAATGTTTTGTGTGTTCTGACTGCTCCACTGACCAGTGGTTCCCTCATCTCTCTCCTCCTTCTCTGGCCTCCCTATTCCCTGAGATACAACAATATTGAAATTAGGCCAATTAATAATAACCCTACAGCGGCCTCTAAGTGTTCAAGTGAAAGAAAGGGTTGTACATCTTTCACTTTAAATTAAAAGCTAGAAATGATTAGGCTTGGTGAGGAAGGCATGTTGAAAACCAAGACAGGCTGAAAGCTAGGCCTCTTGTGGCAGTTATCCAAGTGGTGAATGTAAAGAAACAATTTTTGAAGGAAATTAAAAGTGCTGCTCCAGTGAACATAGGAATGATAACAAAGCAAAACAGCCTTATTGCTGATATGAAGAAAATGTTAATGGTCTGGATAGAAGATCAAACCAGCCACAGCATTCTCTTAAGCCAAAGCCTAATCCAGAGCAAGGCCCCAACTCTGTTCAATTCTATGAAGGCTCAGAGAGGTGAGGAAACTGCAGAAAGAAGGCCTGAAGCTAGCAGAGGTTGGCTGAGGTTTAAGGAAAGAAGCCATCTCTATAACGTAACAATGGAAGATGAACCAGCCAGTGCTGATGTAGAAGCTGCAGCAAGTTCTCCAGAAGATCTAGCTAAGATCATTGATGCAGGTGGCTTCACCACACAACAGATTTTCCATGTAGACAAAACAGCCTTCTATTGGAAGAAAATGCCATCTAGGACTTCCACAGCCGGAGAGAAGTCAATGGCTGGCTGCAAAGCTTCAGACGACAGGCTGACTCTTGTCAGGGGCTAATGCAGCTGGTGACTATAAGCTGAAGCCAGTGCTCACTTACCATTCCAAAAATCCTAGGGCCCTTAAGAATTGCGCTAAATCTACTCTTTCTGTGCTCTACAAATGGAACGACAAAACCTGGATGACAGCACATCTGTTTACAGAATGGTTTACTGAATTTTAAGCCCAATGTATAGATCTACTGCTCAACAAAAAAGGTTCTTTTCAAAATATGACTGCTCACTGGCAAAGCGCCTAGCCATCCAGGAGCTCTGATGGAGAGGTACAAGGAATTTGTTGTTTTCATGCCTGCTAACACAACTTACAATCTGCAGCCATGGATCAAGGAGTAATTTCAGCTTTCAAGTCTTATTATTTAAGAAATACATTTTGGGCTGGGCGTGGTGGCTCATGCCTATAATCCCAGCACTTTGGGAGGCCAAGGCAGGCAGATCACCTGAGGTCAGGAGTTCGAGACCAGCCTGCCCAATATGATGAAACCCTATCTCTACTAAAAATACAAAAATTAGCCAGGCGTGGTGGCATGCGCCTGTAATCCCAGCTACTCAAGAGGCTGAGACAGAAGAATCGCTTGAACCCAGGAGGCGGAGGTTGCAGTGAGCCAAGATCACACCATTGCACTCCAGCCTGGGCAACAAGAGCAAACTCCATCTCAAAAAAGAAAAAAAGAAAGAAAGAAATACATTTTGGCCAGGTATGCCTGTAATCCCAGGAGTCTGAGGTGGGATGATCACTTGAGTTCAGCAGTTTGAGGTTCCAGGGAGCTATGGCTATGGTTGCATCTTACTGTACTCTCACCTGGGCAATAATGGATCAAGACCCCAACTCTAAAAAGAAAAAAATACATTTTGTAAGGCTATAGCTGCCATAGACAGTGATTCCTCTGATGGATCTGGACGAAGTAAATTGAAAACCTTCTGGAAAGGATTTGCTATTCTCCTTGCCCTTAAGAGCATTTGATGAATTATGGGAGGAGGTCAGCCTATCAGTATTAACAGGGGTTTGGAAGAAGTTTACTCTAACTATCTTGGGTGACTTTGAGGGGTTCAAACTTCAGTGAAGAAAGTCACTGTAGATGTGGCAGAAGCAGCAGGAGAACTAGAATTACAATTGGAGCCTGAAGATGGGACTGAATTGCTGCAATCTCATGATCAAACTTGAAAGAATGAGGAGTTGCTTCTTATGAGTGAAGAAAGTGGTTTCTTGAGATGGAATCCATTCCTGGTGAAGATGTTGTGAACACTGTTGAACTGACAACAAAGGATTTTGAATATCACATAAACTTAGTGGACAAAGCAGCAGCAGTGTTTGAGATAATTGACTCCAATTTTCAAGGAAGTTCTACTTTAGGTAAATGCTATCAAATAGCATCTCATACTACAGATAAATCTTTCATGAAAGGAAGAGTCAATTGCTGAGGCAAACTTCATTGTTGTCTTATTTTAAGAAATTGCCACAGCCACCTCAACTTTCAGCAACCACCACCCTAATCAGTCAGCAGCCATAGACATTGACACGAGACCTTCCACCGGCAAAAAGACAATGGCTCACTGAAGGCTTAGATGATCGTTAGGATTTTTAGTAATAAAGTAAGTTAAAATTAAGGTTATGTACATTGTTTTTTTTTTAAACACAATGCTATTGCACACTTTAATAGACTAGAGTGTAAACCTCTTATACTCATTGGGAAACCAAAAATGTGTGTGACTCACTTTATTGCAGTATTTGCTATATTGCAGTAGTGTGGAACCAAACCCTCAATATCTCCAAGGTATGCCTGTATAAGGAATCATCTAATAACTTTTCATCCACTAAGGTCCTAAGGCTCATCCATTTGACATGTGTAGCCACAGTCCACTTGTTTCAACTGAAGGACAGGACTTCATGTAGGACTCCACCAAAATGTACGGATCCATTCCACTGTCGATGGACATCTGCATGATTTCCAGTGTTCTGTTACTACAGTGCTCTTTTTTTCTTCTTTTCTTTTTTTTTTTTAAGAGATTGGGTCTCGCTTTGTCTCCCAAGCTGGATGTAGTGGTTCAGTCATACCTCACTGTGGCCTTGGACTGCTGGGCTCAAGCAGTCCTCCTGCCTCAGCCTCCTGAGTAGCTTTGATTACAGGTGTGTGACACAATGCCTGGCTAATTTTAAAAAGTTTTTTTTGGCCGGGCGCGGTGGCTCACGCCTGTAATCCCAGCACTTTGGGAGGCCGAGGCGGGTGGATCATGAGGTCAGGAGATCGAGACCATCCTGGCTAACAAGGTGAAACCCCGTCTCTACTAAAAATACAAAAAATTAGCCAGGCGCGGTGGTGGGCACCTGTAATCCCAGCTACTCGGGAGGCTGAGGCAGGAGAATGGCGTGAACCCGGGAAGCGGAGCTTGCAGTGAGCCGAGATTGTGCCACTGCAGTCCGCAGTCCGGCCTGGGCGACAGAGCGAGACTCCGTCTCAAAAAAAAAAAAAAAAAGTTTTTTTTAGAGATGGGGTCTTGTTGTGTTGCCTAGGCTAATCTCAACCTCCTGGACTCAAGCAATCTTTCTGCCTCAAACTCCTGAGTAGCTGGGACTACAGGTGTGTGCCACTGCACTCAGCTCATTTTTTGAGACAGAATCTTGCTCTTGTCACCCAGGCTGGAGTGCAGTGGCACCATCTCAGCTCACTGCAATCTCTGCCTCCTAGGTTCAAGCCAGTCTCCTGCCTCACCCTCTTGAGTAGCTGGGACTACAGGTGCACACCACCACGCCCAGCTAATTTTTGTATTTTTATTAGAGATGGGGTTTCGCCACATTGGCCAGGCTGGTCTCGAACTCCTGGCCTCAAGTGATCTACCTGCCTTGGCCTCCCAAAGTGCTGGGATTACAGGCATGAGCTACTGCGCCTGGCCCCAGCTCGTCTTCTTTGCTATTAGGTTTCTATTTAAGTCTTTTGCACATCTGCTTATAGGATTGTTTATCTTTTCCTTATTGATTTGTAGGAACTCTTTAAATATCTTGGATCATTATCCTTTGTCCTGGGCCTGAACTCAGTCTCCATCCTTTAATTAGCTCTGCAACCTTAGGCAAGTTCCCTGACCTCCCTGAGTCTGTTTCCTTGCATTAAATGATGTCACAATACCAATTATGAGGTTGGCAGATGATGTACATGGGGTTCTTCTCACTGTGTTGCCCAAGCTGGACTGCAGTGACATAATCATAGCTCACTCCAGCCTTGAATTCCTGGACTCAAGTGATCCTCCTGCCTCAGCCTCCCCAGTAGCTAGAACTATAGGTTCTATTAGCGCCACCATGCACGGCTAATTTTTTAATTTTTTTGTAGAGATAGGGTCTTGCTATGCTGCATAGGCTGGTCTTAAACTCCTGGGCTCAAGTGATCCTCCCACCCTGGCCTCCAAAAGAGCTGGGAGTACAGGCACGAGCCACCATGTCTGGCATAAGGGCAGATTTAAACATTATCAAGGATGCTGAAGATGAAATAGTATTCCAGCCACATTGAGGTCATATATAATAGATAAATCTGTGTTTTGGTTGAGAAACTCCCTCACCAAGGAAAGACAGAAGAAAATACACAGCAAGTATTCAGTAACGATTCTGTGATTAAGGATCGAACATACCTGAGCGAATCACTGAAATAAATCCCACTTCCAAGGTTTCCGACGTCTGTTCTTTGCACACCACGATCTTCCACTACTTTGGGTAAAAGCAACCCTCTGAAAAGAGAAGGGCAGGATAAGGTGTAAGCCCAACACTGACTGCATCTCTTCCTTGCTCAGAATTTTGGCAGGTTCCTACTGAACTTCTGGCATTCAGAGAACTCTGCAATCAGGGTGAAGCCATGGTTGTTTCCGGAAACACAAGGGAAATTTCTGCCTTTTATTATATAAACATCTATTGTTTGAATTTCACATTAGGAGATTGAATGAATTTTGTAAAATAGCTTTTGGGTTTTGGTCCTACTTAGAAAGCTCATCCCTACTTAAAGATTATTTTAAGAAGATTCTCCCATTTTTCATTTAGTATACTTTTATGGTTTGATTTTAAATATTTAAATATTTGCTCTGTCTGGAGTTAAAGTATGAGAAATGAGGTAAAGGTCCAACTTTGTATTTTTTCCTTGTGGTTACCCATTTATCTCTATAGATAGTATTGAAGAACTTGTCTTTCTTCCACAGAGATAAGATCTACTTGTATCATATCCTAAATCTTCTGTGTTTTTGGGTTCATTTGTGTTTAATATTAATGTCACCCTCATTGTGCTTCTTTTCCAGAATTATTCTGGTAATTTCAAAATATAAAAAAAATATGTTGTAGAATCAGCTTTTCACTTCTTTAAAAAAATCTTATTGGTAATTTTATCATGATTGCACTAAATCTATAGACTAATCCAAGAAAAACTGGCATCCTTCTGATTCATGCAAGTTGTCTTTTGGGTCCCTCAGTAGCAGTTTAATGGTTTTTTGGTTTTTTCTTTCTTTTCCCCAGGTGGATCTTGTATGTTTCTTTTTAAGTTTCTTCTGAGTAATTAATGGATCTACATTTAACAATATTTTCTCCTGCTCCTGTGACTTCAGTTTCAGCCCTAATATTAAGTAGTAATTCAAAGCAAACAGAATCTTAGAGTTATGTTTCAAATAAACAACTCATGTTGTCTGATGCACACTCTAATTTCTGGACTCTTCTCTTTAAATATTGGGCTATCCCTAGATTAGATACACATGGAAGACTCATGAATATAGAATCACTTTTCTTCATACGATACAGTCTTCAAGAAGCAATTCATACCTATATACTACACTTTAAAAATAATAAATACATAATTTTTCAAAATAGAGATAAGGTCTTGCTAGGTTTTCCAGGCTGGTCTTGAACCCCTGGCCTCAAGTGATCCTTCTGCCTCAGCCTCCCAAAGTATTAGGATTACAGGTGTGACCCACCATGCCTGGCCATAAATATGTAATTTAAATTACACACTTAATTATAAAGTGTGTAATTTTCTCCAGAATGCAGTAAGCTAGCTGATTTTAACTGAAAAGACTCACGTAATATAGAAAAAAGTAGGAAAAAAAGAAGTAAAACACTTCACATTTGTGAGCCTGAAATTTTTGAAAAATAAAGATGGCTACTCTTACCGACACAAGATTCCCACGATGTTTTGTACAGGAGAACCATGCAACAAGGGCCTCACATTACCAAGTTTGCTCAAAAACTCTGTGGTTTCATTCACTCTGCCAACTCTAAATATCTGCAAGACATCCACTGGGCTCTTACTGTAAGAATTAGAAGAAAAGCCTTTAGATTACATAATTGGAAACAAAACAAAAAGTCATTATAGCAGAAGAAATCCCAAAAGAGTCCAAATGTCCATTATCAGGAAACTGATTCAATGAGTCACAGCACAGCATATCTTGGAAGTATTATGTAGGTATTAAAATAACCATATTATTTAACAAAAATAAGGATATGTAGTAAAGTATACAGTAAAATATAAAATTTAAAAGATTACAAAACTTTATACATAGTATTATCCCAATTTTGTCAAATAAACAATAGTATATGGAATATATAATTCTTGCTCTGGGCAACAGAGCAAGACCATGTCTTTCAACAACAATAAAAAAGAATGCAACTTCTGGCTGGGCGCAATGGCTCAGGCCTGTAATCCCAGCACTCTGGGAGGCCAAGGCAGTTAGATCACTGGAGCCCAGAAGTTTGAGACCAGCCTGGGCAACATGGTGAAACCCCGTCTCTCCTAAAAATACAAAAATTAGCAGGGCATGGTGGTGCACACCTGTAGTCTCAGCTACTCAGGAGGCTGAGGCAGGAGAATCACTTGAACCCGGGGCGGGGGGTGGTGTAGAGGTTGCAATGAGCCGAGATCGCGCCACTGCACTCCAGACTGGGCGACAGAACGAGACTCTGTCTCAAAGAAAAGAAAGTTATCGGCCGGGCATGGTGGCTCACCCCTGTAACCCCAGCACTTTGGGAGGCTGTGGTGGGCGGATCATGAGGTCAGGAGATCAAGACCATCCTAGCCAACATGGTGAAACCTCGTCCCTACTAAAAATACAAAAATTAGCAGGGCATGGTGGTGCACACCTGTAGTCCCAGCTACTCAGGAGGCTGAGGCAGGAGAATCGCTTGAAGCCGGGAGGCAGAGGTTGCAGTGAGCCAAGATCACGCCATTGCACTCCAGCCTGGCCACAGAGCAAGGCTCCGTCAAAAAAAAAAAAAAAAAAGTGATCAAATACCTTAAGTGCTGTTTAGGAAACCAAGCAGGTTTGGAGAGAGGGTTGTCAAGAAAGTACTCTCTTGGGAGGTGACATTTATTGGAATGTGGCACCATAAAATGTCTATTTTAAGACCTCACTGGTTGTGATGGGTTGGATGGGGCAGGAGTAGAGGGGAGCATCTGGAAGGACACTGTAGACAGGATAACAGGATCTGGATTAAAGATGGCGGCAGAGTGAATGGAAGTAGCCAACAGATGAAGGACACTTTGAAGGCAGAATTGACAGAACATGGTTATGTGGGGATGAGGGACAGAGAGACCCCACACTGGCTCTGAGTGGGTAGCTAAGATGGGGCAGTTGTTGGGGGAGACGGGGGTACGGCTGAGGGCAGCTGTGGTGGGAGGAAGGGCACATCTTCCCAACCCCATGTCCAGTGGCCTCAGGTCAGCACCTTGACATTAGCTGTGGTGGGAGTATTTGCTTCCCAGAACTCAGCAAATATTCCAGACCAGGACTTTTCCTTCACAGAGCTGGCTTACCAGCACACCCCCGGGTGAGCAGCATCGGGGTGATTCAGGCTGGGTTATGTTCTACACCCAAATGTTAACAGTGGTTATATTATCTCAGGGTTGTCTTTGGGTGGTGAGATTTTGAGTGATTTTTAATTTTCTTCATATTTTTAGATATTTTCTAAGCTTTTAGAAAAGAACATGAGTTTTATAACTAGAAAAAAGTAATATAAAGAAATCATGATTAGTGAAATGAAGGAAATCTAACTTTTCACAGCAGCAGGATCTTTCCCTAGGAAGAAGCCCACTTTAGCTGTGTGACTGCTTTTGTACTTAGGGGGTGGGGCGGCTCGCCAAGGGCTTGCTCAGGTAGCCCTGGAGGGCTGAACTGCAGCTGCCACTCCCGGGGCTTGACGTGGCTCTTCCTGTCTTCCTGGAGAAAGCTTATTGCCCTCCTGATTCTACCTTCCATGTCACCGGACTCTTAGTACAGATCTCAGCGGACACCTAGGGGAGGGTCAAAAGTCAAACCAAAAGAATTTGATTACATATAAAAACAAAATCTGGAGAAGGCCTGTGGGAATGAATGTTTTTGAGACAGAGTCCTGTTCTGTCTCCCAGGCTGGAGTGCAGTGGTGCAATCCTGGCTCACTGCAACCTCCACCTCCCGGGTTCAAGCGATTCTTGTGCCTCAGCCCCTGGAGTAACTGGAACCACAAACGTGTGCCACCATGCCCGGCTAATTTTTGTATTTTTAGTTGAGACAGGGTTTCACCATGTTGCCCAGGCTGGTCTCAAACTCCTGACCTCAAGTGATCTGCCCACCTCGGCCTCCCAAAGTGCTGGAATTACAGGCATGAGCCACCATGCCCGGCCCGGACTTTTTAAAAATTAAAGTGAAATTCCAAAAAGATAAAATTAACCATTAAGTGTACAATTTGGTAGTATTTAGTACAGAACATTCAAAATGTCATGTAATCACCACCTCTAGTTCCAAAATTTTTATTTGCCCAAAAGAAAACCCCGTACCTTTTGGCTGTCAGTCCCCAACCCTCCCTCTAATGGCACCACACAATTTGCTGTCTCCGTGGATTTATCTATTCTAGATATTTCATATAAACAGAATCGTACAATATGTGGCTTCTTTCACTCAGCGTAATATTTTTGAGGTTCACCCATTTGTAGTATGTGTCAGTGCTTCATTACTTTTTCATGGCCGAATAATATTCTATTACATATATTTATCACGTTTTGTTTATCCACTTCCCTGTTGATGAACATTTGGGTTATTTAACCACCTTTTGGCTGTTGTGAATAGTGTTGCTATGAATATTCATGTACAAGTACCTATTTGAGTACTTGCTTTCAATTCCTTTGAGTATAGAACTAGGAGTGGAATTGCTGGGTCTTATCGTAATCAAGTTTAATTTGTTGAGGAATCATCTAACGCAGGCTGCATCATTTTTCCCTCCCATCAGCAATGTGTGATGCTTTCAGTCTCTCTATATCCTCACCAACACTTATAATTTTCCATTAAAAAGAAATCATATGGCTGGGCGTGGTGGCTCATGCCTGTAATCCCAGCACTTTGGGAGGCCGAGGCTGGCAGATCACAAGGTCAGGAGATCAAGACCATCCTGGCTAAAGCAGTGAAACCCCGTCTCTACTAAAAATACAAAAATTAGCCAGGCGTGGTGGCGTGCGTCTATAGTCCCAGCTGAGGGGGGTGGCTGAGGCAGGAGAATGGCGTGAACCTGGGAGGCAGAGCTTGCAGTGAGCCGAGATCGCGTCACTGCACTCCAGCCTGGGCGACAGAGCGAGACTCCGTCTCAAAAAAATAAAAAATAAAATAAAAAAACAAAAGAAATCATAGCCATCTTAGTAAATGTGAAGTGGTTTTGGGAATGGATTTTGAGAATGATAAAGGAAAGTAGAACATAATTTTAGATGGGTCTGAGTCAGGCCATAAGGTAAGAGTGGCTGGGTGTGGTTTTAGTGGGGCTCTGGAAAACCAGCTCTCTAAACAACAGCAGCAACGCCCCCGCACAGCCCTGATTTGCAGCATTTGCTGATTTCCATGGCGCAAATCCTCCCCGTGTCCAATTTCAAGCTACCCATGGTTTAACAACCAGCTCACCAAATCTCTTAAATGTTGACAACTGGCTCTCATAAGCTGGTGTGTGCGGCTACAACTCACCACCATTTGTTCTAAGGGCTGTGCCAAGCTGACGAAGAGGAACTGCTGCAATGGAATGAACCACCAGGTCAAAAGAGTCAGTCCCATGCTTGAGAACAAGCATGCAATGGGGTTTCCAAACTGAGAAGCTGGGCACAGACTCAGCCACGGTGACCCTCAGGGGTGCTGACACCCAGCAAGGGCTCATCTGAGCAGGTGGTCCATCATGTTTGTTGTTACTGGAGAATGCCCCTCAGCGCAGGACCCTGGGTATGCACAGTGAATGAGGGCCCAAGTGTAACTGGTATTTAGGAACGTGTTTTCCAGGTTTTCAGGGGCAGTTTTTCATGCCACAGAGAGGCCACGTTAGAGACGCCATACCCATATTCCTGCACATTTAAATCAGTTTAAGTGGCTTTTTCTCTGTAATAACCTACAAAATACAAACTCAAACACGTTTTAAAATTTTTAAATTTAACCCTCAACAAGATTAGGTAACCTTGAAATCGGAGTGGAATATAGAGGGTGTTTTCAAGCACAGAAAACTGCCCCAGGCACCGTTCTGAACAGAGAAGAAAGTAATGTGTCATCACACCACCGCTACTGTGGCTTGTTGCTGAAGATTATCTAGGTAATTACTGTAATTAGCTCTTTAACGGAGTCTCAAAGAGCATTATATTATAACAGATCCTGAGATATTTCCTTTATGCTTACCTGTGATGATTCTGCAAAACCTCTTTTCTAACCCTGAGAAATTCTTCAGTATTCTGTTCAACATGCTCAATTTTGCACCTCAAAGCTCGGTATTTGGCCAGGGATGGTGGGTTGGGTTTGGACAAATTAGTTTCACAGACATTAACCATGTCTCTTATTAGCTGTAGGTGGAAATAATACACAGATGTCAGAATCACCACATATCAAAATTAATATTTATATCACATTAACACTTTCTCAAAAAGATAGGAAAAGTCCATTTTCCCCCAAAGCTTGTTTTACTTTATTTATTTTTGAGATGGGTCTTGCTCTCACCCACGCTGGAGTGTAGTGGCATGACCATAGCTCATTGCAGCCTCAACCTCCTGAGTTCAATAGATCCTCCTACCTTAGCCTCCAGAATTGTATTTGAATGGGCACTATACGTTCCCTCTTAGCAACACTCATGACTGACATTTTTTTTTTTTTTTTAGATGGAGTTTTGCTCTTGTTGACCAGGCTGGAGTGCAGTGGCATGATCTTGACTCACTGCAATCTCTGCCTCCTGGGTTCAAGCGATTCTCCTGCCTCAGCCTCCTAAGTAACTGGGATTACAGGTGCATGCCACCATGCCTAGCTAACTTCTTGTATTTTTAATAGAGATGGGGTTTCACCATGTTGGCCAGGCTGGTCTCAAACTCCTGACTGGTGATCCATCTGCCTTGGCCTCCCAAAGTGCTGGGCTTACAGGCGTGAGCCACCACACCCGACTGACAGACTCTTTATGTTTGATGTTAGGTAAATCATAGAATTTTAAATTTGGAAGGGTCTTATATTTTCTCATTGACCAGTTCTTTCCTTATTTTGGATTACTGATTCCTCTGGGAATCTGTTGAAAGCGATTATTTCCCAAACATGCAAAATTTCACATCTATAAACTCCTCTGAAGTCTAGGACACAAATCTCTGATCTTGGCCAAATCCCTGCATGCACAGATGAGGGAACACGGACCAAGAGAGTGACTTCAGCCTAGTCTAAGGCAGGGTTGGCTGCTGTGGCTGCCTTCCTCTACTCACTAAGCCTGCTTCTCTCCTGGCAGCTCAGAGGAGATGGCCCATTTCTGAGCAGCCACAGTGGCTCCAATCTCCTCACCAGTGACTGGTTTGAGATTGTGCACATGACTTCATTCTGACCAGAGAAATATGAGTCTGCCAGGGGCTTCCTCTATGTGACACAAAAAGAACTATTACAGATGGGATGCCATGAACTACTGCAGCCATCTGCAGATCACGAGGAAGCCAGGCTAAGAGCAGAGCCGTCACTCTACAGGAAGTACAGAGGGACGGAAGGAGGCTGGGACCCTGATAACACTGACACACTGAGTCTCGGGGTGACCTGGGCCAGCAGGCAGCCCACAGCTGGACTTCTTATTGTCTGAGAACGTAAATGTCCTTATCGTTTAAGTCAGCTGCAGTTTCCCCTTTCTCCTGCAGAGGATCCGAACTCATTCCAGAGTCTGAAAAGTTATTTTACAAGATAGCAATTTTAAACCTATTTCTGCACTTATGTCACTGTGCCAACATATTCACATTTGAAAATATGGTTTAACTTTCATAAGGATCCAGGGCTTTCTAAAATGGTTCAACAATTTATTTTCTAGTACAACTCTGGAGACAATTTCATGATTCAGTGTTACCTCATTCATCAGATTTCTAAAGACCCCCACCCTCAACATATTTTATAATAAATAGAATTCTATATTTCAGAGGTTTACCTGGCAGAGGTCTGCTTTCTTAGCCAATAGTCCCAGGTTCACTTCTTTGGGCATTGTGCCTTTGTGAGGTATCAGTCTGTAAAACTCTGTCATCATCTTTTGCAATTGCTCTGCTGTTTCTCCATTTTTCAGTGCTGCCTTTACTAGAAGGAGAATCCCCTCTGCCTTGCTCACCTTTCAACAGATCATATATGCTTATTACAATGAAATCTCAATACAGAAATTAAGGAGCATGCACAAAACTATATAAATAATTGTTAGACATGTCAAGACTATCCATTTTCTACTGGAGAGCCTTCACAAAGCAAATGCTGATCTTTATTGGAGACGTATCTCAGTTGTGGCAAAGATGCCATGAGGATTGTTGCAAAACTAGGCTCAGTTTTACTAGAAGAAAGAACCAGAGTCTTATATTTCTATACATATGTGGACACATCTACATACCTATACACAGAGAGAGAAACACTAATGCAACTGTGATAGACTTGCTTTTCACATGAGAAATTTAGAAAGCTGTCAGAATCAGACCAGGGATAAAAACCTCCTGAATGTGTTTCTAATTACACAAGTACTTCATGGGCTTTATCCCAGTTAGCCATTTTCTCCTTGAGATAAATTAGTTTAATTCCACAGAGGAAAATTGACCATATTATTTCAATACAACAATGCAGTTGCACAAGTTGTACCATTGGGGTATCTTCTTTTGTCTGCTCTTTTCATTGCAATTATGCTTAATCAAGAAGGGAAGAACATTTTCTGGTGGTCTGGAGGCATGCCTGCCTTTCCTAAGACAGAAGGTGCAAGACTGTGGAGTCACTAGGAAATGGACTGCGGTTAAGGCATCTGACTGGGGACCAAGACCACCCATAACCCTCCAGCTTCCTGCAAGCCTCTTGGCACAGAGGATCAGGCCTCCTAATTGGCCAGCACCAGAAGCCTGCCTTCGATCAGCTCTTGAGGCTGACATTTTACAGACAGGGATGTCTAGTTTTCTCAGAAGCTTTTCTCCTTAGTGCTGTTAGTGGTCTCTTTCTTCAGTACCGGTACAAGGAAAGAACATTTAGGAATGAATTCCAGAGCAGTCAGGCCAGCATGCAAACACACGTGTTATTGCTGAAGCCAATCAACCAGGAGGCAGATTTTTCACATTCTGTTTCAGCGACACACCAACTTACATCGTTGAGGCTAATCCTGTTCACTGGCTTGAGAAGCATGTGTTCCAGGTGGCCCAGGGCCTCTGCCCAAATCATCTCTACTAAATCGCTCACCTCTTGGCTCAGAGTGCTTGAATTCATGACTTCCTCCAAAAGCAACTACAATAATAAAATAGAAATGCCACCAAAAAGTCATCATGTGTGAGTTTGTGTAAAACTTACATGGGCCAACGAACAGAGGTGTGAGGAGAAATAATTGATTAGAGCCCAGGAGAGTCATCCCCAGCCAGGTAACTAAATCCTTTCTCTACTAGATCCTCCCTCTGTCTTCCTCCATTCTCTCTTCTCTGATTCCCTCCTACCCGCTTTTCTTCCTGTTCTATTTTTTTCCTTCACCCTGTAAGCTCTAGGCCTGTCAGTAGTAGTCAACACACGAAGTCAGGATTAAGGACCCTTGACTCATGGCCTAGGTTGTAAAGACATCTCCCAAAAGCTGGGAGGGTCTGCTGCTGAAATAAGCAATACATCTCCTGTCTTGTTCTAAAACACATTCCCCACTCAACTTCCATGCCTTTCTATGAGTTCAGATTTCCTTTTCTGAACTCCTCCTCTTCCCTCCTGACATTTATTTATTTACTTGAGACAGGGTCTTGCTGTATTGCCCAGGTTGGGGTGCAGTGGCATGATCATAGCTCACTGTAACCTCGAACTGCTGAATTCAAGTGGTCCTCCTGCCTCAGCCTCATGAGTAGCTAAGACTACAGGTACACCACCATTCCTGGGTAATGTTTTTCAGTTTACGTAGAAATGGGTCTCTCTATGTTGCCAAGGCTGGTCTTGAACTCCTGGCCTCAAGTGATCCTCCTGCCTTGGCCTCCCAAACTGCTGGGATACAGGCATGAGCCACGAAGCCTGGCCCAGTCTTTTATTTGTAATAGAGAAAACATTTCTATTAAAAATATTCAATCAACAACAAAAAAATTATAAATCAATCTCACTGCTTGCAATTGTTCAGATGCTAATTGGGTTGCTTCAGGTGTGAAATGTTCTCTTAGTAGAAATCCTTGTTTCTTCAGTTCTTCAATGTAATTTTCAAAGTATTCACTTGCATCTTCAGAGGTTTTCTTTATAGCAAACTGTCTTCTAGTCTGTGAATTATGGTGTATAGCAAAAGTACAGTCATTATTTACATATCTAGCTTTATTGAACATAAATAAAGCAGTAGGTCCTTGACATGAAGAAGCTTAGAAATTAGTTTTTTTCAAAGAATTACTTAAATTTTAAATTCTTTTTCTTTTCTTTTTCTTTTTTTTTTGAGACAGGGTCTTGCTCTGTCGCCCAGACTGGAGTGCAGTAGCACAATCTCAACTCACTGCAACCTCCACCTCCTGGGTTCAAGCGATTCTTCTGCCTCAGCCTCCTGAGTAGCTGGGACCACAGGCATGTGCCACCACACCTGGCTAATTTTTTTTGTATTTTTTTGGTAGAGATGGGGTTTCAACCATGTTGGCTTGAATAACTCTTGACCTCAAGAAATCCACCCACCTCGGCCTCCCAAAGGGCTAGGATTACAGGCGTAAGCCACCATGCCTGGCCAGAATTACCAAAATTTTAAACTCTTAATAGCCTAAAACCTGGAGGTAGAGGGGAAAAAGCTTGAGAATGCACAGCAGACAGAAAAGATCATTTGTTTCACTGGAGAGTTACTCAAAGCTTCCTTCCAAGTCTACAGACTCCTTACAAACCAGTCTAACTAGCTTGTAAATCTGGTTTTCCAGCTTTTTGGAAATGAGAAAAAAAAAATCTGGAGGGGAAGGGGAAGAAAAGAAAAATACTTCAGAAAGGAAGAACTGTTAGAGACGGGCACACAGCGAAAATGAAATCACAGCCAGTAGACAGGCAGGAAAGTTATTAGGTCATGCACATGTTAAAGGCTCCAGCTCCTCCCTCATCCCAAACTGCCTGTGGAGGCGGCACTTTCTGCTCTTCTGGGCAACTCCTGCCTCTGTAGTAGGCAGTGATCCTAACATTAACCCCAGGAAAATCTGGAAGAACCTGCCCCAGCTCAAAGCCATGGTGTCCTTGTAGGTGTTGGTTGAGCCCCTGGCTTGGGGGTGTGGACCCCTGGGAAGCCACACTACTCAGGATACCCATAAGCCGCCCTCCCAGATAGGGGGGCCGCAGGATGCCTCTGAAACTTGGAAAATAGGAGTGCCTGTTGAAGTCACTCCATTTAAGACGGTAGAGTTTAACATAATTTTGGAAGATTCCCATCAAAATGGTTTTATTAAGCAGAAGGGCAGGCTGGAAAATCCTCTTCAGCAGAACGGTGGACTGAGGCTCACTGCTATCAAGGTGGACAGGCTTCTCTGCTCAGCAAACCAGGCTCACCCAGGGGTGCTCTACACAGACTCGGGCTCGCTAAGGGAGGAAGGCACCCTGAGGGATGTCCTGGCCTACACGATGCTACGGTTTTCTTTCTCAATGAAGAAAACAACGACACATTCTATCATCTCTACAGACTCGGGCTTGCTAAGGGAGGAAGGCACCCTGAGGGATGTCCTGGCCTAAACGATGCTATGGTTTTCTTTCTCAATGAAGAAAACAATAACACATTCTATCATGTTTTTCACCTTCATTTTTACTTACTTCTTACCCAAACAACTATATCCTCCACAAAATCCAGTATGCATTTCAGGGTACAAGGGTAACAAAACCCTTTCTCCTTCTTGGACACATTTGACCATGGATTAGCTTTCTAGCTCTGTTCCCATGGAAATCTGATAAAGATGGCATGTCAGCTGTAATAGTAGGCAAAATTGCTTATGTAATTGTGGCCTCTCATTGATAAATTGCATTGATACTGGGGGCTCAATGGTGGGAAACCCAAGCTTTGGGCTTGTCAGAGAGCAGTGACTCATATAATTGGGTATGTCCCTTGAGGGCATCTGGAACCCGAGACAATGCTACAAGAGCTATGGGCTCTTGTGGGGTAGGGCTTCCAAGCCAAGTGGATCTCACATCCACCTGACGTGAGTCTCTTTCTCTTGTACCTGAGCTGACACTCAGAGTGGGAACAAAGGGAAAAGCTCCTGGAGCCTGTGTGGGCCTCTGTGAGGGCCACTCTCACGGAGAAGTGACTGTTTCCTGGCCCAAGACAGAGCTGTAGGCAGGACGCAGTGGCTCATGCCTGTAATCCCAGCACTTTGGGAGGCCAAGGCAAGCAGATCATGAGGTCAGGAGTTCGAGACCAGCCTGGCCAACATGGTGAAACCCCGTCTCTACTAAAAATACAAAAATTAGCCAGGCGTGGCAGCGCATGCCTGTAATCCCAGCTACTCAGGAGGCTGAGGCACAAGAATCGCTTGAACCTGGGAGGCAGAGGTTGCAGTGAGCCGAGATCGCACCACTGCACTCCAGCATGGGCAACAGAGTGAGACTCTGTCTCGGGGAAAAAGAAGAAAAAAAAAGATAGATCTGTAACTCTGAATGTCTACTTGAGAAGGCATCCTGGTGGGTGTTGCAGCATTTTATTTGAACTTCAGGCATTAATTCTAAATTTATTTTTGTTTCATGATTGTTTTAGATTGGAACTGTGCTCTTGACCTGATACTGACCTAGGGCAAAGGTATGGCCTCTGCAAAGCCTCCTTTGTTGTTCCCAGGGCTCTGTGACCTTGAGCCCTCAATACCCCATATATATATTCAGGATTGGAAATGTCACAGTGGATTGTAATGATGAGTGTTATTTCTTTCTAGACAGTGATCTCTGACGCCAGGGTGTGAAGCTATTTTTATCTTTGAGTGTCAGCCCTAGTCGATTGCTTGGTACACAGCAGGTGCTTAATGAAGTATATCAGTGGAATGCTTTCAGAGGTGTAAATATTAGGAAAATATCCCAAAAGTGATGTGGAACAAGGGCAGAAATGCTATACACCCTGCACCCAGTAAACATTCCCTTCTAGCGGGACCCTGTGCTGATCTACTCAGGGGGTGAGGTCCTCACCTCCCACACTCCAAAAGAGAACACATTTCCCCTTTGCAAAATTATTTACCAGGTGTTATGGCTGAACTGTACCCCTACAAAATGCATATGCTGAAGTCCTAACTCCCAGGACCTCAACAACGGGATTGTGTTTGGAGACAGAGCCTTTCAAGAGGTAATTGATTAATTAAGTGAGATCATAAGGGTGGGCCCTGATCCAATATGACTGCTATCCTCATGTGTAGAGATGAGGACACAGATGCCCACAGGTGGAAGACCATGTGAGGACACAGCAAGAAGGCAGCTGTCTGTAAGCCAAAGAGAGAGGCCTCACTTCAGAAGAAATCAACCCTGCTGTACTTTGACCTTGGACTTCCAGCTTTTTGCACTGTGAGAAATAAATGTTGTTTAAGCTCCCTAGCCTGTTGCATTTATTAATAGCAGCCTGAGCTAAGACAACAGGTAAGAAGAAAAAGGTTGGGAGGTCGGCTGATTCATTGAAATGAGTTATGAACAGAGGTCAGTAAACACATAGGAATCAATATAAACAGCATTACCTCCATGCCATCATCCAGGAGGAAGTGTGAGGATATCAGGAAAGGACAGTCCCTGGAGTCCCGCGAACACTGAAGCTCCACCACCACAGCTTCCTGGCCTCCCTCCATTCCCACCTGGAAAACAGGATGTGCTTTCAGAAGCTGCACTCGGGAAACATCAAACTACATGTGCCATTTGAAAATGTTGATTATAATTATAAAATATGTTCATTTAGAGATATAATTTAGAAAATATAGAAAAGTATCAAGAAGAAAATTAAAATCTCCTAAAATCCCGAGAGCAATACGATCACTATTAATATTTTGGTATGTTTCCCTCCTGTATTTTTACCATCCCATAAATAGATCTGTGTGTTTATACCATACCACTTTTCATGTTTTCCTTATCAAAGAGGGAAATGTTATTTTCAAGTTACATTTTATTAACATATCTCAAAATACAAATGGAACATCACTTTGAAGGCTAGTGTCGATTTATATCTATATATATATTTTAGAGACAGGTCTTGCCACATTGCCCAGGGTGGCCTCAAACTCCTGAGCTCAAGAGATCCACCTGCCTTAGCCCCCTAAGTAGCTGGGACTATAGGCAAGTGATGCCACATCAGACACTAGTGTTGATTTTCATTTGTGGGGAAAAAAAAAAAGGATTTTGTTTTTCTTTCTAATGCAAAAGGAATGGAAACGCAACATAGTGTAAATACTTAGTGTCAAACCTTCCTTTTCCAAATACAAGAAACTGTTAGTAACAGGGAAGAGCACTTTTATGTTTAATGCCATATTGATATTTTATACTGTTTAAAATTTTTGCTATGAGCATGCATTACTTTTATAATATAAACACTAAAAATTTAAACTTTAAATTCTAAACATAAACATTTTCTTGACTGTTAAAAATCAGGTCTGGGTGCAGTGGCTCATGCTTGTAATCCCAGCACTTTGGGAGGCTAAGGAGGGAGGATGGCTTGAGCCCAGGAGTTCGAGACCAGCAAAATAGTGAGATTCTGTCTCCACAAAAATAAATATATAAATAAAATTAACTCATATTTTAAGGACTATATGATATTCAGGATATGCATAATTTTTCAAAACAATGAGAAAATGACCGAATAGGAAAAACACCCAGAAGACATTCAAACAGGTGTGTTTTTTTTTTTTTTTGCTAACTAGAAATCAGATTCTTACTTTCTCCAAGGTGTTATATTTTGCAACTTCAAAATCTTGAGGAAGATGAGGAATTTCAACATTCTGCATACCAAACCTGAAATTTGTAGTGTATAATTAAAATTTTAACATTAAATGGATTTTAGGCTAAACAGAATTTCATAAATTTTTTCTTGTACATCTTTACAAAATACATGATAGATTCCTTACAAAACACATGGTAAGTCCACATGGTAAGTCCCTAAGGCCTCCTTAGCTCTTCCAGAAATTGTTAAAAGATCATTGGAAATGAGCTGGATGCCTCCTCTGCATAATCTCCAGCTCAGATACCCAGCACTGTAGCGTCTGCACTGGAAGATGGTCTCCACGCGGCAGAGGCAGAAAGAAGTGGGCCGCACACTCTGGGGATGGGCTACTTGTGTTTGCTTTGGATCTGACTCTTAGAAGCTATGTCACTCCTCTCCAGACCACAGTCCATTCCTCTCTAAAATAAAGGAGTCAGACTTCTCATAATCTGTACTTTTCATTTTGGATTTTCTTCTCTTTAAACACTATTATTAACAAATACAACAAGATTGAATGTGATGCCTAATTAACCCGATGTTTTGGGTATGCTTTAAGAAACCATATAGAACTTTAGACTCCCATACTCCATTTGAGGAAGGCTGTTGTTATTTCCATTTTTGAAAACATCAGGCAAAAGTAACAAACTGTCTTTACTCTAAAGGCTGCTCAGGAAAATAATAGGATGAAAATAGGTTTTTTTTTAAAAGAATTAAAAAAAAAACCCACTGGTTTTCTTTTTAAAAATCAATTCAATAATTGCACCCAATCTCATTTAATACTGAGAATTTAAAATAATGATCACTATACTAGTTGAAGAAAAAGACTCAAATAAAAAATCACTTGAGTTAGATATGCAAAATAAATTAAAATAAGAAAAAGTCTACAAATAGAATTTTAATACTGTGCTTGAGGTTTACACAAGATTTTACAAACTCTGTAGAGTCCCAGGAATCAGAAAGAAGTAAATTACTCAGTGAGTTCCACAGTGTCTTCCTCCTCTGTGGCACTGTCCGGGCATAGACCTTCTGTTTTCACTTCTAGAATTAAAAGCAAACAGCACACTTGTTTACTGCCCAAAGACTTACTATAATTAGTTAACCTAAGTGCTGGAATTGTTAAGATTCATAAATATATCCTTAAATTAGTTATAATTTTGGTGATCAAAGGATAACCCAGTGGGAAAAGAGGAAGGTATAACCTTATAAAATAGGGAGAACATACTCTAATTCTATTTTAATAAGCATATCAGGAGGATTCTCATCTGTTATTATTTGAAACTCATTGATAGCCATACAATTTTCAATTGGCACTTTCTTCTTGAAGAGTACAAAGTGCACAGGATCAGAATGAGTTCCTGAGAGTCGGCACATCACGAGCGAAGGAGCTGGAGATGTTCTAGCTTAGAGGAGGGAAAGTCAAGGGCTCTGCATGAGCTTTTGCTTCATACTTTCTGTACAGAGAAACAGTAACACTATCTAGAGCATTGTGATATACAGGAATAACTCAATGTGAGGACTTCTTTCCAGTTTTAATTATACTGTCAAGATTCCAAGGATCATCAGTGTATTTGTAGTAATTTGGAATCTGAATAAATTATGCTGGCTGTCATACAGTATGTTTTCAATGTGAAATGAGTCTACTATTTTATTTCTGTTGTAACTATCATTTGCTGGGACATGTGCTGGGACTGCAGCAGCATTTCTGGACTATTGTCTAAGGAGGCTCCACCCTGCCAAGTCAGTACGGTATCTAACACATACCGTGTGCTTACTGTGAGTTAGTATTTATCAGAACTGTGTGATTTTTGATATGACTCAGGAAGAGTGCATTTTTCATGTCCAAAGGCTTTCTTCTTGGCCAGTTTCCAAAATAAAATCTTGGCTTATAAAGAAAATATGTTTCTTTTGGGGAGACAATCTTTTGTTTGGAAAGAATTTCTTCAGCAAAATGCTGGTCATCAAATTTCCAGTCATTAGGTTGTAGTAATCACTGTTTAACACAAAGGCTTTCCCCTCCCCCTAGTTAAAAGCACAATCAGGTTTTCTGAGATGATCAGTGTTTTGTGGCCATTTTGAGTCTGACCCTACTAGGCTAGATATCAAGAAATCTGTTTCTAGTGCTAAAGTAGTCTTTTGTCCTTTGTTATTTTTCTGTCCATTTTCTGAGGTAATAAGTCTAATTTTTTTTTAGTATTTCTGGACAATTCTCTGCCTATGGTATCTTTGACAAACCCAAGCGTGTACTATGGCACCTATGATACGTTAAATGCTTGCTATGAAATACCTACCAGAACTGCTCGCCTTCTGATCAGGAGGTGGTGTGATGTCCAGGGGCTTATAAGGATCATAATTCTTTACATCCAAGAGTCTCTTTTCCCTGATAGATTTCCATATAAAATCTGGGTTTGCAATATGAACGTGGTTCTTTTGGATAGAATTCAGTTGGTACTGACTCAGAACATCAGCATTATCTAAGATTATATGTGTGCACTAAGGAAAAAAAGAGTCAATCCATTATGCATCAAGAAAAACAACATTTAAATAAGATATTTGTATCTGTAATTTTCACCCTTAGAAAGTATTAAGGTAGTTTGTGATAATCTTTCTCAAATTTCGAAAAACCTCTATAAATATCACAGTTTCTAGTTACATAAACATTTTAAAAATCAACTGTTTTTAAAGGATATGGCTACGAATGCACCATAATTGATTAACCCTAGAGGTTATTTCTAAATTTTCATTATTGTAAACAACGCTGTGATGACTATCCTCATGTACACATCCTTGTGCACTTGTTCAATTATTTTCTTAGTAGTGGAAAGGGAGGTTCAAAGGTTATTATTTATTTTGATTTGTAATTTTAGAAAATCTTGTTTTTTTTGTAGAGATAGGGTCTTGCTATGTTGACCAGGCTGGTCTTGAACTCTCAGCCTCAAGTGATTCTCCCATCTCAGCTGAGTTTACAGGCATGAGCCAACATGCCCGCTTATAATTTTATTTATTTTTTAATAAATAGTAAATTCACATTGTAGAATATCTAAAAAATAAAATAATGACGACGTATTAACTTCATCCCCACTGTTGTCCCCAGTTCCTCTCTGCAGAGGCACCTGCTGTCACTTGCTCCTCGCGAATCCTGCTAGAGCTACACTATGCGTAGATACATGGCAGCGTGCTCCTCAGCCTCTTCCGTGCTGGCTTTTCCACTGAAATTATCTTGGTGATTGTTCCTCAACATTACATATACAGCTGCCTCATTATCTACAGTAGCTGGGATGCACATTTCACATGTTTATGTACATTGACTTCCACAAAGTTGCACTCACAGTATGTGACTTTCTAAAAAGGAGAGACCATGTTGGCAGTTCACACAGAAGACAAACTGAGAAGGGAGAGCAGGCACGAATTACTCATCTGTCCAGAGATGGTGAGACAGCTCAGTGTGGGAAGCTGTATAAGGGAAGTATATACAATTCTACCTGAATTGGAAGTAAACAGGGACATTGCATTTCTGGTATTCAGCTGGAGTTGAACACGCTTCACAGAACAGATGAGGCTCACAATGGCCAAGCCCCAGGGCTGAGGTCCAGGGAGGGGCAGGGTGAGTCAGCTCATCAATTCGTCAACAGAGGGAACAGCAGAGGACAGGGGCAGGCCAGCCTGGCACCTAGAGCCTTTGGATTTCTATTTTTACAGTGAGGTGGTTTAAAAAAGAGGAGGTTAAACTGAATTATTTCTAAGATTTCATCCAGCTGTAAAATCCTATTATTCTGAACTGCCAGGCTTACAAGTTCAAGAGGCAGAAGGTAAATTCCTGCAGCCTTTAAATGAACAAAACAAACAGCACAAGCTACACTGCGAAGATGAGTCTGCACTGCATGTATTTCTTTCTACACCCAGGAACCTGGCTTACCAGTATATCACCCCAGCGTTGACATACTGGTGAGTGACGACAGTGCGCTTTTTGCAAATCCTGTGCACTATGACTTTTCTCCTTCAAGAATAGATATGGCTGGTCTGAAATTCTATTTTCATATTTGGCTGTGCTCTAGTAATATCCTGCTTCACAGGACATGTAGGATTGTCCTGCAGTTCAGGGAACAGGGAGGGGACAGGGCTGGGCCACCTCTGCCTCTAGGAGCCCAGCCTCCCAATGGGCCATGTCAGTCTCTCCTGATGAACTTCGAGTAGCTCACTCACTCTCTCCTGCTGCTAATCTCTGCTTCCTCTTCTAACCATGACCCTGTTCCCTGAATGCGCAATGTTTTATCACACTGTAGTTTATGACACTTGGAAATACCTGAGGATTTAACGAAAAGGAAAACTTTCCGCCATTTTCCTTAATGTCAGTTTGTAGCTTTTTCTTCTGCTGCTGAGGTAAGTACTTCACTTTCAAACAGAAGATACAATTTGCAAAGATTCCCATCACCATCCTGTAGGAAAAAAAGTTTTTAAGGACCCTCTCTTAAGTCAATATGACAGTGAATTTAGAATTATTATACAAGCAAACTGTGGGAAAATTGGGCATTATCTTAAGAAAGATATTGCAATCATGTTATCAATAGAACATTGCAAAAATTGAATAATATCCTAGCTTGCAATATGTGTGTTGGTTTAAGAATCGTTTCTAGCTTTTATGGTTGATATTACACCACCAAAAATCCCTTTGTACAGGCTCATGATATACATCTTAATAAAAACATGACAGATTTAAGTTACAGATCAAGTGTGTGACTCCAGAACATGGAACCATTTATTTCTAAATTAGAAATTAACATTATTTGATAGTGAAACCATGGGTTTCTTTAATATATAATTCTATGCATTCAAAAAGACTCTTTATGTGGACTTCTATTAGGCCATTCTGGGGAAAAACTGAACAGCTGATAATAAAAATATACAACTATGTTTAAATGGAATATGTATGTGTGTGTATACACATATATATTCTGCATTTAGGTTCTTTTTTTTTTTTTTTTTTTTTTTGGAGACGGAATCTCACTCTGTCACCCAAGCTGGAGTGCAGTGGTGCGATCTCAGCTCACTGCAACCTCCGCCTCCCTGGTTCAAGCGATTCCCCTGCCTCAGCCTCCCGAGTAGCTGGGACTACATGCGCGCACCACCACACGTGGCTACTTTTTATATTTTTAGTAGAGACAAAGGTTTCACCATGTTGACCAGGCTGGGCTCAAACCCAGCCTCCCAAAGTGCTGTGATTACAGGTGTGAGCCACCACACCCAGCCTGGGTTAATTTAATTAATTTACTGTACAACACATTCTCAATTTTGCATCGAAATGTGTATTTAACAATAAATTAATACATGGTGAAAAATTGTGTTTAATTTCCATTTTGTAAAATTTTTTTTTTGAGACAATCTTGCTCTGTCACCCACGCTGGAGTGCACTATTGCAATTTTGGCTTACTGCAACCTCCACCTCCTGGATTCAATTGATTCTCCTGCCTCGGTCTCCCAAGTAGCTGAGATTACAGGCGCCCACCATGACACCTGGCTAACTTTTGTATTTTTAGTAGAGTCGGGGGTTTTACCATGTTGGCCAGGCTGGTCTTGAACTCCTGACCTCAAGTGATCTGCCCACCTTGGCCTCCCAAAATTGTGGGATTACAGGCATGAGCCACCGCACCTGGCACACCCCCGCTTTTTTTTTTTTTTTTTTGAGTCAGGGTCTCACTCTGTCACCCAGGCTGGAGTGCAGTAGCAGATCTCAGCTCACTGTAATCTCTGCCCACTGCAATCTCTGCCTTCCGGGAAGAGAAGGTGAGGGTTAAAGAAAGACACACACACACACACAGAGGAGAAAGAAAGAGAGAGGAGACAGAGCTAGAGAGCGCGAGCTTGACAGCAAATGCGGCTTTATGTGCAGCACAAAACCTACAGAAGTAGGGGACCAGCCTAATGCCACAGCCCACTGCTAAGTCTTACAGGCTAAGGGTACTTATAGGTATGGGCGGGAGGGGTCTGGGCAGCATGGCTTGTTGCCCTGCAAGATATCGATAAGATGTTCCCATGATTTGTATTGATTTGTACAATAAGGGTTCTGGCCCTTATTCAGGTGGATGTCATCATGGTGTTCCTTGGACGTTTGCCCAAGAAGTCATGAGAGGGAAGTTTCTTCAGATAAGCCTCTGTTGGCCTTGCGGTCAAGTGGTTAGGAAGGATGTTTCTCACCGCCTAAACCCCCCAGAAATGTTTCACTTTGCCCAAAGTCTGCAAAATAGCGGGCAGCTTACAAAATGTTGCAGTTTGTGCTAACGCTGGGTTCAAGCAATTCTCCTGCCTCAGCCTCCCGAGTAGCTGGGATTACAGGCCCGCGCCACCACGCCCGGCTAATATTTTTCATTTTTAGTAAAGACAGGGTTTCGCTATGTTGCCCAGACTGGTATTTGTCAATTTTTAAAAACAAGGAGTCACGTCTAACAGGCTCCCCGCAAAGTAAGCTGCCATTTGGCGACAGCAGTTTCCAAGTCCTGTATTAGTTTGAGGATCGCGGTTCCGGGTCCTGTGTTAGCTTGGGCAGGCAGGTCAGGTTCTCTGCCGCGGCCCACGCGTCTTGGGACTAAGCTGAGTTGCTGAAAGCCCACCGCCCTGCACCGCGATTGGGCTCCGCCATTTCCCCTTTGCCTGCCCTTTCACCTCCCACTCCTACAGGCCAGAGGCCCCACCCTACCTAGTGCTGTGTCTGGAATTTGTGGGTTCTTGGTCTCACTGACTTCAAAAACGAAGCTGCCTGGACCCTCGTGGTGAGTGCTACAGTTCTTAAAGGCGGCGCGTCCGAAGTTTGTTCCTTCCTTGGTCTCACTGACATCAAGTATGAAGCCGCAGACCCTCGCAGTGAGCGTTACAGTTCTTTAAGGCGGCGCATCCAGAGTTTGTCCGGAGTTGTTTACTCCTACCGGTGGGTTCGTGGTGTCGCTGGCTTCAGGAGTGAAGCTGCAGACCTCCGCGATTTAAAGGCAGTGCGGACCCAAACAGTGAGCAGCAACAAAATTTACTGCAAGGAGTGAAAAACAAAGCTTCCACAGCGTGGAAGAGGACCCCAGCAGGTTGCCACTGCTAGCTCGGGCAGCCTGCTTTTATTCCCTTATGTGGCCCCACCCACATCCTGCTGATTGGTTCATTTTATAGAGCGCTGATTGGACTGCTTTGACAGGGTGCTGATTGGTGTTTACAATCCCTGAGCTAGACACAAGTTCTCCAGGTCCCCACTAGATTAGCTAGACACAGAGCACTGATTGGTGCATTTACAAACCTTGAGCTAGACACAGGGTGTTGATTGGTGTGTTTACAAACCTTGAGCTAGACACAGAGTGCTGACTGGTGTATTGACAATCCCTTAGCTAGACATAAAGTTCTCCAAGTCCCCACTAGACTCAGGAGCCCAGCTGGCTTCACCCAGTGGATCCCATGCCAGGGCCGCAGGTGGAGCTGCCTGCCAGTCCCATGCCTTGCACCCGCACTCCTCAGCCCTTGGGTGGTCGATGGGACCGGGCGCCGGCCGCGCTCCTGCGGGACGCTCGTGCTGCGCAGGAGCCAACTGAGGCGGGAGAGCTCAGACATGGCGGGCTGCAGGTCCCGAGCCCTGCCCCGCGGGGAGGCAGCTAAGGCTCCACGAGAAATCTAGCACAGCGCTGGTGGGCCGGCACTGCTGGGGTACCCGGCACACCCTCCGCTGCTGCTGGCCCGGACGCTAAGCCCCTCACTGTCCGGGGCCGGCGGGGCCAGCGGGCTGCTCAGAGTGCGGGGACCGCCCAGCCCACGCCCAACCGGAACTTGCGCTGGCCCGCAAGCGCCGCGCACAGCCCCGGTTCCGTCCTGCGCCTGCAAGCTGAAGGAGCCGGCTCCGGCCTCGCCAGCTCAGAAAGGGGCTCCCACAGTGCAGCGGCGGGCTGAAGGGCTCCTCAAGCGTAGCCAGAGTGGGCGCCGAGAGCCAGCGAGGGCTGCAAGGGCTGCCAGCACGCTGTCACCTTTCAGTACCTTTGCCCTGTGTGTGTTGGATGGTGGTACCCATTCCCTGGGCTCTCAATTGAGGACACAGTGCCACTGCCTCCCTGACACCTCACCTCTGGGTCTCCTTGGCACCACAGAGGTGCGACGTCCCCAGCCTAGGCCTCCCTCTCCCCCTTGGCTGGAGACAACCACTGGGTGCTATTCTTGACTCCCTGCACCCCCATCTCCTTCTGCCAGCTGTATCTCTTCCATCACAGCCCCTGATATAGCCCCAATGTATAGAACTTGTCCCTCCTGCTGCCACCCTGGCCCATGCCCTCGCATCCTGACTGGCTCCCACTCCTGTTGCGCCTGTGTTCAATCTCTTCTCCACACTGCAGCTTCAGGAAACTTGTTGTTTTTAAATTACATTTCAAATAAAATACAAATTGCTTATCATGGTTCAAGGCCAACAGCTATCTCATTCCCTCCTGGCCACACTGGCTTTTTCTAAAGGAGGAAGAAACCCACAGCTTGGTCCTCCAAGTCTTGACACATGCTGTTATATATTATAGTTCTTATCTCTGGGACCCCCAGCCCTTCCTCACCCCATGCTGTATCCCCCATCCAGGACACAATGAATGAACACATTAGGGATTCATATTTTTTAATCTTTCTTTTGAGGTCCGGTTAAACTGAAGTCTCTTGATGTAATTCTGCCTTTCCATAACATTAGCATGGAAAAGTTTCATTTGTTGACTGCCTCTCACATTCAATTAGCATCTGTGCATAGATAGGAGGGATGAAATGAGGGGTACCATAAAAGAGATTACACCACACTATTTAGGTTAATCTATGCTAGTCGTAATCTCTGACAATTAAAAACAACACACAAAAAAAAACACTAAAAGCCTTTAATGACTCTTTAATAATTTCCAGGACAGCCTCTATGTGATAATTGCACCCCCACTTATGCTGACCAAGGTTGGCTGACATGGAGTGGCTGCTCAAGTCCACCTTCAGATGGGTCCTGGATGTGTTAAATCCTCTGACCTGTTTAAAACGTGTTTCCTGGAAAAGTGACTCATGGTCACTGTTGAAAATTTGAAAAATACAGAATTGTATAACAGAAAAAAAAAGAACAAAACAAAAAAATCTCAAAACCTAGGGCTATGTTAGCATCTTGTTTTGCATTTTTCTTCTGGGCTTTTTTCTAGGTCTATTATAACACTTTGTTTTTTGAGACAGTCTCGCTTTTGTCACTTAGGCGGAAGTGCAGTGGTGAGACCTCGGCTCACGGCACCCTCCGCCTCCCGGGTTCAAACGATTCTCCTGCATCAGCCTCCCGAGTAGCTGGGATTATAGGTGCCTGCCACCATGCCTGGCTACTTTTTGTATTTTTAGTAGAGACGGGGTTTCACCATGTTGGCCAGGCTGGTCTCGAACTCCCAACCTTAAGTGATCTGCACACCTTGGCCTCCCTAAGTGCTGGGATTACAGGCATGAGTCACCGCACCCAGCCACAGACTGTATTTTTTATCAAAATTGACATCACACTACCTATCCCGCTGTTATCAGTCAGCATCTTTAGCATTTTGTCATTAAATATTATTGGAAAACATTTTTAATAGAGACTATCAGATATGGACCATAAATGAATTATTGTTGGAAAATTAAATCATTTCTGATTTTTGGTATCATAAAAAGCTATGATGAACATCCTTATGTGCAAATCCTTGTTTCCATCTCCAACAATCATCTTAGAAAATAATACTCAACTAGAACTACTGAATCAAAGTTTGAACAATTTTTTTGTGTTAAAAGTTAATCACTAAGAAGAAAAAATAAAAAGCACCTAAAATGATGGAAATGCTCAAAACTAGACTGCAGTGATGGTGCACAACTTGGTAAATTATTAAAAATTATTGAATTAGGCCAGGCAATGTGGCTCATGCCTGTAACCCTAGCACTTTGGGAGACCAAGTGGAGCAAATCGCTTGAGCCCAGGAGTTTGAGAGCAGCCTGGCCAACATGGCGAAACTTCATCTCTACAAAAAATACAAAACTTAGCTGGGCAAGGTGGTACATGCCTATGGTCCCAGCTACTCAGGAGACTTAGGTGGGAGGATCACTTGAGCCTGGGAGGTCAAGGCTGCAGTGAGCTGTGATCATGCCACTGCACTCCAGCCTGGGTGACAAGAGACCCTATCTCAAAAAAAAAAAAAGAGAGAAAAATTACTAAATTGTACAATTAAAATGAATGAATTTAATGTATGTAAATTGTACCCCAATACATTTTTTAAATAGTATTTTTTGGATACATAATAGTTACATACATATTATGGGTCAATAAAGTTATTTTTAAAAAAGCACCTGATCCCTCCATCCAGAAATAACCCCACTGTTGATTTTTATTTGTTTGTTTTTTGAGCCAGTCTCGCTCTGTCACCCAGGCTGGAGTGCAGTGGCATGATCTCAGCTCACTGCAACCTTCTGCCTCCCAGGTTCAAGTAATTCTCGTGCCTCAGCCTCCAAGTAGCTGGGACTACAGGCACGCACCACCACGCCCAGCTAATTTTTGTATTTTTAGTAGAGACGGGGTTTCACCATGTTGGCCAGGCTGGTCTCGAATTCCTGAGCTCAAGTGATCTGCCCACCTCTGCCTCCCAAAGTGCTAGGATTACAGGCATGAGCCACCACACCTAGCCCCCACTGTTGATATTTTAATTTTTTTGGTGTTATTATTTCTTGTATCATTGTATTTTCTAAATTATTAATATTCTATATTTAATGTTATAGCCAGTTGCTCTTTACTTTTTAAATAGGACTTTCACTTTCACAGCTTATTTAGCTTTTAGTGATATCCTCCCCATGTCACTAAATATTCTTTGAAGGTGTTTTTAGTGGTTACATAAGCTTTGCGTTTATTTCATCCTTCCCCAAGTCATCAGATACTTGGTTACTTAAAAGTGTTCACTATTGGCCGGGCGCGGTGGCTCACACCTGTAATCCCAGCATTTTGGGAGGCCGAGGCGGGCGGATCACGAGGTCAGGAGATCGAGGCCATCCCGGCTAAAACGGTGAAACCCCGTCTCTACTAAAAATACAAAAAATTAGCCGGGCGTAGTGGCGGGTGCCTGTAGTCCCAGCTACTTGGGAGGCTGAGGCAGGGGAATGGCGTGAACCCGGGAGGCGGAGCTTGCAGTGAGCGGAGATCCCGCCACTGCACTCCAGCCTGGGCGACAGAGCGAGACTCCGTCTCAAAAAAAAAAAAAAAAAAGTGTTCACTATTAGAAATACACTTTAATTAAAATGCTTGTACATATATTTTTTTGCCACATCTCTGTCATAGTTTCCCTAGAGTTGATGGCCAGAAATGGAATTACTGAATCAAGGAGTATAAACATTTTTTAGCCTTTTAAAAATTGTGGTACAGTTTTTAAAACTGTGTGTACAGTTCAGTGGCATTAAGTACATACACATAGTTGTGAAATCAAAGTATAAACATTTTATTTTATTTGAGACAGGGTCTGGCTCTGTCTCCCAAGCTGGAGTGCAGTGGTGTGGTCACTGTCACAGCTCACTGCAACCTCGACCTCCCTCCCAGCAATCCTTTCACCCGGCCTACTTAGTAGCTGGGACCACAGGCCTGCACCACCATGCCCAGCTAATTTTGGTAGAGACAGGGTTCTTACTATGTTGCCAAGGCTGGTCACAAACTCCTGGGCTCAAGCCATCCTCCTGCCTCAGCCTCCCAGAGTGCTGGGGTTACAGGTGTGAGCTGCCACGCCCGGCCCAGAGTAAAAACATTTTAAACATAAATCTGCGGTCTGTTCTTAGCACCTGCGGCTGCGTGGGAGGTATGGAAAGGCGCACTTTGGGTTTCGTGAAATCTCAAGTCAGGTCTTGACTTCTCTCTTTCCACAGATTCATCTCTAGTCTCTGTAAAATGCCAGCCCTCTTCTGGGTTAACAGCGCCTAACCGACATGCGCCACTAGTTCTTCCTTGTTTCAAAGTGTTCTCTAAACACAGAGTTAGTTCATGTTTTCATCAGCGCTGATTACGTACATATGAGATGTGGCGGACACTGGGCTAGGGGCTGGTTATTCTCTAAGGCAAATCTGCACAGTCACTCCAGCCTGTCCCCCTTCCCAGCTTCTTCCCCAAATAACATTCACAGAGTGTCTTCCACCCAAAGACAGCAGGGAACAGCCCCGATTCCTAAGAAACCCTCAGCGCGCCTCCTCACAAACTCTTGGCTGCTCCATAAACCATTGGTGTAGGTGGAATCAAGTGGCTTCCTGCTTCACAGGTCTTCGTCTTTACCACTGGCATTTCCTCCTCTCGGAAAACCCTGAGGAGTCCCTTTCTGGGCAGTCTTGATTCTACAGCCTCCGCCTTCCGAAGTGTGTGAGTCAGCACACGCTAAGATCACTTTTGATATACAGTGGGCATTCAATAAAAGCTTGCTTACTAAAAACTCTCACGTATCCATTAAAGCCCAGGATTACAGAAAAGCCTTCTGACACTATTTGCATTTTGGACTCAAATGGCATCAGTAATGCACCTCCCTAATGGGTTTATTAAACCCTTAAACAACAAAGGTACTACTTTTATTTCACTCCTACATGATATACAGTAGCTCTACGCACACAAACAAGACCTAATGTTTACTTAATAAATGATAAAGTCAGATGTAATGAGTCTGCAACACGCACATCTCAGAGCGAACTTCCCCTTTATCATAGCACTATGCTTGGATATTGTCATATAATTGTTGTCATCCAGCAGTCCAGAATTGAAAGTGCTTGGGCTTGAATATTTAGCAGCGCCTTAGTTTTCTAGAACCTGTGATCTACCAACTCGATCCCTGGGTGAACCATTCGGCCCTCCTAGCAGGAATTACTTAACTGAGTTAGAGGTTTTCAACTTTGGACCTCAACAAACACATTGTTTCTATCACGGTGTTCCCAATGACTCACGAGGTCAGATAGTACTTCCTGATTACTCACCAAACCACCTTACTTTTTGCACAATTCGAAACCTAACTTTAGGAAAGAAGGCCGTTTGGCATACTGGAAACAAGAAACAACGCGTGCTACTGCGAACCGCACCGCACGGGGTGCGGAGACTTGGTGTGACTGTCGGCTCCGGTGGGCGCCCCCCACCGCACCCGGTTTCTCGTCACCAGGGCTGCGCCGCGGGGCAGAGCGGAACGACCGCAATATCCCTCCCCGAGGGCGCTGGCTGCACTAGCTAGTCCACTCCCGAGCCTAGCAGCGCCGTCAGGCCCACAGCGCCAACGCCGCGCAGGGCAAGGGTGCAGCCACTGGCGGGAAAGTAGTACGCGGGCCACTTCCTGGCTAGGACTACAGGGACCTTTGCAGCCCCCCACCCCGCAGCGCCCACGCACCTGCCTAGAGGATCCAGCTAGCTCCGGACGCTCCCCGATTCCGCGCTCCTTGCTCGCGGTACTTCCGTAATCTAGGCTCTCCCTGCCCCCGGGGCTGGGCGGGCGCCACTGCGCCGGAACCCCGCCCCGCACCAGGCGGGCGCAGCGTCCCAAGCAGGGACGATAGCCGGAACGCGCCCGGAATCGGGTCCGCCAGGTGGGGAGCGGGTCCCCGGCCTCTGGCGGGGTTTCTCTTCCAAGATCAGCCGGAGGGTTCAGGGCTTTCAGTTTCATATTTCAGGAGGGATTTTGTCAATGAGGATTAATACAAAGCTCGGCTTTGAGAGAGGTGGGTGGATGGTGCTGTCCTTTAACTGAGAAATGGAAGGGATTCACAAGGCCGGGAAAGAAGAAAATTTCGGGAAAGTTCGTGGAAACAGGAGAGTGAGATAATAAATTTACTTTAAGCCTTCCTGCGTTTGAAATTCGTGACAGTGTAACTAGTTGGAAATATATTTATCTGCCATTCAAGAGAGGCAGGGGGCTGGAGATACAGATCTGAGATTCACTGAAATGGGAATAAAGCAATGGGGAAGATTCAGATTTTTAGGATACTGAATAAAATGAGAATAGAAAGGATAGAGTAGAGAATACAGTGGAAAGGGTATGGGGTTGAATCCTGACTCCACAATTTATTACCAAGGGGGCTGGGGACAAGGTAATTTACCAAGTTTCATCATTACAACCTACTCTATAGGGTTGTCTAAGAAACAACAAGAGATTCTGGGGGAGGAGAGAGACTGATTCCTAGAGTTACCACATCGTAATGCTCAAAATGTCCAATCTTCAACAAAAAATTATGAGGCATGCAAAAAAAAAGGCGAAAAAATGGCCAATTCAAAGGAAAAAAGAAATGAACAGAAATTGTCCCTGAGCTGAGGAAGCACAGACATAGGAATTATTAGACAAATACTTCAAATAAACTGTCTTAAACATGGACAAAAAGTGAAAGGAAACATAGAAAAATAACTGAAAGAAACAACCAGGAGAACAAAGTCTCAATAAATAGAGAATATGCAATAGAAGATGTGCAAATGGTCAACAAGCATGAAAAAAAGCCCAGCATAACTAATTATCAGAAAAGTGCAAATTAAAACTGCAATGAGATACCATCTTACACCAGTCAGAATGGTTATTATTAAAAAGTCAAGGAACAACAGATGCTGGCAAGGCTTTATTGAAAAGGAAATGCTTATACACTGTCAGTGGGAATGTAAATTAGTTGAACCACTGTGGAAACCAGTTTGAAGATTTCTCAAAGTGCTGAAAACAGAACTGCTATTCAACCCAGCTATCCCATTACTGGGTACATATTCAAAACAAGAGAACTCATTCTACCAAAAAGACACATGCACTAGTATGTTCGTCACAGCACGCTTCACAATAGGAAAGACATGGAATGAACTTAGGTGCTCATCGACAATGGACTGGATAAAGAAAATGTGGTACATTTGCACCATGGAATACTACGAAGCCATAAAAAGAATGAATGGAATCATGTCCTTCACAGCAACGTGACTGCAACTGGAGGCCATTGTCGTAAGTGAATTAATGAAGGAACAGAAAACCAAATACCACATGTTCTAATTTGTAAGTGGGAGCTAAACACTGGGTACTCATGGATATAAAGATGGCAACAATAGACACTGGGGACAACTAGACAGGGAGGGAGGGGGAGGGGCAAGGGTTGAAAAACTATTGGGTACTATGCTCAGTCCCCGGGTGAGGGGCTCAGTCATACCCCAAACCTCAGCACCACGAATTATATGTAGGTAACAAGCCTGCACATGTACCCTCTGAATCTAAAATAAAAGTTGAAATTATTTAAAAAACAAATAAGGAATATTAATAAAGAGATAGAAATTATAAAAGGAACCAAACACATTTTGGAACTGAAAAGAACCAAAAAGAAATTGTGTAGTTAAAAAGTACAATAGGACCAGGCATGGTGGTTCATGCCTGTAATCCTAGTGTCTTGGGAGGCCAAGGCGGGAGGATCGCTTGAGACCAAGAGTTTGCCTTGGCAACATAGGGAGATCCCCTCTCTACAAAAAAATTACAAAATTAACCGGGCATGGTGGTGCATGCCTGTGGCCCTAGCTACTCAGGAGGCTAAGGCAGGAGGATCACTTGAGCCAAGAAGTTCATGGCTGCAGTGAGCTAAGATCACACTCCTGCACTCCAGCCTGGGTGACAGAGCAATATCTTGTCTCAAAAAAAAAAAAAAGAAGAAGAAAAGAAAAAGAAAAAAATACAATAACTTAAATGAAAAATACACAAGTGATGCTCCAGAGTAGATTTGAGCAGGTAAGAGAAGGAATGAGCAAACTCGAAGATAAAACTGTTGAAATTATTAACTCTGAGGAGCAGAAAGTAGAAGAATGAAGATCAAAGTCCAAAAGATTTGTGGACACCATCAAGTGTATCAGCATATGCATAAAGGGGGTCCCAGAAAGAAAGATGAGGGTGAAGGTGGCAGGAAGAGTATCTGAAGAAACAGTGGCTCCAAAGTCCCCAATTTGTTAAAATACATAATGTAACACTTCAGAGAAGCTCCATGAACTTCAAGTATGATAAACTCAAAAAGTCCACAATAGAGTTATATTAATAATCAAACTGTTGAAAGCCAAAGACAGAGAGAAGCTTAAAAGCAGCTAGACAGAAATGATCACTACATACAAAGGAACTTGAATAAGATTAACAGCCAATCTATTACCATGGGAGCCAGAAGGCAGTGGGATGATATAAAGTGCTGAAAGAAAACAAACAAACCGGCAACCATGAATTCTATATCTGTTAAAACTCTCCTCCAAGAAATGATAGGCCAGGCACGGTGACTCATGCCTGTAATCCTGGCACTTTGGGAGGCTGAGGCAGGTGGATTGCTTGAGCCCAGGAGTTCAAGACCAGCCTGGGCAACATGGTGAAAACCCATCTCTACAAAAAATGCAAAAATTAGCCAGGTATGGTGGCATGTGCCTGTCATCTCAGCTACCTAGGAGGCTGAGGCAGGAGGAACACTTGAGACCTGGAGGTTGAGGCTACAGTGAGTTGTAATTGTGCCACTGCCCTCCAGCCTGGGTGATAGAGTCATCCCATCTAAAAAAAATGTGTAATAAAAACCTATAGAATGCTTGAAGAACCATCCAACTACTATATAATTATTGCTATTTTTGAAGAAAGCAAAAATACAGGTGTGACAACTATTATGGTATTGTTCTGCTCTTATTACAACAAAGATTCAAGCTAGAAATCCTTTACTATCTATTCAACTTCATTCATCATTGGTCAGGCATTCTAGAATGTAGTGGATGTGATAATCCCTTTGCTGTATAGACTCATTAGGTTTCCAGGATGTTTTGTTGTAAGTCCAATGCACCAGCAATAGATTTACCTATATCAAACTGCCAAGATTTAAAAAATGTCTCTCAGCACCCAAGGTTGTTGTTAGAAACTTTCCAGAAGTAATTCTGGAAATCTGAGGTTTCAGGCCTTGGTGAAGAACTCCTTCACTCTTCCTGCAGGTGAAGGAGGATGTGGGTTTTCTTGGGTTTGCCTAGAGGCCAGACACATGCATCTCTCAGTGCATCTTCCCAACCTGTTAGAATTCCCCTTTCTGGCCTGGAAGACATGGGCTTGGGGATCATCCCTTGGCCAGGCTAGCACTTATGTTCTCTCTTTTTTCTTTTTAAGAGTTGGGGGTTTCACTCTGTCGCCCAGGCTGCAGTCTAGTGGTGTGATCATAACCTTAAACTCCTGGGCTCAAGTGATCCTCCTGCCTGAGCCTCCCAAGTAGCTAGGGCTACAGGTGCATGCCACCATGCCTGGCTAACATTCAAACTTCTGGGCGCGAATGATCCACTTCAGTGTTTCAAAGTGCTGGGATTACAGGTGTAAGCCACTGCACCTGACATGTCCTCTCTGGACAGAGTGGACACTTGCTACCATCAGACCAACAATGAAAAGTTGTGAACTCTTGGCTGGGTGTGGTGGCTCATGCTTGTAATCCCAGCACTTTGGGAGGCTGAGGCGGTGGATCACTGGAGGTCAGGAGTTTGACACCAGCCTAGCCAACATGGTAAAACCCCATCTCTACTAAAAATACAAAAATTAGCTGGGCATGGTGGTGCACATCTGTAGTCCCAGCTATTCAGGTGGCTGAGGCAGGAGAATCACTTGAACTGGGGAGGTGGTGGTTGCAGTGAGCTGAGATCATGCCAGAAGGAAAAGTCAGCCTGTATTCCATCAACCAATGATACCAAAATTTTAAGGATAATCTAAAGGGCGGGTTTTGATAACTAGGGAACAGCTCAGATCATTCGCATCACTGTCTGTGTGGGTGCTCCAGGTCTAATGTGCTGATTGCAGGGCTGCAGAGTTGACTCCTGCATGTTCTCACACGTGGAATAGGAGTTAGGCAGCTGCAGCTCTGCCGTGCCCACACTGTCTGCACAGAAGCAGCATCTAAATATACTGTTACTTAAATCTATGTGAAGGTCACTTTGGAATTTAAAAAATTTCATGATTTTGGCCGGGCATGGTGGCTCATGCCTGTAATCCTAACACTTCGGGAGGCCGAGGCGGGCAGATTGCCTGGGCTCAGGAGTTCAAGACCACCCTGGGCAACATGGTGAAACTGCATCTCTACTAAAAATACAAAAAATTACCTGGGCATGGTGGTGCATGCCTTTAATCCCAGCTACTCGGGAGGCTGAGGCATGAGAATAGCTTGAACCCGAGAGGTGGAGGTTGCAGTGAGCTGAGATTGCACCACTGCACTCCAGCCTCGGCGACAGCAAGACTCTGTCTTAAAAAGATAAATAAATGAATAAATAAAGAAATAAATAAATATTTCATGATTTTGTTAAACATCACTTCCTAATAAAGGGAAAAAATACTTTTGTCACTGTGGAGAAGCCTTTGTGGGGTGGAGTCACTACTGGGGATAAAAGAGAAAATGTTGAAGGAAGTCATCAGCTTTGTTGCTTTTCTTAATTGCAAGGTTTGAGTTTCCTGCCTGATGATCAGAGCCAGAAGCACAGGTCTCCAGGAAATGCCACCACTGGATAGAGAGCCACACGCTGCTTCCTATCATACGTCTACCTGGACCTAACTCAGGAAGAAACATACACTTCCTACATTTTATCCCATAAGCAAAGCAACTTCTGTAGAACTGCCCATGGAGATTTTGTCTTAACTTCAAAAAGTGCTTCTCCTAATTTATTTTCTGTTGCACGGTATCAAGAAGCACCTGTGGAAAAAAAGGATTCAAAAGAAGAAAACCATAACCATCTTACAAGTGAGTTAATTGTGTTCCTCTCTTCTGTACTTAACTCACAGTGTTACTAAGTTGTCCTAAGATAAGAGAAGGCCTTTCTGTGTTTTTTGTTTAAAATTCTTTTTTCAGAGATGGAGTCTTGCTGTGTTGCTCAGGCTGGACTCAAACTCCTGGGCATAAGCAGTCCTCCCCCTTCAGCCTCCCAAGTAGCTGGACTATAGGCATGTGCTTCCCTGCCAGCTCTTGCTCTCATGCTCTCTCTCTGTGTGTGTGTGTGTGTGTGTGTGTGTGTGTGTGTGTGTTTGTCCCCTGTGGCTTTGTTTTTTTTTTTTTTTGGAGACAGAGTTTTGCTCTTTGGCCCAGCCTGGAGTGTAGACGCATGATTTCAGATCACTGCAACCTCTGCCTCCAGGGTTCAGGTGATTTCTTGTGTCTCAGCCTCCCAAGTAGCTGGGATTACAGGTGTGCGCCATTATGCCCAGATAATTTTTTGTATTTTTAGTAGAGATGGGGTTTTATCATGTTGGCCAGGCTGGTCTCGAACTCCTGGCCTCAAGTGATCTGCCACCTTGGCCTCCCAAAGTGCTGGGATTACAGATCTGAGCTACTGCACCCAGCCATAATTTGTCATTGATCACTTTTCAAAAACACGTTTTATCATGCTATTTTCTGTAACTGAACTCAACATGTTTCTACGTTGGTCACTTTTTAGAGACCCATTTTCTTTTTTCTTACTTTTCTATTACACTTTACGTTCTAGGGTACATGTGCACAACGTGCAGGTTTGATACATAGGTATACATGTGCCATGTTTGTTTGCTGCGCCCATCAACTCATTATTTGTTGGGGTGATCAGGCCCAATCCCAGACTGTGGGGGCTACGAAGTCCAGCGGAGTCAAATGAATAAGACAAGATAAGTTAACGGTGCATAAAGTGGGTCCAGGGGGCTGACACTAGTATGGAGGCTGTGAAGGCCCCGAGCTCTGGGAGCCCACACTATTTATTGGTGATCAAACAAAGAAGCAGGCGGTGAGGACATGGGGGTCGAAAGAAAGTGATGCATCAAGTGTTTGATCTATAGCTGTGTCAGTTTAGCATTTTCTTTGAAGCATATGGAACGAGTTCAGTTACAGAAAATAGCACATCATCTAATTTTTTAGCAAAAAGCTAGCATTTACTTTTTAGGGCAAGGTATTTGCATTTTCTGTGTGGGCCTAATATGCTCAAAACTGAGTTTTTTGATATTTGACAGGACGTGTTTTTTTAAACTGCTCTTAGTTAATACATTACTAAATTCAGTGAAAGAAAACAGCACATGTATTATTTGTGTGCTATATCTTGCTTTTAGCATTTAGGGATGTATATGCATATCTTCCTGAAAGTACAAAGTGGGCTCAGAAATGCTTTTTTTAAAGTTGTCTGAAACATTGTTTAAAAAAAGGATCAATATCTAAACATGTTCTGTTCAGTGAAAGAAAGCAGCACATCATCTAGATTTTTGGCACACAGCTTTCATTTACTTTTCAGAGCTAGATATTTGCATTTTCTGTGTGGGCCTACTATGCTCAGAATTGTGTTGTTTGAGATTTGACAAGTTGTGTATTTGAAAACTGCTATTAGTTAATACACGTTGAATTTAGTGAAAAAAAAAAAAACAGTGTATTAGACATTATTTGTGTGCCATATCTTGCTTTTAGCATTTAGGACTGTATTTTCATATCTTCCTGAAAGTTCTAACTAGGCTTTTATTAGTTTTTTTCTGAGTGTGTACAAACGTGTTTTTAAAAATGAATCAATGTCAAAACATGTTGAATTTGGAGAAAAAAACAGCACATCAGGTAGGTTTTTGGTACATAGCTTGCATTTACCTTTTAGGGCCTACTATGCTCAGAATTGTTTTTTCTGAGATTTGACAAGCTGCGTCTTTGAGAACTGCTATACCATGTAGAATTAAGTGAAGGAAACCAGAACATCATCTAGGTTTTTGGCACACCGCTTGTGTTTACCCTTTATGATTAGATATTTGCATTTTCTTTGTTGGCCTACTAAGCTTGAGGTTGTGTTTTCTGAGCTCTGTTTTCTAGATGTGTTTTTGATAATTGTGTTTTCTGAGATGTGTTTTTGAAAACTGCTCTCAGTTAACACATGTTGAATTCAGCAAAAGAAAACTGCACATAACTTATATTTTGGGTGCCATGTCTTGCTTTTAGCATTTGTAGCTGTACATGCATATCTTCCCAGAAGCGCTAACTGGGCTCTGAAATGGTATTTGAGCTTGTACAAAATGTGTTTTTGAAAAGTGATCATGTAAAAGCATCTTAAATTTATTGACAGAAAGCAGCACATCATTTAGGTTTATGGCACAAAGCTGGTGTTTACCTTTTAGAGCTAGATATTCGCATTTTCAATGTGGGCCTACTATGCTCAGAATTAGGTTTTCTGAGATTTGACAAGATGATCTTTGAAAAATGTTCTTAGTTAATACATGTTGAATTCAGTGAACAAAATAGCAGATCATACATATTTTGTGTGCCATATCTTGCTGTTAGCATTTAGGACTGTGTATGCATACATTCCTGGAAGTGCTAACTGTGCTTGGAAATGTTGCTTTTGGAGCTTGTAGAAAACGTGTGTTTAAAAAGTGTTCAATGTCAAGACATGTGGAACTCCGTGAAAAAAACAGCATATAATATATAGGTTTTTGGCAGAAAGCTTGTGTTTACCTCTGACGGCTAGATATTCACATTTTTTGTGTAAGACTACTGTGCTCAGAATTGTTTTCTGACTTGAAAACATGTGTTTCTGAAAACTGCTCTTAGTTAATAAACATTGAATTCAGTGAAACAAAACAGCACATCATCTAGGTTTTTGGCACAAATTAGTGATCACTTTCAGGGCTAGATATTTGCATTCTCCTTTTGGGTTTACTATGCACAGAATTGTGGTTTTTGAGATTTTACAAGATGTGTCTTTGAAAAGTGCTTTTAGTTAATACATGTTGAATTAGTGAAGCAAAACAGCACATCATACATTATTTGTGTGCCATATCTTGCTTTTAGCATTTATGGCTGTATGTGCATATCTTTCTGGAAGCACTAACTTGGCTTCCAAACTTTATTTTCTGAGCCTGTACAAAACGAGTTTTTGAAAAGTGATTAATGTCAAAACATATTAAATTAAGTGAGAAAAACAGCACATCATCTAGGTTTTTGGCACAAAGCTTGCGTCCACCTTTCTGGGCTAGACGTTTGCATTTTCTGTTTGTGCCACCTAAGTTAAAAATTGTGTTTTCTGAGATCTCACAAGATGTGTCTTTGAATACTGTTCTTAGTTAATACATGTTAAATTTAGTGAAAGAAAACAGCACATCATACAATATTTGTTCGCCACGTATTGCTTTTAACATTTAGGGCTATATATGCATATCTTTCTAGAAGCACTACTTGGGCTTCAAAATGTTATTTTTTGAGTTTGTACAAACAAGTTTTGGAAAGCGATCAATGTCAAAACATGATAAATTCAGTGAAAGAAAACAACATAACATTTTGGTTTTTGGGAAAAAGCTTGCATTTACCTTTCAGGGATAGAAATTCTCATTTTTTCTGAGGGCATTTTGTGCTAAAAATTGTGTTTTAAAAAATATTTGACAATATGTGCCCGTGAAAACAGCCCTTAGTTAATATATGTTGAATTTGGTGTAAGAAATACAGCATATCAAATATTATTTGTGTGCTATATCTTGCTTTTAGCATTTAGGGTTGTATATGCATGTCTTCCTAGATGTGATATATCCAGGTCTAAAAACTGAAAGCAACCTTTGTGTGCCAAAGAAAAAAAACAAAAACAACAACAACAACTGTATAATGTGCTGCTTTGTTTCACCGAATTCAACATGTTTTGCCTGAGAACAGTTTTTTAAAATTTGTTTTGTACAAACTCAGATCAAACATTTCTGAGCCCTGTAGGCCTTCATAGGAAGATATGAATTTCCAATCCCAACTGCTAAAAGCAAATTTTGGGCTAAAATACTTTATGACGTGCTGTTTTCTCTAATAGAATTCCACACATTTTTAATTAGAAATGTTTTCAAACACTTGTTTCATAGAAACTAAAAAATGACACTCTTGAGCCCAGTGAGATCCCTTATGAAGATAAGAAGATTCGGCCTTAAAAATGGAAAACAAGATTTTTTCCAAAGAACTTGATGATGTTTTGGGTTTGTTTTTGTTTTTCACTGAATTCAGCATCTTTTTACCTGGAACAGTTTTCAAATACACATTATGTAGAAGCTCAGAAAAGACATGTCTGAGCCCAGTGGGCACTCAGGAAAATACAGATATCCAGCCCTAAAGCTAAAAGCAAGCTTTGTGCCAAAAATCCTTTATGATATGCTGTTTTCTTTCACTGAATTCAACCTGTTTTGATGTAGAGCAGTTTTCAAAGACTTGTCTTGTCGAATCTCAGTCAACACAATTCTGAGTACAATGGACCCTCACAGAAAATGTGAATATCCAGTCCTAAAAGTTAAAAGCAAGATTTGTGCCTAAATTCATTAGGATGGGCTGTTTTCTTTGAGGAAATTCATCATGTTTTCACATGGAATCATTTTCAAACACAGGTTTTGTAGGCCTTCAGAACAGACATTTATGAACCCAGTGGGCACTCATAGCAGAATATGAATACCCAGCCCTAATAGCTAAAAGCAACCTTTGTGCCAAAAAACTTGATGATGTGCTGGCTGGGCGCGGTGGCTCACCCCTGTAATCCCAGCACTTTGGGAGGCCGAGGCAGGCGGATCACGAGGCCAGGAGATTGAGACCATCCTAGCTAACACGGTGAAACCCTGTCTCTACTAAAAATACAAAAAATTAGCCGGGCGTGGTGGCGGGCGCCTGTAGTCCCAGCTACTCGGGAGGCTGAGGCAGGAGAACGGTGTGAACCCGAGAGTCGGAGCTTGCAGCGAGCCAAGATCGTGCCACTGCACTCCAGCCTGGGGGATAGAGCGAGACTCTCTCTCAAAAAAAAAAAAGAAAAAGAAAAAGAAAACTGTATTAAGTGTAAACATATTATCTTTTTGTCAAAGAATACAGCCCATCATAAATATTCTGACACAAATTTTCTTTTAGCTTTTACAGCTGGATATTCGCATTTTCTTTGAGGGCCTAGTATGTGCAGAATTGTGTAGTCAGAGATTCAGCACAATTTGAAAAGTGATCAATGTCAAAGCATGTTGAATTCATCAAAAAAGATAGTACATCATACAGTATTTGTGTGCCATATCTTGCTTTTAGCATTTAGGGCTGGATTTGCATAACTGCATAAAAAAACTAACTGGGCTCAGAAATGTTTCTTCTGAGCTTGGAAAAAACACGTTTTTGAAAGCTCTTCAAATAAAAGCCTGTTGAATTCAGTGAAAGAAAGCAGCACATTATACCGTATATGTGTGCCACATCTTTTAGCATTCAGAGCTGGTTATGTCTACCTGCCCTTAAAGGCTAACTTGGCTCAGAAATGTTTGCTCTGAGCTTGTACAAAACATAGTTTATAAAAATGTTCGAGAGCAAAACGTGGAATTCAGAAAAAAACCCCTGCATATCATGTAATATTTTGGCACAAAGCTTGCTTTTTTTTTAATACTAGAGCTGGTTATTCGTATCTTTCTATAAGGGCTACATGGGCTGAAGTGTGTGTTTTTTAGCTTCTATATAATGTAGGTTTGACAACTGTTCCAAATAAGAATTTATTTAATTTAGTGAAAGAAAACAGCACAACATAATTAATTTAGGCAGAAGTTTGCTATTGGCTTTTAGGGCTGGATATTCTAATTGTCTGCGAGAACCTAGTATGCTCAGAATTCTGTTGTCTGATATTTGAAAAGATATGTCTTTGAAAACTGCTCTTAATCAAAACATGTTGAATTCAGAGAAAGAAAATAGCACATTATCTAGGTCTTTGGCACAAAGCTTGCGTTTACCTTTTAGGACTAGATATTCGCATTTTCTTTGTGGGCCTACTATGCTCAGAATTATGTTTTCTGAGATTTGACAAGATGTGTCTTTGAAAACTGCTCCTACTTAATACTTGAATTCAGTGAAAGAAAACAGCACATCATTCATTATTTGTGTGCCCTATCTTGCTTTTAGCATTTAGGGCTGCATATGCATATTTTCCTGGAATCAATAACTTGGCTCCAAACTGTTTTCTTTCTGAGCTTGTACAGAATGTGTTTTTGAAAGTGATCAGTGTCAAAACACGTTGAATTCAGTGAAAGAGAACAGCCCATTATCTAGGTTTTTGGCACAAATCTTGCATTTACTTCTTAGGGCTACTCACATGTTCTGTATAGCTTTACTATGCTCAGAATTGTGTTTCCTAAGATTTGACATGATGTGTCTTTGAAAACTGCTCTTATACATGTTAATATAAGTGAAAGAAAACAGCACATCAAACGTTATTTGTGTGCCATATCTTCTGCCAGCATTTAGGGCTGCATATACATATCCTCCTGAAAATGCTAAATGGGCTTTGGAATAAATTTTTTCTTAGCTAGTAATAAACATATATTTAAAAGTGATCAATGTCAGAACATCTTGAATTCAGTGAAAGAAACCTGCTTATTATAGACAATTTTGTCTCAAAGCTTGGGCTGAATATTTGTATCTTTCTATAAGAGCTCACTGGGCTCATACTTGTTTTTTTATCTTCTAGAAAACGTGGGTTTGATAACTGTTCTAAGTTGCAATGTGTTTAATTCAGTGAACGAAAATAGCATATCATAAAAATTTTTGGCACAAACCTTGTTATACCTTTTAGGGATGGATATTCATATGCTTCTATCATTCTCTGCTATTCTCAAAATGTGTCTTCTGAGCATCAACAAAACTTGTGTTTGAAAACTGTTCTAAGTAAAAAAAATGGTTAATTTAGTCAAAGAACACAGCCCATCATAAAATATTTTTGCAGAAACCTAGTTATTAGGTTTTAGGTCTGATATTTGCATTTTCTGTGAGGGCCCACTATGCTCAGAAAATATATATATATATATAAATAAAATTTTTTTGAGATGGAGTCTCACTTTGTCACCCAGGTTGGGGTGCAGTGGTGTGATCTTGGCTCACTGTAAGCTCCGCCTCCCGGGTTCATGCCATTCTCCTCCTTCAGCCTCCCAAGTAGCTGGGACTACAGGTGCCCACCACCACGCCTGGCTAATTTTTTGTATTTTTTCGTAGAGATGGGGTTTCACCATGTTAGCCAGGATGGTCTTGATCTCCTGACCTCATGATCTGCCCACCTCGGCCTCCCAAAGTGCTGGGATTATAGGAGTGAGCCACTGTGCCTGGCCGAATATTTTTTTTTTGAAATTTGACAAGATGTGTCTTTGAAAACTGCTCTACATCAAATCAGGTAGAATTGAGTGAAAAAAAATGACAAATCATCTAGGTTTTTAAAACATAGCCTGCTTTTAGAATTTAGGGTTAAATATTTGTATTTTTTGTGATGTCCTACTATGTTTAGAATTGTGTCATCTGAGATTTGACTAGATGTGTCTTGGAAAACTGCTCTTTGTTAATACATGTTGAATTCAATGAAAGAAAACAGCACATCATATATTATTTGTGTGCCATATATTGCTTCTAGCAATTAGGGTTGTATAATGCATACCTTCCAAAAAGCACTAACTGGCCTACACAATGTTTTTTTCTGACCTTGTACAAAATGTGTTTCTGAAAAGTGATCAATATCAAAACATGTTTCCTTCAGTGAAAGAAAACAGCACATCATCTAGGTTTTGGGGACAAACCTTGTGTTTAACTGTCAGGGTAGATACTTGCATTTTCTGTGGAAGTCTACTTTGCTAAGAATTGTGTTTTCCAAGATTTGACAAGATATGTCTCTGAAACCTGGTCTTAGTTAATACATGTTGAATTTAGTGAACGAAAACAGTACATGATACATAATTTGTATGCCATATCTTGCTTTTAGCATTTAGGGCCGTATATGCATATCTTCCTGGATGCACTAACTTGGCTTTGAAGAGTTATTTTCTGAGCTTGTACAAAACGTGTTTTTCAAAAGTGATCAATGTCAAAACATGTTGAATTCAGTTACAGAAAACAGCACATCATCTAGGTTATTGACACAAAGCTAGCATTTACCATTTAGGGCTAGATATTTACATTTTCTCTGTGGGCTTACTATGCTCAGAATTATGTTTTCTGAAATTTGACAAGATGTGTCATTAAAAACTGCTGATAGTTAATACATGTTGAATTCAGTGAAAGGAAGCAGCATATCATGCATTATTTGCATGTCATATTTTGCTCTTAGCATTTAGAGATGTATATGCATTTCTTACTGGATGTGCTAATTAGGCTTCAAAATGTTATTTTCTGAGGTTGTACAAAATATGTGTTTAAAAAGTGATCAATGTCAAAACATGTTGAATTCAGTTAAAGAAAACAGCACATAGCTTTATGGCACTAAGCTTATGTTTATCTTTGACAGCTAGATATTGACATTTTCTGTGTAAGCCTACTGCGCTCAGAATTGTGTTTTCTGAGATTTGACAATATGTGTCTTTGGAAACTGTTCTTAGTTAATACGTGTTGAATTCAGTGAAAGAAACCAGCACATCATACATTATTTGTGTGCCATATCTTTCTTTTAGCATTTAGGGCTTTTATGCCTATCTTCCAGAAAGCACTAACTGGGCACAGAAACATTTTTTTCTGAGCTTGTACAAAGTGTGTTTTTGAAAAGTGATCAATGTCAAAACATGTCAAATTAAATGAACAAAAACAGCACATCATCTAGGTTTTTGGAACAAAGCTTGTGTTTACCTTTTAGAGCTAGATATTCGCATTTTTTCTGTGGGCCTACTAAGTTCAAAATTGGGTTTTATGAGATTTGACAAGATATGTCTTTAAAACTGCTCCTAGTTAATACACGTTGAGTTCAGTAAAAGAAAACTGCACATCATACATTATTTCTGTTGCTATCTTGCTGTTAGCATTTAGTGCTGTATATGCGTATCTTCCTGGAGATGCTAAGTGGGCTCTGAAATGCTTTGTTCTGACCTTGTATGAATGGGTTTTTGAAAAGTGATCAATGTCAACACATGTTGAATTTAATGAAAGAGAACAGCAAATAACCTAGGTTTTTGGAACACAGCTTGCATTTACATTTTAGAGCTAGATACTCGCATTTTTTGTGTGAGGCTATTATGCTCTGAATTGTGTTTTTTGAGTTTTGACAAGATGTGTCTTTGAAAACTGCTATTAGTTAATACATGATGAATTCAGTGAAAAAACAACAGCAGATCATACATTGTTTTTGTGCCATGTCTTACTTTCAGCATTTAGGGCTGTATATGCCTATTTTCCTGGAAGTGCTAACTGGGCTCCAAGATGTTTCTTTCTGATCTTGTACAAACGTGTTTTTGAAAAGTGGTCAATGTCAAAACATGTTGAATTCAGTGAAATAAAACAGCACATTGTCTAAATTTTTGGCACGAAGCTTGAATTTACATTTCAGGGCTAGATATTCCCGTTTTCTGTGTGGTCCTACTTTGCTCAGAATTGTGTTTCTTGAGATTTGTCAAGATGTGTCCCTGAAAAGTGACCTTAGTTAATGTATGTTGAATTCAGTGAAATAAACAGCACATCGTATATTATTTGTGTGCCATGTCTTGCTTTTAGCATTTAGGGCTGTATACGCATATATTTCTGGAAGCGCTAACTAGGCTTTGAAATATTTTTTTCTGAGCTTTTACAAAACGTGTGTTTGAAAAGTGATCATTGTCAAAACATGTTTATTTTATTGAAAGAAAATAGCACATAATATAGATTTTTGGCACAAAGCTTGCGTTTAACTTTCAGGGTAGATAATCGCTTTTTCTGTGTGGGCCTACTGTGCTCAGAATTGTGTTTTTTGAGATTTGACGAGATGTGTCTTGGGAACTTCTCTTAGTTAATACATGTTGAATTCAGTGAAAGAAAACAGCATATCATACATTATTTGTGTGCCATATCTTGCTTTTAGCATTTAGGGCTATATATGCATATTTTCCTGGAAGCACTAACTTGGTTCTGAAAAGTTTTTTTCTGAACTCGTACAAAACGTTTTTTAGCTGGAGAAGTAGGTGAAACAGCCATTGGAAAAAAATTTTTTTTTTTTGAGACGGAGTCTCGCTCTGTCGCCCAGGCTGGAGTGCAGTGGCACGATCTCGGCTCACTGCAAGCTCCGCCTCCCGGGTTCACGCCATTCTCCTGCCTCAGCCTCCCAAGTAGCTGGGACTACAGGCGCCCGCCACTACGCCCGGCTAATTTTTTGTATTTTTAGTAGAGACGGGGTTTCACCGTTTTAGCCGGGATGGTCTCGATCTCCTGACCTCGTGATCCGCCCGCCTCGGCCTCCCAAAGTGCTGGGATTACAGGTGTAAGCCACCGTGCCCGGCCGGAAAAATTTTAACAGTGAGAAAATGATGACAGTTAATGAGATTTAATCTACCCAATTATCATGTTGCCTTTAACCTCCAACTGCCTTTACTCAATCCTGGGCTTGTGTCGAGCTAACTTGGGGAGACATTTAGTTTATAGTTTAAATAAACTAAACTTTTCCCCCAAATTAACTGCCTTTGTAAATCTAACGAGAGGCTGTCAGGTTGTGAGCATGAGAGAAGTCTGAATTCTGCTAAGGTGTGGACATAAACAGTTACCAGCCATTATTCCAAAGATCACAAGATTTGCAGCTTCTAATTACTCCTGCAGATAACATCACTGTTGTAGAACCTAAGACTGGTTTTTTAATATATCTTTTCAGGTTTTTGCATTGCTGAAGACTGACGACTTCACCCAGACCCACCAACTGGTCCTGGGACCCCCACCCAGGAACCCATTCAGTGCAGGAGGACAGCTTCAGCTCCCTGTGTCTTCACGTGTGACCCAATTGATCAGCACTTCCCTCTTCCTGGCCCCCTACTGACCAAACTATCCTTTAAAAACCCTAGTCACTGAGTTTCCAGGGAGACTAATTTGACTAATAATAAAACTGGTCTCCCATTCAGCCAGCTCTGCATGAATTAAACTTTCTCTATTGCATTCCCCTGTCTTAACAAATCAGCTGTACCTGGGCACTGGGCAAAATGAACCCATTGGATGGCTACATATGTCCAGGTTAATCCCGTCATCACTGGGGGACTTGTGTAGGGGATTTTGGCTCTGGAAAGGATGGATTAGAGATCTGTGTTCTCCAGACTGAAGTGTGCAGATTATTGCCAAGAAAAACCTCTGAGAAGCACAAGCTCAGGCCTTGGGGACTTCACGCATGTTGGTTGCCTGCTGAATAGGAGGCTCCTGTGTCCACCCTCACAGCTTGGTCCTCACTTATATGAGCCCAACTGGGAATGCTCTCTGTGATTCAGGTCCACTTACTTCTAGAATGCTCAGGTAGGAAGTAATCATTAGAAGCAGATGAAGTATGTTACCCCAGGAGCATAGTAGATTAGCCATTGACTTGTTTTCCCCCTGTTGGATCTTAATCTTCCATGCAAATTAATCACCAAGGGCTCAAAAACAGCCCTTGGATTAACATGCTCTGTTCACAGTCCTGGCATGTTGGGACCCAAGCCCAGTCCCTCATGGGGAGGGACTTCACTTTCTTTTGCTCCTCCCCAGTAGCCCTCCTATTGGTTTGGATACAGCTACCCTGGGTTTGGCTCCTGCCTTTTCCTTCACAGTTGCTACCCAGGAACAGGGAAAAAAGGGGTCTGCTATTGATGATGTTGGTAACCCCCACTGGGTGAACCTCACTGGGTGAACAGGTCAGCCACACACGCTACAAAAAAGAAGGGCATCTGCCTCAACAGTAGAGTGAAGAAAGGCAGAAGTCTGCTCCTTATGAGCTAGCCTCCAGGGCATACAAAGACATTCTTACACATTCATTCCTTTTTGTATTCACTTTTTGAACATTTATTGGGCATCTGTAGTATGCTGGGACATTCATTGGTTCTGAAGACATGGAGATAAACATTGGGGTACTCTGATCCATAAAACAAATACTTCTAAACCTGCAAAAAACTTAGCCACACACTAATAGTGGGGAACTTCAACATCCTACTGACAGCTTTAAATGGATGATTGTGGTGAAAACTAACAAAGAAATTCTGGACTTAAACTTGACACTTGACGAATTTGACCTAATAGTCTTATTGTTTTATCCAAATTACCACTGTGTCCCTTTTAAGTAGGGCATTTAGACCAATTACATTGAAGGTTAATATTGATATGTGGGATGTTTATCCTGTCATTGTTTTGTAGACTCAATTGTGCAGTTGCTTGATAGAGTCATTGGACGATGTACTTAAGTGTGTTTTTATGTTAGTAGTACTCTATCTAACAAACACAGAATATACATTCTTCTCATCTGCATATAGAACATATTATAAGATTGACCACATGCTTGTCCATAAAGCAACTCTTAATAAATTTAAAAAATAGAAATTAGACTATACTCTCAGACCACAGGGCAATAAATTCAACACCAAGAATATCTCTCAAAACCACACAATTATATGAAAATTAAACAACTTGCTCCTGAATGACTTTTGGGTAAACAATAAAATTAGAGCAGAAATAAAAAATTCTTTCAAATTAATGAAAACAGGACAGAACATGCCAAAATATCTGGGATACAGCAAAAGCAGTATCAAGAGGAAAGTTTATAGTGCTAAATGCCTACACCAAGGGGATAGAAAAAAATCACAAATTAATAGACTAACATTGCACCAAAGGAACTAGATAGACAAGAACAAATTAACCCCAAAGCTAGTAGAAGAAAATAAATAAAATCAGAGCACAACTGAATGAAATTGAGATGCAAACATTTGTACAAAAGATCAACAAAACCCAAAGTTTGTTCACAGAAAATACAAACAGAATTGATAGTCTGCTAGCTATATTAACAAAGTAACAAAAGGGAAAACCAAAAGAAGCACAATCAGAAATGACAAAGATGACATTACTACTGATTCCACAGAAATATAAAGATCTTCAGACTATTATTAACACCTTTATGCACACAAACTAGGAATTCTAGAGGAAACTGATAAATTCCTGGAAACACAAACCTCCCAAGAATGAATCAGGAAGAAACTGAAACCTGAACTGACCAATCTTGAGTTGCAAAATTGAAGCAGGAATAAAAACCAACTAAGCAAAAAAAGTCCAGGATTAGATAGATTTACAGCTGAATTCTACCAGATGTACACAGAACAGCTGATACCAATTCTACTGATACTATTCCAAAAAATAGAGAAACTCCTCCTTAACTCATCTATGAAGTCAGCATCATCCTGATATCAAAACCTAGCAAAGACACAACAAAAAAAGAAAACTACAGGCCAATATCCCTGATGAACTTATACACAAAGATTCTCAACAAAATATTAATACTAGTGAACTTAATCTAGCAGCACATCCAAAAGTTAATTCACCATAAAAATGTAGGTTTGATTCCTGGAATCAAGTTTGTTTCAACATATGCAAATCAATAAATGTGATTTACCACATAAACATTAAAAACAACACCTATAGGATCATCTCAATGGATGTAGAAAAAGCTTTTGATAAAATTCAACTTCCCTTCATGTTAAAAACCCTCAACAAAGTAGGCATCAAAGAAACATACCTCAAAATAATAAGGGCCATCTGTGACAAACCCACAGCCAACATTATATGGAATGGGCAAAAGCTGGAAGCAGTCCCCTTGAGAACTACAACAAAATAGGATTCCTATTCTCACCATTCCTATTCAGTGTCATACTAGAAGTCCTAGCCAGGGCAATCAGGCAAGAGAAAGAAATATAAGGCATCCAAGTAGAAAAAGAAGAAGTCAAACTATTTCTCTTTATTGATGATATAATTCTATACCTAAAACCCTAAAGACCTCACCAAAAGGCTTCTAGAAGTGATACACAACTTCATTAAATTTCACAATAGAAAATCAATGAAAATCAGTAGCATTTCTATACATCAGTAATGTATGACCTGAGAGCCCAATCAGGAACACAATCTCCTTTACAATAGCCACAAAAGAAGTAATGTCTAGGAATACATCTAACCAAGGAGGTGAAAGATCTCTAGAAGGAGAACTACAAAACACTGCTGAAAGAAATCATAGATGACAAACAAATAAAAAATTCCATGCCCATGGATTGGAAGAATTAAAATTGTTAAAATGGCCATACTGCCAAAGCAACTTACAAATTCTGTTCTATCAAACTACCAATGCTATTTTTCACAGAATTAGAAAAGACTTTTCTAAAATTCATATGGAACCAAAAAAGAGCCCAAAGATCCAAAACAAACGTAAGTAAAAGGAGCCAAACTAGAGGCATCACATTACCCAACTTCAAACTATACTGTAAGGCTACAGTAACCAAAATAACATGCTACTGTTACAAAAACAGACACATAGACCAATGGAACAGAACAGAGAACCCAGGAATAAAGCCCCACACTTTCGATCATCTAATCTTCAACAAAGTGGACAAAAACAAGCAATAGGGGAAGGACATCCTATTCAATAAATGGTGCTGGGATAGCTGGCTAGCCATACACAGAAGAAAGAAACTGGACCCTACCTTTTACCATTTGTACAACAATTAACTGAAGATGAATTAAAGGTTTAAATGTGAGACCTCAAACTAACAGAATGCTAGAAGAAAACTTAGGAAACACTATTCTGGACATCAGCCTTGGGAAAGCTAAGGTTAAGTCCTCAAAAGGAATTGCAATAAAAATAAAAATTGATAAGTAGATCTAATTAAACTAAAGAGCTTCTGCATAGCAATAGAAACTTTCAGCAGAGTAAATGTACAGAATGGGAAAAATATTCACAAACTATGCATCCAACAAAGGTCACATATCCAGAATCTGTAAAGAATTTAAGTAACTGAACAAGCAAAAAACAAATAACCTCATTCAAAAATAGTCAGAATACATGAACAGATACTTCTGAAAATAATACATACAAGTGGCATAGAAACATATGAAAAAATGCTCATCGTCACTGATCATCAGAGAAATGTAAATTAGAAGCACAATGAGATACAATCTCACACCAGTCAGAATCACTATTACAAAAAAGTAAAAACATAACAGATGTTGGTGAGGTTGTGGAGAAAAAGGAACAACTTATACGCTGTTGGTGGGAATGTAAATTAGTTTAACTACTCAACTACTGTGGATATCAGTTTGCAGATTTCTCAAAGAACTGAGAACTACCAGTCAATCTGGCAACCCCATTACTAAGTATATATCCAAAAGAAAACCAATTATTCTACCAAAAAGTCATACATGCACTCACATGTTCATCACAATACTACTCACAATAGCAATGACATGGAATCAACCTAGGTGCCCATCAACAGCGAATTGGATAAAGAAAATGTGGTACGTATACTTCATGGAATACTACACAGCCATAAAAAGAACAAAATTATGTTCTTTGCAGCAACATGGATGCAGCTGGAGGCCATTATCCTAAGCAAATTAACACAGGAACAGAAAACCAAATACCGCATATTCTCACTTGTACGTGGGAGCTAAACATCAGGTATTCATGGTCACAAAGATGGAAACAAAAGACATTGTGGGCTACTAGTGGGGAAAGGGAGGGTGGTGGTGAGGGTTGAAATTCTAACTGTTGGGTAGTATGGTTGGTATTTGGGTGGTGGGTGTATTCATACCACAAACCTTAGCATCATGTCATTTACCCAAGTAAAAACTTGCACATGTACCCTCTGAATCTAAAATAAAAGTTGAAAAATAAAGAGCAAATAAAACTGGGCCAGGGCAGCAATTCAAAGCATGATAGATAGATAGATAGATAGATAAATAGATTAAAATAAATCTAAACTACAAACTTGTCTTTTCACTATCTTGATAATGTTCTTTTATGGATTCTAGTTTTTAATTTTGATGAAGTCCAATTTATGTATTTTTCCTCTTGTTTCTCATGCTTTCAGTGCTATATCTAGGACTCCATTGTCAAATCAAAGGTCATGGAGATTTATTTCTATGTTTTCTTTTAAGAGTTTTAACATTTATGTTAAGGTTTTTAATTCATTTTGAGTTAATTGTTGTATATACTGCCATGTAAGAACATCACCTCACTCCTTTGCATGTGGCTATCATTATCCCAGCACCATTTGTTAAAAAGAGCGTTTTTTCTCCATTGAATTTTCCTGGCAATGCTGTGAAAAGTCAATTACCCATAGATGCTTAAATTAATTTCTGGACTCTCCATTCTCTTCCGTTAGTCTATGTGTAAAGTTACAGATCTACCCTTGACCCGGAATGCCTATCAGAAGCTGATCAAGTGCACACGTTCTGTTCTTATGATAATTACAACTGGGACTGGACTCTATAATATTTGACTGTATAGTGTCTTCCAAAATTCTTTCTTATAATGTTTCACCTTGTTAATAAACTCCTGAGCCTAAGAATGGAAAGAAACATGTTTTATACTCACAGTTTCTTAATTTCGAAAACTATCCTGCATGGACTGATCACTCAATTTAGGAAGCTGGCGTAAGGAGCATTTATTAGCATTCTGAACAGGGACCTCTGATCTAAGACTCTAAGTACTACAGTCATTTAGTAGTGAAATTCCATTCTGTGATTGGTTCTTAGAGAACTAGTTTTACAAAAGCCCAAAGATACAAGAAAGTTCACAGAAAACTGTTTGTAATACTTAGAAATTGGAACCAATAAAAAAAGGTAATCAGTTGGGGATAGATCATTATAAAGCCTCCATATGAATGAATTATTCATGATTATTTAAAATTGAAATATGTCTGCAGTTACAGAATAAGTTGCATAGTATGATCCGATATGTATATAAACAACATCATATATGTATGTGTGTGTGTATATATATATGTATATGGGTGTATGTGTATATATTTCACCTTGTAATATTTTACCTTGTTAATAAAACCCTGGACCAAAAAATGTAAGTTAAAGGATTGTGTGTGTGTGTGTGTGTGTGTGTGTGTGTGTGTGTGTGCGGCGCACGCATGCGTGTGTGCTCATAACCAAATTTCTGCAGGAATAAAGGGAACGTTTCTATATGATGACTTTGCCTTTTTTAAAAAAAAAACAAAAAGCACATATATTTAAATTGTTTAAGGGGAGGTCCATGCTCTGACCTTTAAACTAAATTGCCTTAAAACCTCCTGAAGAATTTTCTGTGTTGTCTGAGAACAGAGCTACAAAGAGCCATAACACTTTCCAAAGTTAGAGACAAAATATTCCTTTTAAGCTTGAGGGGCAAGCCCCTGGGCTCCTAAGCAGGCTGCCTGTGACCCTGGATATGAATTTCAGGCCAGCTCCTTCTGCCTTTTGGGGTCTGGTCAGCCTACCTGGATTTTATGTTCTTCAGAAAATCTTTGACCTTTTCCAGGGAAAACTTCACTATATCACTATTTGCAGGTAAAACTTTGCTTATATTTTAGAACCTCTAGAAAGAATGCAACTCTGTATATACTTTGATGTTATTTTATTAAAGTCAATTTCAGAATTCTGACCTCCAGAACTCCAAGAGAATCCACATTTCCTCATGGATTTGCTACTCAGTTTGTCCAAGAACTTATTGAGGTGCACCTCCTGGACCTGGCAGTCACTCCCAAAACAAGAGGAAGCAGCCATGAACCACCAGAGCTCAGAGAACTTGAGTGACATACACAGATTCTCCTACTGGAACTGAGGTCCAGATGCCCAGGCAGGCCCAGAACTCATTTTTCTACAGATGAGGGCATCAAATCTGCAGTGCGCTCACGCTGTCTGCTCCAGACCTTCAGGCTCTTCTGTCTGGAATGTTCCTCCCTGCTCACTTTGCACACCCAGGACCCAGCTCAGATGGGACTCCTCAGGGACACCTACCCACCTGGCCAGTCACACCTTCCTGTGGCACCTGCTCCTTGCTGTCTCCTCACCAATCATACTCAAAGCAGATGCTATGGATTGTGTTTATTTACCAGCTACAGGAGCATTAACATTTTATAATTAATATTTAATCAAGTTTAGTAAGCTGTATTTTTGAGGATATATGCAGATAGTTTAAAATTTCAAATAAAGTGTTACAAAGTTGCTTACTGGCATAAGCTCCAGCAATTTAATATGTTCATCCTTTTATTTCTAATATTGTCTATTTTCCTGATAAATCTTGACAGATGATTAACCATTTTTATTAGTGTACTTAAAGAAATGTTGATCTTTATTGAACTTTGCTGGATTTCTGTTACAATTTTTTTATCCATGATTTTTTACTAGAAATTCATATCTACTAATGTGTTTGGATTTATTCTGAAGACTTTTTCTAATATTTCTCAGATTAGAAACTCAATTCACTAATTTACAGTCTTTCTTACCTTCTAATATATCATTTATAAGTCTAATATTTCCTTAAATACTGCTTGTGGTAGGCAGAATAACAGCATCCAAAATATGTCCATATAGTAATAGATACTGATGCAATGTAATCACAATGGGCTAAAAGTGGAAGACAGAAGCAGAGATTCAGAGAGATTTGAAGATGCAATATTGCTGGCTTTGAAGATGAAGGAGAGGACACAAGCCAAGGAATGCCGGTGGCCTCTAGAAACTGGAGCAGTCAAGGAAAAGAATGATCTTTTAGAACATCTACAAAGAATGCCACTCTGTAGATACCTTGATTTTATTTTATTAAAGCCAATTTCAGAATTCTGATCTCCAAAACTCTAAGATACTATATTTGTGTTGTTTAAGTCACTGGTTATGGTCCTTTATTACAGCACCGATAGGAAACTAATGCACTGCATTTGTTGTATCCACAAATTTATAGTTTTACCAAGTATAACCTTTAAATATTTTAGAATATTCATTTTAATGTCTTCTTTCATCATCGGTTTTTAGAAGTTTATTTTTTCTGTGTGATTTTATGTCCAAATGAAGGCTATTTTTGTGACAATTAGATTAAGGTTAAATAATGTGGTCTGTGTGATGACAATCCTATGACACATGCAGCTTAGGATTTCATCATTTATTCTAGATTTAATGCATGGTCTACTGGACATATATAAAATATTAGACTTTAAAATAGGAAGGTTGAAATATTACATAAACTAAAAGGGCATCAAGTTTTTATTTTTTGCTACTTATATTTTACATACCTTTGTTGATCTTTTTTTCAAAATGTCTTTGCTCAAACAATTACTGAGAGAGTGTTAGACTCTTTTCATACAATTGAATTGTGCCTTTTGTAAAAAGAATTCTTCTGAGTTTTCTTGTAATGTACAACATGTAAAATACATATAGCCTCTTTCACCTGAAAAGCAGTGTAGTATGGAAGGGCATAGGGACAAAAACACACAAACAAAAACTTTCACCGATATCATTGGAACCACAGCAAAAACAAATACAAAGCACCTACCGTATGCAGGAAACCTGCTGGGCCCTGGGGTACCTGCTCCAGCTAATTTCCATGACAACCCGAAAGACCAGGACACAGATGAGGAGACTGAAGGTCAAAGAGGTGAGATCCTGTGGCAGGTGGCAGAACTAGGGCTGAACAAGGTTTGCTTGCTCCAAAGCCCAGGTTGTGGGGTGGAGAGCAAGGGCCACGGAAGGCCTGTGCCCTCCTCAGAGAAGAGTCCCGCTGCTACCTGCCCTCTGCAGCCCACCTGGGTTGGCATCATAGAAGCAGCCTCTCCCCAGCCGCAGCAAGGCCAGCAGGGCCAGCACGGGGCCATCTGAGTCCTCAGGAGAGGGCTACCAGCAGGGACTTGTGGGCCTCATCCAGGTGGCCACCAGGGTGTTGGCCACCAGAAGGTGCGATACGTCCTCCACATCCAACTCATTGGCAGTGTGGCCAGCTGGTGCACGCCGTGGGGCTTCCCTGTGGGGAGAGTGCCTCAGGATGGGCTGGCCCCTTCCCCACACCGCCTCACCTACCCAGCTGATTGGGCCACAGGTAAATCCTGTCTCTATGCACCTGGCCTGGGTAGCTTCCTTCCCACAGGACTGCAGAGACCTGTGTCCCTTTGGAGGGACCCCCACGCCATGCCATCCCCAGAACCCACAGCTGCACTTCCCGGTGTGCAGCCATCGACCCTACCTTCCCCTCAATCTCTCCGTCGCCCTGTGGGGGAGGCACTTTACAGATGACAGATTTGAGGTTACATAGATGGTCAGCAGCAGGGCTGACCCTGAGCAGATCCTGCATCAGTTTCCTTTTCCACAAAAATTTGGATTAGCAATATGGCCTTGCTGGTCTCTGGACCCATGGGTGTGTCTGTAGGCAGAACAAGGTAACACAGGGGCTACAAGTGGCATGTGTCTGTGTCCACGTGGGAATGTTGGGAATGCTCATGAATTCTCACTGGGAAAAGGAGACAGAGCCTCAATTTTAACAATTTCCAGATACAAATATAATGGCCTCAAATCACATAAAAGAAAGAAGAAAGTTCTTCCTCACCAGCAAACCAAAGCCATACAAATTAAGCACCTGGGAGGCAGAGGAAGAATGTGAGAGTGTGTGTGTGTGTGTGTGTGTGTGTGTGTGTGTGTGTGTGTGTTTGGTGGGGTGGGGGCTGACATCAATGATGACCCCAAGACATCCCCAGTCTCAGTGGTTTTAACATTGCTAAAACTCCTTCCTGTCATCTTCCAGCAGTCAGAGGACTTACTCATCGAAACAGCTGAGGTTGGCAAAAGAATTTGCACCCATTAGGTTGGCAAAGAATTTGCAAAGTGAGCATCAGGGCTGGGTGGAGGATGAGAGGTGACCAGATGGTTAGGGGGACAGCTCCTAAAGTCAAGGATCCTACAGGTGGCAGTGCTCCCTGATCCAGGAGCTCTATATCTGTCTCCATCTTAAGGAGAAAACATCGTGGAGACAGGATGTCACTCATGATGTGTTACAACCAAGAGCAAAAATCTAGGACTCTCCAAAGGAATAACAGCATGTGCACAGGACGGGCCATGGAGCTGCCAGGAAATATAATTAGCAACAAAAGGGATTTTCATGATCTGTTGAGTATAAAAGGATATAAATGGCATCCACAGCACAAACTCAATTTTCTGAGATATATTTTATATGCACACACAAAAAGACCAGAAGGAAATGTGAGCAGTGGGAGAATGGGTAAGTTTCATTGTTCCTTTCCATTTCTGAGTTTCTAATTTTCTGTGGAGAAAAAGCCCATGATACATCATGGTATTTGAGAGGGAGGATCCTAAAATCTAAGCCCTGGAGCTAAATCTGCCATCGATGCTGGGGGAAATCACTCCACCACTCTGCCTCAGTTTGCTCACCCATAAAATAGAAAGAAACACATCTTTCCCTACCTCAAAGGAGACCAGAATGCAACAGCAGCCCCCATGCATGCCCTCTGGCTGGTTTATGCTCTTCCTGCGCAGTAGGGCTGTCTATGTCCACAGCTTTATGCCCTGTGCCCTCTAAAACCCTGAGTCAGGTCTGAGCTGGAGCATCCTGCAGCCCTCCTCCTGCAGCAGCCCCAGCTGGTTTCCAGGCACATAGGCCTTGGGGCCTGCACTTCCTCCTCCGGCAACAGCCTCCATGCAGTGACACAGTCCAGTGTGCCCAGAACACAGTCCGGCCAGCACCTGCAGCAGCCCGAAGCTGCACAGTTACACACAGCTGTCTGGGTGTGGCGCCCCCTGTTCCACCACCTCTTGGAAGTCTTCCTGGATGCACCAGGAATTTCCTGCTGGCCAGCAACGTCCTCGGCCTTTGGGTGCACCTAGATGAAGTCCTGGAGGGTGCTGGCCACATCAGGAGGTAGGGGCATGGCAGCTGAATGCAGCCAGGTTGAAGGCAATGGGAGGCTGGAAGTGCTCAGGACAAGGTGCTGGTCCCCCCTTGGCAGAGGCAGGCCACGAGATCCTTGGCTGACATCATGCCGATGGTCCTGATAGACCCATGTCCAGTCCTCATGACACCTTGGGGACGGAGAGTGCGGTCAATGCACAGGGGTCAGCCAGTCCATACCCCCGTGGCCACCCATGCCCAGCCTCAAGCCACCTCCTGCTCTCCCCCAGTGAGACCCCAGGTTCAGTGTAGATCCCACTGCATGAAAACTGGAGGATCCAGTCGTTAAGGGGCATTTGTGGTGCTCCCTGAGTAGGTGGTCTCCATGGCCTGGGGTTGGGGTCTACCAGGCCCACTCCCAGCCCACTGTTTACCTCGTGGGCCTCAGCTTCCTCCTCTGCAGAATGGGACGCTGACCCTGCCCAGCTTAGTTCCCTCTAAGAACACCTGACCCCTGAGTGCCCACATGGGCAGGGTCTGGGTGGCCTGCGGGGTTAGGACCCAGCTATAGGACCCCTACCCCCACCCCTTACCCGTCCCAGCACTGGGCCAAGCAGGAAGGCAGAACTCCCCAACCCCAACCAGTCAATGCGGGAGCCTTCTCAGCTGGACCCAGGGCCACACCTCTGCCCACCGGCTCACACCTGGGCCATGCAAGGCGGGGTGGATGCACCTGCCTGGCCCTTGAGCGCGTGGGGGAGCCACCGTTGCCCACTTGGGAGGCTCAGTTCTGAGGTCGGGATTCCAGGCACTCCCTTCTCCCCCATTCCGAAACCTCCTGACTGGAAGAACTCTCTCGGCACAGCCTTTTCTTTCAGGGTCCCAAAGTGCCTGTGAGCAGGCAGCTCCTGATCTCCTCTGTGACACCCACAGACTCAAAGACACCCATATGCTCACTCATGCAGACAGGCGCTCTCGCCTGTGGCTCTGAGGCTGAGCCGGCTTTGCCTTGGTGAAGGACAAGGCCCTGGCGACCCAGATTCTCTCGTGGGTGGCTGGGGACAGAAGGGCGGTGGCGCGCTGGGCTGGCTGGAGGGCTCAGGCTCCGGCGCGAGTCCTGCAAGGATGCTGCCTCCAAGTGTGCTTGTGGGTGGCGGATCCCAGGGCCTGCCGGGAGAGTGTCCACTCCTCAGGAGGCCTGGCTGCTCAGCGGCGCCCCTCTGTGGCGAGACTCGCCCAGGCCCATGTCCGGCCCATCTCGCCCCAGCCAGGCTCCCCTGGGCAGCCTCAGGACAGAGAACCCTGAATTCAGAGGGAGGCTGGAGGTGTGGGGCCTCTAGGCACTTGCAGGGTGGAGCTACCCCACACCCAGGGCTCACCCTCAGACCTACCCAGGCGTCTCCAGCCTCACGCTCCCAGAGGTAAGGAAGGGGCTTCAGGAAGGTGGGGGCTACCTCCCCGCCCAGTACCGTCAGGCTCTGAATTCGTACCTGGGAACTCTGCCTTGGCTGACTTGGGGACCCCTTCACTGCTCAGCCTTCCCCTCTCTTCCTGCCGGGCGGTCCACCTAAGCTCCCTGACTCTTCCCACGCGGCCCTGGGTCCCCTCCCCACAGGCTGTTCCCTGCACCCGCGGGTGGGACTGGACCTTTCCCTGCACGTCCAGTCTGTTTCCCGCGGTCTTCCTCCGTCTGACCCTGGCAGCCCGCTCCTCTGGCCCCGGGCTGTGTGGGGACCGCTTTCCCCCAGGCCCGTCGTCAGTGTCCTGAGCTCCGCCGACTCCCGCCCATTGGCGTCGCAGGCCTGGTGACAAGCTGTCGCTGGCATCTAGGGCTCCTGGGACTCAGGCACATGGAGCTCCCTCGGGGCCAAATTTGTGTCACGCGCAGGGACACCGGAGGCGCGTGCACAGTCCGTGTAACGGCTTTGCTTGGCGCGTCTCCGTTTCTCTTCTGAGGGGCTGAGAGTCGCGGAGTTTCCTAGTTGGAGGCTGTGGCGGACGCGATTTGCTTCCTCATATAGGGTTCCGGAGGCGGCGAAAAGTCCAGCGGGTCTCCGAAGCCGGTAGACGGAGCCATGAAGAAGACGTCGGGCTTCAGGAGGGGGAAGGGCGGGCTGCCCTGGGGCTCGGTCAGCAGCCCCGGGAAGGTGGGCGCGGGCGCCGGGAGTGAGAGTGCGGACCACGCCTCCTCCCAGCCCAGGCGCCACGACCCGGACAAGGGGTTCGACAGGCTCCGCAGAGCTGCCGGCCGACACCGGACAGAGACGATGCGGCGGATCCTTTCTCTGCCGAAGAGTGGCGTGGATGACAGAGACGAGAAGAACAGGTAATAGGAACTGGAGCCCGGCAGGGGAGGGAGGAGGGCGGGTCGGGGAGAGGCCCCCTTTCCTGCTCTCGGCTCACCCCTGTCCCCGAGGGCGCTGGGCTTTGTTCCCTCTGCAGCCCGCAGCACCCGGTGTGGCAACCTCAAGGTCATCATTATGAGCAGCGCGATGAAAACAAAACTTTAGCTGGTCCGATCCTCTCATAATTCCCGTTACTTTACTGAAAGTTTTAGTGCTTTAACTAAAAAAAATTAAACATACCTAGCTTTTTTTTTATTGTACACATTTTAAACAATGTTATATATGCTGTGGAAACAAGCATCATGAGAAAAATAATTTCTATATTATATTAACTTCTGGGCTAAAAATTCTTTGGATAAAAATCTAATATCCCTTTTGTATCCACCTACACCTGAGTAATAAGTTATTTCATGAATGACCTCAGAAGGATCCTTTGAAGTGAGAGCATGGTTCCCTGTTCTTGAATAGGAAGACTAATCTTTCCTTCTTTCTTTCTTTCTTTCTTTCTTTCTTTCTTTCTTTCTTTCTTTCTTTCTTCTTTCTTTCTTCCTTCCTTTCTTTCTTTCTTTCTCTCTTTTTCTTTTCTTTCCTTCCTTCCTTCCTTCCTTCATTCCTTCTTTCTTTCTTTTTTTTTTATTATACCTGAAGTTCTGGGTTACATGTGCAGGACGTGCAGTTTTGTTACATAGCTATAACACGTGCCATGGTGGTTTGCTGCGCTCCTCAACCCATCACCTACATTAGCTATTTCTCCTCCCCTAGCCCCCCACCGCCCCCGACAGGCCCTGGTGTGTGATGTTCCCCTCCCTGTGTCCACGTGTTCTCATTATTCAACTCCCACTTATGAGTGAGAACATGCGGTGTTTGCTTTTCTGATCTCGTGATAGTTTGCTGAGAATGATGGTTTCCAGCTTCATCCACGTCCCTGCAAAGGACATGAACTCATCCTTTTTTATGGCTGCATGGTATTCCATGTGGTGTATAGATGGTGCCACATTTTCTTAATCCAATCTATCACTGATGGACATTTGGGTTGGTTCCAAGTCTTTGCTATTGTGAATAGTGCCGCAATATACATATGTGTGCATGTGGGAAGACTCATTTTTCTCAAGATGTGAACTCTTCATTTTAGATAAACCAAATAAAAACATCATGGTTTTAAGATTTTTGGGTTACATATGCTACCTTTTACTGTTATGATGACATTAAGAAAATTTTTGTAAAAGAGCAAAGACTTGCCCTTTGATATATCAAAGTGTGATATTAAGTTCCATTTGCTAAAAGATGAGAAGACAGATAAATGTGTGGAACAGAATAAAAAATGCACAAACACTGAACTATATGTAAAATTTTAGAACCTGATCCTGATGACATTTCATATGTGTATGAAAAGATGAGTTATTTGTAAATGAAATGTCTGTTAACCGGAGAAAACTAGCTAGATTTGTACATTACAAAAATAAGTTATTGATAGAATATGCATAAAAACTTATACAAAATTAGAAAATGCCAGAATACAACACGAATGCCTATTTATACAGATACATTTTTATGTTGACAAAGACCTTCCTATGAATGCATTCTGCAGGTTGATTTAGAAAACAAAAATTAAAACTCCCCTTACATCAGAAAAAAATTAACAAAAGACAACATACTTGCAAAATAGTCACATTATATACATAAATATAGACATATATTATTTGCAATGAAAAATGTATTTTCCTTTTACAGAGAATTTTTTTAAAGAAATAGGAACTATAATTTAAAATTGGTCAAAGTACTTTTTCCAGATCTACTAGTGATCTGGAAAATCAGTAGTACTTATACCAGTGCTTAAAGTTTAAGTTACTGTTAACTTTTTAAATAAACAATTTGGTGGCGAACATCACTCTGAAAAAGGCATGTATTCTTTACTCATGAATTCCGTTATACTAAAATATTTTCAGGAAATAATTAGAGATGCATACAATTCATTTTTCTCAGCACTGCTTCCAATAGCAATGTATTAAGGAGAGGACAAATAAAGGATTTTATAAATAAATTTCAGTGCATCCATAGGATGAAATTATGTGTAACTACTGAACGTAGCAATAGACATGGATGTATGTTGACATGGGAAGATGTACTTTGGTATATGAGGTGAGAAAAAATCGATTTGTTTATACAAACACACAAACAGAATGGTCTTGTGGTAGCCAAAAGTATACACAAAATGTGATAAAATTTTGTTATTTTGGGACATTTGTATTACAGGTGATTTATTTTCCTTTTTCTTATTGTTATATCCACAATGAGCATGTATAACAGGTTTAGTGAAAGTTTATTATTACTGAAATAATCCTAGGTAAGAACAGGAATATGAAACTTGAACAGATAAAAATAAGTTCTTGCTTTCTATTAATTTTTTTTTGTGGATTGGTATCTTCTGCCAAGGTTTAGCCTCTTCAGAAATAGAGGGACTCTTTTAATCTGTGCTGGTAGATTGTATTGTGTATACTCTTTATCATATACATGTCTTTTATTATGGATAGATTTATTACATACATGCAAACAATTATAATTTAATAATTTTATTTTAGTGGTGTCCTTATGAAAATAAAAAATAGCAAATATAAATCATTTCTATTGCACAAATGTTACTTATCTTTACTAGTTTTCTGTAAAAATATTGAACTCCTCAAATATATTTACGTAGTCTTTTAATCCATTTATTCACCAAATGTGACCTGAATACCCACTGTGTATTCTACTCTCTCTCAGAACCTTTCCAAGCTTAAAAAATTTATGTTTACCTACCCAATTTGAGCAAGTTGAGAGAATTAAAATTGGACTATTAGGACTTAATCTAAGTTGAAGCTTTTCCTCCCTCCTTTCAAACAAAAGCATTTCTGAAGGTAGAAAGTTGTAAAAGATAACCTTGAAACTATCCTTTTGAAAATTTATAACAGTGTTTCTCTTTTCTTAATTTCAACTTTTATTTGAGATACAGAGGGCACATATGCAGATATCATACATGGGAACATTGAGTGATGGTGAAGTTTGGAGGACAGATGGCATCACTCTTGCCATGAGCATAGTACCTGGTAGTAGTAATTTAACCCACTCCCTTATAGAAGTCTTAAAGACTAATATTAATCATTGATAATATCTGATTTACATATATCATATAAATCAAAATATTGAATAAAATGAGCCATGCTTATTCATTTGAATTTTGATGTTTCTTTGGCCTAAAGTTTTCTGAAAGCCAAGTAAGAATAGTTTTTTGGTAAAAATGTGTCATTATTATCTCAGCCGTTTTTTTTCGCTGTTCTTTTTTGGGTTGTCTTCCTATTTTTTATTTCTATGGGTACATAGCAAGTGTACATAATATATTTATAGGTACATGAGGTATTTTGATACAGGTATACAATGCATAATTATCATATCAGGGTAAATGGGTATATCTGTCCCCTCAAGCAGTTACTGTTCTTTGTGTTACAACATTCCAAATATACTTTTTGGCTATTTTAACATGTACAATAAATTATTATTATTATTATTATTTTTTGAGATGGACTCTTACTCTGTCGCCCAGGCTGGAGGGCAGTGGCGCCATGTCGGCTCACTGCAAGCTCCGCCTCCCGGGTTCACGCCATTCTCCTGCCTCAGCCTCCCGATTAACTGGGACTACAGGCGCCTGCCACAATGCCCGGCTAATTTTTTGTATTTTTTAGTAGAGACGGGGTTTCACCGTATTAGCCAGGATGGTCTCTATCTCCTGACCTCGTGATCCGCCCGCCTTGGCCTCCCAAAGTGCTGGGATTACAGGCCTGAGCCACCACGCCCGGCCAATAAATTATTGTTGACTATAGTTTCCCTGTTGGGCCATCCAGCGCTAAATCATATTAATCCTATCTAAATATTTTTGTACCAGTTAACCATCCCCACTTCCACCCTCCCCCAATCTCAATACCTTTCCCAGCCCCTCCTAAGTATTGTTCTACTGTCTATCTCCCTTTGTTCAATTGTTTCAATTTGTAGCTTCCACAAATGAGTGAGAACCTGCAAACTTTGTTCTTCTGTGGCTGGCTTATTTTACTTAACATAATGTCCTTCATTTCCATCCATGTTGTTGTAAGTGTCAAGATCTCATTTTTTTATGCCTGAATAGTACTCCATTGTGTCTATGTAACACTTTTTCTTTACCCTTTCTTCTATGGATGAACAGTTATTTCCCAAATCTTGGCTATTGGGAATAATGCTTCAGTAAATATGAATGTACTCATAGTTCTTCAATATACTGATTGCCTTCCCTTGGGGTTTATACCTAGCAGTGGGATTGCTAGATCATATGGTAATTCTATTCTTAGTCTTTTCAGGAACTTCAAAACTATTCTCCAAGGTGGTTGTACTAATTCACTTGGGTGGTGGGGAACGTGTCTGTACTGGGGACAGATGACTGAGACTACACGTAGTTTGTTTACCGGAAGGAGGGAAATAGCTCCTACTCTTGATCATTTGAACCCATTTTTTGGAATGGGTGCTTTCATACATGGAAGACTTCAATGTTGGAGACTGTCATTGAGTCCTAGAGGGATCTGTAAGTAGGAGCCCATAGGAAAGAAGAACTTGAGATAGCAATTGGGAAAAACAGAGATACAGCTTTCAGGACTCTATTTTTCCAGCAGTCTCTCTCCTTGGGTATCAGAGCATCTGTGAAGATTCTCAAGGGCTTGCTAGTTGATGTGGACCTGAACTAGGCAGGACCTACGCAGGGAACATAATTAAAGTTTATCTTTGCTAAGGTTTTAATCTTTCTGCAAAGCATATTTCCAATAATGACATAGACACTTGTTCCTTTAACTTTCGTACATTGAGCTGTCAAGCATTTCAGACATTTCAGCGAACTGCCTACACTGTTTTAGGGTAAAGGGCAGCAATAGGGCCTACTTAAGTGGTTTCCATGCTGAAGAACCAAGACTGCCATTTTTGAGTGGCACAGATTAGCCTTTGAACCAGAGACAGGTAATGGAGAAGACACAGTGTCTCTTTCTTACCTTGTTTTAAGTGATCAATTGGTTCCAATTCAGGTAACAAAGGTTATGTCACTCATTAATTGGATATTGAATTCAGCCTTCAGGACAGACACTTCTGAAGACAAATTATTCTCAGGCTCTGCCAATATATTGCTGGTCACTATTTGTTAAGGAACTAAGGGTGAGTCTTCATTGAACATTTCATAGATTGGGAAAGGTGGAGGCAGAAATAGGTAACTAAAATCTTTTTGAAAAAGAGGCCGATTTTAATTATATTAAGGAATATTATCTATTGTATAGGTAGCTGACCTTTCCCCAGATTTTGTTTTTGTTTTTGTTTTTTTTGGTGGGGGGTGATACCCAGACACAAAACAAATAATTTTTTTTTTTAAGAGAAGTGAACTCACTCATTTTTCTTGTATGTTTTTATCTTTAGGCTGTCCAACGAACAGAGTTCTGGTGACTCATGGCTTTCAATAGATGATGAACTCTTTGATTCTGGTACCAAGGTAAAGTGCTCTTTTGTGAAATAAATTTTCTTGCTCTGAATCTAGTTTTGCACAGTATTTACTCTTCAACTGTGGCAGCGGTCTACCTATAATTGTTTTACAGTCTTGGGGAATAGTTGGTCAGAAAAAAAACATATTATAGAAATATGACTATTTGAATTTCCTTTACTTTTTTCTTTGGAAAATGGGAAAGGGTGCTAAATACTTAGAGGAATTGGGGGCTGAAAAATGGCATGAACTGGGAAATACATAGTGACAGGAAAACTGTATGTGGAAAAGCTTTCCCACAGTAGAGGAAACTTGAAATTTGGTCAGGGTTTATTTGGTGAGTATTCTCACAGGAACTTTTCAGTCATACTATTGTGATCTTTATAATCCATGTGCTTGAATACCTTTTAATGGGTTCAATTACTCATTATAGTAACCATAGAATGTCCCCGGGGTCTTTCAGTTCCAAAACAGTAAAGCACATATCATATGGTTTCCTTTTACTTTCTTGGATGCTTACTGTGGGATGACACAGTTTTTAGTAGGAAACTTTTTCTCTCTTTGGTCCTTGGTTCTGTAATTAGACTCCAATAACATTGTGGACATGTAGCTGGGCATGCTGGCACATGCCTGTAGTCCCAGCTCTTTGGAAGGCTGAGGCAGTAGGATCACTTGAGTCCAGGAGTTCCAGACCAGCCTGGGCAACATAAGAAGACCTCACCTCTAGTTTTTTTTTTTTAATTATACTTTAAGTTTTAGGGTACATGTGCACAACATGCAGGTTAGTTACATATGTATACATGTGCCATGTTGGTGTGCTGCACCCAGTAACTGGTCATTTAACATTAGGTATATCTCCAAATGCTATCCCTCCCCCCTCCCCGCACCCCACAACAGGCCCCGGTGTGTGATGTTCCCCTTCCTGTGTCCAAGTGTTCTCATTGTTCAATTCCCACCTATGAGTGAGAACATGCGGTGTTTGGTTTTTTGTTCTTGTGATAGTTTGCTGAGAATGATGGTGTCCAGCTTCATCCATGTCCCTACAAAGGACATGAACTCATCACGTTTTATGGCTGCATAGTATTCCATGGTGTATATGTGCCACATTTTCTCAATCCAGTCTATCATTGTTGGACATTTGGATTGGTTCCAAGTCTTTGCTATTGTGAATAGTGCCTCAATAAACATACGTGTGCATGTGTCTTTATAGCAGCATGATTTATAATCCTTTGGGTATATACCCAGTAATGGGATGGCTGGGTCAAATGGTATTTCTAGTTCTAGATCCCTAAGGAATCACCACACTGACTTCCACAATGGTTGAACTAGTTTGCACTCCCACCAACAGTGTAAAAGTGTTCCTATTTCTCCACATCCTCTCCAGCACCTGTTGTTTCCTGACTTTTTAATGATCGCCATTCTAACTGGTGTGAGATGGTATCTCATTGTGGTTTTGATGTGCATTTCTCTGACGTCCAGTGATGGTGAGCATTTTTTCATGTGTCTTTTGGCTGCATAAATGTCTTCTTTTGAGAAGTGTCTGTTCATATCCTTCACCCACTTTTTGATGGGGTTGTTTTTTTTCTTGTAAATTTGTTTGAGTTCATTGTAGATTCTGGATATTAGCCCTTTGTCAGATGAGTAGATGCAAAAATTTTCTCCCATTCTGTAGGTTGCCTGTTCACTCTGATGGTAGTTTCTTTTGCTGTGCAGAAGCTCTTTAGTTTAATTAGATTCCATTTGTCAAATTTGGCTTTTGTTGCCATTGCTTTTGGTGTTTTAGACATGAAGTCCTTGCCCATGCCTATGTCCTGAATGGTATTGCCTAGGTCTTCTTCTAGGGTTTTTATGGTTTTAGGTCTAATATTTAAGTCTTTAATCCATCTTGAATTAATTTTTGTATAAGGTGTAAGGAAGGGATCCAGTTTCAGCTTTCTACATATGGCTAGCCAGTTTTCCCAGCACCATTTATTAAATAGGGAATCCTTTCCCCATTTCTTGTTTCTGTCAGGTTTGTCAAAGATCAGATGGTTGTAGATATGTGGCATTATTTCTGAGGGCTCTGTTCTGTTCCATTGGTCTATATCTCTGTTTTGGTACCAGTACCATGCTGTTTTGGTTACTACAGCCTTGTAGTATAGTTTGAAGTCAGGTAGTGTGATGCCTCCAGCTTTGTTCTTTTGGCTTAGGATTGACTTGGCAATGCGGGCTCTTTTTTGGTTCCATATGAACTTTAAAGTAGTTTTTTCCAATTCTGTGAAGAAAGTCATTGGTAGCTTGATGGGGATGGCATTGAATCTACAAATTACCTTGGCAGTATAGCCATTTTCACGATATTGATTCTTCCTACCCATGAGCATGGAACATTCTTCCATTTGTTTGTATCTTCTTTTATTTCATTGAGCAGTGGTTTGTAGTTCTCCTGGAGGAGGTCCTTCACATCCCTTGTAAGTTGGATTCCTAGGTATTTTATTCTCTTTGAAGCAATTGTGAATGGGAGTTCATTCATGATTTGGCTCTCTGTTTGTCTGTTATTGGTGTATAAGAATGCTTGTGATTTTGCACATTGGTTTTGTATCCTGAGACTTTGCTGAGGTTGCCTATCAGCTTAAGGAGATTTTGGGCTGAGACAATGGGGTTTTCTAGATACACAATCATGTCATATGCAAACAGTGACAATTTGACTTCCTCTTTTCCTAATCGAATACCCTTTATTTCCTTCTCCTGCCTGATTGCCCTGGCCAGAACTTCCAACACTAAGTTGAATAGGAGTGGTGAAAGAGGGCATCCCTGTCTTGTGCCAGTTTTCAAAGGGAATGCTTCCAGTTTTTGCCCATTCAGTATGATATTGGCTGTGGGTTTGTCATAGATAGCTCTTATTATTTTGAGATATGTCCCATCAATACCTAATTTATTGAGAGTTTTTAGCATGAAGTGTTGTTGAATTTTGTCAAAGGCCTTTTCTGCATCAATTGAGATAACCATATGGTTTTTGTCATTGGTTCTGTTTATATGCTGGATTACGTTTATTGATTTGGGTACGTTGAACCAGCCTTGCATCCCAGGGATGAAGCCCACTTGATCATGGTGGATAAGATTTTTGATGTGCTGCTGGATTCGGTTTGCCAGTATTTTACTGAGGATTTTTGCATTGATGTTCGTCAGGGATATTGGTCTAAAATTCTCTTTTTTTGTTGTGTCTCTGCCAGGCTTTGGTATCAGGATGATGCTGGCCTCATAAAATGAGTTAGGGAGGATTCCTTCTTTTTCTATTGATTGGAATAGTTTCAGAAGGAATGGTACCAGCTCCTCCTTGTACCTCTGGTAGAATTTGGCTGTGAATCCATCTGGTCCTGGACTTTTTTTGGTTGGTAAGCTATTAATTATTGCCTCAATTTCAGAGCCTGCTATTGGTCTATTCAGAGATTCAACTTCTTCCTGGTTTAGCCTTGGGAGGGTGTATGTGTCGAATTTATCCATTTCTTCTAGATTTTCTAGTTTGTTTGAGCAGAGGTGTTTATAGCATTCTCTGATGGTAGTTTGTATTTCTGTGGGATCGGTGGTGATATCCCCTTTATCATTTTTTATTGCGTCTATTTGATTCTTCTCTCTTTTCTTCTTTATTAGTCTTGCTAGCGGTCTATCTATTTTGTTGATCGTTTCAAAAAACCAGCTCCTGGATTTATTGATTTTTTGAAGGGTTTTTTGTGTCTCTATTTCCTTCAGTTTTGCTCTGATCTTAGTTATTTCTTGCCTTCTGCTAGCATTTGAATGTGTTTGCTCTTGCTTCTCTAGTTCTTTTAATTGTGATGTTAGGGTGTCAATTTTAGATCTTTCCTGCTTTCTCTTATGGGCATTTAGTGCTATAAATTTCCCTCTACACACTGCTTTGAATGTGTCCCAGAGATTCTGGTATGTTGTGTCTTTGTTCTCTTTGGTTTTAAAGAACATCTTTATTTCTGCGTTCATTTCATTACGTGCCCAGTAGTCATTCAGGAGCAGGTTGTTCAGTTTCCATGTAATTGAGCAGTTTTGAGTGAGTTTCTTAATCCTGAGTTCTAGTTTGATTGCACTGTGGTCTGAGAGACAGTTCGTTATAATTTCTGAGGAGTGCATTACTTCGAACTCTGTGGTCAATTTTGGAATAAGTGCAGTGTGGTGCTGAGAAGAATGTATATTCTGTTGATTTGGGGTGGAGAGTTCTGTAGATGTCAGATGTCTATTAGGTCCGCTTGGTGCAGAGCTGAGTTCAATTCCTGGATATCCTTGTTAACTTTCTGTCTCATTGATCTGTCTAATGTTGACAGTGGGGTGTTAAAGTCTCCCATTATTATTGTGTGGGAATCTAAGTCTCTTTATAGGTCTTTAAGGACTTGCTTTATGAATCTGGGTGCTCCTGTATTGGGTGCATATATATTTAGGACAGTTAGCTCTTCTTGTTGAATTGATCCCTTTACCATTATGTAATGGCCTTCTTTGTCTCTTTTGATCTTTGTTGGTTTAAAGTCTGTTTTATCAGATACTAGGATGGCAACCCCTCCCTTTTTTTGTTTTCCATTTGCTTGGTAGATCTTCCTCCATCCCTTTATTTTGAGCCTATGTGTGTCTCTGCATGTGAGATGGGTTTTCTGAATACAGCACACTGATGGGTCTTGACTCTTTATCCAATTTGCCAGTCTGTGTTTTTTAATTGGAGCATTTAGCCCATTTACATTAAAGGTTAATATTGTTATGTGTGAATTTGATCCTGTTGTTATGATGTTAGCTGGTTATTTTGCTCATTAGTTGATGCAGTTTCTTCCTAGCCTCGATGGTCTTTACAATTTGGCGTGTTTTTGCAGTGGCTGATACCGGTTGTTCCTTTCCATGTTTAGTGCTTCCTTGAGGAGCTCTTTTAGGGCAGGCCTGGTGGTGACAAAATCTGTCAGTATTTGCTTGTCTGTAAAGTATTTTATTTCTCCTTCACTTGTGAAGCTTAGTTTGGCTGGATATGAAATTCTGGGTTGAAAATTCTTTTCTTTAAGAATGTTGAATATTGGCCCCCACTCTCTTCTGGCTTGTAGAGTTTCTGCCTAGGGATCAGCTGTTAGTCTGATGGGCTTCCCTTTGTGGGTAACCCGACCTTTCTCTCTGACTGCCCTTAACATTTTTTCCTTCATTTCAACTTTGGTGAATCTGACAATTATGTGTCTTGGAGTTGCTCTTCTCAAGGAGCATCTTTGTGGCGTTCTCTATATTTCCTGAATTTGAATTTTGGCCTGCCTTGCAAGATTGGGGAAGTTCTCCTGGATAATATCCTGCAGAGTGTTTTCCAACTTGGTTTCATTCTCCCCGTCACTTTCAGGTACACCAATCAGATGTAGGTTTGGTCTTTTCACATAGTCCCATATTTCATGAAGGCTTTGTTCGTTTCTTTTTATTCTTTTTTCTCTAAACTTCTCTTCTTGCTTCATTTCATTCATTTGATCTTCCATCACTGATACCCTTTCTTCCAGTTGATCGAATCAGCTGCTGAGGCTTGTGCATTCGTCACGTAGTTCTCATGTCTTGGTTTTCAGCTCCATCAGGTCCTTTAAGGACTTCTCTGCATTGGTTATTCTAGTTAGCCATTTGTCTAATTTTTTTTCAAGGTTTTTACCTTATTTGCCATGGATTCGAACTTCCTCCTTTAGCTTGGAGTAGTTTGATCGTCTGAAGCCTTCTTCTCTCAACTCGTCAAAGTCATTCTCCATCCAGCTTTGTTCCATTGCTGGTGAGGAGCTGCATTCCTTTGGAGGCGGAGAGGCACTCTGATTTTTAGAGTTTCCAGTTTTTCTGCTCTGTTTTTTCCTCATCTTTGTGGTTTTATCTACCTTTGGTCTTTGATGATGGTGACGTACAGATGGGGTTTTGGTGTGGATGTCCTTTCTGTTTTTTAGTTTTCCTTCTGAGTCAGGACCCTCAGCTGCAGGTCTGTTGAAGTTTGCTGGAGGTCCATTCCAGACCTTGTTTGCCTGAGTATCAGCAGCAGAGGCTGCAGAACAGCAGATATTGGTGAACAGCAAATGTTACTGCCTGATCATTCCTCTGGAAGTTTTGTCTCAGAGGAGTACCCGGCCGTGTGAGGTGTCAGTCTGCCCCTACTAGGGGGTGCCTCCCAGTTAGGCTACTTGGGGGTCAGGGACCCACTTGAGGAGGCAGTCTGTCCTTTCTCAGATCTCCAGCTGCATGCTGGGAGAACCACTACTCTCTTCAAAGCTGTCAGAAAGGGACATTTAAGTCTGCAGAGGATTCTGCTGCCTTTTGTTTGGCTATGCCCTGCCCCCAGGGGTGGAGTCTACAGAGGCAGGCAGGCAGGCAGGCCTCCCTGAGCTGCAGTGGGTTCCACCCAGTTCGAGCTTCCTGGCTGCTTTGTTTACCTACTCAAGCCTCGGCAATGGTGGGTGCCTCTCCCCCAGCCTTGCTGCCACCTTGCAGTTTGATCTCAGACTGCTGTGCTAGCAGTGAACGAGGCTCCGTGGGCATAGGACCCTCCGAGCCAGGTGCAGGATATAATCTCCTGGTGTGCTGTTTGCTAAGACTGTTGGAAAAGTGCAGTATTAGGGTGGGAGTGACACGATTTTCCAGGTGCCGTCTGTTACTCTTTTCTTCGACTAGGAAAGGGAATTCCCTGACCTCGTGTGCTTCCCGGGTGAGGCAATGCCTTGCCCTGCTTCGGCTCACACTCGGTGTGCTGCACCCACTGTCCTGCACCCACTTTCCAACACTCCCCAGTAAGATGAACCTGGTACCTCAGTTGGAAATGCGGAAATCACCCATCTTCTGCATCACTCATGCTGAGAGCTATAGACTGGAGCTGTTCCTATTTGGCCATCTTGGCTCTGTAGGGTCCAGCCCCACAGGGTCGGTGGGTTTCTCCCCATGTGTGGAGATGAGAGAGTGTAGAAATAAAGACACAAGACAAAGAGATAAAAGAAAAGACAGCTGGGCCCAGGGGACCACTAACACCAAGACGCAGAGACCGGTAGTGGCCCCGAATGCCAGGCTACACTGATATTTATTGGATACAAGACAAAGGGGCAGGGTAAGGAATGTGAGCCATCTCCAATGATAGGTAAGGCCACATGGGTCATGTGTCCACTGGACAGGGGCCCTTCCCTGCCTGGCAGCCAAGGCAGAGAGAGAAAGGAGAAAGAGAGAAACAGCTTACATTATTATTTCTGCTTATCAGAGATTTTTAGTACTTTCACTAATTTGCTACTGCTAACTAAATGGCAGAGCCAGGTGTACAAGATAGAACATGAAGGCAGACTAGGAGTGTGACCACTGAAGCACAGCATCACAGGGAGACGGTCAGGCCTCCAGATAACTGCGGGTGGGCCTGACTAATGTTAGGCCCTCCACAAGAGGTGGAGGAGTAGAGTCTTCTGTAAACTCCCCCGGGGAAAGGGAGACTCCCTTTCCCGGTCTGCTAAGTAGCGGGTGTTTTTGCTTGACACTAATGCTACCGCTAGACCACGGTCCGCTTGGCAACAGGCGTCTTCCCAGACGCTGGCATCACCGCTAGACCAAGGAGCCCTCTGGTGGCCCTGTCTGGGCATAACAGAAGGCTCGCACTCTTGTCTTCTGGTCACTTCTCACTATGTCTCCTCAGCTCCTATCTCTGTATGGCCTGGCTTTTCCTAGGTTATGATTATGGAGCAAGGATTATTATAATATTGGAATAAAGAGTAATTGCTACCAACTAATGATTAATGATATTCATATATAATCATATCTAAGATCTATATCTGGTATAACTATTCTTGTTTTATATTTTATTATACTGGAACAGCTCGTGTCCTTGGTCTTTTGCCTCAGCACCTGGGTGGCTTGCCGCCCACAGGCTCCACCCCCCTAGTTTTTCTTTTAACATGGAAATTCAGAAATTTAAAATTTCTGTCTCAAAATCTGTATTACAAAGAGATTCCCATGTGTTTCCTAAGCCATTCTATGAAGAATATATTTAAAACTCTTCATCTAATTGAGCATACACGTTTTTCCTCAAGTAACAACCAGCTCCAGAAGCAGAGACTGTTAATAACCATGTGGTAAGACTTTAATTTCAAACACTTTTTGCCCTGTATTATAAAAAATATTCACAGAGCATCTTTGTATCATAGTTTAAAGTATCAAATTTCAGAAGTTTTTGTATTTCATTGTTTACATAATCATTTTAAAGATCCTGCACCACTGTGAGCTACTGAATGTTACGAAACATATTCTTGTGTATCCTAATGTACCTAAGGTCTTGCATGTAAGAAGTGTTTTAATCATTTTTGAACATGAAGAAATGAGCAGACAAGTAAATTTCTATATAATAGAATGTTATAGGTAGTATAACATGCACAAGATATCTAATAATAAGATCTATCGCATTTCCAAAATGGGGCTTAAATTAATGTTTAGGATATAAGTTCACATGAATTATGCAAATATGTTATAAATAAGAAGGAAATAAATTAGAAATATGTCATCAGTAGGAAAGCAGATTACAGTATATTTTCTAATATCCTCTAACTGTAAGCTCAGATTTGGATTTTAGATGAAAATTTCTTAAGCTTTCTTTTAGCCCCAACCTATGCTCTTTTAAATATATCTTTTCAGGTTGTATGTTACTCTTTATAATTTTGATTTCCTATGATTTCTCCTGGTGGAATATTGATGAAACATTTCTTTTCTCTTTTATCTCTCTGTAGTAATAATGTTCCAGCTTTCACATAGTGGTAGATGACCATGTTTACCTGAATGAATGTCTTATTTTGTAGAAAGAAAATTGAAGTCTTTATTACAGAAATACTTACAAAAAAATTGTAAATTCTAATCAGTATTTTTAGGGCTATCCTATGACCAAAAGTCTCCATATAGATCTGTACTTCTCCATGTACCTTACTGTAGTTAATATCATAAGAATGACATTCATAAATATTATCTCCTAAGTATGTCTAATGAAAAAATTTGGGAAGAAATGTGAAATCCTTTTGTAAACTGTGAAGTGTGTATACAAGTGTAGGACAAAATGATCACGGTGGGATTCAGCGATTTAGTAAATATTGAAGATTCTTTTTGTAAACCTGAACAATGAAATGGCAGTAGTGTCGAAAAAAAAAAATAGAAATTTAGAACAGGCATGTCGATTTCTACTTTGGTTTATGTTAAGTTTCAGCAGACTATGACTGGGAATATCCTAAGGGAATCTAGTGATTTGGCACTTGAGACCTTTCTGATGAGATTGTAAGTGTTTTTGACCTTGGAAGAATTTCTGTTCTTGACTCCTGACTGTGTGCTAGGCAGTGAGACACTGAATGTACAAGATGAGGCTTATGATAGAGTAGTAAGAGCAGAAAATCAAGTAAAGAACAAACACTTCTAAGTCACTATAAATGCTTCCTATAAAGAAAACAGAGAATGTTAGGTTAGGGCACATTGAAGAAGTGCGTAGTTAGGATGGGGGCCGGAATGGGAGTAGAACTGTGTTCTCAGAGAAGATCTTTCTGAGTGTGACATTTAAGCTACCAACTAGAGGACAAGAAGCAGCGAGCCATGTGAAAGTCTAGAAGGAGGATATTCTGGACAGAGAGAACAATGGGTCACATCTGTTTTTCATTTTGTTCTCAACATCCAAAAAGCAGGAAGTACGGTAAGCATCCTCGTCCTCATATGTATTATTAGAATGTGTAGAAAAGAGAATGTGTAAATAAGGGCCTGGGACTGTTTAGATGCTTCATAATAAATGTTCCTCTCCTTCCCTTTTTACTAACTCTTGCTATACTTTCTTGAAGTTATTTCTTAATTGGGAAAGAATGGCATACTATATCTAATATTTGCTTGCTTTTATTTAAACAAGGCATAAAGAAAAGGCTTCTTACTATTTTGCCATTTTTCCTGTCAGTAAAAATTTTACCAAAAATATTTTGAGTTTTCCAAGCCCTTCCTCACCTAAATAAAGCAGCTTTGACAATGTTCTGCTTACACTCAACGTAACATACCCTGAAGTTACCTATCATGCCGAGTATCTTATTTTAACACTAAGATCATTTATGTAATTAGAAATATTTTAAATATGAATGTTGTAAGTATTATACCAATTGTGTGTGTTTTTTTTAATGCCCTGTTATTGTTGGTAGTGAACGCAAAGTTGAGTTAGGTGTTTGAAGTTAGTTCCTTGCTGACATATACAGAAGAGCTAATATTGTATCTGTGACTATGTTTCCTTTGGCTTTCTATGTTCAGTTTACAGAGTCAATAGCCATATGGAGATAAAATATTTGCTTGATCTGGAGAACATATATGAGTTTCTCTGTTGAAATATTTTGGTTTTCAATACATGCTTTCCTTACTTCTAGGTCTCATTGCTTTTAAATCAGGAAATTCAGAACATGTTTAGGAAATATTGAGAAATTCATTGTTTTTTCACTGAAACTCATTATTCATTATAATTTCAACAGACTACCTTTGAGAATGTTCCACAGAAATATGATAGTCACTTAACTGGAGCTGATGATGGTCAAAGAGGAAAAATTACAATAAAGGAACAAGAAGGTAAGAACTGTATTTTATTTAAAAATTTGACAGAATGTTTAAAAACATGAGCTCTGTTATGTTCTAGTAGCCAAGGAAAATAAGGTATTAAGTGCATAGTCAAAAAAAGAGAAGTGAAATAGTGATATGTTGTATATTTTGTAAGGCATTAGCAACCAATTTAATTGAGAGTGCCACTAAAGGAGCTGAATCATTAGTTCCAATTCAAGATACTGTAAGACCTGAGGAAAGTCAGAAAATAAGGAAGAAGAAAAGAGTAAATGAAGGAATGAAGAGTGAAAAGGCGGAGAGTACAGGGAGTAAATGAGGGAAAAAGATATATGCAATGAAGGGCGATAGAGTAAGATAATTATTTGAGGAGAATATAAAGTGAGCTTCCAGTACCGAAACTTGTCAGAGAATTCAAGCAAAATGTTGCCACTCTTGCTGTTTTCCTTACTTTTGGGAATGCATTAAGGATGGAGGTACCTGACCACACAGAGCTATGTTTCATCTGCGATAGAGGAATGTAATGTATGGTCAGCCGTGCATAAATTACATGTCTATAATTTAATGTGCTATAAAATCTTGTTACTTCATGGGACAGTATCTTAGGGGCCAAAAGAAGAGCATTGGAAAGAAGAGGGTAGGATTAATTATGGAAAGATCAAGGAAGCTATAGCCTGATAAAAAGTTCATTAGTAACTTTACGACTTGTAATGCAGCTTAGATTTGGAGGACGTGATAGGGTGGAGCTTGAGGCTGGATTCCAAAAGGGCAGGTTGAGGTTAACTAATGTGGGAGCACACTCAGTATAGACCAGAGCTTCCCAAATTTTAACAAATCAGCTGAGGACCTTGTTGGAAGTGCAGATTCTGATTCCACAAGTCTGCGATTCTGTATTTCTAATAAGATCTCAGGTGATGCCGACCCTTCTTGTCCTAGGACCACACTCTCAGTAGCAAGGGTATAGCTGTGCCTTCAGAGAAATCTCGAAGAAGAGCCCTTGGATCACCACTCAAGACATAACAGGATCAAGGGAAAGCATGATTTTCCCTTTATTTCTGAGCGTGTCTCTGGCCAGAGGGGAAGGAGAAAGAGATGAAGAAACAGAAATCATCATTGGAAGATACTACTGCTAAATGAAGAGAAGAGAAGTCATGGGAATAGTCCATCAAAAGGCGGCAGAAAGGTCAGAATCAGGACAACAGATCTAGAGACTACTTTTGCAAAGGAAGAGGGATTGTGAGTGGAGGAGGAGGGAGGAAAGAAAGAAGTTGGCTAGTTAATTTTGGAGTTGATAATAGGGAAACTTGAGAGCTGTCACTTCTAGTGACTGCAATATATTGGCACTCAAACAGAAGATTAGGTGATTGCTGTTCCAGGAATTACTGGAAGGAGGGAGTGCTAGAATGGGGGTAAACCACAGGAACTAATTTCTTCTCTCTGTAACTATCAGACATCAAAGATGCATGTTTTGTTGATATTGTGTCCGGAATTGGTGGGTTCTTGGTCTCACTGACTTCAAGAATGAAGCCACGGACCCTCGCGGTGAGTGCTACAGCTCTTAAGGTGGCATGTCTGGAGTTTGTTCCTTCTGATGTTCGGATGTGTTCGGAGTTTCTTCCTTCTGGTGGGTTCGTGGTCTCGCTGGCTCAGGAGTGAAGCTGCAGACCTTCGCGGTGAGTGTTACAGCTCTTAAGGCAGCACATCTGGAGTTGTTCGTTCCTCTCGGTGGGCTTGTGGTCTCACTGGTTTCAGGAGTGAAGCTGCAGGTCTTCGTGGTGAGTGTTACAGCTCATAAAAACAGTGTGGACCCAAAGAGTGAGCAGTAGCAAGATTTATTGCAGAGAGTGAAAGAACAAAGCCTCCACAGTGTGGAAGGGGACCCGAGCGGATTGCCACTGCTGGCTGGGGCAGCCTGCTTTTATTCTCTTATCTGGCCCCACCCACATCCTGCTGATTGGTAGAGCTGAGTGGCCTGTTTTGACAGGGCGCTGATTGGTGCTTTTACAATCCCTGAGCTAGATACAAAGGTTCTCCACCTCCCCATCAGATTAGTTAGATAGAGAGTTTCAACACACAGGTTCTCCAAGGCCCCACCAGAGCAGCTAGATACAGAGTGTCGATTGGTGCATTCACAAACCTTGAGCTAAACACAGGGTGCTGATTGGTGTGTTTACAAACCTTGAGCTAGATACAGAGTGCCGACTGGTGTATTTACAATCCCTGAGCTAGACGTAAAGATTCTCCAAGGCCCCACCAGAGTAGCTAGATACAGAGTGTCGATTGGTGCACTCACAAACCCTGAGCTAGACACAGAGTGCTGATTGGTGTGTTTACAATCCCTTAGCTGGATATAAAGACTCTCCATGTCCCCACCAGACTCAAGAGCCCAACTGGCTTCACCCAGTGGATCCTGCACCAGGGCTGCAGGTGGAGCTGCCTGCCAGTCCCGCGCCATGCGCTGGCACTCCTCAGCCCTTGGGCGGTGGATGGGACTGGGCGCCGTGGAGCAGGGGGCAGCATTCGTCGGAGAGGCTCGGGCTGCACAGGAACCCATGGAGGCGGGGGAAGGCCCAGGCAGGGCGGGCTGCAGTCCAGAGGCCTGCCCCGTGGGAAGGCAGCTAAGGCCCTGCGAGAAATCGAGCGCAGCGCCAGTGGGCTGGCACTGCTGGGGGACCCAGTACACCCTCCACAGCCGCTGGCCCAGGTGCTAAGCCCCTCACTGCCTGGGGCCGGTAGGGCCCGCCCGCCGCTCTGAGTGCGGGGCCCGCCAAGCCCACGCCCACCCAGAACTCCAGCTGGCCCACAAGCGCCGCGCGCAGCCCCGGTTCCTGCTAGCGCATCTCCCTCCACACCTCCCTGCAAGCTGAGGGAGCCGGCTCTGGCCTTGGCCAGCCCAGAAGGGGGCTCCCACAGTGCAGCGGCGGGCCGAAGGGCTCCTCAAGTGCCGCCAAAGTGGGAACCCAGGCAGAGGAGGCGCCGAGAGCAAGCGAGGGCTGTGACGACTGCCAGCACGCTGTCACCTCTCAATATGAGTTAATCAACTGAGGTAAAGTTAAATGTAGGAGCTTTGGCTGCTTTTTCTTTAAGGTAGCCGGTTTTTTAAATAGGATGCCTGTTTTGTAAAAGTTTATCATGGATGACATGATATGCCAACCCAAACTAAGTTTGGAAACAAAAAAAATTACAAAGTTTATTCCTCAAATACAAAAGGCATTACTTTACATAAATATTACACCCATTTTGGTATATAAAAGCTCAGTAGTAACTAATAATTGTGTAGCAATGCATTTTTTATTAATATTTCAATGTTGAAAGCTTCTTAGACATTATTTTTAGACATGTTTTATATACCTTCTTGCATGAGTGGATCAAAAAATTTAAGATGGCTAAACTACGGGATATAAGAAATGTAGGCCTATCAGTAAGCTCAAGTAGGTATGAAAAAAATGAAGATTTTTATGAACTATTTTGTGTAAGTGTGGATCCAAAGCAATTCACACTTGTGAAAGTGTGGATCCGAACACTTTCTCTGATGAGAAATGAATTAAACATTCAAATGAACTGTCATGACAACTGTGTGCTTCCTACATTCTAGGACCAATTGAAGGACATAGTAGGTACTTGTAGTAGAATGGTATAAATGATTCTGATGTGTCACATTAAAGACACACTATAGCATTCTACCATCAGCTTTGACATTTATCTGCCCAGGGTCATGATTTGCTCCTCTGGTTAAAGATCATTTTTCTCCTCCTCAGCATGTACACATGGTTGCGTGCATACTTTTCTCTCAGTTACAGATATTCGAATCAGAATCTTGCCTTTGAAATGTTAACTGCATGTTTTATTCAACCTATCTTCTTAGTTTTCTTCAGGATATTTCTGTCATGTTGTTGTCCTGACAAAAAAATGCACCCCTAAATCTAAACTCATTATTTTTAAAACGAAGCACTAAGATTCAGCTTGATACTAACTCTGAGTGTATGGTTAGATTTATCATATTTATATATAATTGATTATATGTCCCTTTTGCCTTCCAGATTCTCTTCAGCAATATCATCACTTGAAGGTAATAACTTTTCTATATTTATCTTTAATTATTAACCACATAGTATATGAAATATATATTACTTATTAATCATTTTGTCTTAAAACCCTTTCAGCCTAAGGTTGAAATGAAAGAGTGTGTTTCGAACCAGGCAGTCGGAATGAAAGATGTACAAGCATGCACATCAGGTAAAAATTTTTGCAATACAAATTTAACTCTGGAAAGAAGCACATTAAAAATAGTTTAAATGCTAGCAGTCTTCGTATTCCTGTCTTTTTTTTTTTCAAATTTGAGGGATAGATTTGATATATATAATGCAGATATTAGCATTGGTATCTATGTTTGAAAAACATTATATTTAGAAGCATAAGATAGATTTTAAAAATGTAAGCTCTAACTTAGATGTATCTTGTATTACGTATTGCTACGCTGAAGTTCTCAGTTGGGAATACCTATACTCATTCGGGTTTCACAGAAGTGAATTATGAGACTACAATTTTTTCCCGTGTTTGAAATGCTTGTTGGAATTCTGATCTTTACCTAGAGGAAAGCTTTCCTTGCTAACATGTCAATTTTGTATAAAGTTTAATTACTTCATCCTAGTGTTAGACTGATTATCTGAAGCAAATTGGATGTTTTGATTAGTGTGTGTGTGTGTGTGTGTGTGTGTGTGTGTGCAGGGAATATCTTGGAGTACAAAAATGAGGAAAGTAATCTTTTTTTCATGGCTATTTGGCAGACACACTCATTTCAAAGAGTGATTCTGAAACTTTATAGGCTTAGGGTTTTTTGTGCAATTAATAATTATTGCATAGAAGTAACCAACACCCTGAATTAGGTGTTTGTCATTGTCATGCACTTTTCATACATTTTACCATATATGTGTATGGCCATAAATCATATGTAGAATTGGTGTTTCTGTCCTAAAATTTCAATCATATAACTGATTGTACATTATAAATATATTATTCAGCAGCTTTCTTTTGCTTACTCAGCGTTATAGTTTTGAGATCAGTCGATATGTTTTGTTCACACCCATTGATTTGTCCAAAGAGATGCATTGCTATTTTCAGAAGTAGTTCTAGTTGAGTTTACATTTCCTATAGTATTTCATGCTATGACAGTACCACATTTAATTCAACTCTGTTTTGTGGTGAGAAAAAGATAAAAACATTAAAAAATGATGGCATATCCCAAAGAGCTTTTGTTTAAGTGGATTGTATCTATTGATATTTACTATATCAGAAACTGAAGCTGAATAATTTAAAATATAAGCATGCACCACCATGCATTCCAATAGCCATTATAACTCTGGCCCATTAAGCACCCATGATCTTATGACACATCACGTGTCTCATGGTTAAACATAAGTCTTGTTATTAAAAGAAAGTTCATATTACTGAAGAATATTATTAATAAACAAAGCTCTCATGGAAAACAAAATATATAATATTGCTGAGTGAATCAAATAAGTAACACTAAAAAATAAAAATGTCAAAGATGATCGTTAATAAAACCTATGTGAGTGAATGGCAAGTACAGGACATGTAGAATACAATAAGCCATGCAGGAGTGGTGTGTTTCTGGGGGAGTGGAGGACATGGGACTGCTTCTGTTTTAGAAGGAATTTCTCCACGTTAGTCAAATTGTATTATGATTTACATTCTAATAATGAAAACTTTACTTTCAGCTTTTTCAGCTTTGGATTTTAATAGTTTGACCTTCAGTAATGAGCTTCATGAAAGATCTGAGAATTTGAAAGTTGGTGATCTATGTCCATTTGTGTCTCCACCAATGACCAACACTGTGTTGGGATCCACAGACTTGGGGAAGATGAACTTAATAGATTAAGAAAAGATGACCACTGCAGCTGCATTTCTATTTTGGAATCACACTCTCCGTGACCTGTGTGAGTCACAGCTACCAGAAAACAAAGACAGCAAAGAAGGTAATAAAGAAGCATAGAGAATTCAGTCCCAGTGTAGCTGTACTTGGCTTCATAATACCATAGTTGTAACTTTTAAAGAATCATTTTGTGGCAAAGTGTGTATTGTGTTTACACCCCCCTTATACAAGCTACAACCAAACAGAGGACCTATCAGCAGGGCATTTATGTTCTTCCTTTAACCAAAGCAACATAAAAATAAGAAAGAGAATGAGATGGACGAGTAATTTTGTTTAGGCTAGCATTTAACATAAACTTGAATGTGAGTCCAAGGATTACATGCAGAACTTTGGGACTGGGGGGGAGATGTTTGATTGCCTGCTCAAACACAATGTGGTTTCTTTGCTTTATTTCCATAGCTCTGAATTTGTATCAGTTGTAACTATATAAAATGTTGCCCCTAAAGCACCTTCCAAACCCCAAAATTAAGTTATTTTTAATAACTTCTGTGACTTTATGTAGTATAGAATTGTCTTTCCCAGTATGAATGGGTATCCTTGAGAATTTGCTAGATGGTGTCTTTTCAGCTGTGTTCACACAGTTTATCACCTTGTTTTCATGAATAACAATTTACTAGGAATACTAGTTTGAAGGAAGGTGGTGTCATTAAAAATAACATGAAAATACATTTTAATTTTACTAGGACACATAATCTGTTGAATAATTGCATCTAATATGTGTTCTACTTTATGTCCCAGTTAAATTCATTGTCTTTAATAAGGTATACGATCAGATCTATATAGTAATAAATCATAAAATATTTTTGCACCCCAATAGTTTCATTTCCTTTTTTACACGGCAAAACCCAGTCTCTTGAAAAAATACAAAATTAGCCGAGCATGGCAGCTGCCTGTGGTCCCAGATACTCAGAGGCTGAGGTGGGAGAATCTCTAGAGTCTGGGAGGCAGAGATTGTAGTTAGCTGAGATCGCACCACTGTGCTCCAGCCTGGGCTACTGAGCAAGACCTTGTCTCAAAAAAAATGACACAAAAGAAAAGATGATTTGAAAGATTGTCCCATACAGTTTAGGACAAAAGGGATAGACATGCATAGAAAGAATGTACATTTCAGGTGGTAAATATACACTAGGAAAATCAATGCAGTGCTAAGGCAGCCCCAAGGAAAGAGATGCCTGTTTTTCTGAGGAAAGATAGCAAGAATCAAGGAATACTTCACACAGCAATGTGAGTGATGAAAAAGAAATGGTTAGAATAGTAGAGGAAAACATTTCTGATATCGAGAACAGGATGTACACTGGTAAAGTATAAACAGTTACAGTAATTCTGGAAATCATTGATTATAGGCATAATGTGTTGTTAAGAATGGCACTACTGGACCGAGCGCGGTGGCTCACGCCTGTAATCCCAGCATTTTGGGATGCTGAGGCAGGCAGATCACCTGAGGTCAGGAGTTCAAGATCAGCCTGGTTAACATGGTGAAACCCCATCTCTACTAAAAATACAAAATTTAGCGGCTTGAGCCACCTCACCCGGCTGAAAATTTTTTTAAGACAGGCTCTCACTGTGTCACCCACACTGGAGTTTGAGTGAATGCAATCTTAATGGCCACAATCAATATTCTTTTTTAGGTCACAGTCAAAATTCTTTATTGATAAAGACCTCTCATGTTTATCTCAAAAGAAGCTTTAAGGATTGTCTAGGAATCACCACATGCTATTTAGGTTCTATGTCTCAAAAAAAGAAAATGCTAAAATAATGTAGAACATTTAAATTCACTATTACTAATTACACAGTTTTCTGTGATTGGAAATGGTCATCAAACCAAAGGGAAAATTGCAATTTTCATACGTTATCTTGAGTAATTTCACTTAGAGATTTCATTGAAGTTAATTCTTCGTCACTATTGTTGGTAAATTAAGAGTTTTTAGGAAGCAGTTTCTGTAATGAAATTTCAGATGTTTTGAATATTTCTGTTTTATAGTTAACTGTGCAATACTTTTATTGAGGTTTTCAAATACAATTACTGTGCAGTTAAAGAAAGCAATGTTATGTCCAGCTTTCAGTAATTGCTTGTATGGGCTATCTGTAGTCCCTGGATGAAATAATGCTTGAGTAGATGAATAAAAATACATGAATGAATTATAATATTTAGACAATGAAGATTGCCTATAACCTTATTTTTAGCATAATTCCCTAAAGCTATTTGTGTTATATGTTTGAATGCATTTCAATATGAACTTGGTAACTGTCATTTCTATTTTAAGACTTCAGTGACCTGGGAGGAGAAAATAATTGGGCCCAGTGGTTATTATTACTAGATTTTCCTTTGCTTGAATCTAGGCTTGTGTCTTTCATCTATTGGAATAAAAGCATTAAAAATAATCTGTGGTATATTTTATATAATCTGATTCATTGGTAATCTAATCTTGCAATATAAACTGGGTGCATTAAGCACTTGTAGTATATTAAGCCTGGGAGACTGAAGTTTCTTTTCAGCGTTCCTATTAAGTATATGGTGATGGAAATTTTTCAAAATTTTTAATGGAAAATGATGTCCCAATTCACTCTTTTCTTTTTGATTTTAGATGGGAAATGTAAAGTCATAAGATCAATAGGTTGACTGTGACAACTATATTTACTTACAGAGAGAACAGGAAATGAGAATGGGTGATGTGGGTCCCCATGAAGCAATAAACATAGGAGGTAGGGATTTGAAGCAAAAGGCTTTTGTAATTTATCATTTTTGGGGGGACTGTTTATGCTGTTTGTGGTATCTATATATCAGTAAGAAACTAAAATACGGGACCAACATTTCTAAAGGTGAAATCTCTTACATCCATTAAACTGGAATGCAATACAATTATATTAAAAAATATGCCTGGGAAGAAAATTCTCATTTTGTTTTTGTTTGAAGGCTAAAAGATGTGTTATACATTCATAAGCTTAATGAAAGAAACATATAAACCAGGTTGTAATACAGCCTGAAAGGAGTGTAGTCATTGCATGGTGTAATACAGCTCTGTTTTTGCAGTTTTAAAATCAAATTTATGCCTTCTAATTGGCTTTTTTTTTTTTTTTTTTGGCAGGACCTCACTCTGTTGTGCATGCTGGAGTACAGTGGCGCAGTCTCTGCTCCCTGAAACCTCGACTTCCAGGGCTCAAGAGATCCTTCCATCTTACCAAGTAGCTGGGACTACAGGCACGCGCCACCATACCTGGCTTATTTTTTGTATTTTTAGTAGAGACAGGATTTCACCATGTTGCCCAGGCTGGTCTTGAGCTCCTGGGCTCAAGCAGTTTGCTGGCGTTAGCTTCCCAAAGTGCTGATATTACAGGTGTGAGCCACCTTGCCTGTCCTAATTGAACATTGGAAATTGATAGTTTCCGAGTTGGAAATTGATAGTTTCTGAGTTGTGTTTTTAGGCTTTTAGAGAGCATTTTATACTTTTCTGTCTTAAACTAGCTTTTTGTGTAACTTTGAAGCTGTTTTCCTTCACTTTAATGAATATTGAACTTTTTTCCTTTAACCTACAGTATTGTGCACAGAAGTGCACTCAGTCTTTGTAGACTATGACTCGTCAAGGGAATTACATGTGTGTTGCCAATGCATGTTTTAGAGTTGACTAAGCTTTTAAGAAAGTATATTAGCAACTTCAGTTTGGATTTGCTCATATAGCCAAGTTGCAAGGGAAATAATGCCAAGTAAGTAACCTGAAGGAAAAACAAGTGTGGCATATCGTAGGCCTTACTAAATTTGAAATTTGAAATGTCATACATTTGAAAGTTGGATACGGAATTAAATTTTATTAAATTAATTGTCCCACAAAAGCTGTCCCACATTAAATTGTCCTACAAAAGGTGTTATGAAGCTAAAAATCTTTATATAACTTAAATGTACATATTGTTTTAAAGATTACACTACCATGGCAAACAATATTCTTAACATGCACACCCATTTACAAAATCAAGTATGTTCTTAGCATGTATAGTCTATCAAATGAAACTTAAAAGAAGTCATGTGTGGAATGAACATTTTCCATGATCAGCTTTTTTTCTTAAACTTCTGTTGCCAGTTTTTCAGTACTACTAATCAGATGATGTAGAGTCATATATTGCTGTTTACTTGATCACTTTTTACCAACAAGTAGTTAGTGAATACTTCTGGTATATGCAGGAAGCAAGAAACATGGCCCTTGCCCATAAAGAACTTAATTGTGAAATTACTACAGTGGATACGTGAAATAATTAATGAACCAAGAGTGTCTACATTCCAAACTATGAAGCATAATTGAGTATAATGATGTCCAAGTGGTCCAATATTTATGTCTTTTTTAGAGTAAATTTTGGGATGGTATTTAATATAATCCATGTAATTTTAAGGATTTTAGGAATAAGGTTATTGTAGATTATAGGCAGTTTAAAAGGCCATTATCATTATTAGAGTGACATTAACATCAAAACTAAACTTTAAAATAGTATAAAACTTAAAACCGTTTCTGATGGTATAGAGATACTCTGCAATTTTATGAGAAGAAATATAAGAATATGCCTTTAGAGTCCTTATTTAGTTAGGAATTGAGGAGAATTAAAAATTTTTTGTGACATTTTATTCACCAGAGGACCTATTTACATTTTAGCACTTACTCTCCTAAAGTCCAGTTTATCTAATTTTCTCTTCAGTCTTCATTCAATGTGAGACTTCATCATAATGGTTTTGTAGAGCTATTAATCATTATCATGCAGTTGGGTTGTTGGGAAGTTAAAACTGTCATAACTAATCAAGTTACATTGATGGAAAGTGGCAGCAGATTTTCTGGTGTATCACTAGTGTGTATAACCAAGTGAAACCTACATTATAATGCTACCTTTCTAGTAACCAGATAATGCTAACATTTCTTAGATCCTTAAATTTATTTATAGCTATGTGGTGAAAGATATGAGTACTAAAAGTAAGGCTCTAAGTTAACTGCTGTTAGTTGGAAATATTATTTTTGATTTTTTTATACCCACAGATGTATAGTTATTTTCCAAACCCACCATTGTAAAATTACATTCTATTAAAGAGAAAAAGAAGAAAAAGAAACTTAATTTGTTTTTTGGGGGATAGTTGAGGTAAGACCCTTCTTAGATATTGTTCTTGTACTCTCTTCATTTCTAGATTGTAGAAATTATTAAAATAGCTATTTAGGGCTATACTGAGGGAGTGAAAATATTCTTGGATAAAGTATATTTATTGGCAAGAGCATTTGGGGTGAAGGAAACAATTCCTTCCCACGAAGTTGCTAGGTTCCTGGGGATTGGATTTGAAGAGCAGAAGTATGATGCAGGGGCTGGTAGGGACTCAGCCATGTAGAGAGTATAATGTATAATTTCAGCTGCATTATAATGTATCTTTGAGAAATTGAGTTCTTATTGTCAGAAAATTGATCTATGTAATGAAATACTAGAAGAAAACCCTAAATTAGAATGGCTTTGTTACGAATTTTTAATGATAAACAAGTGCTACCACTTAAAAGGGAAAAAAATTTTCAAAGAAAATACCTAAAAATGTGTTGTATTTGAGATCATCATATATGTAGTATTAGAGCACAGACACTATTAAAATTAATAGGAGGTAGGTGGATTTTTTTAATGAAAAACTTGAAATATATCAGATTGTCCCCATTTATGGAATTTAAGCTTGTCAGAAAGATCCAGATAGCTATATATTTTATCTGCATTTGGTTGCGGTTGCTTTTAAAAATAAGTTTTGTTATAAGTCATTTCAATTTTTTTGTTTACATTCCATATTTCAATATAAAAAGTTAAAAGAGAGTACCTCCTGTAATTTAGCAAGGTATTCCATAAACTCAAGGAGGAAAAAAAAACTAACATGAGAGGCTAGTTATAATCATCTTTATGTATATATTGCAGGAAATTATTTCCTCTCTGGCAACTTAGCATAATTTACATGCTAATATTTTTAGCCACAGCTTAAAAAAATTAAGTGGTTTTGTAAGTGCTAATCCTTTGTTACTCATTTAAACTGGTAAAATGTAGTCCCCATTGTTAGGTATTATTTGGTGTAAAAGCCAACTATAACAAATAATAGTGATGTCTCAGCTTGCAAACTGTTACAGTCTTAAATGCCCTAAAATAATTGATAGTTTCCTCATTGATTTTATGTACATTTGGCTTGGGGATGAAAATTCTAATTCGAGTGTAGGTAATGCCCTATTACAGATTAGATAATGCATATCACATTCTCAAGGAACAAAAATAATTTTAATAACGGTCTTGGTATATAGATTGCATAAATATTGTTAAATTTTAAATGTTTACTAAACTAAGATAGGACAGCTCTAAGTATAGATTGTTTTACATAGATGTGTTTAACACAGCCCCTGCTGGTAACCAAGGTCCTCCTCCAATGACGGGTATGAATATGAACAACAGAGCAACTATACCTGGCCCACCAGTGGGTCCTGGTCCTGCCATGGGACCAGAAGGAGCCGCAAATATGGGAACTCCAATGATGCCAGATAATGGAGCAGTGGTAATGTATCATAAACATTATTTTGATTATATTCAGTAATGTACACTTCTGCATCAAGGATAACTTCACACTTAATATAATTTGGTATCATTTGTTTTGGCAGCCAATGAAGAAGAAAATTTTGTGACATCATATGTTGATTTACTAGAGATAGTTTTTAAGTAGTCCAAGAATTAGGATTACTGTCTGTGGCATGCTGTGGTACCTCAGTATTTAGCAAATACATATGCTAATTACATTATTTTTCTGTGCTTTTAATTTGTATCCATCGTTTACCAGCATTCTAATGTTCAAGAATTTTATGATGGTGTTCTTTTCCTGTGTGGACTCCTTATGTTTGATGGGGACAAAAGTCCAATATGTATGAACACAGAGTTTTCAGTAAATTTTTTTTTTTTTTTTGAGAGAGTCTCGCTCTGTCACCCAGGCTGGAGTGCAGTGGCACGATCTCAGCTCACTGCAACCTCCGCCTCCCGGGTTCAAGCAATTCTCTGCCTCAGCCTCCTGAGTAGCTGGGATTACAGGCGCCCACTACCACGCCCGGCTAACTTTTTTGTATTTTTAGTAGAGACGGGGTTTCATCATTTGGCCAGACTGGTCTTGAACTCCTGACCTCATGATCCACCTTCCTCAGCCTCCCAAAGTGTCAGTAAATGTTTTTATTTTTTATTATTATTATTTTTATTTATTTATTTTTTTTGAGACGGAGTCTCTCTCTGTTGCCCAGGCTGGAGTGCAGTGGCGCACTCTCGGCTCACTGCAAGCTCCGCTTCCCGGGTTCACGCTATTCTCCTGCCCCAGCCTCCTGGGTAGCTGGTACTACAGCTATCTAGTCCCAGGACATAATTGCTATGGAATCATAAAGATGTCAGTTCTCCCAAAATTAATCCATAAACTTGATGCAATTCCAATAAAAATTCAAGAGGATTTTTTACAATACTGAACAAGCTAATCTTACAATTCATGAGGAAGAGCATATGTTTAAAAACAAAGCATCGAAGTGGTAAACTTATTCTACCAGATTTAAATAATTATTAAAAAGTTAAGTTAAACAGTGTGGTATTGGTGCAGAGATAGATGTATAAGCTAATGAAATGAAAGAGAGCCTAGAAAGTGCACAAATAATATATGGAAATATAAATGACAGACATGGCATCAGAACTCAGTGGTAAAAGATGAGAGTATTCAATAAAGGGTGATGAAATTTTTGGCTATTAATATTATGATATAATAAAAAATAAATATTTGGTCCTTGTCCTTAGTTCCTGACACACAGTTCCTGAAGTCCTTGGAATCTCCAGAGTGATGACTGAATTAATCACCAATGGTGAATGGCAGTGATTATCAGTGAGAACCAAACCTAAGTCTGCAGGCTTAGGGCAGGGGCCCAGACAATTAGAGGGGCTCTTCTCTTTGAGACTTGTCATCTAGAACTCATTGTCACTGGAGGCCAAAGCATAAATGAGCCTATCGGTTGCCTTGGGTTACAAGAACAAGTTTTAATTAATTAATTAATTAATTATTTTGAGACAGACTCTTGCTGTGTCGCCCAGGGGCTGGAGTACAGTGGCACGATCTCGGCTCACTGCAACCTCTGCCTCCCTGGTTCAAGCAATTCTCCTGCCTCAGCTTCCCGAGTAGCTGGGACTATACGCACATGCCACCACACCAGGCTAATTTTTTTTATTTTTAGTAGAGACGGGGTTTCGCCATGTTGGCCAGGCTGGTCTTGAATTCCTGACCTCAGGTGCTCCACCCACCTCGGCCTCCCAAAGTGCTGTGGTTACAGGTGTGAGCCTCCATGCCTGGCCAAGTCTGAGTTTTTGTTGAGAAAGCCAAGTAGCAGTTCAGGGACTTGTGGCCACCAATTGTCTCTGAGATTCAAAGTCTGTTCTTTCTATTGGGGACTGAGATGGACAGATAATCATGCAGACTTAAGGAGGAGCCATAGCAATGATTTGGCATGGGAGGAAGTCTGAGCTAGCAAGAACTGGAGGAATAATTTCCCTCTGTAGGAATTCCTGCTCTACCTACTTGCTATAGGAGTAAAGTGGTCATGATTTAAACAGTCTTGTCTGTACCTGTTATGTTATAAGGATGTGTTCATGGCCCTATCTGCTAAGAGTGAGTTGTTCTTATAAATAAAATAAAAATTAGTAAATTTATACACAATTTGTTATGCAAATCCTAAGAGTGATATTCCAAAAAGCCAAATTTTAGAAGTAAATAAGTACATAAATTGGCCTTTTTTGTTGAGACGGAGTTTTGCTCTTGTTGCCCAGGCTGGAATGCAGTGACACAATCTCGCCACACTGCAACCTCCACCTCCTGGGTTCAAGCGATTCTCTTGCCTCAGCCTCCTCAGTAGCTGGGATTACAGGTGTCCACCACCACGCCCAGCTAATTTTTTGTATTTTCTTTTTTTTAGTAGAGAAGGGGTTTCACCAAGTAGGCTAGGCTAATTTCAAACTCCTGACCTCAGGTAATCCACCCGCCTTGGCCTCCCAAAGTGCTGGGATTACAGGCATGAGCCACCGCACCTGGCCAAGGAAGACACTTTAGATGGTGCCAGAGTTGAGGATTTGGCCTGCGACTTATTGCAGTTGCCGCACTGCAGTTTCCACACTGTGGCCTTAGAAGAGTCTTATCCAGACCTGAAATCCCAGTGCCTTGGAAACATCAGGACTGGTCAGAAGGACAGTAAGTCCTCAAGGCACCAGCCCCTACTTCTCCACACAGATTGAGAGGTAAGTATTCTAAGCTCTCTGCAGGGCCCATATCCTGGATGTGGACACCCAGTCCTGCTAGGACCTGCTTCCAGAAGAGTTGATCCCAGCCATGAAACTGCCCTGATATCTTTATCCTGTATCAGCCTTGTGAGTAGTCAGTAACTGGGACCACAGGCGCGTGCCAACAAGCCTGCTTAATTTTTTTTGTAGAGACGGGTTTCGTCATGTTGCCCAGGCTGGTCTGGAACTCCTGAGCTCAAGTGATGCACCTGCCTCGGTTTCCCAAAGTGCTGGGATTACAGGCGTGAGCCACCACGTGCAGCCCAATTTGTGATCTTTTATGCATTGTTTCTTTCATGTAGCATGTTTTCAAGGTTTATCCAACTTGCAGTGTATTAATGCTGAATAATATTTCATTGTGTAGACATACTGTATTTTTATTTTTAAAATTTTGTTTATTTTTCATTGGTACACAATAAATATTTGTACATATTTATGGGGAACAGATATGTTGTTACATGCATAGAATGTGTGATGATCAATCAGGGTGTTAAAGGTATCTGTCACTTTGAGTATTTGCCATTTCTATATGTTAGGAACATTTCAAGTCCTCTCTTATAGCTATTTTGAAACACACAATACATTGTTGCTAACTGTAGTCACCCTACTCTGCTATAGAACATTCAAACTTATTCCTTCTGTCTAACTGTATTAACCAACCACCACTTTTCCCTGCCAACCCTCACATGCTTCCCAGCCTCTGGTATCTTATCTATCCACCATCAACTTTCTTAGCTCCTACATATGTGATAACATGCAATATTTGTCTCTCTGTGCCTGGCTTACTTCACATAACAATGACTTCCAGTTCCATCCATGTTGCTGCACACGACATGATTTTATTCTTTTTTATGGCTGAATAGTACTTGAAAAAAAAAAAAATATATATATATATATATATCACATTTTCTTTCCTTCTTTCTTTCTTTCTTTCTCTTTGTCTGTCTGTCTTTCTTTCTTTCTTTCCTTTTTTTCTTTTTTGAGACAGAGTCTTGCCCTGTTGGCCAGGCTGGAGTGCAGTGGTGCAATCTTGGCTCACTGCAACCTCCACCTCCCGGGTGCAAGCAATTCTCTGCCTCAGCCTCCTGAGTAATCCCGAGTAGCTGGGATTACAGGCATCCGCCACCATGCCTGGCTAATTTTTGTATTTTTAGTAGAGACAGGGTTTCACCATCTTGGGCAGGCTGCTCTTGAACTCCTGACCTCGTGATCCACCTGCCTTGGCCTCCCAAAGTGCTGGGATTACAGGCCTGAGCCACCGTGCCCAGCCCACATTTTCTTTATTCATTTGTTTGTTGATGGACACTTAGGTTGATTCTATATTTTTGCTATTGTGAATGGTGCTGCAGTAAACATGGAAGTACAGGTATCATCTCTTTGATGTACTGGTTTTGTTTCGTTTGTATAAACACCCAGTAGTGGCATTGCTGGATTGTGTGGTAGTTCTATTTTCAGTTTCCTGAGAAATCTCCATACTGTTTTCCACAGTGATTATACTAATTTACATTCTTACTCAGCAGTGTAAAAGAGTTCCCCTTTCTCCACATCCTCACCCACATCCATTATTATTTTGTCTTTTTAATCATAGCCATTCTCACTGGGTGAAAATGATAGCTCATTGTGGTTTTAATTTGCATTTCCTTTATGATTAGTGAGATTGAGCATTTTTTATATACCTGTATGTCTTCTTTGGAGAAATATCTGTTTATGTCCTTTGCCCAATATTTATGTATGATGTGTGTATGTATGTATGTATGTTTTGGAGTCAGGGTTTTGCTCTTTTGCTCAGGCTGGAGTGCAGTGGCATGGTCTCGGCTCACTGCAACCTCCACCTCCTGGGTTCAAGTGATTTTCCTGCCTCAGCCTCCCGAGTAGCTGGGATTATAGGTACCTGCCACCACACCCAGCTAATTGTTTGTATTTTTAGTAGAAATGGGGTTTCACCATATTAGCCAGACTGGTCTCGAGCTCCTAACCTTGTGATCTGCCCGCCACGGCCTCCCGAAGTGCTGGAATTACAGGCGTGAGCCACTGTGCCCAGCCTCTTTTTACTGTTTTTGACTTAAAGTCTGTTTTATCTGATATAAGTATAGCTACTCCTGATCACTTTTGGTTTCCCTTTGCACAGAATATCTTTTTCCACTCCTTTCCTTTCAGTCTATATGTCTCCACAGGTGAGGTGAGTTTCTTGTAGGCAGCATATATTTGGGTCATTTTTATTTTTAAAATCCATTCAGCCTGTCTATATCTTTTCAGTGGAAAGTTTAATCCATTTACATTGAAGACTATTTTTGATATGTGAGGGTTATTCCTGTCATTTTATTAATTGATTTCTGTTGCTTTATTTGTCCTTTGTCTCTTTCTTTCTCTCTTATTGTTTATCACTGTGGATTGGTGGTTTTCTTTAGTGAAAACCTTTGAATTGTTTTTCTTATTTGTGTGCTTGCTCTACCAGTGGGTTTTATACTTTCCTGTGTTTCCATGATGGTAGATACCATCCTTTTGCTTCTGGGTATAAGACTCCCTTACATATTTCTTATATAGCTGGTCTAGTGGTGATGAATTCCCTCAGCTTTTGCTTGTCTGGGCAAGACATTATTTCACCTTCATTTATGAAAGATAACTTTTCTGGATGTAGTTTCCTTGGCTGATGGTTTTTTTCTTTCTGAACTTAGAATATATCATGCCATTCTTTCTTGGCCTGTAAGGCTTATGCTGAGAAATCAACTGTTAGTCTGATAGGAGTTCCCTTATTTTCTCCTGCTGTTTTTAGAATTTTTCTCTGTCTTCAATTTTTGACAATTTGATGATAATGGGCCATGGAGAAGATCTTTTTGAATTATATCTGTTTGGGGATCTGTGCGCTTCCTGTATCTGCATGTCTAAATCTCTTGCTACACTTGGAAAGTTTTGTTACTTTGTTAAATAGCTTTTCTATCCCCTTGGTTTGTTCTTTGCCTTCTGAGACACTGAAAATTCAAATGTTTGGTTGCTTTGTGGTGTCCCATGTGTCATGTAGGCTTTGTTCATTGCTTTTTTCTTTTTTTTTAATTTTTGTATGATGGGGTTATTTTAAAAGATCTGTCTTCAAGTTCTGAAATTTGTTATACTGCTTGACCTAGTCTGTTGTTGAATTTTTTTTTTTTTTTTTTTTTTTGAGACAGAGTCTGTCTCTGTTGCCCAGGCTGGAGTGCAGTGGTGCCATCTTGGCTCACTGCAACCTCTGCCTCCTGGGTTCAAGCAATTCTTATCCCTCAGCGTCCTGATTGGCTGGGATTATAGGCACACACTACCATACCCAGCTAATTTTTCTGTTTTTGTAGAGATGGGGTTTTGCCATGTTGGCCAGGCTAGTTTCGAACTCCTGATCTCAGACAATCTGCCTGCCTAAGCCTCCCAAAGTGCTGAGATTACAGGCATGAGACACCATGCCTGGCCTTTTTTTAATGTTTATTCCACATTGTGTCAGTCCTCACATGTCTCCTGGGATCCATCTGATATGTAATCTGTTGGTTTCCCAGCAGTAATAATTTCATGTAAAATCCCAAATCTGACCTGAAATATTTTCTCTTCTCATTATCTTTACATAAATATTAACCATTTTGACATACTGAGATATAATTCAGTTGGTTCATGACTATGCTAGTAGCTCCATTTTTATATATAAATAGACATGCCTAAATCCCGTTTATTTTTTTGTATACACATTTATTTAATTTTTAACTTTTAGGTTCAAGGGTACATGTGCAGGTTTGTTATATATGTAAATTTTGTGTCATAGGGGTTTGATGTACGGATTGTTTTGTCACTCAGGTGATAAGCATAGTACCTGATAGGTAGCTTTTTGATACTCACCATCCTCCAGCCTCCAACCCTCAAGTAGGACCCAATGTCTGTTGTTCCCATATTTGTGTTCATGTGTACTCAATGTTTAACTCCCACTTATAAGTGAGAACATGTGGTATTTGGTTTCCTGTTCCTGTGTTAGTTTGCTTAGAATAATTTTTAAGCTGGATCTGGATGGCCTCCAGCTCCATTCATATTACTGCAAAGTGCATGATCTTGTTTTTATTTTAGGGCTGCATAGTATTCCATGGTATATGTGTGCCACATTTTTTTAATTCAGTTCACCATTGATGGGCACCTAGGTCAATTCTGTGTGTTTGCTATTGTGAATAGTGCTGCGATGAACATATGCATGCATGTGTCTTCATGGTAGAATGATATTTATATTCCTGTGGGTATATACTCAGTAATAGGATTGCTGGGTCACAGGGTAATTCTCAAGTTCTTTGAGAAATCACCAAACTGCTTTCCATAATGGCTGAACTAATTTACATATCCACCAGTAGTGTATAAGCATTCCCTTTCCTCTGCAACTTTGCCAGCATCTATTTTTTGGCTTTTTAATAATAGCCATTCTGACTGGTATGAGATGGTATCACATTGTAGTTTTGATTTGCATTTCTCTAGGATCAGTGATGTTGAGCGCTTTTTCATGTTTGTTAGCTGTGTGTATGTCTTCTTTTGAGAAGTGTCTGTTCATGTCCTTTGCCCTTTTTTTTTTAATGACGTTTTTTGCTTGTAAATTTCTTTAAGTTCCTTATAGATTCTGGATATTAGACCTTTGTCAGACTCCACCTCCTGGGTTCAAGCAATTCTCCTGCCTCAGCCTCCTGAGTAGCTAAGATTACAGGCACCTGCCACCACACCTGGCTAATTTTTGTATTTTTAGTAGCAATGGGTTTTCACCATATTGGCCAGACTGGTCTCAAACTCCTGACCTCGTGATCCACCCACCCGCCTCAGCTTCCCAAAATGCTGGGAGTTCTTTAGGTTTCTATTAGGTCCAATTGGTCAAGTGTTGAATTTAAGTCCAGAATTTCTGTGTTAGTTTTCCGTCTTTATGATCTGTGTGATGTTATCAGTGGGGTGTTGAAGTCCCCTGACTATTGTTGTGTGGCTAAGTCTTTTCATAGGTCTAGAGGTATCTGTTTTATTAACCTGGGTGAGCCAATGTTGGGTGCATATATATTTAGGATAGTTAAGGCTTCTTGTTGAATTGAACTCCGTATCATTATGTAATGCTCTTCTTTGTCTTTTTTTACTATTGTTGGTTTAAAGCCTGTTTTATCTGTTTTAGGAATAGTGACCCCTGCTCTTTTTTGTGTTTTGTTTGTGCGATAGATCTTTCTTCAACCCTTTACTTTGAACCTATTGGTGTTGTTACATGTGAGATGGGTCTCTTGAAGACAGCAGACAGATGGGTTTTGTTTTTTTAATCCAATTTCCACTCTGTGACCTTTCTTTCTTTCTTTCTTTCTTTCTTTCTTTCTTTCTTTCTTTCTTTCTTTCTTTCTTTTTTTTTTCAGAATCTCTCTCTGTCATCAGGCTAGAGTGCAGTGGCATGATATTGGCTCACAGCAACCTCTGACTCCTGAGTTCAAGTGCTTCTCCTGCCTCAGCCTCCTGAGTAGCTGGGATTATAGGCATGTGCCATCATGCTTGGCTAATTTTTATATTTTTAGTAGAGACAGGGTTTCTCTACATTGGCCAGGATGGTCTCGATCTCCTGACCTCGTGATCTACCCACCTTGGCCTCCCAAAATGCTGGGATTACAGGAATAGCCACCGCACCCAGCCCACTCTGTGACTTTTAAGTGGTGTGTTTACATTCAAGGTTACTATTGACATGTGAGCTTTTCACCCTATCATGAAATTGTTAGCTGGTTTTTTTGTAATTTCTATTGTGTGGTTGTTTTATAGGGTCTGTGAGCTATGTACTTAAGTGTGTTTTTATGATAGCAGGTATCATTCTTTCATTTCCATGTTTAGAACTCCCTTAGGCATCTTTTGTAAGACTGGTCTAGTGGTAATGAACTCTCTTGGCATTTGCTTCTCTAGAAAAATGTTTTTATTTCTCCTTCACTCATGAAGCTTAGTTCGGCAGGATATGAATCTTTTGATTATAATTTATTTTCTTCAAGAATTCTGAAAATAGATACCTCAATCTCTGCTGGCTTGTAAGGTTTCTGCTGAGAAGTCTGCTGTTATCCTGATGGGGCTACCTTTGTATGTGATCTGGCCTTTTTCTCCAGTGCCTTTAGGGCTTTTTCTTTGACAGTGACCTTGGACAGTCTGGTGAGTATATGCCTTGGTAATGTTCATTTTTTATAGTATCTCACAGGTGCTGTCTGGCTTTACTGTACTTAGATGTCTATCTAGCAAGATTCAAGAAATTTTCTTGAATTATTCCATCAAATATGTTTTCCAGGCTGTTTTCTTTTTCTCTTTCTCTCTAGGGCATGCCAGTAATTCGTAGGTTTGATCACTTTACATAATCTCATATTTCTGACTTTCTTCACTTTTAAAAAATCTTTTTTCTTTATCTTTGTCTGACTGGATTAGTTCAAAAGACCAGTCTTCAAGCTCTGAAATTATGTTTTCTACTTTGTCCAGTCTATTGATAAAGCTTTCAGTTGTATTTTGAAATTCCTTAAGTGAGTTTTTTTAATTCTAGAAGTTCTGATTGATTTCTTATTAAGATGTTTATCTCTTCCTTCATTTCCCGGATTGATGTAGAAGTTTCTTTTTGTTGATTTCAACCTTGAATCTCATTGAGCTTCCTTGCAACCCAAGTTTTGAAATGTTTATTGTTATCTCTGAGTTTTCATTTTGGTACGAAGCATTGCCAGAGAGCTAGTGTGATCCTTTGGTAGTGTCACTACATTCAGATTTCTCATGGTGCTAGAATTCTTGTGTGGGTCCTTCTCATCTGGAGATGCTAGCACTTCTAATTTGTGTAATTATTTTTGTTTGGGTAGGATTTTTTCTTTTTCTTTCCTTTTCTATAATATTATTGTTATTTTTTTCTTCTTTCCCTTTCCCTCCTCCCTAGGGGTGTGGCTGTAGAGCATGCTGGGTAGGGTCTTTTGGCTTTGCTTCTGTAGCCCTAATGCACTTCTGCCAGCAGGTTTTATATTGGGTGTGTGGTTTGACCTACAAGCCAGTAGATGGCGCCATGGGTAAGAGCTGGCTGTTGCCAGTGCTGCTGGCTGTGTACTTGATCCTTGTTTATTGGGAGGAGCTCTCTCCTGCCCCAGGCAAAGGGCTGATTTCCTGAGTACACATTAATCTGAGCTCCCTCAGCCCTAGGGGTAGGGGGATTGGGGGCACAAGATGGGTGGAGCCAGATAGGGAAGATTCCCCCAGTGTTGTCCTGCTCCCAGTCCAGGTTTGGGACAATGCCGGCAGCGTTTCCCTGTGTCTTTCCCCCACAAAGTCTCCAAGTCTCTCCTCAAATGAGCTCCAAGGCTTGGGAGAAACAATCTCTTCCTCTGCCCGGGTTGCGTGGATCTCCAGTGGAAAGGTGAGACAGAGGGATGCTGTCTGCCTCTCTCACTTACTGAGGCTTCACTCACTTCTATCAGTCGAATGCTGTCCTGAGGGCTGCTTGCCTGCAATGTCCTCCGCAAGATCTGGGATGTCCTTCATAATTCCGGGGAATTGCCATTTCCTTTCTTGAATTAAAGCTCACAGAGTTGGTCTTTATGTACTTGCTTGCTATTTCCAAATGACTGAGGCATGCTAAAAGCCTGTAATCTGCCATCTTGGAAAAAACATCCTTGCATCCTTAAGAGAAATGGCACTTGGTGTTGATACATGGTGTTTCTACATTGCTGAATTCACTTTGAAAATATATGTATATTTTAAAATCTACATTTATATGTGAGACTGGTGTAAAAATATCTTTTATTCTACTGTATTTGTGCAATTTTGGAATCAGTTATATTAATATACTAAATGAGTTGGCAATTTTTCTTTTTTACTATTATCCAAAAAAATTATAAAAGACATAATTGTTGCTTTCTTATAGATTTAGTAAAAACCTCATCGTGTCCTTTTGTGGAGCGATGGTGAGAGATATTTTTACTGTAAATGTAACTTGCGTATTTTTCACCTGTGAGGCAGAGGTTGCAATGAGCCAAGATTGTGCCACTGCACTCCAGCCTGCGTGACACAGCAAGACCCTGTCTCAAAAAAAAGAAAGAAAATCAACTTAAAATGCACTCCTTGAATATTTCTGAGTGTATTTTTATACCACGTATGTTCCTTGAACTAACTTCTTTTCTTTTCTAGGAAGAACCGGAACTATGATTTGTGCCTTCCTTATTGCCTCCGAAATATTTTTAACTGCAGAGGTATGAAAGATGTTCTACAAACTTTGTCTTATGATGATTGAGTTTGCTAGTTCTGAAACATCACTGGTAGGACGTTAAGGTGTTATTTGAGTCATGGTGCTTAGTAAAATTGTAATTAGAGAAGCAGTTTTTAGAAAGTCTGTTTTTGATACTTTCTTGTTTAACGTGCACTAGTTAGTAGCTGACCTCAGAATCTCTTTGGGCAAGGACTAGAGTGAGGTCAATGAGGTGCAACATTTAAGGGAATGCTAAAAATTGTAATAATTAAAATAAATAATTTTAACACAATATTTTAATAAAAATTAACGTAAAAAAATCTATGATGTATACAATATCAACATTTTAAATAAAGACAAGACCTGATGGGGCAGGATTAAGGTGCGGGGTGTAAAGCCATGTTACACAGAAAAAAACATTCAGTAATCAAGATGCTTCCCTCACTTCACCTGGCTCTGCTCTTACTCCTGCCAGTACCATGTCTTCTTCCTTCCTCGTGAGAATAGTATCAAGCTTAATTAGATAAATTCTCCAAAGAGCCTTGCCCATCCTCACAACTCTTAGGTAGATAAAAAGCAACATTTCACAACTCAAAACAAAGCCTCTCCTGAATGTAAGTATCTTTGCTTAGTCAATACATGTGGAGTCTGTGACCTCTAGAAATTTCTGATAAGACAAGGTGGGCTGTTTCCACTTAAAGCAGAGTTCTCAGTCATTTTTCTTTCTGCCATTTTCTTGCTGAGATGCTACCATTTCCAGCAGCTCTGCTCGAGTTGTTTGGCCTGCAGTCTAGGGAAGAGGTGGTGGTTGTGCACAATGCCCAGCACTCCCATTCCACCACCTTTGCTTTCTCTGATTTGAGATACACAGATTTTGAAAATGGGTGTTCTAGGATGGTGTTTTTCAAGCTATGGATCATGATTTATCAGTGAGTTGTAAAATAAAGTTACTGGGTTGTAACTGACATCTTTTAAAAATAAAATGGAATAGAGCAGAATAGAAAATATCAAAAGGTTTAAATATTGGGGTGTGTGTGTGTGTGTGTCTCCTAGGTTTATTAATGTGGATTGCAGCTTAAAAAACAAAAGGTTTGAAAGTCATTGACAGCCATTGATCCAGAGCCCTAGACTGAGATCCAGGGACCTGTATCTGCTGTGCTGCTGCTTCTAACTGGCTGCAGCATCTCCTTGGCAGGTTGCTTGGTTTTCTTTTGGTCTCAGTGTTGTCATTTGTAATATGGAAAGAAGGGTTGGACCAGATGCTTTCTAAGGTCTTTCCAGCTCTAAAATTTTATGAATGTATGAATCCTTGAATGAGAGAAGTCCTAATTTTGTTATTTTCACTAACCTCTGCCCAAAGATCACTCGGCCGGGCACAGGTGGCTCACACCTGTAATCCCAGCACTTTGGGAGGCTGAGGCAGGTGGATCTCTTGAGGTCAGGAGTTTGAGAGCAGCCTGGCCAACATGGTGAAACCCCTATCTCTACTAAAAATCCAAAAAATTAGCTGGGCATGGTGGTACACACCTGTAGTCCCAGCTACTCAGAAGGCTGAGACAGTAGAATCACTTGAACCCAGGAGGCAGAGGTTGCAGTGAGCTTAGATCCTGCTACTGTACTCCAGTCTGGGTTACAGAGCAAGACTCTACCAAAAAACAAACAAACAAACAAACAAAATCACTGACTTTAGGAAAGAAGGTGGGTGTAGAAACCCTAAGGGTACCTAATATAGGAAAGGAAAGAGTGCAGATGAACCATGGTTGGATTGTACCCTTTTTTGCAGGAAAGCCTGTATTATTTTGGAGAAAGGCGAACAGATAAAACGCACAGCAGTAAATTTCAGGGACTAGAAACTCCTTCTCAGGTAAGTTTTCTTTTTAAAAATGGGAGGTTTTTTTAGGGGAGTGGGTTAAGATTGCCAGCTGTTATTTGGTTTCATTTTAGACTCTTCTCCTTTGGTGATCAGGCAGCAGCAGTTGGGTGCCCTGCAACAGGCCTTGGTCCCTCCCTGAGTCTGAGGGTCACGCTTTAGGTGCTGCCCACATGCTGGGGACTCTGGCTTCTCCTCAGAGAATCCTGCTTTCTATTCTATACTGGTTATTGTTTATGGAGCTCAGGAGTTGATTATTTTCCCAAAGTAGGAAGGTCCAGTACCCAAGGCTCCAGGACTCTGAAGTGTGTCTAAAATCACCAGCCTTTGATTTCAATGTAAAAAAGATCCAAGTCTTTCACAAACCCTTACTTGGGCAATTCAACCCTTGCAAAACATCACAAAGAACTGTTTTTGGATGACTCATGGTTGTGTGTGTGTGTGTGTGTGTGTGTGTGTGTGTGTGTGTGTATTTTCTGTGTGTTGTGGGGGAGGTGTATTTTAAAAGAGAAAATAAAAGGAGAAATAAACTTTTCAAAACCCCTTCTGTATACCAGACAGTATTGCACTTTTACGTATCTCATTTAATACCCATAACACCTATATGAAATATACACTGTTACTCTGTTTTTTCTTTTAGAAACATTTTGTTATGGAAAATTTTAATCATATACAAAAGTCCAGAGCATCATACAATATATCCACATATAGTCGTCACATTGCTGCAACAGTCATTTCAGCCGGCAGCCAGCCACATTTCATCCGTTCTTTCCCACTCCACTCACACCCCTCAACCCCACTCTCCACTCTTGCTTTCCCTAAATCTGAGTTATTTTAAAGGAAATTTCAGTCGTCAGATCATTTTATCCCATAGCATTTTAGTATGACATTTAAGTACTCTTAAAACAACAACAAAAAACCTTAACACTTTTTATCATATCTAAAAATATTATACCTTAAAAATCCTTCATATCAAATTTGTAGTCCATGTTTGTTTCCAGAATTGTCTTAAAATCTTTGAAAATTTAGTTTGTTTAATCAGAATTCAAACAAAGTCCACACATTTCATTTGGTTGCTGTGTCTCCTAAGTCTCTTTTAAGAATCTAAGTTCATAGATTTCTCACCATTTTTTATTACTTGTAATTTGTTTATTGCAGAAACCAGGATGTTTATCCTATAGCATTTACAACATTCTAGACTTTGCTGAACTATTCTAATATTCACTATCTCATTTAATATTCTCAATAACTCTATGAGTAGGCACTACTGTCATTCTCATCTTATAAATTAGAAAATTGAGGTTCAGAGAAAGTAACTTTTGAACCAAGGACTGAAATCTAGATGTCAGTCTCTGAAGCCCTTTTTGTGCACAGCTTCTCATTTATATTGCCTTTTCTATATTGCCCCTGAAACTGAAGTGAGAGTGGGTTGGGAATTCCGAAATGGATTTGGATGTGGCTGTAAATGAGTTTTTCTTTAAGTGGTGGGAGCTGAGTAAGTACTCTTGGCCCCGTTAGAAGAACACTCTAACTACCGGCCCTAAACCTTTAGTTTGGGCCAGAAGAACTCAGCCTTATCCACTGATACTTTTCTCCCACACCCAAGCCCAAAACAAAACAAAACAAAACAAAGATATTCATAGACCCTAAGCTAAAAGTGATAGGTGAATTTACTGAAGTGCAGCCCTAATCATGCCATTTCCATGCTCAAAATCCATACTATGTCCCCACTGCCAATGGCAATAAACTAAACGTTTCAACCTGGCACTCAAGAGCCACACTTTGACTTTTCCAACCTTCTCTTCCACTATGTGCATGCACACATCCCATACTCCAACACATTTAGACTGTGTGCTCTTTCCCAGCCTATGGACACTTGATACCCTCATGCCGTTGCTCATGCCCCCTTTTCCTAGAGTCCCTTTCCCTTCTCAGCCTGAAGTAGTCTCTTGCTTTTTCAATTCTTAGAGCCCTTTGTGTTTCTTTTAGAGACTACATCACTTTGCATCATTCTCTAGTTATTTGAAGTGGTGACTTCTGTATCCCCTTTAAAGGCAAAGCCCATGGCTTACCCATCTTTCCACCCTTTTCTCGTAATATCTTGTTGTTTGTAGTGAGTGCCTCCTATGTGTTGGTTGTATTAATTTCTACTACAAGTCCATGTTGTTTTAAGTTGTAGGAGAAGGAAGCGTGGGAGCACAAGCAGCTTGAGGGCCCTGGTGTTTTACAGCCCTTAGGGAAAGGTGGAGAATCTAGTGGCAGAAGCTAAGGGGATGCTAGGTGGAGCTCCTTCAACAACTCTCCCCACACATCTCCTCATCCCCATTTCTTCTGCAGTCATGCATAGTTTCCCTAACTTTAGTCCAGAACTAGCACATCAAAGCTGCAACTGAATCTCTTCTGATTCACTGAAAAAGCAACAAAGGGATTCAGCTGCACGTTTGAGAGCTGTTGGCAAGACCTCAGGACAGAGTGCCCTCTGTGTCTGGTGGTGATTCTCAGACACCATCACATTCTGATCCTGCATTGTTAGCCATTCTACTGACTACATCTACTCCTAAGTTAAGGACTTTCTTGAGCCTATCTCATGACTGGCCCTTTCTGAAGGGAAGTATGGCAGCTAGTTACTTTAATGAGCATTTCCCAATGGGTAAGGAACAGTCTGTGAACCTATGAGTTTTGTTTTGTTTTGTTTTGTTTTTAATTTTTGAGACAGAGTCTCGCTCTGTCGCCCAGACTAGAGTGCAGTGGTGCAATCTCAGCTCACTGCAACCTCGACGTCTTGGGTTCAAGCGATTCTCCTGCCTCAGCCTCCCAAGTGGCTGGGATTATAGGTGCCCATCACCACGCATGGCCTATTTTTGTATTTTTAGTAGAGACAAGGTTTCACCCTGTTGGCGAGGCTGGTCTCAAACTCCTGACGCCCAGTGATCTGCCCACCTCGGCCTCCCAAAGTGCTGGGATTACAGGCGGGAGCCACCATGATGGCCAACTTTTGAATTCTGAACCAGTTGATTGAGTACCAGAGCTCTTCAATACCTTGAAGAAAGATTCAGGGGAGAGCCGTTGTGAACAGCTTGCCCCAGGGAAAGGACAAGGCTGAGAGAATTCCAGGGCTTCCTTGAGAAAACAGAATTGAGGAAATGCAAAGTGAAGAATTCTAGCATCAGGAACAAGAGAAGAATGATGGAAAACCTGCTACTGAGGTATGGAGGTATTCCTCTGGAGTTTTCACTTATACCATTCTCTCATGCCCAGGAAGCTGCTCTTCACCAAACCACAAGCCTTCCTCTAACTCAGTCACAACTAAGCTTCTATCTGGACACTGATGATGCTGTAACTGTTTTGTTGTGCTTCTGATTAGTTGCCCTCTCAACCATAAGCAGCCTATAAACAGGGCCTGGCTCCATCCTTGTTACTTCCCCATTGCACTGAATTCAGTATTTTTCCCTCAAGGTAGATAGTTGTGGGGCAGCATCCCTAAAAATGTCCAGTTATATAATGGCATCCAGTAAATGTTTTCTTAATTACTTACCTCCATTAACAAGCTTTATGCAAAAAAAAAAAAAAAAAAAGGAATGCTGACTTTAGACTTCATCTCCACTTAAAGGAAGATTTCTGTTGCTTTTCACAATAGATATGTTGGATATTTTGCACAAGTGAAACATCTCTACAACTGGAATCTCCCTCCAAGACGGATACTCTTTATAATAAGATTCATTATTTATTCGATTCGTGGTAAGTGCTTTATGTGTAATTGAAGAATTGGGCAGGAGGGCCAATGTCCCCACTCTGGGAGAGTTTTGCTCATAGTTATATATACAGATGAGCCTAACTCATACCTGTCTTTTTACATATTGTCACACAGGAACTCCTCCTTATTTATGCCCCTCCTCCTGCAATTGCCCATTGATTGCCAGCCCTGAGATGTTCTTCACTTTTTCTTTTCCATCACCAACTTGGGGGACTTCATCCCCTTCCCATCTCTCCTGTTCTCATTGCTCCTCCGGTCTCAACCCAGGTGGACTTTTCCGGGCAGAGGGAGCCTCTGATGAGGGAGGAGGAGGACCCATGTGCCCTCAAGCCTGCTTATTTCTCAGAACCACCTCTAGTTCAGAGTTTGCCTTGGTGGAGGTGTCTCCGTATCGTATCATTTTCTCACCTTCTTTTAGAGGCATTTTTTTTTCTCATCACCCTGGGCTCTCCCTTTCCCCTCTCTCCTCCATCTGTAACCCTCTCACTCCCAGCTTACACTCAGGGGAGGCGGGAAAGCAGGATGTGTCTGTGTGGAAGGAATGGGGACTCACCACTCCCACTGCCAGAGAGGTAGCAGGGAGGTGATGCTTCGGAACCCCTAAAGCAAACCTCTTCTAGCAGCCAGCTTGTGGACCTGAGATGGTGCCAGTGCTGGGTGCTATAGGTGCCATGGGGCCAGGATGCTGGTGTCCACACAGACAGCGTAGTATTTTTAGCCTTCTGAGTTTAGTTCTACATTTCACTGATTTCTGGTAGACATCAATAGAAGGAAGTTCTGCACCTGGAATGGGAAAGAGGGAACTGAGGCAAGAAACTGTGATTTCTAATGACAAATGAATATCATGGTGTTAGTGAAAACAAAATTAAATGAAAAGAAAACAAACAGCATATGAGATGAGCAATCAAAGATAATACACTTGTTTATTAAAATATTTGTTTTAATTTTCTACCTTTAGTTTTGTACATATTTGAATTAAAATTAACGTAGAGTTGAGAGAAAAGCAATAAAAAAATTAATTGGCTGAGAAACCAAGTCTTTGAGGAAATGCTGAGGGAAGTGGGTCATTTGAATTGAAAAAAAAGGAACAAAAGAGCCTTTGTCTATAAATATATACTGAACACCACGGGAATTTTTGGATATAAAAATCCTATATTTTTATAGAGATTGCCTCAGGAACTGGCCTTAAAGTAGGGCCAAAGTAGTTAAACTCCAGTATTTATTATTAAGAATCATTATGATTAGAAGTCTGAGGAAAGCAACATATTAGCAAGAAAGGTTGCAAGTCACCTTCCCAGAATTGTCTTTTTCTTTTCTTTTCTTTTCTTTTCTTTTTTTTTTTTTTGGAGACAGAGTCTTGTTCTGTCATCCAGGCTGGAATGCAGTAGTGTGATCTCGGCTCACTGCAACTTCCACCTCCCGGGTTCAAGCAATTCTCCTGTCTCAGCCTCCTGAGTAGCTAGGATTACAAGCATGTGCCACCACGTCTGGCTGATTTTTGTATTTTTAGTAGAGATGTGGTTTCACCGTCTTGGCCAGGCTGGTTTAGAATTCCTGACCTCAAGTAATCCTCCACCCACCTCAGCCTCCCAAAGTGCTAGGCATGAGCCACCATGCCCGGCCTACCTTCCCTAAATATTTTTTCTGGAAAGATAAAGTGATGGGATTCTAAGTCTTTGAAGCTGAACTATGTATATGTTTTTTCTCTTCTCTAGTCTTATAAAATCTGCTTTAGGAGACAGAACTAGGCTTGAAGACTTGTCTTTCAAAGACAAAATCCATGCAAGACCAAATAAGTAACTATTGATAACATTGTTAGCTTGGATAATTTTTTCTCTTTTTAATCCATGATGTTAATTGGTGAGACATATTGATGTTCACGCTAACCAACCTAACTTTTTTATTTCATTTAGGTGTTGGAACAGGCGATGTATGTGATCTAAAATTCCAAATAGTAATGGAGAAAAAGGTTGTCTTTTCCAGTACTTCATTAGGAAATTGTTCAGTAAGAGAAAACATGTGAATTGAAAAACTCTGATGTTTGTTTTAAGGCTGAATGTCAAACCAGCAATGTTCACCTCCCTAAACTATCACTCACCATAAAGAGATTCCGTAACGCTTTCTGGTTACCATCCAACTTGGTGTCACTGGGTTTGGATGCAAACCAGAGATAAATTAACCTGTTTGTTCAAAACAGTTTTTTCAGGGTGCTTTCCAGAATTTATTTCTGGTCAGTGTTGCTTTGCCTTTCACACTTCCACAAATGCTGAGCATGTTCCCAGGAATGTATTAAGGATTTTAATTTACATATCTGGTCATTTTTAACCATATTCTCTTCTTCTCAGTCATTTGATCTTTTATTATATAGCACTGATTCTAAAACTTCAGTGTGCATGAAAACCACTGAGGAGCTTGTAAAGATTTACATTCCTAGGTTGTACCCCCAAAGTATGATTCGGGAAATCTGGAATGGGGCCCAGGAATCTATAGACTTAGCAATGTCCCAAGTGATTCTAAGTCAGACGTTCTGTGGGATGACCCTGTGAGAAACAATGCAAGGATGAATGAACTGGGGAGGAACCTCTTTATCCAAAGCAAAAGGGACCTGGTAGTCAATGTTTTGCTACAATGAAGAAATGCCTAAAACTATATACCTTTTCTGAAACAGTAAGAAAGCATCCTTCATGGTCTAATAACCATAAACTTTTAGAATTCCTACCCAGGCCTTTGTCTCAAATTCTCCTATTACTAACCCTATTCCCTGCCACCCCCTCCTCACTCCGCCCCCGGCTTTTTTGGCCTCTCCCGACTGAGGGCATTCACCCAGGCCTGACCCTTGGTTTTCTGTTCTTAGCAAATGCTTTATTCTTAAAGGGTGACCCATTCCCCTTACTTCAACTATTATTTGTTCATTTACTGAACAGCTGATGCAGGAGCTACAACATGAACAGTTTCCACTCCAACTCAAATGCATTAGCCAGTCTGAATTATCAAGGAGCTTTCTCTCTGCCTCTGCAAATGGCACCAGCATTCTTCCACTCACGCCTTGGGCTTTGATTCTCTTTGCCTCAGCCCCCTAAATCCAGCTAGTCATCCATCTCTGTTGATTATGGCTTTGACAGTTTTCTATGTTCTCCTTCCTTTCTGTTCTCACTGCCACTAATTGTCCAGAATCTCCTTTGCTCAGCGTAGATTTCTGCAGTGGTCTCCTTACCCTTTCTTTCTCCTTCTATAATGCAATGTATAGAATCCTGAAATATGCATCCTGAAATATTCCTCTCATTGTGAAAAATTGTAGGTAGAGCAGAAGACACACTGTGTGCCCATGGTCAGAGCCAGTTAACACCTTTGGCTCAACATCCTTATCTGTAAAATAAATAACACATCCAAGTGTAATGGGAATTCAATTAGATAATATATATAAAGTTTCTTTGTGAACTATAAGTCACTAAATAAGTGTCATATGTGATAATTATCAGGCCTCTTTGTCACATAGGAAATGCCCCACCATATTTTTCAACAACTTCTCTCTTTTTTCCTTGGCTGTTGAGCTCTTAAGATATAATAGCCCTAACGTAATACCTGAGCTTTTTTCCATCAGTAGCTTGACCAGCAGACTTCATTCCAAATAAACTGGGTCATCCCTTTTTGCTCTTGGAACACAACTCTAATTTAGTTATTTGGTTATAAATAAGTTATTTGGTTATAAATAAGTTAAAGAAATAACTTATTTCTTTCTTTCCTTCCTTTCTTCTTTTACTTTTTTTTTTTTTTTTCTTGAGCCAGGGTCTTTTTCTGTCACCCAGGCTGTAGCGCAGTGGCATGATCATGGCCTACTGTAGCCTCAACCTCGAGCTCAAGCAATCCCCCAATGTTTTTTTATGTTTTGAAGAGGCTGGGACTTGCTATGTTGCCCAGGCTGGTCTCAGACTCCTGGGCTCAAGCAACGCGTCCACCTCAGCCTCGCAATGTGCTGGGATTATAAACATGAGCCACACTGCCTGATATTGTTTGTTGTTGTTTTTCCAATTTTTTTTCTTTTCTTTTTGTTTTTGAGACAGAGTTTTGCTCTTGTTGCCCAGGCTGGAGTGCATTGGCACAATCTCGGCTCACCACAACCTCTGCCTCCTGGGTTCAAGCGATTCTCCTGCCTCAGCCTCCCAAGTAGCTGGGATTACAGGCATGCACTACCACGCCTGGCTAATTTTGTATTTTTAGTAGAGATGGGGTTTCTCCGTGTTGGTCAGGCTTGTGGGGAAAAGAAAGAGACATCAGACTGTTACTGTGTCTACGTAGAAAGAAGTAGACATAAGAGATTCCATTTTGTTCTGTACTAAGAAAAATTCTTCTGCCTTGAGATGCTGTGCTGGCAGAAACGTGCTGTGTTGACTCAAGGTTTAATGGATTTAGGGCTATGCATGATGTGCTTTGTTAAACAAATGCTTGAAGGCAGCATGCTTGTTAAAAGTCATCACCACTCCCTAATCTCAAGTACCCAGGGACACAAAACACTGTGGAAGGCGGCAGGAACCTCTGCCTAGGAAAGCCATGTATTGCCCAAGGTTTCTCCCCAGGTGATAGTCTGAAATATGGCCTCGTGGGAAGGGAAAGTTCTGACCGTCCCCAGCCCGACACCCATAAATGGTCTGTGCTGAGGAGGATTAGTGAAAGAGGAAGACCTCTTTGCAGTTGAGATAAGAGGAAGGCGTCTGTCTCCTGCCCCTCCCTGGGCAATGGAATGTCTTGGTGTAAAACCTGATCGTATATTCCATCTACTGAGATAGGAGAAAACTGCCTTAGGGCTGGAGGTGAGACATGCTGGCAGCAATACTGCTCTTTAATGCACCGAGATGTTTATGTATGTGCATATCAAAGCACAACACCTTTTTCTTAACCTTGTTTATGATACAGAGACATTTGTTCACATGTTTTCCTGCTGACCCTCTCTCTCCCCACTATTACCCTATTGTCCTGCCACATCCCCCTCTCTGAGATGGTAGAGATAATGATCAATACTGAGGGGACTCAGAAACTGGTGCCAGCGTGGGTCCTCCCTTTGCTGAGCGCTGGTCCCCTGGGCCCACTTTTCTTTCTCTATACTTTGTCTCTGTGTCTCTTTGTTTTCTCAGTCTCTCATCCCACCAAAGGAGAAACACCCACAGGTGTGGAGGGGCAGGCCACCCCTTCAAGGCTGGTCTCAAACTCCCGACCTCAGGTGATCTGCCCACCTCAGCCTCACAAAGTGCTAGGATTACAGGCATGAGCCACCATGCCTGGCCCATTTTTCTAATTTCTACTTTGCATTATTGCTGGTCTTTTTCCCTCCGTTTGGACTAGAGTCTATTTTCAGAGCTCTTCTTCCTTTATCTAAACTGCTTCATGCCCAATTCAATTTCTACCTCCTTAATGAAATTTTTGCATTCTGTACCTTCTGTTAACTAGCCCCCAATAGTGCATAACAGCACGCCCAGTCTTTATCATACAGATTATGTTATGTCCCATTCTACTATTGTTTCTTATGTGTACAGCTCCCAAAAGGGGCCAACTGAGTCTGCACCTCCTTTTGTGTTTTCTACAGGGCCTAGCATAGACCTTTCTTATTGTGGGTGCCTTTATTTATATGAGAGTGAGTCAAAGAAATAGTATAGCCTCAAAGTCATTCATACCATAACTTGAGCTATCTTTGGTTACTCCATCCAGCAGCCTGCATTGGTCAAGTTCAAAGATCCCATTGACAAACACAAGAGTTCTGATAAAACATGATGAGCAGGGGGACCCCACTCTCCCTCTCCCTTGGGAGGGGCATGCGGGCCCAACCCCCAAGTATTGCAGACCCCCGTTCTTATTTTTTAAATTTAGGAAATATAAAACCATGATGAGTTACACATTGCTTTTTGAATGTCAATGCTAGCTTTAAAATTGAGCTTCTTAATATATTCTCAAAAAAGGCCCTAACACATGAAAATCAAATGACACACATTAAATGATAATATTTAATTGATTAAAGTCTAATAGAAAATTCAATACTTTTTAAAAGTGTGGCACTTTTGAAAAGTGCCTCATGGCCAGGCACAGTGGCTCATGCCTGTAATCCCAGCACTTTGGGAGGCCAGGGTGGGTGGATCACGAGGTCAAGAGATTGAGACCATCCTGGCCAACATGGTGAAAGCCCGTCTCTACTAAAAATACAAGAATTAGTTGGGCGTGGTGGCACGTGCCTGTAGTCCCAGCTACTTGGGAGGTTGAGGCTGGAGAATCAATTGAACCCGGGAGGTGGAAGTTGTAGCGAGCCGAGATCATGCCACTGCACTCCAGCCTGCTGACAGAATGAGACTCTGTCTCAAAAAAAAAAAAAAAGAAAAGTGGTTCATGATAACCCTCAAACATGTTGGCCTTTAAAAGACATAAACAACAGGCCGGGTGCAGTGGCTCATGCCTGTGATCCAGCACTTTGGGAGGCCCAGGCAGGCAGATCACTTGAAGCCAGGAGTTTGAGACCAGCCTGGCTAATATAGTGAAACCCCATCTCTACTAAAAATTCAAAAATTAGCTGGGTATGATGGCATGTGCCTATAGTCCCAGCTACTCGGGAGGCTGAGGCACAACAATCACTTGAACCTGGGAGACAGAGGTTGCCGTGAGCCGAGATCACGCCACTGCACTCCAGCCTGGGTGACAGTGAGACTCTGTCTCAAAAAACAAAAAACAAACGAAAACACACACACACACACACACACACACACACACACACACACACAGACAACAGTATTGCAACTAGAAAAGATTATTAATAATTATTTATGCATGTAGTGATTGGGCTGTGAGACCAAAAGTACTTGATAAATATAGGAAGTCATGATAAGTGAAAAGGACCTTTTGTTATCGTTATCTAGGTTTGTAGTTCTCAATTCCATGTGTTCATTCACAGATACTGCATGACATTGAAACAGCTGGTGTATTAACTAATGTATATGACAGTCCATCTCTGTACGATGATGTGAAAGTGCAGTTTTTCTCTTCGGTGAGTAATCACAAAATAGCCTCTGCCATTGTTCTTGTCTGGTCTAATGATTTTATTTAAGATTTGCTTTACTACAATTCCCAACAAGGGAGGGGGAGGGGGAGGAAAACAATAAATCAGATCTATAACAAATTTTTTTAAAAGAACATATGTAATTTGAATAATTTTTGTTCATTTGTTTTTTTCTAAATTGTAAATTTTCTAAATTTTTCTAAATTTACATGTATTCTCAAATACATGTAAACACAAAAATACAAAATAAACACAAAAAAAGTAAAAGCCAAGATGCTAAAAAAAAAAAAAAAAAAACCCAAAGGTATGTTTTACTGCATAGCAATGATTACATTTTGTTTTGCATCTTTTTTAAAAAATTAAGAAGTTGAGACAGAGTCTCACTCTGTCACCCAGGCTGGAGTGCAGTGGCATGATCATAGCTAACTGTAGCTTCAACCTCCTGGGCTCAAGCAATCCTCCCACCTCAGCCTCCCGAGTAGCTGGGAGCACTGACTGGAAAGAGAGTTAGGTTTGGGTGACTCAGCTAGGTGAAACACAGAGGAGGTAGCACAATACAACACATGAAATAACCAAAACAGTTTTTTATTAATTCCAGAGAGAAGAGGGCAGCACACTTCGCAGGGCCAACTGGAAGGGGGAGCCATCCAGGAGACCTGTGCTCGACTGATGGGTGGGAGCAATAGCGAGAGACAGGGAGGGACCTGAGAGTGGAAGCCTTTATTGGGATGTAAGGTGGTACCTGAGCAGGTTTCCTGTGGGGAGGTCTAATTTGGTTTAACACAAGCAGCCATGAGTCTCTACTGTGACTGAGAGGTGGTCACTGATATATCCACGTGGTCCCTGCAGAGTATGGGGGCCTATGGGGGGAGTCAAGTAGGTTATATCTAGCTGTCCCATAATAAAGTGGTCACCAGGGGAAGGTTGTATAAGGCAGATATCGGGATCAGTCACATGGAGAAACTGGGAGATGAACTGGAAACTGCTGAGGGTGACTGAACCCTGCTTCTGATATCAGAAAGTCCAATTTATATTTAAAAGGGATGCTGAGGCAACAAAAAAATTATAAGAATTCACTACAATCTAGTTGGGTATATATAGGCATAGGTCCTTAGTAGAGTCTGTTTGGCACTATCTAAACCAGATTCAAATAGCAGCATTTAAATTAAATACCTATCATGGAAAAAATACTATTCCTTGAAAATTTTGATAGAAACAGCAAGAGAATGCAATAGCATTTTCTTAAAGCCTCCTCCTTTGTGTCTTGAGTGTATTATAGATTGCAGAGTGCCACATATTTAATGGTTATAATTGTTTGATAAATATAAAAAGGAATAAAGGAAGGAACTTTAATTTCTTTGGAATGATTAGTTCTTGGTATCAGTTTTACTTTGAAATTTTTTTTCTTTTTAGAATCTTCCTAAATACTATGACAATTGTTCATTTTTCTTCTGGTTCAACACATCTTTTATTCAAAATAACAGGTATGAATATAATATAAACCCATAGAAACAGCCATTAGGCTGTCTGCTCAGCACCTTCAATATATCAGGTCTCTGTCGGTAGGTGCTGATTTACCAGTGACGAACCACCACCAAATTTTGTGCTAAAGTAAGGCAGGACCTAGGGAGGCTTCAGCTAGATGAAAAGCTGACAGACACACTTAAATCTAGGAGAAGTTACAAGACACAGTATTAAGGAATACAGCTAAGAAATATCATTAAGTAATGGTCTATTTAAATAGCCATTTAAATGTGGCTTTCTAATAACTGAATTGGGAAATCTTTCTGAAAAATTATTAATTGGGTTTGGAGATTATTGTTCCAAAAAAACCTACCATATTTGGAAATGCATTTCTCAGTCTAGAAGTTCTCCACTATAAGTAGCATTTGTTTTGTGATGGTGAAAAATTGGGATTTTTTTTTTGTATCAACCATACTCTTCAATACAAAAGGACAAAATATTTTTTAAATGATTTAGGTCAGAATTGAAGAAGTGGCTATGATTATATGTGGCATGAATTGATAGTTATTGTTACATCCAGTCCTAATCTTTTCTTCAAATGTGAACTGGATCGAATAACTCCTTAAGTCCAGCAAGGCAACAGGAAATTAAACCTCTGGTCTACATACTTGCAATGCAAAACATTTAATGGATTTTGATAGAGTGAACTTTGGATTTGACGGAAATTTTTACAAGTTTTTTTTTTGGATGCATACAAACATTAAACTTTTTCTTCTAACATGAGCAAAGTCCCTCAAAAAGTGAGACCTGGATGTAGCTTCATTTGATGCTGCTCCTCGAAAGTGGTTCTTGCTAAAGGATACAGTCTTTTTCCTTTAAAACACTATGTTCATTTTGGAGAAGTGATAAGCTAGATCACTTTTATTCTTACTTTTATATAAATTTCTAAAGATTTCTTTAACATTTAAATTTACATATTACTTGGTAAAGCTGTTTTTGTTAGTTATGAGATTGTTGTTTAGCCAAAAATGCTAACTTCTATCATTTAGAACACTAGGCATAAGTGGGTTAACCAATTTATGCCTAGTGTTCCATTATTGGAATGCTCAGCATGTGGGAGTTATATCCTACTGCTCAAGGTCATTTCCAAGGTCTGATTGTAAAAATTCAAAAAATTGCAACCTCACACATAAATTAAAAGAGATATAGTATTTTATTACTGGGTTTTCATTCATGTCTATCCTGACTGATTTCTGTCACAGAGAGAAATTTAGATATTTTATTAAACTTGGAAGTCATTAATGCCATATAAAGCAATGCTAAGAGAGTCAGCATGTGTTACTGATGTGTTGCTGAAGATTAAAGTATTTTTAAGTCTCACCAAAAAGGTGGAAGGAGCCAACTGAGACACAAAAAAGGGGCTGAGGTTCTATTCACGGTGAGTTTCTTTTTTTGTTTCTTCCAGCTCTAACTAACGTGGGTATCCAACTGCGTGGCTTTTCGGTGAGCCCCAATATAAAATGTAATAATTTTTTTTCTATTCTTAGGCTTTATCTACCAAGAAATGAATTGGATAATCCACATCAACAAAAAGCATGGAAAATTTATCCACCAGAATTTGCCGTGGAGATACTTTTTGGCGAGAAATGACTTCCAATGACGTAGCTGGATCCGATTAAGTATAGTTTCCCCTTCCCCTTCTGGGAAAGAATTAATGTTCTTTCCAACCCCTGCCATGTGCATGTTCATATGTCCTAAGTCTTCCTTGATGATGTATCTATATTTATATATGTTTATATATGTTCTTCATAAATCTATTAAATATATATAGATAAAATGTCAGTGTTTTTCTTCTTTTTTGAAGGCACATACTTCACAGTTTCCATCTTGTATTTACATAAATTGGGAACACAGTATGCAGGAACATCAGGCATCATTTTGAAGAACTTTGAAATAGAACTTTCATAGCAAAAACTTGAGATATTTAAAAATTGTGATTCCCCAACACCCACTTACATATTTTTGGTCAAGTATTTATTCCCTGCTTTGGTTCACATTTGTAATTTCAGATTTATTAGAAAGCTAATTTATATTTTTTCTTCCACTTCATTTACAAACTGTCTGTTAACAGATTGGCAACAAAGACTAAGTTTTAAATCCAGAAGAGAGAAGTGTTTCACACAAGCAGTCCCCCAACTCCCAACACACACACAGTCTCTCATTCTGAGCACTAAATAGGTAGCTTACTTGACAAGCTTCCTTTAATCACACACAGACATGGGGGTTGGGGTAAGAAGATTGTGGTAAATATGAAGATAAGTAATCTCTGGTAACTTCTGCTTTTGTTTAAAACTGTAAGTGAAATCAAAAGAAATATTTGTTCTTAGAGTAATCTAGGTGTATTATTTTGAAATTCACTACACCTGCTCACAATTCACCTAAGCTTGGGAGGACTCTGAAGGGAGGTTATCTTTTCATTATAAACACTGGTTAGCCTTATGTCTACAGGAAATCATTATTATTTCCTCTTTGGTGCTGGGTGCTACTTTTTTTTTTTAACAAATTTTTTTATTTGTATTTTTTATTTCTTGAGACAGCATCTCACTCTGGTTGTTGAGACTGGAATGCAGTGGTGTGATCTTGGTTCACTGCAGCCTCAACCTCCCAGGCTCAGGTGATTCTCCCACCTCAGCCTCCCAAGTAGCTGGGACTATAGGCGCATGCCAGCACACCCAGCTAATTTTTTGTGTTTTTAGTAGACACGAGGTTTTGCCGTTGTTGCCTAGGCTGAGCTCAAATTCCTGAACTCAAGCAATCTGCCTGCCTCAGCCTCCCAAATTGCTGGTATTGAGGCATGAGCCACCACGCCCAGTCTGTGGGTGTTACTTTATTCAAAACACCTTTATTGCCACTGTATCTTCAGGCCATGATTGTCCTTGAAAACATTCTATCTTGGCCTTATTGAAATTATTCTTATTTGAATGATTTTCCTTTTATTGTCAAGGCCCTCAACAATCTAGACCAAGATGAGTTCATCAGGAAATGAAAGGTAACAACTAATAAGACAAGTGTCACTGCTAAAACACGGTATACTCATTCCTGAAAAACCTGGCACTCTACAGAAAGGACTAAAAAAAGAAGCGGTCCATGAAAATACAGTTTGAGAGTCCAGGGCAATCCTGTCCGGCATAGCAACTTTCTAACCAACACACTAACCGCTCGGGCCACCCAAATCAGCAGCTCAGTGTCGGGAGTTTGCCATAGAGCTTTTTAATTTTTGAGTGGAAATAGAAAAATACTTGCTCTAAGGGCTGTGGGTACCAGAATGGCACAGATGAGAGTAGAGCCCTGAGCCATGGTGGGCACGGAAGGCAGCAACCTGCCAGGAGCCAAGAGCCCCACTAGACTGGTGAGCCACCTCGCTGCAGGTGATTTTTTCTCCTCTAAATATTCCAAAAACGTTCCGACTGCCCATGCAGCAGCCCAGCTAAGGCCTTTTTCCTTTACTCCCCCTGACCTGGCTCCTGCTTTGAGGAAAAGATCATAGAACGTGCTTTCAAATTCCTTTCATGTTAATATTATGCCCTGCCATTCATATGACAGAAACATGTAGGCACAACATAGGTTACACTATTTCCTTTAAAATTCACACAGCCACAATCTACAGAGGGCATATTATGTCCTGGGTTTAGGTGAATAGGGAGGAAAATACTTAGCTGGCTCAGTGAAGATTAAGATCTGTCTTTTTCAGTACCAGAAATACAGGAAGGAAGGAAACCCCCTTTTTTATTTTAAGAATTTCCCTTTTTGAAATAAGGAGATTACCATTAAGGTTTCTCTTCCCCAGACCTCCAAGACCCACCAAAATTTCTGGAAATTATGAGTTGTCACACTATTCTGCTTTCGCTTATTCAAAGAAAACTCATTTAAGGCCTCTTTGGGTATTGCTTTCTTAGAATGCAAAATGAATGATTCTTTGAACAACTCAAGAAACTTAGATCAGAATGATACTCATGTCTTAAAATTTTAACTTTAATTTTAAATACAGGGGGAATGTGTGCAAGTTTGTTACATCAGTATATTGCACCCCGGTAGTGAGCATAGTACCCAATAGGTAGTTTTTCAACCCGCACCCTTCTCCCTCCATCCCCCTCTAGTAGTCCACAGTGTCTATTGTTCCCATCCGTATGTCCAAGGGTACCTGTTGTTTAGCTCTCATAAGTGAGAATATGTGGTATTTGGTTTTCTGTTCCTGCATTAATTTGCTTAGGATAATGGCCTCCAGCTCCATCTATGTTGCTGCAAAAGACATGATTTCACTCATTTTTATGGCTGTGTAGAATTCCATCGTGTATATGTACCACATTTTCTCTATCCAATCCACCACTGATGGGCACCTAGGTTGATTCCATATCTTTACTATTGTGAATAGCACAGCAATGAACATATCAGTGTGTGTGTCTTTTGGTAGAATGGTCTTTTTTCCATTGGGTATATATCCAATAATGGGGTTGCTGGGTCAAATGGTAGCTCGTTTTAAGTTCTTTGAGAAATCTCCAGACTGCTTTCCACAGTGGCTGAACTAATTTACACTCCCACCAACAATGTATAAACGTTCCCTTTTCTCTGCAGCCTTGCCAGCATCTGTTGTTTTTGAGTTTTTATTAATCTCCATTCTGACTAGTGTGAGAGGGTATCTCACTGTGGTTTTGATTTGCACTTCTCTGACAATCCGTGACGTGAAACATTTTTTCAGATGCTCATTGGTCACTTGTATGTCTTCTTTTGAGAAGTATGTGTCATGTTCTTTCCACATTTTTAATGTGGCTATTTGGTTTCTGTGTGTGGATTTGTGTAAGTTCCTTATAGATTCTGGATATTGGACCTTTGTTGGATGCATAGTTTGCAAATGTTTCCTCCTGTTCTGTGGGTTATCTGTTTGCTCTGTCGATCATTTCTCTTGCTGTGCCAAAGCGCTTTAGTTTTATTAGGTCTGACTTGTCAATCTTTGTTGTTATTGCAATTGCTTTTGGGGACTTAGTTAAAAATTCTTTCCCAACCAGGCGCGGTGGCTCACACTTGTAATCCCAGCACTTTGGGAGGCTGAGGCGGGTGGATCACGAGGTCAGGAGATCGAGACCATCCTGGCTAACAGGGCGAAACCCTGTCTCTACTAAAAATACAAAAAATTAGCCGGGCGTGGTGGCGGCGCCTGTAGTCCCAGCTACTCAGGAGGCTGAGGCAGGAGAATGGTGTGAATCCAGGAGGTGGAGCTTGCAGTGAGCTGAGATCACCCCAGTACACTCCAGCCTGGGAGACAGAGCGAGACTCCATCTCAAAAAAAAAAAAAAAAAATCTTTCCCAAGGCCAATGTCAAGAAGGGCATTTCTGAGGTTTTCTTCTAGGATTTTTATCACTTGAGGTCTTACATTTAAATTTTTAATCTATCTCCAGTTAATTTTTATATATGATGAAAGGTATGGGTCCAGTATCATTATTCTGCATATTGCTAGCCAGTTACCCCAACACCATTTATTGAATAGGGAGTCCTTCCCCTATTGCTTGTTTTTGTCAGCCTTGCAGTATCAGGTGGTTATAAGTGTAAGGCTTTATTCTGGGTTTTCTATTCTGTTCCATTGGTCTATATGTCTGCCTTTGTACCAGTACCATGCTGTTTTGGGTACTATAGCCTTATAGTTTGAAGCCTCTGGCTTTGCCCATTTGCTTAGATTTGCTTTGGCTATTGAGGCTTTTGGTTTCATATGAATTTTAGAATACTTTTTTTCTAATTCTGTGAAGAATGACATTGGTAGTTTGATAGAAATAGCACTGAACCTGTCAATTGCTTTGGGCAGTATGGTCATTTGAATGATACTGATTCTTCCAATCCATGAGCATGGAAAGTTTTTCCATTTAATTGTGTTATCTCCGATTTCTTTCCGCAGTGTTTTATAGTTCTTGTAGAGATCTTTCACATCCTTTGGTAGCTGTATTCCTAGGTATTTCATTTTCTTTGTGGCTACTGTAAATGGGATTCTGTTCTTGATTTAACTCTCAGCCTGGACATTATTGGTGTATAGAAATGATGTTGATTTTTATACAGTGATTTTTTTATCCTGAAACTTTGCTAAAGTTGTTTATCAGTTCTAGTAGCCTTTTGGCAGAGTCTTTGGTTTTCTGGGTATAGAATCATATCATCAGCAAAGAGAGATAGTTTGACTTCTTTTCCTTTTTGGATGCCTATTCTTTCTTTCTCCTGCCTGAGTTCTCTAGGTAGGACTTCCAGTGCTATGTTGAATAGGAGTGGTGACACTGGGCATCATTGTCTTGTTCCTTTTCTCATGGGGATTGGTTCCAGCTTTTGCCCATTCAGTAGGTTGGTGGCTGTGAGTTTGTCATAGATGGCTCTTATTATTTTGAGGTATGTTCCCTTGATGCCTAGTCTGTTGAGGTTTTTAATGTGAAGGGATGTTGGATTTTATCAAAAGCCGTTTCTGCATCTATTGAGATGATGATATGGTTTTTGCTTTTAGTTCTGTTTATGTGGTGAATCACATTTATTGATTTGCATATGTTGAATCAGCCTTGCATCCCTGGACTGAAGCCTTCTTGATTGTGGTGTATTAACTTACTGATGTGCTGCTGGATTCTGTTTCCTAGTATTTGGTTAAGAATTTTTGTGTCTATGTTGATCAGAGTAATTGGCCTGAAGTTTTCTTTTTGTGTGTTTCTCTGCCAGATTTTGGTATTAGGCTGATGCTGGCTTCATAGACTGAGTTAGGGAGGAGCCCCTCATCCTTAGTTCTTCGGAATAGTTTCAATAGAACTAGTACCAGTTCTTTTTTTTTTTTTTTTTAGACAGAGTCTCACTGTGTCACCCAGGCTAGAGTGCAGTGGTGAGATCTTGGCTCACTGCAAGCTCTGCCTCCCAGGTTCACGCCATTCTCTCGCTTCAGCCTCCCGAGTAGCTGGAACAACAGGTGCTCACCACCACGCCTGGCTAATTTTTAGTTTTTGTATTTTTAGTAGAGACGGGGTTTCACCATGTTGGCCAGGATGGTCTCTATCTCCTGACCTTGTGATCTGCATGCCATGGCCTCCCAAAGTGCTGGGATTACAGGGGTGAGCCACCGCGCCCAGCCTCAGTTCTTTGTACATCTGGTCGAATTCAGCTGTGGCTTCATCTGGTCCAGGGCTTTTCCTTGTTGGTAGATTTTTTATTGATGATTTGATTTCTGAACTTGATATTTGTCTATTTAAGGTTTCAGTCTCTTTCTAGTTCAATCTTGGGAGATTGTATGTTTCCAGGAATTTATCCATTTCCTCTAGATTATCTAATTTGTGTGCATAGAGTTGTTTATAGTATTCTCTGAGGATCTTTTGTATTTCTGTGGGATTGGTTGTAATGTCATCTTTGTCATTTATGATTGTACTTATTTGGCCCTTCTCTTTTTTTCTTTGTTTAGCTATCACACTATCCATCTTGCATATTTTTTGAAAAACTAATTATTGGTTTCATTGATCTTTTGTGTGGATTTTTGCATCTAGTCTCAAAAAAAAACAGCACTTCAAAAAGCACTTCATTTAGTGCTTTTCTAATTTTAGTTATTTCTCTTCTGCCAGCTTTGGGATCAGTTTATTCTTTTTTTCTAGTTCCCTTAAGTGCAAAGTAGGAATGTTAATTTGAGATATTTCTAACTTCTTGATGAAGGCATTTAGTGCTATAAACTTTCCTCTTAACACTGCTTTAGCTGCATCCCAGAGATTCTGGTATGTTGTGTCCCTATTTTCATTAATTGCAAAGATTTTTTTAATTTCTGCCTTAATTAAGATTTTCACCCAGGAGTTATTCAGGAGCAAATTATGTAATTTCCATGTATTTATGTAGTTTTGAGAGATCTTCTTGATACTGATTTCTATTTTTGTCTCACTGTGGTCAGAGTGTGTGCTTGGTATGATTTCAAACTTTTTGAATTTATTGAGGCTTGCTTTGTGGCCAAGCATGTGGCTGATCTTAGAATATGTTCTGTGTGCACATGAGAATGTATCTTCTGTGTTTGTTGGACAAAGTGTTCTGTAGATGTCTATCAGGTCCAATTGGTCAACTGTCAAGTGCAAGTACGGAGTTTGTTAGTTTTCTGCCTCAGTGATCTGTCTATTGCTGTCAGTGGGTTGTTGAAGTCTCCTGCTGTTATTGTGTGTCTAAATCTTTTTGTAGGCCAAGAAAAACTTGTTTTATGAATTTGGGTGCTCCAATGTTGGGTGTGTACATATTTAGGCTAAGTCTTCTGGTTGGATTGTGCCCTTTATCATTCTATAAGGAATGCCCTTCTTTGTCCTTAATTTTTATTGGTGAAAAATATGTTTTATTTGTCCAGGAGTGGTGGCTCACACCTCTACTGCCAGCATTTTAGTAGGCTGAGGTGGGCAGATCACGAGGTCAGGAGATCGAGACCATCCTGGCTAACATGGTGAAACCCCGTCTCTACTAAAAATACAAAAAAATTAGCTGGGCATGGTGATGAGCACCTGTAGTCCCAGCTACTCAGGAGGCTGAGGCAGGAGAATGGCATGAACCCAGGAGGCAGAGCTTGCAGTAAGCCAAGATCGCGCCACTGAACTCCAGCCTGGGTGACAGAGCGAGACTCCGTCTCAAAAAAAATTAATTAATTAATGAAAAAAAAATATATATATATAAAGTTATGTTTTATTTAACATAAGAATAGCGACTCCTTGTCTTTTTTGTTCTCTATTTGCATGACAGATCTTTCTTTATCCCTTTACTTTCAGCCTGTGGATGTCATTAGGAGTCAGATGGGTTTCTTGAAGACAGCAGATGGTTGAGTCTTGTCTTTTAATCCAGCCTGTCATTTTTTGCATTTTAAGTGGGGTGTTTAGCCCATTTACATTCAGGGTTAGTATTGATATGTGAGATTTTCATCCTGTCATCATGTTGTTAGCTGGTTGTTGTATAGACTTGTTTGTGTGGTTGCTCTGTTTTGCCTATGGGCTATGTGCTTAAATGTGTTTTTGTGGTAGCAGGTTCTTTCAATTCCATGTTTAACACTTTTTAAAGGATCTCTTACAAGGCTGGTCTAGTTGAAATGAATTCCCTCAGTGTTTGTTTCTCTGAGGATTTTATTTCTCCATCACTTATGAAGCTTTTTGGTGAGATATAAAATTCTTAATTGGAATTTATTTTCTTTAAGGGCACTGAAAACAGATCCCCAATCTCTTCTGGCTTGTAAGGTTTCTGCTGAAAGTTCTGCTGCTAGCCTGATGGGCTTCCCCATGTGCATAACCTGGCCCTTCTCTTCTTTTTCCTTCAAGATTTTTTCCTTTTGCATTGACCTTGGTGAATCTGCTGACTATGTGCCTTGAGGATGATCATCTTATATAGTATCTAGCCTGGGTTCTCTTTATTTCTTGGATTTGCATGTCAACCTTTCTAGCAAAATTAGGGAAAGTTACATGAATAGTATTTTCAAATATATTTTCCAAATTGTTTATTCTCTCTCTTTTTCTCTCAGGAATGCCAATGAGTCATAGCTTTGGTCTCTTTACATAATCCCATATTTCCATCAAGTTTTGCTCATTTTTAAAAATTCTTTATTTTTGTCTGAGTTGGTTAGAAAAGCTCTGAGATTCTTTCTTCAGCTTGGTCTGTTCTGTAGTTAATACTTTCAATTGTATTATATAATTCTTATAGTGAATTTTTCAGCTATAGAAGTTCAGCTTGGTTCTTTCTTAAAATGGCTATTTCTTCTTTCCGCTCTTGGATCCCTTTATCTTTATCTAGGACCACTAATCTTTGGATTAGTTTTCAATTTTCTTCTGAATCTTGATGAGCTTCCTTGCCACCCAGATTCTGTATTCTACGTCTGTCATTTCAGTCATTTCCAACTGGTTAAGAACCATTGCTAGGGAGCTAGTGGACTCATTTGGAGGTAAGGGGACACTGGCTCTTTGAATTGCCAGAGTTATTGTGCCAATTCTTTCTCATCTGAGAGAGTTGGTATTCCTTTAACTGTGGCGTAAGTTGAGTATAGTCAGTTGGCTGCATTTTTCTGAGGGCCAAGGTTCTGTGCACGGTCTTTATTTGTGGCTGAATTCTCACCTTGGTTTTATAGGAAGGTATATTAGCAAACTATTTTTGTAATTTAGGTTGACTTCCAGTAGATGGCACATAAGAGTAATGGTTGGTAGATAGAGCTTAGCCACATGGCTCCTTTGTATTTCCTGGTGTTTCCGGCTGTGCTCTGCAGTACAGTGGGAAGAGAGGTGACCACCTCGTCAGGTCCGCTCCTGGGCACTGGGGAAGCCCCTTCCAACCAATGGCACTGTGCCCATGTTTCTTTTGGCAGGTGCGCTCTCTCACACAGAGGCTGTGGTAGGGAGATAGGCCACCCCTTTCCCAGTCAGCTGGCCCTGCAGAGGGAGACATGCCCACTGCTGTGGTAGCCCACAGGTTCATGTAACTCAGCCCTCTCAGTACGCTGAGAGTGTGGGCTCCTCTCCTGCTCTAATGTGTGCTACAGATCTCGCCTTGGCACTCCCAGGCTTCAACACTGCAGCCCCAGGGAAAGCTCAGGCTTTTTGTTCCCTCCTCAGCTTAGGGACAGCAGGGATAGGGACCCCGGCAGTGGTAATGACAGGGGGCCTATCAGTTGCCTCTGGGGACTCTATCCCAGACAAATGCAAAACCACAGCCAATTGGGGTGATCAGCCAGGGTTGGGGCAGCTGTGCTGCTGGGCCCAAGCTGGGGGCCCTGCCTGAAGAGCAGGAAGGTCAGGCAACCCAACCCTGAAGATAGCCTGGCCTCCTCTCTGTAGGATGCTGTGAGAAAGTAATCAGGCTCTTTGTTCCCTCCCTAGCCTGGGGGAAGCAAGGGCGGGTACTGTGGTGGCAGCAATGGCAGAGGCCTGTCAGTTGTCTTTGGGAGCTCCATCCCAGAGAAACACAGAGCCATCACCAACTGAAGTGATCAGGCAGGAGTAGTGCTGGGGGCCCAAGCCAGGAGGCACCCTGCGCAGTGAGGAGCAGCAGGGCCAGGGACCCATGTGGAAAACTGTCTGGCTGCCTTTCCATATGGCAGCTGTGGCATGCTGGAGGCCCATGACAGCTGTCGGGGCTTTTTACTCCCTCTCCAGCCTGAGGGCAGTAGGGGCACAGGCTGCAGCAGTGCAGAGGGCCTGTTGGTTACCTCTGGGAGCTCCATCCCAGAGCAATGAGGGCTGTGACCAGCCGGAGTGCTCAGGTCGGGGGTGGATGGCTGCGATGGAGGCCCAGGCCAGTGGGCCTTGCCTGGCAAGGTGCAGTGGAGGCAAGGCCTGCAGTCTGTCTGCTCCCCAGCATCATGGATATGGCCCCTATCCTAGGGGCACATGACAGAGCCTGGCCTACCTTGTTGGCCGGGCTGTGGCAGCTGGTGCTGGGGTGCTCAGAGATCCACATTGGCTTGAGCAGTGGCTCTGCCCAGACTCCAAGCAGCTCTTCATGTCAGTCTAGAGCCCCAGGGTGTGTGTGTGGGGCGGGTGGAGTCATGGAGGGTCTCCTGCGCCTGGGAATTACAAACGTCCATGGCAGAAGTATGGGTCCCCAGGAGCTTTCACTCACTCATCCTTTCCCTGCTGTAGGGAGCTTCCCCTTGCTCTGCACCCAGGTGGGCAACTGTCCTGCCTTACTCCCCTCTGCTCTCAGTTAGTCACCACTGCTTCCTTGATGAATCCCAACACAGCCTGCTGGACGATCAACCTGAAGAGCTCATGTTCACTCACCACTCTCATCTCCTCTTGTGAGAGCTGCACACACTAGCTGCTTCTAGTCAGCCATCTTGGCGCTTCAGATACTAGTTTTCTTAAGTAGAATTTACTAACTTGGAATAGAATCATCCAAAACTTAAGAGCAGAGAGTTTAACTATTTTTAAAAACAGAAGGATAGAAAGAGATGGAGGGAGAAAGTAATTCTAGTGGGCCGAGTTCCATAACTGCAGTGCATAGAAATGTTTTTGTCACCAGGCGCGGTGGCTCACACCTGTGATCACAGCACTTTGGGAGGCTGAGGTGGGCAGATCATGAGGTCAGGAGATCGAGACCATCCAGGCCAACACGGTGAAACCCTGTCTGTACTAAAAATGCAAAAAAAATAGCCGGGCGTGGTGGCAGGCACTTGTAGTCCCAGCTACTTGGGAGGCTGAGGCAGGAGAATGGCATGAGTGAACCCAGGAGGTGGAGCTTGCAGTGAGCCGAGATCGTGCCACTGCACTCCAGCCTGGGTGACAAAGCGAGACACCATCTCAAAAAATAAAAATAAAAAAAGAAATATTTTTGTCACCTTACCTACAGTGAGATTATTATACATCACGTGTCTTGCTGATGGAAAACAATGCTTGTTGCAATAAAACCACTGCCTTGAAACACTACTATACATAACTCTTTAACATTTCTGACAGTTGCTTCCCAGCATGGATGTAAAGAACTTCAACAAAATTCATCAGACTCAAATATTACCATGTTAGTCAGGCTGGTATCAAACTCCCGACCTCAAATGATCCGCCTGCCTTGGCCTCCCAAAGTGCTGGGATTACCGGTGTGAACGCACCATGGCTGGCCAGTGGTTGAATTTTTTAAAAAGTATTAATGGGGTGCTTGAAAACTAGAATATCCATCTAGATTTGTAAGACAGTATACCTGCATACTGGTGTGGCTTCCACACTTGAGTAAAAGCTTCAGAGTAGGCCTCCTAGATTTCCCCAAGATACTCTACTCTTATTTTTCTTTTTCTTTCTTTTTTTTTTTTTAGACGGAGTCTCGCTCTGTTGCCCAGGCTGGAGTGCAGTGGCACAATCTCAGCTCAGTGCAACCTCCACCTCCCGGGTTCAAGCGATTATCCTTCCTCAGCCTCCTGAGTAACCGGGATTACAGGCACGTGCTACCACACCTGGCTAATTTTTGTATTTTTAGTAGAGACGGGGTTTCGCCACATTGGTCAGGCTGGTCTCGAACTCCTGACCTCATGATCCACCCGCCTTGGCCTCCCAAAGTGCTGGGATTACAGGTGTGAGCCACCGTGCCCGGCCGATGCCCTACTCTTAAAATAGTGCCATTCATTTTCTAGGTAGGATCATATTCCACACTGACTATATTGCTAGGGGTGGCCTAGAGGGTCAGGCCTTTGGGAAATGGCACGGCCTTTACCAGCTTCCCTTCTCTCCCAAAGAACTTCCCCTCTTGGACTTTAGATTGAGGAATGGGGCAGAGTAGTAGGCGGTGCCGCTGTGCTTTGATAAAGGCCCCTGTGGCTGGCAACAGCTCTTACCTTTTGTCTCTGGGTCCTGGCGTGGGTGGAATTCCTGGGCGTTCTGTTGGCTCATCTGGGGCCATCAGTCCACTTTGAACTACTCACTGTCTCCTCTGCCTCCACCAATTAGAAACCCTTCCAAGGGACAGTGAGAGCCAAAGCCAAGAAAAGCCTTGTTCCCTATTTGGTGATTGAGTGACAGTGGGTGAAATCCTTTCTCAGAAAGAACTAGAAAGAACTCAGTGCTTGTACTCACAGTGAGTAATGTCAGGGCTGACCCATCCTGACACCAATCTTGCCATGCTTTTACTGTGTTGGAGGCTTCTACATTTGGTACTGGCAGTCAGTAAGTCTTAATGGAACATAATTGTACTTAACTATGCCATATGTACGTATTCACCGATCAAAACTTCACTGACTAACCAACCAAACCCCACACTTCATCCGATCCCCCATAGACTTGGGGATGGGCAGGTATTCTTTGGCCATATGGTATAAGAGGGTCATTCTTGTCACTACTAAAGTTAGCCTCATCATTTTGTGCTGCCCCAAGACCAACAGGGCCTCTCCTGTAAACTGAGTGCAAGCAGGCTGACAATTTTAATAATAGTCCATACCATGTATGTGCTTCTGTCAGCAGAATGTATATGTTATGCAAAACCTCCAGGCTCCTTAAGCTTTTTGCTGTCCATGAATCCTCTGTGGCAACTGTAGTCACAGAGCCAGAAGCCAGAGGGTCAGGGATATGAGAGGCTGACAAATAGCTGGGGACATCTGGGGAGGAGATCCCTGTCATGTCTCTTGTGCCACAGAGCTATTATGGCTGGTCTTCCATTTGCTATTTCTTTCTTTAAGAGAAAATCATTTTTCTACTTCGCTTTTCTCTCCATACTTAAATGGTCAGTAGCTACTGAGTGGTGCTTTATCTGAACAGGCCTGGGTTGAAGCAAAATAGAAATGGGACTGGCTTTCCACAGGAAGTAAACTGCTCCAGAGCCCACAGTCCCCTGCTCAGTGCCCGGAAACTAGTCAGTCATCCCTGTTGGCAGTAAGTGTTCCCATAGCCGTTCCATTAGAGGTTTAACTAGATATCTTCAATAGAAGTCTGAGACAAGTGGGAGTGAGAAATGGAGGACTAGATTGGGAGAATTTTTTTTTTCATTCTGTTTGCTTAATTCATGGTACAGTTTGTGCTATTTCATATTTGTACTCCAGGAAAAAATATAACTTAAAAATACCGTGTCTAAAGAAATTTCAGTGCTCTATCATCATTAAATTATTTACTTACATGCTTATATGACAGTCATGCTCAGATGTCACTGTCGTTGGTTTCTTGGGTGTATTTTCAATGTGTCTGCTGCTGACTCTCACATCACTGGGTTTCCTTGCAGGTTTTGTATTTCAGCTCTGAGCTTGGCTTCAGTGGGATTGTTCTCTGTGCAGACCTCCCTGTCTTGCCACGGTGTTTGTCTCTACTCACACTCCGTGGGGTTGGCTGTCCCCATAGCACAGTCCTGTTTGTAGGTCCTGGCCTCCCGTGATGTACTGCCAAGTGCTACCAGTTCCTCACACTGATACTGTTCCAACCACAGCCTTGAGAAAGAAGCCTACTCAGCTACAGAGCCATGTCCACAGGCTGGATGGAGGCTTTTCATCCGAGTTCAGAGAGGCAGCCACTTCCTGGGTCTGGGTTTTTCTCAGGCAGCCTGAGTTCAGTTCCCCCATATAAAGGTTGCTCATGGCCTCAACACCTGTCCAGGGTGGGAATTCACAACTCAGCCTCTGAGGGAGGAAGACCGACATGCCTTCACCTCCTCCTCCACCCGGCTCATCTCTTCAGCTGTGGCATCAGGTGAGTTCTCCTTCAAACATGGCTGTGTGTTTGTATTTTTGTTTTCTCTGCCATTTCATATTTGGAGCAAGAAGTGGGCTTTTCATGGCGGCTGACCTCACTGTGCAATCATTAGCTTATGGGAGGCTCCACAGATAGCCAAAAGTTAACATATTCAAAAGAAAAGCCATCAGCACCCACGGTCCTTCTTTCTGTTTCACAAACCCTGGCACACACCTTCTTCCATCTTCACAGTCACTTGTTACAAGACAGCTGCTTGAAAGGCAGGAAGGTAAACTGGGAACTTAATCAGGTTCCCTTTTTAAAGAGGTTTTCCAGAATTCACCTCCTCAACAATATTCTTTTATGTCTGATCTACCTTTCTTGACAGACTGTAAACTCCATGGAAGTTGGAGTCTCAGAAATGATCACTGGCTTGACACCTGCTGGGTGCCTAATAAGTCTTTCTTTAATTATGGATGGATGGGTGAAGAGATGGGTGGACAGTTGGGTATATGGATGGATGGATGGACAGGTGAATGAATGGATGGATAGACAGATAGATGAATGAACGTTCCCTATGCTCTCATATCTCTGTTTTCCCACAGGATGTTCCCTTTGCCTGGAACATGCTTCTTCCATTCACCACTCAGCTGACTCCTGGGCATCCTTCAAGATTCAGCTGAGATGTGCCCTCTTCCAGAAAGCTCTCCCTGATGACTGTATGTGGGCAAGGTGTCCTAGGTGTCCTGCTGTTTGCTGATGTTGCGCCACGTGTCTCTCTCCACAATAAGTTTTCCTGTTTTCCTGTGCGGGACTGTCTGGCTCAATTTGCCTGCAGGCTCTGAGGCCCCTGAGAGCAGCCCCCAGCTTTGACTCTGTGTATCTAGCACTGGCCCCACTGCCTGTCATGGAGTGGGAGCACAAGAAATGTTTCATGAAATTTGAATAAAAGTAAAATTAATGAAGACCATCTGTGCCTCATTTACAGAGAATGACATGGCAGATAGAAGACACTGTGGATGAACTGAGTGAGGAGTTCTCATCGACTGCTCAGGCCCTGGAGCTCCAGAAAGAGAAAGACAAGACAGACCCACAGGCCCCTGATGAAGGCTGCACATTTGCTGTAAGCCCAGCAAATGTGCTTAGGTCTCAGCTCCTAAGGTGTTCACAGAGGTGGGGCCCACAGGGTCACAGCCCCTTCCACAGCGAGGGGGTTGGGATCAGAACAGCCAGCTCAGAACAGACTATCCACCCAAGTCAGGTTCTGCACGTTTGGTTTGGCAAGTGGAAGACTACACCAGGAAGCCTTAGACCTGGGGCTGGACACAGGGAAGCCCACATCATCAGCTTGGGGCTGCAGCTCTCTAAGTAAATCCACAGCCTGGAAAGATTGAGGAAGGGCATGGAAAGGGAATAATGAAAATAGCTGTTAGTGATGTAGCTTGATGGACAGGGCATGCCTCTGGAAGCAGGAGCTTTTCATGAGCTGCATCTCCAGCCCACTGCCCTCCATCCTAGCTCCAGTCCCCAGCTGTGCAGATACAGAGGAGGCTGGAAGGGAGAAAGACAAGAGATAGAGGTGATCACACAGCTGTGTCTCCACTGAGCTCAAGACACCTTTATTTACTAAAGCTTGCAGCTGGCCTGTGGGCCTTAGGTTGCCAGTGTGATTAACATGGCATAAAATACAATTTGTCTTGACTTGAAGTTCCCCTCACATCACGTTTTCTCCAGAGTGTCTGGTTTCCACTTTGGTCATCGTGTCATGTTTAACCTTCCCTTCTAGTCTGTAAGCCCCCCCGGACTTTTGCACGCAAGTCCAGGGCCTCCCTCGCCCCATCCTAGTCCCTGAGTTGCTAAAAATGGGTGACACCCTGGGTGGTGGAAGGGTGTGGGTCAACACTAGCCTTCTCAGAGTAGGTATCTGGACTGGGATACCCTGAGACGCCATGGAATCCTTTGTGTCCAGCTCGAGCAGACCCCCTGCCACAATGACCAAAAGAGCGGGCCAAGGAGGGGCAACAGGGTGTGTCCTTCTCATTGTACACACATCAGGGAGAGCCAGGATATGCCCTGAATATGAAGGATTCCATGAGAACATCGCATTGGCTTGGGCCTTGATGTCGGGAGGTCTGGAATATCAAGTTTTCTTCATCAGACTGGACTCTCTTTTGAGACAAAAGTGACAAGAAAGGGCACTGTGGTCTCAAACAGCTAAGGGAAAACATAGCCTCTGAGCCGGCAAGGCAGTGTGGGACCCCAGTAATGCCCATAAAATGCACAGATGCCTTCCCAGCAGGGATGCCAGAAGCACACATTCCATGGCCCTACAGAGGCCCCCAGAGGTGGACTCTCCAAAGGCAGATGCCAGCCTCCCGCCATGTTCTCAACACACTCATCATTCTCACCCTGAGCTTTGTACAGACTCCTTCCAAAGAGTTCGTGCTCAGCTATGGGGCCAGTTCCTCTCTTATCCCTGGTACTAAGGAAGGAAGGAAAAAACAAGATGAGGTGAAGGGCTGTAACATGTGGTGAAGTTTAATTATTCAATAATGGTTCCAATTATTAAACATGACTATTGCATAATGACATAATTGGCTGTGGATGTGCTTTTGTGTGGCCACATAAACTCCAGGAAACTTTGTCTTCATTAGTTTCATTAGTCTTCATGAGGTCAGGCCTGGGGGCAGCTCGTTTGACTCTTCCCAAGTGTGGGGTAGGTGTTGATGCCTTGAGAGTGCCAGAGTGACACAGGTCATGACCCACGCCAGGGTGAAGTGAGAACTCTCAGGGGTCACCTCTCCTTGTTCCACATCTGTCTTTTCCAGGTGGCTCCCAGTGTCTTCCCTTGTGAGTAGCAGGAAGACAGACCTAACCCACGGGAGGCAGGCGACCCAGCCAGAGAGAAACGGGAACCTGGGTCCTGAAGAGACCCCACGCACTGGAGCTGGTGGTGACGAGAGTCCACCGGCCCAGAGGATCGAGGACCTGGAGTGGGAGCTGTCCCTGGCTGAAGGCAGCTCGAGTGTGGGAGGGAGCAGGCCCAGCAGACATGCCAGCTCAGGGGCCACTGAGTCACACCGGATGCTGCTGTGGTGGCCACCTGCTGGAGGTGCCTTCTCCACGAAGAACATGGCCAGGTTCCCCTGGTAGGAAGGAGTGGGCGTCTCAGGCCTGGGGTGTGTGCTGGGTTTATGACGTGCTCCTTTTACAGGAGAACAAACACCTGGATTTCTTTCAAAGCCTGGACCTTGACTTATGCTGAATTTTGCCTTGGTTCTTTGGAGTGGGAGAAAATAGAGCCATAGGCATTGAGAAAATCAATGTGCTCTCCCATCACTGAGTCTGTCCTTCAGTACCTCACTCAGGCATGGACTCTCAGTGCCCCCAAAAGCTTTACTTGGGGCCGCTGGTTTGAGTGGTGAGAAGTGCTTGGAGTGAGGGCCATAAGAATGTCAGTGCAGCCGCAGCACTTTCATGTCCCATCTTCCATCACGCCCCATCTTCCATCACACCTCTCAGCCGAGTCTCCAAGGCCCCGACGTGGCTCCACCTGACCTCCTGGACAGAGAGAGGCAGGTGGTGTCTGTGGGCCAGGCCTCCGAGCCACACTGAGGACCCCCAACACCTGAGAGGACTCCCTGAGCATGGCCAGAGCCAGCCCCCAGTCAAATTGGAGCTCTCCACACCCGCCCCCCCGACACACACCTGCACTCCCTCCTCGGAAGGGAAGGGACCTCTCTCAATCCTCCTTCTTTCTGCTGAGGCCCCAAGTGGAACTCACTTCACTTCTCAGACCCACTCCAGAGGCCACTCACTCCTCGAAGGTCTTTCCCAGCCCTTCTCTGTTGTCTTCCTCCTTTGCCTCCCATCTTAGTCATTTGTGCCACGGTTTACCCTCCCTTCTAGACTGAGCTCCTCAGAGCAGGATGTGTGGGTTGTTAACCTCGATGTGTCTCACACACACAGATGCACATGCTTTGCATTTACAGGTATTAGATGCACACGTTTTGCTTCACACACACACTCCCAAGCACAGCGCTTTGCAGACACAGGTATTAGATGACCCATAAATGCTTTGTGCATGTAATTGACTATAGAGACATGGCCTCTAACCCAGAGATCACACAGGCATGTGGGGAGGCCACATCAGCACACGGGAAGCTGCATAGAAGACAGTGCAGAACCGAGTGCCAAACACTCCGGACAAACTAGAACAGAGGGAGGACCCCCAGGCCAGTGAGATGGTGCTCAGGCCAGAGCCCTTAGGGATACCTTCAAGGCGGGGCTGGGACTGACCTAGCCCTTGGGGTGTGGAATGTGGATGCGGGAGAGAGGCAGGAAGAGGGAGTTTTTCAGGTGTTTAGAATGAGAACAAGGCCAGAGAACAACATGCAAAGTATTGGCCACGCGAGCAAGGCCAGAGAACAACATGCAAAGTATTGGCCACGCGGAATTTGAGAGGCATCAGTTTAGGAAGAGGAACCCATGGGTGGAAGTGGAGTGGAGAGGGTGTCCTGGGCATTACCTGCTGCTCCAGGGGTTTGTCTGAGAGACAAAAACACCGCAGGAGTCCCAGCAGCTCTGCTAACCTCAAGGTGGCTTCTGCTCTTCAGCCTGCTAAAACCTTTTCAGAAATGTTCCTCACTAGACAGAGGTCAGTGACCCAGTCCCTTTTAGTAGCAGCAAGTCTCTGGGCCAAGATAGAAGGAAGTCACATCCTACTTAAAAAAAAAAAAAAAAAAAAGCCTGAGTATGCAGTTCCTGCTGCCTGGGGTCTCCAGGCAGCAATCTGTGCATTCACACTGCTGCTCTGTGGCCTCTGGGTTGACGCTGCTGACCCTGAGTGTCTAGAAGTCCCATCCCCACCACCAACAGATGCCAAAACACAGCCCAATATGTATCCATCTGTCCTCACTCACTGATGGACACACAGCGCAGGGTGGGCCAAGGCCCAGAAGGGAGGTGTGAGGGGAGGAGGCCCTGGTTCCCGGGGCAGCTTCTCATGCAGGGCTGGGGATGAGAGGCCTTGGGGCCCCCGGGACCCCTGGTAGTTATGCCTTTACTGGGGGCCTAGGCCTGTAGGTCTGTGGGGTCATTCTGGAAAGGGCCAACATGGGGCTTACTCGCTGGAGTAGGAGACACGCCCACCCAGGCCTGAGCCCAGGGCTGTCTCTCATGGTTCCCAAATCCACTATCTGCCCAGTCACACCTGGCAAACCCAGAGACCACTGTGCATGTCCCAGAAAGGGACCAAGGATGGGAAGCAGCTGGTCCAGGCTCCATAACTACTCACTGCCAAGCCCCCACTGGACCCCACGCCTCCTGGCTCATGGCTGGTGACATGACAGCAAGGCTTCCAGGTGCAAAGGCTCCCGGGGGAAGCTCGAGGGCTCCAAGACTGAGGCCCTTGCCCCAGGGGTACAGTGACCCTGAGAAGTTTAGAGCTGGAAGAGGGTTGTCGAGTCTCAAACTCCTTGTGCAGAACAGCCAGCATCTTGTTCAAATGCAGCCTTGATCCTGGGGGCCTGAGCATCTGCTCCACCAAGCCCAGGGGGTGCTCAGACTGTGGACCTCACTTTGATGCCCAGGTCATAGGCCTTGGTAAGAAAGGTGGATTTCATTTTAAGGTTAATGAATAGTGATTGGAGGGTTTCACCAAGAGAATAATTTGGTCTGGGGGTACACCAGTTTGGGGGAGCCGGGGGAAGGTCACAGATTCTGTTTGTTCCTGAGCTTGAGCCTCCTACTAGACACCCAAATCTGGTGAAAGGTGGGCAGCTGTATCAATGAACCCAGAGCTCAGGGTGATGTAGGAGGTAGACAGGAGAGAGCCTACAGGGAGCCCTTCGTCTCCGAATGTACCCAGTGCCAGCCTCGGGGACAGTGTCAGTCCACACAGCTGCCAGTTGCTCCCACTCCTTCTTAGTACAGATGTTCCTGGACTTACTTTCTTTTGGCTTTACAGTGGGCTTATTGTGATATTAAATGCATTTTTGAGCCTGTAATCCCAGCATTTTGGGAGACCGAGGCGGGCAGATCACCTGAGGTCAGGAGTTCAAGACCAGCCTGGCCAACAGGGTGAAACCACATCTCTACGAAAAATACAAAAATTAGCCAGGCGTGGTGGCGGGCACCTGTAATCCCAGCTACTTGGGAGGCTGAGGCAGGAGAATTCCTGGAACTCGGGAGGTGGAACTTGCAGTGAATCAAAATCGCACCACCGTACTCCAGCCTGGGCAACAGAGTGAGACTTCATCTCAAAAAAAAAAAAAAAAAAAAGAAAGAAAGAAAGAAAAGAAAACACATTTGAAGACATAGCAGCAGCCAACATATAAATACACTGGAGATAACTGAAAATTTAACTTTGGTTGTTAAGTTAATGTGTTCTTACTTAGACTTAAAAATAAATCTGTCCTCGTTAAGTTTAAAATATCCCGAGGCAGGAAATCAAGACATTTTTAAATTTCTGGCATTTTTAAATTTCTGGCAGTTGATCTATAGGAATCTGGATTTCTGTCAATCACGTACTGCCAAGTAACAAAGCGCCTCGGGATGCAGATGCACCTGCGTCTGGGAGGCTGCCTGGCTTCCATTTCACATGTTAGTATTTCCCAGAGGAGCCTGCTGCTCCCACTGACTCCTACATTATAGGTTAAAAGGTGGCTTATTGCCTGTTTCACACACTTCTAAAAGGATCATGCTGGCACTAATATTTCCCTACTGACAAGAACCTCTGGGAGCCTCTGTGCCTGAAGAGTAGGGGGCAGGGCCCTGCCTGCTCCTCACAGGGAAGCCCTGGCCTCCACATATCTGTGGGCCTATGACCCACCTTGTGTGGGCAGCGGCTCTGGGACAAATGCCTCAGCATTTCCGTGTTTGGGGCCCTCCCTACCCTGATCCTTCCTATTCTTCCCCAGCATGGAAGAATAGGACAGACAGCGGAATTCAGTAGAGCCTCGGGCCATTGCCCCACCGACATTCCTTCCTTCCAGTCTCTTGACACACACCGCATTTTAGTTCCCTGACAGTCAACCAGGACAGCAGCACCCACTTGCCAAGAACAGTGCAACCTCTGTGAACACCCTCCCCTATCACACACTGACAACCAAGGACGGCCCAGGCTCCATAAGGAAACCCTCCACCACCACACACCCAACACCAAGGATGGCCCAGCCCCCACAGGACACCCTTCACCACCACACACCCACCACCCAAGCCTCTAGAACTTCCCAAGCACATATGATGCAGGAGGAAGATGAGACAATAGATGCAAAGATGTCTCCACCATGGTTTTGATGATTGCTGGGCCTTCTCACCTAGGAAAGAGTCATACACTCATATCACTCCTGCAGAGGGCTTCAACCTGCCATAGAAAGGGACGTAATGGGACTGTGCTTTGAAGGACACTTATGCCCCAACCCGGACAGTGGTGAAATACACGAGGTGTTTCCATTACACACACAGGGAAGGCCAGGGCCTAATGAAAACTCCCCGCCAAGGAGAAGCTCTGTGGGGTCCCGGCTGCCTCTTTCATGACAAAGACAGCCTGAGAAGCACAGAGGGCTCACCACTGGCTCTGCCACTTCCTGGCTGAGGGGCCCTGACCAAGTCTTTGAAGTCTCTGCACCTCAGTTTCCGTGTTAGTACAACAAGCGTGATTCATGCACGTGCTTGGAGGGCTGCAGTTAGAATAAGAAATCCCACACAGGAAGCTCTGCTGTGTGGCTGGGATCCCGGAAGTAACAGGCTTGTTAGTTGATTATTTGCATTTTGAGGTAGTTCTGAGGTCACAGACAGTGAGGGATCCCACCCTTAATATGAAAGGTGTGGACAATACAGCCAGCAGCAGCAGCTGCAGAACGCCGCTGAGGTGACACCTGAGTCCTCTGTGAAGTCCCCTTTTCTCGCCAGGCGTGCGCAGAGGCCTGGGGGTGTCTGTAGTTTATCTGGGGCCTGAGGAAGCCTCATCCAGACACAGGCCTGGCCCCACACCCCAGCTCCACACATGTGAGCTGTTCCGCCAGAGAGCAGGAGGACTAGAACAAGGCCACCTCCGTTCTCCTGGGAGCTAAAAATGAAAAGAGGCACTGGGCAAAAGCACTTGTTTTTGTCGATAGCAACACTTGTGCACAATTTTGAATCAATAACAAACATGTTCACAGCCAAAAACATGCCGGAATGCATCAACCCTTCATTATCTATGTGTGGATTGCCTATTTTGTTAAGTAGCATGTGTTTTTAACTTTAAAATTATGTTCAAATTTTACTGTATAGTATTCTCTACCTAAACTTCTTTACACAGCATTAAAGTTTCATAACTTCAAAATGCCCACCATTCATATCTTAGTATGTTCTTTCGTTTCTCTTTAGCGACCAAAGGTAAATACTAAATCCCGTGGTCAGCATGAGCATATCTTGTGTTCTGATGTTCTGTTCTTCTTTTTTTTTTTTTTTCTTTACTTTTTGAGACAAAGTCTCACTCCGTTGCTCAGGCTGAAGTGAAGTTGCACAATCATAGCTTACTACAGCCTCTATCCCCTGCACTCAAGCAATCCTTCTGCCTCAGCTTCAGGAGTAACTGAGACTACAGGCAGGTGCCACCACACCTAGCTAACTGTTTTCTTTTTCTTCCTTTTTTTTTTTTTTTTTTTTTTGAGAAACGAGTTCTCGCAATGTTGCCTAGTTCTCGAGCTCCTGGCCTCCAGCAATCCCCCTGCCTTGGTCTCCCTAAGTTCTGGGATTACAGGCGTGAACCACCATACCCGGCCTGTTCTGTTTTGTTTTGTTTTTACATTTTTTCCTTATAATAACTTTCCCCATATCTAAACAGGAGAATATTAGTTTTTACTTGGACTTTTTAACTATATATTATTGGATTACAGGGAAATGTTTTTTTCTTGTCAGTTATTTCATTGTAATATTTTTTTATAGGCGGTGTTATTATGTTATAGGGTTTGAGTGAATTGTGGGTTTTGGTTATATTTTCAGGTTGCTTTCCAAAATTATCATGCCAGATGTGTCTAACCCTGGAGCCTAGATTGGGTTCCCCACCCCAAGGCCACACACAGCTGAGAGGGCCTCAGCCTCCCAAGTAGCTGGGACTACAGGCACCCACCACCATGCCTGGTTAATTTTTTATATTTTTTAGTAGAGATGGGGTTTCACCGTGTTAGCCAGAATGGTCTCCATCTCCTGACCGCATGATCCGCCCGCCTCAACCTCCCAAAGTGCTGGGATTACAGGCGTGGGCAACCATGCCCGGCCTATATATCTATATTCTTATACCCATTTACCGACCTCTCTTCATCTCCCTACTTTGCTACCCTTTCCCAGGCTCTAGTAACCACCAATCTACTCTCACCCTCTATGAGATGAACTTTTTAGTTCCCACAAATGAGTGAGAATGTGTGATATTTGTCTTTCTGTGCCTGGCTTGTTTCACCTGAGATAATGACCTCCAGTTCCATCCATGTGGCTGCAAATGACAGGATCTCTTTCTTTCTTCTGGCTGAATAGTTATTGCATTGCATATATGTACCAAATTCTCTTTATTAATTCATCCATTGATGAACACCGAGGTTGATTCCATGTCTTGCCTATTGCGAATAGTGCTGCAATGAACATGGGGATGCAGATATCTCAGGGAGAGAATTTTGATCATTCCAGGAAGCAGGCAGGAGGCAAATAATTGAAGGAATTTGGATCATAATCCAAAAGACACAAAAATCCCAAATGCCATAATCCAGAATTTTAAAATCTGGAAGGACCAAAATTCCTAAAGATCAAAACCCTTAACTTCTAAGTCCCTAAAGTCTAAAATCCCTAACATCTAAAATTCTAATCACGGGATAGCCGCACCACAGTGCCTTGTGCAGGCTGTGCAGGAGGCGTGTATGAGCGCCAAATTGACAAGGGGCGACCATTTTAGGCATCAATGTGACTGAATTAAGGAATATCTAGAAACCTGGTAAAGCATTATTTTGGGTGCATCTGTGACAGTGTTTCCAGAGGGGATTAGGGTGTGAGCATGAGTGGACTAGGTAGGAAAGATCCACTCTCAATGTTGGCGGGCACTATCCCGTCAGTTGGGGCCCAGAGAGAACAAATTCGGAAGGAGAATTGGTCTCACCCTGAGAGCTGGGAAAGGATTTTCTTCTATTGCCTGGGACACTGGAACTCCAGGCTTGCCAGCCTTTGGACTTCAAGACTCAAACACTAGCCACCCCTTGGGTCCTGAGGCTTTCAGCCTGAGCCAGGCTACCAGCACCCCAGGTTGACTCTGTATTGCATATGTACACAAAAACTTTGAAACTTCCTCAACAAATGAAGAGATTTTGTTTTTGTACATCTGCATTTGGGAAAAGGTGAAATTTCTCAAGATCTCAGCTCTTTGGGGGACTGCAGTGGTGACCTATTATATTTTTAATTGATTTCATCATAAAATTTCTCAAGATTTCAACTCTGTGCAGGACTGTGGCAGTGACCTATTGTGGTTCTTGATTAAACTCATCAAGGCTTAGATTGTCCGTCACAGTTGTTTGTTTGTTGTTTTTTGAGACAGAGTTGCGCTCTTGTCGCACAGGCTGGAGTGCAATGGTGTGATCTCGGCTCACTGCAACCTTCACCTTCTGGGTTCAAGCAATTCTCCTGCCTCAGCCTCCCGAGTTGCTGGGATTATGGGTGCCCACCACCAGACCCGGCTGATTTTTTGTATTTTTAGTAGAGATGGGATTTCATCATGTTGGCCAGGCTGGTCAACTCCTGACCTCAGGTTATCCACCCGCCTCGGCCTCCAAAAGTGCTGGGATTACAGGCATGAGCCACCGTTCCTGGCCTGTCACAGTATTTCACTTACAAACCTGGGTGCACACAGTTAGCAACCATAGTGATAAATGTTTGTAAATTTCCCTTTTTGACGTTTTTTTTTTTTTTTTTTTTGAGATGCAGTCTCGCTCTGTCCCCCAGGCTGGAGTGCAGTGGCACGATCTTGGCTCACTGGAAGCTCCGCCTCCTGGGTTCACGCCATTCTCCTGCCTCAGCCTCCCGAGTAGCTGGGACTACAGGGGCCCGCCACGACGCCCAGCCAATTTTTTGTATTTTTTAGTAGAGACGGGGTTTCACCATGTTAGCCAGGATGGACTCGATCTCCTGACCTCGTGATCCACCTGCCTCGGCCTTCCAAAGTGCACGGATTACAGGCGCGAGCCACTGCGCCCGGCCTGACCTATTTCTTTATGAACACAGTTCATCTGTTAACAACTGTTACACCTGTAAGACTGTCATTACTATGCCTGATACTCGCAAAAATATGCATATTATTGCCTATTTTATTGTGTAAAGTGGCCTATGACATGTTCTGTCATGTCTTTATATGATTCTCAGATAAATTCCCTTTTAAAAAATGTAAATAAGCTGGGTGAAGTGGCATGTGCTTGTGGTCCTGTGTCTGGAATTGGTGGGTTCTTGGTCTCACTGACTTTAAGAATTAAGCCACACACCCTCACAGTGAGTGTTAGAGTTCTTAAAGGCAGTGCATCTGAAGTTGTTCATTCCTTCCGGTGGGTTTGTGTTCTCGCTGGCCACAGAAGTGAAGCTGCAGACCTTCGAGGTGAATGTTACAGCTCATAAAGGTGGCCCACCCGGAGTTGTTCATTCCTCCCATCCGGAGTTGTTCTCATCCCTCCTGGTGGGTTCGTGGTCTCACTGGCCTCAGGAGTGAAACAGCAGACCTTCACAGGGAGTGTTACAGCTCATAAAGGTGGCACCAACCCCAAAAGTGAGCAGCAGCATGATTTACTGTGAAAGAACAAAGCTTCCACAGTGTGGATAGGAGACCCCAGTGGGTTGCCACTGCTGCCTCGGGGCAGCCTGCTTTTATTCCCTTATCTGACCCCACCCACATCCTGCTGATTGGTCCATTTTACAGAGAGCTGATTGGTCCATTTTACAGAGAGCTGATTGGTCCGTTTTACAGAGAGATGATTGGTCCATTTACAATCCTTTAGCTAGATACAAAACTTCTCCAAGTCCCCACTAGATTAGCTAGACACAGAGCACTGATTGGTGTGTTTACAAACCTTGAGCTGGACACAGGGTGCTGATTGGTGTGTTTACAAACCTTGAGCTAGACACAGAGTGCTGATTGGTGCATTTACAATCCTCCAGCTAGACATAAAAGTTCTCCAAGTCCCCACCCGACTCAGGAGCACAGCTGGTTTTGCCTAGTGGATCTGTAGCCAGGGCCGCAGCATGCTCTGGCCTTGGAGTCTGCTCTGGCCATGCTTGAGGAGCCCTTCAACTCACTGCTGCACTGTGGGATCCCCTCTCTGGCCTGGCCTAGGCTGGAGCTGGCTCCCTCTGCTTGCGGGGAGATGTGGAGGGAGAGGCGCGGGCGGGAACCGGGGCTGCATGTGGCACTCTGGGGCCATTGTGAGTACCGGGTGGGCACGGGCTCAACGCGCCCACACTCAGAGCGGCCTGCTGGCGCAGCCGACGCCAGGCAGTGATGGGCTTAGCACCCGGGCCAGCAGCTGTGGAGGGGGCACCTGGTCCCCCAGCACTGCTGGCCCGCCCATGTCATGCTCAAATTCTTGCTGGGCTTCAGCTGCCTCCCCGTGGGGCAGGGCTCAGGACCTGCAGCCCACCATGCCTGAGGCCCCCACACCCCCTCCCCTGTGGTGGGCTCCTGCGCAGCATGGGATGGCCCCAGCACAGGATCCATTAGGCGAAGCCAGCTGGGCTCCTGAGTCAGGTAGGGACTTGCAGAACTTTTATGTCTAGCTGGAGGATTGTATATGCACCAATCAGCACTCTGTGTCTAGCTCCAGGTTCGTGGATGCACCAATCAGCATCTGTATCTAGCTAATCTGGTGGGGACTTGGAAAACTTTTATGTCTAGCTAAAGGATTGTAAATACACCAGTCAGCACTCTGTGTCTAGCTAAAGGTTTGTAAACGTACAAATCAGTGCTCTGTGTCTAGCTAATCTGGTGGGGACTTGGAGAACTTTTATGTCTGGCTAGAGGATTGTAAATGCACCAATCAGCATTCTGTGTCTAGCTCAAGGTTTGTAAATGCACCAATCAGCACCCTGTCAAAATGGACCAATCAGCTCTCTGTAAAATGGACCAATCAGCAGGATGTAGGTGGGGTCAGATAAGGGAATAAAAGCAGGCTGCCTGAGCCAGCAGTGGCAACCCACTCGGGTCCTCTTCCACAGTGTGGAAGGTTTGTTATTTTGCTCTTTGCAATAAATGTTGCTGCTGCTCACTCTTTGCATCTGCACTGCCTTTATGAGCTGTAAACACTCACTGCGAAGGTCTGCAGCTTCACTCCTGAGGCCAGCAAGACCATGAACCCACCGGGAGGAATGAACAACTCCAGATGCGCTGCCTTAAGAGCTATAACACTTACCGTGAAAGTCTGTGTCTTCACTCCTGAGCTAGCGAGACCACGAACCCACCAGAATGGAAGGAACTCTGAACACGTCCGAACATCAGAAGGAACAAACTCTGGTCACACCGTCTTTAAGAACTATAACACTCACCGCGAGGGTCGGCGGCTTCATTCTTGAAGTCAGTGAGACCAAGAACCCACCAATTCCGGACACACAGTGGCCTCTGGGGGGATTCCACCAGGGTTCAGGCCCTGGACTGGGGCTGGATGAATAGATCCCATCAGGTCCCACCCTGGGGGCCAGCATCCAGAGAGAGAATCATTAACCAACCACACCAAGGAGGGTGAATTTGCCACTGTGATCAGGGCTGTGAAAGAAAAAGGAACATGGGGTCTGAAATCGGGGCAGTGGGGCAGTGGGGAGGGCTGGCTGCCATCTCCCAAGGAAGGGCGTTGAGCCGAGCTCCCACAGCTGAGCAGCTGAACGGGTGGAGGGAAGCCCTGCGTTGGGGGCAGAGCACCAGGCCTGGCCCAGCCAGGGAGTGGCAAGTAAGTCCTTGGGGAAGGAGTGGGGTCCAGGTTGGACCAGGTCAGGTCAGTGAGCGGGACCTCAGGGGGCCTGAGAGTGAGGAAGGCTGGAGAGGCTGAGGAGCCTGGAAGCTGTTCAGCCCAGGAGGGGTGACGGGGGTGGGGAGGCTCTCCAGAGCCACAGGAAGCGGGGAAGAGAGCTTGTGTTTGGTGGGGAGAACAGACAGGATCAGATCCAAGCTTCTGAAAAGATCCCTCTGGCTTCACATAAACAAAGATTGCACAGGCTTTCCACATCTCACTTGGTTCTTTCCTTCTTAAATGAACCAGCTTGTGTGAGAGAAGATGACAGCATATTTAATTTCCTAGCACTTACCACCAACAGCCAAATAATTTATTTTCTATCTTCTTCCTCTAGAAAATAAGTTCCAAGATTTATGTAAGCTTTGTTCACTGTTATATCTCCAGCACCTAGGACAAAGTCTGAGATTTGTTAAATGAACTTATAGGAAGCCATTGGTTTGGGCTGAGCTCCTGCAATAGACCCAACAGAGCAAACCAAAATGGAGTTACTCCTGCCAAACTTTCATGACACCAAACTGAAACTAAGTTGTTTATTTGACCTTCCAAGAGATCAGGAGAGAGAGATAATAGCCAAATCCCCAAACAGGTCGGTTTTAACAAGCAGGAAGAAGTCCCCTCTTCTTTAACCTTTACGAGAAAAACTACTTTCTAATAACCAACCCGCCTTCTGCTTCCTGTTTCTGTTTTCCTCAGCCTTTTTCTGTTTAAAAAGTCAACCCCCTCTGCTGGCCTTATCAAAACACTCCTATTTTATGGAATGGAGTGTTGCTCAATTCTAGAATCACAAATAAAGGCCAATTAGGATCTTTAAACTGCATTTGTTGTAATTTTTGTCTTTTGACAAATGTAATAAGCACTCAATAAACATGTGAAAAGAGGGAGAGCAAGAGATAGAGAAAGAGAGAGGGAGCGAGGAAGAGAGAGAGGCCTCATGGAGGAAGGAGGGTGACTTCTCTGCACCTTCAGAGGCAGGTGCCCCCACAGTGCCAGTGCAAGCACTGAGCAGATTTTGTGGGGTACGTGTTGGTGTAGCAAGAAAGACAAGGCCTGTATCCAAAGAGCTGGGTTTGAGAATGAGTGTTGCCACTTACTAGAATGAAACCTTTGTCAAGTTACTGAACATCTGAACTTCCAACTCCTCAAATGTAAAATGGGTGTGACAACACCCACCTCACCGGGTTATTGCAGAGGCTGAACGTGTAGCTGTGATTAAGAAGGGCTGTGTACACTGCAGAGAACTATGCAAATACTGGTAGTCTCTACTTTGTGGGCCCTCCCAGGAGTCAGAAAAAGACAGGACCAGGTGGCTTTTTGGGCGTCCATTGCAACATCAGGGAGAGGAGTGAAGCCACAAGGATGACATGGTCTATGGCACGTCCGGCTGCTACTGCTGCTGCCCATGACACACTCCTGGAGCCCAGGCAGAGTCTGTGTTTGTCATCTGAATTTCCCAGCTAGTTTAGAGTTTATGACATCAGAAAAGACAGCAAAATTCCAGAAAAAACTTGGGTCAAGTGCACTGCAGACAAATGGATTTCAAATTTGGTTTCTCCTTGCCCTTAGAATACATTTATTTAAAAAAACCTTTCTAGCAAAAGATATTACTACAGAGGAGAGAAACCTTTCTTCCACAGCGCCCTTGCACATTTGATCTGGTTTGCCCAGTGCGGGGTGGGGACAGGAAACTGACACCCTAGCAGGTTAATGTCTTCCAGGAAGTCCATTACAGATTCTGAATTTAAACCTGGGTCTACTAATGATTGTTCTCCAATCACTTAGCTGCCACTTGTGAGTTTCCACTATGGAAACCAGTGATTTTTCACAGAAAATTAGTGAAGCAAATGGAATGATTTTTAAAAGCATAGGGTTTGAAGTCGGAAGGCTGGAGTCCAGAGCCCTGCTTCTGACACCTACTGGCCTGTCATTTTCACCTCCTAACATCTGAGGAGCCCAGGTTCTCCTTAGCAAAGTGGGGATGATAATTCCTAGGGCACCGGGCTGTTGAAGATTTAACTGGGATAATGGAAACTCACAGGCCATAAAACGCCCAGCCAGTGATGAGTACTCACTACACTTTGGCCGCAGCTGGTTTTGATTTTAAATAAGTAACCTGCAAGTCTGTATCCATCGCTAGGCACTCCGGGGAAAAGGGGTGCGTACAAAGGAGGGATGAACCCCCAGCTGTGGCTGCAATGGAGCCAGCATCCCATCAGAAAAGGGGAGCCCTGACCCTCCTCCCCTTCCCCTGGGACTGTTCTCAGGCAACGTGGGCTCCAGCCTGCAGGTGCCCGGCTCCACCGCCAGACGGCGCCGTGGCAAGGGACACCGCACAGGGCGCTGGGCTCCTGGAAGAGGGGAGGAGGCCGGCAAAGGTTTCAGAGGCAAAGTTGTCGGTTACAGGCCAGCCGCGGGAGCAGGGCGCGGAGCAGGGAATAAGCAGGAGCACTCTGTGTCAGCCTGGTTCTCTAAAGAGCGGGTAGTTCAAGGAAAGACACCGAATCAGGCATCCAACAACTGGGGAGCAGGACGGCGCCAGCCAAAAGAAGTTCTAGTTGGCCCAAGCCCGGGAGGCCTCACCCTTGCAGGTGGAGCTGGACCGGCTTCAAAAATGTGAGGTCCAGAGGTTGGGTAGATCATGGTGGTGCAGACACCCCACTAGGGCAGGATCGATTCCCTGTGGGGGAGCAAAGGGACATGAGAGATAAGCTCGGCCCAGGAGTAGGGGCCACATTACCCTTGGTATTAAGCAAAAGGCAAAAGAGGGTGTCCGTGGTGTAGCAAGGAGTCCCCAGGAGTTCCCAGCAAGGCAGGGACTGATGAAAACAGCGTTTGAGGAAAACAGGCCGAAGCCTGAACCAATAGCCTTTAGGCTGCCAGACTGGTTTAGGGGAGAGAAGCAAAACAGATTTCCTTTTAGCAAAGCGCACGTCCTCACTGGCTACACTGTTAGCTCTCTGGGAGCTGATGCCATGCGCATAGTAGGTGTGTGGCAGAGACAGCTAGACATAGCCACCGAAGAGCCTGCTCGCCCGTAGAATGCAGGGCTATTGCAGGAAAGCATCTGCCCGGAGGCTCTGCTTCCCCATTTCCTCACACATTGAGCTAGCCAGAACCATGTGAGTGAGTCTGCACCAGCAACAGCAGGCACCATGACTGCCCCGTGGCTCTCTCCTAAAAGATAGCTCCCACTCTCTCTCCCTCCTCCTTCCCCAGGCTGGGTGTTGACACACAGGGCGAGGCCACATGGCAGAGCCTCCCCTGGGCCCTATTCCGGAACAGCTGTGAGGAAACCCCTCCTCTCCCACTCTACTGCGCCTCCCCTGGACCTCACATGAGAAAGCAACTTCCATTGTGTTGAGCCACTGACATTAAGGACATTAGCAAATATAGTAACCAGTTTTACCTGCCATAATGCAAGGTTTTGCTATACATCTGTTGAATTGATGTGAATTTAACTGAACTCCTTAGGCCTGGGAGTTTTATACGATTTTAGGTTTAGCTGGAGGAAGAGGCTGGAGCGCCAGTCCTGCGTGTCAGGCCTCCGGGCCCAAGTTAAGCCATCATATCCCCTGTGACCTGCATGTATACATCCAGATGGCTTGAGGCAACTGAAGATCCACAAAAGAAGTGAAAATAGCCTTAACTGATGATGTTCCACCATTGTGATTTGTTTCTGCCCCACCCTAACAATCAATGTACTTTGTAATCTCCCCCACCCTTAAGAAGGTTCTTTGTAGTTCTCCTCACCCTTGAGAATGTACTTTGTGAGATCCACCCGCTGCCCACAAAACATTGCTCCTAACTCCACTGCCTATCCCAAAACCTATAAGAACTAATGATAATCCCACCACCCTTGGCTGACTCTCTTTTCGGACTCAGCCTGCGTACACCCAGGTGAAATACAGCCTTGTTGCTCACACAAAGCCTGTTTGGTGGTCTCTTCACACGGACGTGCATGACACTAAGAACTCTTCAGTCTCTGCATTTCCATAAAGTGTGAACTTGGAAGGTTCCAGGGTCCCCACTGCTGCCATGGGGATTGCCAAGACTGGGTGGTTTGGGCCTCTTCAAACAATTTCTTGTAATTTTCTTTTTTTTCTTTTCTTTTTTTTTTTTGAGACTGAGTTTAGCTCTTGCTGCCCAGGCTGGAGTGCAGTGGCGCGATCTCTGCTAACTGCAACCTCTGCCCCCTGGGTTCAAACGATTCTCCTGCCTCAGCCTCCCAAGTAGCTGGGATTACAGGTGCCTGCCACCACACCTGGCTAATTTTTTCTATTTTTAGTAGAGACAGGGTTTCACCATGTTGGCTAGTCTGGTCTCAAACTCCTGACCTTAGGTGATCCACCTTCCTAGGCCTCCCAAAGTGCTGGAATTACAGGAGTGAGCCACCATGCCCGGCCCCATAATTTTCTTAAAGTCTAGTATCTAAGACTTCAAAACAAGATTTAAGCCAGTAAAATCAAGGGGGCAAGGTTTTGAATTGCCAGTGGTGCTTTAAAGCATTTACAGGCCAAGGGCATCCTTCTGGACCTGACATTCTTCTAGAGACAATGAGTCATCCATAGAGCTCTGACCCTGAATTAAGCATTAAAAGTGATTGTTGAGCAGGACAGTCCTGCACAGCCAAAAGTTTCCTGTAAAGTCACAGAAAGTAGCAGGAAAGATGTTTTTATCCCTGTCCAGAAAAAAGAGCTAAGGTTTCACAGCGCTGGAGGTCCCCAAAATGGTCCAAATTAATAAACAGTCAGAAACAATCTCCAAACCTTTTGAGAGAAAATCATCCAAGGTCATTCTTTTTAAGCTGACCTTCCTACCCTGCCTTCTTCTCTGCAGCTTCTTAACAAAAACTCAGCACAGTAGGGCATTCCTGTGGGGGCCACCGAAGGTAAGTCATTCTTACTCTAGTTCTCCGGGGGGAAAGAAAAGCATTCTAGACATAAGGAGTGGACAGATAGTAATCCTAGAATAAAGAAGGGTTTATAAATACCAAGAATTCAAAGCAAATTAGTTATCAGGCCTAATGAAGATCAGGAACGCTGATGAACAGCTCCCAGCTGGGGCAAATTAGGTTTTAATAAATATAAGGTCCCTATGTCATCTTTCCATCTGCTCCTTTTCCTGAGACTTTCAGGAGAGGCATGTGAGGTGATGAGACATGGAAGATGGGCCCTCAGAGATCTGTATTCCCTTAAGTCCCGGAGCATCATAGAAGCTTGGGTCTCAAAGCAAATCTGATTAACTCCCCCAGCTTAATAGAGGAAGAAGCCAAGCCCCAAGGGAGGAACTGACTTCCTGAGCCCCTACAGTTTGTTAGTGAGAGATGGAAGAGAGCCTGGAGCACAGATCTCCTGAGTGGGCTCTGCCTGAGCAGCACGCGGTGAATAGGAACCCACACGCAGGAGATGATGGACAGAGCTTCACACCAATCACCCCCATGTGTCGATGTCTCCTCCTCCTCCTTGGGCAAACCCCTTAGTTTCTCCGACCTCAGCTTTCCATTTATAAAAATGGGCACAGTAGTGCCTCTGGTGCAGAGAAGCTGGGGGTAAGAGGGGGCTTTCAGCACAGCGCAGGTGCACAGGGCTGTTAGAAGTAGAGAGGAAATGCTGAATGGGTGGCTGATGGACAAAGCAAGAGAAACTGACCGACCGAAAGACCTTGCCCACTGTTTATACGCCTTCGATCAATGTCCAAGTGAGTTTGTCCTGGCTTTATGTGAACAGTTTTGTCCACTGTCCAAGTGAAACTTGAGCCACTTGAGGAGGAAGAACTGCTTTACCTCTCATTATACTGTATTTTCCCCTCCTATTGAAATGGAAATGTCAAGTTCAAAATTCTTATGCAAGGTAGGAAGAGAATCAAGTCAGTTCTTTCAAGAGCTCCACGCCCTTCACCCGAAACACAGCCCAGGAGTCTTTCCCCTATCAGCCCAGCAGTGACTCAGCTTGCCTCTGAACCTTTCCACCCACCTCTGGGCGGTCCTTGAGTCAGGAATTCAGCATCAGTGACAGGTCCTTTGTCCAGGGCCTGCTTTGCACACTTTGGAAATACAAAGAAGTTGAAGACAATGTCCCTATTCTGAGACACACAAACACACAGCAAAACCATGACCACTAAAACGTAAACACTCAAGTTCTCACTTCCTGTTGCCACATTGTTAGAGGCGTGTGAACCAGAACAACTCCATCTTGAATAGGAGATGGGTAAAATGAGGACAAGACGTACTGGGCTGCATTCCCAAATGATTAAAGCATTCTAAGACACAGAATGAGATAGGAGTTCAGCACAAGATACAGGCCATAAAAACCTTGCTGATAAAACAAGCTGCAGTCAAGAATCCGGCCCAAACCCACCAAAACCAAGATGGCCACAAGAGTGATCTCTGGTCATCGTCACTGCTACACTCCCACCAGTGCCATAAGAGTTTCCAAATGCTATAGTAACGTCAGGAAGTTACCCTATATGGTCTAAAAAGGGGAAGCAGCCGGGGGCAATGGCTCACGCCTGTAATCCCAGCACTTTGGAAGGCTGAGACAGGCAGATCACAAGGTTAGGAATTCAAGACCAGCCTGACCAACATGGTGAATCCCCGTCTCTACTAAAAATACAAAAATTAGCCAGGCATGGTGGCACGTGCCTGTAATTGCAACTACTTGGGAGGCTGAGGCAGGAGAATCACTTGAACCTGGGAGGTGGAGGTTGCAGTGAGCCAAGATGGCGCCACTGCACTGCAGCCTGGGCAACAAAGCAAGACTCCATCTCAAAAAAAAAAAAAAAAAATGGTGGTGGGGAGGCGTTCCCTTGTTTAGCATATCATCAAGAAATAACCATAAAAATCGGCACCAGCAGCCCTCGGGGCTGCTCTGTCTATGGAGTAGCCATCCTTTATTCCTTTACTTTCCTAATAAACTTGCTTTCACTTTACTCTATGGATGCACCCTGAATTCTTTCTTGCACGAAATCCAAGGACCCTCCCTTCGGGTCTGGATCAGGGCCTCTTTCCTGTAACAACATGGAGTCATGTCCTTCAGGCTGGGCCACTGTTACCTACCCTACTATATTCAAGTCTCATTCCTCCTTCGTCTACATCTGGGCTTTCGTCCCAGCTCTGTAACTAATCTAGTGGTGAGATCATAGGCCAATTATTCTATGAACCTCAGTCCTCCCAGATATAAAGTTGGGACAGTAATACCTGCTTTGCCTGATCAGAGTGAGGATTAAATGAGATATTTCATATACAGTGTTTAGTGTATATACAGTCCCTGGCACAGAGTAACAGCTGCCAGTAAACAGTCACTGTTCCACGGGCATTTCATTTGTTCCACAAGCCTTTGCTGAGCAGGCACCGCGAGTGCCTGAAGGATGCACAGGCCCTGCTTGCAGAGGGCTCCCTGTCCTTCTGTGCTTTGATTCAGACTTCCTGAAAATCAAGTGGTTGCTGTGTGCCACGCTTTCATTTATCCTTCACAATTGCCCCATGTGTAGGGGGTATCCCATCTCACAGCAGAGGAAAATGTGTCTCAGAGAGGCTGTCACATGCCCACAGCCAGCAGGACACAGCTGATCTGGACCCAGGGCTCTGCACCAAAAACCTGGGCCACCTCATCCTCCCGTATGACTCACACCACAGGGAGCAAGAGGAGAGTCAGGAAGTTGGGTTCTAGAACCAAGGAGTTGGGTTGCTGAGCTTAGAAATGCTTCCTCACTCTTCTTAGTCTCAAGGGAGGTGATGGAATAATGACAGAAACACTTGCCATTTATTGGAAGCTGTTACTCAGTGCCAGGCACTGTATATACACTAAACACTTTATATGCAGTATCTCATTTAATTCTCACTCTAATCAATCAAGGCAGGCATTATTGTCTCAACTTTATATCTGGGAATTCCAAAGTTCATAAAATAACTGGCCCATGATCTCACTACTAGTCAGTGACAGAACTGGGACAGAAGTCCAGATGCAGATGAGGCCAAAGCTCGGGCTCTGAATGGCTAGAATATACTGTTACCTTCTATGGGAACAGCAGAGGCTGAAGGGAGGTCACCCTCACACTTCCAAAGAGCTTGCTATGGATTGGCATCTAGACCTGACTACACGGTGCACATATACAGTCTACGTAGCATAGAGTGCTGCAAAACGTGTTGTTAAAACACCAGCAGCCTCTGCTTGTTATTCAGTCAACACTGATAAGAAGAAACAACCAAAGAAGGACCATAGTCAGTTTATCCTCTTTTATTAGTGATGATTTCTCTTTCTGGCAATATGGCTGATTAACATGGCCTGAAGTCCCTAGAATTGTTAAAATAGAATATCTTTTTTATGCAAGGCTGATCTTTAAAGAGAAGGGAGGACGGGAGCAGTAATTCTCAGGTGTCAAAAACTAGGAGGGAGGTGAAAATGGTGCCATATGTGTGTGAGCTGATGCTGTGGCTGCCCTCGTCCCCTGGGAGCTTGCACAGAAGATAAGATGAAGCTTCATGGGGAGGACGATTGGAACTGAAAACATACTTAGTTCCAAAACCCCTCCTCATGTGAGAGAATGTACTAGGAAGAACTTCCCCACTGGAACAAGCTGCTGAAAGGAAGTTTACCTGCTCTAGGCACTGGGTGACAATTCAGAACCCCAGGCCTGCTCTTCAAGCAGGGATGGAGGTTGAATTTCCATTACCCGACTATCCCCAAGCCAAAAAAAATTTTTTTTTTAAATTTTTGTTTTTGTAGAGACAGGGTCTTGCTATGTTTCTCAGCTTGGTCTCAATCTCCTAAACTCAAGCAGTCCTCCCACTTCAGCCTCCCAGAAGGCTGGGATTATAGACGTGAGCCACCATGCCCAGCCCCCAAGCCAACATATCATAAAATTGACTGCAAAACTGATGTGAAAGGACTTTCACAAGGAAGCCACAAGAGATCCTTGAGGAGGAAGCAAGCCCAACTAAACACGAGCTCATAATAAAAAATGACAAAACCTAAAGGAGACTGTCAACAATGAGTGGAAGTCAGCAAACACAGTCAACAGCAAAATTACAGCCTCAAACATTTGCGATAACAGAGGTATGTTAAATCAGTTAAAATATGCAAGAGAAGTTAGACACACAAACTAGAATAAGAAAGTCTCTCACACTAAGAGATGTTTCTGAAAGAGATGGGTGAGGGGCAATAGTCAAAGAGTTACTGGCTAAGAATTTTCAAAAACCTTCAGATTCAAGATGTTTAAGTTCCAAACAGTATAAACAAATAGAAATCTAAGTTTTTTTGTTTTGTTTTGTTTTTTGTTTTTTGAGACTAGAGTCTTGCTCTGTCGCCCAGGCTGGAGTGCAGTGGTGCGATCTTGATTCACTGCAAGCTCTGCCTCCCAGGTTCACGCCATTCTCCTGCCTCAGCCTCCTGAGTAGCTGGGACTACAGGCGCCCACCACCATGCCTGGCTAATTTTTTTTTTTTTTTTTGTATTTTTAGTAGAGACAGGGTTTCACCGTGTTAGCCAGGATGGCCTCGATCTCCTGACCTCGTGATCTGCCGGCCTTGGCCTCCCAAAGTGCTGGGATTACAGGCATGAGCCACCACGCCCGGCCCAGATTTTTTAAAAGACTGAAAAGTGAAGAAAAGTGGAGGGGACATCTTAAATTGCAGTCAATTTTATTGTTGCAAAGATGTGTCTCTGTTTCCATGCACTAGGGATGAATTCCCTTTTCGTCATCAGCAGCACACAATTAAGAAATAGTGAGACTCTTAAAAAGGCGGTGGCTCACAGCTGTAATCCCAGCACTTTGGGAGGCTGAATCAGGTGGATCACTTGAGGTCAGGAGTTTGAGGGCAGCCTGGCCAACATGGCGACACCCTATCTCTACTAAAAATACAAAAATTAACCAGGTGTGGTGTCGGGCACCTGTAATCCCAGCTACTTGAGAGGCTGAGTAAGGAGAACCACTTGAACCTGAGAGGCGGAAGTTGCAGTGAGCCAAGATTGTGCCATTGCACTCCAGCCTGAGACAGACTCTGTCTAAAAAAAAAAAAAAAAAAAAAAGAAGGAAAAAATAGTAGTGGAACTGATCAGGAGCAGAGTTCAGTGGCTCAAGCCTGTAATCCCAGCACTTTGGGTGACCAGGGCAGGAGGATTGCTTGAGGCCAGGAGTATGAGACCAGCCTGGGCAACATAAAGAGAACTTGTCTCTAGAAAAAATAAAATAGTGAATATGGCAAGGAGTACAGAATGTAAAGGGAAGCTTTGTAAAGGCAGATGGGGATAGAAAAAGAGGGAGAGAAAAGAAGGTGGGAAAAGGGAGGCCTTACTGAGGGGAAGGAATTAGAAGAAGTGCGAGGCTTTATGAACAGAAGGAGCGGCTTTCTCTGAATTTGCTGCTGAAACTGGGTGCAAGGGGAAGATACGGCAAAGTAGCATAGTTTAACTGGGGACAAAAAAATTGCATGTTGCATTAGCATTTACCAAATCTTTATTACTAGGAAGGTGATTTTCCTCTTTGACAATACTTCCTGCATCCCTGTTATGATCACTAAAGGCCTTTAATGCCTACGTGTCTGCAGGGAGAGGCTGGAAACATTGCCCCATCCACCCTTTACACCACCATTTCATATAGAAGAAAGTGTGTTTTCTTCACTCAAGCTTTAGCAAAATTCACAAGTACAACTTCCCACAGAATGGGTATATGGGCACAACTATTTGTCATCATTCTGCCACTACTCCTGTTTGGGCTATGAACACAGGGCAGTTCTCACATTCAAAATTATCCTCACATTCCCTTGCAAATTTTTTTTCATCTTTTCAATACAATGAATCAAAGAAATATTTTTCTCACTGACTTCATGTGTTCTATTGACTTTTGCTTACTTAAAAGTAATAAGCATATATTTCTTTTTTGTTTGTTTGTTTTGAGACAGGGTCTCTCTCTGTCACCCAGACTGGAGTGCAGTGGCAAAATTACTGCCTCCTGCAAACTCAGCCTCCCAGGCTCAAGCAATCTTCCTGCCTCAGCTTCCCAAGTAGCTAGGACTACAGACACATGCCACCACACCCAGCAAATGTTTGTATTTTTTTGTAGAGATGGGGTTTCAGTATGCCACCCAGGCTGGTCTCAAACTCCTGGGCACAAGAGATCCACCTGCCTTGGCCTCCCAAAATGCTAGGATTACAGGCATGTGCCATTAAGCCCGGCCTAAGCATATATTTTAAACACATCTAGCTTTTGTCTTGCTATTTTAAAAAAAAGGGTGTAAATATATAATCACCCTCGTCCCAAAAATGGCCTGAATAGATTTTGTTGTTTTTTTTTTTTTTAGATGAGGGCTCACTATGTCGTCCAGGCTGTTCTCCAACTCCTGGGCTCAAGCGATCCTCCCACCTTGGCCTACCAAAGTGCTGGGATTACAGGCATCCGCCACACTGGGTTCTAGAATTCTTAAATTATTTTTCAATGACTACACATAAATGTTTTCCATTTATACACAGGGTTTCAGTAAGAGAAAGCATTTCTTTCTGAAATCAGTTCATAAACTGACATCACTTTCTTATATAAAGTAATTGCTACCCTCTTGACACACCCCTTTGGAGATGTACATATTTTCATCAATGCCTCTCCTGCAGCATATATTAAGGTATGTTCAATAGAGGCATCTATTCCATAAACGACATAAGAATAGCTACATTGCCTGAGTGTTCAGCGTCTCCCAGCCCCCGTGTTGAGAGCTTCCTCCCAGGTGAATCTGTTGTCCCCCACCCTCCAGGTGAGGAAATTAAGGCTGTGAAAGGGCTGGGAACCCTCACTCCATGCTGCCTCTTCATGGAGCTGAGCCAATAGCGGTCCAATTTCTGCATCTGAATCATTTGGGGCCAGAAAGAATTTTTATAGGATAAAATGCACAGAATCCAGAAGAGTACTGAAGACTCTTCCCCACCTCACCGCAGCTGGAGGATTTGACTGAGATGAGGGTCACATGCATACGGTAAGTCAAGGTCTGGAGAGCTGAGCTGAAGGGGCACCCTGGAGCCTGGCAGAGCGCCTGCATGGCAGCTGAGGGAAGAGGATGCTGAATGGGAGGTCAATGTTGCTCCAGCAAAGCTCCAGACAAATGAGGACGAAGTCACTGAGGCACCGTGGGAAAGCCCACCCTGGAGTCTTTTCACCCACGGAAACTCATTACGCAGTCCCCAACCCACTAGAAGGCCCAGTAGCCCAGGTCAGGGTTTCCACATCCTCCCCTCCCCTGCAGGGGTATTGCATGACAATCGGGGCCAATTCTGATATCCCGAGGCTGAACCACACATTAGCCTTCTATGCACTGACCATTCGTAGGGTCAAAGTTATTTTTGTAAAAGCTGAGAGTAGGCCGGGCGCGGTGGCTCATGCCTGTAATCCCAGCACTTTGGGAGGCCGAGGCGGGCGGATCACGAGGTCAGGAGATCGAGGCCATCCTGGCTAACACGGTGAAAACCCGTCTCTACTAAAAATACAAAAAATTAGGCGGGCGCCTGTAGTCCCAGCTACTCGGGAGGCTGAGGCAGGAGAATGGCGTGAACCCCGGGGGGCGGAGTCTGCAGTGAGCCGAGATCGCGCCACTGCCCTCCAACCTGGGCGACATCGAGACTCCGTCTCAAAAAAACAAAACAAACAAACAACAAAAACAAACAAACAAACAAAAACACTGAGAGTAGAGCAATGCACAAGAGTATTTAATTCTGTGAATTTAACGGATGAGAACTGGGGAGGAAAACCGGTGTCGGTAAATAGTCCTTCTTGACCACTACGCAAATATTTCATCTCCCAAGCCCGGAAGTGGGGTAGAGCGCGGGAAGCACCGTGTGTCAGCTGAGGTGAGGGCTGAGGGACGAGGGGGAATCCACAAAGACCCCTGCAGCTTAGGTTCGCGCGTGCCTGGGGCTGGCAGGTGTGCCAGACACTGGCTCTGGAGGCGCAGCTCCACCGTGTCTGTGGAGTGGACTCTCTCTAAACCAGTGAGTTCCTGTAAAAGCGGCTTTTATTAACTTAACAGGTAGATCCAGCAGGCTCCAGTCCTCTTTGCAATCGTTCGCCTCTGGCCCCCAGCGGGAGGAAAGAGGAGGGTGAAAGGAGAAGCCCCCGGGCTGTCCCCAAGGGAGTGCTCCCTGGCAGAGTGCGCTGGGCCCTGCCCTCCTGACGAGGGAGCGCCCCTACACTAGTGCATATTTTCCATATAGACATTGGATAGGATCCACCGTCCAGAGAGGGGAGGGTGGCCCCCAGCGCCATCCCCAACTGACAGGAGACCCCGCCTTAGCGAGCGCTGTCCCCAGCCCGCCAGCCTCGCCTTTCTCTCTGCACAGTGCAGCCCTGACCACCTGGCGTGAGCCTCCTTCCCGAGCGCCATCTGCCTGCGCCCCTGGAAAGCCACTGGGCCTGCGACAGCCAGGGAGCCCCTCAGCTCGCTGGTATCCTTCGGGGGCGCGGGGGGCACACAGAGCGGACTTCCCTCAGCCACACGCCCAGGGCTGCACGCACCCAGGACAGCTGCGGACACCCCCTCCCCACCCTCCCCAGACCATCAGGACGCACAAGGTGCCTGCTTTTCAAAAACTCCCATGTGTCCTTCAGTGTTCCCCCAACTCTGCGGAGGGGACAGGGGCTGATTCTGATGCAACTTTCCCAAACAATTGTCAATGAAAAGGGACAAACTCTGTAAAATATTTAAGAGATTTATTCTGAGCCAAATGTGAGTGACTATGGCCGGTGACACAGCCCTCAGGAGATCCTGAGACATGTGCCCAAGGTGGTCCGGGTGCAGCTTGTTTTTATACATTTTAGGGAGGCATGAGCCATTAATCAAATACAGTTGAGAAATACATTGGTTTGGTCCAGAAATGAGGAATTTAGGCATGATAAAAAAAAAAATCAGAGCTTAGTCCTCATTCCCCTCTCTTGGCCAAAAGCATTCCATAGAATGTATGTGCCCCAGCAGGTCCCACTGAGCTAAAAAGGCTCATTCCTAGAACTGTCTGACTTGATGGTAATAGTTTTAAATATTAGCGATTTGGATCATGGCGGGAGGACATGGTCTGACCTGATATAATAGCCAATAGTTTAAGAAGTGAGACGGAGTCAGGCCTAGAGTTTAGTCTTTAAAAAATCCCAGGTCAGGTCTATTTTGCGAGCTATCATGGTCCAGGTCTTCAGTTGTGCCTTTTTCCTTTGCTGTGTCTGGCATAACATTTACAAGTGATGTAGTAAAAAATATCAAAAAGACAGTAAAGATTAAGCATCCAAGAAGGTTATAGGTAGAATCAGAGGGCAGTAAACTCAACCAGCAAAAAAGAAAAAAAAAACAAAACCCTGCATGCATCATCATACTTTTTTAGTAGACTTACAGTGCATTTACCCTTCTTATCAAGGGTTATTTGAACTTTATGATAAACCTTATTTGAGGAATGTAAGGCCGACATTAAATCAGAGTCCCATAAATTTAATCCCTCTTCTGGCTAATTTATCTCCATAATGTTTTAGGACTTTCTCCTTAGGGTTCTTGTCACACAACCAGGAAAGATTAGGGTTGCAGACACATAGAAGGATGAGAAAAATGGAATTCATTGGGTAAAAAGGGAAAAAATGGAAACAGGGACTCTCAGCAAAGGGAGAGTCCTGCTAGCAGGGTTCCCACCTCACAGATTGAATCCCAGGACACCACCCAGGAACAGAAGAGGCCAGGGTCCTCCCCACTGCAAACTTGCAAACTTCCCGAGGCTCCAGCCCCGTGCGCCCTCCTCCCAGTGTGTAGGCCATTTAGAGGTTCTCCGGGGAGCCCTTTTTACTTGGCTGTCTCAATAGGTATGACATCCTGAGGAGGGTATAAATCAAATGCAAGAAACGCCTGGGCCTCTGTGTCTAAATTGTCATAGAACATAGGACCTGTTGGCTGGGCGCAGTGGCTCACGCCTGTAATCCCAACACTTTGGGAGGCTGAGGCAGGTGGATCACGAAGTCAGGAGATCGAGACCATCCTGGCTAACACGGTGAAACCCTGTCTCTACTAAAAATACAAAAAAAAAATTACTGGGCGTGGTGGTGGGTGCCTGTAGTCCCAGCTACTCGGGAGGCTGAGGTAGGAGAATGGCGTGAACCCAGGAGGCGGAGCTTGCAGTGAGCCGAGATCACACCACTGCACTCCAGCCTGGGCGACAGAGCGAGACTCCGTCTCAAAAAAAAGAGGAAAAAAAAAAAAAAGAACATAGGACCTGTTAACAGTAGACAAATCTATTTTTCCCACCGCTTTTGTATTGCACCATCTACTGATGGTATTTGGGAAAGAAAAGGAAATTTTGTCACAGAAGTCACATAATTCTATGGTGTCATTTTCTTGTCCCTCAGCGGGACTCTCTGTGACTGAGGGCCTAAGAGTCAAAAGACTTATAGCCAATTAATTGTTCTAGGCCAGATAGGAGTGGATGTGGACAGGCATTCATTACGTCTAAAAATTATTATTTTAAGTTAAAAAAAAAGCTGACAAACAAAACCAAAAGGCAAAGTTACAAGACTGACTTATTTTTAACTTCTATGTGTTGAGTTACTGTAAGCTTGGTTTTTGTTACAGACTTATAGCAATCAGCTATACAAAACCTAAGCCTTGTTCTGAAAAATAATTGAAAATATGTATATATATAGATATAGATATATTTATCTTTACAACTCATAATTTGAAGTATTATACCCAGTAGGCTTTGTTCCGAGGTATTTTTATCCTGTTAGTAAATATTTTTCTTTAATTCTATCGTAAGCAGAAAATTTTTATGGTAGGGGTGGATGCAACAGTAGCACATCATACTTTGGGAGGCAACTAAACTTGTTTTACCAGCTGTTTAGGCATTTTTGTACCCCTTCTTGGTTTGGAGGGTTTGACCTTGACCTAATTTTATCCCTCAAAACCAGCCCTTACAGTCTAATGCACCCATCTCCTCCACGATAGTACCTGGGCCTAAAAAGGGAGGCTGCTTGTCTATAGTCTTAGCAGCAGAGTATCAGCAGTGAAACAGATTCCGGCCCAGTGGGGTGCCACATGAGGGAGATTCATATCTCTGGTCTTCAGAATACCATGATTTTGGTCTCTGTGGAAGTAAAACAAGGAGAGATAAATAACACTTCTAGTTTGACAATTATAAGAGTAATTTGTGGCCGGATGCAGTGGCTCACGCCTGTAATCCCAACACTTTGGGAGGCTGAGGCGGGTGGATCACCTGAGGTCAGGAGTTCAAGACCAGCTTGGCCAACATGGTGAAATTCTGTCTCTACAAAAATACAAAAATTAGGTGAGCATGATGGCGAGTGACTGTAGTCCCAGCTACTCAGGAGGCTGAGGTAGGAGACTCGCTTGAAGCCAGGAGGCAAAGGTTGCGGTGAGCTGAGATCACACCATTGCACTTCAGCCTGGGTGACAGAGCGAGACTCCATCTTAAAAAAAAAAAAAAAGTATTTGTATGTCAGAACAGAAAAAGAAACCTCTTCTATTAGGGTACCAACTAAAGATATGAAGAAAAATTATAATCTGGTACTCTCTATAGGATTATTGTAGCCAAGAAATGACTTAATCTGCATTCAAAAAAAGTTAGGGCTGAAATCTAGTATTAAGTGTTACACTTTTCCCTTGAAACAAGCTTCTCTAGCTGCTTTTTTTTTTTAATTAAAGAGAAATTATAGCAACACCAATTTGTGTGCCAGGCAAGTTTTAGGTTTATTATGCTTGCATGGTTATTTGCATAAAATGCAGCAAGAATTCATTGGCCATATATACTCCTTTTGAGTTGGCTTTGCTGGAACTATACCTAACAATACGCTATTTTAGTTTAAGTCTTGGAAAAATAACCGGTGCCTCCAATTTTTTTTTTTTTTAAACTCTTATTGAACTTATGCGGACAACTATATCGTCACAAAATTACAATCTGAATTTTGGTGAACCCAAAAGGTAAGTTTGCTTACAAAAACACAATTTACTCCTCCCCCAAAAAAGACAAAATAAAAAATAAACATACTTTAGCCAAATAGCTTAAAAGAAAAAGAAAGATTTTCTTAACCTTTCTTTAACCAGAGCAGCAGCTTTAAAACCAGATGCTTGTTTACCTTGGAAATGCCAATTACAAACAAAACAGCTCATGAGAGCTGTCTATCAGGCACTGTAGCATTTAGTAGCTCCTCACAATTAGTTCTAGGAAAGAGGCTCTCTTCTTATTAGGTAGCAAGATTTTATGTAAACCATTTTTATTTTATCACAGAACTCTTTGGGGAAATATTATTTCTATTAGCATAGGGGTAGCTTCAGTTAATATTTCATGGCAAGGCAATAAATGCCCCAACAAGTGGAAATTCTCTAATTCAGTCATTGTCATTGAAAAGTACTCATGATCTTTGTCATCGGCCCCGATAAATGTTCCACTCAAAGGGCTACGCAGTGGAGGATTTGTCCCGATTAGCACTCCAGCTCCTACCCTATACTTTGTGGGCTTAGACGATTTTACTAGTTCCTATTTAGTGTGTTCAAATAACATTTCCTAGAAGAGCAGATTTACATGCCCTCAGTTTTACAGTACTAGGAAAAGGAAAACGTCCCCCAGTTAGACATAGTACCCATTTTCATAAGACATTTAGGTAAAAGGGGTTACAACTACCTTACATAAAGCTTGTTTAAACATCATAAATTGTATAATTCTATTAAACTCTATGTTTTTATGTTCGGGTCCCAGGAACCCTTTTACACCCCCAGTCTATTTTACCTTTTCTGGTGAAAAGAGTTTGGGTTCCCAGCAGGGAGTTGTGTCTGTAAGACCTGTGAGGGACAGCAAATTGGATAAGGCTTCTTAAACAGTCCTATGATTCTGTGCAAGGGGCACTCATGTAAAAGGGGGCCCCTTAACCCCCAAATTTACCATGACCTTGAGTAGTAGGCATATTTGGTGGGAAGATACCTCAGTTATCATAAAGCCAGTCCAACATGGCTTGCATATGAAGCATGTTAATGCTTCACCTGGGGTGCTTCACTTGGTATTTTATAGAGAGAGTTGGGCAGTCCCCTTCTCAGGGCAAACAGACCTTACTGGATTTATCCAGTCCACTAGGCTGATTCTTTTCTCAGGAATAACCTTCTGTTCATTTGGATCACATATACTCATCAGTGATTGTTCAGTAGTGAGCTGTGGGTCCTGTATTAATCCAAACACGCTCTTAAATTCTGTAGCATTTAAAATGAATAATTTTGTCCTTAAAAGTGGTGGCTTTTACAATCCACTAAAGATTTTTTAAAGAAGCCGAATGATACCAGTCTACAAAATGGAACAATTTACATTATGCCCTCTGGTTTTTAATGATTACTTGGCTTTACCACAGGGTTCAGATTTAACTTTTGTTGCCCTGGCTTGCTTTCTTTTTTAATCCATTTAGTTTTATCTGTATAATTCTCTTTCATTATAAAGCTACTCTTAGTTTCTTAACCAAAAAACTTACATTTTTTTGAAAATTGACATCCTTGTGTTTTATAAAATTTTGCCAAAAGCATATTTTACGCTCCAACTATTTTAAATTTTAGTAACCCAAATTTCCAGTGGGGGAAAAAAACAGGTTTTTAACATGACTTTAAAATTTTAAATTACTGGGGAGAGTTTTAAGATTAAATTTACCAAGTTTATTTTACCGAAGATTACCAAGTCATGTGAATTAAAAGGCATCTGAGCTAGCTTCTACCAATCTGATAAGCACTTAACATTTTTTAAGTTACTTGATTAGAGCTCTTTCATGTAGTTTGGTAGTAAAATATCACTTCCCCATGACACAAATAAAGATAGAGATATAAAAAGCATGCAGAATAAAAAGGCAGTTTCAAAAGATATTTTATTTGCCAATTTTCAAGAAAATTATCTCACTTATTTTAGACAGTTAATAAAAGTAACAGCAGACAACAAAAGGTAAAGAAGAAAGCTACCATTCAAGGCCTTGCCTTTTCACAAGAGAAAGAGTTGAACTTCTGAGCTATCAATCTGAAGAATGTTAAAGACAGATGATAGAATGTTAAAGTTTAAAAACTTCATGCATTAAAAGTCAAATATTTGTAATAAAATATTGATTTGACTATTTAGTTTTGTATTAGTGTACTTTTAAGTATCAAAGACCCATCTCTACAAAGACTATTATAATTTCCTCTTCATTATAACCAACTGAATTACACAACTGTCAGAGGCATGTGAACCAGAGCAACTCTATCTTGAATAAGGGCTGGGTAAAATGAGGCCAAGACCTACTTGGCTGGATTCCCAGACAGTTAAGGCATTCTAAGTCACAGGATGAAATAGGAGATCAGTACAAGATACAGGTTATAAAGACCCTGCTGATAAAACAGTTTGCAGTAAAGAAGCCAGCTAAAACCCATCAACACCAAGATGGCCATGAGAGTGACCTCTGGCCATCCTCACTGCTACACTCCCCCCAGCGCCATGACAGTTTACAAATGCCATGGCAATGTCATGAAGTTACACCATATGGTCTAAAAGGGGAAGGCATGAATAATCTACCCCTTATTTAGCATATAACCAAGAAATAACTGTAAAAATGGGTAACCAGCAGCCCTCGGGGCTGCTCTGCCTTATGGAGTAGCCATTCTTTATTCCTTTACTTTTCCAATAAGTTGCTTTCGCTTTACTCTATGGGCTCGCTCTGAATTCTTTCTTGCATGAGATTCAAGAACCCTTTCTGGAGTATAGTGCTGCAAACACAGCTCACTGTAGCCTCAACCTCCCAGGCTTAAGCAATCCTCCTGCCTCAGCCTCCCGAGTGGCTGGGACTACAGGTGCATGCCACCATGCCCAGCTAAGCTAATTTTTTCTATTTTTTGTAGAGACAAGGTGTCACTATGTTGCCCAGGCTGGTCTCAAACTCCTGGACTCAAACAGTCCTCCTGCCTTGGACTCCCAAAGTGTTGGGATTTCAGGCATGAGCCACCACACTGAGCCAGGTGAGTTTTGACAAATATATACACCCATATGGCCCAGCACCTCAGTCACAATACAGAATGTCTCCATCACCGCACATGGTTCCCAACTCGACCTCAAACCCAAGTGCTATGGAGTCACTGATTCTGATTTTAATATGCTGTATTATTTGCTATAATACAGCATATACATTTCATGTACATTTTTGTGACAAATGATATGTTTTTATTTTCATTTTTATTGGTACAAAATACTTTCTAATTTCTCTTGTGATGTCTTCTTTTACCCATGGTTATATAAGAAATGTGTTACTTAATTTTAAAACATTTGGGGATTTTCCAAATATCTTTTATTGTTGAATTTGTAAAGGATCTATCCAACAAACTGTTGAGCTCACTTAATAGTAGTTACAGTTCATAATGAGATTCTCTTGGATTTTCCTTATAGATATTTCATCTGACAGTATAAATTTTACATCGGCCAGAATCCCCAGTGTAATATTAAACTGTGGAGGTGATAACAGGGATGTTTGTGTCTGATTTTAATGAGCCTCTTTTAAGATTTCACTATTCAGTGTGAAGTTTGCTATAGGTTTTGAGGCAATACACTTTTAATAAATTAAAGATTATTTATCATAAGCAGAGTTGGGATATTTGAGTGAATTTTCTAAATCTACTGATATAACAATATGATTTTTTCTTTTAATTTGCCAGTGTGATGGATTACATTGAAGATTTTTTTTGCACTCCTCAGATAAACTCTATTGCTCTTTTTATTTTGAATAAAATTCTGGATTTATTTTGCTTGCTATGTTGTATTTTGATAGTGATTTTAACATATCTGAAATATGTTTGAGCAGAAGTGAGGTGAGAATCAAAATTAGCTTATTCTACAGCTATTTTTTCTTATACCGTTTATTGAATGATTCATGTTTCCCATACAGTATGTTCTAAATAATTTTTGATCTTTCTTTTATTATTGTTATTTAATTTTTATTTTTTGAGACAAAGTCTCATTCTGTCACCCAGACTGGAGTGCAGTGGCATGATCTCGGCTCACTGAAACCTCTGCCTCCTGGGCTCAAGTGATCCTCCCACCTCAGCCTCCTGAGTAGCTGGGACTCAGGTCCAGCTCAGTAACTGGGACAGGCATGCACCACCATGCCCAGCTAATTTTTTTTTTTTGTAGGGATGGGGTTTTTCCATGTTGCCCAGGCTGGTCTTGAACTCCTGGGCTCAAGCCATCCTCCCATCTCAGCCTTCCAAAGTGCTGGGATTACAGGCATGAACCACTGCACCCAGCATGGTCTTTTTTTTTTTTTTTTTTCAATATTTTCATTGTCCTGTTGTAGGGAGACCCCCTGAAACTATTGCTACGGAATAAAAGATAAAATGCCCCTGATTATCGTAAATACAAAATTGCCTGCAGGATTGTGTAAAGACAATGCCAGTTTGGGCTGCCAGAACGAGCCAACAGCGTGATGTGCTTCCCCCCTAGAGAGCCTATGAATGGACGTGCAGTCAGGGAGGTTTCACATCACCAAGATTCCTATCCCAGAAAAGCAGATGTTCATAGCTCTGGGAATGGAATGCAACCCTTGTGGAGAGCCTATAAACAGACACATGAGGGGCACCGGTTCATATGGATAAGATAGGGTTATAAATGCCCTCATCTTGCCACAGCTCTTCCAGGTCTCTTTAGGGTTAAGGCATACTCCCTTCTGAGAATTTTTGGTCTAACTGGTTGTCTAGCTTCACGTCCTGTTTCTATGGATTGTTTGCAACCAGCTTTTGCTGCAACTGTTACTGCTGATTAATATTGGCTAATCATAGGTTATGGATAGACTGTGTTTCTGTTTTAAGGCTCTGTTAGAAATTGCTGACGCACACACTATATTGTAAATTCTCATCTCTGCATACTGTACTTCTGCATACCAATGTTATGTTAAAGAATTGCTTCATCCCCATTTGACCATTTCACCTCATAATCAAACGACCCTAAATCCCTCACTAACTGACCCCCACCCTCACTAAACTTAGTAATAAATGCTGGTATATCCAGTGCATTGGCGGCATTGCAGGACCAGAAGGCGGTGACCCCCCTGGACCCAGCTTTCACTATCTTGTGTGTGTCTTTTATTTCTCAACCTGCCGATCCGCCTGGGAACAAAGAAAAAGCCCCGTTGCACTGTGGGCTGCTGGCCAGATCCTGCAATATCCTGTAGTTTTAATAAATGTATTTTAATGTTACTGGCCACTTCAGATTTTTCTTGATTGTTTAATCCAATGAAGGTTTTAAAGATATTCTCATACAGGGAAATGTTAAAATATCTCTCTCAAAGGGATGTCTATGTCTTGGCTGGAAATATTACTCAGTGAGAAATAATTTTAGGCCATAGGGAGATCTCTTTATCTTTGCAAGGGCATTTACTGCCTTAAATGCATTTTAATTGATAGGGAAGAGAGAAAGTCCAATGTAGGTCCACCTACTTGATAACTAAGGCTGAAATCCAGTTCAAGCTGGGCCTGGGGACAGCAGCAGGCTCAGGTGACCAGGGAGGAACCTGGTTCAGCTTCATTCCCTTCAGAATTCTCCAAGGACAAGGCTCCCACCCTTCCGAGCAGGCAGGACTGTGGTCAAGCACATGCCTTTGCCCACACATTAACAACTGTCATGAGTTTATGTGTTTTCTTTTCGAAGGAGGATGCATTCAGACACATCTGTGTGTGTTTCTACAGACGTACATTCAGGAATATGGAGCATCGCAGCTGGGAGTGTGCACCTGCTCCTCACAGTGATGTGACCTATCCTGATGTGTTTTCCCTTGACAATGTCTTGGAGAGCTTTCCATGTGAGTGCATGTAGGTCCAACTTGGTCTTCATAACTGCTGCATGGTGTGTCATGGTATGCAAGCACCACAACATATTTAGCCAGTCCCTGACTGATGGGCATCTAGGTTGTTGCCACTTATCCACTATTCCATTGACATAGGAATCTTGCAAGATAAAGTTGAAAGGTAATTCAGTGGCATTTGAGGCTCTCTGTAGTGTTCTGAAGTCTTACCTTCAGGTAACATGCCTTTTCCCAAAGAGTACACTCCAGTCAAACTAGTCTAACACGATTTTCTAGCTCAAAATCTGCACAGGTCAATCCTTCCACCCAGAAGGCCCACTTCTCTTCTTTTCCTCTTTCTAAATTTGGCCTGTCTTAGAAGGCTGTCTCCTATTCCCACTCTTCTGTGAAAACTTTCCTCTTCTCTGGGCTCCCAGCCTATGGTAGTCTTTCTTTCACCAAATGTCTATTGTATTCTGTATGGCTCACTCAATATTTGTACATTTTTTTGTATTTTAATATTTCATTATATTAACAATCCTCATGTCTTCACCTAGAAGCTAATTTATTGAAGTAAGATAAATTTTCTTGCCTTTTAGCTAAAGTCTCAGCTCTATTTTCTTTCTTCTCTCTAAGCATACCTTGCCCCAAAGCTGAATAAGTCTGTCCACATTATTTCTCTGCTCACAAACCAATATGATGATGATGATGATGATGATGATGTCATCCTCAACAGCTCCCTCATGAGTGGCATCACCAGCCTTCCTCAGGTTAAGTATCACAACAAGGAGAGCATCTTCAAAGGTGACTCCTGCCTTAGGCCTACAAAAGCCCTCTCTTTTCCATTCCTCCACTCCAGTCAGGGCCCCTCCCCATTCCATGAGCCTGTTAGTTGGGAGAAGCTAGACTACATGGTCACAGGTAAATCCCAAAGTGTTAGAAGTGCAACCCAGGCTGGGCGCGGTGGCTCACACCTGTCATCCCAGCACTTTGGGAGGCCAAGGCGGGTGGAACATTTGAGGTCAGGAGTTTGAGACCAGCCTGGCCAACATGGTGAAACCCTGTCTCTACTAGAAAAAATACAAGAAGTAGCCGGGAGTGGTGGCACACGCCTGTAATCTCATCAGGAGGCTGAGGCAGGAGAATTGCTTGAACCCGGGAGGCAGAGGTCGCAGTGAGCCGAGATCGTGCCTCTGCACTCCAGCCCAGGTGACAGAGCGAGACTCCATCTCTAAAAAAAAAAAAAAAGAAGAAGAAGAGCAACCCAAATTCGGGTCTTCCTCACTCACCTCACACCTGGCCGTGGGTCAGAACGGCCTCCTTGGCAGCTCCTGCTCCTCCAGCAGCCCTGCCACCCCCAATCTTCACTTGTAGCCACACAGCTGGAAGGAAGCTTGTGCCCAGGACTCACACTTCCTCTTGACAGCCTCCAGCCAGGCCAGCACCGCACTTCCGCTCACCGCCTACAGCCTCTACTTGTCCCAAGGCTTCGCATAACTGGAAGAGAGACTGGGAAGCGCAGGGCACACGGAACACCTGAAGAGCACTCCTGTCTGTGCCCCGGAGCTGCCGGGATCAACTGGGGGCTCTAAGAAATGGAGGCAGCAGGAAGCTAGGAAAGGCAGGGAGTGCCTGGAGGTATTGATCCAGGTATGGGGCCTCAACCAAAAACATCTGCCCCAGTACCCTCTGAGAATGCTGACTCGGTCACCCTGCCTCCAGTTCTACCAATGACAGAGGCATCTGGCTTACTAATTTTTCTTTTTGAAAATCGCAGGTCTTCTGAGAAGTCTAAGTGGCCTCCTCTCTCTCTCTCTCCGAATAATTTAAAGAGGGTTTTCCCCACAACCTCTAGGTGAAGTCAGTGAAAGAAGAGGCACTTTGTTTGGAGAAAATAAGCAGGAGTCTTGGAGGATGGATAACTGTAGAAAGTGGGCATGCCTGGGCAAGGTACAGCCACTCTGAGGGCACTTCAGGTGACATAAAGTGGACAGCAGCAACTTGGGAGGAGCAGGAAGCCCCTCTGCATAGGGCATCCTCAGCCAGCCCTGGAGAGGAGTAAACCCTTCTCCCCTCCTCCCCCCTTCTCCCTCCTCCTCTCTTCCCCCTCCTCTCCTCCACCCTTCCTCCCTACCTCCTCCCTTCTCCCTCACCTCCTTGCCCCTGCCTTATCGCCCTGCTGCTGGAGCACAGGTTTCAGGTTGGCTTCATATTTAGCTGTAAATCCCAAGAGAAACATGGCAGAGTTAAAAATTAATTCGATTGGCACATTTCAACTACTTTGTGGATTATATAGGCTTTTCTAACTCTGCCTGGGGATTCAAACAGCAACTTCAACTCTTTCTGTGGAACAAAATAATAATGTTCTAAGTTCCAAAGTCCAGGATTATGTTTTTTTAAATAAAGCCTATTTTCTTTTTTCCGATTATAAAAATAATACATGTAATAATGGACTTTGAAAAATACGGGTAAATATACAGAAACCAATATAAATCATCCATAGTTTCACTTTAGAACCACAACTCATTCCTTAACTGGGACAGGGCACACTGCCAGTTACCAGACGAAATTCATGTTTTCAGCTCCCTGGGTCCACAGCTGGAACTGATTTCCAGCATCTATTGCCATCAGATCCAGCTAAGGACTACCTCCTAGCCAGTGAATTTGAATAGTGCTTGTACAGGCCCCTTCTAGGCCTGGCCTGAGGAGAGCCTCCATGCCTGCCCTTCACAGGCCCTTCTCCTCCAGCCAGCTGGGTGGAAGGTGCTCTCTGAGGCAACCTTGGAAGCCAGATATTGAAGATGGAAGTGCCCTTCAGCCTGGGTCCTGCCATAGGTCTGTGGAGGAGGCCCCGTGCTGAGCCTCATCCACCCTTAGTGCGGAGTAAGAAAATGCTCTTCTGGCTGGGCATGGTGGCTCATGCCTGTAATCCCAGCACTTTGGGAGGCCGAGGCAGGTGGATCACTTGAGGCCAGGAGTTCAAGACCAGCCTGACCAACATGGTGAAACCCCACCTCTACTAAAAATAAATAAATAAAATAACTGGCCGTGGTGGTGTGCATCTGTAGTCCCAGCTACTCAGGAGGGTGAAGCAGGGGAATCACTTGAACCAGAGAGGTGGAGGTTGCAGTGAGTGGAGATCGTGCCACTGTACTCCAGCCTGGTGACAGAGCGAGGCTCCATCTCAAAAAAAAAAAAAAAGAAAAAAAAAGAAAAGCAAAGAAAAGTGCTCTTCTCCCGCATGACAGTTGTCCTGCGTTTGGGGTCTGCTCCTTTCTACATTACCCTGTCCTGCCAACATGGCTAAGGACTACCTCAATTTCTCTCCTAAACTGCACACTGTCTACTGCAGGCCTAGCATGCACAGCAAGCCCTCAGCAAACTCAGTTTTTCACAGTGAAATGATTCCTGTAGGATCCTTTCCCTTTGACAGCTGCAGAAGCGTCAGTGCTAGAGCAGAGGCCTTGCTGTCCAACAGCCCTAATGCCAGCCTCACTGGGAAGCCTTTGATGGCTTCTGGAGTTTTCCCTTTCCTCCTTTCCTCCGCTAAGAACAAGACCATAAACGTTTCAAAAACACAGTGAGGTCTAACAGAAAAGGAGTTTAATACTTCTTTCACAATTCCAGAGCCTCTGGGGAAATGTCCCATCAGCATATCTAAATCCTAACCAGTATCTTCTAGCAGAAGTTTCGGTGCCACAAGCAGACATTGATGGGTTGATTGAGACACAACATCCCTGTCTACAGCACACACTAGTTCCAAGCATGCGGACAGGGGGCTTGGAACATGCGCAAAAGCAAATGCTCCACAAAAAAAAGAACAGCAGGAAAGTGAACCTAGAGGATTGAGAATGAAGAGTGAGACAATACAAGAAAGAAAATGTTTCCACCATTAGGAAAAAAAAAAAAAAACAGAAACATTGACTTTGATCTCCATTGTTAGAAAGAAAAAGAAAAAAATCAGAAACACATATATATTAAGGCAACAGTAAAAAGATGAGACCAAAAACATGAAAGGAAAGCTGAAGATCCAGGTAGAAACTCAAAGGTTTTGCAGCCTTCCCATCGCCACTGGCTGGGAGGGCCGGGCAAGGCTGGATTCTCCACAGTTACTGGAGGTAATGAGCCTCCTGGGACCTTTCACCCACTTTCTCATCAGTGAACATACCTGGGCCTGGGATTATGCTAACTATTCTGGAACTGCCTCTTCAAACCAGTCTAACAGCTTGCTCAAGGCACAGTGATGCAGGACCAAGATGAAAGGAAACGGAAGCATGTTAGGATCATTGCTAGGGTCATTCAAATACACCCTGAAACTGCACCTTCCGCCACCAAATGGACCAACAGATCGAGGGTTGCCTGCCAAGGGGACTTATGGCCTGAGGCCCCAGCCCTCCCGCTGCAAGTCAGGCCCTGACAGGGGCGGTGTGAGACCAGGTGGGATCCCATCAACCATATTAATATGAGAGGCAGGAGCTGGTTTGGGACAGGTCCTAAGCCCTCACCACTGCACACCAGTTTCCTAGAACCACAGGGTTCTGTCAATGTCAAAGCAAACAGTAGGACCAGACAGGGCTGTGAGAAGGGTCTAGAATCAAGCCCATCACCCTGCACATCTTGGAGGAGAGCTACTGTTCACTGTAGAAGACACCCCTCCCTGGGCATGATCAGCGTCTACTTGGGCAATGCTGTGCTGTCCCAGAGTCTTGCCCTGCAAAGCACACTTCAGGGCAGGGCAGGGCCCCTTCCTGGTAAGTCTCATGCCTGCCAGGCCACCAAGAATCTGCCAGCCCCCATCAGGCTGGCTCCTGCACTTACTCCCCCGGCTATGTGTCTCAGAACTGCTTTGTGTTGACATAGTGGGAAGTACCCTACATGATGTAAAATAACACCAGGACCAGCCTTCAACAAAACTGTGAGGTAGGCACAGTTTACCTCGCCCACTCTCCCACTTCTGTGTCTCCATCATCCAGCCTTCCATTCCCATCATGGCCCTGCCTTCGGCCACTGGCATCCCTCTAAAATGACCAGCTGCTGCAGGCTGAGGATGTGTATGTCCTAAATGAGTCCCTTAGAAATCAAAAATCTATAAGGAGGAAACAAGAATAATAGGATTTCAGGCCTCTGAAAGATATTGAAGACATACAGACAGGTACCTGCTAGATCCTTCCCAAACTAAGTTGTATGAACAACTTAGTACATGTTTTAGACTTTTTGTGCCCAAGGACATGAGTCTTCAAAGCTGACACACTTTCCTGGGTCTGGAAAGTCTTGACAGTCCAGCTGTGGAAGTAGTTGTGGTGCATCACCCTGGAAGTGCAAACCGTTAACTCTATCTGCTCCTGCAGCCCGCATCAGTCCAAGCCTGACAGCTGACCTGGACACTCCACGCAAAAAGCTGCTAATGCAACCATAAAGAAACCAAATTTGAAGAAAACCCAGGTGATTTTTAACAATTTTTTTTGTAGACAAGATCTTGCTATGTTCTCCAGGCTGGTCTTGAACTCCTGGCTTCAAGTGATCCGCCTGCCTCAGCCTCCCAAAGTGCTGGAATTACAGGTATGAGCCAGCGAGCCCGGACAACCCAAGTGATTTTTATGAAAGGCTTCCACTTCCTCCTTCGCCTGCTTAGCCCATTCCCAGCATTATGCCAGCCTAGCAAAGCCAACAGATCTGTGTTGCCCTCCACCTTCTGGCCCCTTCCACATTCTGCAGGAGACCCTATCAAAAGAAACAGCAGGAATCAAGGAGGAAAACCAGGAGGGAAACAAGGGCTGGATGGTCTGTGTGCTGGCAGGTCAGCCCTAATGACCAGGAAGCCACCACAGGCAAACCCCTGGATGGAGCGCCTCTCCCCACAGCCTGCCCACCAACCAGGCGAGGGGGCCTGGCTCCATGAGGAAACCTGGCGGGACTCACAGCTGCCATTTGGCAGCTTTCCGGTTCTTTATCCAGAGTTCTTTTCCTTATGCTGGACCACCCCTTGGGCAAGCATGCCTGATTCCAGGCAACTATTTTCCTGACTGAGCAGTATAAAGATGCCTACTGAGAGAGAGAGAGAGATATTCCTCAGTCCCCTTTCAACCACTGACACCAAGGCCATTGGAGGAAGTCACCATCCTACATTGTCCTTCTCATTGCCTATTTCTTGGGTGAAATGGGTCTCCATGAGCACGGATCCCAGGAGTCTGGGTCTCAGACGATACAGGATGAGGTGCACCACCAAAATAAGAAGTTGGACAAAACACAGATCATTATAAATGGACTAAATCCACCTATTAAAACACTGAAACACCTGTAATCCCAGTGCTTTGGGAGGCCGAGGAGAGAGGATCATTTGAAGCCAAGAGTTTGAGACAAGCCTAGGCAGCATAGCAAGACCCCATCTCAAAAAAAAAAAAAAAAAATTAGCTGCGAGTGGTGGCACACTCCTGTAGTCCCAGTTACTTGGAAGGATGGCTTGAGCCCAGGAGTTGGAGGCTGCAGTGAGCTATGATCACACTACTGCAATCTAGCCTGGATGACAGAGACTCTCTCAAAACAGCAACAACAACAAAAACCCTTCGGTTTGTGTTGTTTTTCAAATCCACCTGTACATTACTTACAAAAGGCAAACCTTAAAAGAAACCACCATGGAAAGATTGAAAATAAATTAATGGAAAGCTGTCTATCACATACGAATCAAAAGAAAGTATGTGTCACTATACCAATACCAGAAAAATAGAAGATAGGACAAAAAAAATTATTAAGAGAGTTAGAGGGACACTACCTAATAATAACAGAAGAAACTCATCAGGGTTACCTAATGACATAATATATCAAATTATAGAGCCTTGAAATCATAAAGCAAAAGCTAACATAAATTACAAGAAGAAATTCACAAATCCTCAACTATAACGGGAGATTTTAAGACGCCATAAATGAGAAACTAAAAGATCAAATGTATAATTAATTAAATTATAGAATGATGGAACAATGGCATTCAGAGCCAATCCGAAGGTTCCCAGACTCCACACTGAGGCACCCCAGAGTGCCGAGCTGGAGTCATGGGAAGCTGCCGGAGACTTCAGCTGCAGAAGACTTTAAGTTTCCAGGGAAAGAGCTGCACAAAACATCTGGTCAGGAACCACGCAAGCTTTGAGTTTGAGAGCTCATAGTTTCAACATCAGATCACACTACATTCTTTTCATAATTTCATATTTTTGTGAAGCTGGATTTTCAGCCATTGCTGTGATAAACAGTAAGTAGCCTGGGAAAATCACGATGGAACAAGAAACGAGCGTGGCAGGAGCCTCCAATCTGCTTCCAAGAGTTGAGAAGTGGTACAGTACCCAACACACACATACATCTCATGAAGAGGCAATTGTAGTTATGTAAGAAGCTAAAAATATTTTTTCTTTCAATTACTGTACATGTATTATTTTTTCAAACAGCTACAAGTTGTTAGGATGCAAATACTAATGAAGTCACTTGGATCTAACTACTTAATAAACAAAACCATTAGGTATTTCTTTTGGTCTAGGGGTACCACACAAATAATTACTGAGTCACTAAGGGTGACGTGAGCAGAGAAAGTTTGGGAATATCTGGCCTAATCGAATAATGTATATAGAAACATACGCTCCAAAACTGAAAATACCTAGCACTTTGGGAGGCCAAGAGCAGGGGATTGCTTCAGCCCAGGAGTTTGAGAACAGCCTGGGCAACATAGCAAGACCTTGCCTCTACCAAGAATTAAAAAAAATAAAAATAAAAAAACCAAACACACACACGAAAACTGGCCAGGCATGATGGTGCACCTATAGACCCAGCTACTTGGGAAGGAGGGGGCTGAAGTGGGAGGATTGCTTGAGCCCAGGAGGTCGAGGCTGCAGTGAGCCATGACCACGCCACTGCACTCCAGCCTGGGTGACAGAGTTAGACCCTGGCTCAAAAAATAAAAAAAGAAAAAACAAAATTGGAAATATACATTATTTTCAAGCATACAGGAAACTTTTTAGAAAATTTTAGAAAAGGCCGGGCGCGGTGGCTCACGCCTGTAATCCCAGCACTTTGGGAGGCTGAGGCAGGCAGATCACGAGGTCAGGAGATCGAGACCATCTTGGCTAACACAGTGAAACCCCATCTCTACTAAAAATACAAAAAATTAGCTGGGTGTGGTGGTGGGCGCCTGTAGTCCCAGCTACTCGGGAGGCTGAGGCAGGAGAATGGCGTGAACCCGGGAGGCAGAGCCGAGACTGCGCCACTGCACTCCAACGTGGGCGACAGAGCCAGACTCCATCTCAAAAAAAAAAAAAAAAAGAAAGAAAAAGAAAAAGAAAATTTTAGAATATTTGATGCCTAATAAGGTCACAAAGTCCTCACCTACTTCAAAAAAAAAAAAATACAAACCATGACATCTGATCATAATATTTTAAAATTAGAAATCAATAATAAAGATCTGTTTTTGAAACACGTATATCTAGAAACGTAAACTCATACTGCTAAATATTATTGACTCAACAGAGACATACAATGAAAGTTTTGAAATATTTCTAACTTAACAACAAAAACTGCATCTTTTTTCTTTTTCAGCTTTTAGAATCAAGGGTTTGTTACAAAGGTGCGTTGTGTGATGCTGAGGCTTGGCTTATGCTTGCTCATCACCCCCGAAATAAGCATGGTACCCAGTAGTAGTTTTCAGCCCTTGCCCTCCTTCCTCTCTCTCCCCTCTAGTAGTCCCTAGTCTCTGTGGTTCCCATCTTTATGGCCAACAGTACCCAAAGTTTAGCTACCACTTGTAAATGAAAACATGCAGTATTTGGTTTTCTGTTTCTGCATTAGTTCACTTAGGATAATGGCCTCCAACTGCATCCGTGTTGCTCCAAAGGACATAGTTTCATTCTTTTTATGGCTGCATAGTATTCCATGGTGTATATGTACCACATTTTCCTTATCCGGTGTGGTAAAGGATGGTGGGTTTGATAAAGAAAATGTGGTACACTTACACCATGGAATGGGCTGAGTTCATGAAAAACTGCATTTTTTAAAACCTGTGGAAAATACTAATGGGATATAGAGGGAATTTATACTTTATGGAATTTATGTAAAAATATGAAAGAGTACAAGTAAACCCTATAAATTAGGAAGAGGACAACACAACAGAACAAACCCCAAAGAAAGTAGGAGGAATAAAATTAGACAGATTAGAGCAAACAGTAATGAATAAACAAACAATAGAGACAATCAACCAAACCAAAGCTAGTTCTTCACAGGAACTATTAAAATAGGCTAATCAGGCTGGCTGTAGTGGCTCATGCCTATAATCCCAGCACTGTGGGAAGCTGAGGCAGGCAGATCACCTGAGGTCAGGAGTTCCAGGGTAGCATGGCCAACATGGCGAAACCCTGTCTCTACCAAAAATTAAAAAATTAGCCAGGAGTGGTGGCGGGCACCTGTAGTCCTAGCTACTCTGGAGGCTGAGGCAGGAGAACCGCTTGAACCCAGGAGACTGAGGTTGCAGTGAGCTGAGATCGCACCACTGCACTCCAGCCTGGGCGACAGGGTAAGATTCTGTCATAAATAAATAAATAAACAATAAAATAAAATAGACTAACCCCATCCCACCCTCCTGCAAGATTGAGCAGCAAAAGAGAAAAACAAGTTACAAATAAGCAAACAAGCAAATTTAGAATGAGAAGGAGGCATGTTTACATACTCAGTAGAGATTTTTAGATTGGTAAGGGAATGCTACAAACAAGTTTTATGTCAATAAATTTGGAATCTTTAATGAAATAGAAAAATTCCTAGTAAAATATAACTTGCCAAATTTGGTCAACGAATGAATAGAAAGAGTAGAATAATAGAAAGAAATGGATTCCGCACTCACAAATATCCCACCTTAAAAAAAAATCAGGGAATAACAAATAAATTAGGAAAATACATGAATCTCCCATGCAAAAATTCCAGATAATTTATGTAGGCACTTTGCCCTCAGGAAAATGAAGCATAACGTCCCACTCCATAGATGTGGCTTTTTTTCAAAGAGTGCAGTACTGATTAGGGGTGTGAGGAGGAGAGCCACCTCACAGTGGAGAAACCGACAAACACTACCGCAGCCAGATGCTCAAGGCCAGTATTGATGGTGATAAGTCATATGGATACTACCTGCCCTGATATAGTGTGATGAGAACAGCACCTCACCTCTGTGGCCTTCTTCCCCAAAACCCATAAACCTAGTCTAATGAGAGAAGAAAATACCAATCCCAATTGAGGGGCGTTCTGCAAAATACCTGATCAGTACTCCTCACAACTGCAGAGGTCATCAAAAACAAAGTCGGACAAGCTGTCACAGCCAAGAGGAGC